>NC_000023.11:116595566-118023504 GCF_000001405.40 Homo sapiens | reverse complement strand
GTGAAAGTTATTCATAGAATGCATAGATGTAATGAGAACCAAAAGTTAAAATCCAAAGGTGTTTGAAAACAATTACATGCTCCTTTTAAGAATAGAAAAGAGCCCTTAAAAGACATGTACCCTAAAACTTAAAGTATAAAAAAAAAAGATTAGTGACAGAAACTTGCACTTATAATATGAAAAAATTATCTCTCTGAAACAACAATTCAGCATCACACTTAATGGTAATATGTAAGAGTTGTTCCTTAAGCAGCAATAAAATAAGAATGCCCACAATCAACATAATATTGAATATATATCTGTAAATTCTGTCCAATGTCAGTAAAGAGGCATAATTAATGGAAGGAAGAAGAGAAAATTAACCAATTCCTAGAAGATAAATAGTGCTGGGAAAACTGTATATCCACTTGCAAAAGAATGAAACTGGATCCTTATATTACATTGTACACAGAAATAAACGCAAAATGGATTACATACCAAAGTGTAAGGCCTGAAATCATAAAGCTTCTGAAAGTAAACACAAGGGATCAGAGCTATCAGGAAGAGCTTGACAAAAAAGAAAAGAAAACACAAGGGAAACACTCCTTGATACTGGCCTTGGCAATGATTTTTTTGGATATCACCCCAAAAGCTTAGGCAACAGAAACAAAAATAAACAAGTTGGGACTACATAAAAATCTTCTTCATGGGAAGGAAAACAATAAACAAAACGAAAAGGCAGCCTACATATTGGGAGGAAATATTTGCAAACCATATATGTGATGAGGGTTAATATCTTAACATAACTTACATAACTCAGTAGAAAAGAAACACACCAAATAACACAACTTAAAAATGAGCAAAGGACCTGAATAGATATATTTTAAAAAATAATACATAAAAATGGCCAACAGGCATATAAAAAGGTGCTCAACATCACATCATCAGGGAGATGTAAATGAAAACCACGATGAGATATCACCTTGCACCTATTAGGTTGGCCATTATCAGAAAGACAAATGATAGCAAGTGTTGGAGAGGATGTAGAGAAGAGAACCCTTACACACTGTTGGTGGGAATATAAAATGATACAGCCATTATGGTAAACAGTATAGAAGTTCCTCAAAAACCTGAATACAGAACTACCATATGACCCAGTAATCCCACTTCTGGGTATATATGCAAGAGTAATGGAATTAGCACTTCCTCGAGATATCTGTGCTTTCATGTTCATTGCAACATTATACACAATAGCTAAGATATGGAAACAACTTTCAATGGATGACTGGATAAAGAAATTGTGACACACACACACAAATGGGATATTATTCAGTCTTTTAAAAAGGAGATAATGCCTAGAGAAAATTTTTACAATCTACCCATCTGACAAAGGGCTAATATCCAGAATCTACAAAGAACTTAAACAAATTTGCAAGAAAAAATCAACCCCATCAAAAGTGGGTGAAGGATATGAACAGACACTTCTCAAAAGAAGACATTTATGCAGCCAACAGACACATGAAAAAATGCTCATCATCACTGGCCACCAGATAAATACAAATCAAAACCACAATGAGATACCATCTCACGCCAGTTAGAATGGCGATCATTAAAGTCAGGAAACAACAGGTGCTGGAGAGGATGTGGAGAAATAGGAACACTTTTACACTGTTGGTGGGACTGTAAACTAGTTCAACCATTGTGGAAGACAGTGTGGCGATTCCTCAAGGATCTAGAACCAGAAATGCCATTTGACCCAGCCATCCTATTACTGGGTATATACCCAAAGGATTATAAATCATGCTGCTATAAAGACATGCACACGTATGTTTATTGCGACACTATTCACAATAGCAAAGACTTGGAACCAACCCAAATGCCCATCAATGATAGACTGGATTAAGAAAATGTGGCACATATACACTATGGAATACTATGCAGCCATAAAAAATGATGAGTTCATGTCCTTTGTAGGGACATGGATGAAGCTGGAAACCATCATTCTCAGCAAACTATCACAAGGACAGAAAACCAAACACCGCATGTTCTCACTCATAGGTGGGAATTGAACAATGAGAACACTTGGACACAGGAAGGGGAACATCACACACCAGGGCCTGTCGTGGGGTAAGGGTAGGGGGGAGGGATAACATTAGGAGATATACCTAATGTAAATGACGAGTTGATGGGTGCAGCAAACCAACATGGCACATGTATACATATGTAACTAACCTGCACATTGTGCACATGTACCCTAGAACTTAAAGTATAATAATAAAAAAAAAGGAGATAATGCCATTTACAACAACATGGATGAACGTGGAGGACATTATGCTAAATGAAATAAGGCAGATATCGAACAAAAAATACTGTATTTTTTTATTATTATACTTTAAGTTTTAGGGTACATGTGCACAATGTGCAGGTTAGTTACATATGTATACATGTGCCGTGCTGGTGCACTGCACCCACTAACTCGTCATCTAGCATTAGGTATATCTCCCAATGCTATCCCTCCCCCCTCCCCCCACCCCACAACAGTCCCCAGAGTGTGATGTTCCCCTTCCTGTGTCCATGTGTTCTCATTGTTCAATTCCCACCTATGAGTGAGAATATGCGGTGTTTGGTTTTCTGTCCTTGTGATAGTTTGCTGAGAATGATGGTTTCTAGCTTCATCCATGTCCCTACAAAGGACATAAACTCATCATTTTTATGGCTGCATAGTATTCCATGGTGTATATGTGCCACATTTTCTTAATCCAGTCTATCATTGTTAGACATTTGGGTTAGTTCCAAGTCTTTGCTATTGTGAGTAGTGCCGCAATAAACATACGTGTGCATGTGTCTTTATAGCAGCATGATCTATAATCCTTTGGGTATATACCCAGTAATGGGATGGCTGGGTCAAATGGTATTTCTAGTTCTAGATCCCTGAGGAATCGCCACTCTGACTTCCACAATGGTTGAACTAGTTTACAGTCCCACCAACAGTGTAAAAGTGTTCCTATTTCTCCACATCCTCTCCAGCACCTGTTGTTTCCTGACTTTTTAATGATCGCCATTCTAACTGGTGTGAGATGGTATCTTACTGTGGTTTTGATTTGCATTTCTCTGATGGCCAAATTGTCTCAGCCCAAAATCTCCTTAAGCTGATACGCAACTTCAGCAAAGTCTCAGGATACAAAATCAATGTACAAAAATCACAAGTATTCTTATACACCAACAACAGACAAACAAAGAGCCAAATCATGAGTGAACTCCAATTCACAATTGCTTCAAAGAGAATAAAATACCTAGGAATCCAACTTACAAGGGATGTGAAGGACCTCTTCAAGGAGAACTACAAACCACTGCTCAAGGAAATAAAAGAGGATACAAACAAATGGAAGAACATTCCATGCTCATGGGTAGGAAGAATCAATATCGTGAAAATGACCATACTGCCCAAGGTAATTTACAGTTTCAGTGCCATCCCCATCAAGCTACCAATGACTTTCTTCACAGAATTGGAAAAAACTACTTTAAAGTTCATATGGAACCAAAAAAGAGCCCACATCACCAAGTCAATCCTAAGCCAAAAGAACAAAGCTGGAGGCATCACACTACCTGACTTCAAACTATACTACAAGGCTACAGTAACCAAAACAGCATGGTACTGGTACCAAAACAGAGATATAGATCAATGGAACAGAACAGAGCCCTCAGAAATAACGCCTCATATCTACAACTATCTGATCTTTGACAAACCTGAGAAAAACAAGCAATGGGGAAAGGATTCCCTATTTAATAAATGGTGCTGGGAAAACTGGCTAGCCATATGTAGAAAGCTGAAACTGGACCTCTTCCTTACACCTTATACAAAAATCAATTCAAGATGGATTAAAGACTTAAACGTTAGACCTAAAACCATAAAAACCCTAGAAGGAAACCTAGGCAATACCATTCAGAACATAGGCATGGGCAAGGACTTCATGTCTAAAACACCAAAAGCAATGGCAACAAAAGCCAAAATTGACAAATGGGATCTAATTCAACTAAAGAGCTTCTGCACAGCAAAAGAAACTACCACCAGAGTGAACAGGCAACCTACAAAATGGGAGAAAATTTTTTCAACCTACTCATCTGACAAAGGGCTAATATCCAGAATCTACAATGAGCTCAAACAAATTTACAAGAAAAAAACAAACAACCCCATCAAAAAGTGGGCGAAGGATATGAACAGACACTTCTCAAAAGAAGACATTTATGCAGCCAAAAAACACATGAAAATACTGTATTTGTAAATGTCAAATAGAAACACAGGGGCAGGAGTGGGAAGAAATGGGAAGAAGAAGGTCAAAGCATGAAAATTTGCAGTTAGGTGAGGTGAATAAGTCTAGAGATGTAATCTATGGCATGAGGACAATAGTTAATAATGATATATTCTATTCTGAAAATTTTCCAAGGAAGTAGATTTTAGATGTTCTTACCACACAAAAAGGCAACTCTGGAAGGTGATGGATATATTAATTTGTTTAACTATAGTAATCATTTCACTCTGTCTATGTGTACCAAAACATCATATTGTACACTTTAAATATATGCAATAAAAATAGAAAGAAATAAAAAGGTTAGGCTTGTATATCTATAAAAGCTAAGTCTTAAAAACAACCCCTTAGTGCTAGAACTAATGAGTTATAAAAAATAGTTGGATATAAATAAAAATTTTTAAAAACAGTACCTTTTGTCTGTATCAGAAATCGCCATTTAGAAGATATAATGGCAAACAATCAATTTATAATAGCCGTAACAAAAATGTCTAGGATTTATATTATGAATATTTAAAAATTCTGCTCAGAGACAGGAAAGAAGACATTTTAAAAATGGACAGTTATACATACCATGGTTCTTGATAAAAGACTGAATGCTAAGAAGAGATACATTATTTCCAAATTGTCCTATACATTCTACATAAATTTAGGAGGATATTTAAAAATTTGGCAAAGCAAATCTTCAATAAGTTAATGAATATCTGAAAGAAATGTATCTCCATTATTAGTACATTGTCTGCTATGTAGTAATTGCTCATTAATTTACTAAATAAAGGACTAGTAAAAAATCTATATTTGTTCTGTTTATGATGCAACAAATATTTATGGTGTAATTGGTAAGAACTAAACATTGTCACGTGCAAAAGCATGATGAAAAGTGATGAGTTCTTCTACTCATTGACCTTCTTCTGGGGGTGTGGTGTGGTCAGATAATAAATATATATCACGAAGAAAATTGTTATGAAAAATTAATAAGGTAGGTGGAAATATAAAGAGTTAAGAGTGAGCGGAGGTCAGTGTAGAAGGGCATTAACTTCTTATTAGCCTTGCATGTGTTTAGTCTTGTAATCTACCATCCATCATATATTTTACCCTATATGAAGTTTTATTCTAGTGCTTTATGAGCTATAGGGAGAAGTCAGCCACATGTGGTTTGCTTTGATGGAAACAGTATACTTATCTGAACATCCTCATGCATGCATTATGGTAATGTCTAGGAGGACACGTTGTGGTGAGAGTCACCAGTTTGTTGTTGTGGCGGTATTTTCTGATTGCATTCCTGGAGCTAATAGCATTTCTGTAATGCTCTGACAGAGTTTCAGTCTTCCAAATGTAGTCTTTCATAGATGAAACACAGTATAAAATATCGTCTGGTATTTCCAACACAGGAGAAAGAGTGCCAAACACTGTACAATCATATTTTTACCATTTTAACAAATATTATTCACCACTTACTGGGTAGGGTGCTAGGGATATAGCAGTGAATGTTAATACATGGTTTTCTGTGTAGTGGGAAATACACACAAATAATTGTGTTTCTTAAGTGCTGTTGAAAGGACATATGGGGTGCTACTGACTGTGTATAACACATATATACACCGGGTCTTGGGAGGGTCAGGACAGGCTTTATGAGTGAAGTCATGTTTCTTCTACTTCTCTCCATTTCCACTCTACTACCACCATCTTAGTTCAAGCTACTCTCATCTTTTGCCTGACGTCCTGCAATAACCAATTGGTTAGTTCATTTTTCTCTAGGTTCTAATTAGAGTTCTCTTTTCAGAATTCAAATCTAGCCATGTTGCCTTTTCGCTTTCAAATTATTCTATAGCTGTATCTTAATTTTAGGATAACATCCAATGTTAATCTCACATTGCACTACTATGCATGAAGGCATGAAAAAGCATGATGCATTCACAGAGCTATAATCAAAATCAGATGATTATTAATTATAATAATAAGGAGCAAAGTAAGAAAAGGCTGGAGATGAGTTAGGAGAGGGAGGTATGGATCAAGTTAAGAAGCATTTTATGTTTATGCTAAAGAGTTTACATACTTCACAGACTGCAGAGATCTACTGAAGCTTACAAACAGAAGAGTGATGTGATCTGCCTTATACTGCTAGAAAGATCACTTTGGTGGCTGTGTGGATTATTTGGGGAAGGAGGACGGGAAAATTAGGAGACCAGTGATCAGTCTATTGTAGCAGTCAAAGAAAGAAATGAAAAGAGTCTGAACAAAGGTGATGGCAGTGGGAATGAATGAAAGGGAATGCATTTGTGAAATACTTAGGGATGAATTTTACAATGTTTGGGAACCAACTGGTTTCTTCACACTCTAGGCAGAAGGTTCTTTTAAAATTGTTAATCTGATAATGTCACCTAGACTGTCCTTTCCTGTTTATGACTATTAAAATCCTACTTGTTCCTCAAGACCCATACTGAATTCCATACCCTACATAAAGCCTCATCTGATCAATCCAATCACAAGATCAGGAGAGCTTCTTGCCTCTGAACTACTTTACCACTGCAATGAATTTTATCATGTTTGGTTCTGCATTGAAGTAATTTGAGCCTTTATTTGCTTATGCCTAAGGGAGCCCTTTCAGAGAGTGACTGGCTGTATCTAATGTATTTTTATATCCTGTATTGTACATAATGCAAGATTTTGCACATAGTAAGCTTTCAGTAAATACCTGTAGAAGTTGTACCATTTATTAACAATTACTGGATGGTGATTTTATTCAGTAAAATGGTTTAGAGTAGTTTTCTTTTGTTTCCCACAGTTAACTCTTACTTATAGTTAAGTAATTTAATATTAAGTGACAGTCTTTAAGACTGTAAAGTAGGCTAACTGAATTTAGTATAGATTCTAGGAATAAGCCCAGACTTTTGTACTGACGTAATGTATAATCATGTCTTCATGGTGTAGAATGTCAAGGGAATACAGGGCTGGGAATCAGGTCATTCCATGTTTAAAAATATTTAGCCTTTACTATTTGTCAAGTGGTGTCCTCATCTGTCACATGTAAGAATTGGAAGATGGAAATCTTTCTTTTCATTTTAAAAGTCTAAAATTATATTTTTAAGACGAAGCACATAGTACATGCTAAAGAAACACATATGTGATTAACTTCATATAAAACAAATTTAACAAGGTGATCAGCCATTGGAGATAAGTCCTTTTATTAATTTATCATAATTTGGTTTTCTCACTTTCAATGAAGGTATCTTTTCTGTGTTTTTTGAAGATTAAAAACTTGTGAGGGTCTGGTTTTATCATGGGTGAAGTAAGCGTGGCAATAATTGTAAGCCAAATCTTTGGCTAGAAGATCTAGCCAATAAAAATAATAAGAGGGTAACACATGAAATTCTGAGACCAGTTACTTTTTATACATTGGAATTATTTTGGTTTAAAAATTCTGTAGGTTTTGGTTATCCACTATTATTGTCATAAGATCTTATGGTAGACGCACATGAAATTTATCACCATATTTGTTCCTATAACTGAAGAGTTGCATGTTTTCATACAAAGGATATGGGCTTGTTAGTAATGTTGCATGTTTTATATATTTGAAGGAATTTTCCAGGTCATAGAAAGTATATCTGTTCTTGGGGAGAATAATTGCTACTCCAATTTCAGTCATCCTACCTATCTTGAGTGTTGCTGTTCATATTTACATTCTTCCTGTGCAATCTCATCTACCGCAATTATTTCAGTCCTTGCCTACATACTAAAGACCTTTCATTTATAGCTCGAGTCTCAATTTTTTCTGAGTCCCAGACTAAAAGTTGTTTATTTTCTCCCTCCACAATTTTTTGTTTGTTTGTTTGGACTCTACAAGTAATACATATTTATTACAGAACACTTAGAAAAATAGAAAATTATATATATGCAGGGTAAATAATCACATAAGATAGCCTCTGTTAACACCTCGATGTATTTTCACTCTAGTCTTCTGATACATTTTTAAATGTAACTAAGGTTTTACTTATTGAATATGATCTAGTTATAGTAGTGTGGTTAAGGGTGAGGCTCTGAAGTCTGCCAAATATAGGTGTCATTCAAACTCTGCTACTTACTAGCTGTGTGAAATTTGGAAAGTGTCTTAACTCCTATGAGTCCATTTCCTCATCTGTAAAATAAAGTGATATCACTGTGTGGGATTGTTCTGTGGATTAAATAAAATGTTTGTAATATGGTTAAGTTCCTGTCATATGGTAAATGCTCAGTAAATGGAAGCGCTTACTGTTTTATTATACTATATATCATGTCTGTACCTCCCTGTTTTTCTTATTAGATTTTGAATATTTTGACATCAGTAAAGACTTGTAGTTATAATAGCTGCATGGCATAAGCCATTCTGTGGTACAAACAATGTCTTAATATTAGATATTTAGGCCAATTCCATTTTGGGGGTATTGGGGGAATCAGCCCCCAATATTTCAATGTAGGTTCTTTTCTATTTTCCCTAAGTGTCAGCTGGTCTCAGAAATAAAGAGACAGAGTACAAAGAGAAGAATTTTATAGCTGGGCCGCTGGAGGCGAAGTCACATATCGTCAGGTTCTGTGATATCCACTTGAGCTGCAAAACCAGCAAGTTTTTGTTAGGGATTCTAAAAGGGGAGGGGGTGTATGAAAAGGGAGTAAGTCAAAAAGATCACATGCTTCAAAGGGCAATAAAAGATCACAAGGCAAAGGCAAAATTAGAATACTGATGAGGGTCTGTGTGCCGCTGTGCATGCATTGTCTTGATAAACATCTTAACAGGAAACAGTGTTCAAGAGCAGAGAACTGGTCTGACTAGAATTTACCAGGCTGGAATTTCCCAATCCTAGTAAGCCTGAAGGCACTGCAGGAGACCAGGGTGTATTTCAGTCCTTATCTCAAACCCATAAGACAGACACTTCCAGAGCAACCATCTATAGACCTACCCTCAGGAATGCATTTCTTCCCCAGGGTCCCAATTATTAATATTCCTTGCTGGGAAAAGAATTCAGTGATATTTCTCCTACTCACACTTCCATCTATAGGCTCTCTGCAAGAAGAAAAATATGGCTCTGTTCTGCCCAACCCTGTAGGCAGTCAGGCCTCATGGTTATCTTCCCTTGTTCCCTGAAAATCACTGTTATTCTGTTCTTTCTTAGGGTGCACTGATTTAATATTGTTCAAACACACATATTTTACAATCAATTTGTACAATAGTGGTCCTCAGGTGACATACATTCTCCGCTTACGAAGATAACAGGATTAAGAGATTAAAGTAAAGACAGGCATAAGAAATTATAAGAGTATTGATTGAGGAAGTCACAAATGTCCATGAAATCTTCACAATTTATGTTCAGAGATTGCAGTAAAGACAGGTGTAAGAAATTATAAAAGTATTAATTTTGGGAATTGATAAATGTCCATGAAATCTTCACAATTTATGTTCTGCCTCGGCTCCAGCCGGTCTCTCCGTTCGGGGTCTCTGACTTCCTGCAACATGGGGGTATTAGTTGTAGTAGTGCCTTCCATATCTGTTATAATTTATCTTTTTTCCTTCTATTTATTGATTTTTGCTCTATACTGTGTCAAATCCTCTCTTTACTCCCTTTAATGTACATTTTGTTTGTCACATTGGTTTAGTTTCCTTTAGTTTCCTCGACCAACGTAATTTATATCTTTCCTCATCTTATCTTACTTGGCTTTCTCTTCCTGGCTCATTGAAGTCATGTTTCCTTATTCAATAAATAGTGTTTTTCAATATATTTCCATTGCTGCTTTCCATGCTAGTTGTTTTTGTTTTTGTCTGTTCATTCTCAAAGGAAGAAAGATTCCCTGAAAGGCCTTTGTACTGTTGTTTAAAATGTTTTTTGTTCATGGTCTTTATGTGGCTGACTCTTGTTGTCTAGATCTTTACTTAAATATCCTCTCCTCTGAGAGGTTTCCTTTGACCATCCAATCTAAAGTGGCCACCTGTATACTGTCTATTGTCACACCATCCCAATTTAATTCTCTCCATAAGACTCATCATTCCAACTATTAGATATTTTCCTTCTTTATTTATTTTCTATCCCCTTTCACTGGAATAGAAGCTCCAAGAGGCCAGGCATCTTGTTCAACTTGTTTACTGCTTTAATCGCAGCACCTACAACCATTTCTTACAGACAAGTTACTCAATAAATATTTGCTGAATGAATGAATAAAGGAATTAACCATTTCCCCTCTGTCTGTGCTCTTGTGCACTAATCCCACCGTTTTCTCTGATTTTTATCCATGAGTCAATACTAATAGAAATAAACGATTGAATAAATAAGTAGGGTAGAAGAGACAAGTCTTCCTTACAGAAGAATTCCATATTTTATTTGTGAATGTTTGTTTGTATATATACCTTCTTTAGAGGCTGGAACTTTATTCTCCTTCCACTGGTGTTAATTTAATGATTCACTTACAAAGAAAAGAATGTGGAATGGAAAAAAAAATGGTAACTTTATAGTGAAGAAATCTGACAAATACTACCAGCAGTAGACAGAATACCCCCGCCCCCTGCCCCCGCCCCCGCCCAGGATGGCCACATTTTAATCCCCAGAACCTGTGACTATGACACTGTTCATGGCAAAGTGGACTTGCAGATGTGATTAAGTTAAGGTCTATGAGATGAGGAGATTATCCTGGACCGTTCAGGCAGGCCCATTGCAATCACAAGGATCCTTATAAAAGGGACACAGGTGCGAGTCAGGAAAAGGAGATGTGATGATGGGTCCAGAGGTTGGAGTGATGCTCTTTGAAGATATAGGAAGGTGCCACAAGCCAAGAATGCAGGTAGCCTCTAGAATCTGGGGAAAAAAAATAACAACAACAAGAAAACCATCTCTCCCCTGAAGCTTTGCCAATAGTTAATTTTTGATTTCTGACCTCCAGAGCTGTAAGATCATCAACTAGGGTTGTTTAAAGCCACCATTTGTGATCATTTGTCACAGTGGAAATAAGTTAGTATGCCTTATTTTCAGAGTCTGGCACAAAGGCTTCCTAATATATACCAGGAGCTGTAATTTCTGACTTGATATAAGCACAAAGAGGAATTGATGGTAGTGGTGGTCAGAAAGGGGCACACAGTAAAAGGTACTAGAACTCTGGCTGCTTTAAAAAGCAACAACATTGCCAGGTCTCAGTTTCAGTGCTGGCACTGGTTTTCCTGACTCTGTCTACAAGATATTTAACAGTAAGTTGGGCAAGGTAGGATCAGAAGTAACTAGCTATTTGTTATTTAAAATTGAATATTCAAATATTTATCTATATTTTTCTTATCCAATTGTATAATTTATGCTCATTGAGAAGTATTTGGAAAAATTATAGGAAAGTATAATCCCACTGCACTGAAAGCGCTGTTAATATTTTGGATCTCATAAATACAAATGTTTATTCAACACAAAGATTCCCCAGTATTGTAAACATGACATATCCAATGTCCAATCCCATGTAATCTTAGCCCTGAGTACCTGCCTTGTCATCTATATTCTTGGTATTGTTTGATGACACCACCATTCACTCAGGTGTCTGACTCAGAAACTCGGGCATCATCCTGGACCCTTTCTCATCCTTCACACTCAGTTAGTCTCTAAGTCCACTTCTCCTTCCCAATTATTTCTCCAATTCACTCCCCCTGCTGTTTTATCCTTATTATCACTTCCTTAGATTTGGCCCACATAATTTGTCAGCTAGATCATTAAAATATCCTTCTAATCTGTTTTTTTTTTTTGCTTCTAGTCTTAGCCCTCCCCTTCTCCCCTGACAGTTTCTCTCTCTCTTTGCAGCCATAATGATCTTTCTGAAATGTAAATATGGTCATATTGTTTTCTTGTTTAGATTTCTTCAGTGGCTGCCAGTGTGGCAAGGTCTCTTATATGGCTCCTGTCTACCTCACCAGGCTTTTCTCCTGCACAGAGCATGCATTGCAGCCTTCCCCAACACTGGAAGATGACCCGTTCCCTCATATTGCCACCCTTCTTTCTGGAATGCTTTCTCTCATATGTTGGGCCTAACCCATTCCTGTTTATCATTCAGGACCTCTCTGTGAAACTTTCACTGAAATATATGCCATGCCTCTTCCAAGCAGAATTAGGTGTCCTTTTCTTATTTATTTATTTATTTATTTATTTATTTTGAGACAGTGTCTCACTCTGTCACCCAGGCTGGAGTACAGTGGTGCAATCATGGCTCACTGCAGCCTTGACTTCCCAGGCTCAGGTGATTCTCCCACCTCAGCCTCCTGAGTAGCTGGGACGACAGGCGTGTGCCACCATGCCTGGCTAATTTTTGTATTTTTTTTAGAAATGGGGTTTTGCCGTGTTGCCCAGGCTGGTCTTCAACTCCTGGGCTCAAGTGATTCACCCACCTCAGCCTCCCAAAGTACTGGGATTACAGGCGTGAGCCACCACATGTGGCCAAGTATCCCTTTCTAATGGCTCCCCTAGCATTGACTCTTTTTTTTTTTAAATTATATTTTAAGTTTTAGGGTACATGTGCACATTGTGCAGGTTAGTTACATATGTATACATGTGCCATGCTGGTGCGCTGCACCCACTAACTCGTCATCTAGCATTAGGTATATCTCCCAATGCTATCCCTCCCCCCTCCCCCCACCCCACCACAGTCCCCAGAGTGTGATATTCCCCTTCCTGTGTCCATGTGATCTAATTGTTCAATTCCCACCTATGAGTGAGAATATGCGGTGTTTGGTTTTTTGTTCTTGCGATAGTTTACTGAGAATGATGATTTCCAATTTCATCCATGTCCCTACAAAGGACATGAACTCATCATTTTTTATGGCTGCATAGTATTCCATGGTGTATATGTGCCACATTTTCTTAATCCAGTCTATCATTGTTGGACATTTGGGTTGGTTCCAAGTCTTTGCTATTGTGAATAATGCCGCAATAAACATACGTGTGCATGTGTCTTTATAGCAGCATGATTTATAGTCATTTGGGTATATACCCAGTAATGGGATGGCTGGGTCAAATGGTATTTCTAGTTCTAGATCCCTGAGGAATCGCCACACTGTCTTCCACAATGGTTGAACTAGTTTACAGTCCCACCAACAGTGTAAAAGTGTTCCTATTTCTCCACATCCTCTCCAGCACCTGTTGTTTCCTGACTTTTTAATGATTACCATTCTAACTGGTGTGAGATGGTATCTCATAGTGGTTTTGATTTGCATTTCTCTGATGGCCAGTGATGATGAGCATTTTTTCATTGTTTTTTGGCTGCATAAATGTCTTCTTCAAGGAGAACTACAAACCACTGCTCAAGGAAATAAAAGAGGATACAAACAAATGGAAGAACATTCCATGCTCATGGGTAGGAAGAATCAATATCGTGAAAATGGCCATACTGCCCAAGGTAATTTACAGATTCAATGCCATCCCCATCAAGCTACCAATGACTTTCTTCACAGAATTGGAAAAAACTACTTTAAAGTTTATATGGAACCAAAAAAGAGCCCGCATCGCCAAGTCAATCCTAAGCCAAAAGAACAAAGCTGGAGGCATCACACTACCTGACTTCAAACTATACTACAAGGCTACAGTAACCAAAACAGCATGGTACTGGTACCAAAACAGAGATATAGATCAATGGAACAGAACAGAGCCCTCAGAAATAACGCCGCATACCTACAACTATCTGATCTTTGACAAACCTGAGAAAAACAAGCAATGGGGAAAGGATTCCCTATTTAATAAATGGTGCTGGGAAAACTGGCTAGCCATATGTAGAAAGCTGAAACTGGATCCCTTCCTTACACCTTATACAAAAATCAATTCAAGATGGATTAAAGATTTAAACGTTAGACCTAAAACCATAAAAACCCTAGAAGAAAACCTAGGCATTACCATTCAGGACATAGGCATGGGCAAGGACTTCATGTCCAAAACACCAAAAGCAATGGCAACAAAAGCCAAAATTGACAAATGGGATCTAATTCAACTAAAGAGCTTCTGCACAGCAAAAGAAACTACCATCAGAGTGAACAGGCAACCTACAAAATGGGAGAAAATTTTCACAACCTACTCATCTGACAAAGGGCTAATATCCAGAATCTACAATGAACTCAAACAAATTTACAAGAAAAAAACAAACAACCCCATCAAAAAGTGGGCAAAGGACATGAACAGACACTTCTCAATAGCATTGACTCTTATATTTTGGTGTTGTTAGGAGAGATTGAAGTCCCAGTACTCATAGTAGTTGTATTGGCAAGAGTCATTATAATAGCTAACACTTAAATAGCGTTACTTTGTACTAGGTACAAAACCTTTATGCATATTAATTTATGTTATTCTCATAATAACTTTATGAAGTAGATACTCATCATTATTATTCCCATTTTACAAACAAGGACTTTGAGGCACAGAGAGATTAAGTAAATTGTCTAAGGCCACACAGTAAATAAGCATGGATCCAGGGTTCAAATGCAGGAAGTCTAGCTCCAGAGTCTTTGCATTTAGCCATATGCCAGTCTTTTTCCTTCCCTGGAATGCAAACTCCCTGAGGACAAGGGTTTTGCCTGTCCTGTATCACCTCTCCTGTGTCTCATTACCTAAAACTAATTCATGGCAGTAATAAATACTTCTCATGATGATCTTTTTAGAGAGTGCAGGAAGTGAATGTAGAGGAATGTGTCCTCCTGTCTCTTCCTAGCAGAATTAGGTGTCCCTTTCTTACAGCTCCCATAGTATTAGATCTTATTTCTGTGGTGTCTGTAGTAGATATTAAAGTTCCAATACTAGTAGTACATTGGTTGTATTGGCAAGAGTCATTGTAATAGCCACCTATGGCGTTTACCCTAAGGCCAAGCTAGTTCTGCTTATTTTGGGTGTGCATACATTTACGCTGATAGGTTAAGTACTATTAATGAGTTGGAAGCCTGGAAGTTGATAAAGGTAATTTTTTCTTTTAACAGATGTTCACTTCCCTCCTTTTTCAGTCTTTTATTTTTTCCCCTTTTCATCTTCCCAGCAAACACAGTTACAAGGTGAGCGTTAGAAAGATTATGTAAAATTTTCAAAGGCTCCTGAACAACAGTTGTGTAATGTTCTATTTTGGGTTACATGTGACCAGGAATATGGACCCATGAAATAATTCAGAGCCTTAATGTGGATGCTTCTAAAAATATATAGCCAAAGGACAAAGTTTTCCTTTGTCTTTCTGGTTATCAGTGCTGTGTGATATTTTGACCCCTTCCCTCCATTCGACACTTGGTTTTCTTTGTACCATTGCTTTGTTTCAGATTAAAATGAAAAGAAAAAGATTAATACCTTTTTTCCCTGGAAGATCTACCTTTTCATTGGATTATAGTTTCCATGCCTGTCTTTGGGACTTATTAATAGCTATGGCAATTTAAAGGCTTTGTGATCCACAGATAGGCATACTATGATTCTCTTCTAAGAGTCCTTAATCCACCATTGAGAGAAGGGCAATGTGTCCTCCTCCCTTCCTGAGGCCCTCTGTATCCATGGTGTGTTATGAAATGCATGATCCTGAAGGTAAAGATGTTTTCCTATATCAGCACAGCACGACATAGCTGATATAGATATGAGCTATAGATAGCTAGAATAAAATCCTCTAGTGACCTTTGCAGTCTGTTTTAGGGGAAACAAACAACAGAAGCAGCAGAGTGAATCCAAATTAAATTTAATGTTGTTTTTGACAGGAAGAGCTGTGCCTGGATGTAGACAGTGTCATTTCTTTTTCCCTGGCACATTATTGAAAATACTAATATATAACTTTGTCCAAATTTGGCTGAGATCAGCCATTGTCCAGGGCTGGCAGGTCTCTCTCTCTTTTTTTTTTTTTTTTTTTTTTTGACAGGGTCTCCTTCTGTTGCCCAGGCTGGAGTGCAGTGGCTCAAGTGATTCTCCCACCTCAGCCTCCTGAATAGCTGGGACTACGGGTGCACACCACCACGCCTGGCTAATTTTTTCTATTTTGTAGAGATGGGGTCTCGCTATGTTCACCAGGCTGGCTTAGAACTCCTGGCCCACAAGCGATCCTCCCACTTGGGCCTCCCAAAGTGCTGGGCTTATAGGCATGAGCCACCTCACCTGGCTGACTCCTACTTTTGACTTCTCAAACTTGGGAGGCTACTCAAATCAGTGGGAGGTCACTTAGAACACACTTTTCTCTCTAGATTCCCTGAAGCAGTGCTAAGTCTAATAAGGCCTCTAGGGAGCGATAATTATTTGATCTCTGGCCCCCAATGCCTGCCCCTTAATGTTACATTTATCCTTTACTCATGTGATATGAAGGGGAAAGTATATTAATACTAGCTTTCAAGTATACTACTATACTCCTTCCCATTTCCCTTTAAGGGTAGTTTATTTACCTGATTGACCTTTCTGTTGTAAAGGCAGAATGTGATACTGAGTGTGGAGTTTGAAAACCACTGTTTTCTGGTCTTGACTCTGCCAACTTAACAGTGGTACCAGTTTCTTTCTTCTTCCTTTTTTTTTGTTTTTAGAACAGAAATACTTTCTCCTGTCTTGAAAATTAATGAGATAATATGCTTGAATCACTGTGTTCTCCCTGAAAGGTGGACCCTGAATAAATTCAAGCTGATTTTTTTGAAAGGAGCTGAAGGCAGAGTTAAGTCTATTTGTTTTTCTAAGAATAGCTGTGGCTCCACAAATAACATACTACACTTTTTTTAGAGAGGAAAAGATTGTAGAGATAGTGTTAACCCTCTCAAATGTAAAATGACAGGGAATCTGATATTCAAAGGTGAGATCATTTGTCCAAGTTCATGTAGCAAGGTAAAGGGCCAAGACATGAGTACCCAGAGGTTTGGTTTTTCTTTTTTTTTTTGGCACAATTAAGAGTTATTTTTGCCTCAGAAATCTGCATTTCACATATTTAATGCAAAATAAAACCCTTCTTTGGTAAAATACATTCTGTTAGACTTTCACTATTGTACAGTCCATGTGATGAACTTAGTATTTATAGTTAAATTAGTATAGCCTTTACCACCATTTTTGTATGTAAAATACTTTCCCTCTTATCTAAATAGTTCCAGTAGTTTCTTTTCTGTGGGTTGGATAGAAAGTAAGTATTGATCTAATAATCACTGGGTGGTAGGGAGATGGATAAAAATAGAATGGAAACTCAACCCAGTCTGTTCTAAACTTTGCTATGTGTGCAATTCTGATGTATTATATGGCCTTAAACATATATTTAATGACACATCTACATCCAGGCACAGCCCTTGCTGTTAACAACATTGTTAATTCAGTTACACTTCACTCTCCTGCCTCAGTTGTTGTTTTCCCTAGAAAAGACTGCTAAAATCATTACACAATTTCTTTCCAGCTATTTTTAGGCCCATGTCTTAGTTTTCTATTGCTGCTGTAACAAATTACCATAACTCCAGTGCCTTAAAAGAACACTGATTTGTTACCTTACAGTTCTGCCGGTCATTGGCCTAAAATTAAAGGACTGTGTTCCTTTCTGGAGGCTGTAGGGGAAAATCCGTTTCCTTGCCTTTCCCAGCGTCCAGAGGCCACCTATGTGCCTTTGCTTGTGTCTCTCTTCCTCCATCTTCGAAGCCAGCAGTGCTGGGTCAAATCTTTCTCACATCTCCTCACTTGAACCTCTGCTGCTTTCCTCTTCCAATGTTGAGGAGCACAACTGAATAATCCAGGATAATCTCCCCATCTCACAGTCTTTAACTTAATCACACCTGCATCATCTCTTGCTATGTTAGGCAACATATGCATAGGTCCCAGGAATTAAGATGTGGACATCTTTGGGGACCCATTATTCTGCCTACCACACCCTATATCTATGTCAACTATACCATACTGTGAGTTTTCTTTTGGAGGGTATTAAGATAATGGCTGTTTTCAAGTTAAAAAATTATTTTCAAAAATATTTATCACAAATCTTTGTCCCAGTGCCCTCCATGCAAGATAGTTTCCAGCCATTATGAATAATTGTTTAATATTTTATATATACAGTCATCTGTTGTTATCTGTGGGGCATTGGTTCCAGGACCCCCTGAGACTGCAAAAATTCACAGATGCTCAAGTCCCTGATAACATTAATACATTGTAATCAAAGCCCATTCAAATTTTTTCCAGTTATCCCAAAAGTGTTATTGACAGCAGAAAGCTCAACTTCAGAATTATGCATTGCAATTAATTGTAATGTCTTTTTAGTGTTTTTCTATCTGGAACACTTTCTCAGTCTTCTCTTGACTTTCATGACCTTGACACTTTTGAAGATTACAGGCCAGTTAATTTGCAGAATGTCCCTCAGTTTTCATTAGTCTTAATTGTTCCTCATGATATTATTGAGGTTTTGCTTCTTCAGCAGGAATTGCACAGACATGATCTTCTCATTGCATCCTATCAGGTGGCACCTGATATTGATTTGTCCCATACAACTTGATAACTTGATTAAGGTGGTATCTGTCAGGCCTCTCCACTGCAAGGTTACTTTTTCTTTTATTTCTAATTAATAGTATTTCTGATGAGGTTGAGAATACTTTGAGACTATACAAATATCTTATCCCTTATCAGACTTTCAATATTTCATTTATTGCATCAATATGGAATCATAGTTTCCTATTTTATTGTTATAATCCTTGATTTATTTTGATGCCAAATGGTCTCATATTTGTATGATCCCCTTCAAGCTGGTTTATGTATCTTTTTCACAAGTCTCAATCATCCTTCCTTATGTTTGGAGTTTATCTTGTACTTTCTGAGTGCTTCATTACATTCCAGTTCATCTTGTACTTTCTCTGCATTAGCTCTGGAATCAGGCATCATGGTTCCTTTTAGTGGATAATCATATCTCGAACCAAAATCTGTTTGCTAGGAGTGCTCATTGCTATTCCAGTATTGCTGTTCCAAGGCCCTTTTGATGGAGAGAGCTAGGAAATATTTGTATACATGTATATACACACATAAATACATATACACATTTATACATATATGTTTATATCTTTATCCATTGAAACCATGAGTTCTCACCAATACCTTCAATTTTAATCCAATACCATAGAGTTCATTCTAGTTTTCTCCCTTTTCATGATTTCACTTCTCAATTGGTAACATTAAGAAACATGTCTCTTATTATTTGACCAGTTCCTTCACATGTAGCCAATGCCCTGTTGACACACCCTTGCCTCCCCGACTCTGACTTCCAGAAATCCTGGCTGTAGCTGCCACCTCCCTGCATGAATACCCTCATTTTGTTTGCATTTCACCGTACCACATCAGTCCACCATTGATGTAGTCTTCCTGCAATGACACCTTCCTCATCTTCTCAAGCCCCACAAAGAGTCTCTATGGTGCCCTCTTCATAGGGCATGCCTACTTTGCTTGGTCCCACTAATGGATTGAACTGTTCAGGAAGGGGAAGGGAAGGAACATTTTCTGTACTTTGACGAGTTGTTGCCACCTTTTTCCTTACAACCATGGTAAGGATTACTACCCTTGTACTGGATATTTACTTTCTATTGTTGTAGTTCCTATAAATTCTGCTTTCCTGTAGTCAACATCCACATTTTAAAATTATAATTTATGAGATTTTTGCTTGTCAATTTGAGTCCTTTTCTTCAGATTAATATTAATTTGTTTACTGGTTTATTATTATTACTGGTTTGATTTTTGCCTAATAAGGTGTTAAAAATGAGGCAACTGGAAATAAGATGATTTTCACGTAATTATGGTATAATTTATAGAAACACTACTGCTTTCTCATAATACTTTTTGTTATTTTTATGTTCTTCATTTAATTTTTTTTCTTTTCACTAACTAAACAAACAGCAGTGATAAATATAAACTATCAGCAAAGCTGGCTTAGAAGAAAGAGTTTAAAAAAAATGAGACAGGATCTCTATGTTGTCCAGGCTGGTTTTGAACTCCTGACTTCAAGTGCTCCTCCCACCTTGGCCCTCCAAAGTGTTGGGATTACAGGCTTGAGCCACTACGCCTGGCCAGAGTGAAGCCTTTCATTTTTGAATAGAGGTATTTTAAAAACCTATTGCACAGTAACCTATTCCTGGTTATTTAGGGTTAGGAACATGAGTTCAAAAAGTCTGACCTCCTTAGCATGGCATAGAAAGCTCTTCACATTAGGTTCTCAGATTTCCTTTCTAGCCTCAGTTTCTGCTGCTTCTCATTTTGGTACTCTGTGCTATTACTGTACCACATTATTTTCCCTTCGCCAAGTGTGCCACATTCTTTTGTATTTCTGTGGTAGTGTGCGATTACCCAGAAGGTAGATCAAGCACATGCTTGGAACACCAAACAGACATAGGTACCAAACAATGAGGAAGAAAAAGAGTATTTGATGTTTCATGTCATCATCAAGGAAATTAGATCTTTGTTGGACTTCCTTACACTTAATTCATAATTTAGAATTATTTATATTTTGAAATACATGTGAGGGAGCACCATAGCCTTTTCTGTAATTAAGGCCCCTGTACGTTATTTTAGGCCCTTCTCTGTGCCTTTGCTTTTGCTGGATCTTAGCACTGTGAACCCTGCCTCTGAGAGAATTGCATGATATTCCATCCCACAGCATTTTATTTATTTATTTATTTATTTATTTATTTATTTATTTATTTATTTATTTTCGAGACAGAGTTTCACTCTTGTTGCCCAGGCTGGAGTGCAATGGTGCGATCTCAGCTCACCGTAACCTCCCCCTCCCAGGTTCAAGCAATTCTCCTGCTTCAGCCTCCCAAGTAGCTGGAATTACAGGCATGCAGCACCACGCCCGGCTAATTTTGTATTTTTAGTAGAGACTGGGTTTCTCCATGTTGAGGCTGGTCTCGAACTCCTGACCTCAGGTGATCCGCCCACCTCGGCCTCCCAAAGTGCTGGGATTACAGGTGTGAGCCACCGCGCCTGGCCTCCATCCCATAGCATTTTATTGCACATCTATCATAACACTTAGCACTTTGTATAACAATTTTTAAATCATCTCTCCTGACCAAACCATGAAGTCCGTGAGGAAAATGACATCTTCCCATCTAGCCATCTATTTCGTGCATCTAACCCGGTGATTTAGGCAAAGTAGAGACTCATTAAGTGTTGTTAAACTGAATAATTATTGTCTTGTTTATAGATGCAGGTGGTAGCTTTTATAGCAGAGATTGAATTATGTCTCTTTAACTGTTACCGCACTTGATTCATTAGTATCTGTTCGGATAGAATTTGACATGTCCAGGCAGTCCAGTTTGTTAATATAACAAACTGTTCAGAGAATTGGCAGTGTTCAGAAATAAGAAATCTGAAAAATCTGTAAGATTCATATGCAACACGATGATTTACTGGAGGCTTTTTTTTTTTTTTTTTTTGACGGGGTCTTGCTCTCACCCAGGTTGGAGTGCAGTGGCACGATCTTGGCTTGCACAATCACTGCAACCTCTGCCTCCCAGGCTCAAGTGATCCTCCCACTTCAGCCTCCTGAGTAGCTGAGACCACAGGCATGTGCCACCATGCCCAGCTAATTTTTCGTATTTTTGGTAGAGACACGGTTTCATCATGTTGCTGAGGCTGGTCTCGAACTCCAGAGCTCCAGCAATCCACCTGCCTCAGCCTCCCAAAATGCTGGGATTACAGGTGTGAGCCACCATACCTGACCCTACTGGTGGCTTTTTCTTCCATCTTGTCCAGTGTTCTGACAATCAGGATTTAGCCTTGTATACTCATGTTCATTCAATTGCATTAGTTCTTTAAAAATCGTAGAATCTTTTCAGTTAGATTTGGATTAGAGTTGTAGGTACTTTCTGATTTGTTCACTTTAAGCAGTTCAAGGAGAAAACAATGAAAAATTTTGTTGTTGGATGGATATCACATTGGCTCTTTTGCTGCTTAAATATCATCTATCCATGGCCTGCAGGAGCCATAGAATATCTTAACTCGTTGGGGTCCTATTACGATAGTCCTGCCCCAGACTACGAAAAGTTTCCAAAGGTCATCTTTTGAGTTTGAAGCCATCTGAGTAGAAAGTTTTCTAATGGCAGTGGTTCCCAGATGCCAGTTAGTTCATGGAAGCTGGTTTGTTATGGATATTGTCACAGGTCTGCAGTGATGTATGAGAAACAACAGTGTAGTGATTATCTACCAGAAAGCTAACTTTATTGATTACAAAGGACCATCCTTTATTCTGAGATTGTTCTTTACACTTTTTGCTTGTTCAAATGCTCTTTTGTCCTTAATTTAATGAAATTAAATTTACGATGTTAATCAAGGACTGTATCTGTATCTTTATATGAAACCCTTGAGACAAGATATGTTTCAGAACTTACATTCTTTTTGGATTTTAGAAAGGTAGCAGTCTGTATATCCTATATTACATAACAGCCCCAGCAGGGTTTGAGGTGACACCCCATAATCAGTTACAGTAATGTTACTGCAGTGAAATATAAGAATATTTATACTAAGTGAGAGAAAAAGCCTGTGAATAGCCTCATGTCAGTTCAGGTCAAGCTTGACTGCCAGATGAGTTCATATCAGTTCAGATTTTGCTGCCAAATGAGTTACAGGCAAGAAAAAATTGATTTCCAAGTGTTTGAATTTTGAAATTGTGGATAAGGGGTTGCCTTTTAAAATGTCCTTACTTTGTAAAATAAAGTTGAGTATCCTATGTAGGACCCCAAAATGTTTTTGAAATTTCATTGGTCCACAAAATCCAAAACTTGGGAAACAGCTCTTGAAAGCTATTGAAGTGAGTATAACATTACTGTTACACTCATCCCTAGCCAATAATAATTTTCCTCTCTATTTTGTTTGCAAGGAAATACATTGCTGTTGGTTATAATCTTTGGATGTTGTAAAAATCTCCAAATATACTTTTAATCAAAGTAGATTGAAATTAAGTTTATCTTGTAGCAATTTTAGGACGCTGGGGCAGGAGAGAAGGTTGCAGCCTGAATCCATCCACAATTCCCAGTGATGGATTAGGATTCTGTGATAGGGATGGGTTCTAGCTTGACAAGTCCTCCCGGCTGCATTTGTTTGGCCAAATAGATTAGTGAGGAGATTGGTCTGTTTTGGGTAAGGGCAATAGTAAATACCTATGTGCACTTAGGTTAACTGATTAATCTTTGGCATTTGTAGCTTAGGTTTCTATCCATCAGATGGGGTTAACAGTTCCCATCTCACAAGTATGAAATGAGTTAGGAGCTATGGAAGTACTTTGACAATGAAGATCACATTAGCATATAAAATAATAATCTTAAAGAAGAAGTTATGTAGTATGAACTAATAGAATCAAAACAACACAGCTGCACAATTCTTGTCCTAGTAAATTTGTCTAGAAAGTAGACTTGGTAAAACAATTATTTGACCTAACTGGGCTATAATTTGGCTCTTGCTTAAAAACAGTATTTCTCCGTTCTATGTGCCAGTTATTTATTTATTGGCCCTCAGCTTCAGATTCACCATGTGTTGCCTGCTCTGTGAAAATGGACCTGAACCTTTTGTTTTCTATTTATTTATTTATTTATTTATTTTTAATAGATTTTTTAAATTATACTTTAAGTTTTAGGGTACATGTGCACAATGTGCAGGTTTGTTGCATATGTATACATGTGCCATGTTGGTGTGCTGCACCCATTAACTCGTCATTTACATTAGGTATATATCCTAATGCTATCCCTCCCCCATCTCCCCACCCCCCAGCAGGCCCTGGTGTGTGATGTTCCCCTTCCTGTGTCCATGTGTTCTCATTGTTCAATTCCCACCTATGAGTGAGAACATGCGGTATTTGGTTTTATGTCCTTGTGATAGTTTGCTGAGAATGATGGTTTCTAGCTTCATCCATGTCCCTACAAAGGACATGAACTCATCCTTTTTTATGGCTGCATAGTATTCCATGGTGTATATGTACCACATTTTCTTAATCCAGTCTCTCATTGTTGGACATTTGGGTTGGTTCCAAGTCTTTGCTATTGTGAGTAGTGCCGCAATAAGCATACGTGTGCATGCGTCTTTATAGCAGCATGATTTATAATCCTTTGGGTATATACCCAATAATGGGATGGCTGGGTCAAATGGTATTTCTAGTTCTAGATCCCTGAGGAACCTTTTGTTTTTATCTTTTTTTTGTTTTGAACCTTTTGAATGGTTGCTTCCATTACCACCTGACACTGAAGTTTTGTCAGTAGAGGGTGCTGGAAAGGCACATCAGGAAGGAAGTACTTTGACAATGGTGACCACTTTAACATATCAAATCATAATTTTGAGGAATAATTATATGGTACAAACTTGTATAGTATTTATATGTTCATATAGTTGTTTATATAAAATTTATATATTTATATAGTTGTTATATATAATATGTATAATTTACATAGCATTTATATGGTTTTGCTTCATGGTTCCCTGTGTGCTTGCTCAGCAGGCTGTTTTTTGAGCATCTTCACCAGTGCTCAGCTTCTTTACCCAGTGGTCAGTAGCTTCTCATGGTGCCCCCAGAGACAGTTTTATAGCAGAGTATTTCTGGTAGGACACTTTCCAGAAGGTGTATTTTGAGCATGTCACAAAGGGTGGGTTTCTGACAGATTCCAGCTAATGAGCACCACAGCAGCTTCTCTACCCTTCATTGTGCTGTGGCTGTGCCCTCTCCAATAATGTCTGGATCTCAGCCTTGAGCAGAAGTCACTTTCTTTGGTGCTCTTTCTCAGCCCTAGGGGTAGTTGCTCCTGATATCTGTGATTCTTTGATTCTTGTGTTTTTTTTTAGAATCTCTTTACTTATTACTAGCCAATTTCTCATTACTCCAATTTCCTGTTATTCCAACCCTCTGTCATAGTTAATAATTTCTTATGTACAACTCTCCCTGTTCAAATTACTATGCGGTTTCTCTCTCCTGAGTAGACCCAGACAGTTGCAACCAATTAAAGATCTCTCTGAGCCACCATGTATCACTGGCAAGCCAATTCTTCAGAGATGATATCGTTGTATCTGTAGTTGAAAAAATTCAAATATCTTTTAGGGAAATGTCTCAAAATCCAATGAAGTTTAGCTGTTCTTCCCATGGGGTTTCTGTGTACCTATGTATTTGTCTCTCTTTCTCTATCTTCATGTCCCACCACCTTAACTGTGAGTTCTCACTCTTCTCTCCTTCTCCATCTATTTGCCTTCATACACTTAGTTTCCAACCCCAGCATTGCTTTTGGCTTCCCTGCGTCTCAATTTCTGTCTTGGTGAGGCAGCGATATAAAAGATCATAAATTAATGAAATCAAGGACATGAAAGTGCTTTGTAATTAGTAGAGTACCATACAAAGTGGTGATATTACTTGTGTTTATTAAATAGTTTTCTCTTCTATGTTTTCAAATGTTCAATTATGTTTTATTTTAAGAGCTTTGTGGGTGCCTTCAGGGGTACTTACAAACTAGTAAAATAGATACATCAATACATAGAATTATTAGACAAGACTGAATGTGCTGGGTGCTAAAATAGGGGAACAAATGAGGAAACAGGAGCCCTGAAAATTAGAATTTAATTGTGGTCTGAGGATTCATGGATTATTTCCAAGGAGAATCATCTGACCTTGAAGGACCTTACCTGCAATTTATTAAATGTTTGTGGCACAAATGAGCCTTGCAATACGTACTTTACATATATTCTCATATTGAATCTTTACATTCATCCTTATATTCTTAAATTATTTTATGTCTTAGACTGATTTCAAAATATTTTGCTTGAAGACAGATTTTTGTTCATTTGTTTTATTTTTAATTGAAACTTACCTCCAGTTATGTGTGAAAACTCAGTGGCAGTAAAATCTACAAGATAGAACATTATGTTGCTTTTCAGGTATTTTCTATTTTCATATTCATTCATGGATACCTACATTTTAAAAGATGGTTGAACACTTTTCACCTGAGAACTAGAGTAAATATATGATAATCTCTATATTTAAAAAGGGAAACGTTTTGTTTAAAAATTGATGACTCAGTCTCTTTTTTTTTTTCCATAAGAGAGTGTGTCAGTAGGCTTCTAGGAGATGGCATACTTTATGAAAAAATGTAGCATACTATTTAAATTAGAGGTGGTTACGCTTTGAATGCAAAGTATCCTGTCAAATCACAGGATGAGTGCATCTCCCAGTGGAAGATGTTGCAAAGTGCAAGTGAGTATGAGTCTTCCCGAAAGCATTTGTCTTTATAGCTTGGATTCTATGAGATGCCCACCAAAGACACTTAATTTTTTATCTTAGAAAGTCAAGATGGATGAGTCTTCAGATTTATTAGGAACCCTTCTTTAGTTTTGAATATTTTGTGATGAATCCATACTTTATCTTTTTGCAGATGAGATGGAAATGTCCTGTTTCTTTGGCAAATAATATGTGAGCATAGCACATGTAGCTTTTTTTTTTTTTTTAAATAGGCTATGATTTGATCAGTGTTTTCTGAAGTATTATGTGCGTGCTACTGGTGGTATATGTACCCGTAGAAATAGACAGACTAACACAATTTGAATATATTTGTTACTTATTTTAACGCTGATTAGGAAAAAAAGCCTGGTATATCACACTTGTCATTTCTTAGATACTACTGAAGTTAAGACTATGCAGGTAAAAACACCTCACCCAGACCAAGTGAATTACTGGTGCAGTGTTCAGGCATGCCCAAGAATGTATTGCTGCATTCTTTTCATAGATACAGCAACACTCTACCAGAAAATAGTAGTATTTAAATATACAAAGTATTTATAACATACATAATTGCAAATTGGAATCGGTTCTATGCTCTTTTTTTGTTTTGTTGTTGAGGTCAGTATGGATCAATGGATAAAAATTGAATTTTTAAAATGTAAAGGTGCAGACTGTGAGGGAAATCTTATTAGGGGATGATTTTGATGAAGTTAGTCATGTAGCTTTAGACAAACTTGAAGACCAAATTTAGCAAACTGTCTGAATCATCTGCTACTGTTACAGAAGGACCAACTGCAAAGAAAACAACTATCACACAAATTTGATGAAAGTATTTGAAATTTGTATTTTCATAAGTATGATGAGAATGAACCTCTTTCCTTGTATGTCAGATGTGTAGAGACACACATTCTGGTGTGAAACCTTTCAATCCTGTGCTTTTTTGAAACACAAAGTGTGCTATACAAAGTCCACCTGAGAGGTTCCTTAAAAAGTTGAACATAGAGTTATCATATGTTCACCCAGAAATTCAGAAACTCCTAGGTGCATATCCCCCCAAATTAAAAACTAGTACTCAAACAAATGTACACCCATGTGCAGGGAGGGACTATTCACAATACCCAAAGGTGGAAAGAGCTCAAATGCCCATTAACTGATGGATGGGTAAATAAATTGTGGTATGTACATATAATGGAATACTCAGCCATATAGTATATTAGAAGTATCAGTACTTCTAATATACTAGTAAATGGTGGATGAGCCTCCAAAATATTATGTTAGTGAAAGGAGCCAAGCACAAATGATTAGATACTATATGATTCAATTTATGTGAAATACTAAAATAGATAAATCCATAGTGACAGAATGCAGATGCAAGGGGCTAGGGGCAGGGAGGAGAGAATGGGGAGCAACTGCTTAATGGGTATGGGTTTTATTTTGGAGTTGATTAAAATGTTTCACAACAAGATAGAAGGGGGTGGTTGCGCAACATTCTGAATGCACTGAATGCCACTGAATTGTTTACTTGATAGGTGCAGCAAACCACCATGGCACATGTATACTTATGTAACAAACCTGCACATTCTGCACATGTATCCTGGAACTTAAAGTAAAATAAAAAATTAAAAAAAAATCACTACTTTTATCTTATGTGGATTTCACCTCAGTATGGAAAAAATAAGACTTACCCAGTAGTGTGGTATGTGTGACATTTTATGGGGAATAGGATGATGTTAGGTTGTGCATAAGCATTTCTTATTACAGGAGTTAAGTATGTATTTTTACAATTGTCTTCTTTTTATGAGAAATTATTAGTTTCCTATTTGCAGTAATAAGTTTTCCTTTAAAGATAAATGTAAGTTTTAAAGAAAAAATAAGATGGTACTGATATGACACATGAAGGCAGTTCACAAATGAATGAAAAATGGCAGCTTCAAAGAGACATTTTGTTTTATGTTCAAGCCAACTAACTTTAATTTTTATTATGTTATTATTATAATTATTATTGTTTTAGAGACAGAGTCTCGCTCTATTGCCCAGGCTGGAGTGCAGTGGCACCATCATAGCTCATTGCAGCCTTGAACTCTATGACTCAAGTGATCCTCCCACCTCAGCGTCCCTCACAGGCATGTACCACTACTCCTTGCTATTTTTATTTTTTATTTTTTATACAGATGAAGTCTCACTATGTTGTCCAGGCTAGTCTTGAACTCTTCCCACTTCAGCTTCCCAAAGTGTTGGGATTACAGGCGTGAGCCACTGTGCCTGGCCAATTTTTAGTGAGAACATATTAGACACTAGTTGCTGTTTATGAAAGTTGAACGAGATGTGACTTTTGCCTTAGGAAAAACTTCCAACCTAAAGGTGATAAGCCAAATCTATAAATAATTCAAGGAAGAAGCTGAATGTGCCCAGTGAGACTGGAACAGAGGACAAACAGACTGAGGCCAAGACCAGGTACCTGTTTGGTTTGATTACCAGTACCATTTCAGAAAATGCTAGAATAGGCTTCTGGGTGTAGTGGCTCATGCCTGTAATCCCAGCACTTTGGGAAACCGAGGATGGAGGATTGCTTGAGACCTGGAGTTCAAGACCAGCCTGGGCAACATAGCGAGACCCCATCTCTAAAAAAATAAAAAAATTAGTGGGCATTGTGGCAAGCACCTGTAGTCTCAGCTACTCAGAAGACTAAGGTGGGAGGATCACTTGAGCCCAGGAGTTCGAGGCTGCAGTCACCTATAATCACACTACTGCACTCCAGCCTGGGTGACAGAACAAGACCCTGTCACTAAAAATGGGAAGGAAGGAAGGGAAGAAGGAAAGAAGGAAGAGGGGGAGGGAGGAAGATGCTAGGATATATAGGAAGAAATTAAACTAAACTCTATGTACAAGTGCAAACAAAACCCCAACTTAATATTGGCATTCGTGGTTGATGGAAAGATGGGAGTTGGTGGGAAACCATTTTAGAGCAAAATTTGCTTTTGAAATTAGAAACAGGGAGAAAAATTACTTAATAAATGCAGCAGGCCGGGCGTGGTGGCTCACGCCTGTAATCCCAGCACTTTGGGAGGCCGAGGTGGGTGGATCATCTGAGGTCGGGAGTTCGAGACCAGCCTGACCAACATGGAGAAACCCCGTCTCTACTACAAATACAAAATTAGCCGGGCGTGGTGGCACATGCCTGTAATCCCAGCTACTCAGGAGGCTGAGGCAGGAGAATTGCTTGAACCCAGGAGGCAGAGGTTGCAGTGAGCCGAGATCATGCCATTGTACTCCAGCCTGGGCAACAAGAGCGAAACTCCAACTAAAAAAAAAAAAAAAAAGCAACAGATAATGTAATCAAGTTTCATATACTGTGGTCCTTTTTGCCTCTACCTTTTTCTCTCTCAGTAACTTGGAAGTCCTCTGGGCTTCCTCTCTCCCTAAAAATCTCACATTTAAAGGTAGCATAGTAGAGGGCTTGAGAATATATGCTCTGGAGCTAGACTGCTTGGGTTCAAATTCCAGTTCCAATATTTACAGATCGTGTAACCTTAGTCATGTCACTTGATTTTTCTATGTATTTGTTTTATCTTCTGTAAAATGGGGATGTTAATAGTAACTGCATTATAAGGCTTTGGTAAGGATTAAATAAGTTAAATGATTAAATGTGGTAAGCATTTATAACACTGCTTGGCACATGGTAAGTGATCAAACAAATGTTAGCCATTATCATCATCTCCAGTCAGTAAATCCTGTCAATTTTGTCTCCTAAAAGTCTTTTTGAATGTCACCCACTACCACTGCCTTAGTTTAAGATCTTATGTTGTCACAATTGCAATTGTGCCTTAACTAGTCTTGCACCCGCACCCTCTCTCCTAACCATCCCCTCTGTCTCACTTGACTGCCTGACATACTCTTGCTTATTCTGAAATACTCAGCTCAGATGTCACCTCTGTGAAACTTTCCCTGATCCTCTGTGCTAGTCCACTTAGGGCTCTCCATGTGCACTTATATCCTTTGGAACATATCTCATTTATAGCATAGCTTATATAGTACTGTGACTGTAACTGATGTTCCGTGGGTTGTGTCCACCTTGAAGGTGAGAAACTGGGTTTACTTAGTTTTGAACTTCCACCCTAAACACAGCCCCTGGTACAAAGTAGATGCTTATTAAATGCTTGGGTGGATTATTGAATGGGCTCTGCCTGTAGAAAGCTAGTTTACAGTCTTCATTTGGGAAGCTAAGTTGAACACACCTAAGAATAAATAACTATGAACATTGTATAGTAACTGCTGAAAGAGTTTAGAAAGAAAAGGGGAGTGCTGGGGGTAATCAAATTATACTTCAAAAAGGTAGAGCTTGATTTAGAACTTAAGAATGGGCAGAACTTGTGTGAACAGAGAGGCAGCCACAATCTACTATGCAAAAGGGATGTTTTATGAGTTGAATGGGTGGTGACAGAAAAAAAGGAAAAAAAAAAAGCCCAGCCTTAGCAAAACAGAGAAGAGACCAGTCTAATTAGGGTGTGTGTATGTGTGTTGATGGGGGGAAGGTATATGTTGAAAACTACAAGTAGATCATAACCTATAAACAGGGTGTGTTCTAAAGATTTATTTACAAACCATTTGTTTGGACATGACACATAATATACATGGTTTCTAGCCAGCTCAAAATATTGTATTTAACCTACTTAGTAGTGAACTATCCCAGGGACAGTGCTCCAGAGCCTGGGAGCAGAGAGTCAGGAAAGGTGCGATGGATTCTGGGCTAGAAGACAGAGTGATAGAGAAATTGAGATTTGTTGTTCTCCTATGACCCTTTCTGCACCTTTTTTTTTTTTTTTACATCTCAGTTTCTCTAAGAGAAAGTTTCTCTATCCCTCAAGGCACCCCATGCTGCTAACTTCCTTGAAACAGAACCCCATCCAAAGTTGCTAGGGCTCTAAAAGGCTCTCTCTCACCTCCAGCCTGCCTCATTCCCTCAGGGCAACAGCTCTTTGCTATTTGAAGAAACTTGACTCAACTCATTCATGCCAATGTGTGAATAACTGATAGCCACCTCATCCTGGCAGCTGTACTTACTTTAATTTTAACAGCCTTCTTGTTAGCTCAAATGAACCTGTAATTGCTGGAATTTCTGGCACTGGTACAGAGCAAACAATGTGGGAGGGGGGTGAGGGTTACAGAGAGAGAGAGAGAGAGAGAGAGAGAGAGAGAGAGAGAGAGAGAGAGTTTCACTGTAGGAGAAGATATTTTGAGATAAGGAAAGCTTTGGCCAAGAGCTTTGCCTAATTTTCCTTTCTTCTCCACCTCCCTCCCCCAAATTGTTCTTGTGTATTCCTCTTCACAGGTTTACTATAGGCTGCAAGTTGTTTATTATTATTACTTTTTAAGAATAACTTCTGTAGCAGTTCTGGGTATGGTGGTACTGTGTTTTTTAGTTGTGTGCAAATCTGGGATTACCTGTAATGGGAAATAGGGTTGAATAGATAAGGTGGGGCTGGGGGTTGAGGGGACCTTGAAAGTGGAGTCTACAAATACATCCATAGAAATAAGGAGTCATGGAAAGTTTTTGAATAAAAGCTTAAGATGATGAAACCAATAAAGGTGGCAAAATGAATTCTAAATTTTGAATTAGAAATGATGGAGTATTATGTTTACTCTTGGCTTGGGATTGGTTTATACAGAATCATATTTCTGGTTACCATTTTTCATGGTTCTGGGCATTCACCTTTAATTGTTAGTATCTCTCTCCTTGGCTGTCTGTTCTCTGTGGCTCCTGAGCCAATCTTCCTTCAGGATTAATATGCTCCTAGAAGCTTTTATGACTTTTGTATTACCAACTAGCACATAAGGGCTTATACATTCTGTTTCTGTGTCCCAAAATTCAAGTCTAATGTTAGCAAAACACAACTCTCATTTATAAGACTTTTTTTTTTTTACTTTTTAATGAAAATTTCCAGCCTTTCCAAACATACCCCAAAAACACACTGGAGATAGTGGTTAATGATCTGCATCAGTTAGCCCTCAGAGCTGCAGGAACCTCCACACCCACTCCCTAACCTATGCATGTTAAACCATGTTGTAGATAAGCTCTTCCCTTTGGGGAACCCCATTGTCTTTTATTCTTTATATTGTTCATTATGTAAATATTCTTGATATTTCTCCTCCACCAGTCTGCACAAAGGAGAAGCCAGAAAATGGGGTGAGAAAGGGATTTGAGACATTTCCTTAAGCCTAAATTATAATTCTCTCATTGGAACAGGATTCATAGATCTTTAATCAAATATGTTTATTTTTCTCTGTTTTGAACGTTAAAAGGGCTTGTTCGCATTGGGCCCTCTTGTGTGTCATTTGTATATTTTGCTCTTGACTGCTCAGCATACCATTTACATTACCAGGTATTGGTGATGTGCAGTGACTTGCTTGGTTGAATTTGCTATTTCATTTTTTTGCTCCATGTAGTGGAGCAGTGATTGTTAAAATTGGATTTTGTGGTTTACTCTTTCGTCATGACTTGTAGCAACAGTAATTTAATAGGATTTAACAGTCCAAAGAATATACTTTTTGTCCTTTTCATTTACCAGTCCACAAAATGACTGCTTTTAGGAGATATTGTTTCATTTTTCAATATTCCCTGGCCTAGGTGGTAACAAACTAATAAAATGCATTCATTTGCTTTACCAATCCTATCTTGACTTAGAAAGTTGATTACTGACATTTCCCTTCCTTATGGTAGTTAAGTGTTTTCCTTACTCAGTTCAGTTCAGCAGTCACCTATTGATCCATTCACACCCCCATCCTCATTCTTCTATCATAAAGTTATTATATACCTACTATGCTGGGCCCCCTGCCAGGCACACATAGGGTCTGTCATGCAAACATCAAAAGGAGCCATTTAGGTATGCTATGTGCAATTGTAACATTTTATTTTTTCTTATGATTCAAATCTTAGTTTTGGGAGGAAAAGGCCCTTTAATGATTTCTTATTTAATTATCATCAGAAAAGTGTAGTTAGGCATGGAGGAGGGAAGAACCTACCTCTGCTGGCTTGATTTCACCAAAATCGCCTCCTATAATTGGGTTACTATGTGACAGGCACTGAGTTAGGTATAATACAAACATAAGGAAGGCCCAACCTCAGTTCTCAGGAATTTATAGTCTAGGGAGACATAGAAGCAGTTTTAACCCAAAGAGAGAGGAGCTATAATATTCAAAGTATCACAGGAGGATAGCAAACCCATTACCTGTATCTTCTAAGGGATGTGAGGGAAAGTTTCACTGAGGGAGGTTTGCTTGAACACTTAAGCATGACTAGAAGTTTGCTTGGTAGAGTAGAAGGGCAGGGAATTCCAAGTGGAATCAGATGTGAAGTCACTGAGGCATGAAGGAGTATGACATATTTGAAATGTATGCCAAGAAATTGCTAATTACTAGATGAAAGAGAACTCTGTGGAATTGGCATTGGGAAGATATTTCTGGTACAGGTATAGGTTGATCATTTATGTAACTTTTGTCATATAGCTATTCTGTAGCTTCCATTAACTATTCCTTACTTCTCCTCTCCTCCAGCCATTTATGTGAAGACTTTTTTTTTTTTTGGAGGGGAGGTGTTTAGGAGTCATATTTGTAGTTTTTCCTTAAAATGAATATTAATATAAATATTAATACAATACAGAGGTGACTAATAAACACCAAATTAGGTATCAGGAGACCTGGCTTATTGTTTTCCACTTCTCTCAGCGGCTATGTCACTTGAGCCAAGGCATTTAACAGCTCTGTTTCTTCATGAGTAAAATGGGAATATTAATGCCTGCATTGCCTACCTCAGGATCAGGTTGAAAATGAAAATGAAACTGTTAAAAATAAAGAGGTATAATAAACTCTTTTACTTGGAATTCTGCTGGCTGAGGTTAAACTGACATTTAAAGCAAGTAAAATACTTTGTGGAGTATCTGGATAGAAAAATTAGGTTGGAAAATAATTCTTACTTCCTCATTAACCCTCTATGTCTGCCCTTTAGTCTTTGAAATGTCATTTAGCTTATTTCTATGTTTCCAAACTAACATGATAAAAATTTTAAACTTCCTAATGTTCTGGCATGTATATCTTGGCCCTTTCAAATTCTCAGTGTAACTATTAAATAGCAATTGATTTAAGAGTTAGGTGAGTAAAATATAAGTTGGTATATTTCGTAGTCAATCTTGAATAATTCATACCTATTAAGTAGTTTGAATTACTAATGAGATACTGTCTATCATTTCTTGTTCCATATGGTGGTAGGACACAAGTTTTGTTCCATTTTAGAAATGTATAAGAGGGTCCTGATTCATTCAATTAGGATTGGGAGGTTATGAGACTTTGGCCTTCTGCCTTCTTTGCCATTTTTCCTAATTCAGTGACAATGCAGGCAGCAGTTATTAGTAGCAGCAAATGACATTTCCATTCATTTTATTTCCTTTGACCCCCATCTTCCCCATTAGATTGAGTGGTAATCTACTGAAATCTGATAAATCACTTGAAACATGAACTTCTAGACTATAGGAGCATGAGCAATTGCTTCCAATATAAATACTCCTGGCTAACCCTTCTTTAGATCAGTGGTTCTCAAAATCTATCACTATGGATATTTCAGCAGGACAGAAAATTCTGTAAACCACTTAAGTCATCCTGCTCTGAACCATCTTACATACATCAGAAGAAAGGGAAAGAGTACTGCTATGGATGAGATAACACAATGGTATTTTACATGGAATGTAACTGAATTATTTATACTAGACTAGTATTGATCCTGTCATCATAATCACTATTATATGACACTTGTGGAATTCCAAGAGGTAGTTACCCCTCCTCCCTTTCTGCCTTTGCAACTTAGAGATGAACTAGTTATGTGAATTTGGATAAAACACCTATTCTAATCAAAATATAATATAAAATGGTTGTTGAGATTTTTCTACCAGGCCCTAAGGAAATAATCTGTCAATTTGTCTGTTTTTCACAAAACTAAATGAGGAAATGGTCTGGCTTATTTTCTCTTTGTTTTAAAATCTATGGTGCCATTGATACCCAGTTTAAAAACATTCTTCTGAAGGTGCTGTTGATTAAATCATTTTAATGTCCCCCAAGTACTGCCTGTTTTTGAAGATTATTTGGAAAATGTGGCACATTCACCAACTCACATTCTCCTCTTATTCTGTACTTGCTTTTTTTCCTTATAAGTTAGTGGAAAGGCAACTGGTCAGTTTTTTCACTCAATAAAAAAGAAGGAAGGTGTAGACAGCTTTTATCTGGGAATGCTTTAAGTCATTGAGAGAATATTTTTAAGTGTTAACTACTTTTTGAAATTATTGGCAGAATCTTTTAATCCATTTTAACATAAAACAGTTGACTAAGATGGAAAGATTTTTATTGTTTACATAAAAGAAATCACCATGGTTTTTGCATCATTGCATAAATCTAAGAGATTGTGCATACATAAAAAGGATGAGACAAAGCTGAATGTTAAGTGCCAAAATCAACGAAAGCTTGCGTACTTACTGGGTATTTGACACTGAGCATAATGGAATGTGGTTCCACAGAGAGAGAATACTAAATATTTAGACCCAAGGACATGTTTCTCTGATAGCTTCTTATCCTAATCTCCTAGCTAACATTATTAACCCTTTTTGAAACACCTCTTTCTTACACTTAGATTTCCTCCTATTAAAGCTCACCCTTGGAGATTCTAAACCTTCTATACCCAAGCACCTACACTCACCCACTCATCTCTTTCTGAGATCTTCATGAATTCCTTTTGTTTATTATATGGATCTTTGGGTGAATTATCTTGGTTTACTATGAGTAGTAAAGCACAATCACAATTTCTCTCCACTTACAGCTCTATTTTTCCAAAGGTCACAGCTCCATCATTCAGCTCTTCTGTCGGTATCCCTTTCTCATCGATTCCCTGGAATTTTTGAACCAGGGCTGTGAGGTATACAGCCAGCAATGTTGCATAGTACTTTAGAGTTGCTGCCCAACACAGGTCCATCTCTCTTCACAATTCATGTTTGTTCCTTTTCAGGCTCAGAGTGGTGAAGGAAGTTACTAAGATTAGCGTGCACTATGAAGTCTGGGAGGTGGGCTTTCAGGGACCTGCTTACTTACTCTGAGGCTCTGACCTTTGCCTTAGTGTGATTTTCTCACCATCCTCTTTTATTTTGTGGGCAAAGGATCAAAAAGATTTCTTCAACATTGAGTGCTAAACATTAGCAAGAATGCGTGGTTTCTGGTCCCTGTAATGAAAGAATATTTTTAAAACCATAGACTCAAATTACCATGTAAGATATCACAGAAGCAAATGGAATTTGAGCTGGATCTGGAAGAATGGGTTGAGTTCAGGAAAGTGGAGTTTGGAAGAGATTTCATGCAAGAGGGACCTCTGGAGCAAAGGCGAGAAAGAACAAAGAAAGCTTTTGACATAGAGAACTGGAAGTTGGTGTTATGATTTACTACAGTAAACTGGAAGAGTAGGTTGGCCGGTATGTACTGAGTTCTTAGTGCTAGGCTTAGTTACTTGATTAATTATTTGATTGATCTACTCATTCAACAGATTGTTTCTCATAGCCCACAGGATAAAATCCAAACCTGTTTTCTGGCGTGCATGGTCTTCTGTGATGTGGTTTCTGCATACCTTAAAATCTACTCCACTCAACACTATGTACCCACTTTTCAGTAATATTGAACTCTTTTCAGTCATATCGAAGAATTTGCTGATCCCTGCAACATGTTGTATTCCTTCACATGTTTCTTTCTTTGCACAGGCTATTTCTTCTAGAGTTCACTTGATGTATGCTTCATTCTTCAGCCTCAGTTGCAACGGAATTTTTGTTATTCCTCTGCTGCTGTAGAATGCTAGGCTTATATTACTAAAGCTTCTACACCATATTTTGTATTGTCAGAATACATGCCTGCTTCCCTCACTCAGCTTATGAGCTTCCTGAGGGCCAGGGATTGTGTCTGGTTCACCTTTACATCCACACCACCCAACATAGTACCTAACATGTAGCCAATTCAATAAATACATACTTACTGTAAAATTATTCATTGATCATTTACTTTACATCATGTGTAGTTTTATTTTTAAAAAGCGATCTAGATGGAATGGGATTGACAAATTGAAGACGGGCAATGCAGGGAGATGAGTTATATGTATTTTTGAAGTAGCTCATTTGTTTAAAAAAAACAGTAGGGGCTAGATTCCTGGGAGATTGATAAAGAAAAAAAGATAGGACTTAATGACTGGCAACTATGGGCAAGAGAGAGGGAAGAATTAAAGATAATAAAAAATAAAGATAATACAACAAATAGCAGGATAGTGACCCTTAAAAAAATAAGGTTACTTTCAGGTAAGCATGTTTTTTTTTCTAAGTTGGATTTCCTGGTGTTAGTATTTGTCTCACTCCACCTTTGCTCCAAAGATGAACACTTTGTTCCTGTTCAGTTTACCAGAACTAAGTTCAAGATATATGTGCTTCTCATTTTCATATCTGGCCAGCAGTTTAGATATGAAATATAAATAGTTCAACTACACTGACTACAATTTCCTATCAAGGGAAGGTATGCAGTACATAGGTTTTTTTTTTTTTTTTTAAATATATAAAGCCTGTTTCTGCTTTTGGGAGCTACAACTGAAGTGTTGTACCAGGCAGATGCACTGGGGTGCGCTACTATGTAGCAGAGCCTAGCTGTGCATCACAGCTCTTAACTTTAAAACTCCAGAGAATTTGATGAGAGAGGGATCCACAAGAACATGACAAATGATGAGAGTTCAAACCTTAAGAGAAAAATGGGCTTATTGGTAAGAGACCTTTCTTTTCCTTTATTTACTGCTGTTACTTACTCATTAAAATAGCAAGCCTGTTATTTCCATATGTGGCTGTGAAGCGATATACAAAAATCAATTTTAGATGTATTGTAGAATTCAGGAGACATATTGGTAACCATGCAAAAATCATAGGAAGCATGTACAAAGCTTGATTTTGAATAAGATTTCTAAGGGAATTTTATTTTACTTCAGACTGTGTTATAGATTTATTTATATAGCTTAAATGTAATGCAGGTAAGAAATATCTATATATACATATATTTAAAAAGTTAAAATAAAGAATAGTGACTTATGTAGAAATACATAATTTCACTCAGTTGCCAGAAGGTGGCATACCAGATTTTTTTAAATGCACAAAGAAAAGGAATAATATTAATAGGGATATAAAATAAGCTGTATTTAAAGACATTTTGATGCATTTTAAAGCAAAGAAATAATATAATTGTTATTTTTTGGTAGGGCTTAATTGTAAAACATGACAGATATGAATTTGACCTATTATAGCTTTTTATCATTCAACAATAATGTTTATGTGTATAGCATTTTAAAAGTATACTTTCAAATAGTACTGTCATTAAGGAGATGCTGTTTTGAATTTATCATTCCAAAAAAGAAAAAATATTTTCCACCTACTTTTTTCATAGGAAGTTATTAGATTTAGTATCACATTTTGGATAAGGTCTTTGTCAAGGTCTTTCTAAAGATATTATTAAACTATGACTTTGATATAGTTATGGATTTAATAATGCAGTAGTGCTTGTGAGATGACCCAGAAAAAACCAAGACAGTTTATTTTGAAAAAAAGTGAGATAAGGCTAATGCTTACTTTCTATATGCTGATAACAACATAAATGAAATAAATGGAAATAAATGAAATTTTATATTAGAGCTCATCAAACATTTGCCAGCATACTTTAATTTTTTAAGAGAGTTGACTGTCAACAGCCTATACTGTAGTGCTTCTGTAGTGGTCTCTATTTTTAAAACTGGATTCCTGAGGCAGTACCAGAAGTATGTCTATCCAATGTTGCTTTTTGTATTAGCCCAAAAGAGCTAGATGTATGACAGAACTTAACAAAAACCAAATCTTCTGGTTAGGAGACAGTATATCTATTTATGTGTTTTTATTAATTACAAGCAGTATGAAAATAAAAAGAATTGGTAGTAAATGAACCTAGAAGAACATTAGCCATCTGTTCTCTGAAAGCTTGTAATATGTGTCATTTGCTTTCAGGTTTTTATGGCAAAGAAGTATATCAGCAAAGAATTGACCTTTAGGCTTAAAAAGCTACAAAATGGCAAATTATTCCAAGGGGCGAGTATATATTTACTGGAAAAGTGTCTCCTTGTGTCCAAATTTGGCTAGTTTAGTCTTTTAGATCAACTGCCAATCATTGTTATGCTTAATGCCCATCTTTATTCCAGACTTTCTGAGACATTAAGAAAGCTTCTAAAAACAAATAGGATCTTATGGCTTTCTAGTTAAGGGTTTTTAAAAGTTAATTTACATAGTTTAAAATTGTTATGTGTGGTTTTAACTGTTCAGGATTTATAAATATGGTTTATTAATTTACAGCTAAAATGCTGTCAGGGTATGCTTTGAAAAATTTGAACTAAATATAATAAAACTACAATTAACCAGGTTTCTTTTTGCACTCCACTTTCAGGAGACGGAGGCAATTGTCATTAAAACAAGCCGATTTCAAGGATATATTCAAAAAATCAACTTCAGGGTATGTCCAGGGGTCTACATTTTTCCTCACCTTTTTTTTTTTTTCAGTGCGAATTGGTTTTCATGAAAGACCCTGAGAATACTAGAAGACAGTTATCAAGTATAGTTACAGTAATGGCTAGGGCACTGTGTTTATTAGGAAAAAAGTATGTAAATCATGCTGTTAAAAATGCCACGCATCATTGTATTGTGCCTTATATTTTCCAACATGCTTTCACAAACATAAATTACTTTGGTTTTCACGACAACACTGTGAGACGGGCAAGGAAAGCAGCATTTTCCCTATTTTACAGATGGGGGAAGATAACACTGGAGGTCAGAAAGCTAACCAGGGACACAGCTGCAGTTGGACCACAGATGCCTAGCTCTGTCTCTTCTGCCTTCTTCCTCATGGAAAAAGTTTGAAACAAGTTTTTAACTTTTTAATCTGTATTACACAATCAAGATAATTTGTTTTCTAATTGTTGTACCTCACAGTTTCCCACTTCGCATCTGTCTGTCTGCCTCTGTGCCTGTCTGCCAGCTGGAGACCTTACTTTCAGACTCTCCCAGACCTAGAAGGATCTGGAGTGTGGGAGGGCAAGATAATGGATGTACAGTTTGCTATGACAACTGGTGTTGAGCAGCCAGTGTTCATATGCTAAGGCAGGCCAGGGACTGAGAAAGAAGACAATCTTACTATAGCTAAGAGATATTCAGCAGGAATTAGCAACCTTGACTTTAAAGCAGTGTTTCTCTAATAGTTTAGTAGACCTGGTGTGATAATCAGCTGTAGTACTTGTTGAGAATGCAGAGTACTGGGCCCCACCTTCAGATATCTACATTTTAAATAATCACCTCATGTGATTCTTATGCACACTAATGTTTGAGCACATCTGCCTTAAAGGTAAAGAACTTTTCTTTTGGTATATGTATTGCAGCATAGAGAAAAGAACCACTTTTCTCTCAGCAACTTCTGTGTTCCATGTCAAACCATATTAACCAGGGCAGTGGGGAGCAAGGGGCAAGCAAGAGTGATGAATGACAGATATTATTTGCACACATTGCTGGATGTACATCTGAAGCATGTCACAATAGCTACTGTTCATTGTGGTGACTTTGACGTATTTTATAAAGGTTTGTGTCTATTTTAGACATGAGGGGCAGAAAGATTTCTGCCAAAAGGTGAAAAATAAGTGAGTTTTGATATTTTAATAACATCTCCCAGTTGTTTTTATTGTAAAGTAATTTAAAAAACTGTATAGAAAACTAGGCTATTCAGGGTTCTGGTAGTTAAGGGTTTACTGTAACAATGTATTTACACTAATTTGTGTTTCCTATGTGTATATCTAGTCTGCCTGATTAGATTATAATGGTCTTGTGGCCAGGGAACATGTGTTCTTTTGTGTATTTGTAACATCTAGCAAAGTCATAAGTTATTGATACTTATTGATGACTGAAATAACTCACTGAGCATGTATCTCCTTTCTAGGGGTTTTGGGCTAGGCAGAGTAAGTTGATTGATTTCATTTGTGAAGTTAAAGGAGACAATCTTACACTGTCAGTAATGGTTAATATACTAAGAAGTTTTCAGTTGAAATAACTGTATTTTAGTTGACAGATGTGAAAGTGTGGTCCTAATTAATAAATGTGCTTTTTCCCTGTTTAGAGTATCCATTCAAGCTCGATCTTGCCTCTTCACCCTTTTTGGAATACATGTTATGTTGTTCTGTGCTTTACAAATCTGAATCTGAAAAATTGATATTTCTAGAAACCCCTAAACATAAATATTTTTGTTTAATTTCTGAACAGTATCATAGAAATTTAAACAAATGCCTAGACCCTGTAGTGGAAGATTCATAAAAATGCTCAAGTGTCTCTGACTTAAATCAAGCTGAATAAGGAAATAAGGAATGAATGAATAAATGTATGCTAGCTAAAGGGAAAATGTAGCTTCAGAATTCTATGAGAAGTAACTGATTATTTAAAACATATATTTGATTTTGAAGACATGAAGTGGTTCTGAACTTATTAGTTGAAGTAGACAGACATAGAAAGGAAGTCAAGAAACCCAGATTTAGATTACCTCTAGCTTAAATCTAGATTCAACCTAGAAGATGAATTCTGTTTTTATTCAAAATGGAATTACTTTGGTTAGTAGTAGACCATGAGATAAAGGAAAAGAAATGATTTCCCTTTCATTGGATAGCCATTGCATCCAAATAATAAAGCTAAACCTAATGCCAAAACAAGCTGTGATTATTTTACAACACATGAACACTTGATGTGGCATGTGCTAATGATGTTGTACATCATAGGATTTTAATTGAATTTCTGTTTGCAGGCACAGCAATTTTAAATTACATACTTTTCAGCTAGAGTCTACAATTTAGACCTATGACCATACACTTGGCATCTTTCAGTATAACTGTCTCTGTACTCTTTAGCTGTTTGTAGAATTTAAAATCGCTAAAGAGAAGAATTCTAAATTGGAAAACGAAAAGGATCTGGAAATAGTCATGAAAATAGAAGTATTGACCAGGTTGCTAAGTCTCTTGGATAGTGGCATAGTGGGCAAATAACATTACCATAAGGACATCTTTAAGAAAACTGTTGGGTTTCATATTATGGCAATGGGTCACAAGGTTCAAGTTTGAAATTGAGCCTTTTTTGAAGTGTAAGATTTTCTCATTCATTATTTGGTCAAAACCTTTTATTTTTAGATGACAGTAGTTTCTGTGGGCATATGTATATGAAATTCAGTTTTAATGATTAAACCTAGGAAATGGTAAAAGTTAAAGCAATTGAATATAAATGGCTCTTTCTCATAGAAAATTTAAATAGTGTTAAATAGTCTTAATTAGTCATTAGGATTAGCTTTCTGTGAAAGTGCTGCTGGTTAGCAAAATGTTATTTTGATTACTCTATAAGTATTTTTAACCAATATTTATAAATAGGAAGAGGAAGAGATTGGATAACCAGGTGATCTTCTAACCTCATTTTTGGTTATAACATTTATGATGCACATGTGAATGTTGTAATAACTTTTTGGATGTAAATATACATTTTTCAAGGTAGTAGTACTATTTCATTAATTTAAAATTGGGATGTTGAAGAAAATATACTCTTCTAAAGATCTTTCAGAAATTCAGACTTTTAGAAAAGTATAGGTATTTCTGAAATAATATAGAATATGGCAAATGTTGAATTTCTGTAACTGGCATGTCTTTTGAGATTTGGTATGTGATATGCTTATTACTGAAAAAATTTTCAACCATCATAAATAAACATTATTAGAAGTTGTTTATTCTTACCAAAATAGTGCAGGATTTACAAATATAAAGATTTCAGTATTCCTTACATTGTCTTCATGCCACTTTGGCAGTCTTGCTTCTATATTTGATGCTACCAAAATTAAAAAAAATAAGTGAAACTATTTGGAAAGCTTCATATGAATGTATTTTCATTCAATAGAGCCATATTCTTAACTGTTCAGTTGCACTGTACATTTTAAGTGGCTTTTTATTTTGATAAGTTCACAGATTCAATCAGAAAAGCTAACAATAGCTTGACTATTTTATTTACTCAAAGTAGTTTAAGGAGATACTTAGGAAGTTGCTGAGAGATGACTAAACAGGTGAGTGATCACTATTTCAGGTGATAGAGATTTTTTTATTGGAATATTTATTTTATTTAAGAAAGTATATATATATTCTGGATGATTTCCTTCAATATATGCTTATTTTTAATAAGATAGTATGTTTCTACATATTTTTTCATTTTAAGGAGATTATAGCCTAAAATTATCAAATTAACAGATAAATATCCCTCTTGACCTCTGCTTTTGGTAATAGCAGGTTTAACAACAGTGTTTTAAAAATCTTTCAGGATATATTCTGGCTTCAATATATAATTCTGATTTTCACTCCTCTGTTTATAAATTTCCCTTTCAATTTACTCAACAAATACTTATTGAGTGCTTTCCAACGGGCCAGGAATGGTGCTAGATTAGGAAGATACAAAGATTTAGGGATTCCTTCTTGAAGGACACATAGGAATTTGGGAAAGACATCTTGGGCAGATGAAGTAAAATAGCTATAGCACAGGGTGTGGTAATAGCATGGCCTCTTTTTGGAGCATTGGATATGTTACCCCTACTGATGATGATAAATCGTCTCTCTGTATTGCTCTTACCAAACAATTTAAAAATGGTAATCTAAAATCACATATGTAAATAGTACATAGTATATATACTTAAAAACTATTGATTTGCCAGGTGCAGTGGCTCACGCCTGTAATCCCAGCAATTTGGGAGGTCGAGGCAGGCTGATCACCTGAGGCCAGGAGTTCAAGACCAGCCTGGCCAACGTGGTAAAAACCCATCTCTATTAAAAATACAAAAAATTAGCCGGGCGTGGTGGCGCATGCCTGTAATCCCAGCTCTTTGGGAGGCTGAGGCAGGAGAATTGCTTGAACCTGGGAGGCGGAAGTTGCCGTGAGCCAAGATCGTGGCACTGCACTCCAGCCTGGGCTACAGAATGAGACTCTGTCTCAAAAATAAAAAAAATAAAATAAAATAAAAACCATTGATTTCCACTACCACAACCCCAAGCATACACAAACATCCTGGTTTGGAGTTTAAAGCATTTTTTTTTTTAAACAGATGGGAATACTTTGAAGCATACACGGGTAGAAAAAAAAAAAAAAAGAAAAGCCATAAAGAGTATAGATAGTGCCAGAAAACAAAATGAAGAAGGAAGGGCAAGAACTTCTGAATTTCCCATTCAGTGTTACTCCTTTTTACAGCCTTAGTGAAGGAGTAAAGTTAGTCATAATCTGTGGATCATCGGGTCCCCAACAACTGGATCTTTGTTCTCTGCTCAGTCTCTCTGTATTTTTGCCCACTCATCCCAGCTCCTATCTTAGCCCCATAACCTCTTTCATCTGACACCCAACTATAAAAAGTATTATGTAAATATCAGGAATTACTACCACTCTGGCTTTCCTTTCCCCTTACAGCCAGCCATTACCTTCCTCACCCCTATTGTCTTCTCCTTTGGATCCATTACCTAGTGTTCCTGCCTTTTCAACACACTAGCATCTCTTATTGCTGTTTTTTCTCTGCCCAACATGGCACCCTTCTTATCTTAAGGAAATGTTACAGATAGGAAGAATTACTGCCCTTCACATTGCTTATGCCATCATGGTGTGAGGAATTCTCTACGCATATACATGAGTGTGTGCCTGCATAACATTGTTTGTATTGTTTGATGATTTTGACTAATTTATATTTCTTGATACCTTTGATATAAATCCAAGGCATAGTCATAGCTACAAAAGGGAATGTCTTTGTAGATTCTTTGTTGGCCTACTAGGTTTCACACAGTTCTGTTAAAGAAATTTCTAATGTAAAACTTTCCAATGTAGTTGTCTTTGAGAAACATCTGGGATTTTCCATTTTTTATTGTGGCAAGACTACATATCTGAGTATCTAGTAAGAAATTTTAAATGTATCTGATAGTTTCCTGAAACAAATAAAGGAGACACACATGCACGAATATATAGTCATATATGTGTTTAAGAGATACACACAAACACACATGCATGTAAGTGTATAAGTGTACATAGCCATGAATGTGAACAATTTTATTTCCTGTAAGAAGGAACCCTTAATGTATCAAGAATTTTGCTTTGCTGTCCAGAATTTTGTGTGTGTTTTAAAGGGTTTAACCGTCCTATTTGGTTGCTATCCAAGTACTTTTACTGATTGGTGGAACATAAACAAAGCACACAATTTGGCATGATCTGCAGTCTTGTCTAAGCATTGTGAATAACATGGATATTTTAGATTAATCTGAAGAGACATTTCAGAACTGAAAAGATTACACAGTGCCTGTTCATACAAACTCTGGCTAGGGCTATTAGTCTTTAGCTGTACCTACCACAGGATTAACCAAAACTTGCATGAAAAAGTAGATAATTTCTTAGGGGACATCAGGAAAAAAATGGAGCAAGAGATTAGAAACATGATATATTAGTTCATTTGGTGAGGTGGTACTGGTGACAAACTATACTAGTCAGTTAGCAAATTAAGTTTTACTATAAAATTATTTAGGAACATATGCATTGAGAAAAAAAATCAGAGTATTGGCAATATATTTACGTTTTCTCTTATACTGTGACTGCTTAAATTATATTTTCTTCCTGAACATTCTTAAACATCTTCTGGAATTAAGATTTTGGAAATGGTTCTTCATGCACAGCTTTTCTTTTATGGTGTTTTTCTCCCACTTCTATTTTTCAGTGAACATATAATTGGAGGAGTTGATATCTCTTTGTAATCCTGTTTCTTTAGAATACATTGAGACATTTATAGAGTGTGGTTCACTTCAAATAGAAACATGCATCTTGTGGAATGGTCTCATTGGGAAGAACAGTAGGGATTCTACAAGAGTCCTATACTAGGAGATTGAAATTTGGTTTCTAGTTTCTCTTTTGCTGCTAGCTTGTGATACAACATTGGGCAAGTTAGCTTCTCTGGGTTTCAGTGTTTTCGTTTATACAATGAGGGTACTGAGAAAAATGAATTCTTAGAGTCCTAAAATTTCAACAAATCTTCTCCTTTTACATTCTAAGAGTTGGCTCTTTTTGTAGCCTTGGCCAAGACCCATCATTGTCCTTTGTTTGTTACGTCTCTGAACTGTGCATTTCACAGGTATTTTTTAACTGATTAGTTAATGTTCATAAAATGCGTCGAAGAGCTTTTATGTATGTTGTCTTTCTCTCCTGTTTTATGCAATTGTACATAATAGAAGCCAAGTGTTCTGTAATCAAAATAAGTGTTTCCTACGATGTGACCAAGGGTTTTTTGACATTTGCTATTCTAAATATTAAAGTAGTGGGACACTGAGCCTGCATAAAATTATATTTAAAATATATGTTGAATCATTTTTGTTCATTCCATAGGTGAACATATTTTTAGTTCTAGAATGTAATGGGAATTATAATTACACTCCATAGTTATGACTGGATTCTCCACCAGGGTAGTAACATCTGATTTGTTTGGATGCTGCCAACTTGTAATTAGGATGATTTTACCTGGCTGAAGTTTATTTCTAAATAATATGTGAGGAATAGTGTTGTTAAGTGAATTAATAGTGTAAAGTGTTGTTCATGAACTGTATTTCTGATTAAAGGGATTATTTTTAAGGACTTTGGCATAATAGTTGTTTGCTCATGAGAGGTAATTATAAGTGACTTAATAATTTATTAAAGGAAAAGTAAGAACTGAATATATATACATCTCCACCATCAGATATAATGCTTTTAGGGTTTTAGGTGTTTTAGAGTGCTGAGGATGGGGTGTAGGGAGGCAGCCTTACTTTCTTTTCATGCTGAACAAATATTAAAATTATTGGGGTACCACAAAAACAAATATTAAATATTAAGTCTGCAAGGAATCTAGACTGAAAAATTGACCTGGAAGATTCATGGTATTAGATAGCTTCTTTGGAGCCCAATGAAATTCGACAAAAGTATGTTGTTTTTTTTGAATCAGTTGATTGTTTATAGAAGAATAATAACTTATAGAAGGATATTCTTATAGAAGAATAATAATCTTTACAATAAAATGATCTTCACTTGTTTGTGGTGGTTCCCTTTTTGGGAATTTGGAAAACTCTACCTTAACTTGCCTGTTTTCCACTCATCAATGTTTGAGAAGTCTTCATAGACAGATAAACTCCTGGAAACACTTCACTACCATGTTTTTTACACAGGTTTTTGGATCTTCATTCTCAGAAGGTGAAGTAGACCAGGCACGGTGGCTCACGCCTTTAATCCCAGCACTTTGGGAGGCCAAGTCGGGTGGATCACCTGAGGTCAAGAGTTCGAGACCAGCCTGACCAGTATGGTGAAACCTTGTCTCTACTGAAAATACAAAAATTAGCCAGGCATGGTGGCAGGTGCATGTAATCCCAGCTACTCAAGAGGCTGAGGCAGGAGAATTGCTGCAACCTGAAAGGCAGAGGTTGCAGTGAGCCTGGATTGTGCCACCGCACTCCAGCCTAGGTGACAGAGGGAGACTCCATCTCAAAAAAGCAAACAAACAAAAAGATTCATAAGCTGGAAAATGATTGAGTCTCTTTTCTAAAACATCACCTCCTTACTACATAATATATAGCTGCTTTATGTTTTATATTTTTAAATGTTTGCAAATGCTTCGGGTTTTGAAAATTTGTTTGAAACTCACTGTGGAATAAGACATTTCAAACTTGATGTGTTCATACATGTGTGTGGCTGTGTGTGTGTGTGTGTGTGTGTGTATGTATTTCTCCTTCTTTGGATTTCAAACAAGTTGCCCCTGCTGATTATACCTGAGGCCTTTTTGCTATATAACCATTAAGGATTATTGCAGAAAGCCTTCTAATGTAAAATATTGACTATAATTTATGTGTATTAATGGCAGGTTAAAAAAAACTTTTAAATATATTTTGGCCACTAGCGCATTGATAAATATTCCTTTCTCTGACTCATTTGACAATTTCTGTGAGTCTGTTTTGTGTGCAAGTACTAAAAGGAGTTGGATATGTAATTTAACCCTTTAAAATGCTTGACTGGGTTTTTGGGGGCTGTTTCTTTTGTATGATAGGTTGAATAAAAATTGTATGTAAGGTAATGATGGCTGACATAATTTTAATATTTACAAAGTTCATATATTACTTGTCAATCTTTCAAAATAAGCTTTCTCTTTCCATATATGTATGTATGTGTATATGTACATACTGCATGTACATATATGTTTTGTGCTTCACAGGAAAATAGTAGTTTGTCTTTTTGCCTTGATATTGGTCTGTATCTTAAAAGGAAGGCATTTGTGATTATGTTAGTTGATTTCATGCTGTATTTCTTATATACTAAATTTGGTATTTTGGAATTTTTGAAAATAGTTCCTTACTGTAGAAACATTCATGTGTGTTTCTAAAATACAGATGAAAAAGCCTCTTAGGGGACTAAATCTCAATCTTTAAAAACTAGGAATAATTTGGAAAGAATATTCGAACGCTAACTATTTAAGTTGGAAGCATGAGTTTATTGTTTGGATACAGACTTGAAAGTAAATATGAGCTTTGTTCCTGCAGTGATTTTTTAAAAATAGGTAGTTGCTTTCATGTCAATCATGATCTGCCTTTACTAAGCTTGCATTGATGGAAATGGATAATTCTGTTTTTAGGTAGAAGCAGAAGGGTACTATGATTGTGAATTGCCTATATCAGAAGTAAAATTCTTCAGCCTGTAAATAAACAGTTCAGCATAATACTCATTTAACCTATATTCACTTTTTAGAATTGTGTAGAAAATTTGTGAGTTTGTTTTGGTGCTTTAAACAGAAGCTTAAAAGTCACTTTCAGGGCATTTACAACGCTATTTTCTGGCAGTATTTTGAAACAATATAGATGAGCCCTTTATTTGCCATTGCTTTCATGAAATACCTCAAGCTGCCTTTGACAGCAGCTTCAATTTTTGAACCTCCTTGACAATCGCTAATCCCTATAGGTTACCGGACCCGCTGTTGAGCTTTGGAGTGGTCCCTGCTGGACACCTGCTTGGCCAGCAGTGTTGGTCTTTCCTCTAGGCAATTTGTGAGCTGTCTGCGGGGGAGGGAGGGGAGGAGTGGGGGGGGTGGTGAACAAGAGGGGAAAGGGGAGAGAAGGGGAGGGCAGTATTGAATTAGATTGTTGATAGCGTCCCTCTGAGGACTGCTATTAAGAGCATGCTACTCTGTACTTCGCTGCTGCAGAAGAGAGAGTGATATTTGTGTTACTACAGCATGTTGTAAATGTGTGAGATTTTGCTCATCTCAGCTTGGAAATAAGAATAGGGAAAGGAGAGCAACTTGAATCAGAAGCTACTAGAAGAACCTGCAGAGTTCTGAAGCAGTTTATATTCTTCTTACATTTTGCCTTCTCCTAGCTGGAAAGCAGAGGGACTGGAATTTTTGAAACGGGCTTTTCCCATAATGGCATTCTTGATTTGTGTGGCCAGAGCTTGCACAGGAGGAAAGCAGGCTGCTGAATTTAGTCACTGATCTCTATTAGCGGTAGCCTAAGGCTATGCTGAGGTTTATATCCCATTTGTATTGTTGCAGCTCAAAAGAAGATTGTTCAGAGGATGACAAGTGTATTCTGAGTAGGTATGTTGTTGTTTCATTTTCATATGAAACCCATCTATGTTTTTTCTTGCTACTATTGGTCAGAAATCAGGTTAATAGGTGCAGAATATAGTACAGTGCTGCAGTATCCCTGTTAAGGTAGAACAATGGTATTGCAAGCTTAAAAAAAAAAAGCCTGGCTGCTTTTATTAAATAAAGCTGCATTGTATGGTATGCACAGTGCAGTCCTAAAAAAATATACTGCAGTCAACGCTTTTCTGGCACTATTGTTGAGTTGGAATGATTGAATCATCATATTGCTTTAGGGGACAGAAGAATTTAAGGAGGTACCTTACAGCCCTATTTTACAGATTGGAAGCATCGGTTTAAGGGCACTGGCAGAATCCTTTGCTTGTTCTCCGCGGCAGCCACTGCTGTGTCAGTACAGTGTGGAATGGAAGTCTTAGTTGGTAGTCTGTTATGGAAACGCTCTTTACTGTTATTGTAGTACCGTGGTGACAACATGCCATTGAAATGGAAAACGAGCTCTCCTGCTATCTGGAAATTCCCAGTTCCTGTGCTTAAAACATCCAGGTCAACTCCACTTTCTCCAGCATACATGTAAGTGAGAGAAAATAGGATATTAAAGTGGGATTTCATTCATGAATCTACCTTGTGGCAAAATGGGGGCGGGGGAGCCCCCAAACAGCAACATCCAAAAACCTACAGGATTAAAAACCTCAAGCTTGCTTACATTTAAAGATGTTGGCATGCCCACACTTCATCATTGTTTTGTTTTTCTAAAGTTTATGTTTATTTAAAGTGTTTAATGGTAATCTAATTACCAGTGTGAAAGTACAAAGGCATACCTAAGGAATTGCAAAAGAATTAACTTTAATATTTAACATATGTTGGATTTGTTTGAATTTTTGAATATCTAAAACACTTAGGATGACTTCTTTTGTGTAATGGCATTAAAAATTGATGATTGATGGTGGTGTGTTAAATATGGTAATGCCTCTTTACTATTTTTTCATGAATTAAAAACAGAGTTAACATTGATCAGAAAATGAGTCTTTTAATTGAGACTTTTATACTTTAGTTGTGTATGAATATTAATATGTTTGATAGTACATCTTTCTCAGTTTTATCATTCAAGTTCTGAAGTGTAAGTTTGAATTTGTGCAAATTATATCTCTATGAGCAGTTATATTATGGGGATTGAAAAAGTATTCTACAAATGTCTGTTTTAAAAATGTATTTTAAGTAAATACGTACTGAAGTGCACTGGGAAGTCTTTCTAGAAGTTTTCAAAATTTTTGAAAATCTTTTTAAATTTGCAGTGTTGCTTTAAAGGCAAAATCCAGGAGATATAATAAAATGTTCTTTTAAAGTATTGTTCATGATCCTTTTTGGTGGAGGAAAACCGAATCTTTTTTTAAAGAAAATATTAGTACGAGAAAAGCTTTTGAAAAGAATGTTTTAAATTTGAGTGTTATTTTTAAAATATTTATCAGTAGGAAAAATGTGGAAAACTTCTCCTGCCTTAGTTTAATTGTGTATTTAGAGCTGTGGTGAGTTGCCATTTTTTAACTTAGTTTTTGTTTTATGTGAGGTAGAGATGCACAATTATATCTATCTCTTTCTTTGAAACCCTTTCAGATGCTGAGGAAGTGTGGTTATGCTCTCAGTCCAAAAGAAGCAATTCCCTGGAAAGTGTTGAAAAATGAGGCCATTTCAGAGTTAAATCCTGTGGTCATTTTATTTTCAGATTTTTTAATGCTCCTTTCCGTTTATGCTCCAGGATATTTTTATCTCTTTGGGTGTTAAACTTTATGAAGTAAAAAAAAAAATAGGCTAGTTTGTAAAAATAAACCAGCTATATTTGTTTTTCAAAAACTGTTTGTCAAAAGCACAAATTAATGGAGGTGACAAGTTAATGGAGGTGAGAAGTTAATGGAGCTCTTTCACATAATTCGAGAAAATAGGATGCTTCCTGACTTTATGCATCTTAACTGGCAAGAAATGACTAAAGATTTACCAAAAGCAACTTTATTATAAAAACAAAACAAAACAAAACCTCACTAAAATCAGGTTACAATTATAATGGTTATTAATGTTTCTAATATTCCTACTATATTTGATTGTCTAAAAGATCCAAATTGCAGCCCTTATTGCCCCTGATTTGTCGATTTTTAGAGATGGTGAAATAAATCCCCATGTTTTATTAAATTCATGCCAGCCACAAGCTCAGATACAACTCAACACAACATTTTAAATTAATCACTTTCTTCCTTTTAAGTGCTTACCTCTTTGACCTGATGATATGAGTGAATCAATTTAGAAGATAGAACCTACAAAATATAATAGATCTTGCATGTTGACTGTTGGTTGTTGGTAGTACACATAGGTAGAATGGAAAAATATATTCAAAGAGCTTATGGTAGGCTGAAGTATTTTGACATTGTAACAGACTATTTTGACATTACAACACTCTATATTATTGAATTGGTCTTAACTTATTTTTCTTTTTATGTATATTAATACTTAATAGTAAGTAAATATGCACAGATAGAAATTTATGTGAAATGTAGCAAGACTAGCTTGGGGAGTTTAAATCAGGTTTTTAAATATGTTGTTTAGTTTTTGACCATTTTAGATCACAGTTCATTGCCTCACTTGGCCAAAAATAAAAACATCATGTTTAACATGTTTTTCTCATCAGTACTTCTCTATATTCCTCAACACATTTACACACAAAATGATACTTAAGTATAGCATAATTCCACTTCAAAAATGATAAAGACTGAATTAGATTACTGGGTCAAGTAACATTATATTTGTTCTCACAATTGTTTGGCTGGCAAACATAGGTTTAAATGGTTACTTGTGTCTTTTGGGTCTAAACTCTTTGCACTGAAATAGAATTGTTCAATTCTGACTCCTCAATAAATCGTGATATATAGGAAATTTACCTGTAAAATAATGTATAAGTATTTAAAGTAGTATTTTGAATATAGAATTCTTCATAGGTGATATAAGATCTTTTTGTACGTATGCTTGTGTAGCATCAGTATTGGTTTGTAATGTTTTATCATTACTTACCGTGCTTTGTCAAATATACATTACGTGGTTTTCATTGAAGACTTGAGTACTTTGTCAAAGACTGAAATTTCAATATGAAGTATTTTAGGTAGTAGTAAAAATGTGTTATAGTGATTGAGCATGTGTGGGAAAAATCTAAACGCTCCATGGTCTCTTTCTAAACCCAGTGTATGTGCTGCTTTGCTGTAGCTCTTCCATTGATGCTACAGATAGGGCAGTACTGCTGTGCTAGTGAAGGCTACAATAGAGAACATTTTACTTACTGCAAACATCGAGCAGCAAGACTATTACTTTTTTCCTTGTGGGTTTAAAGTCCATGTTTGTTTTCTTTCTGTTTGTTTAGAACTTGAATGACAGTTGAAATGTCCCAACATTTTTAAGTTTTCTTTATGATGAAGACTATAGTATTTGTGGCAATATTAGTAGAAATAGCATCTTATATAGTATAAAGCACTTAAAAAATTTTGCTGTAATGTCATACTAGAAAAGTGGGATATCTTAAATACGAAAGATTCAGGAAAATAATACTTCAGTCTCTAGATTGATTGATGATCAAATAGTCTTTATTGGGTAGACATATTCTTTCAGCTTTAGATTTTAGCATTGCAGGGTGGTGTGCCATCTATGTGGATTTCTGAAGGGATTGTCTTGATAGAAATAGAGTGCTTGGTGACATGTGTTTGCTTTGCACTCTGTTCAACAGTAGGTTGAAGTTCAACCTTAGCCTGAGGGAGGATCTCCTGGCCAGTGTAAACTGCATTAGTAAAGACTCTGCCCCTGACAGGTGCAAACCATATAAATTACTCTGTCATTTAGCCTAAATTAATAAAGCTGAAAGAGCAATCACATCTAAGTGTTTTTATGGTGTTTAGGTATTCATTGTTTTAAAACAGCAAATGGTTCCTTCAGGCAAATATTATAGGGTTAATGCCTTGTTAGATGCTAAGGACACACTGAAATAGAACAAAATTAGCACTAGTGATCCTTTCATCTTTTCTTTTCCAGCAGCGAGTTTTGACAATAATAGTGTGGCAAGGAGGAAGGCAATTAGGTAAGAATTAACCAGTGAAATATAACAGTGAATTCTAGCAAGACAGACCCTGTGAGTTGTTTTCCTTAGAATGTTACCTTTCTCAATCTAAAAGACAATGAATGTTAGTGAACTAGACTTGTTCTCCTTTAGTCCCTGCACTTACATTCAGTTAGCTTCCTATTTATGATTTTTTGATATGTAAAAAATATTTTTATAGTAAATGCCAAAAAACACAACATTCTATAGCAATTGCCTCTGTAATGTCTTCAATAAAATTCAGTACCTGGCATTTCCTGAGAAAATATTGTGTATATTGTATAAATGCTCCTTGTTTGTAGGTGATTCACAGCACAGACATAATAAAAATATGAATTTTCTAAATTTGACATGTTTCTATCCCCTAAGATTGTCTTTTTTTTCTAATTTAGTAAATAAAAGAAAACTTTGTGGTTACAGAAATCTTTCTTATCTAGCAAAATACTTATTAAATTGATAATCATTTGTGATTAGAGAAATCTTTCTTTTCTAGCAAAATACTTATTAAATTGATAATCTCAAAATAGAAAAGAATGTTTAGTTGCTTTGAGAACATAAACTTTTACTTGCTTTGTGTCTACTTAATTTTGTTTTTATTACTTATGCACAATTTAACAAAATTATGTGGAAAAATAACACAACTAACACCTAAGATAAATTTTGTGTTAGTCTGCAACTTTTGTGGCATGTTCTTTGGGAATTTGCATTGTCTGAGCTTGCAGAAGGACTAGGTTGTCATTTATTAATGGAAAATCATAGAGATAGAAGTGACCTTAAAAGTCATTTAGAAAGTCCAAACCCCTTTTAACACAGGAACTCATTCCATGACACCTCTCGAAGATGGCATTGCATGTCCTTCTTGAACACTGTCACTGACAAAGGGCTCACTACCTCACCAAGGCTGCACCCTCCATTCATGGACAGCTTTTCCTTGCATTGAGCAAAATCAGTTCCTTGTATCTTTTCTCTCCCGTTCCCAATGCAGCCTTATAGAGCTATATAGAAAAAAAAAAATTCTATTACATACACGCTTAGGCGTCTTCTCATGTGACATGGTTTTCAGACCCTTCACTCTTCCTGGTTGTCCTCACGTGGATGGTTTTTTCATGTTAATCTTTATGTAAGACACTACATTTGAATGTGATGCTCCACATGGGGCCCAAATAGAAGACAATTCTCTTCCTTTAAGCAGAATCTCTGCTTGTCTTAAAGGGCCTGAGATTATATTATTTTTTTTAATTATAGGATTCACACTGTCCCCTAGTGAATTTACAGTTTGCAAATTGCCTTTTTGAAGGCCTTACAATCAGATTGCTTGCTCCTCACTGTCTGTGTTTATTCTTTTAGCTTCTTCAGATCTTTTAGTCTGAGGAAGCCTGGCATGTGCAAATGAAGTTAACATTTTGTTTTAAAGCCTATTGTGTATTTTTTAAAAAGACCTCTTGAAATCATTTAATATAACAGAAAAATATTGCACACAAGACACTTGCAAGACAAAGAGCTAGTGTTCCTGTCACTTTCAGATATTTCAAAGACATTCACTGGTCAATAATTTATCTAGATTCCTTTTTTTATACTTAGTGTATCTTCCAAGTAATCGCTTCCCCCATTGCAAAGAAACCACTTTCTACAGAGGGAAGAGAGGCAGAATTTCATATCTCCATACCATCATGGGAAGTACGGAGTTACTGAGAATTTCATACATTCTGCTTGAAACTTAGAATATTTAGTTGAGACTTAAGTATGGCCAAACTTGGGGAGACGGAGCGATGAGAAAGAAGTATGGGATAGGCAAGTATTTGTGCTAATAACTTGCAGTTGAAGAGTTAAGAATTACAAACAACATACATGATAAAATTTTAGATTGACATGGCTGCCATGATGTATTGCTTTATATCCTCAAGACTTTGAGAAAGGCGGTATAAACATGAGATTCTTGGGGAATCAGTACATAAATAAGTTACTGAGTAATTCATTTTAGAAAATGCTCAGTTCTGGATATTAGCCCTTTGTCAGATGAGTAGATTGCAAAAATTTTCTCCCATTCTGTAGGTAGCCTGTTCACTCTGATGGTAGTTTCTTTTGCTGTGCAGAAGCTCTTGAGTTTAATTAGATCCCATTTGTCAATTTTGTCTTTTGTTGCCATTGCTTTTGGTGTTTCAGACATGAAGTCTTTGCCCATGCCTATGTCCTGAATGGTATTGCCTAGGTTTTCTTCAAGGGATTTTATGGTTTTAGGTCTAACATTTAAGTCTTCAATCCATCTTGAATTAATTTTTGTATAAGGTGTAAGGAAGGGATCCAGTTTCAGCTTTCTCCATATGGCTAGCCAGTTTTCCCAGCACCATTTATTAAATAGGGAATCCTTTCCCCATTGCTTGTTTTTCTCCGGTTTGTCAAAGATCAGATAGCTGTAGATATGTGGCATTATTTCTGAGGGCTCTGTTCTGTTCCATTGGTCTATATCTCTGTTTTGGTACCAGTACCATGCTGTTTTGGTTACTGTAGCCTTGTAGTATAGTTTGAAGTCAGGTAGCGTGATGCCTCCAGCTTTGTTCTTTTGGCTTAGGATTGACTTGGCAATGTGGGCTCCTTTTTGGTTCCATATGAACTTTAAAGTAGTTTTTTCCCATTCTGTGAAGAAGGTCATCGGTAGCTTGATGGGGATGGCATTGAATCTATAAATTATGTTGGGCAGTATGGCCATTTTCATGATATTGATTCTTCCTACCCATGCGCATGGAATGTTCTTCCATTTGTTTGTATCCTCTTTTATTTCCTTGAGCAGTGGTTTGTAGTTCTCCTTGAAGAGGTCCTTCACATCCCTTGTAAGTTGGATTCCTAGGTATTTTATTCTCTTTGAAGCAATTGTGAATGGGAGTTCCCTCATGATTTGGCTGTCTGTTTTCTGTTATTGGTGTATAAGAATGCTTGTGATTTTTGCACATTGATTTTGTATCCTGAGACTTTGCTGAAGTTAGGAGGAGACTTTGCTGAAGGAGATTTTGGGCTGAGACAATGGGGTTTTCTAGATATACAATCATGTTGTCTGCAAACAGGGACAATTTGACTTCCTCTTTTCCTAATTGAATACCCTTTATTTCCTTCTCCTACCTGATTGCCCTGGCCAGAACTTCCAACACTATGTTGAATAGGAGTGGTGAGAGAGGGCATCCCTGTCTTGTGCCAGTTTTCAAAGGGAATGCTTCCAGTTTTTGTTCATTCAGTATGATATTGGCTGTGGGTTTGTCATAGATAGCTCTTATTATTTTGAGATACATCCCATCAATACCTAATTTATTGAGAGTTTTTAGCATGAAGGGTTGTTGAATTTTGTCAAAGGCCTTTTCTGCATCTATTGAGATAATCATGTGGTTTTTGTTGTTAGTTCTGTTTATATGCTGGATTATGTTTATTGATTTGCATATGTTGAACCAGCCTTGCATCCCAGGGATGAAGCCCACTTGATCATGGTGGATAAGCTTTTTGATGTGCTGCTGGATTCCGTTTGCCAGTATTTTATTGAGGATTTTTGCATTGACGTTCATCAGGGATATTGGTCTAAAATTCTCTTTTTCTGTTGTGTCTCTGCCGGACTTTGGTATCAGGATGATGCTGGCCTCATCAAATGAGTTAGGGAGGATTCCCTCTTTGTTTATTGATTGGAATAGTTTCAGAAAGAATGGTACCAGCTCCTCCTTGTACCTCTGGTAGAATTTCAAACAAATTTACAACAAAAAAACAACCCCATCAACAAGTGGGCGAAGGATATTAACAGACACTTCTCAAAAGAAGACATTTATGCAGCCAAAAGACACATGAAAAAATGCTCATCATCACTGGCCATCAGAGAAATGCAAATCAAAACCACAATGAGATACTGTCTCACACCACTTAGAATGGCGATCATTAAAAAGTCAGGAAACAACAGGTGCTGGAGAGCATGTGGAGAAATAGGAACACTTTTACACTGTTGGTGGGACTGTAAACTAGTTCAACCATTGTGGAAGTCAGTGTGGCCATTCCTCAGGGATCTAGAACTAGAAATACCATTTGACCCACCCATCCCATTACTGGGTATATACCCAAAGGATTATAATTTATGCTGCTATAAAGACACATGCACATGTATGTTTATTGCGGCATTATTCACAATAGCAAAGACTTGAAACCAACCCAAATGTCCATCAATGATAGACCGGATTAAGAAAATGTGGCACATATACACCATGGAATACTATGCAGCCATAAAAAATGATGAGTTCATGTCCTTTGTAGGGACATGGATGAAGCTGGAAACCATCATTCTCAGCAAACTATCACAAGGACCAAAAACCAAACACTGCATGTTCTCACTCACAGGTGGGAATTGAACAATGAGAACACTTGGACACAGGAAGGCGAACATCACACTCTGGGGACTGTTATGGGGTGGGGGAAGGGGGGATGGATAGCATTAGGAGATATGCCTAATGTTAAATGACGAGTTAATGGGTGCAGCACACCAACATGGCACATGTATACATATGTAACAAAGCTGCACGTTGTGCACATGTACCCTAAAACTTTAATAAAAAAAAGAAAGTGCTCAGTTCTTTTTCAATCACCTTGTATATTAAGTTTATAACATTCAGCAGTTACTCAACTGTCTATTATGTGCCAGGCATAACTCTGCTGAGGATTAGGGGCATAGTCCTTGTGATCATTCAAAGTGATTATTTTTTATCTTCCATACTATCTTCATTCATAAGCAATTAAATAGCTTAATTTATTCTCCTGCTGTGAAAATTTGGAACCAAGACAAACAGGTTAAATAAATTCTTGCTTACTGTACTTTCAATATTGATAATGGATTTAAGGGCAATGGAAACACCTCAGAAGAAAAATTTGTCTGGACTAAATGAGGAGACTTGAACTGGAGGTAGATAACACATGTTAAAGTGCATATTGCACAGGATGGAAAATGAAGCAATTTTTTTTTTTTTATTATACTCTAAGTTTTAGGGTACATGTGCACATTGTGCAGGTTAGTTACATATGTATACATGTGCCATGCTGGTGCGCTGCACCCACTAACGTGTCATCTAGCATTAGGTATATCTCCCAATGCTATCCCTCCCCCCTCCCCCGACCCCACCACAGTCCCCAGAGTGTGATATTCCCCTTCCTGTGTCCATGTGATCTCATTGTTCAATTCCCACCTATGAGTGAGAATATGCGGTGTTTGGTTTTTTGTTCTTGCGATAGTTTACTGAGAATGATGGTTTCCAATTTCATCCATGTCCCTACAAAGGACATGAACTCATCATTTTTTATGGCTGCATAGTATTCCATGGTGTATATGTAATGCTCATCATCACTGGCCATCAGAGAAATGCAAATCAAAACCACTATGAGATATCATCTCACACCAGTTAGAATGGCAATCATTAAAAAGTCAGGAAACAACAGGTGCTGGAGAGGATGTGGAGAAATAGGAACACTTTTACACTGTTGGTGGGACTGTAAACTAGTTCAACCATTGTGGAAGTCAGTGTGGCGATTCCTCAGGGATCTAGAACTAGAAATACCATTTGACCCAGCCATCCCATTACTGGGTATATACCCAAAGGACTATAAATCATGCTGCTATAAAGACACATGCACACGTATGTTTATTGCGGCACTATTCACAATAGCAAAGACTTGGAAAATGAAGCAATTTATGTTTAAAGTTCATAGTGTCTTTTTAAACAACAAGAATGGAATACTATTCTTTACATTGGACAGGGAATAATTTACTGTTTGTGTGCTTTATAGCACACAAGTTTACATATATTACCTTCCAAGCAGTAATAATTTGATCTCAAACTCTAAGATTGAATCTTAGTTTAAAATAAAATTATATTGTGTTTTCAATTATACTAAAATATTTTTCCCAGCATAACTTACTATGATGAGGTTATCTGTTGTTTTTACCCATTTCCCCCCCACATTTATGTCATGCTAAGGCAAGAACATGCCCAGTTTGTTGGAGAGGATTTCTTATAATATAGTTCAATGGAGTAATGAAGTAACTTATCTTCAATAACAAAAAAATAAAAACAAGTTTCAGAACTTTAGATTAAATTTTAATCTAGCATGTATAACAGATATTCTAAACTTCATGAGACATATTCCAAATTTTTAAAATGTCCTAGTTTAGCATAGTTAAATGTAATACAATTTATTTTCCTCTATTATAGAAGTGCTAAGCACTTAATTTCATTCCTCCCAAAAAGCCCTGTAAGTGTACATCCTCTCACTATTTTACGAATAAGGACACAAGTTCAGAGAGGTTAATTGCTTAATGTTACACATCAAATTACAAGTTGAGCCAAAATTCAGATTTAGGGCCACGTGATTTCAAAGCTTGTAATTTCTCCAATGCCTTTTCATTTTTATAGACTTTTGCTACTTTCATGCCATCTATTAATTATATAATACCTTACTAGGGTTAGAAGAAAAGGGAAATATGGTAGATGGGAAAAGCTTTTTGAATTGGGTGGTGGTATAGGAAGAGGTTAGAAAGCTTTACTTGCTTACTGTCAAGTGGTGAAGTTGAAGGAAAATATTGAGGCAATTATCTTTACTTGCTCATATGATATCGGGATTAACTCCATTGTCTCTTGATGTTTCCATAGTTCCTTGAAGCACTATTCCATCTTCATTGATTACACACATTTCCCACCCATGGTAATTAGCTGCCACGGACAGTGCTGTAGCTGGTGTACTCTTTTTAGCACGTTCCAAGGGTTCTACCCCAGTCAGTATATTTAGTACTTTCCTGCAGACATTATCCTCCCACTGCTTAATTGCATGCAAATACTCAATGAAAAAAAAAAACCCAAACCTCTATGTATTTCTTTTCTATTGCTGCCATATCAAATTACTGCAAACGAATGGCCTAAAATGTCACACATTTATTATCCTACAGTTTTTTTTTTTTGAGATGGGGATCTCACTGTGTCGCCCAGGCTGGAGTACAGTGGCATGATCATGGCTCCCTGCAGCCTCGACCACCGGACTCAAGTGATCCTCCTGCCTCAGCCTCCTCAGTAACTGGGACTACAGGCACGCATCACCACACCCAGCTTATTATTATTATTATTATTATTTGTAGAGATGAGGTCTCGCTGTGTTACCAGGCTGGTCTCAAACTCCTGGGCTCAAGCTATCCTCCCGTCTCAGCCTCCCAAAGTACTGGGATTACAGGCATGAGCCACCATGCTTGGCATATTATCTTACAGTTTTTTCAGATCAGAAATTTGGTACTGGTCTCACGGGGCTAAAATAAAAATGTCAGCAAGGCTGAGGCTCTAGGGGAGAATCTGTTTCCTGCTCATTCCTGTCATTGACAAAATTCCGTTCTTTGTGGCTGTAGGACCAAGGTTCCTATCATCTTGTTGGCTATAAGTTAAAGGACAATTTCAGCTTCTAGAGATTGCTTGCATTCCAGCCCCATTCCTCCCTCGTTAAGGCCAGCGACAGCAGGTTGAATCCTTTTCACATTGCCTTCTGGCTCACTCTTCTGCCTTCCTCTTCCATTTTTTCAGGACTCATGTAATTAGATTAGGCTACCTGGATAAAACAAGACACGCCCCATTTCAAAGTTCGTAACCTTTATCACATTTTCAAAGTCTCCTTTGCCATGTAACAACATATCCACAGATTCCTGGGGTTAAGATGTGGACATCTTTAGGAGGTCATTTGTTGTATCTACAATACTCTAGTTGAACACAATCATGTTGGGCTTACACATGCGTTGTAGAAAGTGTTCCAATTAACCCAAGTGGTTCTACAAATTTTGCATTCCTGTAACTAAACCATATTTATTAATCTCTGGATCAGTAGTTTTGTTCTTGAAAATTATAATAGTTTAAACATTACATAGGCAGTTCTCAGCCCTTGCAACAATGATTTCCTGGAAATCTTATTAAAAAGTGGAATTATCCAGTAACAGAACTATAATCTGGGGTTGTGTTGAAAATATCATGAAAACAAGTTTCTCCTATTAGAGCTTTTATTGTGCTCTACATTTTATAAAATAGGCACAATTGTTTTGATTACATCGATTTTGCAAGCATATACAATCATATAAAATACAGATATGAGTGAAATTGAAGATGCTAGTTATTTAAAAACTATTTTTTTTGAAAATTCAGTCTATTTTGAGATGGTTCACATAGCCCAAGTCTCTTATTAAAAGTTAATAGTAATAGTGCTACCTTTTGAATAAAATCATGAAATTAGTTTTCTTAATAAAATTTGATGCAACAAGCGGAATCATTCAGAATAACTCCACTGTTATCAGAGCCATTTAAAAAGTACTAAAGTGTGTGCATAGTACAAGTTGGCTGATGCTGATTGCATTTTATTGCATTGAAAAAAATTTCAAAGGACTCTACATTTCTACCTTCCCAAAACATTTTCAGTTTATTCAAAAGACTGTTCAAAATCAGATTGAACATAAAGGCTACCAGAAAATAATAGTTAACAACCAGAAGGTCTTTGCATGTCTCTGGAAATTCAAATAATACAGGTTGTTGAGAACCTTAAAAATCTTCAAAACATAGTACTGAATTAGCTAGCAGTGGCATATGATTATGTGGTTGTTGCTAATGCACTTTAGTGTTTGGTGTTTGGCAGGTGCAGGGGGCAAATATTGAAATTTTGAGTGTCAGGTAACATCTACTGAGTGAAATAAGAACAGTTAAATAACAGGTGAGGACTGTCTATGCTACTCAGTCATTGACCATTATGTTTGATTCTTCAGCAAGTTATGGCCTCAGAAGTGGCATTTCTAAACTTGGAGGTGCATCCAGGAAAGTTCTGATCTCAGATCTGGTTACCAAACTTTCTAGACATTGTCTGGCTCCTATTATGGCAGGTGCAGGGGCTTGATGGTATTTTAATTTATTATTTTTACTTTTTTTTTGTAGAGACAGGATATTGCTATGTTTCCAAGACTGGTCGTGAACTCCTAGCCTCAAGCTATCCCCCTGCCCCCAACCTGTGCCCCGCAAAGTGCTGGGATTACAGACATGAGCCACCACACTTGGCCTTCTGATGGTATTTTAAATTTAAAAGGTTTAGATTGAAAATATTGTGTTTTAGAGCACTAAAATTTAGAGAACCAAATATTATGAGAATGATGAATTGGAGTGGCAAGCTCAGTTGAGTGTATGTGGGCAATTGGGCTTAATTTGTGCTTATGCGATCCCTCTGTACCTAACTGCACTCCCTTCTTGCTTCCCACATTTAAGTCTCTCACCGCAGCTGTTTCTAAAAGTTCTAAATGAACTTGCTTAATCATTTACAAGTTGCCCTGTAACATCTTTTATTTTCACTTTTTTTTCTGGTTTCAAAAATATAGAGCTTTTCACTGATCAATGAGATAAGACCTTGACATCATATAATGTGCATAATTATCTTAATCAGGGTTCTTTCAATCCACAAGCTGATAGGAACCTTAGAAATCACTCTTTTGGTCATACCATTTACCTTGAAAGAGAATGTGATATTAATGCTTGATCACTTTTCCTCCATCTGTGTACATTTGTATTTGATGATTTAACCCAGTCTTAATTTATATTTCCTTTTAAAAATACCATTTCTTCAACTGCATTAAAATTAATATTAAAGACCAGCTCTACAAAATCTTAACTAGGTTTCTCTTTATTAAATGTGATTATATCAGAGCTCTTCTCTTGTCTGACAGTGAAACATGTTCTTAATTAATAGTCTGATCTAGCTTTAGTTTGGGTGGACCTACAAAATATTTGAAATACAATTTTGAAAAGTATATGGATGACACTAAATTGTGAATCATTGTCCAATAGATAACCCCTTAGCATCACCAAATTGAAGTGATTTTCTCATTCGTTACGATCACTTTCCTACAGAGGGTGCGTGCATGCAGTCATTTCTGAATGATTCACAGCTAAACAAAGTTCGTGAAACTGGAAACAAAGGTTTGGTTTTAAGTAGACTGGAGACTTGGTTCATTAATATACTTTTCATAGAAATGTTGCTGAAGCATATAGATAGATACAATTAGAGTGTTTTTTTTAAATGATGTGCAGTACTATCACATCATCAAGAGTTTTGACTTTCTTCCATATAATTAAAATTGCAGATTATGTTTTTGAATAGTGAATATTGTGTGATTGCTGATCCAGCCCTGCAGATAGCCTGATCTGGAACAAATAACCCTTTAAAATAATAGTAAGGAAAGTTGATATTATTTATTTATTTTTATTTGGTGCTTATATGCTAAATATGAACTGATACCCTTATGGATTAGAGAAAAAAGTTGGCAATCGTTTTGTTATTGTGGTTTCTATGAATTATACAACATGATATTTGTTAGTAAAGAGTGGTAAGCATTTATTATAATTTTATATCATTTAATTATTTGGAAAGTAATTGTTTTTTATTATCATCTCTTAGCAAGCAAGTATCCTGACTGCTCTTTGTTTTATTATCATCTCTTTGCAAGCAAGTATCCTGACTGCTCTTTGTTTTCCTATCATCTAGTGTGGTGCCTGGCACATAGCAGATGCTCAATAAATGTCGATTTTATAAATGAATTTAGAGAATAGTTTTTAGGTCTGTACCTCTGTGCAGATCACTTCACATGAAAGTGTTAAGTTTATTCATCTGATATATGCAGTAATTGAATATAGTAGTTGTCCCTTATGCATGATTTCCAACTCCTTGGAATGAGTTACCCATGGTTAACCATGGCATGAAAATAGGTGAGTACAGTATGATAAGATATTTTGAGAAAGAGAGAGAGAAAAAGAGCACATTCACATAACTTTTATTAAAGTATATTGTTATAATTGTTCTATTTATTACTAGTTATTGTTGATATCTTACTGTACCTAATTTATAAATCAGGTAGTTATGTATGTATAGGAATAAAACGTAGTGTATATGGAATTTGGTATATCCATAGTTTCAAACATCCACTGGGGGTCTTGGAATGTATCCACCGAATAATGGGGGCTATTGTGTATCATGGTCTTGTTAGAGAATAAGTTATGACTGTATTTCCTATGAAAAGAACTAATCAAAAATCCAGATTCTGTTCATTGTTGCTGAGAAATACCATGATACTGGCACAGACTGAAAGTAATTTTACTAGAAGCAATCTACTAGTGACCAAAATACTTTAGTCATGGTTCATCAAATTGTAACTGATAAGGAAAATAAGGTTTTTTTAAAAATCTGTTCTACGATAGAAACTACTCTCAAAGTTAAGAGTTATTTGACTTATTTTTGCATGCTGTTCATCATAATGGAGAAAACTATTTGAGATATTTATGTTTTGAAGCTAATATGCTTTTACTTAAATGATAATGTGTTTTGTGTGTATAGTTTGATAAAAGAAATCACTGACTAGGAGAAAAAGAAGACCTGACTAGGGTTTAGGAGAAATAAATTAAAAATTAACACTCAAAAAAGTATTTACATTTATGTCCTGAATTTTTTATACTTAAAGGGCTTCAATCTAACCATAAAGGTTTAGCTGATATTATATTTAAATTAAATGAATTTTCTTTGTGTTAAAAATGATTAAATACAATGGCTTTTACACATTACTTGTTTAGCAAGAGACAAAAAATGCATAGCTGTGAATATGTAAAAGCAATATATTCCAAAGCAAAACAATTTGTAGTTTGTAAGTAAATTTGGATTTTCGTTTGTTCTGTTGTCATTAAACAAACATTTATTGTGAATAATTTGCTGGACTGTGCAATTAGTTAAGGAGGGTGAGGCCAGGAAGCCTTGACTTCAAGAGTGTAGGATTTGGCTTCTGTTCGGCAAGCAGTGACTCACTGAATACCTTTGAGCAAGGGAGTGCTTTTCTGAGCTATAAATACAATCACAGTATGTATAAAGACCATTATGTATGTGAAAATTATAATTAAATCCAGGTAAGAGGTAATACAGACAAGAACTGTGGTAGAGGCAGTGAGAGTGGATGGGGGTTGAAGGATAGGAGCATTCTAGAGAGAGATTCAGTTGAACTTAGCAGTTGATTGGACATGGGAAATGGGGAAGAAGCAAGGGTCAAAGGTGGTCAAATAATTTTGGTGAGAGCAATTGCCTTTTAGAATCCAAATATTTTATCTATAGTTCTTTTGAATGTATAATATCAGGATACATCGGAGATTTCTGAAATTTCTTCTGACTGACCAACATTTTAGGAATGGTCATTAAGAAATATGTATGTAGTCAAATTCATTACCATTAAGCATATCTTTGACATATGAAAAGATTGGATTTTGAAGATGTAAAAATGATGATTGCTTCAACAAGTATCTCATGGAGATGGAGTGAGTGAGGGTAGTAGCATTTTCCGACTAGCTAGGGAAACTTTTAACACCTTGACTCCCTGCTACTCTCATCTACATGGTGACTCTTCTCCCCTTTTGTCTGCTTCTCATCTACACTGAGAGTCAGAAATTATAGTTTGGGGTGTGAAACACTGGTTTAAAGGACTGTATAAAAGGAAGGAAAGGAATACTTCTCTTTTTTCATTTATCTCACACAGATTAAGGTAAGTACTTCATTACTACTTCATAATTCATAGATTGCTTCTGCAAAACACATGTACACACAATCTGAAAACGCTCCAGTTATCTTCAATTTAAAATTCCCATTTAAATGACCAGGAGATTTGAATGCTTGATGCCTACTATGTCATTTTTATCACAATGGTATGTTCTACCCAAGAACACATAGCCTTCTTTTAGCCAGAGAACATGGTGTTTCTACAAATAAACATCTTACCCCTAAAGAGACAAATTCCTTGATGATTTATAATTTGGAATAGCCCCTCCCCAAATCATCAGTCTGCCTTCCAGAAAAACATTATAAATTTTGTAAATAATTTTTAATATTTTAGGTAATGATGTATAGTTGTGACACATAAATATTTTGCCCAAATGAATCCTTCTTTAGAATTACTGCACCATGGATAAACACTTATGGTAGTTTTGGTAGAGCAATTTTTGTTATTCACATTAGCAGAGTTGTCTGTGGCTAGATACTGAAATTGCTCTGTGATATGGACTGGAATATTATGGTGATCTTAATTAAACTGGCTTTCTAGGAGTGTAGTAAAATGGTGGACCCTAAAACATTTTAGGTGAAAAACCAGGAACCAGTTCTAGAGCTAAAGACCACATATATACTCTTGGAGTATGGTAACTGTGAATATGTAGATAGGTGAGTGGGCTGTAAGTAACAGTGAAGACTTTTTGCATCTCCTAACAACCTGAGAGCTTATGGCCAGCAATGGATATGTTTCTTTATGGGAAGCATAGTACAAAAGGGATAAACTGAAGTCTTATAATAAAGTTTTGTGGAAAAAAACCCTTAATGGTGAGGCAGATATGCAGAAAAGGGACAATAACTTTAATGTTAAAAAATGATACTTAGAGTCTTTGCTTCCATTGAGCCACGTATCTGTGATGAGCTTGAAAGAACTATCCTAAGAGTGATTCTCAGACTCATTAGGTTGAGAGCCTGTCTTCTTTTTTTGTATTATTCTCCCCTGTCTTAAAAATACTGGCTGTCATATTGAAAACGTATGACTGATTTGATACTAATTTTTTCCTACATTCATTGAAATAATTAGAGATGACTCCAGGCCATTACAAAAATCAAGACTGAGATTTGGTAAATTTATTACGGGCTTTGAATACATAGAGTCATTGGGACTCTTAGGGCTGCCAACTATATTTCTTAAAACATGGAATGCAATGGTTACTACTTTGTGAGTCTTACTCTTAGGTTTTTTCATGTTTCCCCTTAAAAGATAAATAAACATTCTCTTAAGACCTGGTCATGAATTACTGACTTTGTGAAGTTGAATAGAACTGGGAAATTCAGGAAAGGATAGGATTTTCACCACCTTTTAGCAGTTGATTAATGAATCTCCTGTTCCCAAATCGATTTATCTCAGTTATTTCTAATTGGTTTTGAGTTTGTGGAATCTGCTTTAATAATAAACTCTAAAATTGGGTAACTCAGATGTTTGAATATTTAATAAAAATCTTAGGAAGGTGAAACACAGTTCTTTCTTAACGTGCTTTTTGATTTTAATGCACCTTAGCAAAAGAGTCAAATTTTAAAGTTGATGAGCTACAGATAATGGGAGTAAAATGACACCTTGGTTAACAAGTCCTCTGGAAGCAAAGCTCCTAGAAAATTGGCCTGAGCATTGAAGGGGTTGGAATACCCATTCCAGTTTCTTCATTTTTGGATTAAAGAAAGAGAAGGCAAGCTCACTGCTGCAGATATAGAGACTTCTCAAAGGGCAGGCTGGGTGCTAGCTGTAGGGCGAAGCATCCTTCTAGAGGGCCTATGCTTCACCAGAGGATTGTAACTATTTCCTCTGTGCACTGGGAAGGGGACTCTTGACAGTGATGGGAGCACATGCTGTTTCTCCTAGCCCACTTCTACATATTGCCATCTCCCTACCACCATTATCACATGTGCATTCTTTCACCTATGTGGTTTTATAAAAGCAAGGAAGATTTGAATTCACTTGTTTGTATAGAAGGTATGGAATCAACATTTAGAAATGCATTCATCTTCTAATTATTTTTAAATTACTTCATTAGAAATAAAATAATTATCTCATTCAGAAAATAGAATGGATTCTTACATACCTTATCTACCTACCATTCATCCATCCATGTATCCCTTTATCCATCCATCCATCCATCCATCCGTCTACCTATCTACCAATCTACCCATCTGCTTATCTTGCTTTCACACAAATATAAGAAATGTGGAGAATGAGAAATAATATATAAACTAAGCTTTCTAAATAGAAAACATTTTTGGTCAAGATGAATTGGACATGATGCAGTTTAACTGGTATATAAATTTTAAAAGATGAAGGGACACTAAAGTCTTGAAATATGGTAAGCAGAGGGAGCAAATATTATTTTGAAGTTCTTTAAGGACAAGATTGAGATATTCAGTGGAAATGCCTTTTGATTTGGGTAATTAACTTTCATCCTGTTATAGTTATCTAATGGAATATCATTTGTCTAGCCCAATTCCCTTATCTACGTCATAGTGTTATATCTGTTATTGTGATGGTTGGCATTAGAGTTCAGAATGTGTTCTTTTAAATGTTGATATCAGTATGTGAAATTCTCCCCAAATTTCATCTGAGTTATTTTCTAGGATTTACTACCTCCCTACCCCATAAGTGTTGGGAGAATAGCATGAAAGATTTTTAGTGTTGGTATTGTTTTTATGGAAATAGAATGGTAAAAGTAAGTGATCTTCAGATTGAATTAATTAAACCAGAAAATTACTTGCCTATAACAGAATGTATCTCTCTGATATCCTCCTTGTGCTTATAAATTAAGCATTGAAATGCTAAGTGACTTATAGCCTCTACTGTCTGCTATTTTTAATTTTTTAGGCTTGGTATAAATGGGAACAATGTAGGCTCTGGATTCAGATGTGGGTTCAAATCATAGTTACTAGACTCATGGTGAGGCCTTAAACTCTCCGAGCTTCAGTTCCCTGTCTTTATTTTATTTTATTTTTTTATTTTATTTTATTACTATTATACTTTAAGTTTTAGGGTACATGTGCACAATGTGCAGGTTAGTTACATATGTATACATGTGCCATGCTGGTGCACTGCACCCATTAACTCGTCATTTAGCATTAGGTGTATCTCCTAATGCTATCCTTCCCCCTTCCCCCACCCCACAACAGTCCCCAGAGTGTGATGTTCCCCTTCTTGTGTCCATGTTTTCTCATTGTTCAATTCCCATCTATGAGTGAGAACATGCGGTGTTTGGTTTTTTTCCTTGCGATAGTTTACTGAGAATGATGATTTCCAATTTCATCCATGTCCCTACAAAGGACATGAACTCATCATTTTTTATGGCTGCATAGTATTCCATGATGTATATGTGCCACATTTTCTTAATCCAGTCTATCATTGTTGGACATTTGGGTTGGTTCCAAGTCTTTGCTATTGTGAATAGTGCCGCAATAAACATACGTGTGCATGTGTCTTTATAGCAGCATGATTTATAGTCCTTTGGGTATATACTCAGTAATGGGATGGCTGGGTCAAATGGTATTTCTAGTTCTAGATCCCTGAAGAATCCCCACACTGACTTCCACAATGGTTGAACTAGTTTACAGTCCCACCAACAGTGTAAAAGTGTTTCTATTTCTCCACATCCTCTCCAGCACCTGTTGTTTCCTGACTTTTTAATGATTGCCATTCTAACTGGTGTGAGATGGTATCTCATTGTGGTTTTGATTTGCATTTCTCTGATGGCCAGTGATGATGAGCATTTTTTCATGTGTCTTTTGGCTGCATAAATGTCTTCTTTTGAGAAGTGTCTGTTCATGTCCTTTGCCCACTTTTTGATGGGGTTGTTTGTTTTTTTCTTGTAAATTTGTTGGAGTTCATTGTAGATTCTGGATATTAGCCCTTTGTCAGATGAGTAGGTTGCAAAAATTTTCTCCCATTTTGTAGGTTGCCTGTTCATTCTGATGGTAGTTTCTTTTGCTGTGCAGAAGCTCTTTAGTTTAATTAGATCCCATTTGTCAATTTTGTCTTTTGTTGCCATTGCTTTTGGTGTTTTAGACATGAAGTCCTTGCCCATGCCTATGTCCTGAATGGTAATGCCTAGGTTTTCTTCTAGGGTTTTTATGGTTTTAGGTCTAACATTTAAGTCTTTAATCCATCTTGAATTAATTTTTGTATAAGGTGTAAGGAAGGGATCCAGTTTCAGCTTTCTCCATATGGCTAGCCAGTTTTCCCAGCACCATTTATTAAATAGGGAATCCTTTCCCCATTGCTTGTTTTCCTCCAGTTTGTCAAAGATCAGATAGTTGTAGATATGCGGCATTATTTCTGAGGGCTCTGTTCTGTTCCATTGATCTATATCTCTGTTTTGGTACCAGTACCATGCTGTTTTGATTACTGTAGTCTTGTAGTACAGTTTGAAATCAGGTAGCGTGATGCCTCCAGCTTTGTTCTTTTGGCTTAGGATTGACTTGGCGATGCGGGCTCTTTTTTGGTTCCATATGAACTTTAAAGTAGTTTTTTCCAATTCTGTGAAGAAAGTCATTGGTAGCTTGATGGGGATGGCATTGAATCTATAAATTACCTTAGGTAGTATGGCCATCTTCATGATATTGTTTCTTCCTACCCATGAACATGGAATGTTCTTCCATTTGTTTGTATCCTCTTTTATTTCCTTGAGCAGTGGTTTGTAGTTGTCCTTGAAGAGGTCCTTCATGTCCTTTGTAAGTTAAATGAGTTATTACAAGGATTAAATAGGATACTAGAATGTGCCTGGCACAGTGCTTAGTACACAGCAGGTGCTGGGTAAATGATCTTATTCCTATGTTAAAACAGACAGAAGCTATTTATTAATACTGTTCTATTTTAAATGTGACAGACATATGCATATAAGAAGCCTGTGCAATAGCTTTTTATAGCCTGTGCAATAGCTTCTTATAGCCTTGGAAAGATAGCAGCTATTTTATAAAATCTCATCTGTAACTAAAGAGTTCCATTAGTGAAATGATTTCAGGTAGACAATAATATATTTATGTCATTAAAAAAACTACAAATAACTAACAAAAGCTTTATCTTTCTTGATTCCTTTCAGGCAAACACCTCATTAAGAAGATATATTCTTTAAACAACAATTAATTTATGCCTTATTAATAGATGTTACTTTCAAGCTCACTCTTGTTGGTATTTGAAAAAGAAAAAAGAGAGAGAAGTTGCTATGATATTTATAATTTCTTTGTGTAATGATACTATAAATGACATTTTAGTTGGGGGACAAATCTTTCAATATTTGAAATTTTAAGTTTTTAATTTTTTTCAACAAAAATGCCAGGCTTATTTTATATACATTAGTTTACTTCATGAGTTGGAAATTTTGTTCCCGATTTTTTCAAAACATGTTCCTTTGTTTCATAATGAAAGTTGAGTATGTGTACACTCAAACGTTTGTGGTATCATTCAGCTTTTGTTTGGGAAGTGTGGAGAAAGAGAGGAGTAGAAAAGCTATTAATATCTTTCGAATTCAATGCAGTATGAATACTTTGACTCTATCTTAAAAAGCCAATGGAAAATGGCTTCTACCATCTTAAGTTTTTAATTTATTTCTCAAGGGTGGAAGGAAATACCTTGACAGATTTAGCCCTGAAATTCAAATGAGTATGAGAACAGGTGGTGAAATTTCTTCTCCACCTGCCATGCAACTTTATCACAAGAAATGTTTCATTTAGCAAATGCTGCTGCTAGCAGACACTTCTCTGTTTCAGAGCAGAAAAACAAATGGATGGAAAGTACTTTGAGGAAAGACTTTTTCTTGATTTTCTTTTTAAATTGTGAGTGTGAGCAATATGTATTTTATTTTCCTGGGGGTTGGGTAGTGGATAGTCAGTGCCTTGATTAACCAACCTGTTTTGTTGTGTTGTTAAACCATTCATAGCTTTCTTGTTTTTGTTTTCATTTTGTTTTGTTATTGTTGTTGTTCCTGTATACCAACCCACTGACACCAACTTTAGTTAAGGTAATATTATTAATCTGGGGAACTTGAAATATCTATATTATACTTTTGACACTAATGCAAGAGACTTTCTTTTTTTTCTTTTCCTTTTTTTGAGATGGAGTTTCACTCTTTCACCCAGGCTGGAGTGAAGTGGCACAGTCTCGGCTCACTGCACCCTCCGCCCCCCAGGTTCAAGTGATTCCCCTGCCTCAGCCTCCTAAGTAGCTAGGATTACAGGCACCTGCCACTGCGCGCGGCTGATTTTTGTGTTTTTAGTGGAGACGGGGTTTTACCATGTTGGCTGGGCTGGTCTCGAACTCCTGATCTCAGGTGATCCGCCTGCTTTGGCCTCCCAAAGTGCTGGGATTACAGGCGTGAGCCACCACGCCCAGCCTGGGACTTTCATTCTTTTGTTGCAGTGAAATTGAGTTTTTAGCATATATTGTTAGATTTAACCTTTTTTGGTAATGAAATGATGGCAGTTAAAGCACTATGAAACAAATGAGGGAACTAAATAGAAAAGTGTTGTTCATATACTTTTACCTTTCTAGCTTTTCTCTAATTCATTTCTTCTTTTTTCCCTTCAGAAATTACAAACAGTACAGGAAAGTGTAGAGAACAGTCTTTTATTCATAGCAGTATCAAGATGTTGCTTTTTATTTGATGTGAGCTAGACATTAATGTACCAGTGCATGAATTGGCACACATAACCTCTCTACCAAGAAAAGTTAAGTGCTTTTATTGTGTTTTCATGATGATAATCTCAAGAAGCACCAAAATGTTCCCTTTTCCTTGACAATGAAATTTGACCACACCTGGGTTTCTGTATAACATGAACTGCTATTTGCAATGATAGAAACCAAGAAATTGAAGTACACATTTTATAATTGATCAAGATGATATCTTATTTTTTAAACACAATGGTACTGGTTTCAGTGGATTGTCGTGGGATTTATTTAGGTATGGAGATTGAGGAGCATTGGAAGATTATTTGTGGCTTTTGAGTCAAATGATGCAATTAAGAGATGCTTTTTCCTTCCTCATATAGCATTCCAACAAACATATTTACTATAATGAATTCTAAGAGTATATGGTTCTCTATAGAACGTCTACCAAATTAAACCTCTACAGAGGGATTCACTGAAGAAAACACATTTAAGTCAGATCAGCAGAGCACTCTTGCTTTGGCCCACCTACCAGGACATAGATACCAGGACACAATTCTTCATTGTCATGTTGCTTGCTATTAAAAAAAAACCACATTTGTCCATTTAGTGAGTTTTAAATTTCCTTTGAAAAAATCCATTTGGATGAACAATTCTATGCAGACAGTAGTAGGAGTTTATGACATGTTTGCACTAGCAATTTTGAGAGTATATCTTGTACTCTGATAATTTTGCAGGTTTAAAGATAGAATCTTTGTGCATATTCTGGAATACTGATGAGGTTGAACATTTTTGTATCTGCTAACCATTGGCACCTTGATCTTTGTGAATTGTGTGCTCATATCACTTACATGTTTCCGTTCGGGTAATTTTAAATATGTGGACATTTCGAGGCAAGATTACAATGTTGGCAGCCCTTTGTTAACATATGACAATGGCTTAGGCTTTTTTTCCTTTTGTCTTTAAATGCAGTGCAGAGAAATGCCACAGTCTGTGTATGTTTGGTTTGACCACGTTTACAATGCTTTCAGTAAAATGGTCAGACAGTGCCTCCATCTCTAAGCTAATACTCATCAAAAAAGTAGTTGTTTTCTTTGAGCAAGCACAGTTGAGTGATTCACGTACACTTTGTGAAAGATTGCTCTTGTGCTTTATGGTTGGTCATTGTTTCAAGAATAAGACGTCTGCTGTGGTGATTGGGTAGGCGGGGGGTGGCATGCAAGCAATATGCAGACTATAATATTGTAGGGAAAAGAGAGGTTTAATTTTTAGAAACAAAATTCGTTAATATAGTCTCTCCCATGAATAATCTTGTAGGGCTGGTGAAATGGGACTATTTAGACAGAATTTGCCAGATTCTAACTTAACATGTAAAAGTGGATCCAAATAACAACTGTTTTATGCAGATTTAGGAAATTATTATTCTTACATGAGCTTATGTAAAACAAAAGCTTTGCTGCATAATTTTCTTATAAACTTCAAAGCCATTATCTACTTTTTTACTCTTAGACTTGAGTTTTCAAATTGATGGGCCTGTGGAGAGCAGAGATATTCTGTTAGGTAGCCTTGGAAGAATTAGTGATAATTAATAATCCTGCTGTGTTTCATATTGCTAGCATTACCTCATGGATTCAACCCTATGACTGGGAAATTATTTAAATCATGAAATTGCTTGAGAAAAATTTTCATGAGACAGTAAATTCCTCTATATTAGGATTTCTCACCTTTGGCACTTGACTTTTTTGCCTAAGAACAGCTTTGACCTAGAGAACTGTCCTGTTTTGTAGGATGTTTAGCAGCATCCCCAGTTGTGACAGTGAAAAATGTCTGCAGACATTATGAATCATGGGGGTGGAAGGAGGGGCAAAATGCCTCCTGCTCCCCCTCCCCACATTGAGAATGACTTGTATGTATATTGTATTTAACTATATGAGTTGAAAAAACATCAGATTAAAAACTGTTATTTTTTTTCTTGGAATTACTCAGATAATCATTCCTTTAAGCATAGATTGATATAATTGTGGCTTGGGGTTTGCAGAGAAGTGTTACCTCCTTGCAATGTTGAAGAACAGTGCTCTTCACATTCAATCAATAAACTTAATAAAGGGGAGATAGATGGGAATATTGAATCTGCTAAGAAGGTTAACATGGCATGTACTGTTACCAAAGCAGAAATTAGTAGGGAGTGTTTTGAATGTTAAAAAGTCAAAAGATACTGATAAAACATCATGAAAAAGATAATTTTAGTCCAGGCTTCTTCAGCTTTTGAAGTAATTAATTAAAAAGGCAAGCATATTATGTTGGCAAGAAAGGGCTGCATTTTCACTTTTTGCTTTCTGTTTTTAAGAGCAAGAGACAAATGACAAAGTAAATAAGTTGTTACTTGTAGTTTACTCAAAAAAGCAATTTCCGGGATATGTCATTGTGGCAATGTGAATTCAGCTTTACTCCTATCCCTTTTACATCTGCAGTTTCATAAGAATGATAATTGATGGTCATTTAAGCACTGCATAATAAAGAAATGTCTTTGGAATGATCTACAGAAAGAAGATTCTGTATTCATTCAGAGGACATATATTAAGTCTTTCGTGCTAGGCTCTGTGCAGGGAATACAGAAACTAATAAAACAGTCTGCTTGAATATCCTATTAATATAATCTGGATGAATAGACATTTTCTGGTTAGGGATAACAGTCACCATCAATCAATTTCTGACTTTTCCAATTGATTCTGTAATTTTAAACGTCTGTCCACAAAAGTTGTTTAAAATTGTGTGTGTGTGCTATATATCATAAATATAACTTAATTCTCTTTAAAGCTATCTCTGAAACTCTGGTGGAAGGCTATATCCAGTTTCTTTTATGCTTTTTAAAATCTTAAGTTATTCTCTTCTTTATTAAATATCTATCAGAATTGAATTAAACATGGTTATATATTATTAATTCATTTTTGGTTATACTATGGCTCTAATATCATTAAGAAGAATTGATGTCATCCTTAAGGCCAGAATTTTTGCTAATTATTGCAAGATTTAAAACCACTTAGTTGGTGTCATAATTCAAAAAGCAGAATCTTTAGTATGGTCTTTTTCTTGTTAAAACTGATCAACTTGGGGTTTTAGGTATGACAGGAAAAAAAGGTGAAACCTTTCTGATATTGGATAGCTCAGTTAGACAGTTAGAAAAGCAAATAATTCAAAATTGAGGAAATTACAGAAAAAATGAAGAGTTCCAGCACTTGAAAATCTGCTCTCCTTCTTTTTTCCTAATGTCTATTTTAGCAGTCTTTTTAGCAGTCTGTATCATGAATGCAGAACCAAATTCATGAGCCATGGGCTCCCCACTCTTAGGCAGGTGATCCAGAGATTATTTTAGCAATGTATACCTATGGAGAAACACAAGATCTCTTCTAAGGAATGATGAAAGGTTATTAATAATGGCACATTTTTAGTATAACCTGAGATTTTTAAACTATCAAATGTATTGTCATATTCTCTTTGCATCTAAGTGACCTACTGACTAAGGTTCTCCTATTCTTACTTATGCCCCTTGAAAATACTATTGCTGCAATACATGCAAATACAGAATTGCCTGTATTTATATTTTTAGTATTCATTTCTTTGAAAAGATGGAAATGTGACTAGATTGTAGCTATTAAACAATCCCAAACTGGTAAGTGAGAGATACTGCTAGAAAAAGAAATTATATCATGTGAAAAATTTTGTTCAGTTGGGGTTGATTAGAACTACTACTAATAACAGAAGATAAAGTAATGCATTAATATATAACAATTAATCTTTTACTTTTATTAATGGGGGTTTGGAGTGGGAATCAGACTAGACCTAGATTCAAACCCTGGGCCAACCACTTTAATAAGTGGTTTCTGACCCTTCTTTAGTCTGTGTATAAAATTATTGGCAAGTACCTGCTATATAATGACTATTCAATAAATGGTAGCTATCATTTTTATCTTTTCAAAATTAGGTGTTCCAAATTAATTTTAACTATATGCAGCATAATTTGATGGCATTGCTATCTAAATAGTAACATATCAACAGTAATTACTGTGGCCTTTAAAAACTCTGTGACTATAATTTTGAACCACCTTTTAAGTTGATTTCTCAGTTATCATCTGTATATTCTGTACTTGGAAACCATTTTACAAATATACATTTCTTCTAAGATAAAGAGTGGTACAAGCGTATAATATAGTGAAACAATATTCACCATATTGCATGGTCATATGATTGCAATAGTGACTGATTATTTTTCTAAATAATCTCATTGTAAATTGTACAAGTTTTAATTTCCCCTTCTTTCTTATGTAAAAAAACTTTCAGATCTCTCGTGGAAGAGGAAGACCAACACATGAAATTGTCCCTTGGAGGCAGCGAAATGGGCCTCTCATCCCATTTGCAGTCTTCCAAGGCAGGACCTACACGCATCTTTACCAGCAATACCCACAGTTCTGTGGTGTTACAGGTAATTTAAGCTGTCTCTTTGGTAGTGTTTACGTAGCTTTAAAAAACCCACCATGGATTTTGTGATGCAGGATGTCAGTAGTGGAGGAGGTTGTGGGTGTGTATGTGTGAATAGGAAATGTATGGTAACTATTTTTTGCTCAGTTTTGCTGTGAACCCAAAATGGCTCTAAAAAATGAAGTTTATTAAGTAAAGAAACAAAAGACAAAAACTAACCAGGAGAGAAATCTTGATGGAGGAATGCACACATTCCTGAGGTTAAAAAATCCTCAGAATCAATTTTTTGTTTGGTTTGTATAAAGGACATTTTGCCAGTATGCCACTTTCTTACAGAATACCATATCTGATTTCATTCCATAGCAATCAAAGTAAGTATTACAAGGTCCCTACACTGAATTTTCCTAGTTCCTCATTCACAGCCTGTTTTACTATCATCTTTGTAATGGTTCTAAAGATTATATTTATTTGGTGTCCCAACTCGCATTGGTAGTAGTAACTGTGGGAGAAGAGGTTAGGACTGCTGGATGCAAACCCTCTGATACATGTAATAAGTAATAACTAAAATAAAAGCAGGGGACAGAAACACAGTAGAAAGCCAAAAGAACATGAAACACAGCAATCTGGAGCTATTTAGCACGGGGATTAGAAGCTTAAGTACTTCTGACCTTTGTGGACATTTTCTGACTTCTGTGGGCATTGCTGAATTAGAGAGCAATATGGTACTGGATGTCCATTAATGTCTTCTAAAGATAGTTAAATTATATTGGTCCTCTTACTACCCTTAATAAGATAAGGAAAATTTGCCTTTCTAAATGCATATTTAAAAGAAATCTCCCCAGATGGATTTCATGCATATCCCTGATCAAGAACCATTATAGTAAAGCTGTATATAGAATATAATATAATGAGGGACAAGGTTTATACTTGCTGTGCATCCTCTGTGTTTAAATGTAATTTCACCGGATTTCATTTTCCTTATCTCCAAAATGTGACTCTTGACTAGCATACCTCTAAATTTCCTGCTAGTTTCAATCTTTGAATTCAGTAAAATCCCATTTCCCCAGTATTTCCGTTTCTAATTGGAGCTGGGGTCTATCTAAGGTTCATTGTCCTGTGGGTCATCAATAGATATGTGAGTCAGGAACGAGAATCTTTCCATCTCCTGGCATCTTAAAGCTGTGTAGGGAAAAGGGAAGATGGCCGAATAGAACAGCTCTGGTCTGCAGCTCCCGGCAAGATCAACGCAGAAGGTGGGTGATTTCTGCATTTCCAACTGAGCCCCCACTGGTGATACCCGGGCAAACAGGGTCTGGAGTGGACCTCTAGCACCTCTAGCAGATCTGCAGCAGAGGGGCCTGTTAGAAGGAAGACTAACAAACAAGAAAGGAATAGCATCAAGAACAACAAAAATGGCATCCACACAGAAACCGCATCTGAAGGTCACCAACATTAAAGACCAAAGGTAGATAAATCCACAAAGATGAGGAAAAACTAATACAAAAAGGCTGAAAATTCCAAACACCAGAACACCTCTTCTCCTCCAAAGGATCACAACTCCTCGCCAGCAAAGGAACAAAAGTGGACAGAGAATGAGTTTGACAAACTGACAGAAGTAGGCTTTAGAAGGTAGGTAACAGCAAACTCCTCCGAGCTAAAGGAGCATGTTCTAACCCAATGCAAGGAAGCTAAGAACCTTGAAAAAAATTATAGGAATTGCTAACTAGAATAACCAGTTTAGAGAAGAACATAAATGACCTGATGGAGCTGAAAAACACAGCATGAGGACTTCATGAAGCATACAAAAGTATCAATAGCCAAATCAATCAAGCAGAAGAAAGGATATCAGAGATTGAAGATCAACTTAATGAAATAAAGCAAGAAGACAAGATCAAAGAAAAAAGAATGAAAAGAAACGAACAAAGCCTCCAAGAAATATGGGACTATATGAAAAGACCAAACCTAAGTTAGATTGGTGTACCTGAAAGTGATGGGGAGAATGGAACAAAGTTGGAAAATACTCTTCAGGGTATTCTCCAGGAGAACTTCCCCAACCTAGCAAGAGAGGCCAACATTCAAATTCAGGAAATACAGAGAATGCCACAAAGATACTCCTCAAGAAGAGCAACCCCAAAACACATAATCGTCAGATTCAGCAAGGTTGAAATGAAGGAAAAAATGTTAAGGGAAGCTGGAGAGACAGGTCGGGTTACCTACAAAGGGAAGCCCATCAGACTAACATCAGATCTCTCTGCAGAAACCCTACAAGGCAGAAGAGAGTGGGGACCAATATTCAACATTCTTAAGCAAAAGAATTTTCAACCCAGAATTTCATATCCAGCCAAACTAAGCTTCATAAACAAAGGATAAATAAAATCCTTTACAGAGAAGAAAATGCTGAGAGATTTTGTCACTACCAGGCCTGCCTTATAAGAGCTCCTGAAGGAAGCACTAAATATGGAAAGAAAAAACTGGTACCAACCACTGCAAAAACATACCAAATTGTAAAGATCATTGACACTATGAAGAAACTGCATCAATAAAGGGGCAAAATAACTAGCTAGCATCATAATGACAGGATCAGATTCACACATAACAATATTAACCTTAAATGTAAATATGCTAAATGCCCCAATTAAAAGACACAGACTGGCAAATTGGATAGACAAGGCCCATCGGTGTGCTGTATTCAGGAGACCCATCTCACATGCAAAGACACACATAGGCTCAAAATAAAGGGATGGAAGAATATTTACCAAGCAAATGGAAAACAAAAAACAAGCAGGGGTTGCAATCCTAGTTTCTGATAAAACAGACTTTAAACCAACAAAGATAAAAAAAGACAAAGAAGGGCATTTCATAATGGTAAAGGGATCAATGCAACAAGAAGAGGTAACTATCCTAAATATATATGCACCCACTACAGGAGCACCCACATTCATTAAGCAAGTTCGTAGAGATCTACAAAGAGACTTAGACTCCCACACAATAAGAGTGGGAGATTTTGTCACCCCACTGACAATATTAGACAGATTAATGAGACAGAAAATTAACAAGGATATTCAGGACTTGAACTCAGCTCTAGACCAAGCAGACCTAATAGACATCTACAGAACTCTCCATCCCAAATGAACAGAATATACATTCTTCTCAGCACCACATTACACTTATTGTAAAACTGACCACATAATTGGAAGTAAAACACTCCTCAGTAAGTGTAAAAGAACAGAAATCATAGCAGTCTCTGAAACCACAGTGCAATCAAATTAGAACTCAGGATTAAGAAACTCACTCAAAACCATACAAATATAGGGAAACTGAACAACCTGCTCCTGAATGACTACTGGGTATATAACGAAATTAAGGCAGAAATAAATAAGTTCTTTGAAACCAATGAGAACAAAGACACAACATACCAGAATCTCTGGGACACAGCTAAAGCAGTGTTTAGAGAGAAATTTATAGCACTAAATCCCAATAGGAGAAAGCAGGAAAGCTAAAATAGACACCCTAACATCACAATTAAAAGAACTAGAGAAGCAAGAGCAAACAAATTCAAAAGCTAGCAGACGACAAGAAATAACTAAGATCAGAGTAGAACTGAAGGAGATAGAGACACGAGGAACACTTCAATATCTCAGTGAATCCAGGAGCTGGTTTTTTGAAAAGATCAACAAAATAGATAGACCGCTAGCCAGATTAATGAAGAAAAAATAGAGAAGAATCAAATAGACACAATAAGAAATGATAAAGGGGATGTCACCACTGATCCCACAGAAAGAAACTACCATCAGAGAATACTACAAACACCTCTATGCAAATAAACTAGAAAATCTAGAAGAAATGGGTAAATTCCTAGACACATACACCCTCCCAAGACTAAACTAGGAAGAAGTCGAATCCCTGAATAGACCAATAACAAGTTCTGAAATTGAGGCAGTAATTAATAGCCTACCAACCAAAAAAGGCCCAGGACCAGACGGATTCACAGCCAAATTCTACCAGAGGTACAAAGAAGAGCTGATACCATTCTTTCTGAAACTATTCCAAACAATAGAAAAAGATGGAATATTCCCTAACTCTTTTTATGAGGCCAGCATCATCCTGATACCAAAACCTGGCAGAGACAACAAAAAAAGAAAATTTCAGGCCAATATCGCTGATCAACATAGATGCAAAAATCCTCGATAAAATGTAATCCATCACATAAACAGAACAAATGACAAAAACCACATGATTTTCTCAATAGATGCAGAAAAGGCCTTTGACAAAATTCAACACACCTTCATCCTAAAAACTCTCAATAAACTAGGTATTGATGTAAAGTATCTCAAAATAATAAGTGTTATTTATGACAAACCCACAGCCAATATTATACCGAATGGGCAAAAGCTGGAAGCATTCTCTTTGAAAACTGGCACAAGACAAGGATGCCATCTCTCACCACTCCTATTCATCATAGTATTGGAAGTTCTGGCCAGGGCAATCAGGCAAGAGAAAGAAATAAAGTTTATTCAAATAGGAAGAGAGGAAGTTAAATTGTCTCTGTTTGCAGATGACATGATTGTATATTTAGAAAATCCCATCATCTCAGCCCAAAATCTCCTTAAGCTGATAAGCAACTTCAGCAAAGTCTCAGGATACAAAATCAATGTGCAAAAATCACAAGCATTCCTATACACCAATAATAGACAAACAGAGATCCAAATCATGAGTGAACTCCCATTCACAATTGCTACAAAGAGAATAAAATACCTAGGAATCCAACTTACAAGCGATGTGAAGGACCTCTTCAAGGAGAACTACAAACCACTGCTCAAGGAAATAAGAGAGGACACAAACAAATGGAAAAACATTCTGTGCTCATGGATAGGAAGAATCAGTATCGTGAAAATGGACATACTGCCCAACGTAATTTATAGATTCAATGCTATCCCCATCAAGCTACCATTGACTTTCTTCCCAGAATTAGAAAAAAGCTACTTTAAATTTCATATGGAACCAAAAAAGAGCCCGTGTAGCCAAGACAATCCTAAGCAAAAAGAACAAAGCTGGAGGCATCCCACTACCTGACTTCAAACTATACTACAAGGCTACAGTAACCAAAACAGCATGGTACTGGTACCAAAACAGATATATAGACAAATGGAACAGAACAGAGGCCTCAGAAGTAATGCCACACATCTACAACCATCTGATCTTTGCCCAACCTGACAAAAACAAGCAATGGGGAAAGGATTCCTTATTTAATAAATGGTGTTGGGAAAACTGGCTAGCCATATGCAGAAAACTGAAACTGGACCCCTTCCTTACACCTTATACAAAAATTAACTTAAGATGGATTAAAGACTTAAACGTAAGACCTAAAACCATAAAAACCCTGGAAGAAAACCTAGGCAATACCATTCAGGACACAGGCATCGGCAAAGAGTTGATGACTAACACACCAAAAGCAATGGCAACAAAAGCCAGAACTGACAAATGGGATCTAATTAAACTAAAGAGCTTCTGCACACCAAAAGAAACTATCATCAGAGTGTACAGGAATCCTACAGAATGGGAGAAAATTTTTGCAATCTGTCCATCATACAAAGGGCTAATATCCAGAATCTACAAAGAACTTAAACAAATTTACAAGAAAAAAACAAACCACCCCATCAAAAAGTGTGTGAAGGATATGAACAGACACTTCTCAAAAGAACACATTTATGTGTCCAACAAATATATGAAAAAAAAGCTCATGATTACTGGTCATTAGAGAAATGCAAATCAAAACCACAAGGAGATACCATCTCATGCCAGTTAGAATGGTGATCATTAAAAAGCCAGGAAACAACAAATGCTGGAGAGGATGTGGAGAAATAGGAACACGTTTACTCTGTTGGTGGGTGTATAAATTAGTTCAACCACTGTGGAAGACAGTGTGGTGATTCATCAAGGATCTAGAACCAGAAATACCATTTGACCCACAATCCCATTACTGGGCATATACCCAAAGGATTTATAAATCATTCTACTGTTAAGACACATGCACAGGTATGTTTATTGCAGCACTGTTCACAATAGCAAAGACTTGTAACCAACCCAAATGCCCATCAATGATAGACTGGATAAACAAAATGTGGCACATACACACCATGGAATACTATGTAGCCATTAAAAGGATGAGTTCATGTCCTTTGCAGGGACATGCATGAAGCTGGAAACCATCATTGCCAGCAAAGTAACACAAGAAAAGAAAACCAAACACCAGATGTTCTCACTCATAAGTGGGAGGTGAACAATGAGAACACGTGGACACAGGGAGGAGAACGTCACACACCAGGGCCTTTCAGGGGGTGGGGGGCTAGGGGAGGCACAGCATTAGGAGAAATACCTAATGTAGATGATGGGTTGATGGGTGCAGCAAGCCACCATGGCACGTGTATACTTATGTGACAAACCTGCATGTTCTGCACATGTATCCCAGAACTTTAAGTATAAAAAAAAAATAAATCCCTCTAATCCTCTAATATATGAAAACGAGTCTTCGGCTATTTTTGTTTGTTATACATATGAGGATAGATTTTTAAGGTGCTCAAAAAAAAGCTGTGTAAATGGTTTACTTGTTGATTTTTCAAGTTATGGGAAGAGAGAATAAGGGGTCAAACAGATAGGAAAAGTATGTGAGGAAGAAGTGTTTTTGGTATACTAAAGTGCTCTCGCTAAAGAAAAATAAGAAATACCTCACTACTATACTCCTACCTAATGTAATGCCCATAGTAGTCATGAGTTAAAGCCAATTATTGTGGTCCTGCTAATTTTTAAAATTTACTAGAAACCGAACAATGATTGCCACTGTAGTGCAGTGAGAGATATTTAAAGCAATGGTTCTCAAATTTTAGTGCATGTCAGAATCATCAGGAGGGCTTGTTAAAACACTGAACGCTAGGTCCCAAACCAGAATTTTTTAATAAAAAACTCTGGGGATAAGGCCCAGGAATTTGCATTTCTAACAAGTTTCTAGATGATGCTGCAGATCAAGGAACATAGTTTTAAGACCATTGTTCTAGAGGTGGGACCTTCTTCCACCGAGTCATGGCCTTTTCTTTTCTCCCTATATATTTTATGGAGGTTATAAATTATTGTTACAATGGATAAACATTAGAGATAACTTAAATATCTATCAGTAGGTGAATCGTTGCATGAAATATGTTGCACCAAAACTATGCAATGCTGTGCAGCCACCAAAAAGAGTAATATCTGTACATATTGAATGGAAAGAATATAAGATACTAAAAAAAAGTAACAGGGAAAATGTGATACATCCATACAATGTAATATGATCCAGCTATTTTAAAAGATGAAGTACTAATACATGCTATCATATGGATGAACTTTGAAAACATTATGCTAATTGAAAGAGGCTAATCACCAAAGTCCGTGTTTTATGTGATTTCATGTTTTATGTGATTCCATTTGTATGAAATGTCCAGAATAAAGAAATCTATATAGACGTAAAGTAGACTATTGGTTGCTTACAGCTAGGGAAATTGGGGGGATATGAGAGTGAAAGCTAAAGGTACAGGATTTCTTTTTGCAGTGATAAAAATATTCTAAAGTTGACTCTGGATATCATTGCATATATCTGTGAATATACTAAAACCATTGATTTGTGCACTTTAAATGGGTAAATTGTATGGTATTCAAATTGTATCTCAATAAAGCTATTAAAAATGTAACAAGGCAATATGTATTGTATAATCCTTTTTATCAGTAGAAAAATTATACAATATGTATACACATGAATGTGAATGCATAGCAAATGGTATGGAAACACTAGGGAAGCTGAGGAATAATGTCATCTTTTGCTCTGTAAAATCCTATAATGTTTAATTTTTATTTACAATGGAAATATTTTTCTGCATAACCTCTGTAATAAAAAAATATATAACAGCTGACAAAACAAGTGTAACTGGGTCTCAGAGCCCTTAGCTCTGCCATGCCTTAGCTCATTGGTCCAGGCTGAGAAAGAACAGTGATGTGAAAGTAACCTGAAATTTTGTGTTACTTGAAGATAATTTTTCTTCAACTGATTTTTTATGTTGTTACAATATTTCCTGTGGTACCATAGAGATACCACTCTATGTTGCTATTAAAACCCTTCTATGCTCTATTTAAAAGTCTATTAAAAATTATGTTTTCACAAATTGAGATTTTTAAGGCCAAGCACTAACAGGGAACATTTTTGTATCAATCTTAGGTGTGGTGTTGTCAAGAGAACAAGCTAGAGAAGTGTTTAATGTGTAAATGTTATCATTGTTTTAAAATTAGCAATAACACATACTCCGGCTTCAAAAGGCATTGAAAGTAGCTGTCAGGGGAACTGATCCATGGGGAGAAACTGTTGTAATAAGCCTCACTCTGCAGGATTACCCACTGCCAAATTGTAGTGAGAAGGACATGGGTTTCAGCCAAAACTAGAATTCTAATCGTGCCCCTTATTAGCTAGTTATGTGACTTTGGGAATGTCATTTATACTCTCTGGCCCAGCTTTTTTTATTTGTAATCTGGGTAAGAGATTTGAGGATTAAGTGTCACAATTTATGGAAATAAGGTGCATAATAAATATTCATTTATTTTCCTTCCACTTGAGGTAAATGGAGAAGGTCTCACAGGGAATAGAGCTGATCAGAAGTTATGGGTATACCACAGGGAACTCCTGAGCCCCTGCGTCATTAATGGACCAGGCTCTGGCTATGGGATGTGGTTCCTCTCAGACTAGGGTCTTTCCTCTTTCTCTTTAAGTCTCACCTAGACAGAGCAGAACAGTGAGGGTAGGAGTCATGGTGTCTCCCACTGGATAAGATTGGGCAGATGGATGAGGCCACTTATTTTCTGCCAGGACTATTGAAGAAAACAGAAAATAGTTAATGAATTAAATGATTATGTATTAATATGTGATTATATAATAAAAAAAGAAGTTATGGGTATACCGAATAAGGTGTCCATCTGGTTGGCTTGAGCAGGCGGTTGGCTTGAGCAGGTCTAGCAGGTTACTCATCTCCATTAAATGGCTTCAGCAAACTAGGCTGTCAAAGAAAATTCCTAGAAAGTCATTTGATACCTAACAGGCTTGGATTCCTAGAATCTTGAACAAGTTCCAGGATAATCCATGACTGAGTTGGCAGGGCAAATGACTTTTACTCAAGTAAGAAAGATTAACTAAGGTTAGCTTAAGTAGTGATTGGTAAAATCAAGGATTATTTCATTTCCCTCACTCCTTGGCTACTACTACATCTGTGGTTATTTCTCATGGAAACCTTCTATTCTTTCACTTCTCCCTATTATTCCAGGTTGTCAGCATCTTTCTCTTACTGTCCTATCATATGGTAATTCACTGAATGATAACTTTCCTAGCACCTTCAGTTTTTAAAATAATAGCTTTATTGAGATATGATTCACATACCATATAATTCACCCATTTATTGTGCAAATCAATGGCTTTTAGTATATTCACAGGATTGTGCAACTGTCACCACAATCAATTGTAGAACATTATAATCACCTCAAAAAGAAGCCCATATTTGTTAGCAGTCACTCCCCAGTTGCCCCCAACTCTTTTCTCAATATGGCAACTGATTGGTTTGGCTCTGTGTCCCTACCTAAATCTCGTGTCAAATTGTAATCTCCAGTGTTGGAGGAGGGGCTTGGTGGGAGGCAATTGGATCATGAGGGTGGATTTCCCTTTTGCTGTTCTCGTGATAGTGAGTGAGTTCTCAAGAGATCTAGTTGTTTGAAAGTGTGTAGCACCTCCCCCTTCACTCTCTTCCTCCTGTTCTCACCATGTCAGATACGCCTGTTTCACCTTCCGCCATGGTTGTACGTTTTCTGAGGCTTCCACAGCCATGCTTCCTGTATAGCCTGTGGAATGATGAGCCAATTAAACTTCTTTTCTTTGTAAATGACCAGTTCCAGGTATTTCTTTATAGCAGTGTGAGAATGGATTAATACAGCAACCATTTATCTTTTCTCTGTTTCTGTAGATCTGTCTATTCTGAGCATTTCATATAAATGGAATCATACAATATGTGGTCTTTTGTGACTAGTTTCTATTACTTACCATAATGTTTTCAATGTTCATCTATATTGTGGCATATAACATGCTTCCTTCCTTTCTGTGTTCAAATAATATTCCATTGTGTAGATATTTTGTTTATGTATCCATTCATTGATAAGCATTTTTTTCATACATTTTGGCTTTTATGAATAAAAGCTATGAATATTCATGTGTAAATGTCCGTGAGGACATGTTTTCATTTCTTTTTGGTATATACCTTAGAGTGGAATTACTGGATCCTATGGTAATTCTGTCTAATTTTTTGAAGAACTGCCAGTGTTTTCCAAAGTATCTGCACCATTTTATATTCACACTGGCAGTGCATGAGGGTTTTAATTTCTCCACATTCTTAACAGCATTTATTAACTGTCTTTTTAAAATTATTATAGCCATCCCTGTAGATGTGAAGTAGTTTTGATTTGCATTTCTCTGATTGCTAATCATGTTGAATATCTTTTTTTTTTATGCTTATGGCCATTTGTATGTGATTCTGGAAGAAAAAAAATCTTATTCTTGTTCTGTGCCAAGTCACCAGGAAAGAAGAAAACAAACCAAAACAAAAGAAAAAGAAATCCTTTACCCATTTTTCAGTTGGGTTGTTTATCTTTTTATTACTCAGTAGTAAGGGTTCATACACACATATATATTATATTACATATATGTGTATATATATATTTTACATATATATGTATTCTAGATACAGATCCCTTATCTGATACATGATTTATAAGCATTTTCTCCAAGCACCTTCAGCTTTATGGTCCCTTCTTGTTCTGCTAATTGCTTTGCCATTCTCCAATTCTTTATCCATTCAGCCATATAATCTTTGCTTCTGTATTATCTTGGCAAAGTTAGTAGGAGAGAGGGTCAAGGAAAATGCCTAGAAGGGTTTGGATTTTTCACTATTCCCTAAACATATATTGTGTGTTCATATGCCAGTGCATTTGTACACATTACCTCTCCCTGGAATGCCCTTACTTCACTTTTCCTGTCTGATAAACCTCAATTTATTTATAATGACCTTTCTTTCTTTTTAAAAATTATTTATTTTTAGTTTAGATTCAGGGGGATGTGTGCAAATTTGTTACATGGGTATACTGTGTGATGCTGAGGTTTGGGCTTCTAATGATTCCATTGCCCAAGTAGTGAACATAGTACCCAATAGGTAGTTTTTCAGCCCTTCTCCCATTTCTCCCTTCCTCCTTTTAGAATCCCAGTGTTTATTATTTCCATTTTTGTGTCCATGTGTACCCAATGTTTAGCTCCTACTTATAAGTGAGAACATATAGATATTTTAGTTTCTGTTTCTGCCTTAATTTGCTTGGGATAATGGCCCCCAGCAGTATCCATGTTGCTGCAGAGGACATGATTTCATTGTTTTTTATGGCTGTATAGTATTCCATGGTGTATATGATCCATCTTAAATGGATGGTACCTCTTCTGTTAAACTTTTCTTGACCCAAGCAGAGTTAGTAGCTTCTTCTATTCATACATTTTATCTGTTATAAATATCACCTATCAGTGAGCTCCTCAAGGTCTAGGATCTAAGTTGTTGTTTCTGTATGCCTATGATCAGTACATGATGCTGCTTAATAAATGTCCACCTTTTGTATTATTAACATACTAGTTATCATTAAAAGAGATGCTACTTTGCTATAAAGAAGCTTTTTAGTTTGATGTACTCTCATTTGTCTATTTGCTTTTGTTGCTTCTGCTTTTGAGGACCTATTAAAAAAATCCTTGCCCAGCCTAATTTCATGAACATTTATCCTGTATTTTCTTCTAGTAGTTTCAAAGTTTTGGATTTTACTTTTAAGTATTTAACCTATTTATAGTTGGTTTTTGTGTGTGGTGAGAGACTAATTTCATTCTTCCATATGTGGATATCCAGTTTTCCTGGCACCATTTATTGAATAGACTGTCCTTTCCTCATGTGTGTTCTTGGCACCTTTATTAAAAAAATCACTTGGCTGTAAATACATGGATTTATTTCTGGGTTCTCTGTTCTGTCCCATTGGCCTGTGGGTCTGTTTTTATGCCAGAATCAGGATGTTTTGTTTACTATAGCTTTGTAGGATATTTTGAAACCAGACAGTGTAATGACATCAATTTTTTTATTTTTGCTCATGATTGCTTTGGCTCTTCAGGCTCTTTTGCATTTCCAAATGAAGAGACAACCTACAGAATGGGAGAAAGTACTTGCAAACTATGCATCTGATAAGAAGTTAATATCCAAAATGTATAAGGAACTCAACAGCAAAAAAAAAAATAAATTATCCAATTAAAAATGAGCAAAAGACCTGAATAGACATTTCATTTCTCAAAATAAGACATACAAATGGCCAACAGATATATGGAAAATTACACAACAACACTAATTATCAGAGAAATACAAATCAGAACCACAATGCAAAATCATCTCATCTCAGTTAGAATGGTTATTATAAAAAAGGCAAAATATAACAAATTCTGGTGATGATGTGGAGAAAAGGGAACTCTTAAATACTGTTGGTGGAAATGTAAATTAGTACAGCAATGATAAAAAATAGTATGGAAGTTCCCAAAAAACTAATAATGGAACTACCATATGATCCAGCAATCCCATTACTGGGTATATATCCAAAGGAAATCAGCATGTTGGAGAGACATTGGCACATTCATGTTTATTGCAGTAGTGTTCACAATAGCTAAGACGTGGAATTAAACTAAATGCTTGTCTACAAATGAATGGATAAAGAAAAAAATTTTATATCTACATCTATATATAAATGTGATACAGATAGATAGATACAATGGAATACCATTAAGGAATAAAGTAGAATGAAATCCTGTAATTTGTGGCAGTATGGATGAACCTGGAAGACATTATGTTAAGTGAAATAAATCAGGCAATGAAAGAGAAATACTGCATGTTCTCACTCATATTTGGAATCTAAAAACGTTAATCTCATAGAAGTAGGGTAAAATAGTGGTTACCAGAGACTGGGGAGGGTAGGGGAGAGGAGAGGACTGGGAAAGATTGGTCAATGAGTACAAAGCTACAGTTAGGAAGAATAAATTTTGGTTTTCTGTTACACAGTAGGGTGACTATAGTAAATAACAATGTAATATATATTTCAAGAAAGCTACAAGAGAAGATTTTGAATGTTATTGCCACAAAGCCACAAAGAAATGATAAATATTGCAGATGATGGATATAATAATTACCCTGATTTGTTCATTATACTATGTATACATGCATTGAAACATCACATTGTACCCCATAAATATGTACAATTATTATGTGTCAATTATAATTAAAAATTAAATTTTAATAAGAAATAATACATATAAAGAGCTTAGCCCTGGGATAGAGAAAGTGCTCAGTGTCTTTTTAATGCTATTATTGATGTTGTTTGTGAAATAAATTAATTTGGATGGCAGCTTATAAATCACTTTCATATATACTTTCCTCATTGATACTTGAAAAAAATGCTATGAGGTACAAAAGGCAAGAATTGTTATCTCCATTTTATAGATAAGGACGCTGAAGCTCAGGGAGATTAGGAGGCTTGCCCAAGTTCACATAGCCAGTAAGTGATAAATACTGAGACAGATTTGATGATGGTGTAGTTTTGTATTTTTATTTCTACTAGTCTTGCTCTAAATTGTCTTACCTTTTAAAATACAATGTCTATAAATATTGTGTTCATTAACTATAAATGTAAAAACATGTATTAGCAAAGGCTAAAAGATAGTTTGGAATGAATGATATAATAAATATTTTATTCTTGATAGAAACAGCAGAATTACACAGAATGTCTTCTTGCTGGCTTGCCTTTCTTCCGTTCACCTACTGAAAAGAGAAAAAAAAAATCAGGGAGAAAAATGTTAACTGCCAGTTGAAAACATCCCTTTCATCCTTAAGACCTGGAGGCCATAACGAGGGTATCATGCTTCAGCTGGTGGCAGTGTATATTAATTACAGAATACTTAGGTATATGGAAACAAATCATTTCCTGATTACTGGCGATACTCAAACCTATAAAGGTGGAAAATGCCTCGTTACTCTGGCTATGTGGGCCTCTAGTTGATATTTTCTCATTTTAAGATTGGTGCCTATTGGACTGCTCTTTTTGTGTTTTCCTCACTTATAGCTATTTACTTTCTCTCTTCATTTTTAGTTCTAAAGTCAATGTAGGATATCATTTTATAGTCTTATCCTCTAGCTAATAGAATGTTAAAGAAATGGGTTATTGTAAGAGCCTATACAGATTAACACGTGTTGCCTTTCCCTGGGTTAATTTCTCTGAATGTTTATCCTGAGGTAAATGCTTGGGTTGCTGATAATGTCATGTTGATGAAGTATATCCTTTTTTCTCAACATTATGATCATAAAATAAACAACTTTAAAAATATAATGTTAGTACGTTGTTAACATAAGAAACAGGCATAATGATTAAGATAATTTACATTTTATAAAATAAGAGTTCAAATAGTCTAGATTCTTGTGGTTTTTATGAAAATGATACTTTTAATTTCTTTTCATTTCCTGAATGGCAGCTAGAATATAGGGAAATGAGTCCATAGTTTTTCTTGGGCATAGCTCTTGGGGCACTCAGGTTGGGGTACAATAAGTTATTCTTATTCTTCGAATTGACTGTGCATCTTTAGGATAAAAGTTGGAAGACTGTCTGCCGCTTTCCCTTTTTAGGCCACTTCAGTGTGTTCTTGTCCTGCTCTCTCAATTGAGTATTTTTGGTTATTTGCTAGTGTCGAAGTGATAGAGAGGGCTATCACATACCAACTTGAAAGTCAACTATGCTGGAATACATAATTTGAATTTCTGATTGTTGCTAGTATACAGTAATACAGTTTGTTATTAATTATTGATCTGGCATTGTGCAACCTTGGTAAACTGACTTATCAGTTCTAGCAGCTTTTTTGGTAGATTCTATAGGTTTTCCTATATAGGCAATCATTTTGCCTATAAATAAGCCTGCCTGCCTGCCTGCCTGCCTTCCTGCCTTCCTGCCTTCCTGCCTGCCTGCCTGCCTGCCTGCCTGCCTTCCTTCCTTCCTTCCTTCCTTCCTTCCTTCCTTCCTTCCTTCCTTCCTCCCTTCCTTCCTTCCTTCCTTCCTTCTTCCTTTTCATCCTTTCTTGCCCTCCCTTTCTTTTCTTTCCCCTTTCTTCCTTTCTTTTTCTTTCCTCTTTTCTTTTTTCTTTCCAGTCTGATGCCTTTTTTTTCCTTACCTTATTGCACTGGATAAAACCTCTAGAAAAATGGTGAAAGCAATCAGTCTTTCACCATTAAGTATGATGTTATCTGTAGGTTTGAGGAAGTTCTCTCGTATTCTTAGCTTGCTAAAAATTTATTTTAATTTTCTAATTTTTTTTTGAGACAAGGTCTCATTCTGTCACCCAGACTGGAGTGCAGTTGCATGATTTTGGCTCACTGCAACCTCCTCCCAGGCACAAGCAATCCTCCTACCTCAGGCTCCAGAGTAGCTGGGACTATATGTGTGTGCCACCACACTCGACTAATTTAATTTAAGTTTTTTTTTTTTTTTTTTTTTTTTTTGTAGAGACGATGTCTCACTATATTGCCCAGGCTAGTCTCAAACAGCTGGGCTCAAGCAATCCTCCTGCCTCAACCTCCCAAAGTGCTGGGATTACAGGCATGAGCCACCACATCTGGCGAGTTTACTTTTTTAAAAAAACAGGAATGGATGTTGGATTTTGACAAATGCCTTTTTTTTCTGTAGTCATTAAGAAATGATCTTAGCATTTTTCTTTTTCAGTCTGTTAGTATGGTGATTTATATTGATTAACTTTTGATTGTGAAAGCAACCTTGCATTGGAGTTATAAACTCTTCACTTGGTCATGATGTATTTATTATTCTTATATATCAGTAAATTTGGCTTGTTAAAATTTTGTTGAAAATTTTTACATCTTTGTGCCCGATGGATTTTGATCTTGGCTTTCTGTGATTGTCTTGTCTGGTTTTAGTATTAGAATAATGCTGGCCATGTAGAATAACTTGGGATATATGCTCTCCTCCTAATATTCTGGATTTGTTTGTGGGGTATTGGTGTTCTTTCTTCCTTAAATGTTTGATAGATTTCACCAGTGAAACCATTTCATCTTAGAGTTTTCCTTGGGGAAACAATTTTAAATTAAAATTTAATTTTATAGTAGACATGTAGCTATTTAGTTTATCTGTTTCTTCTAAAACTTTAGTAGCTTGTGTCTTTCACAGAATTTGTCCATTTAAACTGAGTTGTCAAATTTATTGGCATGAAGTTGTTCATATTTCCTTATTATCCTTTTAATACTTATAGAATCTCTAGTTTATGCCACTTCTATTCATCCTGGCATTGGTAATTTGTATATTCTCTCTTTTTCTCACCTAATCCGTCTTGTTAGAGTTTTGTCAGATTTATGGATCTTCTCAGAGGAACAGCTTTTGGTCTTATTGCTTTTTCTGTTTTTCTGTTTTCTATTTCATTGATTTCCACTATGATCTTTATTATTGCAATTCTCCTGCCTAATTTGGGATAAATTTGCTCTTCTATTTCTAGTTTTTTAAGAAGGAAACATCTTTCATAGGAGGTGTTTCTTCTTTTTTAATATAGTCATTGACTGATATAAATTTCCCCTAAGTAGAGCTTCATCTGCACTCCACAATTTTTGATGTTATATTTTCATTTAGTTCAAAATGCTTACGAGTTTTTCTTTTGATTTCTTTATGGGTTATTTAGAAGTATGTTTTAGTTTCAAAACATTTGGGGATTTTCCAGAGATTTTTCTATTTTTGATTTCTAATATAATTAAGCTGGGGCCAGAGAACATATTAATAATTTGTATGACTTGAATCCTTTTAAATTTTTTAAGACTAGTTTTATGGCCCAGAATATGATCTATCTTGTAAATGTTTCACATATACCTGAAAATAATTTGCATCCTACTGTTCTTCGGTGAAGTATTCTGTAAATGCCAATTAGGTCAAGTTGGTTGATAGTGTTGTTTCAGTATCCTTGCTAATTTCTGTATATTTACTGGTTTTTGTCACCTTTAAAATCAATTATTGAGAGAATGGTATTGAAATCTCCAATTATAATTGTAAATTTGTTTATTTCTATTTGTAGTTCTCTCAGTTTGCTTCATGTATTTTGAAACTCTGCTATTAAACACACAGACATCTAAGGAATTTATGTTCTCTTGGTAAACTGACCTTTATTATGAAGTTACCTGATTAATTTTTGGTACTATGCTCTGAGATCTATTTTGTTTGGTATTGTAGTCATGCTAGGTTTATTTTAATTAGTGTTTGCTTTGTATATCTTTTACCATCCTTTTACTTTTATTTTTGTAAATTAACATACAGTAAAAGTCAATTTTTTATTAGTACATACTTTTATGAGTTTCAACATATATATTGTTTCATTTAATCTCCAGAATTATGACACAGAACCATTCCATGACCTCAGCATACTCCCTCCTGTTACCCCTTGGTAGTTATACCCACCACCATCCCTAAACCCTGGAAGCTACTGATCTGTTTTCTGTCGCTTTATTTTTGTCTTTTTGGAAATGTTACATAAATGACATTATATGATCTGTAAGCTTTTGGGGCTGGTTTCTTTTACTTAGTATAATATTTTAAGATTCATTCATTTTGTTGTCTATGTCAATAGTTTGTTCCTTTTTACTGTTGAGCAGTATTCCATGGTATGGAACTTTGTGAGGTCTCTTCTTCATTCTCCTCCACCTGGACCATCTTCCGAATTCTTTCCAGTTGCTAGGGCTCTATTTTGGCCCTTTGGCCTGAAAGCTGGGACCTTATTTTCCCTGCTCTGCCACACAGTTATCATGGCTGCACCCACATCTTGGCCCAAAGACAAAGAGAGAGGAACTGAATTGAATATTCACCACAGAAAGACAATCACTGCTTCTCTGACCAAGGAGAAAGGTTCCTCTTTTACAGGGTTTTAGGCATCTGCCACCCCCACTGTCACCATTGTCACTCCTCTTGCTACCAATGCCTTGAAATTGCCTTGGGATCCAGGCCAGGCCGGGAGGGGCGGGGCGGGGCGAGGCGAGGCGTCCTCTCCAAGCTCTCTGAGCTTTGAGAATCTTCTTCTCTTTAAGAAAGAAGTGGCCGGGCGCGGTAGCTCAGGCCTGTAATCCCAGCACTTTGGGAGGCAGAGGCGGGCGGATCATGGTCAGGAGATCAAGACCATCCTGGCTAACATGGTGAAACCCCGTCTTTACTAAAACTACAAATTAGCCGGGCGTGGCGGCATGCGCCTATAGTCCCAGCTACTCGGGAGGCTGAGGCAGGAGAAGGGCGTGAACCTGGGAGGCGGAGGTTGCAGTGAGCCGAGATTGCGCCACTGCACTCCAGCCTGGGCGACAGAGCGAGACTCCATCTCAAAAAAAAAAAAAAAAAAAAAAAAAAAAAAAAAAAAAAGAAGTAGGGGGCTTCTCCTGGAGCTTTTTCTGTCTGTTGACAGGTGACTGTTTCCAGCTTACGTGATGCCCTAAGTCCAGGTCGGGGTAGACTGGGAAATATAAGATAGGGGGTGGGGTGAGGTGGGGACTCACCATCAGCTTGGTGAGAGTTTGCATTCTGATTTTCTTTCTTAATTCATCTGCTCTCATTAATATGTGGTTTTCATTTACTTTTAAGCTTTGTGAAATTGCACCAGGCCAGCATTTATTCTAGAGCAAACTTTCCCCCAGTACTGAGGCAGAATCCTTTTGACGATGGTGACAGTGGGGGTGGCAGATGCTTAAAACCCCAGCCTTGTAAGGTTTCCACTCATGGTTTGAATAGAAACGACTTCCAGCCCTTTGTGAACCTTGGAGAGTATTCCTTGTGCTCTTTTTTGGCGGTTCTTTCTGCAGACAAAGATGTTTATCATTACTCGCTGGAATCCTTGAGGGTGACTGTTTTTCGAGCTCTGGAATCCTCTCTGTGTGCTGATCTCTCTTCTTATATTCTGTCCTATCTGCCTTGATGTCCCCAGACTCTCAGCTCTAGGAGAATACTAGGTTTTGCCTGGGTTCCCACTCCCTGCACCTCTGTCTGAAATCCATAGGCAGTAAATTTAGACAGTCATAGGGCTCACCCAATTTGTTTCTTATCTTTCACAGATCCCTTTCCTTCAATGTTTTTAAACTTTTTTTCCATATATTTTTGTTTGATTTTAAAGAGTTTCAGGACGTAATGTAAATCGAATCTCTCTTACTGGAAACATAAATTTATAGGATATAATTGAATAAGTAATGGTGAAATCCAAACTAAAAATGCCTAATTATTTTAGAGATGATTGTGTGAGAGATAGCTTTACAAAGGAGGTGGAATTTGGGCAGGTGTGGTGACTCACACCTGTAATCCCAGCATTTTGGGAGGCTGAGACAGGTGGCGGTTGGGGGGCATCCTTGAGGCCAGCCTGGGTAACATGATGAAACCCCTTCTCTACAAAACAACAACAACAAAGGAGGTCTAATTTAAGCTAGTCTTTGAAGGAGGAAGGATATTCCAGGTGAAAAAAAATTTTTATCACCAATGTGATCGTTTGGAGAACAACCTGATAAGACGGGTCAGAGTATATAGGGAACTAATAAAAAATAAGGTTGGGATCAGATCAAAGAAGTCTCTGCAAACCAGAAGTTGTGCTATATTGCAGTGATGGAAAGTCTTTACGTTTTTAAAGTCTAAGCAGTGTTATATAATAATGAGCACAGAGTTTAAAATTAATATAAACATTTATGTCCAGCCTATATATTTGTTTTAACTTAAGTGCATCTGTTCCTTTTTCTGTCCTTTGAATAAAATGAAGAGCAGCCTCATAAAAACATGGCTGGTATTGTTTTTATCTAATACATTACATTTACATAACACTGGAGTAAGGCCATTTCTTAACTTTCTTTAGTTCCTTAATCTTTGTTCATAGAACATATTTTCCATTATAATTTTAACTACTCTTTTCAGGATGTGTTTCGTTTTTTCTCTACTTAAAATGACAATGATCAAAACTAGATATAATATGCTAGTAAGTTTGTTCTAATGTAGAATTTAGTTGAATTATTTGTTTATCAAATTCCTTTTAAATACCTGACAGTATCAATGTAGCTTTTTTTCACAATAGCATTATATTTCACTTGAAAGCTATTGACATCCAAGTAATTTTTATACAAATTATTCATAGCTTGTCTGGTTTCCATGTTATAATCCTGTAATATCAAGTCATATTCTATTCTGTTTTAATATGATCATTTTAAAATTTATCAAACTCATTAGATGTTTCAGACTTTCTTTGTTTCCTGGTATTAGATATGTACCTCTCTCTATTTAATAGAGGTTGAAGTTTTGATACATTGGGTAAGTTTAATACAGTGAAGAGAAAAAACATGTTTAAAAACATTAAACATTAAACATTAAAACATTAAACATTAAAAATAGCATTAAAATGCTATTTTCCAGCATCAAAATAGCATTAAATGACGCTATTTTTCCAGGATATGGAGAAGAAAATAAAGGAAGATATGGGGAGATTTATAGAAGAAGAAAGGGAAATATTAAAGAAATTGAGGACAGACAAACCCCTCTTAAATCAAACCCAAGGCACAGAGACAGAAAAGTAGAGAACTAAGATAAGTGTTGAGATAGAGAGACTGGAAAGATGATGAGTTTAAATCAACAGAAGCAGTTTTAAGGACATTCTGAAAAACTAATTAGAAACTGAACAATTTGCCTAAAGCAGAGCTGCATAGGTATATGGTATACTAGCATATGGAAACAGACAAAAATGTTCATGTAAATCTTTCAAGAAGAGTGAGTACAAGTTTGGTGAAAGAAAATGATTTTACAGTAAAAGGACTTATTTCGAGTGTGCAGGAATCTTTGAAAGGCTTCTTAAATAGGGGAAAAGATTTATGAGTGAAAGCAAAAAGTAGATATATAGAAGGCAGATGAGAATTTTGGAAGATAATGAACCTCTCTCTTTTTCTTTTAATGTATGCATACTTCACTAGAAGATTAGAGAATAAAAGGTGTTTAGAGAAATGACTGCCTTCTTGTACACAACAATGTGTATAGTCAGAAGGAGCTTCTCTTTAGACAGAACTGGGATATCTGGAAAATAATATACAAACAAGATGTTTAGAATTTGTTTGAAAACAATCTGAATTGACAGATATCATTTGGATAAAGATAGACATAACGTAGAATAAAATTCACTAATATGGAATTGGATAGTGGGGTCATTCATTTATGCATATAAAAATAAAGGTTATGAAATGTTTAGAAAGGGACACTGTATGTTGTGAAAATAAATGTAAAACCTTACAAAAGCAGATAACTTGCCAAAGGTAGATACATTAAGCGTGGAATAAAAGACACTCCGAATTTGTTAAAAATGCTCTAGGTGCCTTAACTTCTTTTCTTTTGGGACACCAGATTATACTGAGAAAGGTTAAAGGATTTTTTAAAAATGATAGTGTAAAGGGACACAAAATGATAAAATCTGTGAAAAGAATAAAAGCTCCCGGTGTCTTAGCTGAGCAAAGCTGTCCAGATCTTGAGCATTGATTACATACCTCCACAAGCAGTTTGAATGGAATATGGACAAAACAAGAAATTACACAGCTGACGATACATGATGCACAAGCTACTCCTCTTTTCAGAGGGAAAAAAAAGTAATATGTAGTAGGAATGGAACATACTGACATTATTCAATTCCAATTGTAAAATATTTGCAGGAATATTTTAAAGGCAGGAGGCTAGCAAATAAGCCAAGAAGGTTTTGTTTGTTTGTTTGTTTTTGTTCTTTAGTGGAAGAAAATAATGGATCAGATACAATCATTGCTTTTGAATAAATAATCCAGAATTTCTTTATAAAGATATTGTCTACGTATGCTTTAGAGAAGAAGAATAAAAAACTATTTGATAAATAAACATAAAGGGGGCATACAGTACCTAGACTCATCTCATTAGTATCTTGACATCTCTTTTTTATGCCAATGCCCAAGGTATGTTACTTTTCCCAAGAAAAATCAAATCCTTTAACTTGCCATTAGCTATTCAAAACTTTAAAAATAAATATCCTTCGAACCAACAACTCCAGTCCTGAGAATATCTCCCACAGATATACTTAGACAGCTAAGTGTATGTACAAGGAAGTTAATTGCGGCATTGCTTATAACTGCAGAATTTGAGGGAAAACCTGAGTGTTCAACTAAGCGGGAATGGATAAATAACTTATGACATGCCCCTACTGTAGATTACTGTGCATGCACTAAAAGAATGAAATAAATCCTGTGCACTGAGATAGAAGACTATCTGTGTTATCTGCTCAAGTGAATTTTAAAATGCACAACAGTATGTATAGTAACCCACTTTAAAGAGGCCTTTATATATTTTAATACAAGCATAATGTAGATTATGATATATAGAGAATGAGGTCTTGAAGTATGCTTACTAAACTGTTAACAGTGGTTACTTCTAGTAAGTGAAAGAGGTAGCCTTTAAGTTTTTAACTTATATCCTTCTGTATTTTGACTTCAAAAAACATACAAGCACATATTTAATTTTTTAAACCTGAAATTTATATGAGGGATAAAACAAACACAAGTTTGGGAGCCAACGTTTTCTCCCCAACTCCTGGTTCACTACCTTTTCTCTTACCTTAACCTTTACCACTACCACAAACTACCACAAACGAACACAAACGAACACTTTAAGCACAACTCATTTTATTATTGGGAGAGGTTTCACAAATAAGTTCCTGGTTTCCAGTTAACTTGTTGCAAAGTTTACATCCTACCCAATGTGACTACATGGCTTTAAAGTTACCAGTGGTAGCTTCTGAGTAAAATTTTGTTTGTTTGTTCATGCGTTAATGGAACATATATTAAGTACCAACAGTATGCCAAACACTGGGGAATTCAAAGATGCTAGTCTCTCAACTGTTTCAGCTGATGCTTGACTATCCTCTCCCACACCCTAGTGTCCTCATTCACTGCTTCCCAATACTCTACATTTGAAAGGTGATTCCCACAAATTTATTGCAATTTAGACCCCATATATCAATGCCGAGATCGCGCCACTGCACTCCAGCCTGGGCGACAGAGCGAGACTCTGTCTCAAAAAAACAAAACAAAAAAAGAGCTGAAGTGACTCTTCTCATGCCTTCAGCATGAGAATATTCCCTTAAAATTGGCATCTCTTTTTATAAGATGAGCTATTATTATTTTACTTCTACTTTTCTAAATAACAGAGACAGCAGACGAATTAGTAATGGAAAATAAAAATAGTGGCATAGGATATATAATGTTTGGGTTTACAAAGAAAAAGGGGCATTTGTGAAAGATTTGATATTTGTTAACATAAACATGTCAATCATTGTTGGAAAAAGAAAAATATGATATATAATCTTGTTTTAAAGTGTATGTATAATGTATAAATATTTTTGGAATAAAAATATTCATCTCTTTCCCTAGAGGGAGAGTGGCTGGATCAGATCATCTCTTTGAAGTTCCAGTTCTGTAATTCAAGCATTTTCTTTAAAAAGCTTTAAAATTAAAATGAGAAGCTTAACTAGGGTTTATACTACACATATGTGTAGGATCAATATTTTTAAAACTGCATTCTTAATATGTTATGCCTTTTGCTCTTTAAATCTGTGAAACAAAACATAGTTTTATTTGAAGTCATTAAAATATGAAGGGGACAGAGTAATCAATGCTGTTGGTTCTTACTGTATTATATTATTAGAAAGCAATTTGTGTATTTTGTGTATCTGTCTTCCTGGTTTTTTATAATGAAACATTTCTATCTTTGAAACTACAGACTCAATCTTGCCAAAATGTTCATTTTTTGTATCATTGTTAAATTGCATATTGTTCCCTTTTGGTGTACTTTAGTAGCCTGTTACAATCTTTTTAAATTCGTTATTCTTAATCGACAAATAAACATTATATATAATTTGTCATGTAAAACATGATATTTTAATCACATCATGGTAAATGGGGTATCCATCCCCTAAAGCATACATCTCTGTACCCACAAAAATTAAAAATAAAAGATAAAAATTGAAAAACATGATGTTTTGAAATATGTGTATGTTGTAGATTCAACCTGTTATAATCTTAAAAGTGATTGTCATTCTTCCAACTTATATCAATAGAACAACTGTCTATTTGTCGTTAGTTGAGACCATCAGGGTGTAGTGAAAAAGCTAATCAACAAGGATTCTTCTCACCAGAGCTCTGTCACTCCTCTGAATTGTGGCTGCTAGCCTGTTAATTCTCCACTAAACCTTTAGGCATTTGGAGACAATTAAGTCTCATGTTGGGGTTTCCTGGGCTTTTTTTTGTTTTTTTTCAAACAAAGATAATTAAGTCTCAAACTTGAAACTTGAAAGATATTTGGCCAGGCAGCAGCAATGTACTGAGTATAGGCTTCTCAAAGAGATGAAGTAATACAATTAGTAGAAAGAACTATCGTGTACTTAATACAGTTGCTCTCTACTTTTCTTTCTCAACCTCCCCCAAAACAAAACAAAACCAAGATGCTTCAGTCAAGCACTATAAAAGGACTATTAAATTATCGCGAAAAGGAATGTTAAGACAGTCTAATACTCTCATTCTGCAGATGGGAAAGTAGAAGTGCACATTGTAATTATTTTTCAAAATAAGGTAAAAGCTGATAATTGTGTAAATAAGCAAAAGTATATACTTTTTCCTTAATCGTTTTTAACCTAAATTAGTCTTAATTTTGTGTTATTCCTACAGTGAAAGAAAACATGCATTGTCACATATCAGGAAAGTTGTGCAGTTATTTTTTCTTCTCCCGAATATTCTGTTGGCTTTATGTTCCACATATGTTGCACCACATTAATATTCAAACAATTTTAGCACACGAAGATTTGTAACCTCATTTTACCTTGATTAGTGACTCAACTCATGTTCTTGTTGTAGGGCTTTGACCAGCTTCGACTTGAAGGATTGCTTTGTGATGTGACCCTGATGCCAGGTGACACAGATGATGCTTTCCCTGTGCATAGAGTCATGATGGCATCTGCTAGTGATTACTTCAAGGCTATGTTCACAGGTAGTTTGCCTTTTAAAACTCTGAAACCACATTAAAACAATATGAAAAATCCGTGTTTAAATCTTTTTTATTTCTAACATGAAATTTGGTTCTTTTGGAAACAGCTTCAAAAGAAGTACACAACAGTATGTATGGTTTTCGGTGGTGCTGTTTTAACATGGAAAATTGATGCACTTTTTTCATACTGTCCATCTTTATCTCACAGCTTTTCTTTTTCAAGCTTATATCTAGTGGGCCATCAGAGACTCTGTGTCCTCCTAGTACAATCTCTACTCTATGTCAAAAAATAGGAAGTGAGAACATTTTGGAAGCACTTGCATCATATATGACCTCCATTAGTATAGAGATTATCTTTTTTAAGTACTTTCTTTTAACAGTAAAATGTGCAGCAGACTGACTCTAATATGACTGCTTATATAAGATAAGACTTTCCTTTGATTTTATTGCATCTAATTAGCAGCAGAAGTGAGTTTGACCATAATTATCCACCTTCATTTAATTGAATGTCTTTTTATTTAAGGTGGAATGAAAGAACAAGATTTAATGTGCATTAAACTTCATGGTGTGAGCAAAGTCGGTCTAAGGAAAATTATTGATTTCATTTATACTGCAAAGCTTTCTCTTAATATGGACAACCTTCAAGACACGCTGGAAGCTGCCAGTTTCCTACAGATTCTGCCAGTTTTGGACTTCTGTAAAGTGTTTCTCATATCTGGGGTAAGATATTTTGAAATCTGATTTTTCCTGTGGTAGACTCTGATGTAGCCTGTTTAGGACTCATGAAATCTGCTGTGCAGGAATGTGAAACTTGCCATTAGACAGATGTGTCTTGTTGTATGTGGTCTGTAAGCAAGGTGAGATTGAAACAGGTGCATTTTTATGAAATAGAATCATTTAATAAAAGCCTCTGTGTTGGCCGGGCATCGTGGCTCACGCCTGTAATCCCAGCACTTTGGGAGGCCGAGGCGGGCAGATCGTCTAAGGTTGGGAGTTCAAGACCAGCCTGACCAACATGGAGAAAGCCCGTCTCTACTAAAAATACAAAAATTAGCTGTGCATGGTGGTGCATGCCTGTAATTCCAGCTACTTGGGAGGCTGAGGCAGGAGAATCGCTTGAACCTGGGAGGTGGAGGTTGTGGCGAACTGAGATCACGCCATTGCACTCCAGCCTGGGCAACAAGAGTGAGACTCCATCTCAGGAAGAAAAAAAAAGCCTCTGTGTAATCAAATGACATGAGATACTAATAATGTTTGATGAAGATATATACTTTAACTGTTTGATAATGGTATGTACCATAATCTGGTTTTATTCACCTTAATGACTATACAAGCAGGCTTCTTAAATGTAATTGAATGGAAAAGTAATCTGAGCTTCTAGAACTCTTTAAAATTTCTTCTTTTAATAAGGGAGCTAGATCTTAAGAAGAACTAATACCTATGGGCAAACCTGTAAGAATGTAAGTCTTGATTCCATAGAAACATATCACCTACTGAATAGTGTTTAGCCATTTTTTAATAGATAAGATAGGACACATACAACTACCAATCGATGGAGTACTTAATGATAGTCACCCAGTTCCTGAAGAGAGTGTTTTATTTTAGTTGAGACCTTTAAATTTTACTTCTGGGGAGATAAATGGCTACATTGGACAGAAATATTGCCAAGACTTCCAGAGGTCTTGGAGCTTGTTTTTCTGATTAAGAATTCTGGCAATATTAATTTTTGGTATATTTTCTAACTCATTATGTTGATGGATATGTTTTCTATAATTTTTTAACTCATATGAATCTTAATATAGGTAAATAATTGCTGTTAGATCTTTACAACTTACATTTTTTGAACATGGAACCTTCTTTAAAACACTAAGTTTCAAGAGAGCCATGTCCTTAATTATTTTATTATTAAGGTACTTAACTATCTTAAAAGTCAGCCAATAACTAATTTAACTGGCCTATTGAAAGTGTGTTTTTTGTATGTTTGATTTTAGAAAACTCAGACTGCTGTCTCACAATTACTTATAAAATTTGAACTAATTGCTACTTTTAAGGGTTTTTATGGCAGCATGGTGCTATATTGTTGACTTGTATTGTCTTCTTTATTGCGAAAGTAGCCCAAGTGAAGTTGGTTAATTCCCATGCTATTGCTTGCCTCCATTACTGAATTTAGGTGCTAAATTTTATTTAAATTTGATCATGCAAGGCCCATTCCCTCAAGAGCTATTAGGATCTCACCTCTGGTTGTGTCACTGGCATGATATAACAACTTCATTTCAAGGAAAAATGAATCATATTGAATGTGATTTTCAAAATGCCTCAAGTCCAGAATTTAATTTAGTAGTAACACTTAAAGCTTGTACTTATAGACTCTTAACATTGCTTTACACTGATCTTAGCAACACATGGTCATCCTGAGCCAAATTAAGGAAAGTGCCATGATTTCTTTGGAACTAATCATTAACAAGAGACATTGTTGGCCTATCCTCTAATGCAGAAGTTTAGTACTTAGAACTTCAGGTATTGATTGTGATCAATTCCTTTACCTGAAAGAAAATGACCAAACTGGATAATACACAATACAAAAAAGTTATAGTAATATTACTGTCACAATAATAGAAAAGAATTTTGTTCTAGATAACTGTATTTAAAGCAATTTTATTTAAAGATGAGACCATAGTCACTTTGTATTGCTAATTTCCAGTAATTAGACTGTTGGTTCCTTAACCTGTGTTGAAACATTTATTATAATTGTTTAACAATTTAGAAATGTCTTCATTTTTATAAACACTTAATATTGCCTTAAATATCATGTTCATTTTTTTTTTTTGCATCCTTTGCAGACATCCTAAAACCTATTTCTAATGGAGAAGAGGCTTCTCTGTAGCAAAGATTACTTGTGATAGAGTTTACTCCTACCTCTCAGTTTTAGAATTTTCTTGCCTATGAACTTTTAGGAATTACCTCTTTTCTTTGCATTATTCTACCTTACTTGTCCTTCATCCTTTTTTGCAGAGGATATGTCTGTATGGTTTTAGAGTAGAAATCTCTTCCCTCTCAGAATCCATTGTAATTTTTGAGAAAATCTGGCAGATGATTAGTTCCAGGAACATGCAAAACCCAAGTTTTCCTTTACCCTTCTTTCATGCATTCTGTTTTTTTAGTTAAACCTATGTTCAGTCTTGCTCTATTTATTTCCCCTTTCCTTCTCAGCAATCAAGTGAAAAAGGAAAAATAGTAGCCCAGTGTATTTTCTACTTATAAAAACTGAACATCTCAAGATACTATATTTTTTAAAGGAGGATTTTTTGAAGTTCTTCCATGAGCTAAGTTATTATAGATAAATTTTAATATAATGTTCTCATGTTTAAGAACGGTGTGCTGAAATAAGATGTTTTAGAGGAAATAGGCTTTATGTTTTTAATGATATAGTGATATTATAGTTCACATAATCAAAACACTATTTGGGTTTGAACTTTTAGACAGAAAAATTCCCTTCTAATACAATTCTGTTCTATCCTATTCTCAATCATTTGTGTGGAGGAAGAAGAACAGTGGTACGTAAAGTGTGAATCAGTAACAGTGGTATGTAAAATGCGAATCAGTAAAGAACCTAGAAAACATGTATGTATTAGTTTTAAATGATAACTCTAGATACATTAGTAAAGCCACACTCACCTTTGGTGGGATAGAGATACCAGTTTTCTATAACAGAGCATCAGTGTTAATGGAACAAGAGCCAACCTCCCTTCTAACTTTGCCATCATTTGCAGTGTTACTTAGTGGTTTATAGGATGTGGCATTTTTGTTTTTGCTATGTTATTTTCTTGGAGTTATGGAAAAGAGGACAATGAAATGAATACAGAAGGATGACAATGAAGGATAGATATGAAGCATGGTAGGTAAAAATTTCTGTAAAACTAAAACCACTTTTATATACTATGAAGATAATGGAAAATTGCCTTTGTTTAGTCATACCTAAAAATTACATTGGTTTTGTCCTTATGACATTGTATAACTACAACATGTTAAATACTGTGCCCATTAGCTAGTGTTTTTTTTTTTGTTTGTTTGTTTTGTTTTTTGAGGCGGAGTGTCGCTGTTGTTGCCCAGGCTGGAGTGCAATGGCAGGATCTTGGCTCATCGCAACCTCCGCCTCCCAGGTTCAAGCGATTATCCTGCCTCAGCCTCCCGAGTAGCTGGGATTACAGGCATGCACCACTGTGCCTGGCTAATTTTGTATTTTTAGTAGAGACGAGCTTTCTCCATGTTGGTCAGGCTGGTCTCAAACTCCTGACCTCAGGTGATCCACCCGCCTCAGCCTCCCAAAGCACTGGGATTACAGGCGTGAGCCACCGCGCCCAGCCCCATTTGCTAGTTTATAAGAAAGTTGTGTAAGTTTTGTTTATCCTTTGTTTGCAATTTGAAATTTTTAGCATCTAGCATTTGCCCCACGGAACTTTTGTTATGGAGGATTTTAGGCTAGTTCACAAAACAACCTAATTTAATGTTAGGTTGCTGAAATAGGGCATCTGTAATTGAACTCAAAAGATTACAATTTAAATATACAAATATATAGAATGAACAAAACAGAATAAAGGTGAGAAAGAAATCACTTTATGTTTGTATAAAAGCATTTTTTAACAAGAGAATGAGATATGTCATTGGGCTTTAGACTTGGGGATAATCTTTCTTAAAATAATTTTTTAATTGTGTTTTCCCCCCTTGATGCAGGTAGATTACTGGTTTCACCTGCACATTTGTTATCAGTGATGGGGTGGAGAGCTTACAATGAAGTAGAGAGAAAGTTTATTGAGGTGACTGGAGGTGATGAAGAGTTGGAGACAAAATAAAGGAGGTACATAAGTGGGAAGGAGACAAGAGAGAGGAATAGGGAGAATATGTTTCTCTCAAAAGAAAAACAAAAAGAATCAGAAGTCATTGGAGAAGACAGTTCCTTTTGCTTTGCCTCTGTTACTAAATTACTGAGGATTTCCTGCATAGTACATATATTTCACATTTTTCATTTAATCTAAATTGTATTTACCCGTAAAGATTAACAGACATGTTTTTTAAGATTTTTTTTTCACTTTTGAGGGCAATTTAATGCAAGTTAGAGACAAATTGTATAGATAATTAAAATTAAAAATGAATCAAAATTATTTCCCTCCCCACCAAACCAGTCTTGACTTCCTTATTGACAGGGCTGATATTGGGCAAATAGTACATAGAAGGCCATCCCCGTTGCTTATGGTCGGCCATCCATTCTGATTGGTTGATACCCATCTTTTGTGGTTTTTAAATATTCTAAATATCCCTCCTATAACCTTGAGCACCCATTCTTGCCTATCTGCTATCTGGGACTCTGTCTGGGAAGAAGAGGCCTAGCCTGGGCTCAAACCTCTTCAACCTCACAAAAGCCATTGTAATAACTAACATTGCATTCAATAAAGGAACTGCATTCAAAGTGCAAATAAATAGAGAATTGAATATTTTGGGCTGGAGACACCAGTGGCATTCACCTCAAATAGCATTTAGAAACTGAAGAAAGACAAAGACTGAAAGAGAGAGAGGTGTTTATTATTCAATTATCCCTTTGTTCTTACCAAAGTGTCTCTTCTTTGTGTCCTGTGATGGTCTCATCTGTGGAAGGAGGCTTGAGAAAAGATACCTGTACATTCTCTGCCTGCTGAAGTACCTTGTTGGATTTCTTCCTAGTCTTATTCTGTGGACATGGTTTCATTCTCTGCATTGATTGTACTAGATATCAGGCTGTCATTTTAATAAACTAGATAGCACCAAGTAGAATTTGGCGCATTGAATGGCTAAGGAGTTCCCCAAATTTTTGCCAGATTTCTTAGTCTTTGCATTTCCCTTGAGAGTACAAAAGCAGATACTGGCTGGTCCGAGTGCAGTGGTGTTTACAACTAATTGATCACAACCAGTTACAGATTTCTTTGTTCCTTCTTCACTTTGACTGCTTCACTCGGCTAGCCAGAAAAAAAAAAAAAAAAGCAGATACCCATTTTTTTCTAAATGGGAATTTCTTTGTATAAAACACCAATCTTTTAAAAAAAGTCCTAGATTTCAGATGAAATCTTCCATTAAAATAGCAAATTATGTTAATGACAGTGTTTTGGGTACATCAGTTATAATTTGAATAGTACAGCAGCAGTGAGGACCAGTATGTTATTGAGAATACCACTTGCAATATTATGATGTTGGAAGTGCCTTTAGGATGACTATGACTGTTGTTTGGTTATAAAAGAATAATTTATAATAATTTATATCAAAGAAATGTAAATGAGCAGTTGATTATTTTAAGAACAATTTTATAGGTTCCCACAGGTGCTTGAAGAGTTTTATCCTTTTTTGTTGTTCTTTTTTTTTTTTTTCTTTTTTTTGATGGAGTCTTGCTCTGTCACCAGGCTGGAGTGCAGTGGTGCGGTCTTGGCTCACAGCAACCTCCGCCTCCCGGGTTCAAGTGATTCTCCTGCCTCAGCCTCCCAGGTAGCTGGGAATACAGGCGTGTGCCACCACGTCCGGCTAATTTTTGTATTTTTAGTAGAGATGGGTTTCACCATGTGGGCCAAGATGGTCTCGATCTCCTGACCTCATGATCCACCCACCAAGGCCTCTCAAAGTGCTGGGATTACAGGCGTGAGCCACCGCCCCCGGCCTTGTTGTTCTTTTTAAATGCCAATGTAGTTATTTGGATTAACTTCTGTTATAACTCTGTTTTTAAGTGAACCTTCTTTGGAATTGTGGCCAGGTTTTCAGATGAAATAAAAGATGAACTCAGATGAAATTTCTACTTAGAAATTTTTAAAATAAGCTTTAAACTTCATATTTTATATTTTCAATGTGTATTCTATTATATATGTAAATTGCATTATAAGTCCAATTATCCATTTATGGATATCCAATTATCCATTTATCCTTTTATGTATCCAGTGGATAAACAAACACATGTATCCATTTAAAAATACTGTCTAGGCTTAATGTTTGGAGATTTCTAGCTGAGTCACTTTTAAGAATCATGATGGAGAAGTGGATTAAAATGAACCATAATAGAATATTATGTATTTCTCTGGGCCATTGTTTACTATAATTCCATCAGTTTTGGTCTATTTATATTGTTAATTATTACTGTAGACTTTGCTTCTTTAATTTCTATATTCTATGATTAATTTTTAAGCTTTGATTACATATACTTGCTAAGAATTAATTTCCTATTACATATTTTTCTTGTCTGTGTCTCATTTTGAAATTAATAAGGTTTTAGTAATTTGCTACATTAATTCAACAGGTATCCTATTTTTAATTGCATCTATCATCGTATCTTTACTTTTTATATTTTTGATACTTGTAGTATTTAGCCTTTGTTGTATACTCACAGTATAGTAGCTGTTGTATATGAGCTATAGAAAATACTTAGTCTTGGGTACCCCATAAATATATATACCAACTATGTGCCTACAAAAATTAAAAACTGAAAGAAATAAAAAAAGAAAATACTTAGTTCTTCTGTCAAGAAGATAACAGTTCGGAAGGTTATGGAATACCTTTCTCTGGTGATTTTAAAGAAAAAAGTAGGCAGCTATTTGTATTGGTTAGATGGTCTGTCAAAGTCTTTTCTAGTCTTGTGTGTCTGTATATATGAACGTATTGATATACAGAAGGTATTTTCCAAATGCCTGTAAATAAAATTTAAGTTTCTTTCTCATGTTATTCTAGCAATCGTTTTCTCACTGGATAAATTTGAAGAGGGAAAAGGTGAAGGAATTAAATACCTTGATCCCATTTCTGAATTATACAGTTTGGCTTTTAATCTTTAATCTTGCTCTGTTTTACATGCTATAAATTTAGATTTCAGTTTGGTGACTGGCAACTGGTAGTATCATTTTGTCTTCTTAAAGTACCCATTCTTTGTTGTTTTTTAGTAATCATATCAATAATGATGAGAATTTGCATACTTGGGAATTATATTTGTGTTGTCATCAACTTTTGCTTAACTGTACTAATAAACATCTTCAAAAGTATAAATCACCTTCACTCTGGGGACGAGATAATTCTTACTTGTCTTGGGAAGTGAATTCATGACCTCAAATTCCTTCCACTCAGGGTGAATTGGGAAAACAGGTATTGACTGTAACTCCATTTACAAAACTTAAATTTTTGAACCACCGACCTGCAGCTCCTCAAATTGGATTAAATGGACTTTTTATTAACCACGTTAGAAATCCAGGGTATTTATACAGTGTTATGCTGTCTATTTCTAGAGACTCATAATTTGTTAACTTATTTTTCTATTTTTTTATGTTACAGTTATGTGTTAGGTATTTTAAAAATATGTAGCTACTAAGTAAAATAAGCAATTAAACATTTTTGTAAAGCAAATCAGCTACTTAAAAGAGCACAAATTCTTTTTGAGTAATAAATCAATGATAGACTGGATAAAGAAAATGTGGCACATGTACACCATGGAATACTATGCAGCCATAAAAAAGGATGAGTTCATATCCTTTGTAGGGACATGAATGAAGCTGGAAACCATCATTCTCAGCAAACTAACACAGGAACAGAAAACCAAACACCACATGTTCTCACTCATAAGTGGGAGTTGAACAATGAGAACTCATGGGCACAGGGAGGGGAACATCACACACCAGAGCCTGTTGGAGGCTGGGAGGCTAGAGGAGGGATAGCATTAGGAGAAATACCTAATGTAGATGACGGGTTGATAGGTGCAGCAAACCACCATGGTACGTGTAATACCTATGTAACAAACCTGCACGTTCTGCATGTATATCCCATAAGTTAAAGTCTAATTAAAATAATCTATGAAAATAACAATGTGTGTGTGTTAACCTTAGAGATTTCAGTGATATTATATCCTAACTGGGCTGTCATTTTATGCGGAGGAGTAATGTTTTTAGCTTTGTTTCAGTTTTTAAAGAAATGTCAACAGGAGGATTATTTTATTTTCTCTTAACCATCTGCCAAATCTGTTAACTATACAGGTGTGAGGTTAACAATACATTGATAAAGTTTGTGTGATATTGAGGACACATAACCTGACAAAATTTTAAAAACAACCAAACATTTAAGTCTTTTGCCTGTGATCTGTGTCTGTTTGTATACATACACACTGGCATTTTTTATTGTAGGCTTGTTTTTGTGGTTTGTTCTTTGTATTATATTTGCTAATATTATTTTTCCTATTTTTCCTTTGATGAGTCAGTTATTAGAGCATTGAAAAGAGGTTCTACTGAGGAAAGGCCTCTCTGTCACTTCTCTTCTTTGTCAGCTTTTCACTTTATGGTATATTTTGCTCTATGGTGGGGAGATGGTTCTGGGCTCATGTTGACGCCAGAGAGAAACAGAATGTGCTGAAAGTAAGAGTGGCTAAGGAAAGCTGTGTTGCCCAGATGGAAGCAGTCATCACAGATACCAAAATCTCATTTACATGAGAGATTTGTTGTAGATATACCCCTCTGCCCTTAAGAAAGACATTTCCTTGCTTATATTTCCAGATAAATAATGTTGAAAATTAATTTGCCCTAGGGATAATTATCTTATTAAATTATTTTCATTATGAGTGATAACTTTGAAGGAACCAAAATGAATGATAGTAATGAGTGATGCCTATTTACGTGAAAGGGAAATCTAGGGTTTGGGTATTAGAGCTTTTCTGTTCATGGATCTGCTAGCTGTGTGGTATTTTTAAGAATAATGACTAAGAAGTGGATTGAGATGAATCATAATAGAACAACCTTCTATTTTCCCAAGTTTCCATCTGGCAGGAATTTTATCAGTATTTTGGGGGTGGGGGTGGGATACATTTTTGAGGAGAGAAGAGTAACTGGTTTGGCCATATTCCAGTTATAACATTGTTTCTTAGAGTAGCTTCTAACTTACTGACTTTGATCATTTTCTTTTAGTCAGCCTTCTAGTGGATTAAGTAAAGGTGGTTTGCAAATTATCTGTTTGTAGATCATTGATACATTTAGATAAGAATCCTATTTGTATCTATTTGAACATTAAAAGCATAATTTACTCTTATTCTAGAACAGGTATTTGTGCTATCAAGATGTGATTGCCATGAAAGTAGTCATGTTTTAATTTTTTTTAATTGGCTTAATAGGTCACTTTAGACAACTGTGTTGAAGTTGGACGGATTGCCAACACCTACAATCTAACCGAAGTGGATAAATACGTTAACAGTTTCGTCTTGAAGAATTTTCCTGCATTGCTGAGCACAGGGGAGTTCTTGAAACTCCCTTTTGAGCGTCTTGCCTTCGTGCTTTCCAGTAATAGCCTTAAGCACTGTACTGAACTTGAGCTCTTTAAGGCTACCTGTCGTTGGCTTCGCCTGGAAGAGCCTCGGATGGACTTTGCTGCAAAATTAATGAAGAACATACGATTTCCACTGATGACACCACAGGAGCTCATTAATTACGTGCAAACGGTGGATTTCATGAGAACTGACAATACTTGTGTGAATTTGCTTTTGGAAGCCAGCAATTACCAAATGATGCCATATATGCAGCCAGTTATGCAGTCAGACAGGACTGCCATTAGGTCTGACACCACTCACTTGGTTACACTAGGAGGAGTGCTGAGGCAGCAGCTGGTTGTCAGTAAGGAATTGCGCATGTATGATGAAAAGGCCCATGAGTGGAAATCGTTAGCCCCCATGGATGCCCCAAGGTACCAGCATGGCATCGCCGTCATTGGAAATTTTCTCTATGTGGTTGGCGGACAGAGTAATTATGATACAAAAGGAAAAACGGCAGTTGATACAGTCTTCAGATTTGATCCTCGATACAATAAATGGATGCAAGTTGCATCTTTAAATGAAAAGCGCACCTTCTTCCACCTAAGTGCCCTCAAAGGATATCTGTATGCAGTTGGTGGGCGAAATGCAGCAGGTGAACTGCGTAAGTGCATTTATATTAAGCATAGAGACAAATTTCTTCACTCAGAAATTCTTATCAAATCATAAAATAAGCAGTCCTGTAAAATCAGATAAAAATGTAGTTAGGGTTTTATTTTAAAACTATTTTTCTGAGAAAATATTGAAGACCATCTTTATGCCTTATCTGGGCATATATCGTTGGCAAGGGAACAAATTGTACGTTACAAATACATCAGTATATTGTAGCATATTTCACCTGTGCAGTATATATGGTCTTCATCTTGAAGGTTCATCTAAAGAGTATACTTAGCTCATTTAAATTATAATAAGGTCTTGGATAGAAGTTTGGCATGTTTTCTCATTTTCTGCTTTTAAAAGGCCATATGATATTTTACTGAACAGGTTACAATCCTTCATTACAGAAAACTTTCATTGTTTCTTCTTTTACAAAATATGTTACCTATTAGTGGCCACAAAGATAATTTTCTTTATAGATTAAATGTACAAAGTTCAACATTATCCAAAGTTTGTTCACTGTGAATATTATGATCTATGACTGTTTTAAAAATAATTCTGTTGACGTAATATCAGATAGTTTTCTTTTCCATAAGCCCATCTGGTAAGCTTTATTTGATGGTCACCTTTTTGTCTTCCCAGTATAAAATTGGTCATAAATGTACTTTGATGTAGAATACTTTGGCTATGTAAATTAACCCAAAAAGGTAAAATTTTATTATTTCAGATAAAATTGGGATAGTATAATTTTTCCAAAAATAAAGGCAGGAAGTCCACATTTTATGTTGTGACATATATTTGTCATTACCATTATTGTTTGGCCTTGTTTTCAATTATTTTATTCTCTATTATAAATAGAGTCTGTCACAGGGAGGGGAACATCACACACCAGGGCCTGTCTGGGGTTGGGGGGCTAGGGGAGGGATAGCATTAGGAGAAATACCTAATGTAGGTGACAGGTTGATGGGTGCAGCAAACCACCATGGCACGTGTATACTTATGTAACAAAACAGCACGTTCTGCACATGTACCCCAGAACTTAAAGTATAATAATATAAATAAATAAGTAAATAAATAAAAAATACAAAAAAGACAGAAAGACAGAAAGGAAGAAAGAAAGAAAGAAAGCCAGATGTGGCTCATGCCTGTAGTCCTAGCTGTTAGGGAGGCTGAAGCAGGATTGCTTGAACACAATAAATAAATAAATAAATAAATAAATAAATAAATAAATAAATAAATAATGTCCTTGTAGTTGACCAATTCCAGGCTCCATAGAGCTGGGAAAGTTCAAAATATTGGCATTGGCTCTGGATAAGTTCAGAGTAATTCTCAGAATCTTTATTTTTCAATATTCTAAGAAATAAAAGATAGTTTAATGTATTTGAGACTAAGCTATTTATCAGAGAATAGAATAACTGTTCTCAGCTTTTATACTTTCCTGTTTATAAAACCCTTTCTTGTTAGTGACATGGTCTTTTTCCTGATCTTTTCTACCCAAAGTTTTTTTTTCTTTGTTGTTACAATGATATTTTTTTCTAAGACCAGATTTTCTAGATTGTTGGACTATGTCGCATGATCATGAACTGCATAGGTTTTCCAATATATTTTAATAATTGGACTTTTAAAAGCAGTTAAGGCATAAGTGTCCTTAGTGTACAATTGTTCTTTAGGCCTCCTCAGTCAACCTACACACATTATTTTCATGTTATTATACTATTTTAAATTTGCGGTATCTGGAAATATCTAGAAGGTGCAAGTAGTGACTTGGTTGTTTCTTAGAAAATCCCTGTATAAGATAATGTTTTCTTAAATATTTTCTTCACAAATAACAGGTCATTAACTTGGTCAGTCTTCTTTTCTCAAAGGAAGTAGCTCCGTTTTTCAAAGTCAGTCCTTGCTTGTTGATATTATCACCCCTGTTAATATGCGGCTACTTAGCTTTCAATATATAGTTCCTAATACTAATTAAAAGCCATATTCTTCTGGGAGTTTTTAATCTTCAGGCCAAGGAGAGTCATTACATAAAACCAAGATGCTAGAGGCTTCTTTCTTTGAACCTATCCCAACTCTCTTTCAGCTGCTCCTATGGTATACCCATCTAGGAACTAGAAATAGACCACACTGTTGGGCAAGTGGCTCATACACAGGAATCCTTGCTCCTGACCTTCAGAAACCACCCCTCCATCTCTGATTAAAAACAGTCTTCTGTGTTTCATTTTGAAAGGGAAAAGAAACAAGGAAATCATGCTTTTCTTAGGGTATTCCTAAATTCATATTTAGGCTTTAACAATAAAATTTCTAAAGCTTAACCTAAGGATAATGACTTAAAAAAATTTCCCCTCTAATGGTAAATATAGGTCCATTTTAATCTTATTTCATAAACTGCATTTAAAAAAAGGCACATGTCATTATAATACAGGCACAAACCATCTATTCCAAGAATTCTAATTCTAGTTATCATCCAATTATTTGATATTTTATTCCATTTGAAATGATCTATAGATTACAAATCTATAATGACCTCATAGATTTGTAACCTATAAGTAGCTAAACTTTTGTAGAAAATGATTGCGTCCCTTAAAATCAGCATACCCATCAAACGCATTCTGTACTAAACATTTTATTATATAATATATTGGAAGTTTAAAAAATATTTTGTGATTGACTTAGTAAGTGCATTCAAATTTAGAGTCTTGATTTCAGGAGAAAAAAGGCCAAAAAGAGTCATTAGATAAAGCCAAGAAGCAAGAGGTTTCATTTGTTTCTGATCCACTCCACCCCCTTTGAGTTCTTTCTATGTTATACTCAAATAGAAGCAAGAAGTAGATTGTCTTGTCACGTCACATCCTGTATTACGGAGGTAACCAAACTTGATGAAACCTGCCTTGATTACTATTGCTCCCAAAGAATAATATTAATGAAATTTCCTGAATTCTATCCATGATCGTGTTTCTCTTTATATAAATAAAAAATGAATTTGTGTTAGTTGGCATTTCCAGTTTTCTTGGACCCATTGTTTTTGCAGAATAGCAGATTTTGATTCTAAAGAAACTCTTGCCTATATTTCTGAATGTTCCTGCCAGAAACTGAGGTTTTAACATTTCCCCTACCCTACAAGCGCTTTTTAAAAATAGAATTCCTCCTTCAACGCACACATTAACATCTGTTATAATAAATTAACATTCCCATTGTAACTGATTAAGTTGAGACATTCATATGCCTATGTAAATAGAAGGAGGTGATGGGAATGGGTGGCAGGAAGAGGGGATTGATGGGAAAGTCATTTAACAATTTAATAGGTTGATTAGTACCAGTATATCACTTCATACACACAGTAACTATTGCCTGTATATAATTATAAAAAGAAAAATTTGATGGGTACAAAAATAGTTAGAATGAATTAATAAGGCCTAGTATTTGATAGCACAGCAGGGTGACTATAGTCAATAATAATTTAATTGTATGTTTTACAATAAGTATGAGTATATATAATTGGATTATTCGTAACACAGAGGATAAATGCCTGAAAGGATGGATACTCCATCTTCTATGATGTGATTATTATACATTGCATACCTGCATCAAAACATCTCATGTACCCCATAAAAATATACACGTACTATGTACCCACAAAAATTAAAAATTAAAAAAAAAACAGTGGCAACATTTGCAAGACAGTTTAGATCACTTTAATGCATTAGGCCTTTTAAAATCTTTCCATGGGGTACTTGGACCAAAGGAAACCTAAGCCCATTGTTCATCAAAAAAAGACTGTGTGTGTGTGTGTGTGTGTGTGTGTGTGCACGCACTAGCACACGTGCTCACCTGGTTTAGTGCTGAAATATAATTCCTTCAAAATGCTGCTTTCCTTTGACACTGGTTACAATGGGAAACTAGGGGAGGCTTAGAGTAGCTGTCACTTAAGTGTAAAAGGAGTCAGTTATTTCTGGCATCTTTCAAAATTGTGTCATATAAGAAATCAATCTTCTATTGAGGCTTCCTATATTGAAGAAGATTATGACAGCTCCAATATCTTTCACTTCAGTTAAATATTAATAAGTTAAGGTTTCAAATAATGAAATAACTTATAGAAAACATGTTAGATGTTTTTCAAATACATGCACAATAAAACTACTAAAATTTATTAAATGCCTCTATACCCCCCAAAGGATTTGGGGGTTTCTTGATCACTCACCAGCGTTCTATGTTTCTAGAGTCCATCTCCCCTGTATGACAGCCATCACTGTTTAAATGATTTTCTTTAGGCTGATCTCTTTCCTAATCTTAAAGAACAAATAAATTCCACATCCTCTTCTGGGACCGATTCTGGATTCCTATGGAATTATCTCAGAAAATAAGAACTCCTGATATATGTGAGATAACCAACCTAAGTATAATTCTTAAATTGGAGAGATTCTTTAATGTAAACACTAGGCCACCAAACTACTGAAGTTAATTCTCTAGATTAGGGGCCAGCAAACTTTTGTAAAGGGCCAGAAAGAGTCTATTTCCAGCTTTGTGGGCCATTAAATCTCTGTCACAAGTAATCAACTCTGCTGTTGTAGTGTAAAAGCAACCCTACATAATCCATAAACAAATGAGTGAGGCTGTGCTCCAATAAAGCTTTATTTGTGAACATGAAATTTGAATTTTATAGAATTTTCATAAGTTACAAAATAGTCTTGATTCTTTTTCAATGTGTAAAAAATGTAAAATCATTCATATTTTTATCTTTTGGGCCCTACAAAACAGGAAGTAGACTGGATTTGGCCTATGGACTGAGGTTTGCTGCCACCTGCTCTAGATTTTTCCAGTTGCCTCTTTACCATTTCCAACTCTTATAGACTACGATTGAAGCACTGCTTTGTGGCTCCAACTCTTTGCCTTGCATCATCCCTTACTCCCTCTTCCCATCAGAGTTGTTGGTACTAACCTATATCTGAGTGTCGTGTAAATATGGAAAATGGAAATAAGAGCATGTGTATCTACTTTTTAATTAGATGTATTTTATTTTAAAATAAAATACTATTGATTTTACTGATAACAATAGCAACTCTGCATGGAGAATTGCATGACAATAAAAGTTGACAATAAAAATTAAATGCCTGGAACAGCTAAAGGAGATGCATTTTTAGCTGGAAAAAAGCTTAAGAATGATGGACTATTATATAGTAATTTTGTTATTGGTGGTTAATAGCTATCTTGAACTGAGGGCCTCCTGTGTGAGAAAGTACAAATGGATTCTTATAACCACTATTAGGGGAAAATGCAATTAAGTCACTGACAGAGGAATTATCTTTCTACATAGGAAAATATTAATAATAATAAAAAGTGAATAAGTATTCAAATTCTAACTCCACTATAAAAAGAATAAGAAGAAACTAATGGAAATCACATTGGAACAGTTTGAATTAAACATAAGAAAGGACAGTTACAATCCAAAAATTTCAAAGTTTAAGTCAGAGTCCCGCATTAAGAAAAGTGTAAAACTATAGTGAATCCTGTCTTTGGCTTCAAGCAGATGAAGATGATATCTGGAAGTCTTTTTAGACCCCGTTTCTGATAGGATGTGTGGTTTAATTACTTCTAAAAGCTTCCCATTAATGGCTTTGCTAATGCCAAGTACCAATCAATGCACTAGGTTTTCTCTTATGTGGCGAGAGAGAGAGAAGGAGAGAGAGAGAGAGAGAATAATAATGTAGGATTTTGCTTGTCCGTTAGGTAAAAGTCATGCCAAAGGCAAATAGAAATGAACATTTGAAAAGGCATCCAGTGACTGGAAATAGTAAAAAAAAACAACAGTACTGGGGCATGTGGCAGTTTAACTTGTTATTAATTTTAGAAATAGGGTTTAAAAGAAATAGAATTGGCAAGGATCCAGGCCTAAAGCAATGAACAAAGCCAACAAAGCAGTAGGTAAAAATGAGAATAGTAAAAGCCTTTGAAATAAGACTGAAAATTCAAAGCTAAAGTAAGTGGAAAAGGAAGTCAGTAGAGAGATACAAGAAGTGGCATGATATAGGTGTGCTTGGAGGAGAAAAGCATACTTTGCGTAGTGAATTTGATGATGAAATGAAATTATTGAATAGAGCGGAAAAGTAGTCTCTCTCTCTCTCTCTCTCTCTCTCGCTCTCCTCTCTCTCTCTCTCTGTGTGTGTGTGTGTGTGTGTGTTTTGCCTGTCACCATGTTATTTTTTTTTAAGTAGAGAATCTCATTCAAAGGTTGATTCATCAGGATTGCATTTGGTTGCAAGTAGCTAAACCTAATTCCAGTGGCTTGATCAAATTGTCCTACTCAATAAACTTCTGCTTACCCGTCGCTGCCCAGAACTATATCATATGGTGGACCAAAGCTTCAAGGGAACCTGCTAAATTAAATTTCGTTTTTAGCTTGGTGTAGTGCTTCCCTAAGCAGTGTTGTGGTTCTGTTAGTTTAAAAAAGTAGGGTTGGGGGACGCAAGAAATTGGATTAGCAGTTGGCAGTGTCTGCAATAAATAATATGAACTTTTCAAGTCAATCTAGACCTCATGCTTTTGATGAGTTCTCTTAACAGCTTCTCTGCCTTTTAAAAAGTGATTACATTTTCCATCTTTCTTGGTGACATTGTTCTGTTCTTGAGGTTATAACAGACTGATTGAAAGATACTTAAGTGAGTTGAGGTCACTTCTCCAAAATACATTATGTTAAAAGATGATAAATACATTACTGACAGGAAGTATTCTTAATAAAGATCTTCATATTATGCCGCCAACCATCTTCAGGTTAAGAGTAGTACTGGCTGCAATGATGGTGGGTATATACGAACTATTAGCTTTAAAGTATAAATGTAGAGAAATTATTATCAGTGTCCATTTTGTAGTCTGTATATGAATTAAAGCAGTGGGCTTCAGAACATAAACCAAGAAGTGTGTATATTTTCATTCTCAATGTAAAAGTTTGCTTCTTATGTATTAACGTTTGTTTCTATCAACATGGGGACCCAGAATTGAGGAGTTTTTCATTTCTTTTGATTTTTTTCATCCTTTCTTCCTATGTTTTTAGAGCAAAGAAAATGGAGAAATGTCAAATTATAAATATGTAAGCAGATTACAGAATAAATCTTAGTGATTTCTGCAATGACAGAAATTTGTTAGATTCTTACACTATCTAGTCTAATGTAACATGTACTAATGGTTTATATTATTAATATAGTCTCAATAATTACTGTAAGAGCTCCCCCAAAGTCTTACACATATCTATCATAGCTATAATAGATATGTTTCAAGTGTTTGGATATTATTACTGTTCCACTTAAGAGAAAAATAATTAATTGCTAAATTTGAAGTTAAAAATAATTTTCTTTTCTTTTTTTTTTTAACAGCCACAGTAGAATGTTACAATCCAAGAACAAATGAATGGACCTATGTTGCCAAAATGAGTGAGCCCCACTATGGCCATGCTGGAACTGTGTATGGAGGAGTGATGTATATTTCAGGTAAACAAGTATCATGTGAACACAATATAATATATAAGCTTTTAACTATATGGTTATCTTTCCATATAGTGGTAGTAATAATAATAATAATTCAGGCGTCAGGAGTTTGAGACCAGGCGGGCCAACATGGTGAAATCCTGTCTCTATTAAAAATACAAAAATTAACTGGGTGTGGTGGTGCACGTCTGTAATCCCAGCTACTTGGGAGGCTGAGGCAGGAGAATCTCTTGAACCCAGAAGACGGAGGTTGCAGTGAGCCGAGATTGCGCCACTGTACTCCAGCCTGTGTGAAAGAGCGAGACTCCATCTCAAAAAAAAAAAAAATCCAGAAAAACGGAGAATCAAAATATAATTTATGTTGATTTTAGAAACTATTTTTGTGTGTATTTGCATATGAATGTCTTGGGCATTCTGTAAATTTATAAGAGTACTAGTAAACCAATCCTGTTGTAAGGTATAACTTAGAAAAAATTGGAAAGCATTCAAATTTTGCTTTCCAGTCCCCATGCTCTGTATTCTGATAAACACCATTCATAGTTTCTGTAGCAACAATTAATTCATTTTATTTAAGATTTAGCTAAACTATGTGAAGGAGTGTATCATTATATAACATATAAGTTCTCCTATGCATAAAACGTGCTTCCAATATGCATAATAGTACATAATAATGTTCATTCTCTCTTTCAGTATAGTCCATAATATGGGTTTCCTTCTTCCTTAGCATTATAGGGGGATTCTACTATGGTGTCATTGCATAAATATTTCTGTGCTGATTATCTGTATTTTATGCACATGAAGATATATTTTTCTGTTAAAAAATTCTGAAATGGCTATAGTTTGTTCACAGTGTCCCAGTAGCAACTTTCATTCTCAAATTGTTGGTGTTTAAATCAATCTACTGTAGAATTTCTTTCTTTTTTTAATGCATTTTCTGCTTTCATTCTCCTGTAGAATTTAGGAAGAAGTCTCACTTTAATGTAATGACCACCTCTGGTATTGACATTTAACTTTGTTAGTCAGGTTATTATCATTTGGCCCTGACACACTCTGCCTGGGACAATTCTTCCCCATATGAAGGCCTGCCAGTGCCAGGCCAGCAGTTACATTACTAGAGACCAAGGGTGTAAAGGCACTATTTGTGACCTGATTGACCACTGCCTTATGAAATTTTTAATCAATAAGAATCAATGAAAGGCCTATAGTATATGATTGGCAGGTTTCTGGTGTTAAATTCATGAGCAACTACAGAATGTCTTATATTGGAAGAGCCATCCAGGTAATAAATATGCTCCCATTAATCAATGATTTACACCATCTATCTATTTTATGTGGGCAGCTGCTGTACCATTATAATGAGAGCTCCAACTCCTCTGAGAAAAATGACACCTGAATTGTTTTAGTGGTGTTTTGGCATAACTGGCGTATATTGCAGAAATGACCTTCCCAATCAAGAGTGGTTAGAAACTATAGCTGATTTTCAAAACAATGAACACTGTTTTGCTTTCTGGGAATTCTGTAAAGCACAAGGAAAATATTTTTAAAAAGCAGAAGGAAACAGTGATAGTGATTGGCATCTGGCCATTTGACAGTAAAGGTTTGAATGATTTGACTAAAGATTAGCTTACTTCTTTCCCTTGTCTACAGAAGGTATCGTTTAATACTTTCATTGTAGAGACTGGTTTATATGTGATCTAAGAGTACACTTTGTAGATGATACAGACTAAATTAGATTAACAACAAATTGGTGCATGTATAAAATTCCACGTATATTCAGCATTCTAATTCTTTAGATTTTTAAATATGCATTCTGATAAGAGATGACATTATCCACCCTCACTCTGCCCACAGAAAACTCTATAAACATAAACAATTCTGAATATTCTTATAAGCTTTTACACATGTGCAAGACTTTCAACTTTTTCAAAGCATTTTGATAAATATCTCACTTCAGAGTCACAATCCTGATGCAATAACTAGAGTAGATATTGTTTTGTGACAAGTGAGGAAATGGGAACCTGGAATTTAATGTGCTCTAGCCCAGTGCTCAGTACCCAGAGGGTACCCACTAAAAGGCAGTAAGTAGTGAATGATGCTTTGTAGTTGGAATTTACTACAGACCCAACTCTATCAGTGATCAAAATATATTTTCCTTCAGCAAAGCCTTTTAAATACCAGGGATCTACATTTGAGAAAGTCATTGCAATAATGTAAGTGATTGCAAAAAAAGTAATTGTTTTGTTCTTTAAGAAGATGAAAATGCTATTTTCTTTACTTTTAATCCAGAGAATGTATTTATAGAGGGAAGACAGTCCTAAGAACAGTATTGATAAGGTATATGTCATAATATGTGACTAAAAGTTATCTGTGACAGAGCTCCTTTAATTACTTTTGCATTTCTATAATTATTTACTTCAAAACTATTGTTTTCATTCTTTAGGAGGAATTACTCATGATACTTTCCAAAAGGAGCTCATGTGCTTTGACCCTGATACTGACAAATGGATCCAGAAGGCGCCAATGACCACTGTCAGAGGTCTGCATTGCATGTGTACAGTGGGAGAAAGGCTCTATGTCATTGGTGGCAATCACTTCAGAGGAACAAGTGATTATGATGATGTCCTAAGCTGTGAATACTATTCACCTATCCTTGACCAGTGGACCCCAATTGCTGCCATGTTAAGAGGGCAGAGTGATGTTGGGGTCGCTGTCTTCGAAAATAAAATCTATGTGGTTGGGGGGTATTCTTGGAATAATCGTTGTATGGTAGAGATAGTGCAGAAATATGATCCAGATAAAGATGAATGGCATAAGGTTTTTGATCTGCCAGAATCCCTTGGTGGCATTCGTGCTTGCACACTCACAGTTTTTCCACCAGAAGAAACCACACCATCACCTTCTAGAGAGTCCCCTCTTTCTGCACCTTAAGATCATCTCTACAACTAAGATGCTGTAGTTCTATCTTTGCAATGTGTCATAAATTCTCTTCTTTTTCCCCCTTAAGTAGTATATATGTTAGGATTACCCTCTGGTAATTGATACAGATATTGGAAAAAAGACAACATTGATGTTATTTGTGCTCTTTGTTTGGCCTAGAATGTTTATAAAGTGGTAACACAACCATTCTGGAAATGTATCCCATAGAAGCTGATGTTTAACATATGAAAAAAAAAGTATTGTCTATAAAATGTTTCTTCAGTACTTTTTAAATGCTGTGTATTGGGTGTAAGGTATTTGTCATCTTACATTAGTAAACCCAATAAGCCAAGTTGAAGGTGGATTATAGTAAATGTACAACTGTGCTCACTAGGCTTCAAGTAAAAAGTTTTCCTTTCATCTTTGACTGTAAGATGTCAAAGGGAGGCAGCCTGCTTGAACAGGAAACAATACACAAAAGGTTGCCAACTCGCATGAGCTACCTCCCTCTTTTCATAAAGTATTTTTGACATATCTGTCAACCCACTTGACTGTGTGGGTGCATTGAGAACACAAAGTTTCCTAGACACACAGGAGAAGTAGCTTAAATTCACTAATATTAATTTAAAAAGCAGCATGAACCCTCTACTTATAAACAAGGGTTTGGTGTTTTTAAAGTGTGTATACATACATACACATACACACATGCACATATGTCAAATATAATTTTTTTAAAAATTGAGTGGCACATCAAAGAAATGTGAAATTAAAAAGAATTCTTCCAAAAAGCAGCTTCCATTAAAATGGGAATTCAGTATGCACATACTGAATGCATATATGTAGAACCATACAGAATTTAGGTGGATAAGGGCTAGAAATTTTGAGCAACAAAATTTGTCACTTGACCAGATTTTATCTTCAAAAACTGTATTCTACTCCTTCTCCTTTGCTGTTGAGGTAACTTGCATATTATATGTATTCTGTATACTCAGTTCATAAGGTTATTTAGCACAAAGTATAGCAGCTTCACCTGGAGAGCTGCTTTTGCTCAGTAAATTCAACTTCCATGTTTTATCTTTTTTTGTTCAATAAAAACATTTAATGTCATTTTGGTCTGAGACATCCCATTATTGTCTGATTTGACTTCCTTTGATTAAATATCTATATTTTTGGCATGGCAAAATGTGATCAGAATTTACAGCTCTGAGCAGCTTGGATGAGTGAATATGCCTTTTTATTCAAGGAAAAAAAGAATTTGACAAAATCTAACCTTATTCATCAAAACTCATTGCTGGTTGTGTTTGGGGAATTAGATTATGGAAGATGCTAACTGGCTTTTCATCACCACAGAAGAACTGCCAGCCATATCTAAACCAGAAGAGCAGTTACAATTCCGAGTTTAGTCTCCCTGATCTTCAAGAGGATCCATCTTGCCTGATGAGAAGGGATTGTGTAAAATTACCTTAGAGATTTGTCGACCTGGGATCCCAAAGGAAAAATGTTTTTGTGAAAGATTATTTGAGAATTATATTAGCATCGTATTGTGATCTTCTCTACTTTATCTGCAGATGATCAGATTAAATCTGAGCCAAAAATTTAGGGCTATGATAATACAACTAGTGAGATTCCAAATTTCTTTACCATTAGGTAATTAGCAGTGCAGATGTCACTGCATCTATCTTGAGTTAAATAATTAAGGAAACAATTTTCTCAATAGGAAAAGCTTGGTATGAATTTGAAAATCCCTCTTGAGCATTATTGTTCTTAAGTCAGAGCAGCTGGTCAATGGTATCAGTTCTCTGCTTATAGGCAGAGTGAATTCAGGCATTTGCACATAGTTAACACCTGTCTAAAAATGGAGGCATTATATGGTTTGACTGTGTCTCCATCCAAATCTCATCTTGAATTGTAGCTCTCATAGGGACCCGGTGGGAGGTAATTGAATCAGGGGGACGGGTTTTTCCTATGCTGTTCTCGTGATAGTGAATAAGTCTCATGAGATCTGATGGTTTTATAAAGGGCAGTTCCTCTGCACACGCTCTCTTGCCTGCCACCATGTAAGACATGCTTTTGCTCCCCCTTCACCTTCTGCCATGATTGCGAGGCCTCCCCAGCCGTGTGGAACTGTGAGTCCATTAAACCTCTTTTTTCTTTATAAACTACCCAGTCTTGGATATTTCTTCATAGCAATGTGAAAATGGACTAATACAAGGAGTATATAAGACAGATTGATAATTCAGAAACAACTGAATTATCAGAAACAACTGAAGAGCCTGATCAGGTGGCTCTTCTCCGAGCAGCAAAGGTTCTTTCCATCTTGTGGCCTCCCCTTTTTAGGTTCTCAGAGTCCTCTCCAGTCAGTCAGAAGAAGAAAAATGGAGGATTGCAGGTGGGAGGGCTATAGTGGTCAGGCTTGAAAGAAGCATACATTACCTCTACCCACATCACCTGTACCCACATTCTAGTGGCCAGAAGTCAGTTCTGTGGCTACATATAAACACAAAGAAAACTAGAAAATATCAGAAAGCTGTGTGCCCAGAAAGAAGAAGAAATGGAGCTGGTGATCTTCTAGCAGTCTGCCACAGGGAATAACACAAAACATACATATCCACTTCTTTTTGACAACGTAGCTTTTCTGCACCTATGTATGTTATTTAGAATAGCAATTTATTTCACACTTTACTGTAGGTGCTGTTACTAAACAATTCTAACAGCTGGAAAATTATTACACATTTTGCTTTACAGTGAATTAACTTTTTATTTATGAAAAAATACCTGCCAGTTATTAGTTGGCTTTATAAGCATTTCTCATATTTTCTCTTAAGTTCTTAGCCTACTTGAAAGAGGAGTTACAGAATTCACTAAATCTCAAAAGGTTTGTGATTTTCCTTCTTGGTCAAGATTACTGGAATTTGAAAAATGAAGAAAGAATTTGCCTATTTCTATAATTTTTAGAAAATTCATCTGATAATCAGTATTTACCCTGAAAAGTGAAATTATGACCTGAAACTCTTTCCTTTCTAAAATTACTTTAGAGACTAAAATATAGATGCATGCTTAAATACATACCTATGTAATATTTCTTTGGGAGTTGCTAAAATAATTCCATATTAGCCCATGACAGGGTGCACCACAGGGCAATTAAGTAGTGTCTTATTTAATTAGTTCCACCATGTGACCTTTTATTTTCTCATTTCAAGGGCCTTTGCGTGTTTTCCTCCCACAAGAATAGTAAGCAAACATTCTTGTGTGGAAAGTTGGCTATGCCTCTAATTTTATTCTTAGCTCCTATGCCTTTCCTTGTGTTTTTCATTTTCAGCCACAAAACCACAGGTTTAGTCCTTTGCACATCAAATAGCTTTGTGAGTAGGCAGGAAGAAAAGTAAATGCAAAGCAAGTTCTTAGAGATGGGGAGTTTTATTTTAAATTGGTCAAATAATTCAGTGTTTAAAACTTCTGGTATTTATAAAAATGCAAAATATAGAAAAATTGAAAAGTATAAGAAGGAAGAAAAAAGTCATGGTCTTCCACATATCAAGATAACTATTGCCAATTATGAGTACATTATTTATACACAATTATTTAAAAATCAGCATTATTTTTGTATATACTATATAAAGTATGTTCTGATACATCAATACATCATTTTCTGGTATAAAATACGTTCTAATACACCAATGCATTAACTTCTGATACAAAATACATCAATGCAATATTTAGGATGCAATTTTGTAATGTGTAGTAAGTGAAGTTCAACAATTAGGTAATGTGTTGGGCATTTGTCAGTTTAAAAAATACTGAATATTGACATGATCAAATGAGATGTTTGCATAATTAAGCAATAGTGATGCCAGACAATTAAAACATTTATTTCATCAATGAACCTCATTTGCATAATTCATATCTCATAGTGGATATTTCATCTCTATTTACATTTAGCATTCCTTACTAATCATGTGTTATCAAGTATTATCAAATCTTTGTCAAATGCATCTTTACCTTGTATGTGTTATTTGGCAATGTGATTAAAATAAAAAAAGACTGAATTAAAAAAGTGAGACTAAAGGCCATACATTTATCGAAAGAAAAAAAGAGGGGATATTACAACAGGGCTTGGCAAACTTTCTGTAAAGAGCCAGCAAATATTTTAATCTCTGTGCGCCATATGGTCTTCATCACAACTACTCATGTCTGCTGTTGCAGTGTGAAGGCAGACACAGACAATATGTAAATGAATGAGTGTGGATGTGTTTCAATAAAACTTTATTTATAGACACTGGAATTTGAATTTCATATAATTTTCATGTATTACACAATATTCTTCTTTTGACTTCTTTCAACCATTTAAAAATGTGAAGGCCATTCTTAGCTCATGAGCCATACCAGATTTGGTTGACAGGCTGTAGTTTGCTGACCCCCCCCATTACAAAAGCATATTTCATTACCATTCATTTATTCTTTCAACACAAATTTATTGTGAACCTATTTCGTATCAGTCAATGAAAAGTCCTAAGGCTACAAAGATGAATACAACAATTCCTGCCATCATGAGCTCAGTCTAATTGGGGAGATAGGTACTTACACTGTATTGTGCTTGAGGCTATGATGGGTGTAAAGAAGCAACATCTGAGCAGAGTCATAGGAATAGGTCTTTGTAAAATGAGTGGAAGGCTGTAAAGAAATGAGGGCCTGCCCTAATAAAATACAGTTTCTGTGGCCACAAAGGTGGAAATGAGAGAGTACTCGTAGGGAAAGGGTAGCTTCTCTTTGAAATCCTAGCACCTATCCTCTGAGGTACAACTTCCTGTTGCAAATCTCTCATTAATTACACCAACTACCAACTTGCTGGTTCTGTGCTAGATAGAGTCATATACAACTTGTCCTTCAAAATACTCTGAAACTCAGCAAAAATCAGGATGGGATATTTCATAAGGTTTCTCTAAATCCTCAGTGTATTGGATGCCTTTTACTACAAGAAGCAGAAAACCCCAAATTTTAACAATAAGGAAATGTGTTTTCTCACAAATCTTCAATGCCTTCTTGGAGGTAAAAGAAGACTCAGGCATGGTATAATTAGCTAAATGTCCTCAAACACCTAGGGTTTTTTTTTTCTTTACATTCCATTTGCAATAGCTTTGCAAACCTGTATTGCCAGTATCATCTCTAGTTAAGACCCAGAGAGAGAAAACCTCTCCCCAACCATGGAATTTAAATCCTTTTTTTCAGTCTGATGGAGTCAACTTAGGAGATATGACTGCCCCTGGCCCAGTTGCTAGGGGAATTTCATGCATGGATTGGCTTAGACTAATTATCTTATATGAAATCATTATGGAATTAACCATAATACCCTTCTCACTCAGGAAGAACAAAAGGAAAACACATAGGGAAACGAAATTTAGCTAATTGGATTTACTTTGTTCAGTTTGTCTGTAATCAGCTTGGGCTTTTTCTAGATTAGTGTTTTTCAAAAAGTCTGGTCATAACTTACTAGTACAAAAATTCTCAAAATGTGGTCTAGGCACACTGGTGTCCCTGAGACCATTTCAGAGGGTTCACAAGGTCAAAATCATTTTCATCACAATACTAAGACATCATTTGCCTGTTTCACTCTCATTTCCCCACAAATGTATAGTGGAGTTTTCCAGAGGCTAAAGAATGCATAATGATATAGTTGATCAGTCAGGTAATAGAATATGAGTTTATACATGCTTGTATATAAAAATATTCTCATATTTCATTTTGAATGCAGTAAACATCAATAGATATAATCCACATGAACAAAACCTCTTTCATGTGCTCAAAAAATTTTAAGAGTGTTAAAGAGTACTGAGACCAGAAAGATTGAGAACAGCTGGTACAGCTGGTGTTCGTTCTAAAATTGATTTTAGTGGATTATAAGCGACATTTTTTTACAGAAATGGAATAAAACATAGACTGTACTATACATCATAATTTTAAGGTTTTTGTGAATTTTTATTTTGGTTATATATGTGTATATATATACATATTACATATTTATGTATACATATATACTTATACACATATACATACCCATATAGGTATATATAATAAAATTGTTCACAAAACAATACACACACACACACACACAGAGTTGCATTGTAAATATTTCTTAATGTAGGGCCTGATCAAAAATGGCTGAAAACACTGTTCACTAGCTGCTGACCACATACTCTGTATAACAAAAGCCTTCCTCCCACCACCACTGAGGAGCACACTCAAGTTTTCTAGATTGCTCAAAGTCCTGACACCAAAGAGCAAGATGCAGAGAAATACATTACCTAAAGTCTGATTTCTCAGTTCTCATGTCTTAAAACTTACTCATTTCCTTGGTAATTAAAACCAAAACCCGGAGGAAGACAACTACCTATAGGTTCCCTCCTGATCTTAGAGGAATTTGCATGATAGCTACATTTGAGGAGAACACATAGCACCAAATGTACCATAAATGGTACACAATCTTAGTAGTAGGCTTTTAAATTCCTTATGCAAATCTCTTAATGAAAGCATTTCCCAAAAGGAACAGTAGTTCTGGTAGACATTAGTAAACGTGGAATGAAAAGAAGCCCTGATTGTAAGCCACAGAAACTAAACTCCAACCAGCTTAGACTAAAAGGAAAAACATAGTAGACCAGTAGTGGGGCATCTCTCAAAACCTTAGGAAGACCAGAGCTGAAACTAGGATACAGTAAAAACTGGAGGAAGAAAGAAATGCTGACAGTGCTCTGTGACTCTGCTTTTCTCCGAGGGTGAGATTCATTGCCTCCTCCTGCAGACCAGCTTCCTTGACATGGTACTGACTGTGATTGGGAGCTCCCAAAACTTCCAGCTCTCCCCACCATAAAGAAAATGTCACCCACTCCGCATCACCAGTTAAAGACTCCTTGGTAATCACAGTCATTGACCAGGTTTAGCTCAAATACTTACCTTTGGATCAATAAGCAATGGCTCTGCCAAAGGGCCTGAGTGCTGATATGAACGCTGGTGACTCAATCCCTACAAAAAATACTTTTCCCATGAACAAGGAAGTTATTCGTGCCAAGCAGTCCCCCAAATTGATGTCTACAACAATAGCTAGGTCAAGGTACAGTTACCCTCCTGATGTCCAAAGGAAAATGTATGTGTTTGCCTGTCAAAAGGCCAGATATTTCTAAAAAGTTGACAGAATCCATGAAGAGGGCTGATCTCTACTCAAGAGTCAGTGAGTACCATACAATTTTCTACTTTCCACCTCACCAAAGCTCGGGCATGCATTCAGGCTTTCCAGTGTTCAAAAAGCCATCATTATGGCCAAGAATGGGAGGCAGCCAGGGAGGGAGAATTTGCACTGTTGCATCTCATAACTGATTGCCTTCACTGTATGCTATCTTGGTTTAGGTAGAAAAGCAAATGCAAAATGACAAAATATGGCAGAATCTGAGCTAACATCTCGAAGCATTTGTTTTAGACTACTTAAAAAGGAAGCCACCAAGCACTTAGTTAAACACAACAAATATGAGATGAAGTTGCTGTAGCAAATCTTAGTAACAAGGCTCGGTCTGGAATAGCTGGGAATGTGGCAGCAGGGTACCCAAACACATTTAGCATGTTCTAGCCTTAAACATTTATATTCCTGCTCTATGGCAGGAGGGAAGAAGCAGAGGCATAGTGCTGCACAAAAGTCTTGCGCCCTCCATCAGAGAGAAAATCCCCTGCCCTAGAGCTGTGTCTGTGGGACAAATTAGAGTGAGTGGAGGTCAAGATACTTGGACACAGGAGCAGGTGCCCGAAGGCGGCAAGAAGTCATAAAGTTGGGACATCTGTGACCTTCCTTATCATATTTTGTGTCTTCTTTCTGGTCCTTTATTAGAAGGTTGCCCATATTAAACCTAATTGGCTTTTGACACCCTCATGTCAGTGAGATGATAAGATACTATCCTGCTAGAGGAATTAAGAAGGTTGCAAGGAAGGTGTGGATACATTTGGAAAGCTTCTGAATGTGTGCATACAGGTCATAAGTCTCCACTAATTTGGGACCCAGAATAAAATGTCTGGGACAACTGATAGAGATAAAAAAGGTTTCCAAGGACATGGCAAGCTAGAGGTGTGGTAGTGGTGGGCAGTCAGCAAAACTGATCCTGTGAGGAGGGTAGAGGAGGTCATAGTTAGAGAACTGTTCTTCAGGATTTTCAAGTCAGTGAGTTGGCAAGAAGAGTTGACTTACGCATACACACCATTGGGAGTACACCCATCTTCTGCCTTCTCCCTTATGCTAAAGTTCAGGTCAATATGAGTCTTAGATATTCCATGTAGGCCTGGATGAGTTTAGGAAGGGTACAGTCAGAGTCATGGGGCAGCCCGGGAAGGGAGATTTTTTATTACTGTGCCCTCCCACCCATTTCACAAAACCATTGAGCCTCTTATGCCAGGATGAGGCACAATAACAAAATGACCAGAGACAGAAGATGGGCACCATAATATTTCAAACTTGATTGTGCAAGGAAGCCCATAACTTGAGAGCTGTTTACAAGGAATATAGACTTTGTTTTTCATTTCATTTTTAATATTAAAAATTTCAAATGTACTGATAAGTAGAATAGTGTAATGAACAAGTGCATACTCATTTATATGTAACAATTGTAAACATTTTTTCATATTTGCTTAATCTAATTTTTGTTAAAGTATTTTAAAGCAAATAATTAACATTATGACATTTCTCCAATAAATACTTTGGTATGTATATTTAAAACTGAAGGAATTCTCCCTCTTAAAACAAACACCATTATCCTGCCTAATAAAATTCTTAATTTCTAACACAGTACACATTTAAATACACACTAAATATTGAAATTTCCCCGGTTATTCCCCAACTATCTCATACAAGCCTTTGTTCAAGCCAGAATAGAAGGGGGCTTTGTGGCCCAAGAGGACAATTTTAGAATATTTGCTAGTACAAGAGTAAGAAAGGTAGGCACCATCTATGTATGATGTCTCAGCCAAGTCTCTGAACATGCTGGGCCTGTGGTAGAAGGAGGGGTTGTTCTAGCCCAAGGGCTCAAAAGGCTAATGATCACCACCAGTGAAAAATTTTCTAACAATAGAAATTTTCGTCAGGGATTTTGGAGGGTGATATTTTTTTCAGAGCTGTCAAAAGCAGAGCCAGAAACCTGAGAAGCATGCCTGGGAAATCTATGGCATTGAACACGAGTGAGCTTTTATATTTATTATGGTAAGCTAAACTAATGCAACAAACACACCCAAAATGAAAATGGCTTAAACAAAACATGTTTACTTCTTACTCATATAACAGTCAAGCACTGTGTTCCAGGTCTAACGATAGCTGTTTTCCATGCAGTCACTCAGGAACTGTCTTTTATCTATGGCTTCCCAAACAGCCATTATCATCTCCAACCCACTGAGCAAGAACAAGGGAGGAGGGATCAATTGAAGAGCAGGTGGGAAGATTTGTTGGCCAGATCTGGATGTAGTGCACATTAATTCTCACACTACTTTCAAGGAGAGTAGGAAATATAGGCTAAAGTTGAACTCTGAAGAGGGAAAAATTGTGGTAAAGCACTAGCAGATCCAGCCATAGTGAGTTTCATCTTTGATGTAAGATACAGGCTGTTTCCAAGAAACTGGCAGAATATCATAAAGGGTCTGTGAGTAAAAAAAGATCTCATGGAGTATATGAGATCTTAAAGTTAGAGGACAAGAATGGGCTGCTTTTGCATGTATCAGTGAGGGAGACCCCATTGGCTATGACTTCAGACTGTGAGATCAGGGTAGCAGGTGCGAAAAATTTTCATAACTTTTACCTTTGCCACTCACTCCTGGGTGAGTTCCTGAAGTACAGTCATGCATTGCTGAATGATGGGGATACATTCTGAGAAATATGTCTTTAGGTGATTTAATAGTTGTATGAATATCATAGCGTACTTATACAAACCTAGATGGTATAGCCTACTACACACCTAGGTTATATGTATCCACCTAGTTGCACTTAGGTTAGAAACCTGTACAGCATGTTACTGTACTGAATACTATAGGCAATTGTAACACAAGGGTAAGTATTTCTGTATCTAAACATAGAGTAGGTATGGTAAAAATATGGTATTATAATCCAACGGGACCACCACCATATATGCAGTTCATTGTTGACCAAAACGTTATGTGGCGCATGACTGCATATGAGCACAGTGCTAGGGTATCAGAAAGTCAGGGAACTGTAAGCTATGCTTATTCAGCAGAATGGGCTGAATGTCATTCAGCCTCATGTCAAGTGAAGAATCAAGAGCAAAATACAGGAAGAAACTGAGTCATGACCTCTGAGGTATGGGTTGGTTCTTTTTTTTGTAAGAGAAAAAACATAAAACCCATAGCTATGCACAAGGAATGGTAATGAGAAATTTGTTATAAATTATTGAAGCAGGGCATAGACCCTGTGTACCATGATCTCAAACAGGAGGATTTTGATCATTATTGCAGGAGGCTTTTCATATCCATTCTCCAAGATTGGACAAAAAAACACAGGAAAGTATTCAAGAGATGGGCCAGGTGAATCACTTCTGTGAAATGCTTGGGGTTCTGTGACATAATTATATTTTCTGACTGCTTTCTGTGTTCCCCTACTTTTTGGGGTTCTTTATATTTAAGCTCAATCATTTATACTCAGTGTTATGCAGGTAAACATTTTAACAGTCTGGGGAAAAGAAAGGGAGGTGCCCCAATGTATATCATTTGTAGTATAAATATTTCCACCATGGTTGATTTTTAAGCTCCCATGTGCCATTCCTGAAAGTGGAGTTGGGAAGAGATGTAAATAATAATTTCTCCTGAGGCAGTGTAAATCAGCTCCAGGGCACAATTCCATCCAGAGAGAACAGGGAAGAAATATTTTGTCAGGAGTCCAGGAGTCCTTGGGACATGGCTAGAATACATGACTGTACATTTCCTACATCTGCTGGCTGCTCTTTTTGTTTTCTACTCTTTGAAGGTTTCTCATTTTAATCTCCATAAGTTACTTACCTCTTCGTGTGAGTTATCAGGACTGGTTCTGTTTCATAAGCATATCTGGCAGTAACCTTAGGGGGGATATATAGAGATATCGAGAGTCTCTGGAATTTGAAAGAACGTGCACTCATCCATCAGGAAGGCACTGCCAATTTTGCTTCCGAGGCAAAAATTGTGTGTTGTCACAGGTTAAAAAAACAGATCTCAATGAGTTAGCAGGGCATATAAATGGAAGAACTGATCCCTTTGTTAGAGGGTGGGTTATGAAGAGTGAACTATCCCTTAGAAGTCTGAAGGTAGTGAGGCAGCAGGAAAAATTGCCTCACAAACACATTGATCAAGGAGCCTCTACATCTTGCTACCTTCCTCTTCACTGTGAACCGGATAGCAGCCTCAAAGGCATAGACTGAGTCTTACACGTACCACTCATGTTTTTGAATATCTGCGAGGGTGGCCATAATGAGATTTGGGCACCCATTCATATGGGGAATCTCAGTCATACTACTCATGCTGCTGCATGGTCAGGGAGGGGCTGTCTTGTGGTAGACAAAAATCCAATAAGGCATCCTGGAAAATTAAAATGTTCCAACACACTATGAAGGGTGAGCAATGGGTGGCTTTTAGTAAAGCTACCAAATGAACGTTTTACTCATTATGCAGGGAGCCACCAATCTGTTCTTTTCTATATATAGTGATGAGACTGCTTACAAAGGCCTGACAACTCAGTAAGCCATCCACCTAGTTCGCTAAGATTTTAAGCATATAAAGGAAACAAACGGTCATATGGCCCGGTGTGCTGGAGGATACTGGTGGACTGACAAAGAGTTAGATATAAGAGCACAATAGGTTGTAGAACAATGAGCCCATTTCACGACATCAGTGTCTCTGGAAAATGGTCCTTTTGTTAAGTGAGGGAGAGATGGATCCAGGTCTCTTGTCAGTCCTTGACAGTGGAAAATGGAGAAAAAATCAGCCCTAGGTTCGCTTAGCTACAGACTCATGGTCATTCACAAGAATTGAGAAGGACTCAATTTATAGTTCCTTTGAGGGTAGCAGCAATACAAGGTGGGCAACCACCTCTTGAGGAATTTTTCACCAATAGTGAGCATTATCACAACTAGAGAGGCCCATGTGAAAGTGGCAGTGCCATGGAAGGGTTCAGCACAGTAATAAGAGCATGATTAAAAGCTAATCACTGGAGGAAAGAGAAGAGCAACAGTGACACTAACAGTCATGGGCAGAGGCCTCTCAATTGCTAGTGTAGCATCAAAGATAGAGGCCCTGTTGGGAACGGTGACTAAGCGAAAACTGGGATTCCCTCCGTTCTTAAGTGGGACAAAGAAATAGTGAAATATTGTCTGTTCTCACTGTTTTTTTAGGCGTGTCCAAGGTAGAATGTGTGTGGTCCATGAGACTGTATAGAGTCAAAACAGTGAAATTGTAACTGTGTCTACCATTGCTTTCCGGTGAGTCCAAAGTAGAATGTGTGTAATCTCTAATCAAAGAAAGAAAGAGTCAAGAGAGTTGGCCTGAAGTCTGCCATAGTAGCAACACATAACAAGAGGATCTGGCAGCACCTTTGACCCACAGTGTTTAGGAAGGTCAAAAATGCAAGGATGAAATCATGTCTTTTGTAGTAACACGGGTGGAGCTGGAGGCCATTATCTCAAGTGAAACAACTCAGAAACAGAAAATCAAACACTGCATGTTCTCACCTATAAGTGGGAGCTAAATAATACATTCACAAGGACATACAGAATGGAATAATAGTGGAAACTCCAAAAGGTGGGAGGGTGGGAAGGGGCTGAGGGATGAAAAACTACTTATTGTGTACAATGTACACTATTTGAGTGAGGGTATAGTAAAAGCCCAGATTTCACCACTCCACAATATATCCTATGTAATAAAACGGCACTTGTACTCAGTCAATATATTTTTTTAAAAAAAGAACACAGCTGATTTGGGCAATGGTGGAAATGTAGTGAAACATGTATCAAAAGGGAAATAGGCAGCCTAGAGCTGGACCATCTGGAGTACAGGAGGCCAGGAATCCCAGAAAAGGCTTAGCAGGGATACCTGGAAGTAAAAAGAAAGATACTGGTCGTAGTACCTTCGTAAAACAGAAAACATATACTAATCAGTATGGATTCATACCCAGTCTTCCTCCACCTGACACCGCCCCTTCTGCCTCACAGTCCTTGGCTTGAGAAATAGACCTCAGGAGGACCAGGGCCTGTGACTTACATGTCTGTGTGCAGGAATGAGGAAACAGCAAGTCTCATGTGGCTGCGGAGGCCTCAGAATACCTACACCCTTCAAGATTCTTGCCCAGGTTTTCTGTCTCATTAAATACAGAAAAGGTATATGCAAAGCCTTTCCTTCTAAACTGGGGATCAATGTAGGATTTGGCTCTTTGAGTCACTGGAAGCCACCTATCTCCACTGATCTCTTCTTTGTACCACCACCACCACTGGGATCAGCAGCTCTGACTGTCCTCCTAGGTTTCCTCAACCACTTAAGCCAGAAAAATGGTTCATGATCCTGGCAACACAAAAATGAGTGGTAGGCTTCATGTGGCATCACTGCTCCAAGATAATACATACTAGATCTCAAATAATGCAATAATAATATAAGAGATACCTTTTATGGTGAGAGTAAAGAACTTGTGTCTTATAATGGTGAATAATCTTTTGTAATTAGCTGGAATAAGCACCTGGCATGCATTCCAGTTTTAGCTATTTCCCCACTGACAGCTGCACATTCAGTAGCTTTAATTTTTTTGATAAGGACCCGCTGCTCCCCTGACCTTGGGTCTAGTCCATGTGCCCTCTAGACAGGGAGCTGCCTTCCCAGGAGGCCCCCTGATTGCCAGCTTTTCCTTTATGCAAGCCAGTGTCTTGGCTGATTCTTTATCTTAAACCCCTATCCCACTGTTTTTCTGGTTAAATGTGTGCTTAATTGTCTTTCCACCTATTAGTCCCCCCAAGACCTGCATTCATCTCCTTTTATCAATCTGCTTTTCCTTCCTAGTGCTTCTCTTAGGACTAAGTGACAACAATCAAGTCCCAAGAAACAAAGCCTACCACTATTATAAATGACTAGGGTGGCTGCATGTGGTATGCCTTAAAGCACTTTAAAAAATGTTTTAATTTTTAATTTTTGTGGGTATGTAATAGATGTATGTATTTATGGGGTACATGAGAACTTTTGGTACAGGCAGGCAATGTGTAATAATCACATCATGGAAAATGGGGTAACCATCTGGTCAAGCATTTATCCTTTGTGTTACAAACAATTTAGCTATACTCTTTTGATTACTTTAAAATGTATAATGAAATTATTATTGACTATAATCCCCCTGTTGTGCTATCAAATACTAGTTATTATTCATTCTTTCTATTTTTTTGTACCCATTCACCTTCCCAACCTCCCCCCGTCAGCTCCTCCACTGTGCTTCCTAGCCTCTGGTAACCATCCTTCTATTCTCTATCTCCACAGGTTCAATTGTTTTGATTTTTAGATTCCACAAATAAATAAGAAAATGTGATATTTGTCTTTCCGTGGCTGGCTTATTTTATAACGAACTTCAGGTCCATCTATGTTGTTGCAAGTGACAAGACCTCATTCTTTTTTATGGCTGAATAGAACTCCATTGTGTGTAAGTAGCACATTTTATTTATCCATTCATCTGTTGATGGACACTTAGGTTGCTTCCACATCTTAGCTTAGTGTGGACAGTGCCGCAACAAACATGGGAGTACAGATATTTCCTTAATATACTGATTTCCTTTATTTGGGGTATATACCAAGCAGTGGGATTGCTGGATGATATAATAGCTCAATTTTTGGATTTTTGAGGGACCCCCAAATTGTTCTCCATAGTGATTGTACTAATTTACATTTTCACAAACAGTGTACGAGGGTTCCCTTTCTTCCACATCCTCGCCAGCATTTGTTATTGCTTGTCTTTTGGATAAAAGCTCTTTTAACTGGGGTGAGAAGATATCTTATTGTAGTTTTGATTTGCATTTCTCTGATGATCAGTGATGTTGAGCACCTTTTCATGTGCCCGTTTGCCATTTGTATGTCTTCTTTTGAGAAATGTCTATTCAAATATTTTGTCCCTTATTTTGATGGGATTATTAGACTTCTTCCTATTGAGTTGTTTGAGCTCCTTATATATTCTGGTTACTAATCCCTTGCCAGATGGGTAGTTTGGAAATATTTTCTTCCATTCTGTGGGTTAAATAATTGACAATCACTTTATTGATTGCTTCCTTTGCTGTGAAGAAACCTCTTAGCTTGATATGATTCCCATTTGTCCATTTTTGCATTGGTTGTCTGTAGTTGCAGGGTGTTTCTCAAGAAATTTTTGCCCAGTGAAATGTGCTGGAGATTTTCCCCAATGGTTTCTTATGGAAGTTTCATAGTTTGAAGTCTTAGCTTTAAGTCTTTAATCCATTTTGATTTGACTTTTGCATATGGGGAGAAATAGGGATCTGGTTTCATTCTTCTGTATATGGATATCCAGTTTTCCAAGCATCAATTATTGAAGACAGACTGTCTTTTCCCCAGCACATGTTCTTGGCACCTTTGTTGAAAATGAGTTTACTGTAGGAATGTGGATTTGTTTCTGGGTTTTCTATTCTGTTCTATTTATCTATGTGTCTGTTTTTATGATAGTACCATGCTGTTTTGGTTGCTATAGCTCTGTAGTATAATTTGAAGTCAGGTAATGTGATTCCTCCAGTTTTTTTATTTTGCTCAGGATAGCTTTGACTATTCTGGGTCTTTTGTGGTTCCATATGGATTTTAGGATTTTTTTTCTATTTCTGTGAAGAATGTCATTGGTATATTGTTAGGGATTGCATCGAATCTGTAGATTGCTTTGAGTAGTTGGCTATTCTAATAATATTGGTTCTTCCAATCCATGATCATGAAATACCTTTCCATTTTTTGGTGTATTCTTCAATTTCTAGGATCAGTGTTTTATAGTTTTCCTGTAAGAAATCCTTCACTTCTTTGGTTAAGCTAATTCCTAGGTATTTAATTTTATTTGTGGCTATTAAAAATGGGACTATATTTTAATTTCTTTTTCAGTTTGTTCACTGTTGGCATATAGAAATGCTACTGATTTTTGTATGTCGATTTTGTATCCTGCAACATTACTGAATTTGTTTATCAGTTCTAACAGCTTTTTTGGTGGAGTCTTTAGGTTTTTCTAAATATAAGATCATGCCATCTGCAAACAAGGACAATTTGACTTATTCCATTCCAATTTGGGTGCCCTTTATTTCTTTCTCTTGTCTGATTGCTCTAGCTAGGACTTCCAGGAGGATGTTGAATAACAGTGGTGACAATGGACATCCTTGTGGTGTTTCAGATCTTATGGTAAAGGCTTTCAGTTTTTCCCTGTTCAGTATGATACTAGCTGTGAATCTGTCATATATGGCTTTTAATATATTGAGGTATATTCCTTCTATACCCAGTTTTTGAGGGCTTTTTCATAAAGGGATGTCGAATTTTATTAAATGCTTTTTCAGCATGAACTGAAATGATCATATGGCTTTTATCCTTCATTTTGTTAATACGATGTATTAGATGGCTTGATTTGCATAAGTTGAACCATCCTTGCATCCCAGGGATAAATCATCCCACTTGGTCATGATGAATGATCTTTCTAATATATTGATGAATTCAGTTTGGTAGTATTTGGTTAAGGATTTTTGCATCAATATTCATCAGAGATATTGGCCTGTGGTTTTCTTTGGTTGATGTGTCTTTGTCTGGTTTTCCTATCAGGGTAAAACTGGCCTCATATAATGAGTTTGGAAGTATTCCCAACTCCTCTATTTTTTCAGAATACTTTGAGTAAGATTGGTATTATTTCTTCTTTAAATGTTTGGTAGAACTCAGCAGAGAAGCTATCAGGTTCTGGGCTTTTTTTTTTTTTTAACTGGGAGAGTTTTTTTACAGCTTCAATCTCATTACTTGTTGTTGGTCTGATTAGAGTTTAGATTTCTTCCTGGTTTAATCGTGGCACATTATTTGAGTCTAGAAATTTGACAATTTCTTCAAGATTTTACAATTTATTGGCATAGATGCTAATAGTAGCCACTAATGATCCTTTGAATTTCTGCAATGTCAGTTGTAATGTCTCCTTTTTCACCTCTGATTTTATTTGGATCTGCTCTTTTTTTCTTAGTCTGGCTAAAGGTTTGCCAATTTTGTTCAACTTTTCAAAAAACCAACTTTTTGTTTCTTTGATATTTTGTATTTTTTTATTTCAATTTCATTTATTTCTGATGTTTATTATTTGTTTTATTTTACTAATTTTGGGTTTGGCTTGCTCTTGCTATTTTAGTTTTTGTTGTTGTTGTTGTTGTTGTTGTTGTTTTGAGACTGAGTCTCACTTTGTCACCCAGGCTGGAGTGTAGTGGCGTGACCTTGGCTCACTGCAACCTCCATATCCCAGGTTCAAGCAATTCTCCTGCCTCAGCCTCCCAAGTAGCTGGGATTACAAGCACACAGTACCATGCCTGGGTATTTTTTTTCTATTTTTAGTAGAGTTGGGGATTCACTATATTGGCCAGGCTGGTCTCGAACTCCTGACCTCAGATGATCTACTCGCCTTGGCCTCCCAAAGTGCTGGGATTACAGGCATGAGCCACTGTGCCTGGCTTTTTTAGTTATTTAAGGTGCATTGTTAGATTGTTTATTTGAAGATTTTCCTCTCCTTTGATGTAGGCACTTATAAACTTCTCTCTGAGTACTGCTTTTGCTGTATCCCATAGGTTTTGGTATATTGTGTTTCCATTATCATTTGTTTCAAGAAATTTTTAAATTTCCTTCTTAATTTCTTCATTGACCCACTGGTCATTCAGGAGCACATTGTTTAACTTCAATGCATTTGTATAGTTTCCAGAATTCCTCTTGTTATTATTTTCTAGTTTTATTCCATTGTGGTCAGAGAAGATGCTTGATATTATTCCAATTTTTTTGAATGCTTTAAGACTTTTTTGTGACCTAACATGTGGTCTATCCTTAAGCATGATCCATGTGCTGAGGAAAAGAATGTGTATTCTGCAGCTGTTGAATGAAATGTTCCATAAATATCTATTACATCCATTTGGTCTACAGTGCAGATTAAGTCTGATGTTTCTTTTTTCATTTTCTGTCTAGAAGATCTGTTCAATGCTGAAAGTGGGCTGTTGAAATCTTCAGCTATTATTGTATTTTGGTCTATCTCTTTAGCTCTAATAATATCTGCTTTATATATCTGAGTGCTACACTGTTTGTTGCATATATTTTTGCAATTCTTATATCCTTTTCCTAAATTGACCCCTCTGTCATTATATAGTGACTTCTATCCCTTCTTATAGTTTTTGCCTTGAAATCTGCATTCTACATTGTCTGATATAAGAATAGCTACTCTTGCTATTTTTTGGCTTCCATTTGCATGGATTATCTTTTTCCATTTCTTTATTTTCAGTCTATATGTGTCTTTATAGGTGAAGTATGTTTCTTGTAGGCAACAGATCAATGGGTCTTATTTTTTTCATCCACTCGGCCACTCTGTCTTTTGACTGGAGAGTTTCATCTATTTACATTCATTGTCATTATTGATAAGTAAAGACTTACTCCTGCCATTTTCTTATTTGGTTTTTGGCTGTTTTGTGATGTTCTGTTCTTTATTTATTTCCCTCCTGTCTTCCATCAGTGAAGGTGATTTTCTCTGGTGATATGATTTAGTGTTTTTCTTTTTTGTGTTTCCATTGTATGATTTTTGGTTTGAGGTTACCATGAGGCTTGTAAATACTATTTTATAAACAATTATTTTAACCCAATAAGAACTTAATGCTGTTTACATAAAAATAAATAAGCAGGGGGGAGGAGCCAAGATGGCCAAATAGGAACAGCTCCGGTCTACAGCTCCCAGTGTGAGCGACGCAGAAGATGGGGGATTTCTGCATTTCCATCTGAGGTACCGGGTTCATCTCACTAGGGAGTGCCAGACAGTGGGCGCAGGCCAGTGGGTGCGCGCACGGTGCGCGAGCCGAAGCAGGGCGAGGCATTGCCTCACCTGGGAAGCTCAAGGGGTCAGGGAGTTCCCTTTCTGAGTCAAAGAAAGGGGTGACGGACGCACCTGGAAAATTGGGTCACTCCCACCCGAATATTGCGCTTTTCAGACCGGCTTAAAAAACGGCGCACCACGAGACTGTATCCCACACCTGGCTCGGAGGGTCCTACGCCCATGGAGTCTTGCTGATTGCTAGCACAGCAGTCTGAGATCAAACTGCAAGGCGGCAGCGAGGCTGGGGGAGGGGCGCCCGCCATTGCCCAGGCTTGCTTAGATAAAGCAGCCAGGAAGCTCGAACTGGGTGGAGCCCACCACAGCTCAAGGAGGCCTGCCTGCCTCTGTAGGCTCCACCTCTGGGGGCAGGGCACAGACAAACAAAAAGACAGCAGTAACCTCTGCAGGCTTAAATGTCCCTGTCTGACAGCTTTGAAGAGAGCAGTGGTTCTCCCAGCACGCAGCTGGAGATCTGAGAACGGGCAGATTGCCTCCTCAAGTGGGTCCCTGACCCCTGACCCCTGAGCAGCCTAACTGGGAGGCACCCTCCAGCAGGGGCACACTGACACCTCACAAGGCAGGGTATTCCAACAGACCTGCAGCTGAGGGTCCTGTCTGTTAGAAGGAAAACTAACAAACAGAAAGGACATCCACACAGAAAACCCATCTGTACATCACTATCATCAAAGACCAAAAGTAGATAAAACCACAAAGATGGGTAAAAAACAGAACAGAAAAACTGGAAACTCTAAAACGCAGAGCGCCTCTCCTCCTCCAAAGGAACACAGTTCCTCACCAGCAACGGAACAAAGCTGGATGGAGAATGACTTTGATGAGCTGAGAGAAGAAGGCTTCAGACGATCAAATTACTCTGAGCTACGGGAGGACATTCAAACCAAAGGCAAAGAAGTTGAAAACTTTGAAAAAAATTTAGAAGAATGTATAACTAGAATAATCAATACAGAGAAGTGTTTAAAGGAGCTGATGGAGCTGAAAACCAAGGCTCAAGAACTACGTGAAGAATGCAGAAGCCTCAGGAGCCGATGCGATCAACTGGAAGAAAGGGTATCAGCAATGGAAGATGAAATGAATGAAATGAAGCGAGAAGGGAAGTTTAGAGAAAAAAGAATAAAAAGAAATGAGCAAAGCCTCCAAGAAATATGGGACTATGTGAAAAGACCAAATCTACGTCTGATTGGTATACCTAAAAGTGATGGGGAGAATGGAACCAAGTTGGAAAACACTCTGCAGGATATTATCCAGGAGAACTTCCCCAATCTAGCAAGGCAGGCCAACGTTCAGATTCAGGAAATACAGAGAACGCCACAAAGATACTCCTCGAGAAGAGCAACTCCAAGACACATAATTGTCAGGTTCACCAAAGTTGAAATGAAGGAAAAAATGTTAAGGGCAGCCAGAGAGAAAGGTCGGGTTACCCTCAAAGGGAAGCCCATCAGACTAACAGCGGATCTCTCGGCAGAAACCCTACAAGCCAGAAGAGAGTGGGGGCCAATATTCAACATTCTTAAAGAAAAGAATTTTCAACCCAGAATTTCATATCCAGCCAAACTAAGCTTCATAAGTGAAGGAGAAATAAAATACTTTACAGACAAGCAAATGCTGAGACATTTTGTCACCACCAGGCCTGCCCTAAAAGAGCTCCTGAAGGAAGCGCTAAACATGGAAAGGAACAACCGGTACCAGCTGCTGCAAAATCATGCCAAAATGTAAAGACCATCGAGACTAGGAAGAAACTGCATCAACTAATGAGCAAAATCACCAGCTAACATCATAATGACAGGATCAAATTCACACATAACAATATTAACTTTAAATGTAAATGGACTAAATTCTCCAATTAAAAGACACAGACTGGCAAATTGGATAAAGAGTCAAGACCCATCAGTGTGCTGTATTCAGGAAACCCATCTCAGGTGCAGAGACACACATAGGCTCAAAATAAAAGGATGGAGGAAGATCTACCAAGCAAATGGAAAACAAAAAAAGGCAGGGGTTGCAATCCTAGTCTCTGATAAAACAGACTTTAAACCAACAAAGATCAAAAGAGACAAAGAAGGCCATTACATAATGGTAAAGGGATCAATTCAACAAGAAGAGCTAACTATCCGAAATATATATGCACCCAATACAGGAGCACCCAGATTCATAAAGCAAGTCCTGAGTGACCTACAAAGAGACTTAGACTCCCACACAATAATAATGGGAGACTTTAACACCGAACTGTCAACATTAGACAGATCAACGAGACAGAAAGTCAACAAGGATGCCCAGGAATTGAACTCAGCTCTGCACCAAGCGGACCTAATAGACATCTACAGAACTCTCCACCCCAAATCAACAGAATATACATTTTTTTCAGCACCACACCACACCTATTCCAAAATTGACCACATAGTTGGAAGTAAAGCTCTCCTCAGCAAATGTAAAAGAACAGAAATTATAACAAACTATCTCTCAGACCACAGTGCAATCAAACTAGAACTCAGGATTAAGAATCTCACTCAAAGCCGCTCAACTACATGGAAACTGAACAACCTGCTCCTGAATGACTACTGGGTACATAACGAAATGAAGGCAGAAATACAGATGTTCTTTGAAACCAACGAGAACAAAGACACAACATACCAGAATCTCTGGGATGCATTCAAAGCAGTGTGTAGAGGGAAATTTATAGCACTAAATGCCCACAAGAGAAAGCAGGAAAGATCCAAAATTGACACCCTAACATCACAATTAAAAGAACTAGAAAAGCAAGAGCAAACACATTCAAAAGCTAGCAGAAGGCAAGAAATAACTAAAATCAGAGCAGAAGTGAAGGAAATAGAGACACAAAAAACCCTTCAAAAAATTAATGAATCCAGGAGCTGGTTTTTTGAAAGGATCAACAAAATTGATAGACCGCTAGCAAGACTAATAAAGAAAAAAAGAGAGAAGAATCAAATAGACGCAATAAAAAATGTTAAAGGGGATATCACCACCGATCCCACAGAAATACAAACTACCATCAGAGAATACTACAAACACCTCTATGCAAATAAACTAGAAAATCTAGAAGAAATGGATAAATTCCTTGACACATACACTCTCCCAAGACTAAACCAGGAAGAAGTTGAATCTCTGAATAGACCAATAACAGGAGCTGAAATTGTGGCAATAATCAATGGTTTACCAACCAAAAAGAGTCCAGGACCAGATGGATTCACAGCCGGATTCTACCAGAGGTACAAGGAGGAACTGGTACCATTCCTTCTGAAAGTATTCCAATCAATAGAAAAAGAGGGAATCCTCCCTAACTCATTTTATGAGGCCAGCATCATTCTGATACCAAAGCCGGGCAGAGACACAACCAAAAAAGAGAATTTTAGACCAATATCCTTGATGAACATTGATGCAAAAATCCTCAATAAAATACTGGCAAACCAAACCCAGCAGCACATCAAAAAGCTTATCCACCATGATCAAATGGGCTTCATCCCTGGGATGCAAGGCTGGTTCAATATACGCAAATCAATAAATGTAATCCAGCATATAAACAGAGCCAAAGACAAAAACCACATGATTATCTCAATAGATGCAGAAAAAGCCTTTGACAAACTTCAACAACCCTTCATGCTAAAAACTCTCAGTAAATTAGGTATTGATGGGACGTATTTCAAAATAATAAGAGGTATCTACGACAAACCCACAGCCAATATCATACTGAATGGGCAAAAACTGGAAGCATTCCCTTTGAAAACTGGCACAAGACAGGGATGCCCTCTCTCACCACTCCTATTCAACATAGTGTTGGAAGTTCTGGCCAGGGCAATTAGGCAGGAGAAGGAAATAAAGGGTATTCAATTAGGAAAAGAGGAAGTCAAATTGTCCCTGTTTGCAGACGACATGATTGTATATCTAGAAAACCCCATTGTCTCAGCCCAAAATCTCCTTAAGCTGATAAGTAACTTCAGCAAAGTCTCAGGATACAAAATCAATGTACAAAAATCACAAGCATTCTTATACACCAACAACAGACAAACAGAGAGCCAAATCATGAGTGAACTCCCATTCACAATTGCTTCAAAGAGAATAAAATACCTAGGAACCCAACTTACAAGGGATGTGAAGGACCTCTTCAAGGAGAACTACAAAGCACTGCTCAAGGAAATAAAAGAGGATACAAAAAAATGGAAGAACATTCCATGCTCATGGGTAGGAAGAATCAATATCGTGAAAATGGCCATACTGCCCAAGGTAATTTACAGATTCAATGCCATCCCCATCAAGCTACCAATGACTTTCTTCACAGAATTGGAAAAAACTACTTTAAAGTTCATATGGAACCAAAAAAGAGCCCGCATCGCCAAGTCAATCCTAAGCCAAAAGAACAAAGCTGGAGGCATCACACTACCTGACTTCAAACTATAGTACAAGGCTACAGTAACCAAAACAGCATGGTACTGGTACCAAAACAGAGATATAGATCAATGGAACAGAACAGAGCCCTCAGAAATAACGCTGCATATCTACAACTATCTGATCTTTGACAAACCTGAGAAAAACAAGCAATGGGGAAAGGATTCCCTATTTAATAAATGGTGCTGGAAAACTGGCTAGCCATATGTAGAAAGCTGAAACTGGATCCCTTCCTTACACCTTATACAAAAATCAATTCAAGATGGATTAAAGATTTAAACGTTAGACCTAAAACCATAAAAACCCTAGAAGAAAACCTAGGCATTACCATTCAGGACATAGGCATAGGCAAGGACTTCATGTCCAAAACACCAAAAGCAATGGCAACAAAAGACAAAATTGACAAATGGGATCTAATGAAACTAAAGAGCTTCTGCACAGCAAAAGAAACTACCATCAGAGTGAACAGGTAACCTACAAAATGGGAGAAAATTTTTTCAACCTACTCATCTGACAAAGGGCTGATATCCAGAATCTACAATGAACTCAAACAAATTTACAAGGAAAAAACAAACAACCCCATCAAAAAGTGGGCGAAGGACATGAACAGACACTTCTCAAAAGAAGACATTTATGCAGCCAAAAAACACATTAAAAAATGCTCATCATCACTAGCCATCAGAGAAATGCAAATCAAAACCACAATGAGATACCATCTCACACCAGTTAGAATGGCAATCATTAAAAAGTCAGGAAACAACAGGTGCTGGAGAGGATGTGGAGAAATAGGAACACTTTTACACTGTTGGTGGGACTGTAAACTAGTTCAACCATTGTGGAAGTCAGTGTGGCGATTCCTCAGGGATCTAGAACTAGAAATACCATTTGACCCACCAATCCCATTACTGGGTATATACCCAAATGAGTATAAATCATGCCGCTATAAAGACACATGCACACGTATGTTTATTGCGGCATTATTCACAATAGCAAAGACTTGGAACCAACCCAAATGTCCAACAATGATAGACTGGATTAAGAAAATGTGGCACATATACACCATGGAATACTATGCAGCCATAAAAAATGATGAGTTCATGTCCTTTGTAGGGACATGGATGAAATTGGAAATCATCATTCTCAGTAAACTATCGCAAGAACAAAAAACCAAACACCGCATATTCTCACTCATAGGTGGGAATTGAACAATGAGATCACATGGACACAGGAAGGGGAATATCACACTCTGGGGACTGTGGTGGGGTGGGGGGAGGGGGGAGGGATAGCATTGGGAGATATACCTAATGCTGGATGACGAGTTAGTGGGTGCAGCGCACCAGCATGGCACATGTATACATATGTAACTAACCTGCACAATGTGCACATGTACCCTAAAACTTAAAGTATAATAAAAAAAAAAGAAAAAAAAATAAATAAGCAAAAAGAAAACCAATAAAAATTCTATGCCTTAACTTTGTTCCCCCGCTTTTAAACTTTCAGTTATTTCTATTTATATCTTATTGGACTATCTATGTCTTGACAACTTGTAGTTATTATTTTTGACTTGTTTATTAGTCTTTCTACTTAAGATAAGAGTAGTTTACACACCACAGTTACACTGTTATAATAATCTGCTTTTCTGTAAACTTATTTTGTTAGTGAATTTTGTACCCTCAGATGATTTCTTATTGCTTATTAACATCCGTTTCATTTGGACTGAAATGCCCCCATTAACATCTCTTGTAGGACAGATCTGGTGTTGATGAATGTTATGGTTTTCTTGTGTCCCAACCCAAACGTCACCTTGAATTGTAGTTCCCATAATCCCCATGTGTGGTGGAAGGATAGGAGGTAATTGGATCATTGGGGCAGTTTCCCCCATGCTATTCTCGTGATAGTAAGTTCTCACGAGATCTGATTAAGGGGCTTCCCCCTTCACTTGGCTCTCTTTCTTCTCCTTCCTGTCACCATGTGAAGAAGGACGTGTTTACTTCCCCTTCCACCATGATCGTAAGTTTCCTGAAGCCTCCCCAGCCATGCTGAACTGTGAGCCAATTAAACCTCTTTCCTTTATAAGTTACCCAGTCTCAGGTATGTCTTTATTAGTAGCATGAGAATGGACTAAAACAATGAAATTCCTCAGCTTTTGTTTGTCTGGGAAAGTCTTTATTTCTCCTTCATGTTCACCAGCTATACTATTGTAGGGTAAATGATTTTTTTTTTTCCTTCAGCACTTTAAATATACCATGCCACTCTCCTGGCCTGTAAGGTTTCCACTGAAAAGTCTTCTGCCAGACATATTGGAGTTCCATTGTATGTTCCCTTTGTTTCTTTTCTCTTGTTGCTTTTAGTATCCTTTCTTTATCCTTGACCTTTGGGAGTATGATTATTAAATGCCTTGAGATAGTCTTCTTTTGGTTAAATCTGCTTGGTGTTCTATAACCTTCTTGTACTTGAATATTGATATCTTTCTCTAGGTTTGGGATGTTGTTTGTTATCATCCCTTTGAATAAACTTTCTACCATTATTTATGTCTCTTCTTTAGAGGCAGTAACTCTTAGATTTGTCCTTTTGAGGCTGTTTTATAGCTTCTGTAGGTGTGCTTCATTTTTAAATTATTTTTTCTTTTGTCTCCTCTGACTGTGTATTTTCAAATAGCCTGTCCTCAAGTTTACTAATTCTTTTGTCTGCTTATTCAGTTTTGCAACTAGAGGACTCTGATGCATTTTTCACTATGCCAATTGCATTTTTCAGCTCCAGAATTTCTACTTGATTCTTTTTAATTACTTCAATCTCTTTGTTAAGTTTATATAATAGAATTCCGAATACTTTGTCTGTGTTGTGTTGAATTTCTTTGAGTTTCCTCACTACAGCTATTTTGCATTCTCTGTCTGAACGGTCACATATCCTTGTTTCTCCAGGATTGGTACTTGGTGCGTTATTTAGTTCATTTGGTGAGATCATATTTTCCTGGATGGTTTTAATGCTAGTAGACATTATTTGATGTCTGGGCATTGAAGAGTTAGGTATTTATTATAGTCTTCACTGTCTGGGCTTATTTGCAGTCTTTCTTCTTGGGAAGGCTTTCCAGGTATTTGAAAGGACTTCGGTGTTGTGGTCTAAGCTTCTTCTGGTTTGGGCGGCACCCCAAGCCTGGTAACACTTGTTTCCTGCAGACTTGTAGAGGTACCACCTTGATGGTCTTGGACAAGATCTGAAAGATTTCTCTGGATTACCATGCAGAGACTTTTGTTCCTATCCCTTACTTTCTCCCAAAGAAATGGAGTCTCTCTGTCTGTTCTGAGCCACCTAAAGGTGAGGGTGGAGTGACACAAGCACCTTTGTGGCCACCACCACTGTGACTGTACTGGATCAGACCTGAAACCAACTCAGCACTAGGTTTCACCCAAGGCCTGCTGTAACCTCTCCCTGGCTACTGCCTAGGTTCACTCTAGGCCCTAGGGCTCTACAATCAGCTGGTGGCAAAGCCAGTCAGGCCTGTGCCCTTCCCTTCAGGGTGGTGAGTTCCCCGAGGCCCTGGGTGGGTCCAGAGATGCTGTCTGGTAGTCAGGGACTGGAGTCAAAAACCTTAGACATCTACCTGGTATTCTTTTGTACTACAGTTGAGCGGGCACTAAAACCACAAGACACAGTCCTTCCAGTCTTCCTTCCCTTTTGCAAAGGCAGAGGAGTCTCACCCCATAGCCACCATTACCACATCTCCTGAGGAGTTCTGCCAGACTACTGCCGATGTTCCCTTAAGGCCCAAGAGTCTTCAGTCAGCTTGTGGTGAATGTTGCCTGTTCTGGGACTCACCTGTCAGGGCAGTGGGCTCCCATCTGGCCCGGGGCAGGTCCAGAGATGCCATCCAAGACTCAAGTCCTCAGTGACCCCAAAAGCCCACTTTGTGTTCTACCCCCACTATTGCTATACCAGTACTTGCGGTATAAAACAAAATATCCTGTACTTTTCCCTTCACTTTTCTCAAGCAGAAATTTTACCCCATAGTCACCATAGCTGGGAATGTGCTGAGTTTCACCTGAAGCCAGCAAATCTCAGAGGCTCACCAAGGCCCTTGTATTAGTCCATTCTCATACTGCTATAAAGAAATACCAGAGACTGGGTAATTTATAAAGAAAAGAGGTTTCATTGCCTCACAGTTCCACATGACTGAGGAGGCCTAAAGAAACTTACAATCATGGTGGAAGGCGAAGAGGAAGCAAGCTTGGACCTTCTCACATGGTGGCAGGCAAGAGAAGTACAAGCAGGGGAAATGCTAGATGCTTATAAAATAATGAGAACTCATTCACTGTCATGAGAACAGCATGGGGGAAACTGCCCCCATGATACAATCGCCTCCCACCAGGGATTATGGGGATTACAATGCAAGATGAGTTTTGGGTGGAGACACAGAGTCAAACCATATCAGCTCTCAACATAGTACATGTGTATTGCTGCTGGTTATTCACGGCTCATGGGCTCTTCGGCAGGTGATGAATGCTACCAGGACTGGGCCCTTTCCCTCAAGACAGCAGGCTCCCTTCTGGCCCAGGGTTTGTCTAGAAATGTTGTCTGGGAGCTAGGACCTGAAACGGGTGCCTCGCAACTCTGACTGGTGCCCTATCGTGCTGTGGCTGAGCTGGTATTCAAGACTTCCCTCTCCACTCCTCCCTCTCCTCAAGCAGAATGAAGAGTGGTATCCACTCTTCCCTCTCCTCTCCTCAAGCAGAATGAAGGTGTCTTTTTAAGAGATGAGATCTGTGCAGCCTAGGGTTAGGGGAGGCGTGATGCCAGCACTCTCTTAGCTGCCCCAGCTGGTGTCTCAGTATGTTGCTTGCTTCTCACAGTTCACTGTATCTGGGCCCAGTTCAGCACTAGGGCTCACCTAAGAGTTGCAGTCCTTATGGCCTAGACAGCTTTTCAAATTTACTTAGACACTGCGAGTTCTTTGGCCCTAGGTGGCAAGGTTTTCAGGAACTCAAGTTCAGACTGCTGGGATGAGTGATTTTCCTCTGGCTAGAGCTGGTTTAAATGCTCCCTCCATGAGTGAGCATCAGTTGAGTTTTGTTCAGTTTTTCTTTCTGCTCTAACAGGACAGCACTGAGTTCAATACCTCACAATTGCTGTGTTCTCCTTCCCCCAGTGCCCAGAGATGCTCTCAGCACTATGCTGCTGCTGCTGGGAGTAGGGCAGGGATGGTGTTGGAGATTCAGGACTTTTTTCTTTCTCTTCGGTGCTTCTTTCAGTAATATGTAGTTACTGTGAGTGCTCTCCTCATTTTTGGTTCTTATGAAGGTGTTTTTTCCTATATAGATAGTAGCTAAATTGGTGTGCTTGCTGGGGAATAATCGGTGGAGCCTTCTATTCTGCCATTTTGCTTCTTTGCTATCACTGGAATTAATTTTGGTGGTGACCTAGATCCTAAGATTTCCCTGGGTTTTGTTTTTGTTCATTTCTTTGTCCAATCTCAACCTTGAGCCTTGCGTTATCTTTAATCTCATTTCCATTCTTTCCTTACCACCCCATTTCTCCACAAGAATAGATCTTTGATTTGGCATCCATAAATCACTTAACTATCTGGTTTAAGGAGTGTTTAGCCCTACAGACTCTATCCTGGAGGCCAGGCACAGAGAGCTCATGTTTAAAAATATGAAGAAAAATAAAAGCAGAAGGAGAGCAAGATGGCACAAAGAAGTTGGTCCTGTAATATCGCTTAAAAATTTGAAAGATCTGAAGAGTGCCAGCTTTGAAATAGGAAAGAAAGAAAACCCACACAATAAAAGCAGTTGGTCCGTTATCTATTTAGAACCTTGAGGCTCATGATCATGTATCATAATAAATCTCTCTCCATCCCCCAGCAACCTCTGCTGTATTCTGCCTTCTATGAAATGGCTCTTCCAGAATGTTTTGTCTTCATTTCTCTACTCTCAGATACACCTAGGGTAAGGGGCCTAGTTGAATTCTCCTTTAACCAATCACATTCTGACGTTGTCTTTTCCCTCCACTTGGACAGGTCACTTTCCCACTCAGTTACTTCATCTGTGAAGAGAGTAAAATGGAGAAATGACTTTCCATTTCCATCTTTTTAAAAAAATTGTGACTACAATTTTCACTAAATAACATTCAGCACTACTCATGGGTGAGGGACCCTGATATTTTTTTGCGCTATTCTTTTTTGTTATTTTAATTGCTTGCTGTTACCCAGTGAAACTGATTTTACAACTCTGAGAGTGATGACTGGTAGTTTGAAGAACACTGAACTGGAGGGTCTTAAAGATATTTTTCTGCTCAAATATGCTAAAAGTTAGAGGATTTATACTGGAAACTTGGCAAAACACAGTAACATTTATCCATAGCTGCAGCCTTCCTGAGTCTCTCTCTTTGACTTTTCCTCTACTTGTCAGCAGTTATAAAAGTCAGATATTCCGCATCTGCAGGACATGGTTCCCTAGGCCTATCTGCCCTCGCATCTACCCTCCCATCCACACAGCAATGCCCGGGCCCATCCTCCCACACAGCAGTGCCCAGGCACTTAGCATTTCTAAACCCCAGTGACCTCATCTGTAAAAGAGAAATGATAATGCAGACATTACAGATTGTGATAAGGGTAAAATGAGATCCTGGGTGTGAAGATGCCCATAAGCGTCATGACCTGCCAGTTCCTCAGGCTGAATGTGACCTGCAGGCATACTTTGTTTGTGCTGTACCATGCACACACTTCACTTTGCCACTGCCCCTACCGCTCCTATTGTCTAACACTCTCTGATAGCCCACATTAAGATTATCCTTAAAGGCATTTAAGTGTGCTATTACTGGCTTAGTTAGCATAAGTCATGGAACAAATTTGGCATTTAATGCAGGTCATTCTCTTTATTTTCCCTGGTTTAGCACTGCGGAAATCACTTAAGTCATGTGACCTCAGGCAGGTCTTTTAAACTGTAAGTCTCATTTTCTTCATTAAAGTGGAAATAATACCTGTCCTGCGTGCTTTTCAGGGTTATTGGGAGGATCAAATAAGACAACAGATTCTTCATTTATTAACTCATTTGACCAACATTTATTGATCCATGTATGTCCCAATGGTAGCCTTGCCCATTCCTCCCAAGAAGTTTTCAGTGTCAAAGGGAAGACACACCTGAAAAAAGGTGCTGCCATGGAGCTCATGCACAGAGCTGGGGAAACAGGGGAGTAAGCATGAGAAGCCTGACGATAAGGCAAGAGTTTATTGTCAACAAGATTGTCAAAATATCAACCATGGGGTTGTATTAGTAAAAGGTTTTGTGAGAAGAGCAGCATTTTGGTGCCACAGATAATGCTATCTAATTATCCCTTACATGACTCTGCCACACTAGCTCTTTGTGTTATCTAGTGTCTTTTCCTTTATATCCTCTCATTTGTCTCCCCTCCCGCATCCTCATTGCCAGCAGACCTGTGAGGCAAACGTAGCTAGCTCTGTTATCCCCATGTCACAGATAAGGGAACTCAAGTTCATAAATATTAAGAGATTTGCTTAAGATCACTTACCCAGGCAGACTTCTTCTCAGCTACCTTCCATAGACACATATCCTCTATTTTATGATGGAAACATGATGTATCAAAGGATGGGGTGTGGTGTGGAATGTTTATTGCTGTCCATCATGCCCAACATCCCCCAGAACTTGGAAGGTTTTGGTGCTCTGGGATATGGCTGGCTTAACATTGCTTGGACCTCCTGTGGTTTGCATTTCCAGAGCTTTTCATGTAACATACAAATCATCTTTTCATGGCTTTTAACTGCACCACTGTTGCCCAGTTGTTCAGCTTTACCACTGTACTCTATCATAATTAAACTAGGCAAGATAACAACACAGACTCATGATTAACATATTAATAAACTTCATATCATATGTCCTGACAAATTTCTCATTACTCATGATGCATCACAAAGTGATTCTCCACAGGCACCTGAAGAATAGCAAGTCTAATTTTGGCAAATGAGTGATGATAAATTTCATTTCATTCATCTAGGGAATGGTCATAAGTGAAAAACAAACCCAGGCACTACTTCAGTAGAGGTGAAACTGATGAAAATGCAAAGTGAGAGCTCCACTTTATTGAACCATGAGATTTGGACTTCTCTATAATGATCTAAAATAATTGAGAAACATTCAACAAGATAACTGACTAATATCATCAATAGTGTCCAGGCAATGAAAGACAAAGACTAAAGTACCATCACAGACTGGAAGAGACCAAAGAGATACAACAACTATTACAAAAGGGGACCTGGATTAGAACAGATCAGGGACATTCGTGCAAGAAACCTGATGAAATTCCAATAAGGTCTGTAGTTTAGTTAATAGTATTAAGCCAATGTAATTTTCTGGTTTTGATAATTTTATGAAGGTTATACAAGCTGTTAACATTAAAGGAAGCTAGGTAAAGAGTATATGTGAACTTTCTGGACTGTTTTTGCACCTTTTCTGTAAGTCCAAAATTATTTTCGAATAAGAAGTTAAAAATGATCTGAAGTTTATATGTACAATCTTAACTGTCCAACATGAAATAAACCAGCCATACTGGAGCTAAACTCAGCATTTACTAGTGGGCATGAGTCTGATCCATGATTCTTTTTTGGCCTTATAAGCGAGTCAGATTTTGCAGGTTTTTTACATATACGGGTAATGACAATCCTAGGCCAGGCTGAGGGATGATTGTGAAACAATGAGTGTGAGCATGGGACTGAGTTCTATGACCCTAACCTGTTTTCACTTCAATTTCCTCATTTAGAAAAGATGGAATTAAACTCAATTTTTAAACAATGCTTTAAAGTTTTGAAATTTTATGGCATTACTTCTACCTCAACTGTACATGTTGAGGAAAATAAACTTTGGGAAACGTTGAAACAGGGATGTCAAAGGAGGGTCAACTTCTTTGGAGGTAGTAGGATTGGCAATAATTCTGGAGATAATGGTGACTTGTGAAATCCCTTTACAAAATAGCCAGGACCAGTCCTATAAGTGTTACCTTGTTAGCAGGTATGACATCCTATTGGATATTGGGGATAAGGGATGATGTTGGGAGCAGGATATGAGGTCAGCATACACTGTGGGAAATAGTAATGGAGGATCCCTCTTTTGTCTGAGTATTATCCACTCGCAGTGCCTATAAACGCTTTTTTATTTTTCAATCAGAACAACACTGTTGTCCAGGAAATATAAGTCATAGTCTATTGCAGAATTGTTTATATATACATTGTCTCCATTTTCAAGATGAGGAATTTGCAGAGTGATATGTTCCTGTGGCTTTGCCTGAAGTTACAGGAATCCAGTGAAGTAGGTTCCCCCTCAGTTTTGTGTACTGTAATAATAGTAAAAATAGTAATAGTAATCGTCACCATTATTATTATCACCCCTTTACTCATATAGCACTTTTAACCTTTCAAAGCACATTTGATTCATTATTACTTTGTTTCTTCGTATCTGTTCTGTGCACTTGAGGTAGGCAAGGTAGATATGACTTTTGACTTTTTTTTTACAAAGGAGAATGCTTGGTAATGTTTTGGATATTCACCCAATAGTTATTTCTGGCTGAAAGAATGTTGTCATTGACTCACCACTTGAACATATTCAAACTCTTTGGAATATCCCACTACTTCTAAGGTTTCCCAAGTCATAATAATTGTCTTCTGCAAGAAGCCACAATAGAGGGAAGTGTTTTTGTGAAGTTTGGCATTTAGAAAGGGTTAACAAGGGTAATACTGTGCTGGTAATAGAAAAGTCAAAAATTTATATTACCATTAAATGTAATATTTTGCTAACCCTTATCTAACTCCACTGCCTCTAATAATTTTCCTTGAGTATCTGTATTATATTTGTAATTATTAAAATCTGCTTTGTTTTCTCTTAATACACTTTGTTTTAGACACACAAAACCAATCCCATTTAAATTCTCCTTGGATTCAGGTTTTCTCATTGAATACTAGTTGAGCACATGTGAATATCATTAAATGAATAACTGTGATCTTCTAGCTCCTTTAAATAGTGAGGTGGTGGAAAAAGATCTTTAGTTCTGGGTATTAATCCTGTTGCAAATTGCTTATCTTTAGGAGGCCTCAAACTGCACTTATGCACCTTACTAGAATTTTGGTTGGAATTAAATTTTAGAAATATTTTCAGCTGAGGTAACACCCGTTTTGTAGAACCCAAAGGAAGAACTGACCTAGGCCCAATAGCTCTCTGGAAAATATAAGCATCATAGCCATGATTAGATAGTTACATTTGTGGTTGGCTGAATTTTATGATGGTTCCATAAGATTTCCCACCTTGATCCCCAGATTGTGAATACTATGACATATCTACAAAGGGATTCTACAGGTTACCTTAAGATAGGGTGATTATCCAGATGGGACCAATCTAATTATATGAGGCCTTTAAAAACAGAGCATTTTCTTCAGCTGGTAGTATAAAAGGAAGTCAGAGGGATTGGAAGCATGTGAAGGATTTGATGCACTCTTGCTGACTTTGAAGATGAGGGGATAGAGGAGTCCACATGGAAGGAGTGACTAGAAGCTGAGAGCACCCCTGGCTGACAGCCAGAAAGGAAATGGGGAGCTCAGTCCTCCAGCTGAACAAAACAGAATTTTTCCAACGACTTAACGGACCTGTACCCCAGAGCCTAACCTGGTCAACATCTTGATTTCGGCCTTGTGAGACTCAACACAGAACACAGTTGAGCTCATTGACTTCCAGCCTTAGAACTGTGAGGTAATAAATAAGTGTTGTTTTAGGCTGCTAAATTGGTAGTAATTTTTATGCAATAGAAAACTAGTACAGATGCTCCTTGACTTATGGGGTTATGTCCCAATAAACCTATGGTAAGTTGAAAATATCACAAGTAATGACTTACGATTCAGAGTTACATTCATCCGGATGTAACCCTGCACTGAATGTGTATTGCTTTCACACTATAATAAAATTGAAAAATCTTAAATTGAGCCATTGTAAGCCAGGAAGAGCCTGTATACCATTCCATAATGTTGAAAGAACTACGGATGTTTAATCTGGATAAAAATGACTGAGGGGGAACATTTGGATAGTTTTTCATGTGAAAGAAGTAGTCAATATTCTGTTTTACTAATAAGCAGTGCTTTCCAATAAAACTTTCTGAGCTGATGGAAATGTTCTGTAGTTATACCATTCAATATGGCAGCCACTAGCCACAAGTGGCTACTGAGAACTTGACATATGACTACTTCATCTGAGGAAATGAGATTTAAATTTATTAATCTATAATTTAAAAAAATAGTACTGGTTTTAGATTCAGATAGCCATATTTGACTGCTGTCTGCTGAGTTGGACAAAACAGCTCTAGAAGGTTAAAGAAGGAAAAATGTGGCTGGGCGCGGTGGCTCACACCTGTAGTCCCAGCACTTTGGGAGGCCTAGGTGGATGGATCACAAGGTCAGGAGATTGAGACCATCCTGGCTAAACCCCGTCTCTACTAAAAATACAAAAAATTAGCCGGGTGTGGTGGTGGGCACCTGCAGCCCCAGCTATTCCGGAGGCTGAGGCAGGAAAATGACGTGAACCCGGGAGGCGGAGCTTGCAGTGAGCCGAGATGGCACCACTGCACTCCATCCTGGGCGATAGAGCAAGACTCTGTCTCAAAAAAAAAAAAAAAAAAAGAAGGAAAAATGTATAGAAGCACCAGGCCAGTAGAGTTAATGTGGCCTAAGCAAGACCTTTCTACTAATTGGATCTATTTACAAATAGAATGGCCAACTGTCAAGTAGTGAGTTCTGAGTCACTGAATGAGTTAAACAGAAGCTGGATGACTATGTGTCAAGGACACTATAGGGACGATTCCTGCTTTGGGAAGGAGGTTTCCCAGATGACCTCCATAGTCTTTTCCAATTCTGATACTATAGTTTCTGAAAAATAGAAATAGCTTTACTGAAGCAGTAACGGAGCTTCTCCGTGTGATATCAGGAAATAATGAACTTCAAGTAGAATTTCTCTCTCTCTTTTATATTTGATTTTCTCAAAATGCTAGGAAAAACATTTCAATTTTGGGGGGTGGGGGGGATAGAAGTTTTCCATAAATAAAAACATCTTTCTCAAATACAGTTTTTTTTTAGGTGAAATCCACATAAAAGCCTTATTTAAAGTGTACAATTCTGTGGTATTTAGTATACCTACAATGCTGTGCCCCTCTCTCTCTATATATATATTTGTATGTGTGGGGGGGTGGTGGGAGGGAGAGAGACAATCTGTTGAAAGAGGTGTGCGTTTTGCAAGAACCATCAGAAGGGGAGGTTTCCTGGACAGTGTGTAGAATCTTATTAGTATTCTTTGTTTTATGCCCTTGCTCCTAAGCTTGAATTATCTTCTTGCCTTTTAGATCATATAGGGTTTTAACCTCTAAAACAAGCATGAGTAGTTAAGAAGGTAGGGTGTGCAGTCATATTCGCTGGGACCTAATTCCTACTTATCACTCACTAGTCCATAACCTCACTCAACTTGCTTCACCTTTTTGAGCCTCAATTTCATTACTGGCAAAAATGAGATATAATAGTATCTACCTCTGAATGCTATGAGATTAAATGACCTGGTAGGAGTTACTTTGCACAAAGTGAAGTGTTCAATAAACATGAGATCTATTATCACTGTGATCAGCATTATTATATAGCATTGGCATCTGAAATGGCATGTGATATTTTTAGCTCAGGAGAGGAGACCATTGTCTTTGAATGGCATACGAGACCTGTTGACCAGTGAGGTGGGGCAGGAAGGAAGCACCATATGAGCTAGGGTCTTTTTTTTAAATTTGGCACTACAAAAAGAGGTGCTGCCTCAGCAGGAAACATTTCTAAAATTTAATTTAGTTAGGTGGCTGGAGAACGCCAGTCTCTTGAACAATTATTCCAGTCCTGAATCTACAGGAAAGAAAAGGAATTGTTTCTGTGATAATTTCTGTTAGTCCTGCTGCAGAACATTCTCATACTCCACTGACCTCTTCATCTTTACCGGGCCTTTCAGATGATGTCCGGAACTTCATAGGAGGTTGAATCTAGGCGTTATAGTACAGTCTCTATTGAGTGCATTATGTTGCAAGCTATTTGGAGATCTTTTGGTGAAAACTCTGTCCATTATTTGCCCACAGCATGATGTCATTAGGGAAAACCATATCTGTGACTTAAGTGCTTCCAGGACTTTGGAAGAAAGTGTCAAGTGAGATGACAAGTTTTGTCTGTCTATAAGGTGCTTCCTGTTATTCTCCATAGGAATCCTTACATTTGGCCAGCTTTTGGCTAGTTATCATGCTTTGTTTTTTCTTCTGCGAATGCTAGAATTTTTCTGGTGATTTAACCCATTTGTGGGTTTTAATGGTCTTTGACATTATAAAACCACTAGTTCCTTTTTTTTCTGTTATTCAAATATTATTTTATGACGATAAGAGGAATTTTATTGTAGTCTGTTGAAACGGTCCCACAAAAATGAATGTATAATTGAATGCAGTCCAACTGTTGGGTACTATTTTAACTATGAATGTGAAATATTGTGAGATTTGCAGTAGACTTCTCTCATATGTGCATGTGGCTATATCAGATAAGGAAACATACATATCTTGAGAAAAATACCTAGGGAGTTCATTTTGTAAGCAAAAACCCTTTTCAAAACACAATAAACTACGTGAGATTGAGGCTAAGAAACAGTAAGAAATAGAGAATATTTCTATACTCTGGAGAACACTGGAGAGAGTCAGGGGATCTGGATTTTGCTTGTGGATCTCCTACTAAGTAACTGTGTGGCTATACCTCATCACTTTACCTTTCTGGGTCTCAAGTTTTTTATTTGTACAAAGATAAGATTGGATAGGATGAACTCTGAGAATCCTGTCAGAAACGTCTGTGTTCCAATAATTAAACATGTTAAAAACAATTTTATCAGATTTGAGTGACTAGAAAATGTAAGGATTAGTGCTGAAGAGGAAAAAAATTGCCTGTGTTTGTAATTTTGCAAAAATTACTTTGGAATGGCTATTTGTGTTGCCAAGTATCGGTAGTTACAAAATCCTGTGCCTTAAGCCAATACAAATTCTCAGATCACAGCTTACTCTTTACCTAAACCACTCTTAAACAGTTCTACAATTTTCAATTTTTTTGTTTCATGTGACAATCCTTGAGGTTAGGTTTTGTATTGGTCCATTCTCACGCTGCCATAAGTATATAACCCAAGACTGGGTAATTTATAAAGGAAAAAGGTTTAGTTGACTCACAGTTCTACAGGGCTGGGGAGGCCTCAGGAAACTTACAATCATAGTGGAAGGGGAAGCAAACACGTCCTTCTTCACATGGTGGCAGGAAGAATTGCTGAGCAAAGGAGGAAAAGCCCCTTATGAAACCATCAGATCTTGTGAGAACTCACTCACTATTATGAGAACAGCACGGGAGAAACTGCCTCCATGATTCAATTATCTCCCATGGGGCCCCTCCCACAACCTGTGGGAATTATGGGGTTACAATTCAAGATAAGATTTGAGTGGAGACACAAAGCCAAACCATATCAGGTGTTAATCATTATTTCCATGTCCATATTTGAGAAGAAGAATCTGAGGCCCAGAGAAGTTAAGTGACTTTCATGGTCATGTGTTTAATAAGTGATGTAACTGGGACATTATCCCAGGTTCCCTGCCTCTAGGACAAGTTCCCTTTCTACTCCTCTGTTTTGAATTATAATAATTATATTATTGAGCATTTTTTTTTGCATCAGATATTGTAAGATATTTTTATTAACTCACTCTTCTTGTTTTCCAGACAAAGAAAGTAAGATACAGAAAGCTGATGTATCTTGGTTAAGGTCAAACAGCTCTTAGGAGGTAGAGCTGAGATTAGATTCCATGTCTGTCACACGTAAACTCTGTTATTAGCCATTATGCCTTGAATTATTACTATGTTTTTTAGCCTACTTTTTCTGAAGAAACCTCTTTCAAAGATTATTTCAATGAGCATATTATAACAAAGGCCTCAGAGGTAGGAGCTAAGAAGGCAAGGTTAGGCTAAGATGAACTCATCTGATCTCCAAATTGTATAGATGCATTTTCAGCTCTGGCCCAATCCTCACCCATGAGATGTCCCCTGAAGTTTTGTGGTGTGGTTCTAGAAAAATGTTCTCTTCCAGCTGCTTGGAATATTCTTCCACCAGATGGCCTTGCTCTTCCCTTCACTCAAACCTCTGTTCAAGCAACACCCTCTCTGAGAGGCCTTTCCTTAACACCTTATCCAAAGTAGCACCTTGGCTTTCTAACTCCTTATTTTGTCTTTTTTTTTCTCCTTAGCACTTGTCACCACCAAAGATATTGTATTTGTTTACTCATTTGTTGTTTGTCTTCTGCCATGAGAATATAAGCTCCATGAAGGCAGGGCTTTTTCTGGTGCATTCAGTGTTACATTAACATTTAATATATTTACTCCTAGAGCAGTGCCAGGCACATAGTATCCACTCAGCAAATTGTCGAAGAAATGAAAGGAAGAACAGTTAGTAGTGGCTGCTTATGCCTGAAGAGTAAGAATTTATATGTGAACATGGAAAAAAGGCCACAAGAAATTCTGGGCAGCATCAGGAACCAAAGGGCAGGGTAAGGTGTCTAGCAGGCAAAAATCAAAACGTGTTCAAAAGAGTGGGAAGTGGAAAGGTTTACTCAAACAGCAATGCCCTCAGTGGTGGAATAATTTAGTTAGGCTGCTCTAGCTCCATATATATGACCATTAAAATCTTCTAGATTTAGGTTTTTAGGTAACTGGATCTTCCCAAGTTTTAATTTAAACTGTAGATCTTGGGATATTTAAGCTTGACTAGGTCTTTAGAGGTCCCCAATCCACCTCCATCATAAGGAAAGTGACTCTTGAACAGGTGAAGTAATTTTCTGAAGGTCAAATATGGCCAATTACTAACTTATAAAAGTAACCAAACTACCACAAATATTTTCAAGCATAGATTTCAGTAGAACTTCAAGAGTCTTTTGGTTATACAGAAACATATGGAGGTCTTTTAAAAATGACTTATGTCTGGGTCCCACTTCCAAAGATACAAATTTAATTGTGAGTCTAATTTGCAGACTGGGTTAAGAATCACCAGTTTGGGGGTTAGGAGAGTGGGTTTAAAACAAAGCTATGTTCAAATCTCATTTCTCTCATTTATGGCTGCTATGATATTGGGTAAGTTAAGCTTTCTGAGCCTTAGCTTCCTCATTTATAATATGAACGTAATCATGTACTGACCTCACAGGATTTTTGTAGAGATTAAATGAGATAAGGTCCACAAAGCACATAGCATGGTGCCAGAAACCCAGTAAGCACTTGATAAATGATAGCTGTTTTTATTATTACTATCATGCCATATAATAGTCATTATTATTATGTGAAAAATTATTTTTCCTCTGTATTTAAAAAGTGGCTACTTAAAAATTATATTAATGGAAGGATTAGCCAAATGATACAACTTGAAGCTATGAGACTGTCTTGATGTAGCTATGTGTAGGGTGATCTATTTAAAAGAGATGTAGACTTACTGTAAAGTGGGACTGAAATATTTGAAATAGGCCTGCCTTAGTTATGTTACAGAAACCACAACCCTGAATTCAATGGGAATCATATTGATATATTGTCTCTTGTGTTATATTCCACACCAATGATCAAGGTTCATACTGTCTCTGGGTTGGGGCAGCTACACAGCCAGAACCAGGCCACAGAGAAGCAGCTGGGTTCTACCAGCCTGGGGCATGCCCTTATGTTGCTGTGGGGTAAAGGAACAATTGCAGCACTGAGAGGTGGGTTAAGATCATACAGAATATGAGAGGCGAGCTTTATAAATTCCTGTTTTCTCTTTTCTCTCTTGTGGATATTCTTGGAATATACATTTTAAAAACTATAATAACAACAACAGAAACTTCCTGCATGATAAAAAGAAGTCACTTGATGATCACCAAACCTAATATTCTACCCATGGGAAGCCTGGTTTGCTTTTAGAGCAAGAGGGCATTGAGGCCAATTAACCTCCTTTCAGATTTTAGCTCCAGACTCAAACAAGAACTCTGTGAAATGTGAGGTAAACATATTAGAAGAATGAAATGAGTCACACTTTAAAATGTGCATTTCAACTGGAGCTAATAATCTTAAATGTGGAAAGACTGGCAACAAAGTCTCATTAGTAGTAGCAATACCATACTTATTTGAGTTTGGCAAGGAATATATTAGCCAAAATATCAAAAAGTTGGAGTTGACTAATGAAGAGTGAGAAGCAACACAGGATGCTTGTAGATACCTTTACTTAGGGAACTAACTCTTCAAAAACTGATCCTTTGTGTGTATCAAATGTATTTAAAATAAATTTCAATTAACTAATCGTTGTGCTTTTAAGAACACAATGGAATAGCATCAAATTCTGAATGAGTATATAATTCTAGTTTAAAGTATAATTTTCATCAAAATGACTTGAAATTCATTTTGTAAATTATTGTGATATTAGAACTCTGACTGCAGAAATATTGGAAGAATATTCCTCCCTAATTTAATGGAACCAATTTTCCTAACAGCATCTCCCATAATTTTATATAATCATTAGTCAAAATGTACAAATGTACAGACATTGCCAGCAATAAGTCTCAAATAGGTTGGAAATGAACTTACACATCTTCCAGGTGGGTGATCACATATTTTTCAAATTCCTTCGTGGAAATGACATGGAAAACTTTGTAAGCCCATTTTACCAGCGATAAGGAGGAAAGCTAATTAAGACCTGAGACATTTCTTGGGGGAGTATTATAAGAAACAAAAAGCTTTTAACTGAGATTTGTTTCACTGTTAAAAAAGTAATCTCTCCTCCATGTTCAGGTGATAATTTCTTCAGTTTCTTTTAAAATGATGCTTGTTTGATCATAGTTAAAATTGACACATGGAAAGCAGTCTTTATGTGCCAAACAAAATTAACTGGGAAAATTTGACAGATCTTTTTTTTTTTTTTAGTAAACTCTTCTAATTTTGCATTAGTGGTTTATGTTAAGCACAGCTTCAAATGGCTATATTGTTAATTGCTAGCAACTTCCTGTGGGACCTTTAGCCTGTCTGCCAATTTGAACATTTTCACTCATAAATCACTTAATACCTCCATCCTTCCCCCTTTCCCTTCCTGACTTCAGTTGCAGGATAAATATCTTGCCTTATATGGTGCTGATGGAACTTTGCAAGTTTGACTTAATCTCAGCACATTCGATGATATAGCTAACTCCTGTCATTTTTCCAACACCCAGAAGAATACCTTGCGTAGGCATGATCACTCTGTAGCCCACTCAGTAACATGAGTAATGATCTTTAAGTGAACCGCTGTAAGGGCTTGGATAATTTAGATAGGAAAATTGGAACAAGCGTGCATTTCTCTATAAAAATGTAAGTCTTATTTTCTGTTTAGTGGGACTATACAATCTGTTAATGCCAAAAAGCCTTTCAAAGGGCTGGAAATTTTTTCCCACAAAGCAAGGGAGAGTGTGAGCCTATGTGTTTATGTTGTGCATGTTTGCCTGTATGTGTGTACATATAACATATCTCTGGAGATTAGAATGGTAGATCAGCAGTTTCCTTTCAGGCTTATGAATAATAAATACTGGAAAGAGGAGCACATATGATGTTTTTCTACTGTTTCTTAGTGCCACAACATGTTCTGGGATGACTATTTGTGGTCCCAACCAGCCTCTGATGCTCTGCCAACTTGGCTTTAAAACCCTTTAGAGAGAATGGTATTTGTCCTCCTATATTGCTTGCCACTCTACTCAGCACCTCTTTGACAAGGGCAAAAAAACAGGGTAGTTTTTTTTTTCCATTTACAGTGAGTAAATTCTAGAATAAGGAATCTCAGACTCCAAAGAGAAAACCCAGTAACAGATGGAAATCTTGATTGGGGGGAAGGGAGAGAAAGACCATTCAATTGGATATTTTCTAATTGTACTTATATCTCAAAGATTGAATTTTTCCTAACTCAAGGCTTGAAAGGGTAGACTGTAGTATTGGGTGACATCCTGGGTAAGGAAGTCAGTGTAGGTATTGATGGGCTGTTACAGGAGCCCTATTATATAAATGAACTGGAAAAAATTGCTAAGAAACCATCCCTGGATTTGACTTGAGAATTATCACCATTTCCTACATCTACCATCTTGTTTGTTTTTCTTTTTTTATTTTTATTTATTTATATTTTTTACAAACACTTTTCTTTTTATATATATATATTTATTATACTTTAAGTTCTCGGGTACTTGTGCACAATGTGCAGGTTTGTTACATATGTATACATGTGCCATGTTGGTGTGCTGCACCCATTAACTCGTCATTTACATTAGGTGTATCTCCTAATGCTATCCCTCCCCACTCCCCCGACCCCACAACAGGCCCTGGTGTGTGATGTTCCCCACCCTGTGTCCAAGTGTTCTCATTGTTCAATTCCCACCTGTGAGTGAGAACATGCGGTGTTTGGTTTTTTGTCCTTGTGATAGTTTGCTGAGAATGATGGTTTCTAGCTTCATCCATGTCCCAACAAAGGACATGAACTCATCCTTTTTTACGGCTGCATAGTATTCCATGGTGTATATGTGCCACATTTTCTTAAGCCAGTCTATCGTTGTTGGACATTTGGGTTGGTTCCAAGTCTTTGCTATTGTGAATAGTGCCTCAATAAACATAACGTGTGCATGTGTCTTTATAGCAGCATGATTTATAATCCTTTGGGTATATACCCAGTAATGGGATGGCTGGGTCAAATGGTATTTGTAGTTCTAGATCCCTGAGGAATCGCCACACTGACTTCCCCAATGGTTGAACTAGTTTACAGTCCCACCAACAGTGTAAAAGTGTTCCTATTTCTTCACATCCTCTCCAGCACCTGTTGTTTCCTGACTTTTTAATAAGAACTTTAAGAAATGAGCTGCACCAGTGGCAGCATCCCTATTTTATAGGTGACCAAACTGAAATTCAGGGAGTTTACACAAGGTCACATAGGTAGGTTGTGGTCTTATCAGGACTGATTTTGTTTTCAGTTCTTCTATTGGTTACATCTATAACACAAAATAACTTTTGTGTCCCTCTTTCATTTTTTGATTTTTGACTGAGAAGGATGAATAATTTAGTTCACCTCTAATATCCTATCCCTTCCCCCAACTTGATTTTTTTTTTTTTGCAGTAAGTAGTAAGCAATGACTGTGTGACATGAGGAAGTCACTTCCCTTTCCTGAGCTCCAGTTTTCTCACCTGTAAAGTGAGAGTTAGGTCAGATGCCCTCTAAGTTTCCTTTCAGCCCTGACGTAACACAATTAACAGTCAATGAGCACAGTCTCTTAATCATTTATACAGTATCTGTTTCCTTCAGCTACATAGTTGTTCCAGTGGAAATATTACTGCTGTCTGAATGTGAATCAATGAAGAGTTAATGTTTAAACTTGGACCTCATGGTAGCCACTGTGACTTGTGTGAGGAAGAATTTTAAGGTTTCTTTGTCCAATGACCTGCATCGACACAAGTGATCCAGAAAACTGCTGCTCACACTACATTATGACTGACTGCCATGCCACCAATGATGCTAAATGATTATGATAATACCTGAAGGAAAAATGGAAGCACATTTGTCCCTTCGATCCATAATTGGCCTGACGTTGAGTCCCAGAGACCGTGCACATCCAGTCTCTCTCTGTTGGTAATAAATGCTGTATGTGTCATTTTATCTGGCCCTGATTAGGCTGATGTGCTATTTTTTTTTTTTTTTTGCCTAGGACTATTTTAGTCATCTTCACTCTTGGAAGATATGTTATATGTACACACACTGTCCTTCATTTTTAGAGGACAATTCAGACAGATTGCATTGTGCCAAGGCTGAGTTAAGAAAGATTTGTTGTCTTTTTCAGAAGGTGGATTGGGCAAAAAAATACATTTGTGAGTCATTGGTACATTTGATGAGAAAGAAAAAAAACAACATCCAGCTAATAGCTACATCTGTGGACAGTATGATAAGGTGGAAAGAGTACAGGTTTAGAGTTTGGATAGTCCTGGGTTGAAATCATTCCAGTTCTGCCATTTACAAGCTGTGTGATCTATGACAAGTAGTTATCGCATAAGTAAAATGAATATGATAATGCCAATTCCTAAAGAATGTTGTAATTTATGAAGAGCATAGTCCCTGGTATAACATAGTGCTCAATAAATAGGGTATATTTTATCGAGAAAGATCAACTGTCACCATCATCATAGTATTTCTGTTTATTCGTATGTTTCAAAAACTGCATAAGGAAAAAAAGTCCAGGGCTTGTATTATTCCTCTGCATCTGCCACTGTGTTTAGCACAGTATTTGGGATATGGTCAGCATTCAATTATTGTTAAAGAAGTAAATGAATAAATGAGCAACAGTAATACCAAATAAATGACACAAGTATTATTTCCATTTTTGCTCATCAGCAAGCTGCAACTACAAGGGGTTGTGACTTGCCCAACTGCTATGAGTAAGTTGTCAAAGCAAAATCTCACACCTACATCTTTTGATTTTAAGGTAAGTGCTTGTTAGCAGTATATCCTGTGATAATCGATAACTGTTTTATTCCCCCAAATTTAAGAGAATTAGTGAGTTTCTAAAGATTTGTCAGTCATTCATTTGCCTCATGAAGTCCCTTTTCTAAGTAGGGTAAGTAGGACAATCTTATTCATTCATGCAACAAATTTTGAGTTGATTTTGAAGAAATCAGAGATGTTGAAGAAAAGCATGGATTAGAGTGGGTTCTGTGGGGCCCATAGCCTCGGCATAGAGCCTTTATTCTGTATCTCGTGGGTGTCTACAGATACATCTAGAAAAGTAAACTGAATTACCTGTAACACTTAGGCATATGACTTCTACTTTTTGGTAAGATTATCAAAGAAGAAAAATAACCTACATTCTCCTTTTTCAAACTTCTTGCCCAAGACTCATGTTCTTGATTAACCAAGCCCACTTTTCCTGATGGCAGGAGTAAGGAGAAGGGGTCCTTTTGTCATTCACAGGGAGAGGACTCAATCTGGACTTCACATTGGGCACATTTTTAGTAGTTATTCTGTCTATTCCCTTTTAGCATGAGAACAGGCAGATTTTCTTCACTGATCCCACCTGTGGTCTGACCGTTGCTAACACTGACAAACTGGGGCAAGGATCTTACACTACTTCCAATGGCCATTTGGTGAGCCAGCAACGAGGCCTGAATTAGAACTTGGAATTCCTGAGGCCTGGTCTTGCACTTGCTTCAGTACTATAAGTGATGACAGCTGGGTATAACAAGGTTCCTTTGAAGATTTTTGACACTGAACTTTCAGATCCTAGAGATGAAAAAATCAACTAGATGAACTACACTTATTAAGACATAAAATGTATAGTTTCTCTGTTGAATTCAGAAAAAAACTTCATTTGGTTTTAATACCTCCTAAAGCTTAATTCTTTTCAAGGCTTTACATTTAGGCTATCCAGCTTCTCTGCATAATTTTTAGCCAGTTGGATGAACTACTAATCAAAGAGATATTTTTCCAGTTTCTTTCTGTATTTCAAGGAACTTTCAGTCCTCAGAAATATAAAGACATCTCCCCAACTCACATATACATCATACCCGCATCTCTTATGCTTTGGAGCCCCTGCTCTGTCCTGGGAAGAGGATGAACATTGTACAAGTATGGGGCAGATATACTAAGTCATAATTTATGAGGCTGAAAAGGGAGAAATGATGATTTTTTAATTGGAGTCTAAAAAGGTACCTTGATGCCCAGATTGGCAAAGAACCTTTCAAGATTCTTGTATCCTGATAGCTGAGTGCCACTCCTCATTAAAACAAAGCATTAAAAAGATACTTTTCAGATACAGATAAGATACAATCATAATTTTGCATGCAATGGCTAGAAATTTCTTGTGCAGAAACTATATTAAGACATTTTAAAAAAGGAATTAAAAAAATCCATTCTCTTCTAGTTAATGATCCATGTCCATTCTAGAGGTAGAGAATGGGGAATGGATATGGGCAGTGAGGAATCAGCATGAAGAATTACAAAGAACATGTAGCTTGGAGTCAGAGGAATTGGGGTTTGCAGAGAGCAGGAAACATAGCTGTAAATTTGGGCAGTCTCATTATTCTAATCTATAAACAATGTTAATAGTAATCATGTTATGTTATCAATGTAAGGATTCAATATAACATATGCAAAACACCCTCTAGCACACAATAAAAGCTAATAAATCATATGTGTTGTTATAACGTGGGCTGCATTATAGTTCTTTCACCCTATGCTGCAATGGGGCAGCTTTGAATGAAGGGTGAAGGGGATGAAGTGTAACTTAGGGCAGGATAACAGCTGCTCAGAAGCTCTCATGGGCTCTAAAGTCAGATTATCTTGTTTTGAATCCAGCTATGCCACTTTCCAGTTGCAGGATCCTGGACCAATTTATTCAACTGGTCCTCAACTTACTCATCTATAAGATCAGAATCATAGTATCACTTCATAGGGTTGTTGTGAGGATTTACAGAGTCAATATATGTTCTTAAAACAGTACAGGGTACTAAGCATTCAATAAGTGTTAGCTCTCATTTGATCATTATAGAGTTTAAATAATTATCTGCCATTAGTATATTTTTGCATATAAAGCATTTAAAATAGTGTCTGGCAGTGGGCACTTGATAAACATCTATTTTTATTTCTTGAGTGTTTATTCTATATCAGGCACTGTGCTAAATGAAAACCCTCTGAAGCAATTATTCTCATTTTAAATGAAGAAATCAAGGCACATGTATGCCTATTTTTTTTAACTTTTTTTTTTTGAGGTGGGGTCTCACTCTGTCACCCAGGCTGTAATGCAGTGGTGCAATCTTAGCTCACTGCAACCTCTGCCTCTTGGGCTTAAGTGGTTGTCCCACCTCAGCCTCCTGAATAGCTGGGACTACAGGTGCATGCCACCATGTCCAGCTAATTTTTGTATTTTTTGTCGAGACGGGGTTTCACCATGCCACCCAGGCTAGTCTTAAACTCCTGGACTCAAGCAATCCACCTGCCTTGGCTTCCCAAAGTGCTGGGATTACAGGCATGACACATGTTTTTTATTTGGTTTCAATAACACAGCTTGTCCTTTCCCTTCTAAGTTGGTATGTAGCAACTGGTATGTGGCAAAGTAGACTTTAACCTGGGTTCATTAGGCTCCAAACCCCATATTTATTACATTTCACTGTTTAGTAAATATTCATTGAATGAGGCAATATGTAGGATTAGTAAAGCTTGGATCAAAGATGGAAGTGAAATGGAATTATTCTCTGAATGCCAAGAATTGCCCTCCATGTTCTGTTAGCTGGTAACAGCCAAGGAAGCAAGATCCTTGCAGAACCTCAGGACTGAGTCTCTGGTATGTTCTGGTATATATCTTTTTATCAAGGTTCCTAGATACAGGCTGAGCTAAACAGTAGGTCTACAAGGCTTTGCAGTTGTTGTTAATTGTTTTCAAGCATTCTGAGTTCAGGTCAATTTAGCTCCTTTATGTTTTATGCAGAAGTCTGATGAGAGCTGCTAATTCTGTTTATCATTTACAAAAGAAAAATAGCTTGAATTTATGGACCTGAACATACATGTTGCACATGTGATTTTGTTACAACCACTCAGTTACTTTATGGTAATAGACTGGTTTATTCTTGCATGTGCCTCAGTGGGTTGATCCCAGCTAGATAAAACCGGATTTTGTGTTCAAAAGAGTGGAACTGTCAGGATTAAAGAAGATTGTACTGGTATTAGTTCCTAAAGGGATTCCAGCCTTGAAAGACACTGAATCTCTGATCTTTACAATGGTATGGGCTTTCATGAGAACTAAATGTATTGAGTCTCCCTCACCAGCCCCTTTCAACCAGACTGTTACCCTTGAGACCCTCTTTCCAGAATTTCTGGAGTGGCCGCTTGTTCTATGTGCTAGGGATGGTGCCATGTGCTTTACCTACATTATATTCATTTATGGATATATGGTCATTATTATCTTCATTAGCTTCATTTTATATGAAGAAAAATTGAGTCTCAGTTTGAGTGACTTGACCAGATCCTATAGGTAAGAAGTAACAAAATTGGGATTTAAACCTGGGCCCATATGACTCTCAGTACATGCTCATTCTACTACACTGTGTTGATGAGGGCATTTTGGACCACAAAGGGTTATAGGGCCTCAAACCCTCTTAAATGTATTATTAATCTGTAGGTGCTCATTAACAAACAAAATAGCTGTAATGATGTTACAGATGGAGGACTCTGGAACTTCAAGATCACCAAAGTTGCTGTATGGTCTGCTGGGTGGAGTGCCCTTCCTAACTCAGAAATCAAAGGCATTGAAGAGTCTTAGGTTTTACTGAGATAACTTTTCTATCACTGATCGGGAACATTTAAGTGAAGTATGAGATGTGTGTATAGGATATTTGTATTGTTTTAGACTTAAGCAATTTGTTCAAAATGGTTACCTGTGGGAATAACTTCATTAGTTCTACAGAATCCAGAGACTGGTGTGGATACTTCAGTCAGTAAGCAAGTTCAACTGGCAGGAGAGAGGGTGTTTCAAAGCATGACAGGAGTTGCTCATATCACCCCTTCAGGCTCTCCCATGAATTTTTCCAGAAAATTCTGAGGTAAGCATTGAATGTCACATGTTTGAGATCATAGTGTAGCCACATTTGTGGGGCACGGTGCCAGGAAGAGGAATCTATGTTAGGTTCCACAGGTGAGCTAGAGATGTTTTCCTTGGTGAACTAAGAAAGGAAATGAAATTAAGAACGGTAGAAAGGTATACAAGTGGTCATGAAAGGCATTGTATTATTGTTCACTTACTTTTATTAAAAGCTCCATTGTAGATTTTTTCTTCTTTTTAGCTCCACTTGATAATTTAAATTTCAAAGTAGAATAGGGATCTTTAATATAGATCAGCAATCTTCTAAAATTTTAATTTCAATTTATTATTTAAGTTTACAGAATTTGCTTTCTGTTTATGACTCTTTTTTTTTTCCCTTGACCGTTCTTGTTTTTACTGTATTCTTCCCTCTTGTTCCTCTCACTTCTTGTATTATTGATAGAGCTTGCTTGGTTTTCCTTTAGTTCACAGCCACTCTAATGTAAACCTCTCATTTTACTAGTTGTTTTAGGTCTGTAAAAAAATCCTTGTTTGTTATACAGATGTTTTGTATGAAGAAACAACTAAGCTCTGCTTCATATCAACATGGTGCATTTCTAAATGATTTGTCTATCCCTTTGAATACGGAGGTACCTTCTTGATGAACCTTATGCCAAGGCCATATTGAAACAGTATTAAGGGCTTGACGAAGGAGAAATACTTGAGATCACAGAGCTCGAAGTAGAACTCACAAACTTCCCTTCCTTCTGAGGAAGGTGAATGTCCTCTTTTTGTTAAGGTTTGGTTTACACAGAGAAGCTATATCTAAATTCTTTATTGTGCTGAGTATTGTCTGCATATTTGCAGCCATGTGAAAAACCCCAGTTCAGCATTTTATCAGCTCCTGAGTGACAAATTTGTGGCATGTTTTTGCTCTGCTCTCATCTTTCTTCAGAGCTTGTGTAACAGCTGTCTAGCATAGTTCAAACTATGAATGTGGTGACCATGTTTTCCAATTGCAAGTGAGTACACATGGTCTGACCAATTTCAGTGTACTTAAGGAGACAATGGAATGGAATACTTGAAGTCCAAACTGTTGCAGAAACTATAGACACCATTCTTCTTAGGAAAACAGGAATGTTCAAATTTCATCAATATGGAAACATTCGTTAAAGCTTCTATTATATGTGACAGAGGATGCTGCCTTTCATCTATTGAACATTTTGCTTCTTTTAAGATTCCATAGTTGTCAGTTGCTGAGACTTCAAATAGGGTAAGACCAGTTTTAACCCCAGTAAAGTCTGCTGAGTTTTCCTTGTTTACCATATCCGGTACTGTAGCCACTTTGCTATAGGAACTGCACATTGTGAGAATAATGTGTTTATGGGAAGATAATGGAAGTAAAGTGCCATATTGAATTATGATTCATATAACCATAAAGGGCATGGCATGTGGCTAATGTAATCAGTACCTTTGCTTAATGTTCCTATTTCATACATGAAACTTCTGAAGTGTGTAACTTTTAAGAATCTTACAAACTCTTGGCCGGGCAAGATGGCTCATGCCTGTAATCCCAGCACTTTAGGAGGCCGAGGTGGGCGGATCACTTGAGGCCAGGGGTTCAAAACCAGCCTGGCCAACATGACAAAACTCCATCTCTACTAAAAATACAAAAATTAGCTGGGCTTGGTGGCACATGCCTGTAATCCCAGCTACTTGGGAGCTGAGGCAGGATAATTGCTTGAACCTGGGAGGCAGATGTTGCAGTGAGCAGAGATCATGCCACTGCACTCCAGCCTGGATGACAGGACGAGGCTCCAAATAAATAAATAAATAAATAAATTTACAAACTTTTCCTAGACTAAGAGGGAACAAAGTGGCCAAAATTCATGGGGGTGTAGAGGAAGAGTTTTTCTTATCTGCAAATCCAGGGAAAGTGCTTCATTAAGGAGAAGCCATTAATATTATGGAAAGATCTCTTTCAGCCTCAGAGAGACCACTAGGAGAGCCCTGAGTACATAAGAGGCTTAAATGCACAGTTGGATCTTATATAAATGTTCTGAATGTGTTCTTGGAAAACAACAGGAGTATTTGAAAATGTTAATATAGTTTGAACCCTGAATGTAAAACAAGGTTCCTCCCGCCTTTGACAAAGTAAACTCTCTTTTCTCCTAGGGGCATTTGTTTCCTTCTTTTAAAACCAGGAATTGAATGTCCCTGGCTCACTGAAGTTCAAGTTGGGATCTGAGACAATGACAGGCCTCTATTTGCTCCCCTTTCCAACTCTGGTGATCTGAAGTTGCTATTGCTTCCCTGATTGTAGCTGTCACTGCATTGATTCTGGATTAAATCATTCTGTTTGGTGCAGAGCAAGAGAGTTGGAAGCGGCTAGCAGTGTTCTTTACATTTCTGGTTTAATTGGTGATCCTGGCCAACCAGAGTCTATGCCCACCTCCTGAAAACTGTCTCAGAGATCAGGTTGGGAGGATAACTTTTACTGCTGAGGTCTAGATAGAAATGGCCCTTATAAACTCTATTTCTCAAAATTAGTCTTATCAGGGAAACTTCATCTTGTTTGTCTAACAAGAGTTCTTGGCTAAAGCCAATACAACCTCAGGGGAGAAAGCTCTCAGAGCCTTGTCTGTAGGATCTAGATCCCCACAGTATTGTAAGTTTCTATATTCTTTATTATTTCTGGAAGAATGTTGCCTGGAGCCAAGATTATGAATTATGTGAAATAAAATCCAGTGTCTGTCCATTTTTCTGTCCTTCTCCCTCATTCATTCTGTTTTTTTTTTTGCTTATTTAAAAATGTTATTGATACATAATAGATGTACATATTTTCAGGGAACATGTGGTATTTCGATAACTTCATATAATGTGTAATGAACAAATCTTCATTTACTTAATGTGTTTACTGAGCTTTGATTATTTTTCAAACATTGTACTAGGCATGGAGGACACAAGGTGTGAACAATGCTAGATCTCAATTTTCACAAAGCGGCCACATAGAGTAGCAGTTAGAATGCTAACTCTGCAATCACATTGCCTAGGTTTGAATCCTGGCACTGCTTCTTCCCAGCTGTTTGATAGTAGACAAGTCATTTGACCTCTCTGTGCCCTAGTTTCTGCATCTGTAGAATAGGAATAATGGTAGATTCCCTCATAGGATTGTTATGAGGACTATATATGATTGACTGGCCCATATTAAATATTATGAGTTTTTACTAGATAATATGAAGCTTACATTCTAGTGGAAAAGATGGATAATTACATATCATGATAAGTGAAAGGAAAACAGGTTGATATATTTGTTATCCTGATACTGTTTATATCTTGTAACCTTTTTCCTAAAAAAGGATCTGATAAAATCATTTATATTATGAATTGAACAGTCTTAATAAATTTATATTTTTATGGAAGGTAAAACTCACATTAGATATAAAAAATTGTTAAACCTTTGTGTACTTTGGAATCATCTTGGAGAACCCACCCCCAGAGTCCAAGTTGGCTGCTAGAGTTCCTGCTATCACATCTACTTTCCAGGCAGCAGAAAGGAGGAAGAAAGAAGAAAGAGTGTGCCCTCTTTGAAGAAGTCTTTCCCAGAAGTTCCATGTAATATTTTTGCTTGCATCTCACCTTTTTGAATTTAGGAGCATAGCTTCATCTAGCTGAAAGGGAGGCTAGAAAATCCAGTATTTTCTGTGTTGAATATTCTCAACTAAAACTCAAGGTTCTCTTTGTTAAAGAAGAAGGGAGAATAAATGTTGGGAAGCAATAAACAGTCCTTGCCACAGTGCCAATCCAGCTCTTTGTCTAACTTCATATCCAAATTTGTTACTTTTCAAAACTCAATTTGGGACTATCATTAAGACTCCTCTTGTTCCTATTAGTTGTAACTGGGTTTTCTTTTTGGTTCAGATAAAATGAAAAGCTAACATGTATTGAGCACTTACTCTATGCCAAGCATTGCACAACAATGCTCTGACGTAGACTGTTATTATCCCCATTTTATAGACAAGGAAATCAAAGCACAGAGAGGTTAAATAATTTGCTCAGTAGTGGCAGAGTTAGGATTCAATTCAAATGCAAGTAGTTTGGTGCCAGGATCTGATTATTAACACAGCACTGCTTGATTTAGAGTTAGCAAAATGGAATGAGATACAAGTAGGAAAAGGGCAGAGAAAGGCAGTGTAAGAATAGCATGTCTTTCATATGAAATGGTTACAAGTTCCATATTCATAACATATGGAACCTGTGAAAACTATAACATTTTAAATGTTTTATCTGATTTTATACAACTACCTGTTTCATTGAGCTAATTGCTTTTTGTAAGGACCTTCACAACCTAATCCTAAATTTTCACCTTTACCTTTGCTCATTCCACTCAGTGTGATATAATGGAAATACATTTTAGAAATAGAGAAGGTTTGGTTTGTTCCCTACCTCTCCCACTCTTACCTGTATGGCTTTGAGAAATTTAGCTGCTTCTTTGTATCTGAGTTTTATTTTTCTTTAAAATGGACTGATAATACCTACTTTTTTGGTCTAAATTTTAAAATTGTTTTTAATTGGCACAAAATAATTGTACATATCTCTGGGGTACAGTGTGATGTTTTGATACATACATACATCATATAAAAATCAAATCAGGGTATTTGGCATATTCACCACCATACATTTATTATTTCTTTGTGGTAAGAACATTCAAAATCCTCTCTTCTACTTATTTTGAAATATACAAAATGATGTTGTTAATCATAGTCACCCTACTGTGCAATAGAATACCAGAATTTATTCCTCCTAATTGTAACTTTGTACCTGTTGAGCAATCTCTCCCTATATCATCCTCCTTCTACCCCCACCCCAGCCTCTGGTAACCACTATCTACTCTGCATCTGTGTGATAAATTTAGATTTCATATGTGAGTGAGAACATGCAGTATTTGCGTTTATGTGCTTGTCTTATTTCACTTAATGTTCTCAGGCTTATCTATGTTGTTGCAAATGATAGGATTTTATTCATTCTTATGGATGAATAGTATTCCATTGTGTATATATACTGCATTTTCTTTTTTCTGTTTTTCATCTTCAGGTAGAGTGAAGCCTTTTATTTATTTTTTATTTTTTTTCTAATCTTTTTTATTATACTTTAAGTTCTAGGGTATATGTGCACAACGTGCAGGTTTGTTACATATGTATACATGTGCCATGTTGATGTGCTGCATGCATTAACTCCTCATTTACATTAGGTATATCTCCTAATGCTATCCCTCCCCCCTCCCCCCATCCCATGACAGGTCCCGGGGTGTGTGATGTTCCCTACCCTGTGTCCAAGTGTTCTCACTGTTCAATTCCCACCTATGAGTGAGAACATGCTATATACAGCATTTTCTGTATCCATTCATCTGTTGATGGACATTTAGGTTGATTCCATATCTTGTCTATTGTGAATAGTGCTACAATAAGCATAGGAGTACAGATATCTCTAGAACATCCTGATTTCATTTCCTTTGGATATATACTTAGTAGTGGAATTGCTGGATCATATGGTAGTTTTATTTCTAATTTTTTGAGAAACCTCCATACTGTTTTCCATAATGGTTGTACTACTTTACCTTCCCACCAATAGTTCCCCTTTCTCCACATACATGCCAGCATTTGTTATTTCTTGTCTTTTTGATAATAGCCATTCTAATTGGGGTGAGGTGATATCTCGTATTTCATTATTGTATTGATTTACATTTCTCTGATGATTAGTGATGTTGAGTATTTTTTCATATATTTGTTGGACATTTGTATCTTCTCTTTTGAGAAATGTCTATTCAGCTCTTTTGCCCACTTTTTAATGAGATTATTTTTTGCTATTAAGTTGTTTGAGTTTCTTACATATTTTGGACATTAATCCTTTGTCGAATGCATAGTTTTCAAATATTTTCTCCCATTTTGTAGGTTGTATTTTTACTCTGTTGTCTGTCTCCTATGCTGTACAGAGCTTTTTAGTTTGATATAATCCCATTTGTCGATTTTTGCTTTTGTTGCCTGTGCTTTTAGGATCTTACCAAAAAATCATTGCCCAGATAAGTGTCCTGAAGTGTTTACTCTCTTTTATTTTAGTACATTCATAGTTTTGGGTTATACGTTTAAGTCTTTGATCCATTTTGCATTTTTTAATATGGTGAGAGATAGGGGTCTAGCTTCATTGTTTTGCATGTGGATATCCACTTTTTCCAGCACCATTTATTGAAGAGCAACTATACAAGAGAAAGAAATAAAAGACATCTAAATTGGGAAGAAGGAAGTTAAGTTGTCCCTGTCTGCAGACCACATAGTCTTATATATATAAAACCCCAGACTCCATTAAAAAACTGTCAGAACCTATACATTCAGTAAAGTTGCAGGACACAAAATCAACATACAAATGTCAGGAGTGTCTCCATACACTGTTTGTGAATTATCTGAAAATGAAATCAACAATCACATTTAGAATAGCCAAAAAATAAAATACTTAGAAATAAATTTAACCAAGGAGGTAAAAGATCTCTACATTGAAAATGACAAAACACTGAAGAAAGAAATTAAAGAAGACACAAATAAATGGAAAGATAGTCCATGCTCATGGATTGGAAGAATTAATATTGTTAAAATGTTCATACTATCTGCAATGATCTACAGATTCAGTGAAATCCTTATCAAAATACCAATGACATTCTTCACAGAAATAGGACAATTCTAAAATTCATATGGAACCACAAAAGACCCACAATAGTCAAAGCATTTCTGAGCAAAAAGAATCAAAGCTGGAGACATCACAGTACCTGACTTCAAAATATGCTACAATACTATAGTAATCAAAATAGCATGGCATGGGCATAAAAAATAGACACATAGACCAATGGAACAGAGTAGAGAACAGAGAAATACACTCAAGCACTTACAACCAACTGTTTTTTGACACAGATGGCAAGAACAAACAATGGAGAAAGGATAATAGCTACTTTAAAAAGGCAGTTGCAGAGATCAAATAGGACAATGTAGGTGATATTTGAAATTAAATAAATATCTTTTTGTCTTTTCATTTTCCTTTCTCTTTTCTCTTTCCCCACCTGCCACCCCACCTTTCCCCTTTTCCAGTGTGCTCTAATCAAACTAGTTTCTTTTATTTGAGCATAATTTACTCATTCCAAACTCTCTACTTTTGATTTTGTCATTGCCTCTTCCTGAAATTTCCCCATTCCCTTCTTCCATTGACGTAGATTAGCATTTTTACATCTAAAGTCTGCTCACCATATGTGTTGTCTGGTCTGTAAATGTTTATTACCTGCTTTTAAATGGGGGCATGTTTGACTCATTCATCATATAACCCACCATTTGCTATTTTATTTATTTATTTTTTTTTGAGATGGAGTCTCACTCTGTCTCCCAGGCTGGAGTGCAGTGGTGCGATCTCGGCTCACTGCAAGCTCTGCCTCCTGAGTTCACGCCATTCTTCTGCCTCAGCCTCCCGAGTAGCTGGGACTACAGGCACCCGCCATCATGCCCGGCTAATTTTTTTGTATTTTTAGTAGAGACGGGGTTTCACCGTGTTAGCCAGGATGGTCTCGATCTCCTGACCTCCTGGTCCACTCGCCTTGGCCTCACAAAGTGCTGGGATTACAGGCGTGAGCCACCGCCCCTGGCCCCATTTGCTATTTTCTTACATGTAGCCCATTTATACTGATTTATGTTCTCCACTGGGCTTCTGAAGGCATCTCAGTTTGAGAAACCCTCCACTCCAATTTAAATTTCTGCTCATCATTTCAGGGCCATGTCAAATACCTTCTCTTCCATAAAAGTCTTCGTCATTGACTATAACAAGAAATTTCTTGCTTACTCCACCATTTTTCTCTTAAAGTGCATGAAATATACTTCTTCCTCATCTTTGTGTCAATGGTATGTGCAGGTCTTACTTATATACCTACAATGAAGTCTAAGCTCCCCGAGAATAAGAATTCTACACCATGGAATACTATGCAGCCATAAAAAATGATGAGTTCATGTCCTTTGTAGGGACATGGATGAAATTGGAAACCATCATTCTCAGTAAACTATCGCAAGAACAAAAAACCAAACACCGCATATTCTCACTCATAGGTGGGAATTGAACAATGAGATCACTTGGACACAGGAAGGGGAATATCACACTCTAGGGACTGTGGTGGGGTCGGGGGAGGGGGGAGGGATAGCATTGGGAGATATACCTAATGCTAGATGACGAGTTAGTGGGTGCAGCGCATCAGCATGGCACATGTATACATATGTAACTAACCTGCACAATGTGCACATGTACCCTAAAACTTAGAGTATAATAAAAAAAAAAATTAAAAAAAAAAATAAAATAAAATAAAATAAAATGACAAAAAAAAAAAAAAAGAATTCTATTTTGTTCATCTGTGCAACCTCAACATCTAGTAGCTGTCTTGGTCATGCTAGGCACTTTGATGCTTATTGATAGGTCAGAGAAACCACTCTTTTTGCAAAGCTAAGGTACAGAAGTGCACAGAACAAAAAGCATTTTGTAGAAATGCATTTAAAAATGTATAATAACACTTCTTGGTAAGAATTCAAGAAGCATCTGACCAGATGATCCTCTGGGAAAGATAGAAAGTAGTTTTTCACTCAATCCACAGTGCTGGCACAGGATCTGTGTTTCTTTAGTTTTGCTTCCAAATTGGTATTGACGTCAGTCACTGAGAAGTCTTGGCTGGCAAAAAATTTCATATTCAACAGGATGGGCTTTGGAAAGTAAATGGAGTGAAAACCCATAAGCTAGGAAGCTCTAAAATGAATGTGCATGGTTAGTGTAATCAGTGACTAAATTAAGGTGAGGTTTATGGCTGTTTCAGTCTTTCACCATGAAGAAATTTCAAGACCGGTCATGCACCACTTCCTATTGATGAGTGGGAGGCCAGAGGGGTCAGAAAGTCAACGTCATTGAGAGGTCTAGTTCATAGGTGGGTTGACACATGGGCTTGAGGCTTGAAGAGTAATTATTATCACCAGGCCATTTGGTTTTGTTTGGTTATCCGGAAAGCCTGAGATGGACTTTATATAGTCAACACTAACTTTTGAGTAAAGTGGAAAAACCATTGCTGAATTTCTAAGCAGTGTGGTAATAAATGGAAAAAAATCTGCCTCAGGCTTTTGCAGGGATAAAAGAAATCATTTAGAACCACCAACAAAATGAAGAAGGAGGCCAAGGCTGAATTCTGGTGCCCCAGACTCTCTATCCTTTGCGACTTTGGTGTTGGTATTTTCACCACGAGCAACTAGGGCCCTCATGTTCTCTACTCCCACAATCAATCAAGAGATTGTGAGATCTGTGTTTGTAGCGGTGTTTTCAATAGCAAAAAAGGTAGAAGCACCTAAAGACCTAGCAATAAGAGGTTAGATAACTTATATAAGGTGCAAACAGAAGCTAAGCAGCTGTTTAAAAAGACAGGATAGGATATAGGATGTAGGATGTAGGATAATATACTTGTTTTTTAAAAAGCATGTATATCCACCCCTACCCCCAGGTTCATGTGTATGTATATGTTGTACTCATAGAAATCTGGAAAGCGTTTTACCAAATATCAACTATTTATCTGGTGGCTGGTGTGAATGGGGTTTCTAAGGAAAAGGTTTATTTTATATTTTATATTCCGTGGTGTTTATGTTTTTATGTAACAAGTATGCTTTACTTTTATGATCAATAAAAACAAAAATAGATTTCTTTTTGTTAAAAGGAAACAGAGTCCCTTTTGATATTCTTTATTCACATTGAGATATGAATCACTGACAAGAATTCTGAATATCACTCTTTTGAGAAAGAAGAGTGGGGTAGGATTTCACCAGGTATCAAGGCCTTAACCTGATGAGGTATGGTATTAAAGATGGGATTTCAGCTAGCTATTGGTAAACTGAAATGAGATATTTCATTTCTTGACTCCTCCCTTTGGGGAGTTCTTTTCTGTTGGTCAGGTGATCTTCAAATCACTTCCTACAAGTGCCAGCAGGGGCAGTGGAGGCCCAACAGGTGAGCTCCTAGACTCTCCAGGGTTGCTTTCAACGGAGTAGTTCCATTTCTGCCTGCTTTTCTGGTATTAGGGTTTCAACCAGGATTTCATTTAGGAAAAATGATTATTCTGCTAAATAAAAGTTTGCAAACCACAGATCTACACCATACTTAACTATAAAAAAGGTAGGAATAAATACTCCTTTTTTATAGATGAGGGACTGAGGCTCAGAGGGTGAAGTGAGTTGCTTTGGGAGGGATATGGGGTAAGTAGTAGAGTCAAGACTTAAATCTATGTACTTGGACTCTCATGTTCAGCGATCTTTTTATTATGTCATATTACCTCCTATTAGTGGCCTGAAGGGGCTCCTTTTGGTAAACTTAGGGCAGGGATACATCTGATGTAAGAAACATAGTAAAATGCCCAGGTGGGTTTGAAAGGCATAATCCTATTACCTTACTGCCCAGATTTACCACTTTTTTCACCACCCTGCTCTGGGTTTTGAGCAGGACCCAGGAGCCCAGCAGATAACACTTGCTTTGGGGCGTGTCTGTACTTGAATTACCAAGGGAAGGAAGCTAACAGGAAGTTCTCATTGTGAGTTGGTAGCTGATACTGGGATATAATTCCCTTCTTCCTTCTCCACAGCACTGGGCTACTTATGCCCAGGGTTCACTGAGATGTAGTGTGTCCCAGCTGCACTTTATAAATACCTCATTTCAAGGGTGGTTGATACCTTTACTCCCAAATTTCTCAACTGGAACCTATTTGTAAGGCATATAGTCAGAGACAGGAAAAGTTTTTGATTATAGGAGAAAATCCATGAATGGCACAGACCTGAGTGGTTCCTCTGAGCATCAAGAGGCCAAACACCTGTTTACAAGAAGAAAAATTACTGAACAAATGGCCTTATCCATTACCCATGTTACTGCATTTTCATGCCTGACTGAACCATATGGTTTTCAGTCTCAGTTCTCTTCCTACAATGTGGCCTTTAGAACTTCCTTGAAGGCCTCGTGGTACCTTCTTTAGAACTCTCTTTTTGAGCTCTTGCTACCTGCCCTTCATTTTTCCCCGAGACCAGGAACTGTTCCTGTCTTCTGCTTGGAACAGATCTAGAAAGTTCCTCTGTGTTCATTTGTGTCTGTTCTCAGGGTCAGGCCAGGTTTGGCAGTAAGTCGTCACATTGCTTTTCATTTGGTAGCAATTTTAATAGCCCCAGATGGGACTTTTTCTTAGGTTTTCATTTTATTTGTAGCAGAAATCCTCTAAATCAATAGTTGAAAAAAGAGGTGTTGTTCTTATAGCAGTGCAGGCTTCCCTTACTGTATTGTACCAGCGGCCACTTATTTTGTGGGAAGGCTGAGTGAATGATGCTCTTCCCTTGGTGTGTTTCATCCACAGAACAATATGGCTCAGGTGAGATTAAAGTGCTACGGGGAATAGATTACCTTGAGCTGGAGCTGTTTTTAAAATAAGGAGACAAACTAATGAAAGTTGGTTAGTCTGTCATGAGCAATTTATACTCAGCAAAGAAGAGCAAATATTTTTTGAAAATAGATCATTTATAAGAGAAAAGAGAAGTTTCCTTATTGGTAGAATGTTTCACAAAGCCTGGAGTACAAGTGTAGGATTGTGAGTATAAAGGGAAAGATGTTGCTTTGGTTGTTGGGAGGTCTCGGTACCTGCCCAGATCCTGAGGCTAATTTTATTCAATATGACACTTACCTCTCATAAGTTTGAATGTCTGGTTGAACTTCCTTATCTAGAGAATGGAGACAAAATACTTGTCTTACCGACTTAATAAAGTTATTGGAAGGATCAAAGGAAATAATTTTCTAGATCTTTGAAAATCTTTAAATGGAACACACATACACACACTCTGTCTTACCCACACACCCACCACTAGTCACCAAGTCTCACCTCTGGAATAGTTACGAAATTCTGTCCTTTTTCTATTTGCACTTTTCTCCCACAACCAGAGTTCATACCCATTTCCTGGGCTACTACAAGTGTCTACTAGCCTATGTTTCTGCCTTCAGTCTTTCTGTTCTACAATCTGTTCTCCACTTCACTGCCAGATTCATCTTCCTATATCCACATTTAATCATGTCTTCTTCCTGCTCTGAAATTGTCAGTAGCTACCTATTATTTGTTGAATCAAGTCCAGATTACTTGGCCAGATTCAAAAGTCTTCATGATCTAACTCCTCCTGTGATTTCTGTCCTCATTATCCACTCCTTCCCTTATACCCTTGTATATTCCATCCAGCTTGTGACATTTATCCCCTGTAAATGACCCGTACATTTTTAGAGCCTTTAGATTTTTGTCATTTCCTCATCCTTTTTGTTTTCAAACATCAAAATTCAATATTTTGAGGACCTGGTTGAAATGCCATTTTCTTTCATAAAACTTTTTGATATCTCCCTTAGGGGCATCTGTTTGACAGGGATATTATAAAGGGAACTGAAGCATTACATGGTGGTTGAGTGAAATGAGATGAGGTCTCAGATCCTTTCCAACTCAATTCTTTTTTCTAAGTAGTGCTTTTTGGATTAAAATGAGGTGTGAATATTCCTGTTTTGATAAATCAAACACTGACTTATATCTCCTATTCTTCCTAGCATCTCCTCCTTTTTTCCTTCCTGAGTTTCTGCTTTCTCTGTTCATACTGGCAGAACACATTGGTGTTTCTACCAAAGAGGATGTCAAGCTGGGGACTTTAATTGGAGCAGGCAGGATGTGTGTCAACATCATTTGGAAAAAAATGGTGCCAGTCTGTTGGCCTGGTGGATGTTATCACAAAGCAATTTTAATCAGTGTAATTGCTATCTCTTCTTTATTGTTCCAGTATTTTGTGTCATTTTTAAACCAATGTCTTGTCCTCCCATCTCTTTCAAATATACATCTTCCTTTCTAGACTTCAACTCTTTGAGGGCAGGGACCTTCCTTATTTATTATTTTATCTTCTACAGTACCTACTAGTGTTCATTCAATGCTTGGTGAGTTGAATCAACAATGAATAAAGAAGGAGCTTTTTTCCCCTGGGCATAAGGTACAAAACAAAGGATTCCTTGACTCCTACCCATCCTCTGTGGCATCAGCCTTTGTGAAGCTTCTCTTCGTAGCCAGGCAATAACCAGTCTCCTCTGTGATTTCTAGCAGAGGAGTTCTTGGCTTTGTGTGGTAATTCCACTGAGTCCCTAGGAGAGAAAACAATTTCAGAAAGAATCATTTGTTCGGTTTCCATTCCATGCTGGGAAAACAAATAGAAGAAAATATATCATAGCCATGAACCTTTCATAAGGAATCCTATAGCCATATGATACACAACTTCAACAAAATCCTATGAGCATGAATGAGATACAGCAACCACAGATACATGAGATAATCATCACCCTGATGATCTAGGAAGGGGAGCATCAGAATGAGCAAAGAGGACCCAGTGGAGCCTGCTTTAGTACACACACTTTGTGAAACAGTCTGGAAGTAGCTGGAAGAGTTAGCTACACAAAGCATGGACAGTAGTGTTAGTCTCTCTGAGTTCATTAGTTAACATTTGTGTTTTTATTTCACCTGTAGCCCAGATCACAGATAATCAAGTGTCTTTCTCCCTTTTCTTTCTCTTTTTCATTCTCTCTCTTTCCTTGTCTCACCCTGCACACACTCCTCTCTTCTGTAGGGTAAGGTATACACCAAGACAACAAGGACACCTATCTTCAGATCTAAGAGGTGTTACCTCACTCTCTCTGTATATATTACACTCTGAGGCTTAACAAACAATTTAAAATATGGAATTGTGTTGAAGCCCACACATAGAGGCAATGGTAAGGAATCCTTAGACTGTCAAAATATTGACTCATACAACCAACACATAATAATTAGAGACAGAACATTGTGAGTCAAGCTAGAATTTAGGAGAAAAGACTGACTGTAGTATAATGAGTGTTATTAATTGAAGGGAAGAATAGAGAAACAGAAAAAGAAGAGTCAGCAAGGAAAGCCTAGAGTGGCCAGGGTCAGAGGGACTCAGATACAGATTCTAGGAGGAATGTACATTTCAGGCATCGGGGAAGCCTTTTTCTCAACTGGGGGATAGGCCTCACTGTAGCCTGGGTAATATATACTTTTTTACCCAGAAACACCATCTTATCTGTACTCTGAGTTCATGTGCATCCTGTAATCTTCTGATGTTGAATTTCAGTCTTTGGCATCTTAACACCAGGAAGAGGCTTAGGTAACACACACACACACACACACACACACACACACTCAAAGACACACACACACAGACCTCTTGTCAAGACCTTCCCAAGGACCACCAGCTCTGGCCAAGGACCTCCTCTCTGGCTAGTATATGAGGGAAAATCTTTGTTTTTCCCCGCTGCTCCTGCCTTAGCCCATCATTGGCCTGAGTCTGGTAACTTGACCCTAGGCATCTGATATTTTGCCCATTGCTTTCTAGCCTTGGGTATCCATAGCAACAGCTTTGGAAAAGGAAACAGGCACCAGAGGCTTTCTTACGTCAGCCTGGTTTTTCCAGAGGCCAGCCAGGAAGAGCAAGCCTTGTGTTCTCAACCTTCCTGGCTTGCAGCGAGAAAATAAGAGTTCTCCAGTTGGAAAGACTTTCTAGGGACCAGAAACTGTATCTGGCTTGGGTGCTTCTAAGGGGTTTATTTTTCCAAACCTAATTCTTGGCTTATTTGTCAAAATTCAGCGGGTATGTGCTTTAAGTGAGATGATCATATTTCCTAAACCAAAACATGGTTAAATGTTTTAACCATGGCTTCTGAGGGGAGAAATTTACATATGTGAAAAGCCTGACCAAGATACACAAAGTAACATATAGTTGACAAATTTGACAAATCTTCTTTATTATGAAAATAATAGCTATATGAAGTTATATGAAATTAGGACAGGCCAGAATAACTTACAACAAATATTTGTTGAGCACCTATTATGTACTGAGCACCATTCTTAGTACTTGAAATATATCAGGGCACAAAATAAACAATAAGATTCCTACCTTTGTGGAGCTAACATTCTAGAAGCAGGGCTGTATATCACCACACTTTGAAAGGTCTTTCCTGGAGTGTTTTTAAAAAATGAGCTCTTTTCAGGTGTTAGCCTTATAGTAAATAAACTTTGATGATGTGAAACCAACTATTAAAGTAGTATTTATTTATGTCACATGGGAGATGTTGAAAAAGGCATCTGGCAATAACTTCTAGCCGACACTTCAATGGGGGACTATAGAATTGAACTTTATTCCTTGAATGGTTTTATCTCATGCTCCAGGCACACCTTTGTTGGTGATAAACAACCAGTAATAAAACAAAAGAATAGTGTACTTCTTATTGGGTTTAATTACCTCAGTCATTTGAACTGATATGGCCATTACTTGTATCAAGTCATAGCCTTTGAAGTGGTCAGCACTGCTGCCACATGTCAAAGTTCAGTCTCATATACTGTGCAATTTCCTATTTGTGGTTGTCATTATCCACTTTTTATGTATCCTTAGTATGCAGCACCAGTGAATGACACATAAGAGGTTCTTGAATACTTGTGGAACACATTAGTGAATGATTGAGTAAATGAATGAATGGGTGAATGAGCAAATATGTGCCTAGGCGATAGCTTGACTTGTTGGTAAGGGGAGTGTTTGTCAGTTGTTACTGCAGTTTTGGAAAAAAATTATCCTTTAAAATAAAAAGATATGGATCAGAAGAGGAAGTGGGACTGCTTGTGGTTATATTTGTCCCATAGGAAAATTATACTGACAATAAAAAGGAGTACCCAGAGTTGATTAACTTGAGACTTCGAATCGATTTCTAAGGCTCATAGAGTCCTGCAGCCAGTTCTCTAATTCAGTGGTTCTTAATTTAGTGTGCATTAGAAGCATATGGAGGACTTACATAAAAAAAACTTAAGCAAAAACCTTATAAGCCTGAAGGAACTGAGGTCCTATATTTGGCCTCCATTAACAGAATAACTGTCAGCCAAGAGTTTTGTATCCAGCAAAACTAAATTTCAGAAATGAAGGAGAAATAAAGTTATTTTTAGACAAACAAATGCTGAGACAATTTGTCACTACCAGACCAGCCCTACAAGAAATCATAAAAGGAGCTCTAAATCTTGAAATAAGGGGAAGAGCCAAGATGGCCAAATAGGAACAGCTCGGGTCTACAGCTCCCAGCATGAGCGACGCACAAGACGGGTGACTTCTGCATTTCCATCTGAGGTACCGGGTTCATCTCACTAGGGAGTGCCAGGCAGTGGGTGCAGGACAGTGGGTGCAGCACACCGTGTGCCAGCTGAAGCAGGGTGAGGCATTGCCTCACTTGGGAAGTGCAAGGGGTCAGGGAGTTCCCTTTCCTGGTCAAGGAAAGGGGTGACAGACTGCACCTGGAAAATCGGGCCACTCCCACCTGAATACTGCGCTTTTCTGATGGGCTTAGGAAAAGGAGCACCAGGAGATTATATCCCCCACCTGGCTCGGAGGGTCCTACACCCACGGAGTCTCCCTGATTGCTAGCACAGCAGTCTGAGATCAAACTGCAAGGCAGCAGCGAGGCTGGGGTAGGGGCACCCGCCATTGCCCAGGCTTGCTTAGGTAAACAAAGCAGCTGCGAAGCTTGAACTGGGTGGAGCCCACCACAGCTCAAGGAGGCCTGCCTGCCTCTGTAGTCTCTACCTCTGGAGGCAGGACACAGACAAACAAAAAGACAGCCGTAACCTCTGCAGACTTAAATGTCCCTGTCTGACAGATTTGAGGAGAGAAGTGGTTCTCCCAGCACGCAGCTGGAGATCTGAGAACTTGCAGACTGCCTCCTCAAGTGGGTCCCTGACCTGTGACCCCCGAGCAGCCTAACTGGGAGGCACCCCCTAGTAGGGGCAAACTGATACCTCACATGGCCAGGTACTCCTCTGAGACAAAACTTCCAGAGGAATGATCAGACAGCAGCATTCGCGATCACAAAAATCCGCAGTTCTGCAGACACCGCTGCTGATACCCAGGAAAACAGGGTCCGGAGTGGACCTCTAGCAAACTGCAACAGACCTGCAGCTGAGGGTCCTGTCTGTTAGAAGGAAAACTAACAAACAGAAAGGATATCCACACCAAAAACCCATCTGTACATCACCATCATCAAAGACCAAAAGTAGATAAAACCACAAAGATGGGGAAAAAACAGAGCAGAAAAACTGGAAACTCTAAAAAGCAGAGTGCCTCTCCTCCTCCAAAGGAACGCAGTTCCTCACCAGAAATGGAACAAAGCTGGACGGAGAATGACTTTGACGAGTTGAGAGAAGAAGGCTTCAGACGATCAAACTATTCTGAGCTACAGGAGGAAATTCAAACCAAAGGCAAAGAAGTTGAAAACTTTGCAAAAAATTTAGACGAATGTATAACTAGAATAACCAATACAGAGAAGTGCTTAAAGAGCTGATGGAGCTGAAAGCCAAGGCTCCAGAAATATGTGAAGAATGCAGAAGCCTCAGGAGCTGATGCGATCAACTGGAAGAAAGGGTATCAGTGATGGAAGATGAAATGAATGAAATGAAGTGAGAAGGGAAGTTTAGAGAAAAAAGAATAAAAAGAAATGAACAAAGCCTCCAAGAAATATGGGACTATGGGAAAAGACCAAATCTGCGTCTGATTGGTGTACCTGAAAGTGACGGGGAGAATGGAACCAAGCTGGAAAACACTCTGCAAGATATTATCCAGGAGAACTTCCCCAATCTAGCAAGGCAGGCCAACATTCAGATTCAGGAAGTACAGAGAACGCCACAAAGATACTCCTCGAGAAGAGCAACTCCAAGACACATAATTGTCAGATTCACCAAAGTTGAAATGAAGGAAAAAATGTTAAGGGCAGCCAGAGACAAAGGTCGGGTTACCCACAAAGGGAAGCCCATCAGACTAACAACTGATTTCTCAGCAGAAACTCTACAAGCCAAAGGAGAGTGGGGACCAATATTCAGAATTCTTAAAGAAAAGAATTTTCAACCCAGAATTTCATATCCAGCCAAACTAAGGTTCATAAGTGAAGGAGAAATAAAATACTTTACAGAGAAGCAAATGCTGAGAGATTTTGTCACCACCAGGCCTGCCCTAAAAGAGCTCCTGAAGGAAGCTCTAAACATGGAAAGGAACAACCGGTACCAGCTGCTGCAAAATCATGCCAAAATGTAAAGACCATTGAGACTAGGAAGAAACTGCATGAACTAACGTGCAAAATAACCAGCTAACATCATAATGACAGGATCAAATTCACACATAACAATAATAACTTTAAATGTAAATGGACTAAATGCTCCAATTAAAAGACACAGACTGGCAAATTGGATAAAGAGTCAAGACCCGTCAGTGTGCTGTATTCAGGAAACCCATCTCAGGTGCAGAGACACACATAGGCTCAAAATAAAAGGATGGAGGAAGATCTACCAAGCAAATGGAAAACAAAAAAAGGCAGGGGTTGCAATCCTAGTCTCTGATAAAACAGACTTTAAACCAACAAAGATCAAAAGAGACAAAGAAGGCCATTACATAATGGTAAAGGGATCAATTCAACAAGAAGAGCTAACTATCCGAAATATATATGCACCCAATACAGGAGCACCCAGATTCATAAAGCAAGTCCTTAGCGACCTACAAAAAGATTAAGACTCCCACACAATAATAATGGGAGACTTTAACACCCCACTGTCAACATTAGACAGATCAACGAGACAGAAAGTTAACAAGGATATCCAGGAATTGAACTCAGCTCTGCACCAAGCGGACCTAATAGACATCTACAGAACTCTCCACCCCAAATCAACAGAATATACATTTTTTTCAGCACCACACCACACCTATTCCAAAATTGACCACATAGTTGGAAGTAAAGCTCTCCTCAGCAAATGTAAAAGAACAGAAATTATAACAAACTGTCTCTGAGACCCAGTGCAATGAAACTAGAACTCAGGATTAAGAAACTCACTCAAAACCACTCAACTACATGGAAACTGAACAACCTGCTCCTGAATGACTACTGGGTGCATAACAAAATGAAGGCAGAAATACAGATGTTCTTTGAAACCAATGAGAACAAAGACACAACATGCCAGAATCTCTGGGACACATTCAAAGCAGTGTGTAGAGGGAAATTTATAGCACTAAATGCCCACAAGAGAAAGCAGGAAAGATCCAAAATTGACACCCTAACATCACAATTAAAAGAACTAGAAAAGCAAGAGCAAACACATTCAAAAGCTAGCAGAAGGCAAGAAATAACTAAAATCAGAGCAGAAGTGAAGGAAATAGAGACACAAAAACCCTTCAAAAAATTAATGAATCCAGGAGCTGGTTTTTTGAAAGGATCAACAAAATTGATAGACTGCTAGCAAGACTAATAAAGAAAAAAAGAGAGAAGAATCAAATAGATGCAATAAAAAATGATAAAGGGGATACCACCACCGATCCCACAGAAATATAAACTACCATCAGAGAATACTATAAACACCTCTATGCAAATAAATTAGAAAATCTAGAAGAAATGGATAAATTCCTCAACACATACACTCTCCCAAGACTAAACCAGGAAGAAGTTGAATCTCTGAATAGACCAATAACAGGATCTGAAATTGTGGCAATAATCAGTAGCTTACCAACCAAAAAGAGTCCAGGACCAGATGGATTCACAGCCGAATTCTACCAGAGGTACAAGGAGGAAGTGGTACCATTCCTTCTGAAACTATTCCAATCAATAGAAAAAGAGGGAATCCTCCCTAACTCATTTCAGGAGGCCAGCATCATCCTGATACCAAAGCCGGGCAGAGACACAACCAAAAAAGAGAATTTTAGACCAATATCCTTGATGAACATTGATGCAAAAATCCTCAAGATAATACTGGCAAACCAAATCCAGCAGCACATCCAAAAGCTTATCCACCATGATCAAGTGAGCTTCATCCCTGGGATGCAAGGCTGGTTCAATATACGCAAATCAATAAATGTAATCCAGCATATAAACAGAAACAAAAACAAAAACCACATGATTATCTCAATAGATGCAGAACAGGCCTTTGACAAACTTCAACAACCCTTCATGCTAAAAACTCTCAAGAAATTAGGTGTTGATGGGACATATCTCAAAATAATAAGAGCTATCTATGACAAACCCACAGCCAATATCATACTGAATGGGCAAAAACTGGAAGCATTCCCTTTGAAAACTGGCACAAGACAGGGATGCCCTCTCTCACCACTCCTATTCAACATAGTGTTGGAAGTTCTGGCCAGGGCAATTAGGCAGGAGAAGGAAATAAAGGGTATTCAATTAGGAAAAGAGGAAGTCAAATTGTCCCTGTTTGCAGATGACATGATTGTATATCTAGAAAACCCCATTGTCTCAGCCCAAAATCTCCTTAAGCTGATAAGCAACTTCAGCAAAGTCTCAGGATACAAAATCAATGTACAAAATTCTAATACACCAATAACAGACAAACAGAGAGCCAAATCATGAGTAAACTCCCATTCACAGTTGCATCAAAGAGAATAAAATACTTAGGAATCCAACTTACAAGAGATGTGAAGAACCTCTTCAAGGAGAACTACAAACCACTGCTTAATGAAATAAAAGAGGATACAAACAAATGGAAGAACATTCCATGCTCATGGGTAGGAAGAATCAATATCGTGAAAATGGCCATACTGCCCAAGGTAATTTATAGATTCAATGCCATCCCCATCAAGCTACCAATGACTTTCTTCACAGAATTGGAAAAAATACTTTAAAGTTCATATGGAACAAAAAAAGAGCCCGCATCGCCAAGTCAATCCTAAGCCAAAAGAACAAAGCTGGAGGCATCACGCTACCTGACTTCAAACTATACTACAAGGCTACAGTAACCAAAACAGCATGGTACTGGTACCAAAACAGAGACATAGATCAATGGAACAGAACAGAGCCCTCAGAAATAATGCCGCATATCTACAACTATCTGATCTTTGACAAACCTGAGAAAAACAAGCAATGGGGAAAGGATTCCCTATTTAATAAATGGTGCTGGGAAAACTGGCTAGCCATATGTAGAAAGCTGAAACTGGATCCTTTCCTTACACCTTATACAAAAATTAATTCAAGATGGATTAAAGACTTAAACATTAGACCTAAAACCATAAAAACCCTAGAAGAAAACCTAGGCATTACCATTCAGAACATAGGCATGGGCAAGGACTTCATGTCTAAAACACCAAAAGCAATGGCAACGAAAGCCAAAATTGACAAATGGGATCTAATTCAACTAAAGAGCTTCTGCACAGCCAAAGAAACTACCATCAGAATGAACAGGCAACCTACAAAATGGGAGAAAATTTTCGCAACCTACTCATCTGACAAAGGGCTAATATCCAGAATCTACAATGAACTCAAACAAATTTACAAGAAAAAAGGAAACAACCCCATCAAAAAGTGGGCAAAGGATATGAACAGACACTTCTCAAAAGAAGACATTTATGCAGCCAAAAGACACATGAAAAAATGCTCATCATCACTGGCCATCAGAGAAATTCAAATCAAAACCACAATGAGATACCATCTCACACCAGTTAGAATGGCAATCATTAAAAAGTCAGGAAACAACAGGTGCTGGAGAGGATGTGGAGAAATAGGAACACTTTTACACTGTTGGTGGGATTGTGAACTAGTTCAACGACTGTGGAAGTCAGTGTGCGATTCCTCAGGGATCTAGAACTAGAAATACCATTTGACCCAGCCATCCCATTACTGGGTATATACCCAAAGGACTATAAATCATGCTGCTATAAAGACACATGCACACATATGTTTATTGTGGCACTATTCACAATAGCAAAGACTTGGAACCAAGCCAAATGTCCAACAATGATAGACCGGATTAAGAAAATGTGGCACATATACACCATGGAATACTATGCAGCCATAAAAAATGATGAGTTCATGTCCTTTGTAGGGACATGGATGAAATTGGAAATCATCATTCTCAGTAAACTATCGCGAGGACAAAAAGCCAAACACTGCATGTTCTCACTCATAGGTGGGAATTTAACAATGAGAACACATGGTCCCAGGAAGGGGAACATCACACTCTGGGGACTGTTGTGGGGTGGGGGGGAGGGGGGAGGGATAGCATTAGGAGATATACCTAATGCTAATTGACGAGTTAATGGGTGCAGCACACCAGCATGGCACATGTATATATATGTAACAAACCTGCACGTTGTGCACATGTACCCTAAAACTTAAAGTATAATAATAATAAAAAAATAAAAATAAAAATAAATAAATCTTGAAATAAAAAGTCAACATGTACCAGAATAGAACCTCTTGAAAGCATGAAACTCACAGAGCATATAAAACAATTACACAATAAAAAAAACAAACTGAGTAACCATTAACATGGTAACTGGAACAGTATCTCACATCAATATTAATGTTGAACATAAATGGCCTAAATGCTCCACTTAAAAGATACAGAATGTCAGAATGGTTAAAAAAAATCACAAACCAAATATCTGCTATCTTTAAGAGACTCATCAGGCTGGGTGCAGTTGTTCAGGCCTGTAAACCTAGCACTTTGGGAGGCCGAGTCGGAGGCGTCACCTGAACTCACAAGTTCAAGACCAGCCTGGCCAACATGGTGATACCCTGTCTCTACCGAAAATACAAAAATTAGCAGGGTGTGGTGGTGCATGCCTGAAACCCCAGCTACTTGGGAGGCTGAGGCAGAAGAATCACTTGAACCCAGGAGGCAGAGGTTGCAGTGAGCCAAGATCATGCCATTGTACTCCAGTCTGGGTGACAGAGCAAGACTCTTCTGGGGGAAAAAAATGACTCACCTAATACATAAGGATTCATTATACTCAGGGTAAAGGCGTGGAAAAAGATAGTCCATGCAAATGGAAATCAAAAGTTAGCAGGAGTAGGTATTCCTACATTAGATAAAACAGATTTTAAAGGAACAACAGTAAAAAAAGGACAAAGAAAGTCATTCTATAATGATAAAATGATCAATCCAACAAGATTTTACAACCCTAAATTTATGTGCATCTAACTCTAGAGCCCGAGATTCATAAAACAATTACTATTAGAACTAAGAAATGAGATAGACAGCAACACAATAACAGTGGGAGACTTCACTCCACTGACAGCACTAGTCAGATCAAGACAGAAAGTCAACGAACAAAGAACAGACTTAAACTACACTCTAGAACAAATGGACCTAACAGATAGTAACAGAACATTCTACCCCAAAACTGCAAAATATACGTTCTTCTCATCAACACATGGAATGTTCTCCAAGATAGACCATATTATAGGCCGCAAAACATGTCTCAATAAATTTGAAAAAAAAATCAAATAATATCAAAGATCTTCTCAGATCATGGTGCAATAAGACTAGAAATCAATTTTAAAAGGAACCCTTAAAACTATACAAATACATGGAAATTAAACAATATGCTCCTGAACAATTTTTGGGTTAACAGTGGTATCAAGATGGAAATTAAAAATTATTTGAAATGAAGGACAATAGTAACACAAGTTATCACAACCTCTGGGATACAGTAAAAATAATGCTAAGAGGAAAGTTTATTGCACTAAATACGTCCATCAAAAAGTCTGAAAGATCACAAATTGACAACCTAATGTCATACCTCAAGGAACTTGAGAAACAAGAACAAACCAAACCTACAGCTAGCAGAAGAAAAGATATAACAAAGATCAGAGCAGCACTAAATGATTTTGAAACAAAAAAATACAAAATATCAATAAAGCAAAAAGTTGGTTCTTCGAAAAGATAAACAACATTTATAGACCATTACCTAGATTAATCATGCAAAGAAGAGGAAGATTCAAATAAGCTCAATTAGAAATGAAACTGGAGACATTACAATAGACACTACAGAAATACAAATAATTATTTGAGACTACTATCAACACCTCTATGCACAAAAACTAGAAAATCTAGACAAAACAGATAAATTCCTGGAATCAACCTTCTTGGATTAAATCAGGAAGAAATAGAAACCATTAATAGACCAATAACAGTGAAATTGAATAAGTAATAAAAATATTGCCAACAAAAAATGCCCAGGGCCAGATGAATTCACAGCTGAATTCTACCAGACATTGAAAGAAGAATTGGTACCAGTCCTACTGAAAATATTCCACAAGATTGAGTAAGAGGGAATTCTTCCTAACTCATTCTATGAGCCAATATTACCCAGATACTAAAACTAGGAAATGACATAACCAAAAAAGAAAACTACAGGACAATATCCCTGATGAACATAGATGCAAAAGTCCTCAACAAAATACTGACTAACAAAATCCATCAGTACATCAAAAAGATAATATACCGTGATTAAGTGGGTTTCATCCCAGAGATACAGAGATGGTTTAACATATGCAAGTCAATAAATGTGATATACCACATAAACAGAATTAAAAACAAAAACCATATGATCATCTCAATAGATACAGAAAAAGCATTTGACAAAATCCAGCATCCCTTTATGATAAAACGCACATACTAGCCACAGAAGGGGCTTACCTCAAAATATAAAAGCCATCTATGACAAACCCACAGCCAACATTATACTGAATGGGGAAAAGTTGAAAGCATTTCCCCTGAGAACTGGAACAAGACAAGTGTGCCTACTTTCACCATTTCTATTCAACATAGTGCTAGAAGTCCTAGCCAGAGCAATCAGGCAAGAGAAGGAAATAAAGGGCATCCAAATTTGAAAAGAGAAGGTCAAACTGTTGCTGTTTGCAAATGGTATGATCGTAAACCTAGAAAATGCTAGATTCTTCCAAAAGATTCATAGATTTGATAAATGAATTCAGTAAAGTCTCAGGTTACAAAATCATTTATACAAATCAGCAGCACTGCTATACACTAACAATGAGCAAGCTGAGAATCAAATGAAGAACTCAATCCCTTTTATAACAGCTGTAAAAATATAAAATACCTAGGAATATACTTAACCAAGGAGGCAAATTATCTCTACAAGGAGAACTACAAAACACTGCTGAAAGAAATTATAGATGACACAAACAAATGGAAACACATCCCATGCTTATGGATAGGAAGATCAATATCATAAAAATAGCCGTACTGCCCAAAGCAATCTAGAGATTCAATGCAATCCCTATCAAAATACCAACAACATTTTCACAGAATTAGAGAAAACAAGCCTAAAATTCATATGGAACCAAAAAAGAGCCTGAATAGCTAAAGCAATCCTGAGCAAAATGAACAAATCTGTAAGCATCACATTACCAGACTTCAAGTTATACCGCAAGGCTAGAGTTACCAAAACAGAAGGATACTGTTATAAAAGTAGACACGTAAACCAATGGAACAGAATAGAGAACCCAAGAGTGAAGACAAATACTTATAACCAACTGATCTTTGACAAAGCTGACAAAAATATAAATCAGGGAAAGGACACCCTATTGAATAAATCATCCTGGGAAAACTGGATCCCTGTCTTTTACCTTATACAAAAATCAACTCAAGATGGATCAAAGACTTAAATCTAAGGCCTGAAACCCATAGACATTCTAGAAGATAACCTAGGAAAAATTCTTCTAGACATTGGCCTAGGCAAAGAATTGATGACTAAGACCCCAAAAGCAAATGTAACTAAAATAAAAAGAAATAAATGAGACCTAATTAAACTAAAAATCTTCTTTATAGCAAAAGAAGTAATCATCAGAGCAGACAGATGACCTACAGAATGGGAGAAAATATTTGTAAACTATGTATCTGACAAAGGACTAATACCCACAATCTGCAAGGAACTCAAACAAATGAGCAAGAAAAAACTAATCCCATGAAAAAGTAGGCAAATGACATGAACAGACATTTCTCACAAGAAGATATACAAATGTCCAACAAACATGAAAAAATGCTCAACATCACTAATTATCAGGGAAATGCAATTAAAACTACAATCAGATACCACCTTACCCTTGCAAGAATGGTCATTATTGAAAAGTCAAAGAACAATAGATGTTTGCGTGCACGTGGTAAAAAGAGAACACTTATATATTGCTGGTGGGAATGTACATTAGTAGAACCTCTATGGAAAACAGTATGAAGATTTCTTAAAGAACTGAAAGCAAATATACCATTCAATCCAGCAATCACACTACTGGGTATCTACCCAAAGGAAAATAAGCCATTATATCAAAAAGACTCTTCTATGTGTATGTCCATCACAGCACAATTCACGATTGCAAAGATGTGGACCCAACCTAAGTGTCCATCAACCAATGAGTGGATAAAGAAAGTGTGGAATATATACACCATAGAATAATACTCAGCCTTAAAAAAAGAAAGAAATAATGTCTTTTGCAGCAACTTGGGTGGAGCTGGAGTCCATTATTCTAAGTGAAATAAGGAAAGAAAAACCAAATACTATATGTTTTCACATATAAGTGGGAGCTAAGCTATGGATATGCAAAGGCATACAGAGTGGTATAATGGACGTTGGAGACTCTGAAGGGGGAGGATAGGAGGAAGTGAGGGATAAAGACTGCATATTGGGTACAGTGTACACTACTTGGGTGATAGGTGCACTAAAATCTCAGATTTCACCACTGTGCAATTCATTCTTGCAACCCAAAACCACTTGTACCCCAAAGGCTATTGAAATAAAAAATATTAAACAAAAGTTGTCTGGTTGCACCTTCAGAGCTTTTGATTCATTACATCTGGGGTGAGGGCCAAGAATTGGAATTCCTAGGAAGCTACCAGATGATGCTAATGTTGCTATCCTGGGAACATTTTTTTTTAAAAACAAATTATTTCCTGACTTTTTAATGATCGCCATTCTAACTGGTGTGAGATGATCTCTCATTGTGGTTTTGATTTGCATTTCTCTGATGGCCAGTGATGATGAGCACTTTTTCATGTGTCTATTGGCTGCATAAATGTCTTCTTTTGAGAAGTGTCTGTTCATAACCTTTGCCTACTTTTTGTTGGGGTTGTTTTTTTCTTGTAAATTTGTTTGAGTTCATTGTAGATTCTGGATATTAGCCCTTTGTCAGATGAGTAGATTGCAAAAATTTTCTCCCATTCTGTAGATTTCCTGCTTACTCTGATGGTAGTTTCTTTTGCTGTGCAGAAGTTCTTTAGTTTAATTAGATCCCATTTGTCAATTTTGACTTTTGTTGCCATTGCTTTTGGTGTTTTAGACATGAAGTCCTTGCCCATGCCTATGTCCTGAATGGTAACGCCTAGGTTTTCTTCTAGGGTTTTTATGGTTTTAGGTCTAACGTTTAAGTCTTTAATCCATCTTGAATTAATTTTTGTATAAGGTGTAAGGAAGGGATCCAGTTTCAGCTTTCTACATATGGCTAGCCAGTTTTCCCAGCACCATTTATTAAACAGGGAATCCTTTCCCCATTTCTTGTTTTTCTCAGGTTTGTCAAAGATCAGATAGTTGTAGATATGCGGCGTTGTTTCTGAGGGCTCTGTTCTGTTCATTGATCTATATCTCTGTTTTGGTACCAGTACCATGCTGTTTTGGTCACTGTAGCCTTGTAGTATAGTTTGCAGTCAGGTAACGTGATGCCTCCAGCTTTGTTCTTTTGGCTTAGGATTGACTTGGTGATGCGGGCTCTTTTTTTGTTCCATATGAACTTTAAAGTAGTTTTTTCCAATTCTGTGAAGAAAGTCATTGGTAGCTTGATGGGGATGGCATTGAATCTATAAATTACCTTGGGTGTGGAGAAATAGGAACACTTTTACACTGTTGGTGGGACTGTAAACTAGTTCAACCACTGTGGAAGTCAGTGTGGCAGTTCCTCAGGGATCTAGAACTAGAAATACCATTTGACCCAGCCATCCCATTTACATTCCCAAAGGAATATAAATCATGCTGCTATAAAGACACATGCACACATATGTTTATTGTGGCACTACTCACAATAGCAAAGACTTGGAACCAACCCAAATGTCCAACAATGATAGACTGGATTAAGAAAATGTGGCACATATACACCATGGAATACTATGCAGCCATGAAAAATGATGAGTTTATGTCCTTTGTAGGGACATGGATGAAGCTGGAAACCATCATTCTCAGCAAACTATCACAAGGACAAAAAGCCAAACACTGCATGTTCTCACTCATAGGTGGGAATTGAACAATGAGAACACTTGGACACAGGAAGGGGAACATCACACACCAGGGCCTGTTGTGGGGTGGGGGGAGGGGGAGGGATAGCATTAGGAGATATACCTAATGTTAGATGACAAGTTAATGGGTGCAACACACCAACATGGCCCATGTATACATATGTAACAAACCCGCACGTTGTGCACATGTACCCTGGAACTTAAAGTATAATAAAAAATATATAAAAATAAATAAGGCCAGGCGCGGTGGCTCACGCCTGTAATCCCAGCACTTTGGGAGGCCGAGGCGGGCGGATCACGAGGTCAGGAGATCGAGACCATCCCGGCTAAAACGGTGAAACCCCGTCTCTACTAAAAATACAAAAAATTAGCCGGGCGTAGTGGCGGGCGCCTGTAGTCCCAGCTACTTGGGAGGCTGAGGCAGGAGAATGGCGTGAACCCGGGAGGCGGAGCTTGCAGTGAGCTGAGATCCCGCCACTGCACTCCAGCCTGGGCGACAGAGCAAGACTCCATCTCAAAAAAAAATAAAAATAAAAATAAAAATAAATAAATAAATAAATAAAAATAAAAATAAAAATAAAATCTAAAAAAAATTATTGACACGATAATTGTACATATTTATGAGGTACAATGTGATTTTTGGTACATGTATACAACATATAATGATCAAATCAGGGTAATTACCATATCTGTCATCTCAAACATTTATCATTTCGTTGTGTTGGGAGTATTCAAAATCCTCTCTTCTAATGTTTTGAAAATGTACAATAAATTACTGTCAACTGTAGTCACACTACAGTGTTATAAAACGCTAGTACTTATTCCTCTTACCTAGCTGTAATTTTGTATCTGTTAACTAACTTCTTTCTATCCTCACTCCCCTCTAGTAACCAGTATTTTACTCTCCGTTTCTATCAGATCAACTTTTAGTTTTTGCACAAGTGAGAATATGGGGAGTATTTGTATTTCTGTGGTTAACGTATTTCACTTAACATAATGTTCTCCAGGCTTTTCCATGTTGCTGCAGATGACAGGGTTTCGCTCTTTTTTGTGATTCCTTAGTATTTCATTGTGCATTTATAACACATTTTCTTTGTCCATTCATCTGTTGACAGACACTTACGTTGATTCCATATCTTGTCTATTGTGAATAGTGCTGCAATAAACACAGGAGTGGAGATATCCCTTCAACATCTTGATTTCCTTTTCTTTGAGTATATAGCCAGTAGTGGCATTGCTGGATCATACAGTAGTTCTATTTTTAGTTTTTTGATGAACCTCCGTACTGTTTTCCATAATGGTTGTATTAATTGTACATTTCTACCAAGAGTGTCTAAGAGTTCCCTTTTCTCTGCATCCTCACCAGCATTTGTTATTTATTTATTTATTTTTTGATGCTTGGAAACTATATTCTTCGGGTTTTTTTTTAAACCTTATCTTTTTGATAATAGCCATTCTAACTGAGGTGACATAATATCAAATTGAGGCTTTGATTTGCATTTACATGATGATTAGAGATGTTGAGCATTTATTTATGTACCTGTTGGCCATTTGTATGTCTTTTGAGAAATGTCTGTTCAGATCAATTGCACATTTTTAAATGAGGTTATTTGGGTTTTTCTGCTGTTGTGTTCAGTTCCTTATGTATTTTGGATATTAATCCCGTGTCATATGAATAGGTTTTTTTTTTTTTGTTGTTGTTGTTTTTGAGATGGAGTTTCACTCTTGTTGCCCAGGCTGGAGTACAATGGCATGATCTCGGCTCACCGCAACCTCCGCCTCCTGGGTTCAAGTGATTCTCAGCCTCAGCCTCCCGAGTAGCTGGGATTACAGGCATGCGCCACCATGCCTGGCTAATTTTATATTTTTAGTAGAGATGGGGTCTCTCCATGTTGGGCAGGCTGGTCTCGAACTCCTGACCTCAGGTGATCTGCCTGCCTCAGCCTCCCAAAGTGCTGGGATTACAGGCATGAGCCACTGCACCTGGCCATCAGATGAATGGCTTGCAATATTTTTCCCATCCTGCCAGTTGTTTCTTCATTCTGTTAACTGTTTCCTTTGCTGTGCAAAAGCTTTTTAGTCTGATATAATCTCATTTGTCTATTTTTACTTCTGTTGCCAGAGCTTTTGAGGTTTTAGCATACGATCTTTGCCCAGACCAATGTTCTGAAATGTTTCTTGTGTGTTTTCTTCTGGGAGTTTTATAGTTTATTGTCTTAAAGTTTTTAATCCATTTTGAGTTAATTTTGGTATATGATGAAAGGTGGGAGTCTAGCCTAGTCTAGTATTCTGCATATGAACATCCAGTTTTCCCAGCGCCATTTATTGAAGAGACTGTCCTTTCCCCGTTGTATGTTCGTGCTGCTTTTGTTGAAAGTCAGTTGGATGTATATACATGGATTTATTTCTGGGTTATCTATTCTGTTCCATTAGTCTATGTGTCTCTTTTATGCCAGTACCATGCTGTTCTGTTTACTATAGCTTTTTGTAGCATATTTTGAAGTCGGGTAGTGTGATGCCTCCAGATTTGTTCTTTTTGCTCAGAAATGCATTGGTTATTCTGGGTCTTTTGTGGTTCCATACAACTTTTAGAATTTTTTTCTATTTTTGGGAAAAGGGCCTTAGTAATTTGATAGGAATTGCATTGAATTTGTAGATTGCTTCAATTAACATTAACAATATTAATTCTTTCAATCAATAAACATGGGATGTTGTTACATTTCTTTATTTCCTCTTCAATGTCTTTTATCAGTGTTTTGTAATTTTCTGTGTAGATATCTTTCATCTACTTGGTTAAATTCATTCCTAAGTATTTTGTTTTATTTTTGTAGCTGTTGTAAGTGGAATTGCTTTTTTGATTTCCTTTTCAGTTAGTTCATTATTCGTGTATAGAAACACTACTTAGTTTTGTATGTTGATTTTGTATTCTGCAACTTTACTGAATTTATCAGTTCTAAGAGTTTTTTGATGGAGTCTTTAGGTTTTTCTATATATAAGATCATATCATCTGCAAACAGGGACAATTTGACTTCCTCCTTTCCAATTTGAGTGCCATTTATTTTTTCCTTTTGTCTAATGTCTAGGATTTTCAGTACTATGTTGAATGAGTAATAAAAGTGGGTATCCTTGTCTTGTTCTAGTTCTTAGAGAAAAATCTTTTAAGTTTTCCTCATTGAGTATGATGTTAGCTGTGGGTTTGCCATATCTGGCCTTTATTGTGTTGAGGTACATTCGTTCTATACCTAATTGTTGTGGGATTTTATTATGAAATGGTAAAATGCTTTTTTTGCATCCGTTGAAATGATCATATGGATTTTCTCCTTCATTCTGTTGATATAATGTATCACATTTATTGATTTGCATATGTTGAACCATCCTTGAATCCCTGGGATAAATCTCACTTGATCATGTTGTATAATCTTCTGGTTGTGCTGTTGAATTTGGTTTGCTAATATTTTGCTAAGGATTTCTGCATCTATGTTCATCAGGGATTTTGGCCTGTAAAGTGTGTGTGTGTATGTTTGTGTGTGTGTATTTATCCTTCTATGGCTTTGGTATCAGGATATTAATGCTGGCCTTGTATAATGAGTTTGAAAAAATTCCATGCCCTTTAAGTTTTTGGAATAGTTTGAGAAGAATTGGTGTTAGTTTTTTTTAAGGTTTGGTAGAATTCAGTGAAGCCATCAGATCCTGGGCTTTTCTTTGATGAGAGAATTTTGTATTACTGCTTCGATCTCATTAGTGGCTCTTGATCTCTTCAGGTTTTCTATTTCTTTCTGTCTTAGTCTTGATAGGTTGTATGTGTCCAGGAATTTATCCATTTCTTCTAAGTTTTCCAATTTCTTGACATATATCTGTTCATAGTAGTAGTCTCTAATGATCCTTTGTATTTCTGTGGTGTCAGTTGTAAGGTCTCCTTTTTTCTGATTTTATTTATTTAGTTCCTTTTTCTTAGTGTAGCTAATTGTTTGTCAAGCTGGTTTATCTTTCCAAATAACCAAATTTTCATTTTTGTTGATCTTTTGTACTGTTTTAATCTATCATTTATTTATGCTCTTAACTTTATTTACTTCTATTAATTTTGAGTTAGTTTTTGCTTGGTTTTCTAGTTCCTTGAGGTGCGTCATTAGGTTGTTCCTTGAAATCTTTCTAATTTTTTGATGTAAGTATTTATTTTTATAAAAATCACACTCATTACTGTTTTTCCTATATTCCATAGATTTTGGTATGTGATGTTTCTATTTCAGTTTGTTTCAAGGCATTTTTAAATTTCCTTCTTAATTTCTTCATTGACCCATTGATCATTCAGGAGCATGTTGTATACTTTCCATGTATTTGTACAGTTTCCAATGTTCCTCTTGTTATTGATTCCTAGTTTTATGCCATTGTGGTCTGAGGAGATATTTGATATGATTTTTTTTTGATTTTTAAAAATTTGTTGAGACTTGTTTTCTGGTCTAACATATGGTCTATCTTTAAAAATGTTCCATGTGTTGATGATAAGAATGTGTATTCTGCAGTTGTTGGGTTAAATGCTCTATAAATTCCTGTTTGGTGCATTTGGTCTATAGTGAAGTTTAAATTTAATATTTCTTTGTTGAATTTCTCTCTAGATGAATGAAAGAAAGAAAGACTATTGTACTGAGGTCTATCTCTTTAGTTCTAATAATATTTGCTTTATATATCAGAGTGCTCTGGCATTGGGGCATATATATTTACAATGGTTATATCTTCTTGCTGAATTGATCCATTTAACATAATATAATGATGTCCTTTGTCTCTTTTTACAGTTTTAACTTAAAGTGTACTTTATCTCATATAAGTTTAACTACTCCTACACATTTTTGTTTTCTGTTTGCATAGAATCCATCATTTCAAGTTCAGTCTTTCTGTGTCTTTACAGGTGAATTGATTTTCCTCTAGGCAGCATATATTTGTGTCTTGTTTTCTTACCCATTGAGTCATTATATATCTTTATTTTTTCATATTTAATTTTTGGGGGTATATAGTAGGTGTATATATTTATGAGATACATGAGATGTATTGATATGGGCATACAGTGTGTAATCCATCAGGGTAAATGGGGTATCTAATACCAGAGCACTCTGATATACAAAGCAAACATTATTAAAACTAAAGAGAGAGATATCCCCAATACAATAATAGGAACTCTACCAACCAACTCTCAACATTAAACAGATCATCTAGAGAGAAAATCAACAAAGAAATATTGGATTTAAGCTGCACTATAGACCAAATGGACCAAACATTTATAGAACATTTAACCCAACAACCTCAGAATACACATTCTTATCATCAGCACATGGAAAATTCTTAGATAGACCACATATTAGACCAGAAAACAAGTCTCAACAGATTTTTAAAAATCAAGCATTTATCTTTTATTCGTGTTACAAACAATCCAATTATACTATTTTAGCTATTTTGAAATACACAATACTTTATTGTTGACTGTAGTCAACCTGTTGTGCTATCAAATACTAGATCTTATTTATTCTATCTATATTTTTGTATCCACTAACCATATTATCTTCACCCCACCACTACCTAGCTTTGCCAGCTTCTGGTAACAATCCTTCCACTCTATCTCTGTAAGTTCAATAGTTTTTATTTTTAGTTTCCACAAATAAGTGAGAACATATGAGTTTGTCTTCTGTGCCTGACTTATTTCACTTGACATAGTGACCTCCAGTTCCACCCATGTTGTTGCAAATGACTGGATCTCATTCTTTTTTATAGATGAATAGTGTTTCATTGTGTACATATACTACTTTTTCTTTATCCATTCATCTGGTGATGGACACAGGTTGCTTTCAAGTCTTGGCTAATTGAATAGTGCTGCAATAAACATGGAAGTGCAAATATCTCTTCAATATACTGATTTCCTTTCTTTTGGGCATGTGCCTAACAGTGGGAGTGCTGGATCATATGGTAGTACTATTTTTTGTTGTTGAGATGGAGTCTCACTCTGTCACCCAGGCTGGAGTGCAGTTGTGTGATCTCAGATCACTGCAACCTCCACCTTCCTGGTTCAAGCGATTCTTCTGCCTCAGCCTCCAGAGCATCTGTGATTACAGGCGCTCACCACCATGCCCGGCTGTTTTTTGTACTTTTAGTAGCGATGGGGTTTCACCATATTGGCCAGGCTGTTCTTGAACTCCTGACCTCAAGTGATCTGCCTGCCTCGGCCTCCCAAAGTGCTGGGATTATAGGCGTGAGTCACCATGCCTGCCCATGGTAGCACTATTTTTAGTTTTCTGAGGCAACTCCAAACAGTTCTCCGTAGTGGTTGTACTAATTTACGTTCACACTAAAGGTCCACGAAGGTTCCCTTTTCTCCACATCTTTGTCAGCATTTGCTATTGCCTGTCTTGGATAAAAGTCTTTTTAACTGGGGTGAGATATCAGTGTAATTTTTATTTATATTTATCTGATGATCAGTGATGCTGAGCACCTTTTCATATGATTGTTTGCCATTTGTATGTCTTCTTTTGATAAATGTCTCTACAGATATTACACCCATTTTTTTTTTTGAGACAGAGTCTCGCTCTGTTGCCAGGCGTGATCTCGGCTCACTGCAACCTCTGCCTCCTGGGTTCAAGTGATTCCCCTGCCTCAGCCACCTGGGTAGCTGGGACTGGGACTACAGGCGTGCAACACCATGCCCAGCTAATTTTTTGTATTTTAGTAGAGATGGGGTTTCACCATGGTGGCCAGGATGGTCTCGATTTCCTGACCTTATGATCAACCCACCTCAGACTCCCAAAAAGTGCTGGGATTGCAGGCATGAACCACTGCGCCTGGCCCTATTATTCCCATTTTTAATCAGATTATTAGTTTCTTTTTTCCTATAGAGTTGTTTACAATCCTTATGTATTCTGGTTATTAATCCTTTGTCAAGATAGTTGGCAAATATTTTCTCCCATTCTGTGGGTTGTCTATTCACTTTGCTGTTTCCTTTCTTGTGCAGAAGCTTTTTACATTGATGTGATCCCATTTGTCCATTTTTACTTTGGTTGTCTGTGCTTGCGGGGTATTGCTCAAGAAATATTTGCTCAGCCCAGTGTCCTGGAGAGTTTCCTCAATGTTTTCTTTTAGTTGTTTCATAGTTTGAAGTCTTAAATTTAAGTCTTTAATTCATTTTGATTTGAATTTTGTATATGGCAAGAAATAGGGTTCTAGTTTTATTCTTCTGCATATGGATATCCAGTTTTCCCAGAACCATTTATTGAAGAGACTCTTCTTTCCTCAATGTATGTTGTTGACATCTTTGCTGAAAATTTGTTCACTGTAGAAGTATGGATTTTTTTCTGGGTTCTCTATTCTATTCAATTGGTTTATTTGTCTCTTTTTATGCCAGTATCATGCTGTTTTGGTTACTATAGCTTTGTAGTATAATTTGAAATCAGGTAATGTGATTCCTCCAGTTTTGTTCTTTTTGCTCAGAAATGCTTTGACTATTCTGGGTCTTTTGTGGTTTCATATGAATTTTAGGGTTTTTTTTCTATTTCTTTGAAGAATGTCATTGGTATTTTGATAAGGATTGCATGTAATCTGTACATTGCTTTAAGTAGCATGAACATTTTAGCAATATTGATTTCTTCAATGCACAAACATGGAATATCTTTCCATTGTTTATGTCCTATTCAGTTTCTTGCATCAATGTTTTATAGTTTTCATTGTAGAAATATTTTACTACTTTGGTTAATTGCTAGGTATTTGATTTTGTTTGTTGGCTATTGTAAATGGGGCTACTTTTAAAATTTCTGTTTCAGATTGTTTGTTGTTGGTAATAGAAATGCCATTAATTTTTATATGTTGATTTTGTATCCTGCAACTTGTTTATTATTTGAAAGATACGAAATTATCTTAAATTTTTTTATTACTTCTAATAGTTTTTTGGTAGAGTCTCTGGGCTTTTCCAAATACAAGATTACATTATCTGCAAACAAGTATAATTGACTTCTTCCTTTCCAATTTGGATGCCATTTATTTATTTGTCTTGTCTAACTGCACTAGCTAGTACTTCCAGTATTATGTTGAATAACAGTGGCGAAAGTGGCTATCCTTGTGTCCCAGATCTAAGAGAAAAGGTTTTCAATTTTTCTTGATTCAGTATGACATTAGCTGTGGGTCTGTCATATATAGATTTTATTGTGTTGGGGTATGATCCTTTTATACCTAGTTTACTGGGGGCATTTATCATGAAGTGATGTTGAATTTTATCGAATGCTTTTCAGGATCAATTGAAAGGATCTTATGATTTTGTCCTTCATTCTGTTGATATGATGTATCACAATGGTTGATTTGTGTGTGTTGAATATCTTTGCAGCCCTGGAATAAATCCCACTTGGTTATGATGAATGATCTTTCCAATGTGTTTTTGCATTTGGTTTGCTAGTATTTTATTGAGGATTTTTGCATCAGCATTAACCAGGATATTGACTTATAGTTTTATTTTTTTTAATGTGTCTTTTTCTGATTTTGGCATCAGCATAATACTGACCTCATAGAACGTGTTTGGAAGTATTCCTTCTTCCTATATTTTTTGGAATAGTTTGAGTAGGACTGGTATTAGTTCTTTAAATGTTTGTAGAATTTATCAGTGAAGCCATTGGGTCCTGAGCTTTTCTTTGCTGGGAGACCTTTTACTACAGCTTCAAGCTTGCTACTTATTTTTGGTCTGTTTAGGTTTTGGATTTCTTCATGGTTAGATATTAGTAGGTTGTATGTGTCTAGGAATTTATCCATTTCTTCCAGGTTTTCCAATGTATTGGCATATAGTTGCTGATAGTAGTCACTAGTTATCCTTTGAAATTTTGCAGTTTGAGTTGTAATGTCTGCTTTTTCATGTCTGATTTTATTTGTGTGCTCTCCCTCTCTTTTTTCCTCAGTCTGGCTGAAGACTTGTCAATTTTGTTTGTCTTTTCAAAAAGCCAAGTTTTCATTTTATTAATCTCTTATATTATTTTCTTCATTTCAATTTTTTTTTAATTTTCACTGTAATTCTTATTCCTTTTCTACTAATTTCAGGTTTGGTCTGTGCTTGAGTTTCTAGTTCTTTATGATGCATTCTTAGGTGGTTTATTAGAAGTTTTCCACTTTTTGGATGTAGGTGCTCATAGTTATGTCTTATTATTGCTTTCACCATATCCTATTCATTTTGGTACGTAGCTTTTCCATTATCATTAATTTCAAACATTTTTTCAATTTTCTTCTTAATTTCTTTATTAACCCACTGGTCATTCAGAACATATTGTTTACTTCCCAAGTGTTGGTAAAGTTTCCAAAATTTCCCATTTTTGACTTCAAATTTTATCCCATTGTGTTCAGAGAAGATACTTGATGTAATTTTTGTTTTTTGAGCTTTTAAAAATTTGTTCTGTGGCCTAAAATATAATCTGCCTTTGAGAATGATCTATATGCTGAAGAAAAGAATGTTTATTCTGTTGCCCCTGGATGAAATGTTCTGTAAATATCTATTAGGTCCATTTGGTCTATAGTGCAAATTAAGTCCTATGTTTCTTGGTTTATTTTCTGTCTGGGAGATCTGTTCAACGCTGATAATGAGGAGTTGAAATCTCCAGTTGTTATTGTATTGGAGTTTATCTCACCCTGAGCTCTCAGAATATTTGCTGTATATATCGTGTGCTCCAGTGTTGGGTGCATATATGTTTACAATTGTTATATCCTTTTGCTGAATTGACAACTTTATCATTATATAATAACCTTCTTTGTTTCTTTTTATAGATTTTCCTTGAAACCTGTTTTTTCTTTTATAAGCATAGCTATTCATGCTCTTTTTTATGGTTTCCATTGGCATGGAATATCATTGGCATGAGTGAGAACATACGACGTTTGGTTTTCCATTCCTGAGTTACTTCACTTAGAATAATAGTCTCTGATCCCATCCAGGTTACTGCAAAAGACATTAATTCATTCCTTTTTATGGCTGAGCAGTATTCCTTCATATATATATTACACCACAGTTTCTTTATCCACTGGTTGATTTGGGCTGGGTTCACATATTTGCAATTGTGAATTGTGCTGCTGTAAAAATTAATGTACAAGTATCTTTTTCATATAATGACTAATTTTTGGCTAGGTAGATACTCATTAATGGGATTGCTGGATCAAATGGTAGTTCTACTTTTAGTTCTTTAAGGAATCTTCATACTGTTTTCCATAGTGGTTGTACTAGTTTACATTCCCACCAGCAGTGTAAAAGTGTTCCTTTTTCACTGCCTATACACCAACATCTATTATGTTTTGATTTTTCAATAATGGCCATTCTTGTGCTAGTAAAATGCTATCACATTGTGGTTTTGATTTGCATTTCCCTGATCATTAGTGATGTTGAGCCTTTTTTCAGATGTTTGTGGGCCATTTGTATATCTTCTTTTGAGAATTGTCTATTCATGTCCTTAGCCCACTTTTTGATGGAATTGTTTATTTCTTGCTAATTTGTTTGAGTTCCTTGCAGATTCTGGATATTAGTTCTTTGTCAGATGTATAGATTGTGAAGATTTTCTCCCACTCCGTGGGTTGTCTGTTGACTCTGCTGACTGTTGCTTTTGCCTTGCCAAAGCTCTTTAGTTTAAGTCCCACCTATTTATCTTTGATTTTGTTGTATTTGCTTTGGGTTCTTGGTCATAAAATCTTTGCCTAAGCCAATGTCTAGAAGGGTTTTTCCAATGTTATCTTCCAGAATTGTTATAGTTTCAGGTCTTAGATTTAAGTCCTTGATCCATCTTGAGTTGATTTTTATATAACAGGAGAAATGAGGATCCAGTTTCATTCTCCTATATGTGGCTTGCCAATTATCCCAGCACCATTAGTTGAATAGAGTGTCCTTTCCCCACTTCATGTTTTTGTTTGCTTTGTTGAAGATCAGTTGGCTGTAAGTATTTGGGCTTATTACCGGGTTCTTGATTCTGTTCCATTGGCCTATATGCCTATTTTTATGCCAGTACATGCTGTTTTGGTGACAATGACCTTATAGTATGGTTTGAAATCATGTAATGTGATGCCGCCAGATTTGTTCTTTTTGCTTAGTCTTGCTTTGGCTATGCAGGCTCTTTTGTGGTTCCATATGAATTTTAGGATTGTTTTTTCTAGTTTTGTGAAGAATGATGGTGGCATTTTGATGGAAGTTGCCATGAATTTGTAGATTGCTTTTGGTAGTATGTCATTTTCACAATATTGATTCTGCTGATCCATGAGCATGGGATGTGTTTCCATTTGTTTGTGTCATCTATGATTTCTTTCAGCAGTGTTTTGTAGTTTTCCTTGCAGCAGTCTTTCACCTCCTTGGTTAGATATATTCCTAAGTATTTTATTTTATTTTTTTGCAGCTATTGGGAAAGAGGTTGAGTTCTTGATTTGATTCTCACCTTGGCCACTGTTGGTGTACAGCAGAGCACTGATTTGTGTACATTAATTTTGTATCCTGAAACTTTGCTGAATTCATTTATCAGTTTTAGGAGCTTTTTGGAGGAGTTTTTAGGGTTTTCTAAGTAAACAATCATATCATCAGCAAATAGTGACATTTCTTGTAGTGTTGGCTTGGGAGTGGCAAATTCTCTCAGCCTTTCTCTGAAAAAGACTGTGTCTTTCCTTCAATTATGAAGTTTTGTTTCACTGGATACAAAATTGTTGGCTGATAATTGTTTTGTTTAAGGATCCACCAATCCCTTTTAGCTTGTAGGGTTTTTGATGAAAAATCTGCTGTTAATCTGATAGGTTTTCCTTTATAGGTTACCTGGTGCATTTGCCTCACAGCTCTTAACATTCTTTCCTTTGTCTTGACTTTAGATAACCTGATGAAAATGTGCCTAGGCAATGATCTTTTTGCAATTAATTTCCCAGTTGTTCTTTCAGCTTCTTGTGTTTGGATGTCTAGGTCTCTAGCAAGGCCAGGGATATTTTCCTTGATTTTCCCCCCAAATATGTCTTCCAAACTTTTAGATTTCTCTTCTTCCTCAGGAAGGCCAATTATTCTTAGGTTTGGTTGTTTAACATAATCACAAACCTCTTGGAGTCTATGTTATTTTTTTAATTCTTTTTTCCTTGTCTTTGTTGGATTGGGTTAATTTGAAAACCTTGTCTTTGAGCTCTGAAGTTCTTTCTTCTGCTTGTTTGATTCTATTGCTGAGAGTTTCCAGAACATTTTGCATTTCTGTAAGTGTATCCTTTATTTCCTGAAGTTGTGATTGTTTATTTATGCTATCTATTTCACTGCAGATTTCTCCCCTCATTTTTTTGTATCTTTTTTTGATTTCCTTAAATTGAACATCTTTCTCTGGGGCCTCCTTGATTAGCTTGATAATCAACTTTCTGAATTCTTTTTCAGGTAAATCAGGGATTTCTTCTTGGTTTGGATCCATTGCTGGTGAGCTAGTGTGATTTTTTGGGGGCGTTAAAGAACCTTGTTTTGTCATATTGACAGAATTGTTTTTCTGGTTCCTTCTCATTTGGGTAGGCTATTTAGAGGGGAGATCTGGGGCTCAAGGCTGCTATTCAGATTCTTTTTTGCCACAGGGTGTTCCCTTGATGTAGTACTCTTTCCTTTTTCCTAGGGATGTGGCTTACTGAGAGCTGCACTGTAATGGTTGTTATTTCTCTTCCGGATCTAGCCACCCAGCATGGTTATCAGGCTCTGGGCTGGTACTGGGAGTTGTCTGCACAGAGTCCTGTGATGTGAACTGTCTTCAAGTCTCAGCCAGGGATACCAGCATGTGCTCTGATGGAGGTGGCAGGGGAGTGAAATGAACTCTGTGAGTGTCCTTAGTTTTGGTTGTTTAATGGACCTTTTTTGTGCTGGTTGGCCTCCTACCAGGAGGTGGTGCTTTCAAGACAGCATCAGCTTTGGTAGTATAGGGAGGATCAGGTGGTGGGTGGGACCCTAGAACTTCCAAGAGAATGTGCCCTTTGTCTTGAGCTACCAGGGTGGGTAGGAAGGGACCATCAGGTGGGGGCAGGGTTAGACAGTGTCTGAGCTCAGACTCTTCTTGGGCGGGGCTTGCTGCAGCTGCTGTCGGGGATGGGGGTGCTTCACTTGTTTTTATGCTTTTTTATTTTTTCTCTTCCGCCTGTGTATTTACAAGTAGGCTTTCTTCATGCTTGATAATTCTTTCTCTTGCTTTATAAATTTTGCTGCTCAGAGACTCTGATGCATTCTTCTGTATGTGAATTGCATTTTTCCTCTCCCAGCTTTCTGTTTGATTCTTTTTAATTATTTCAATCTCTTTGTTAAATTTATTGGATAGAATCTGAATTCTTTCTCTGTGTTATCTTGAATTTTATTAAGTTTTCTCACAACAGCTAATTTAATTTTCTTCCTGAAAGGTCACTTATCTATATCTGTCTGGGATTGTTCTCTGGTACCTTTTGTAGTTCATTTGGTGAGATCATGTTTTCCTTTATAGTCTTGATGTTTGTGGATTATTTTTGGTATCTAGACATTGGAGAGTTATTTATTTATTATAGTCTTCACAGTCTCAGCTTGTTTGTACCCATTCTTCTTGTGAAGGCTTTCCAGGTATTCAAAGGGACTTGGGTGTTGCCATCTAAGTTTTATTCACTCCAGCTGTATGTACATTAGGAGGCACCTCAAGCCCAGTGTCACTGTGGCTCTTGCAGACTTTTAGACGTAGCACCTTGGTGGTCTTGGATATGATCCAGAAGAATTTTCTGGATTACCAGGCAGCGACATTTGTTCTCTTCCCTTACTTTCTTCCAAACAAATGGAGTCTTTCTCTCTCTATGTTGAGCTGCCTGGAGCTGCAGGAGGGGTGACACAACCACCCCTGTAGCTACCACCACTGGGACTGGACTGGGTCACACCTGAAACCAGCATAGCACAGATTAACCAGGGCCCATGGTAACTACTCTACCTACCACCTATGTTCACTTAAGACCCTAGGTCTCTACAATCAGAAGGGTGGTGAATCCAGCCAGGCTTGTGTCCTTCCCTTCAGGGTGGTGATTTTTCCCCTGACCCTGGGTGATCCAGAGATGCTATCCATCAGCCAAGTCCTGGGGTCAGAAACCTTAGGAATCTACCTGGTGCTGTATTGTCCTGCAGCTGAGCTGGCACCTAAGGCACAATACAAAGTCCTTCCTACTCTTCCCTTCCCTTTCCACAAGCAGAGAAGCCTCTTGCTGTGGTCACTGACCCTGGCCCATGGAGAGTACTGCCTGGCTACCATCAATGTTCACTCAAGCCCCAAGGGGTCTTCAGCTTGTGGTGAATTCTGTGAGGCCTGGGGCTCTCCCTTTATAGTGCTGGGCTTCCCTCTAGCTCAGGGCATGCCTGTAAATGCCATCCAAGAGCTAGGGCCTGGAATCAGAAACCCTTACAGCCCACTTGGTGCTCTACCTCGTTGTGGGCAAGCTGGTACCTAAGCTGTAAGACAAAGACCCCTTTACTCTTTCCTCTCCTTTTCTCAAGCAGAAGGAATCTCTCCCCATAGCCACCACTGTTGGAAATGTGCTAGGTCCCACCTGAAGCAAGCACATCTCTGAGCCTCACCCAAGGCCCATGGCGAGTAGTGCCTAGCTACAAATGCTGACTATTCAGGGCCCATGTCAACAGGTGATGAATCCTCCCAGGATGAGGTTCTCGCCTTCAAGGCAATGGGTTCCTTTTGGGCCCATGGTGTGTCTAGAAGAGTTGTCTGGGAGTTAGGGCCTGGAATTGGGGCCACAGGACTCTGCCTGGTGCCCTATCCTACTGTGGCTCAGGTGGTATCCAAGTTGTAAGACAAAGTCCTCTTTCCTCTCTTCTTCTTAAGCCGAAGGAAGGAGTCTCCCCAGACCTGTGAACTGAGCTGCTTTGAATTGGGAGAGGGGTGTCATGAGCACCCACCTTGGCCACGTCATCTGGTATCTCACTAGGTTGTATGCCCCCCAACTCCAGTAGCTCTGAGCCCAGCACAGCACCAGAACTTGCCTAGAAATTGCAGTCCAGGTGGCCTGGTCTGACTTTCAAGTTTGTTTAGAACCACAGAGCACTTTAGCCTGTGGTGGCGAGGTTTGGCAGAGTCCAGGTTTCAACTACTGTGACAGGCAGTTCCCCTCTGGATATGGCTGGTCTAAATGACCCCTCTGTGTGTACCAGATGAGTTCTGCCTGGTGTTGCTTCCCATGGTGACAGGGCAGCACTTAGTTCCAATGCCAAGTCCCACAGTCACTGTGCTCTCCTGTTCCCAAGTGCGCAGATTCTCTCTCTCCACCATGCAGCCACAGATGGGGGTTGGGGGAAGAGTGGCATTGGTAATTCAAGACTTTCTTATCCTCTTCAGTGCCCCTTTCAGGGATGTGACATTAAAGCCTGGTACTGTGATTGCTCATCTAACTTTTCATTCTTATGAAGGTACTTTTCTGTGTGGATAGATATTGAGTTTTGTGTTCCTGGGGGGACACAATCGTGGAGGCTTCTATTCAGCCATCTTTCTCTGCCTCCCTCTCCACTACTAAGGTCTATACTTCTTAATTGAGGAATTTAATTAATTTACATATAAGATTATTAATAATAGGTAGCAACTTACTCCTGTCGTTTTGTTATACGGTTTCTAGTGCGTTTATATAGCCTTTGATGCTTTCTTCCTCTCTCATTTTTTCTTTGTGGCTTTGTCATTTTCTGTTGTGATAAGGTTTTCTTTCTTATTTGGGTATCTGAGGGTCTTCATTACTTCCTTTATAAATTTCAGTGTTCTTCCTTAGGTACTTTACTCAAAGTATAGCTATGCGTTTTTTTGTTTTGGTTCTTCTTTGTAAAGGAGAGGAGCACTGGGCACCTCTAGCCAGCCATCTTGATGCCGTCCTGAAGACCTTTTTGAGAACCACAAATCCATAATCTGTGCTGGTATAGTTGAAAGGAGAGTGGTTAAGCATGTGTACTCTTACCAGTGATCAAATCTAAGTTTTACCCCTCATTGTGTGGCCCTGAATTTGCTTCTTCGCTTTCTGATCTGTAAAACGGGAATAATTTAGTACTCACTTCAGAGGTTTCTTGTACAGACAAGATAATGCATTAAGAGAGCTTAGCACAGCAGTTGGGATACATTTATTAAGTGTTAAATATTATTACAATTGTTTTGTATATCAGTAACTTGTTATATATTAGACTTTCAATTAAATGTCCTAATGAAGAAGAAGGTATTGGTTGAGGGGCTAGTAAAGAAGAGAGAATTTTGAGTTTCAAAAAATTCACAATCGACCTTTAATATTCAACCTAAAGTTGAAGCAGATTCCTGGATGCAGCTGCAGGTGAAATGTTGATGCTAGAACAGCACAATTCATTTGCTGGTCTTCTTCTGACCCCATATATGTCTTGACAGGTATTCAGTGAATTAGAATCTATAAGCGAGTCAAAGGCTAAGAGTTTGTTGGAATGTTACAGCTTTTGTATGAGACCTGCAAACCTGGTGTCAAATGTCCTTAGTTTAATATTGCATGTCATCCCTTGGCCAGTGGGCAAGCCAAATATACTGTTAGAATATTTTTTTGTGGTTCTATTTAAAATCCATATTCAGCAGAAAGGCTCATTGAATTTGTTTGAAGGGATGAATCAGTCTCTCTCTCCTCTCACCTCCTTCCTTCCCCTCCCTCCCTCTTTCCTTCTTTCCATATTTCCCTCTCCCTGCCCTGTTTTATTATGTGTACATATGCTAAGTGTTTCCCGAAATGTGGTCCATAGAACATTTGCAGCAACCTGAGGTGCTTGGTGAAAATAGAGCTTCCTGAGCACTGACCTAGATATAATAAATCAGAGTCCCTAGAAGTGGAGTCAGAAAGTCTACATTTAAAAATAATTTCAGGCCAGGCATGGTGCCTCACGCCTGTCATCCCAACACTTTGGGAGGCCGAGGCGGGCGGATCACGAGGTTAAGAGTTCAAGACCAGCTTGACCAACATGGTGAAACTCCATCTCTACTAAAAGTACAAAAATTAGCCAGGCGTGGTGGTGCTCACCTGAAATCTCAGCTACTCAGGAGGCTGAGGCAGCAGAATCGCTGGAACCTGGGAGGTGGAGGTTGCAGTGAGCCAAGATCGTGCCACTGCACTCCAGTCTGGGTGACAGAGTGAGATTCTGTCTCAAAAAAACAAAACAAAACAAAAAAAATAGTTCCACTATTGTGGTGAATATTAAACTTGGGAAATACTACCACAAAAGACTGTCCATCCCATATGATAGTAAGGATGGTTATATTTATTGATTATGATTAATCATTAGAAAGGTTTATAATATTCATATCAGAATCCCCCTGGCTCCGTAAATTTTATTCCAAGGCCAAACATATATTAGAGCTTATGTTATGCTACTCCATCCCAATAATCAGCCTGTGTACAGTAAAAAACAGCTAGGAATGAAATGTGGCTCAACATGATTTATTAATAATTGTCACTATAGTTTTATATATGCACAGAGCTGGATGCTTTGAGGATATAAAATTGGAAAACAGTATGATTCTTGATTTAAAGTAGCTCTCATTGTGGTGAACTGGCTTAACCAAGAGCCACACCCCTGTGCATCCTTTCGAATGAGTGCTGCTGGAGTCTGTTCTTAGGTTAAAGCAAATCACCATGTTCCACTCATCTCTTTGATTCAAAGTCCATAGCTAGTAATCTCAGATGTAACATCAGTAACTGAAAGACACCAAACTTAATAGAATTCAAATATGTTTAGACCAGTGCCCAACCTATGAAATGCCATCAGTGACAAGGAGCATTAAGATTCTGTTCTAAGTGTCTGTACTTGACTTTTTAGTATCATCCAACTCAATAGGGCTGACAGCTTCTCCCCATTTCACCTGTCTCTGACTTGGTTTGGATAAATGACTCTGGTTTCTATTTTTGGCCTTCATTTGACACGTTAGTCACCATCTCCTGTTTCTGAACCTGACCTAGTACCTTATGCTCATCCAGAACTGTTTACTATACCTACTGTTTTCTTGCCAACTTTGCTTATCCACAAAGGATAAATGACTTTAGTGACCATCCAAAGAAAGAGCCAGCACCCTTTCAGGTCTATAAATATGCACACCAATTACACCCATTGACTAAGTGTAATAACTTGCTACTGAAGTACAAGAATTGGTTGTCCATGTGCTCTTTCTTAAAGTCCATCTCTTTGAAGAGTGTACTGATGATATGATTAATTTTTACAACTAATAATAAACACTAATATCTACATCATGAAGGAAAGCCAGCTGATCCTTTAATGAGGGTTTCATCCATAACTTTACAAAGGATAACAAGGAAAAATATATGACTTGGTTTTTGGTGTCAGAATTCTAAAATTTCGACTAAGCCTTAGTTCCTATTACAGGGGAATAAATGAAGTTAATATTTATTGTGCACCTACACTCTGCAACTTACACAAGTAGCAAGTGGCCCAGCTGGGATTTGAAATGAGGTCCATCTGATATGCTAGATGTTGGAAATTGATTTTTATTTTCTTATGGCCACAAATGGCTTCCTCCAAGGAAAATCCACTTTAGCAATTAATTATCTGGAGCAGCAACAATACATGTGGAACCTCAACTTATAAACATGTTTGTCCTCGACTATAAATTGTGTTTGGGCTTTAACTCTGATGATCTGTGTTTATGTACATGGGTTTCTATTGTACCAGCAGAGTTTCTAAAACAAGTAAGAATTACCTCTGATTAAAGAGAATAGCAACAAAACAATCTCTTGTGATTTTTTACTGTAAATGTTTGAGTTACATTTGTTACATGTCTCTATCACTTTATGCTATCCATTGATGTGAAGACAAATTGGCCCTGTGACAATGTTCTGTTTTAGAATGCATTGCCTTTGTGAGAGGTACAGCAGACTGTGGTGAGGACTCTGATAAGGACTTTGGAGAAAGATGGTAGTTCCGATGAGGCTTGTGAGAGAAATATATTAGTGCAGTCAGAGTGAGCATAACTCTAACCTGAATATGTTGATATTGATTTCGAGGGACTATCTTCTAAAATGAGTCAGTTAAAATAAGGAATTAACCAAAGGATTTGTTTTTGATGTTAGGAAGTGCATAAAACACTTAAGAAAGCTTTCTGTCTGACACTGAGAGAGACTGAGCAGTTTGAAATGGGCTTTGTAGGAAAATAAAAAAACTTCAGAACAGGAAGCTATATGAGCTTTAAAGGCTGAATTTTAACTGAAAATAAGCCTCTGGAAGCCAACAAAACCTCAACTTGGATAAAAATAAATATCTATGTAAGCGTATTTGAATTAAAGTTGCTAATTAAAAATACCCATCACTAGTTATTGAGGGGACCTATATGACTGTCAGATTACAAACATTTTGCTAATCTTCATACTGCTAACACCAGAGGATGTCCATATCCTTATTTTACTGAAGGGTAAACTGAGAAAGGTACAGAGACTTCTTCAACATTGTATAAATAAGTATCAGGCTCTGAATGCAGCTTGGCCAAACTCTACAACATGTACTCTTCCCAGCTGTCTTAGTCTGTTTGGGCTGAGATAACAAAATACAGGCATACTTGTTTTATTGTACTTTGTAGACACTGAAGGTTTGTGGTACCCCTACACCGAGCAATTCTATTGGCACCATTTTTTTCCAACAACATGTACTCACTTTGTGTCCCTGTGTCACATTTTGGTAGTTCTCACAATATTTCAAACTTTATTGCAACATGTATTCTGGTGATCTCTGATCAGGGATCTTTTATGTCACTGTTGTAATTGTCTTGGAGTTTCACAGACTGAAACTGTCAAAGAAAGTGAACTTCATCGATAAATGTGTGTATTCTGATTACTCAACCAACCAGATGTTCCTCCATCTCTCTCTATCTCCTTGGGCCTCCCTATCCCCTAAGACACAAGAATATTGAAATTAGGATAATTAATAAGCCTACTATGCTCTCTAAATGTTCAACTGAAAGGAAGAATTGAACATCTCTCACTTTAAATCAAAAGCTAAAAATGATTAAAGTTAGCGAGGAAAGCACGTTGAAACCTGAGGTAGGCCAAAAGCTAGGCTTCTTGTGCCAAACAGCCAAGTTGTGAATAAAAAGCAAAAGTTCTTGAAGGAAATTAAGAGTGATACTCTAGTGAATGCATAAATGATAAGATAGTGAAAAAGCCATATTGCCAATACGGAGAAAGTTTGATGGCCTGGATAAAAGATTAAACTAGCCACAATATTCCCTTAAGCCAAAGCCTAATCCAGGGCAAGGCTACAATTCTCTTCAATTCTGTGAAGGCTGAGAGAGGTGAGGCAGGTGTAGAAGAAAAGTTATAAACTATCAGAGATTGGTTCGTGAGGTTTAAGGAAAAAAGCTGTCTCTATATCATAAAAGTGCAAAGTGAAGTAGCAAGTGCTGATATAGAAACTGCAGCAAGTTATCTATATCTGGCTGTGACTGTTGATGAATATAGCTACACTAAAAACAGGTTTTCAACGAAGACAAAACAGCCTTGTACTGGAAGAAGATGCCATCTAGGACCTTCTTAGCTAGAGAGAAGTCAATGCCTGTCTTCAAAACTTCAAAGGACAGGCTGATTCTCTTGTTACGGGCTAATGCAGTTGGTGACTTTAACTTAAAGCCAAGGTTCATTTACTATTCCCAAAATCCTAGAGCTCTTAAGAATTATACTCATTCTACTCTGTTTGTGCTCTATAAATGAAACAACAAGGCCTGGGTGACAGCACATCTGTTTACAGCATAGTTTACTGAATATTTTAAACCCACTGTTGACACCTACTGCTCAGGAAAAAAAAAAAAAAGATTCCTTTCAAAATGTTACTTCTCACTGACAAGGTACCTGATTACCCAAGAGCTCAGATGAAGATATACAAGGAAATTCATGTTATATTCATGCCTACTAACACAACATCCATTCTGCAGCCCATGGATCAAGGTGGTGATTTTGACTTTGAAGTCCAATTTAGGAACTACATTTCTTAAGGTTATAGCTGCCATAGACAGTGTTTCCTCTGATGGATCTGGGCAAAGTAAATTGAAAAAATTCTGGAAAGGATTCACCATTCTGGATGCCATTAGGAACACTATTGCTTCATAGGAGAAGGTCAAAATACCATTAACAGGAGTTTGCAAGAAGTTGATTTCAGCCCTCATGGGTGACTTTGAGGGGTTCTAGACTTCAGTGGAGGAATTCACTGCAGATGTAGTAGAAATAGCAAGGAACTAGAAGTGGAGAATGAAGATGTGACTGAATTACTATAATCTCATGATCAAATTTGAACAGATGAGGTGTTGCTTCTTATGGATTAGCAAAGAAAGTGGTTTCTTGAGATGGAATCTGTTCTTGATGAAGATGCTGTGAACATTGTTGAAAGGACAACAAAAGAGTTGGATATTACATAAACTTAGTTGATAAAGGAGCAGTAGGTTTGAGAGGATTGACTCCAATTTTGAAAAAAAAGTTCTACTGTAGGTAAAATGTTATCAAACAGCATTGGATGCTACAGAGAAATGTATTGTGAAAGGAAGAGTCAATTGATGTGGTACACTTCATTATTGCTATCTTACTTTAAGAAAGTGCCACAGCCACCCCATCCTTCAGGAACCATCACCTGGTCAATCAGCAGCTATCAACATCGAGGCAAGATCTCCCACCAGTTAAAAGATTACAAGTTATCGAATGCTCAGATGACTGTTAGCATTTTTTAGCCATAAAGTATTTTTATTTTTAAAATATATGATTTATTTTTAAAAATAATGATATTGCACACTCAATAGACTACAGTGTAATGTAACATAACTTTAAAAATGTTTTTTAAATTATACTTTAAGTTCTGGGATACATGTGCAAAACGTACAGGTTTGTTACATAGGTATGCACCTGCCATGGTGGTTTGCTGCACCCACCAACCCGTCATCTACATTAGGTATTTCTCCTAATGCTATCCCTCTCCAATACCCCCGACAGGCCCCTGTGTGTGATGTTCTGCTCCCTGTTTCCATGTGTATTCATTATTCAACTCCCACTTGTGAGTGAGAAAATGCGGTGTTCTGTTCTTCTGTTAGCTTGCTGAGAATGATGGTTTCCAGCTTCATCCATGTCCCTGCAAAAGACATGAACTCATCCTTTTTTATGGCTGAATAGTATTCCATGGTGTATATGTGCCACATTTTCTTTATCCAGTCTGTCATTGATGGGCATTTGGGTTGGTTCCAAGTCTTTGCTATTGTGAACAGTGCTGCAATAAACATACATGTGCATGTGTCTTTATAGTAGAATTATTTATAATCCTTTGGGTATATACCTAGTAATTGGATTGCTGGGTCAAATGCTATTTCTGGTTCTAGATCCTTGAGGAATTGTCACACTGTCTTCCACAATGGTTGAACTAATTTATACTCCCACCAACAGTGTAAAAGCATTCCTATTTCTCCACATCCTCTCCAGCATCTGTTGTTTCCTGACTTTTTAATGTTCGCCATTTTAACTGGCATGAGATGGTATCTCATTGTGGTTTTGATTTACATTTCTCTAATGACCAGTGATGATGAGCTTTTTTTTTTCATATGTTTGTTGGCTGCATAAATGTCTTCTTTTGAGAAGTGTCTCTTCATATCCTTCACCCACTTTTTGATGGGGTTGCTTGTTTTTTTTCTTGCAAGTTTATTTAAGTTCTTTGTAGATTCTGGATATTAACCCTTTGTTAGATGGATAGACTGCAAAAGTTTTCTCCCATTCTCTAGATTGCCTGTTCACTGTGATGATAGTTTCTTTTGCTGCAGGCGTCATGCTACCTGACTTCAAACTATACTACAAGGCTACAGTAACCAAAACAGCATGGTACTGGTACCAAAACAGATATATAGACCAATGGAACAGAACAGATATATAGACCAATGGAACACCACACGTCTACAACTATCTGATCTTTGATGACAAACCTGACAAAAACAAGCAATGGGGAAAGGATTCCCTATTTAATAAATGGTGTTGTGAAAACTGGCTAGTGATATGCAGAAAACAGAAACTGGACCCCTTCCTTATACCTTATACAAAAATTAACTCAAGAGGGATTAAAGACTTAAGTGTAAGACCTAAAATCATAAAAACACTAGAAGAAAACGTAGGCAGTATCATTCAGGACATAGGCATGGGCAAAGACTTGATGACAAAAACACCAAAAGCAATGGCAACAAAAGCCAAAATGGACAAATGGGATCTAATTAAACTAACGAGCTTCTGCATAGAAAACTTAACTTTTATATGCACTTGGAAACCAAAAAATTCATGTAACTAGCTTTATTGTAATATTCATTTTCTTGCCGTGGTCTGGAACTAAACCCACAATATCTCTGAGATATGCCTGTACCACAGACTGGGTGACTTAAAAAATTTTTTTCCTCACATTTTTGGAGGCTAAAAGTCCAAGGTCAAGGTGTTGGCTGATTTGGTTTATCCAGAAGCCTCTTTCCTTGGCTTGCAGATGGCTGCCTTCTCACTGTGTCCTCACATGACCTTTTTTCTGTGTGCATGCATCCCCAGTAACTTTTCCTCTTTTTTACTGAATATTTTAAAGACACCAGTCCTATTGGAATAGGGGCTTACCCTTATGACCTTGTTTTACCTTAATTATCACTTTAAATGCCCCATCTCTAAATGCAGTCACATTGAAGGATGTTTAGTCCTTTTTGTGTTATGACAAAATACCTGAGACTGGATAATTTTTAAGGAAAATAAATTTATTTTCTAGAGCCTGGGAAGTCCAAGATCAAGATGCCAGCAGGTTCCATCTCTGGTTCCAAGATGGTGCCTCATTGCTGCATCCTCTGAATAGGAGGTACATTGTATCCTAACATGGTGGAAGAGCAAGAGAGAAGGAAGGAATTCCAGCAAGTCCTTTTTATAGCAGCATTAACTCATTCATGAGCATGGAGCTCTCATCCTCCCAAAAGTCTCTATCTCCCAACACTGTTCAATTGGGGATTAAATTTCCAACACATGAGTTTTGGAGGCGATAAAATGTCCAAACCATAGCATGGGTTAGGGCTTAAACATATGAATTTAGGAGGACACATCTTAGCCCATAACATCATCCCACGTGACTATCCCTTAGATTCAATCTCAGGGGGATGTGGGAGAGGACTTGAAATGGAACAAGATAGTGAAGGGCCCACTCTGTTCAAAAGGCCAAGTATAACTGAAAGGACTATTTTTTTTTTTTTTTTTTGAGATAAAGTCTGGCTCTGTCGCCCAGGCTGGAGTGCAGTGGCGCAATCTCGGCTCGCTGCAAGCTCCGCCTCCCGGGTTCACGCCATTCTCCTGCCTCAGCCTCCGGAGTAGCTGGGACTACAGGTGCACACCACTACGCCTGGCTAATTTTTTGTATTTTTAGTAGAGACGGGGTTTCACCATGTTAGCCAGGATGGTCTTGATCTCCCGACCTCGTGATCCGCTGCCTCGGCCTCCCAAAGTGCTGGGATTACAGGCGTGAGCCACCGCACCCAGCCAGGACTATCTTTACTCTGATTAAATTTTAAAAATCTTTAAATATGTTGAAGGGAAAACAAAGCAACACTGTAAATAGTTGGCATTATAAAGCTCATTGAAAGTCTGTTAAGAGGGTGACATAGAAGGGAGCAGGTTAGGTGACAGAGGTGGGAGCAGGTCAGATATTGACTGATAGTGGCCGGTAGGGCCAGGGTTGAAAAGAAATTTATCTTTGAGAGGTAGATTGTAAGTCAATGTACGAATTATTAACAGATAAAATATTTTGTGTTTTTGGATTTGCCCTAATAGGTATTTCTTAACTCCAGATTTATTCACTAAGTCCTTATATTGTATTTTTGCTTGTAAATTGCATAGTTTTTAAGAATTTAGTCTCTGACTTACATTATCTCTAATTTACACTCATTTCTTTGTTGACAGGCAGTTCAGTTACAGCTGGCAAATATTAGGTTGCTTTTAGCACTTACTGGCAGTGAAAGCTCAGGGCTGAGGTAAAATTCCTATGTAAGACCTTCAGAACCTATGTAAGAATTATCTCAAATCCTGAACAATAGTAGCAGAACTCGAATGACAAATACCATTTGTGGTGGTCCTTAAGTGATCATGCATTAGAGCCCCTGCACTTGGAGTCTGGCTCTGACTCAGTTCTGGGATGCTGCTATTGGTGAACTAATCCAGGACCTCATTTTCCTCACTATGGGGGCTCACCAAATGAACACTATATTTGTTACATTCTCCAAACTGCTGGGGTTGTCACTCTGTCACAGAAGGAAATTAGATTTGTCTGACATTATATTCTTCATTGTCAGGTTGATAGACTGCTTTGTGTATCTCAAAATCTTTGCCAATTGATTACTTTCCTTTTTCTTTGCTTCCAGCATTTTTTGAGGTATGAAAGCTAATGCCTCCAATTTCTGACTATTGTTTTTCCCATATTAAGTGCTGCTTTATCTTCACCCTTTCTTATTTGTCATGCTTCTTATAGTTTTCCATGAGCAGGATTCACACTCAGCAAGACTAGAAGTGAGTCAAGTTGATTCTAATGCCTTCCCACTTCCCACTGCTCTTTCCCCGAAGAACTCTTACCTCCATTAGGAACTTAAGCTATGATCTTATTCTCATTCCTATGGTGGGTTGAGATTCTTGCCTGGAAAGCAGCTAATTTTGCTTCTCACCTGCCCTCAGGTTTAAGGTATTATCGTTTCATAGTTTTTAACCATTTGAATAAGGAACTCTTAAAAGACTTGAAAGCTCTTCAAAGACCAAGGGAATGAGTTTCTATTGGTAGAATTTCATAGAAGAGTGTGCATGTAAGTTAGGGGCTTCTTTTTATCGCAGCATCCCGTCACTTAGAGGCAGTCCCGTACTCTAGCAGTTCTCAAGTAAACAAAAGGCATTTTTAATAATGGTAGCCTCAATTCCTGGGGATTTGAAAATTTGTCTCAAACCAAGAATCTGTTCCAGAACAAGTGCTTCAGGTATCTCTTGTTTCAATAAAAGGGCTAAGGTTTTTGAAATATACAAATATATTTGAGCTCATTTTGCTAAGTTGTTCAAGGTCTTCAATGAAAATATAAGAAATCTTTTAGAAAGAAGGATTAAGAATGTGCTAAAATAAAGGGGTAGGGCTTGTGAAGACTGTACAATTAGTTACTTATTAAGTAAGCTTAACCACATAACTGCTGGGGTCCCAAAATACCGTACATCAGAGTTGGAAGGGATCTTAGAGGCTCTCTAACCTGTTTCTCAAACGGAAGGCAATGTGGGATAATGGGAGAAAAAAAGGAACATATGCTTTGGAGTCAGATGGACCTAGGTTTGAATCCCACTCTTAGTGGGTGACCTTGGGAAAATGAGAACGTTTTTGGGTCTCAGTTTCCAGTTCAGAAAAATGAAGATGACAGTGCCTTCTAATAGGGGCTGTTGTGAGGATTGGAGATTATGTATATCTAAAGCACATTATAGGTGTTCAGGAAATGGTATCTATTTTTATTATCATCACCATAAGATTATAGATGAGGTAACTGAAGAGTAGAGGTTAAATGACTTACTCAAGGTAATTTAGCATGTTACTTAAAAATGGACTAGAACACAGGTCTCATGTCTCTGACTCCTTGGCTTATCACGGCATGTTACACTGCCTCATCAACTGCCATGTATGGGAGATAGCCCTTTACATGAAAATGGCAAATTGAGGCAATAATTAAAAGTTCAATCTAGTAATGCATGAGTACACTGTTCTTCCTCTTTGTACTCTAAAAAATATTTGCTCGGTACAAAGTTGGCAGACTAACAGAAGGAGTCTTGGAAGTCACCTTCCAGAAAGAGAATGATGAATGCTATGTGGCTATAGGGCTTGTTTTCTTGAAAGAAATAACCAGTAGTATTTTTGTGAAGTTGTACAATCATCATTTTAAATTGAAAACTTTGAATTTATTTGATTCTAAATAATTTTGATATCTCTTGTCTACAAGTATTCACCTATTTGATAGATGAGGAAATCGAGGTGTACAGAGGCGAGGGACTTGCCCAATGCCATAAAGATAGTAAGTGGCAGAATCGTAATTAAAACTTAGGTCTTCTGACTCAATTCAGAGCACTTTCTATCTATCCTACTTGAATTGCTCATATTTAAAAACGCTTTTTCTTTCTTGCCCTTTCAGATGTCAAACTTTTGAAAAATAACTGGGTATGGACATGACCATCCCCTAGGACTATTTGAGACAATGTTACTCAGATATTTTCACTGTTAGCAAATGGCACCATCAACTTGAACTTTTTCTTAATTCTGAAGTTTTTTTAATATAGCTGACTGGTGACCCAGATTCCTTCCTCCATATCCCACTCTGGCTCTGATGCAGATTTAAGTCCCTGTTTTGATCTTGTGCTTTGCCCCGTGGTCTGCTGTAGACATATTTCAGCCCATGAGAAGACTTAGCCTTCACTTAGCCCTGAAGATCTTGGAATTGGCCCTATTCGGTAGGATACTGATACACATCAAGGGTTTTTTGCCCATCTGTCTTGTTTTCTTTTGTGCTCAGTTCCTGTCCCTGGGGTTGTTTCCTGGAATCTGGACCACTTGCTTGCTACTTCTACTGTTGGGAACTTACTGGTGATTTCTAAAGCTTCCTCTTGACGTGACGTGGTAACTAATCCTGTTATATTCCTGATAAGGGATCTTGGAAACTCTCAGAGGAAACTGATGATACCCCAGGGCCAAGTTAACAATTGCAAAACTGTTCTGAAGGTTTAGTAGAAAACATATGTTTCTCTATAGCAACTGAAGGTTAGCTGTAACCTAAAGATTGACTGGGAGAGATACTGCCACCTTTCCTAGGTTGTAGAATTTTTCAGAAGAATTTTACAAATGATTTCTTTATTGCTCTATGGCAGCCCAATAAAAATACTACTAATAGCACTTACCTAAGCTGGGCAAGCACCAACAATATTTTATAATCTTACCTTTGGAAGTAGTAAATCTTTGAGTTAAAACCATATATCATTAATATGACAAAAATGAAGACTGTTAAACCTCTTGCCTTGGTATGATTTATTTCCTGACAGCTGATACTGAGGACTAACTGGGAGGGTTCTCTACTGTACTGTGTGATTTTAGTCTGGAAGAGGTTGAGATTGGAGGGAGTAGAAGTAAAGATGAGTTTCCTGGAATTTCTTTGTACCGTCTATATTCAAATCACTTAATATCACACAAACTATTTATCTGAAATTTAACTAGACTCCCAAGAGTAAACATTTTTCACTCTTACCACTGTAATTTTGCCTCCTGACCAAATTTTCTTGTTTGTAAAAGGAAAAGAGCTATTGTATTGTAGGTCCTTTTGGAGAACAAACAACAAATGGGCTCTCACTGAGGTAAAAACAGTTCTGGACAACCATATTATGAATGATTGCTGGATGTAGCTAGGAGAACTTGAAAGGAGCAAACCCTGACAGCAACTACTGAGGGACAAAAACTTACACTGAGCCGTACTCACACTAAGCCATGGCCTCCTAAGGCATATGTAACGCCTGGAATACGGTTTTCCCTGAACTCAATTTTCTTTCCGGTTTCATGGGGCCCTCTATTTCAGCTGTAACGGCTATGACTCAAAATACTTTTTGGACCAAAGGCCTACAGCCCTGTTTTCTCCTCCCCTCAAATACACGTATAAACATACACACACACATTCTCTCTCTCTCTCTCTCACACACACACACACACACAATATAACACTGTCAGATTTTATTACCAAAAAGTCTGTATTACTTGTACCTGTTACTCTTAGTTTGGGATGGGTCCTGGAGAGCTGAGGCCAAGGATTGGTCATTCATTCATCCACTGAGTCATTAAACAAATATTCAAGTTCTTACAGTTTGCCAGACACTTATCTGGCCTCGAGGGAGGACACAACAATGTATTAGAAGCTAAAAAAGAAATACAGAATGTTACGAAAATATGGGATATAGGGTCATCAGGTGGGATAGGAGAGGGTGGCTGAGTTAAGGCGGGCTTCCCCGAGACCTGCATAATAAGTGGAAATTAGCTAGGTGAATAGAGATGAGATATATTCCTGCAGAAGGGGAAGGCATGTGTGAAGGTTCTGATATGAAGGGGTGTAACTTGTTTATCATGAGTGAAAAGTAGAATACAGAAACATTAGTTGGAAAGGTTGACCCAAACCAGATCATGCAAAATCTTATAGACAAGAGAGTAAGTATTTTCAAGCATCGAATCATATTTCCCAAACTTTAGGCTCTGCTTCTCTCTTTTTTTTTTTGAGATGGAGTCTTGCTCTGTCGCCCAGGCTGGAGTGCAGTGGCGCGATCTCGGCTCACTGCAAGCTCCGCCTCCCGGGTTCATGCCATTCTCCTGCCTCAGCCTCCCGAGTAGCTGGGACTACAGGCGCCCGTCCACATTCCCGGCTAATTTTTTGTATTTTTAGTAGAGACAGGGTTTCACCGTGTTAGCTAGGATGGTATTGATCTCCCGACCTCGTGATCCACCAGCCTCGGCCTTCCATAGTGCTGGGATTACAGGTGTGAGCCACCGCGCCCGGCCTCTGCTTCTCTTATTGTCCAGGTTTTGAGGCTCTTCTACCACAATATTAGTTTGCTATTCTGCAAGCCCCATTTAAGAAGAGACAGTCAGTATCACAGGACCAAAGGTGGCTGTGCAGATGGTGAGCATAGGATTTGTCCATTTTATGAAGGGGGGACCATTTAGAGCTGCTTATTTCAGGATAGGCAAACCAAAGTACTCTATTACCATGGGAAATAATCTTAGAAACTGTGTTACTTGCCGTCAGGAAATGGTATATGTAAACTATTTCTGAGATGGGTCTAAATATGCAAGGTCAAGAATGAAGTAATCAAATTCCTAGATTACTTCTTAATAACCATGCCTTATTTTGTCTTACATCTTGAGCACTGGTATCTGGCATATGTTAGCCACTTAAGTACCTGTAAAATGAATTGATATAGGTTTGTAATCTTCCATTGGTAGAAGCCTGTGAGGATAGCTATCATAAATCTTCAGAAACTGGCTCCTGCAGCCATTGTTACAGAACTTGGCTGACTGAACAACTGTTTATATGACCCAATAATGTTTTTCTCAAAACAAAGTGGGTCAGGGTAGGAGCCATCTGAGAATTGTAAATGGCAGATCTTATGGACTCAAGGACTCCTCGAATGTGACCTCTCAGAGACCCTAGATGTCTCTCTGATGACCCTAGATGTCATCTAGATCTGCTACATCTATGATGATTTCACTAGAATATTAAAAATAATAATTTGTGTGCTGGGAAGAAGTTTGCATTTTTGTGAAGGAAAATTTATTTAGCTACTGCTAAGGTGTGAAGGTGCTACTGAGAAAAACATTTATCATTATTTGCTAGAGCCTAAAGTCTTTTTACTCAACATTTCACTAGGTGTTAAGTGCTGATCCTCAGTAAAATCAAGTCATTTTCTTTGAGTCATGCTATTCCAGAAGGCATTTGGCAAGAAACAAATGGAGTTAGAGTATAAACATTTTTTTTGAGACGATAGAGGAATAAGAGCTCTAGCTTCTGAACTCAGTCTCAACTTACTTGCAAACAGACTTCCAGAAGTTGGGCTTGTCTTTTTAGAACTTCTGATCAAAAGATATTCTGGGGCATTCTGAGAAGTTACCAGATTTGTTAGGCAAAGGCAAGATGCTATGTTCAGGAGAGAAGTTAAGTTCAGAGTGATTGAGGCAGGATCCATCTTGTGTGGATGGATTAGGGGTTTCCTTTGCGGAAAGATTTGAGAGTTTCCTCCACAAAAAAAGAATATCTCACAAGCCTTCAGCAGAGCCTGATATTCCAGAAGCCAACTAAGTAATTGAAAGTCGTCAATTCACTGAGAGTTAATTCACCAAAACTATCTTACTTAATGATTAATTGGCCAAGTCACCAATCAACTGATTGTGTTTTAAAGATTTACTGTGTTTTGCTGCAGCCATCTTTCAGCCAGCATAGGGTGGGGGGAGAGGAGTAGGGTGAGTGTTATAGGGAGATTCTGCCCCTTTGAGATAACAGCATATCTCTCCTTCCTCTAAAATAGTTTAATTATGCATTCACCAAAACTTGTTTCAATTAACTACTTTAAAAGTTTTTTAAAAATAATTTATGCTATATGTGATGTGTATTAGTCAGGAGAGGATAGATTATGTTGCAGTAAGTAATTAACCTTAAAATCTCAGTGTCCTAATATAACAAAGGTTTATTTCATATGTATGGTGGACATAAATGCAGTTTGAGTTTGGTGAGAAAGCTCTACTACACAAGATATTCAGGGAACCAAGCTGCTGAAGGAAGAACCTAGGCTGATGAAGACTCTATCATCTTTTAACTGCACTATTTGGAACACATGCCAGAGTAGGAGAAGTGACTAGATAATCACAAAAGATTGTTTTAGGGTAGAAGCGATACACACAACTTCGTTTCATGTTTCATTGGTCAGAACTAGTTATATATCCCTATCTAATTGCAGAGTGGCTAGGTCCCTTTTATGGAAAGGACAACAGAAACTGTTGACAGCTAATAATATCTACACAGGATGGACTTAATGTTTGGGAGGCTTTTTCTGAAATTTCAGTTTTACTGAAATTTGCAAGTAGTGGTTTTGTTGTAGCAGGAGTTGGTTATAGATGAGGATTGGCAGGAGAGTTGGTAACCTTAGCAGCTGCCACCCCCAACACACACACACACACACACACACACACACTCCATGGGGCAGTCAACAGAGCAGGCAGATAGAGGGGCAGCTCTGAGACCTGACTGAAACTAATAGGCTTTGATAAGTTAATTTTTTGGTGACATGAATTTTAGAGAATTGGCTTTGGATGATTTGATTTTTGGTGAATTAATCTAAAGCTTGAAATTCTAGACAAGCTCTTTTTGTTTTTTAATTTTATTATGAGAAGTGATGGATGATTTGTTGCCAGCTGAGAATAGGCTTTAGTTTGAAAAAGTTCAGAGACAGAGAAGGAGACAGAGAGAAAAGAAAGGCATCCAGAATTGGTGGTTTTGGCTCTGGCTGTCAGGTGAGTGGGGAGAATAGTGTGGGTGCTGGGCAGTGCTACTAAATGGAGGGTGCAGTTTTATTGATGGTGCATCCTTGATCCAAGGCTTGGTCTCTGGGGGGTAATTTTGAAAGTCCAAAAACCTGTGTAGTAACTGTCCGGAGCTTCTCTTTCAGTCTTTTGTTTGTAGTTCCATATGTAAGGTAACATTCTCAAAAACATATTACCTATTTTATGTTAATTTATAATCAACTAAGTTAATACTTCTTTTTTAAGTTAAGCTGAAATGTTCTTTTGTTCACAGTATATTTAAAAGAGACCTTCGTAGTAATCTTTTTCCAATGTTTATACAAAGATTTAAACTTGTATGCTTGGATCATCTCAAAATCCATTTTCTTGGTTAAACTCTATGAAATTGCCGATCATCAAGTGTTTTTGAGGTAATAGCTTGAGGCCTTATTCTGTTGGTGCTGCTGTATCCATAGCTTTGTGTAATGAAAAGATCAATGGATGGTGAGTCAGCAGACCTAATTCTTGTCTTAGATCTGCCAAAAATCGAGCTGTGTGATGTTAGACAAGTCAATTAATTTCTCTGACAAGTGAGGAGCACATCTTTCTACCTATCGTGTCCCCATTCATTCTTTGAACAGTTATTCATTGAGTGCCTACTAAATGCCAGGCACTATGATGAGCACTGGGGATGTAGTGAATAAGACAGGCTTGGCCCCTGTTCTTCTGAACCTTAGAGTCTTGCAGTTGATTTTTGGGGTATTCGCACTATCCTCTTCAGCAAACAGTCCAAATAACTCTGACGTTTTTACTAACTTAGACCAAGGTCTGGTAAATGCTCTCTCCAGTTAATTAAATCAGCGTAGGCAAGATGAACACACTGGTATAACAATGACATTGACATTAGCCAGTTGAAAGGATAAAATCTGATCCATATCCACTTTGCCTATAATCAGCAGCTGTTTTGTCTTCTCCCATGTCACTATAGCCTGTATTGCCTCTGTAAAAATCACATGTGGATCTTAGCTTGGCAGTAGGCCCTCCTTTGAAATATCTGCCCACATGCAAAGCACCAGGGGGGTCTCTTTGGAGTAGCATGCTGTGGGAGTTGCTCAAGAAAGGATGAGTTTGACTGTGAAGTGGAGCCAAGCCATGGGGAGGATGCTTGTTTTATTTTATTTAAAATTAAATTCTATTTAATTTTTAAAGTATTATAAGCACATGAAACAAATTTCAAAAGGCACAAATGGGTATACAATGAAAATTAATTCTCACTTGAACTCCTGTCCACTAGCCACCTTGATTCTGTTCTCAGAAACAGCCACTATTACATTATTTTTGTGTTTCTTTCCAAAGGTAGTCTATGAATATACAAGGGTACTCATTTTAAATCAACTTTAATGTTTACTGTTATGTTTACAATGCTTCAGCTGACCACTCCAAACAGTTAACCTTGACCTACCTGTTGACCTTGTTTGCTTGCCTAATTATACACATTTTCTGGGTTGATTCCCGTTATACACATTTCCTGGATTTTTAGTAGAAAGGACAGATCTTTTCTAAGACTAAAGTCAAAAGTAGTTTCTTATCATGAACAGATTACAGATTCTTAATGTATAGTAAGTATAAACCAAAATTATTCTCAATGTAGTCCATTATAGGGAGCATTAAAAGAAAAAAATGGAATTAGTTCTAGATTCCTTTGAATTTCTGAGACTGGGGATAGATACTATTAGGAGATAGTGAGGATTCTCTCAAAATAAAAAGAGAAGGTGCCTTACCCTGAGTGAAAGAAATATGTGTGTGTCAATCTTCAGTCACTCTGGAAGTCATGAGAAAGCCAGAAGTAGAATGAGGATGTAGTCAGTTAACTACTTCATAATTTATCATTTGTGTGCTTTTAGAAAGGATTTGAAGCATCAGTAACTCTATGTAATGTTGAATGAACTTATTTTCCCAAGCAATCCTAGGGTTTCTGGTTTGTATCAGTACTTTTGGAAGAACTTTAATATCAGCTAAGGTCTTCTAGTGACCTCTTTGGACTCCTGGACCTGTGTACAAGTTGGGGACCCGCCACTTTCTGATGATTCAGCCCTACCCTAGGATTTGGGGCCACTTTTAAATGCACTTAAGGATACTAAGATCACCAGTTTGGAGACTCAGCATCATTGATGTGGTTGCTAACCATGGTCTGACTTTGTACCTGAGATGCTGCTTATGACTAAGCCCTACCTTACACTCCACTTCCTGTATTGGGTCTTCCTTCCCCACTTTCCCTAGGATTAAGATTCCTTGCCCTTCATCCAAACTCACCACCACCATCTTTTAAAGGAGTCATTCATTCACTTAAAAAACTTTATTATTTTGTGACATATTTCTCATGGGTCAAGTACTGTAATAGATGCTGAGGGTATGGTGGTGAATAAGACAAACATGTTCCCAGTCCTGATGAAGCTTACCTTTCTAACCAGAGAAACAGAATAAGTGAATAGGTAAATGTAATACAGTACAATATATTTTAATTATATATTATAAAAGTGAATACATGATGTTATGTATTGGAGCACATAGGGTCAACTAATCTAGTGGGGTGGGGACTTTTAAGAGGACATGATGGTTAGTTAATCTGAGGTTTCAACAATAAGTATAGAAGTTAACCAGGTGGAAGGAGTTAGAAGAGTGTGCAAGAGATTTATCAACCTTCTTAGATATTCTGCTGCCCAGGTTGAATCAGTCCAATCCTATCATTTTAGTGCCTGCTAGCTAGCACCATAATACAGTCGGCCCTCTTTGTCTGTGGGTTCTGCATCTGCAGATTCAAACAACAATGAACTGAAAATATGTTTTAAAAATTGCATCTATACTGAAAACACACAGATTCTTTTTCTTGTCATTATTCCCTAAATGATACAGTACAACAACTATTTACATAGCATTTACATTGTATTAGGTATTATAAGTAATCTAGAGATGATTTAAAATATATGGGAATGTGTACATTGGTTATATGCAAATAATGTACCTCTGTGGCATCTGTGGATTTTGGTATCTGAGGGAGGTCCTAGAATCAACTCCCCATGGATACCAATGGATAACTATACTGCATTTTACCTTCTCCTCTCAAAGCATCCACTTGGCCCATAGCTGGATACCTTGATAATCAGGTCTAATGGTGTAGACTTTTCCAAGTGTATGCCCTATGGGTTTGTCTGGTCTTTGGGCTTTAGCCCCCATCAGCCTTTGGCTCTACAATGTTGGTTAGAACAGCATGTCATAGATGTATCTTGTGTTCTTGGAGAAAGGGGCATCACAAATCCCCGATAAACCTGACTCATCAGTGTTATTTAAAGGTGTGGAAACCAAGGCAATCTTCATAGATGTCAATACGGTGGTAAGTGTGGGGAGTTGTAGTTGCTGCCTGCACCAGAGCTGGGATGAAGGGCTACTTACAGTTGTAGATGGGTTTAAAGTGGATGTAATGGTAGGTCATGGACTTAGGCTTTGGAATTGGGTTGGCAGAGTACTAAAAAGAATCAAGAAAAATGTCAGTGGATGTTAGCAGGTGTGGATCAAAATGGCTAAGGTTGAACATTTCAAGGTTCAAAGAAAGGAGTTCAATTTCAAGGAGAAAGAAAGAGGTTAGATTAGTGGCCAATGCAGGAACATGGGCAAAAATCAAGTCCAAATTCTTTCCTGGAGCAAGCAGCCCAACTTGAAATGTTTTGAATCATAAACTGGAATAGACAGATGATGTACAGGCAGCAAGTAGTCAGGAAGCCAATGTTGGTTGTTACCAGGGAAACAAGCAATGAGGAGAAAAGGTGATGTATGCAATAGTAAGGAGTTGTGTTGGCAATGCATTTGGTATGTTTCTTTTCTAAAGAGAGAACTCGGAGTTCCCTGAATGAGGTTAGGGGCCTGTCATGAGATAGTTCCCCTTCCAAAGGAAGGTGTGCTTCAGCATAATGAACTTGTACAGGTTTCTCCCTGGAAGAGTCAGGCTGTAAAACATTCACCCTGATCCTTTTTATATGCACGGATTGAGGATTTCTAAAGACAGGAATTCTTAAACAATAATTTCCTAGGCCTAATTGGTGTTACCTGTGATCAAGTCTTCACCCCTTCTCACAAATATTGAAAAGAGCTATGTATAGTAATTTTTTGGGGGGAGGAAGAGAAAGGTTTGATTCAGCCCCATAGATACAATGTAATTCCAGTATATTCATTATATTTTCACTTTGAAATATTATGTATGTACAATAAAACATACAAGTATAAGGAATAAAAATATTACTTAGCCAGGTGCAGTGGCTCATGTCTATAATTCCAGTAACTTGGGGGACTGAGGTGGGAGGATCAGTTGAGGGCGTGGGTTAGAGACCAGCCTGGGAAACATAGAGAGGCCCCATCTCTTAAAACACTGTTGGGTCAGGCACAGTAGCTTATGCCTATAATTCTATCAACTTGGGAGACTGAGGCAGGAGAATCACTTGAGGCCTCGAGTTAGAGACCAGCCTGGGCAACATAGTGAGACCCCATCACTTAAAAGTATTTAAAGAAATTAGCTGGGCATGGTCATGCTGCCTGTAGTCCCAGCAACTCAGAGGCTGAGGCAAGAGGATTTTTCGAGCCCAGGAGCTTGACACTGCAGTGACCCATGATTGCACCACTGTACTCCAGCCTGGGTGACAGATTCTGGCTTTAATAAAATCAATCAATCAACAAATCAAATTATTACCATAGATAAGGAAATAGAATATTGCTAGTATCTTAAAACTCCCCCTTAAAACCCCTCCTCAAAAGCACCCCCATCTATAACTACCCTGCTCCAGAAAAAAAAAACAAAACACTATTCTGACTTGTGATAATCATTCATTTCTCCCCTTTATCATGATAGCAACCAAGTATGTATCCCTAAATATGTATCTTGCTTAGTTTGGTTGTTTTTAAAACTTTATAAAAGTGGAATAATACTCCACATATTTTTCTTTGACTTGCTTCTTTGATTCAACATTATGTTGGTGAGTTTTATTCATGTTAATACATGATGCTGTAGTTTATTTCTTTTATTGTGTAGGAATATATACCACAATTTACGTATCCAATCTATTATTTATGGATATTTGATTTTTCCAGATGTTTTTATGTTACAAGCAAATACCATTAGAAACATTATTTTTCTTTTTCTTGTCTTTTACTGGACATCCATGAGAAGTAAATGCATTAGGTATTTACCTAGGAGTAGCATTGCTGGGCTAAAGAATATGTGTATGCTTAACTTCACTAAGTAATGCCAACCTGTTTCATAAAGTATTTAAGAGTTTTTAAGATATCTAATAGGTCCCAAAGCATTACATTCTCATTGATACTTGGTACTTTATCATCATACTTAAAATTTTTTTTTGCCAATTTGGTGGGTGTATAAGGGTATATGATTAGGGTTTTGCTTTGCATTACCCTGTTTGCCAATGAAATTGTCATTGAGGCTTCCCTTTGTTTCTAAAAGTCTATTCAAGCCTTTTGCCCATTTTTTTTTCTGCTGGATTTGTGATTTCTTTTATGTTTATTTTTAGGAATATGTATAAACATATTTTTATAAACATATATGCATATATATAGTGTTATATGTGTTACAAATATCTTCTTCCATGTGATGTCTTGTTTTTTCATTCTCTTTATGTTGTCTTTTGATGAATGGAAGTTCTTAATTTCAATGTAGTCAAGTTTATCAGTCTTTTCCTCTATGACTTGTACTTCGTGTCTTATTTAACTTTTTTTTCTTTTTACTTAAAAGGGTCTTTATGATTCTTCTGTGGGCAATAATGGTTGAATAACAGGAGATGTCATCAAACAGGCTATTTGATTCAAGAATCAATAAAAGGTGAAGATAAAATACCTGTTTTCATTTTTACCACCATGGTAATAGTTCCAGTGGAAGAATAAAAAAAGTAAAACATAAGATTAAGTCATGAAACACACGGAGAAATTCCTGTTACTATTTCTAGCTCAAGAAACATTAAAATCAAGGAGAAAAAGAAATGTATGGAAGTTGTTATTAGCCAGACTACATCATCTGAACTAATTGCTGTAAGTGTGCCATATCTAATACCTTCTTTTAAAATACTTGGTTCAAGGATTTCTTCCTGGATTTCGTCTATAAGAACTATTCCAGAAAATGCCTTGTACTTCAACTGTGGTACCAGAAAAGTTGTTTTGTTTTATTACAGAGATTCTCAAACCTATCAAGTTTTTATTACAGAGATTCTCAAACCTATCAAGTCTGTTTACCGAAGAAACCACATCCCCCATCATACTTCATGTTAATTGAAATTCATCCATAATTATCTATATATTCTCTTCTTTTTGACTGAACTAAACTAATCAGCAACAGAAAGGTTTCTGATATACATAACTTGAATTTTGATTATATTCATCATGGGGGAAGCCTATTTTAAGTCCTTTTGTTATTGTTTGTGTATTGGCTTCATTACAAAGAATAACATAGGCCTGAGAAAAATGTCAATAAATTCTAATATGCTTATCTTCAAATTAGAAAACTTGAGATTTATCTCGTGCTTAATGTTTATAAAACTTGAGTTCCCACTTCAGAAAAGTACTGTAACTTTCATTTAAATATACACAAAATATAAGATTTGCTTGGACATTCAGCCTCTTGGCAGAGTCAGTTTGATGAGTGAGTTAACATATCAGAAACATATGGATTTAATTATCCTATACTGGCTTCAGGGTTGAAAGAAAACGTTCTTAAAATGCTACTGTGAAATGGACTCAGCTGTCTGTAACAACCTCACATTGCCACCTCCAGTCTTACAAAAAGCATCCTACCACTCAAACCAGTCCTCCAGAACTGGTTATCTCTTAAGGCAGTGGCTTGCAGACTTGGATTTATGAGACCTGTGAAATTTTATTTTAAAAATGAAGGCGATGGGGACAGGGATTAACATGAGTTGCCAGTGTTTAAAGAAACAATTATTACTTATCCTGTCATTACAAAAAAGGATATATAAAAGACATGATTTCAGACTAAACATAGTCCTTCAAATTAAATAAACTGAACTGTATGAAAAACTCAATATAGACTATGTATGGCAGATTAGGCACTGAGCTCAGTTCTCCTGTTGGAAACAAGTAAAATCTTGTACCAAATATATTTAAAAAACTTTAAATGTAAATGCATCAATGACATGCAAAAAATGTATTTCTTATGCCACAAAATAAGTAAGAGTTGGAACTCAGAAAGGTAAGCAAAGCTGCAGACAGTGTTCACCCTAAAGCATTTCCCAAAAAATAAACTTGAGGATTGATCTTCTTTATCTCTATGAATGCTTTTTGCTGTATGGTTTGTTTTGCCTATATTAATGTACATACATCCTCTTAATTTTGTGTAGAAGCTGTCTGCTATGTGTTTTTTCCATCCTTTTATTTTCACTGTTTTTAGATCCCTATGTTGTGCCTGTTTCCTGTACACGGCATAGACTTGAATAAATTGTTATTGTTTTTCCAATCTTAAAATTTTTGTCTTTCAATTGGAGCATCTAATCACTTACATTTATTGTGATTACTGATATAGTTGAATGTATACCTATCATTTTATTTTGTGTTACCAGCCTTCTAGGAATTATTACTACAGTAGTAAAAATAAAACTATCTATTATCTAACCCTCGTTGATTCTTGAGTCAACAAGTAACCTGTTTGATGATATCTAATATTATTCAACCATTATTGCCCAAAGAAGAATCATAAAGACTTTTTAAAGTAGAAATAGAAATGTTAGGCTAGACTTTAGCCACTAGAGTAAGCAAAACAAATGCTAAGGGAAAAATCAAGCATTATTGCAGGGATGAGCTCTCTCAGAACGAAACCTTTGTGCCAGCTATGGTTCATAATAGAATATGTTGTACACTATTGCTTTTTTATACAGCTGGCCTGTTGTGGCTTTTATTGCTCCAGTATTATATCTCTGAAGAAAACTAATGTATTGTTAATAGCAAAGAAAGCTTTATTAAAGGCACCTATGTTGTTATTTCTTCAACACCAGTAATTTTTGTGAATGAAAATGGCAAGAAGGACTTTCTTCTGGTTTGGATTAAAATTTCATCTTTCTTCTTTTTGTAAATACAGTGTTCTTATATTAGTGAATAGAGAATTATTATAACTTTGAAGCAATGGTTTCTATAACTGGATTCAAGAACTGATATTTTAAATCTTTTTAATGGGAAAAAATAATTTATTATCTCTCTTTTTTAAATTGATCAAATTGAATAAGTATTAGGAAATGATTAGGTGACTCATCCTTTATCCCTCTTTTCTACCTCAAACACAGCCAGCTAACTAGTAAGCCAAGTCAGCACTACCTAAGTGCTATGTGATTTCAAGTGTGCTGGGAAGGCCTTCCTTGTAGAAATCTCTTCTGTAAATGCTTGAAATTCTGCTGCTACAATGGGGTTTTCTAGATATACAATCATGTTGTCTGCAAACAGGGACAATTTGACTTCCTCTTTTCCTAATTGAATACCCTTTATTTCTTTCTCCTGCCTAATTGCCCTGGCCAGAACTTCCAACACTATGTTGAATAGGAGTGGTGAGAGAGGGCATCCCTGTCTTGTGCCAGTTTTCAAAGGGAATGCTTCCAGTTTTTGCCCATTCAGTATGATATTGGCTGTGGGTTTGTCATAGATAGCTCTTATTATTTTGAGATACGTCCCATCAATACCTAATTTCTTGAGAGTTTTTAGCATGAAGGATTGTTGAAGTTTGTCAAAGGCCTTTTCTGCATCTATTGAGATAATCATGTGGTTTTTGTCTTTGGTTCTGTTTATATGCTGGATTACATTTATTGATTTGCGTATATTGAACCAGCCTTGCATCCCAGGGATGAAGCTCACTTGATCATGGTGGATAAGCTTTTTGATGTGCTGCTGGATTCGTTTTGCCAGTATTTTCTTGAGGATTTTTGCATCAATGTTCATCAAGGATATTGGTCTAAAATTCTCTTTTTTGGTTGTGTCTCTGCCCGGCTTTGGTATCAGGATGATGCTGGCCTCCTAAAATGAGTTAGGGAGGATTCCCTCTTTTTCTATTGATTGGAATAGTTTCAGAAGGAATGGTACCAGTTCCTCCTTGAACCTCTGGTAGAATTCGGCTGTGAATCCATCTGGTCCTGGACTCTTTTTGGTTGGTAAGCTACTGATTATTGCCACAATTTCAGATTCTGTTATTGGTCTATTCAGAGATTCAACTTCTTCCTGGTTTAGTCTTGGGAGAGTGTATGTGTCAAGGAATTTATCCATTTCTTCTAGATTTTCTAGTTTATTTGCGTAGAGGTGTTTATAGTATTCTCTGATGGTAGTTTGTATTTCTGTGGGATCGGTAGTGATATCCCCTTTGTCATTTTTTATTGTGTCTATTTGATTCTTCTCTCTTTTTTTCTTTATTAGTCTTGCTAGCGGTCTATCAATTTTGTTGATCCTTTCAAAAAACCAGCTCCTGGATTCATTAATTTTTTGAAGGGTTTTTTTTTGTCTCTATTTCCTTCATTTCTGCTCTGATTTTAGTTATTTCTTGCCTTCTGCTAGCTTTTGAATGTGTTTGCTCTTGCTTTTCTAGTTCTTTTAATTGTGACGTTAGGGTGTCAATTTTGGATCTTTCCTGCTTTCTCTTGTGGGCATTTAGTGCTATAAATTTTCCTCTACACACTGCTTTGAATGCGTCCCAGAGATTCTGGTATGTTGTGTCTTTGTTCTCATTGGTTTCAAAGAACATCTTTATTACTGCCTTCTTTTTGTTATGTATCCAGTAGTCACTCAGGAGCAGGTTGTTCAGATTCCATGTAGTTGAGTGGTTATGAGTGAGTTTCTTAATCCTGAGTTCTAGTTTGATTGCACCGTGATCTGAGAGACAGTTTGTTATAATTTCTGATCTTTTACATTTGCTGAGGAGTGCTTTAATTCCAACTATGTGGTCAATTTTGGAATAGGTGTGGTGTAGTGCTGAAAAAAATGTATATTCTGTTGATTTGGGGTGGAGAGTTCTGTAGATGTCTATCAGGTCCACTTGGTGCTCCTTAAGCTGATAAGCAACTTCAGCAAAGTCTCAGGATACAAAATCAATGTACAAAAATCACAAGCATTCTTATCCACCAATAACAGACAAACAGAGAGCCAAATCATGAGTGAACTCCCATTCACAATTGCTTCAAAGAGAATAAAATACCTAGGAATCCAACTTACAAGGGATGTCAAGGACCTCTTCAAGGAGAACTACAAACCACTGCTCAATGAAATAAAAGAGGATACAAACAAATGGAAGAACATTCCATGCTCATGGGTAGGAAGAATCAATATCATGAAAATGGCCATATTGCCCAAGGTAATTTATAGATTCAATGCCATCCCCATCAAGCTACCAATGACTTTCTTCACAGAAATGGAAAAAAACTACTTTAAAGTTCATATGGATCCAAAAAAGAGCCCACATCGCCAAGTCAATCCTAAGCCAAAAGAGCAAAGCTGGAGGCATCACACTACCTAACTTCAAACTATACTACAAGGCTACAGTCACCAAAACAGCATGGTACTGGTACCAAAACAGAGATATAGATCAATGGAACAGAACAGAGCCCTAAGAAATAACGCCGCATATCTACAACTATCTGATCTTTGACAAACCTGAGAAAAACAAGCAATGGGGAAAGGATTCCCTATTTAATAAATGGTGCTGGGAAAACTGGCTAGCCATATGGAGAAAGCTGAAACTGGATCCCTTCCTTACACCTTATACAAAAATTAATTCAAGATGGATTAAAGACTTAAACGTTAGACCTAAAACCATAAAAACCCTAGAAGAAAACCTAGGCGTTACCATTCAGGACATAGGCATGGGCAAGGACTTCATGTCTAAAATACCAAAAGCAATGGCAACAAAAGCCAAAATTGACAAATGGGATCTAATGAAACTAAAGAGCTTCTGCACAGCAAAAGAAACTACCATCAGAGTGAACAGGCAACCTACAAAATGGGAGAAAATTTTCGCAACCTACTCATCTGACAAAGGGCTAATATCCAGAATCTACAATGAACTCAAACAAATTTACAAGAAAAAAGGAAACAACCCCATCAAAAAGTGGGCAAAGGATATGAACAGACACTTCTCAAAAGAAGACATTTATGCAGCCAAAAGACACATGAAAAAATGCTCATCATCACTGGCCATCAGAGAAATGCAAATCAAAACCACAATGAGATACCATCTCACACCAGTTAGAATGGCAATCATTAAAAAGTCAGGAAACAACAGGTGCTGGAGAGCATGTGGAGAAATAGGAACACTTTTACACTGTTGGTGGGACTGTAAACTAGTTCAACCTTTGTGGAAGTCAGTGTGGCGATTCCTCAGGGATCTAGAACTAGAAATACCACTTGACCCAGCCATCCCATTACTGGGTATATACCCAAAGGATTATAAATCATGCTGCTATAAAGACACATGCACACGTATGTTTATTGCGGCACTATTCACAATAGCAAAGACTTGGAACCAAACCAAATATCCAACAATGATAGACTGGATTAAGAAAATGTGGCACATATACACCATGGAATACTATGCAGCCATAAAAAATGATGAGTTCATGTCCTTTGTAGGGACATGGATGAAATTTGGAAATCATCATTCTCAGTAAACTATCGCAAGGACGAAAAACCAAACACTGCATGTTCTCACTCACAGATGGGAATTGAACAGTGAGAACACATGGACACAGGAAGGGGAACATCACACTCTGGGGACTGTTGTGGGGTTGGGGGAGGGGCGAGGGATAGCATTAGGAGATATACCTAATGCTAAATGACGAGTTAATGGGTGCAGCACACCAGCATGGCACATGTATACATATGTAACTAACCTGCACATTGTGCACATGTACCCTAAAACTTAAAGTATAATAACAAAAATTATTAATAAAAAAAAGGAATGGAATGAGAGATTATAGCAGGATTTCCTAATTTAAATTTAGGTTTAGATCTCCACTAAATGGAGTTAAACTTTATCAAATAATGTCATTAAACGGTCATGTTTAGTGATATGGAAAAAATATTTGCAATAATAATTTATACTTTAACTGTTACATGAAGAGTTCTCACTAAACTCCACTACTAAATCTTTTTGAAAATAATACTGTGTTACTGAAATGTTATTCAAAATTAAAAAAAAAAGAAACTCTACTGCTACAATTGATTCCTTTTAGTCACATGTGGCTCTTTTCCTGTGGTCATCTTTTGAAATCCAATGACCCTCCTGGAAGATGTGGCACTTGTAGTCTCTAATACCTTTTGGTCTATTGGACCTCTTTTATGTGTGAACAATAGAAGATACACATGGTATACTTGAGGGGCTGATGGAGGAAAGGTAAATGGTGAGAAGTTTGGGGGCACTGAAGAGAGCTTCATGTAGTGCTTTGGAGGACTGGAAAGGTATACCACTGAAATTATTTTTCAAAATAAATGGAAGCTTGGTAAAATAGATTGCATTCTGACATAATAAGAGAGCTAGGAAAGGAGAGAAATTGTGTAAGGGACGTGGGTTGCATGAAAGACTGCAAGTTTGGGCTCACCGAAGGCCAGATGGGTGAAAGTATCAGGCTAGCAAAACTTTTCTTCTATAGTATTTCTTCTCGAGAAGAAAATGTCTAAATGCCAACTTTATGTTCATGTTCCTACTCTTTCTATAACATTAAGTACAGGTACAATTAATTTGCAAAATGAAGATCTGATGGCATTTTTTTAGAGGCGAGAAAATGTTCTAAAATGTGGTGAATCATGTAATTTCTTGGTTTGAATTCTCTTGTTAAGAATAATGGTTACAAACAACTTCTGTGGGAGGTTTTATAAACAAGGACAAGGCAGGGGGAAATCTAATTAACAGAACATTAGTGTGCCTGAAGTAATGGTGCTAGGGTACACTAATAAAATCCCACAATGAACAGAGTTTAAAAATCCAAGTTACAAACCAGAAAATAAAATAGGTAACGGAAGTAACTGTTGGCATGAAAGACAGGGGTTTAGAGATAGCTGGTATAAGAGCATATATTTTTGTGTGTAAGGAAGTAGTGCATACTAAATTCATACATCTAGGCAAGGACAGCAGCAAAGTCCCTACCTTAGCAATTGTGTAATTGTTCCCTAACAGTAGTGATTAATTACAGCCGAAGTGGGCATTGGGCTTTACAAACAGCCATTTTCAGATGGAGGTGGGCTTTCATTTTGCAGGAAGATTTAACCAGAGCCTCCACAAAAGGCATCATTGGGACCTTCTTAAAATGAAAAGGAACCTACTAGTTAAGTGGCCTAAGTGACCTGAACTACATTGCTCTAAGCAAGTTAGAGGTTTAATAATCTGTGACAGCCAAGTATGATGGAATTGCTGAAAAAAAAATGTGAGAAATGTACAAAGCATTTCCATTTTTCATTATTGAGATCACTATAACCTGACTACCTGTTCTAGACCTACAGAAGGAAAATATTCTGTATCCTTTAGAGTCCCAGCAGGAAGCAAGTGGTACATCCAAAGGGGTGCTTGAAGGGAATTTCATGAAAGGCCTTATTAAAACGGTGGCATGCAAGATTAAGGAAAACAAAGATAGTGAAACGCACCCCCAAAGAGCTGCTTCTACTTCTAGGCCTAAAAGATTTTGGAGAGAGAATCACTGCTGAAACACTGCAGGAGCTCTACCTGGAGGAGAGGGCTACCTGATAGGAGTTGTGGCCACACAGTCACTGTGATATGGTTTGGCTGTGTCCCCACCCAAATCTCATCTTGAATTGTAGCTGCCATAATCCCCACATGTCATGGGAGGGACCTGGTGGGAGGTAATAGAATCATGGGAACAAGGTCTTTCCTATGCTGTTCTCGTGATAGTGAGTAAGTCTCATGAGATCTGATGGTCTTATAAAGGTCAGTTCCCCTGCACACACTCTCTTGCCTGTTGCCATGTAAGACAGGCCTTTGCCTTCCATCATGATTGTGAGGCTTCCCCAGCCATGTGGAACTGTGAGTCAATTATACCTCTTTTTCTTTATAAATTACCCAGTCTCAGCTATTTCTTCATAGTAGTATAAAAATGGACAAATACACACTGCTAACTCACTGCCTGGCAGGAAGAGAGTCAAGTTTTCTGCTAGGGTCTCCCGTTGGCCATACTCAATAGGAAACCAGAAGGCAAGGGAGACCATTTGATGTAATCCATAAAGGTCATCCTGTCAGCAAAGAGTAATGTAGGAAAGGCTAGAGAGTATATCTGGGTGAACAAATATAAAATAATTTTGCACAGTTTCTTTCACAATTGTGAAGGAGGTGTGTTGGGGGAGGAACATCCTTTCTTCTGCCACTTAGGTTTAGGAGCTGCATAGGAGATTCTTTTCTTTCATTTCCAACAATGAATGTTTGTCAATGCCCCCAAGAAAGCACCATGAGTATATAATATTCTCCATCTTAAAGGACTCAGTTGAGAAGATAGTAGAGGTTATGGAGAGGTAGAGGCCCTGAGGTCATGGTATTGTCATGGGTGAAAATACTCTAATTAACCATATGTATCCAACAATGGTATTATGTCCAAAGGAATATTGTATTGTCTTGTCATGAAACATTTCTACGTGAGAAAACTGAGTTCTACTACTGGGGCAAATGTTTCTGATCATCACATAGGGCCAGGGAATAACTAATTCAACACACATACAAATCAAATTAACTATATTGATATATAATTCAGATATCATATAATTCATCCACTTAAAGTATACAATTAAATGTTTTTTAGTATATTCAGAGTTATGCAACCACCACCATTCTTCATTTTCCCACAATTTCCCAGCCTCTGGCAAACACTAATGTACTTTCTGTCTCTGTGGATTTGCCTATTCTGAACATTTCATAGAAATGCAATCATACAATATGTGGTCTTTTGTGTCTGGCTTCCTTCACTCAGCATAATTTTTTCAAGGTTCATCCATGTTGTAGCATCTATCAGTATTTCATTCCTTTTTATGACTAAATGATATTTCATCGTACATTTTGTTAATACACTCATAAGTTAATGAACATTTGGATTGTTTTTACTTTTTGGCTATTATAAACAGTGCTGCTATGAACATTCCTGCCCAAGTTTTTATGGGGACATATGTCTTTAATTCTCCTCGGTGTATAAGCAGGTATGAAATTGCTGAGTCCTATGCTAACTCTGTGTTTAACTTTATGAGGGACTGCCAAACTGTGTTTTATAGATTCTGTACCACTGTACATGTACGTCAGTGATGTACGAGGGTTCTAATAGTTTCACATCTTCACCAATACATATTGTTGTCTATAAAACATGATTTGAAAATATTTTCTACCATTCTGTCAGTTTTCTTTTCATTTCCTGGATGGTATTGAGTGATGGCCAAAATATTTTAGTTTTTATGAAGTCCAATTTGTTTATGTTCTCTTTTGTTCCTTGTTCTTTTGGTGTCATATCTGAGGATATGTTGCCAAATCCAAGGTTATACATATTTACTCCTATGTTTTCTTCTAAGAATTCTGTAGTTTTGGCTTTTGGATTTAGGTCTTTGATCTGTTTTGAGATACATTTTGTATATGATATAAGGGAAAGGTCCAACTTCATTCTTTTGCATGTGGATATCCATTTATCCCAGCACAACAGATATGTCTGACTTTGTAGACTTCGTGGAAAAATACTCCATATAGAACACACAGGCAGTTAGAGGGAGGGATATTTCTCACAAAAGAACTCATTTTATGAAGCACGATAGGCAGTACTCACATAACATGGCAGCAAAGGGTCAAATTTAGTGTCCAAGTTAACATCTCTTGGAAAGGAGTGCAGTCAGGGAGACCAACAGGGTCAATTTACTGGTATGAAAATGTTAATGCTACATGGAATATACTTATACCCAGGCAATAGTTATTCAGCCACGAATGCTCTGAATCTACAGGTTTGCCCGTGAGGCAGCCAGATGCCAGGTAGTCTGTTTGGAGAGATCTGCAAAAAGTACGAAGGAGTTCCCTATGGGCAGAGATATACAAATCCATGACCCTGTTTTTAAAGAGAAAATCTCTAACCCAAATGATGTGGGAGACAGTGAAACGAAGAACTCTTAGTTTCTTTGAGTGAAGGGGACTCAAGGCACCTCTGAGCAGCATATAAGCTTTAAAAATTACATGCTGTACTGCATATAATTCTGGAAATCTTTTTTTACCCCTTCATACAAAGACATTGAATATATTTGACAACGAAAAGACATTTGGAATAATTAGAAAGTAAAAAATACAATGTTTACATTAATTATTTTCCCCAAGAATTTCCCTAATTCTCCTTGCTTCCTCATTTCATAGAGACATTTTTTTTCCCTCATGAAGTGAAGAATACTATTTTCCTTGAGGCTGTGGCCGAATCCCTGAATTCTATTCCTGGTCCTGCTCAGCCATTTGAAGGTTCAGCGCACTATCTCCTCAAAAGCAAGATAAGGTCTCTTTACAATTGCTAGGCTAGAATAAAAACCACGTTCCACTAGATACCTCATGGGTACCACATGATACTTTAAGCACACTTACAGGGTCAGAAGCTAACAGTGTAATAATTATTGGATTAAATTCTCTTACACCTGGAATAATCACATATTCTCCTCTTTAAAATTTCATTTTCATGGTTTTAGTCTGTTTGTCTGCAAAAAATGGAGATGGAGGTCATGGGAATTGTGCATAAACCTTAAATCAGATGTGATTACTTATTGTGCTTGTTTACATTCTTTCTGCATAATTAACATGACATGTCATGATTAATTTTTTTCTACAGCACAGTCTGATATTTGGCCAGGTTACCTTTTCTTGATGTTATTACCCAAAACTCTAGCAAGAATTTTTAAAAATTTGGTGAGTAATTTTTATACACACTAAATGAGTCTCCTCTAATTTACAACCAAAAGATTAAGACCATTAGAAGTATAATATTTTCAGCTAGTGACAGCTCTGATCCTGCAGCTAGCACACCCTGGGTGCTATACACCTGTAAGTGCAATTAGCTATGCTTTTAAAATCAAAGTTGCCAGTGACTGAGTGATGGTTTCATTGGTCCCTGACTGTGTGGCTTGGGTGGGGGTAAAAAACAAAATCTCTCTCTCTCATGAAAATGCTGTGCAAGATGGGATTTCTATACTTACATGTGAAAGTGGAATTGAGTTCTCTGTTCATCAGTGTTTGTAATTTTATTCTTCCCCATTTACATTTTTAATAGGAAAGACGATGATTAGAAATGGTTTTTACCACAAGTGCTGAAGATTTTATCATTAGCATTTGTGACACAGGGGCTCACATATTTAAACTGATCCTCTTTTTTGAGTCTGCAAATAAAGAAATTTCAAGGACACAGAAAAATCTTCCATAAACAGCTATCAACATTTTTATAAAGTCAAGATGTTGATATGTATTTTCCTAGATCTTGTTAAAACTGCTAAAGTTGGCAAATTCTTTTGATTTTTGTATACCAAGCTTTAGACTCTAAGAAAATTCATATCCTTAGCAAATACTTTTATTTTCCTCAAAAATATAATGCATTGCCAGTTGTCTCAGCAATGAATCACTTGGAAGCTGCCTCATGTGGTACCCGTTGTTCTTATCAGGGAGCATCCCTGAGTCACTGACAATTCAAACATTTCTTTCAAATATATCAGGTATCTGGTTTAGTTTGTTAGCATAGCATTTGCCTGTGGTAATTTATCAGTTGATTTCCACCCCCTTCCAAGTAATGCATATGAAAATGATTAATGATTATACCTTTATTTTTATTTCTTTTGGAACTGCCAGCCCTGACTATTTACAGGAGATCATTATATTTTTATAGATCTTAAGCACATCTGCTGAATCAGCAAAGCAAAAGTTCCAGCAATTTCACTGATTATAGCTGCCACTTGTGGATATTGCAAACAACTATTACCAAACCACTTGGGAGAGGGGGAGGGGAAGACCCTGTGTATTTTAAAGGAGAGTAAATACAGTGGAAGATTTTAAAAATACTGATGTTATAAGCTATGGTAAAATGGAGCTCTAAGGCAGTCCTCATTCTCCCAAAATTCTCCAAATACAATACTTCCTCAAGTGTGTTTTCAATGCTAGTTTAAAATTGGAGGCCGAGAATTGGAAGGAATGTGCGTAGGATTTTTTTTCCCAGGATGCCATTTCCTTCCTAAATACTGATTCATTCAAGGGCCCCTCAGCCTTCTCCAGCACATCCCATGGTAGTATAGGTTTTCCAGGTCCAGCTTGTAGATCTGTTACATTTCTGCTACAATGATCACATCCCCTTTTCAATGACTCTTACTTCTCTGCACCTTTAATAGTCCATCTTGCTTCGAGACGCCTCAGTACTGTCTTTTTGTATGAAAATACCAAATACTTCACATTTACTTAATTTTTTTAACATTTACTTTTTATTACATTCACCCCAATATGAAATTGGCCATTTGCAGGGATTATATATTCTTATAGCACAGGCTAATATTAAGCTCTTGCTAAAAGGAGCTGTCTGAAGAGTTAGGATTGGATTAGACTTTATTGTAAATACAAATACATATTATAATTATTTAAATAGCTGCAAGGTTCAACTCCTCAGGGTACCTCTTTAAGGTTGGGCTTGGAAAAAGGTACATGCTCTGATATAGCCTTGGCTGCCTTCTCATGGAATCTTTTTTTTTTGGATCAGACATGTCTATAGACTTATAATGAAAGAGGTTTGAATAGAAGATCTCTCTTGCCCATTGAGGAGCTAACTTTGAATTTTAGGGAGATTGTTGGTAATAAAATCAAGGCTAGGCTAGACCTGGAACCCAGCCAAGTAGGTGGGGTATGGTGGATACCACAAATATAGATAGTTGAGGGGTGGAGACTAGTGAGTTACTAGTGGGAAGTATTGGAGTCCTAGGTAGGCAGTCATGCTGTGGGGTGTGAGGAGTGCGAAGGTACATAAAAATGGTGCTGGGATGCAAGGCTAGTAAGTACTTCTCAGAGACCAGAAGTTATCTATCCTCTGCTCTGCCCTTCTATACTTCCTGCCAGATGCAACTGTGTCCAGAATTGGTGGGTTCTTGGTCTCACTGACTTCAAGAATGAAGCCGCGGACCCTCCTGGTGAGTGTTACAGTTCTTAAAGGCAGTGTGTCCGGAGTTTGTTCCTTCTGATGTTCGGATGTGTTCGGAGTTTCTTCCTTCTGGTGGGTTCGTGGTCTCACTGGCTCAGGAGTGAAGTTGCAGACCTTCGCTGTGAGTGTTACAGCTCTTAAGGCAGCGCCTCTGGAGTTGTTGGTTCCTCCTGGTGGGTTCGTGGTCTCGCTGGCTTCAGGAGTGAAGCTGCAGACCTTCACGGTGAGTGTCACAGCTCATAAAGGCAGTGTGGACCCAAAGAGTGAGCAGTAGCAAGATTTATTGCAAACAGCGAAAGAACAAATCTCCCACAGTGTGGAAGGGGACCAGAGGCGTTGCCACTGTTGGCTGGGGGCAGCCTGCTTTTATTCTCTTCTCTGGCCCCACCCACATCCTGCTGGTTGGTCCATTTTACAGAGAGCTGATTGGTCTGTTTTACAGAGAGCTGAGTGGTCCGTTTTGACAGGGTGCTGATTGGTGCATTTACAATCCCTGAGCTAGACACAAAAGTTCTCCACATACGCACTAGATTAGCTAGATACAGAGTGTCAGTTGGTGTATTTACAAACCCTGAGCTAGACACAGGGTGCTGATTGGTGTGTTTACAAACCTTGAGCTAGATACAGAGTGCTGATTGGTGTATTTACAATCCCTTAACCAGACATAAAGGCTCTCCAAGTCCCCACCAGATTAACTAAATACAGAGTGCCGATTGGTGCATTCACAAACCCTGAGCTAGACACAGGGTGCTGATTGATGTATCCACAATCCCTCAGCTAGACACAAAGGTTCTCCAAGTCCCCACCAGATTCAGGAGCCCAGCTGGCTTCACCCAGCGGATCCCGCACCAGGGCTGCATGTGGAGCTGCCCACTAGTCCCGCAAGGCGGGCCCCTACTCCTCAGCCCTTGGGCGGTTGATGGGACCCAGCGCAGTGGAGCAGGGGGCGGCGCTCGTCGGGGAGGCTCCGGCCACTCAGGAGCCCACAGCGGGGGGCAGGGGGGGGGAGGGGGACGGGGAGGCTCAGGCATGGCTGGCGGCAGGTCCCCAGCCCTGCCCCACAGGGAGGCAACTAAGGCCCTGCGAGAAATCGAGCACAGTAGCTGCTGGCCCAGGTGCTAAGCCCCGGGCCAGTGGGCTGGCCTGCCGATCAGAGGGCAGGGCCGCTGAGCCCAAGCCCACCCGGAACTCGCGCTGGCCCGCAAGCGCAGTGCACAGCCCCTGTTCCCGCCAGCGCCTCTCCCTTCACACCTTCCCGCAAGCTGAGGGAGCCGGCTCTGGCCTTGGCCAGCCCAGAAAGGGGCTCCCACAGTGCAGCGGCGGGCTGAAGGGCTCCTCAAGCGCGGCCAGAGTGGGTGCCAAGGCCGAAGAGGCGCTGAGAACAAGCGAGGGCTGAGAGGGCTGCCAGCACGCTGTCACCTCTCACAACCTGCCTTGGGACTACAGAGGTTCCTGTAGCCCAGATGAGGTCAGAGACTTATAAATTATCTTCCAGAGTAAAGGACTGACAAATGACAAATGATAGAATTTTCTGTGGGCATTGTGTTGTGCCATGTGATTAGTGCACCTGAATGTATAAACAGAACGGTTCTCTAGACTGTTCTCCAATCCCTCCTCTCGTTCTCACCATAAATCTGGTCTTTCTCAGACTTAAAACAATCTGCCACTCTCCCAGGGAACAATTGGGCTAATGGAATGTTGATAAAAATTGAGCTGGCATTTTAAACTTTGCACAGAACTTTGAAACACTAATCAGCCCCTGATGAATGTAAAATTAAAATCACTGAACAACTCCAGCCCATTTTGTGGTTTGAGTTGTGGTGCAGGGAGCTTGAGAATTATTTTGCAGCTTCTCTGGTTTGGAAATCCTCAGTCCTTCATGGCCATATGAGTAATTTTGTTTTCAGAAAAGCATTTCTTAGATAAGAATTTCAAAGAGATAGAAAGTTTGTGAAAGAAATTCTTCTGCACCAATACGAAAACCTAGACTGAATGTGTTTACCTGGTGTTCAGAGTCATCTGTAATATGGCCCTACCTTACCCATCCAAAGGTGCCTTTGTGTCCTCTACTCTGGCCAGTATCTTTCCAATGCAGCCAGATGCCTTTCAGTCTCTGGAATTCTTGCTGCTGCCTCTACTTCACATACCCTGCTCTAATTCTCCCACTTTACCTGGGTTTACATTGCATCTCTGCTGGAAATTCATAGTGACCCATCCAGCTCACACTAGGGCCTTCCTCTCATTGACTTCATAAAACCCATACTCACCACAACACTCGTGATGACCCTCGGCTGTATTTCATCTCATATCACTTTCTAGTTGCTTCATTTGTGTACCTTTCAAGTCCTTGGTGAAATTATATATCCGTTGAGGGTGGAAGGCTATAGTCAATTTTTTTGTTGTGATCTCTAAATAGTCGAGCACATTGTGCAAACCAAAGGATCTTTAACTGAGTTAGTGAGTGTAAAAATGATAGCTATTGGTCAAATAAAAGATATCTGAGATGGGAAACATTTGTTTAAATTTTTTCATTACTGATTAACAATTCTCTATTTTTCCCATGTTTAGTCTCTTCTTTCTGATTCCATGATCATTTTCCAATGAAGGCTAACTCTCCTGGCATGGTGTTTTAATTCCTGCTATCTTGAAACCACATGCAGTTAGGATGGAAAGCAATCCAGACAGCCACATGCTGCATCGTTAATTTCTTATATCCATTTCAATCCATTCTCTTTTCAAGTCTCTGGGAATGCATAAATACTATTTAGCCACTTAATCTGGATGTTTTTACTTTTCCTAAAGTAACTTGGTATTCCTGAATGTGGCTTTATAAAGATTGTTTACATTTAGAATTTCAATGCCATAGCTTTTGAAAATGAAGAACAGACTAGCTATTCTTGAATTCTGTTTAGAAATGATGATGTTTACACTTCTTACAGAACAATGGAAAGGTGACACTTATCAAGAGAAATGGTTTGCTTTTGATCTTTCTGGCAGCTCCAAGTTTCTGAGACTCTAATTGAGATTATGAGTCTTGCTGATTTGAATTCCTAAATACTTATTCACTCCATCCATTCCATTTGATGCCAATTACCATTTCTCTAGTTCAGCGCATCATTGTTTATTTTTTGGATTAATGAAGCAGCTTCCCCATAGGTCTCCCTCCCTATCTGTAGTCTTCTCCCTCTAAATTACAACCTTCAGGGGGCCACCAGAATGATATTTCTAAAAGTCAACTCTGATTGTGACATCCCTGCTTTAGAATATGTCAATAGCTGTCCTATGTCTATAAGATAGAGCAGCAAGTCTCCCTGCCTTAGCCATTTTCCTCCCTAGCTCCACAGCCTATCACTCCTCATCTCATTTTCCATACTCTAGTAACACGAAGCTGCTTATAACATAGTACTCATCTTTATACCTTTCTGGAACCCCCCATCAAAAACACTCTCCCTTCTTCCTCTTCATGTGTTTAATTCTTATTCATCATTTATGATTCATCTTAGGTGCTAACTCTTCTTGCATACTTCCCTGCTCTCTGCTCTTCCTTAGGTACCTCTCCTGTAAGCTTTCTTGACATTCACCCCCAATTGACTGTGAAATTTTTGAGGCTAGTGTCTGCGTCTGAGGCAAGGGGCAATGTGGCATAGTTCTTAAATGCACAGTCTATGGAGCCAAACTAGCTGGATCTAAATCCTAACTCTACCACTTACTATTTATGATGTCTTAGGCAAGTTACTTGACCTCCCTATTCCTCAGTTTCCTCATCTGTAAAATGGAGCTAATATTAATTTTTTCACAGGGTTGCTATGATGAAGAAATGAGCTAACTCACATGCAGGACTTAGACTGCTTTCTGGCACCCCGTAAGGACTTAACAAACATAAACTGGGTCGAGCACGGTGGCTCATGCCTGTTATCCCAGCACTTGGGAAGCCAAGGTGGGTGAATTACCTGAGGTCAGGAATTTGAGACCAGCCTGACTGGCATGGTGAAACCCTGTCTCTACTAAAAATGCAAAAATTTGCTGGGCATGGTGGCGGGCGCCTGTAATCCCAGCTACTCGGGAGGCTGAGGCAGGAGAATTGCTTGAACCTGGGAAGCAGAGGTTGCAGTGAGCTGAGATTGTGCCACTACACTCCGGCCTGGGTGACAGAATGAGACTCTGTCTCAACAAACAAACAAACAAACATGAACCGTGATTATTATTTGTATACCGAGAATCTAGCACAATACCTACAACAAAATAAGTATCAAGCATAGGTTTATTTAATGGAAGTGACATACTTTTTAATTGAGATAAAATTTGCATAACATAAAATTAACCTTTCTAAAAGTATACAGTTCAGTGGTATTTAGTATATTTACAATATTGTTCAAGCATCACCCTACCAAGCTCCAAAACATTTTCGTTACCTCAGAAGGAGACTGATACCCATATATTCATTAAGCAGTCACTCCCAATTCCCCCTCTGCTTAGTTATCATGTAAGTAAAGTTTCTGATGCATTTCCTACAGGGGACATTACAAAAATATGACATAGCATGACCATAATGCAAATGGAATTACATTTCAATAAATGCAACATTCATAAAAGATTGACCATCAAAATATTAACTTATGCCCATTGAGCTGGTCAGGTCTCGTGAAGAAATTCTCTAAGGTCACTAGAGTAATACCAAGTGTGCTACTGCCCCTTCCTTTAAATAATACGAGATTTCTTTAAAATAGAACAAAAGCAACATTTTTGTTTCAATTGAGGGCTTTAGAAAGAAAGCATTCCACATTGTATAAGACATGCTTAATGCAGTCTGGCCTTTTGAAGGCCACTGTCTGAAGTATGTAGTGAGAAGAGAGATGAGTCCAGAGCAGGTGCTCTTGACAGCAGCATTCTTGTGTGCCATCCTTGGCTCTGTAACTCCAGAATGACATTGAGCCCCTGTTGAAAGAGTTATTCAGGCAATCTGCTGCTTACCAGCTCAGTCCATGCATATTCATAATTGAGAACAACACTGCCTTAATAAAAGCCTTTTTTGACATTTATTAGAACCCAGCTATAGCTATTGATTTTGTCACTCTTTCCATTGCCAGCTGCTGCCACTTTTCTGACTCTTTTAAGTCCAGTTCCACTTACATACTGAGAAAATATCCTGCCTTGTCAGGGTGTGTGTGTGTGTGTGTGTGTGTGTGTGTGTGTGTGTGTGTATAAGGGACCTTTGTGGCAATGAAACTCTATCCCAGTATCAAGCTCATATTGATAATCTGATTACTGTTTTTTGTTTTTTTTTTTTGCCTATCAGACTTCTGGGAATGCAGACTATAGAGACCTAGCTGTTTCATTGTTTTTGAATCTAGATCCCGGAACCTTGATTTACTTACGTTGATTTTAGCAACCATAGGGGATTTATGCCTCAGCCTACTATTCCCAGGCTCATATCACTGTCTGGCCTTTTCCTTATTGTCCTTAGAATCCCTACTTTGGCACTGACTATGTCCTGATGTTAGAACATATTTAATATTTACATCTGACAAGATAGATTGTAACATTATCCTTAAAATGTATTCACTCTAAAATAGATTATACAGATGTGAATGCATATATAAGGGGAAAAATTGAAGAAATTTATTGTGTGTGAAGGACAGTATCATTTAAAAATGTATTATCAGATTCATTTTTATTTTCTAATTACATAGGGTGATAAAATTCAATCAGCACTTTTATTTAATGCCTCATTTTGGGAAGCCTTTTTCAATGAATAAAACAGATGTACTTCAGGCCAAAGACCCTGAAAAATCCAACCTTTTCTTAATTAGATGAGAAGCCTGTAAAACTCCTGTTGCAGCTTATAGGCAGTGGGGATTTGCCTGTCCCAGTTGCTCTCTGTTGTGCAAAATACATGAAAAGAGAAATGCCAAGGCTGCCTTTGTACAACTCAAAGGCTGGTCAGTGCACTTACTGCTGCATGATTTATGTTTGGAGGAAAAAATATCTCTCTTCCACAGATAGGCCAGAAGGACTAGGGTGGCACAGAGAGTAGCCATTGGTGTGCAGAGAGGAATGAGAGATACCAGTCAAACACCTACATTGGTTGATTTCACAGGTTAGAGGAGGCTGGACGATGAATGCAATTGACTTGAGAGTTGGGTTAGGCGGGTACTGAATCTCCCCTTATATGTGAGCTTAGGACAAAAATGTCAGAAAAGAAGGTAGCGGGGTTTAGTGACCACCTGAATTTGATTCCATAGTCTGCTACTTTCTAGGAAGGTTGGTCATCCTATGCCCTTGGACAGGTTACCAAGTCTCCCCATGTCTCTGTCTCTTTATCTACCAAATGGAGATTAATATTATCACCTACCTCATAGACTGCCTGGTAGGAAGCAGGTGCTCAGCACATTTTAGCCAATTTTACTATGATTATCACCACTGCTACTGGTAACTAGTATATAGTGTAGTGGCTAAGGACATGAGTTATCAGACCGGCTAGGCTTCTATTCTGGTCCCAACACTTACCAGATTTTTGACATGGAGTATGTTGCTTAAGCTTTCTGTGTCTCTCTTTTCTCATCTATCAAATGGAGTAAATAGTAGCACCTGCCTCACAGGATAATGGGAGGAGTAAATAAGAAAATGTACTTAAAGCAGTTAATATAGTACCTGGCACAAAGTGAGTATTCAAATATTAGCTGCTATTTTAATTATAATCACACATGCAATCATTATCATGAATAATACTATGAGTAGTGTCTTTCAATGTTTTCTCCAGCATGAAAAAGTTGAGGTTCCAAAACTTTCAGTCAGCTCTATACTTTTCTCTTAATCTGTTCTAACTCTAATGCTAGCAAATAAATGGCCAATGCCAGAGTCTACCAACAGATTTAAGATAATAGTCCTCTTTCTTCCTGTCTGAGTCTTGAGCCTCTCAATTTCTTTCATTCTTGAGGGATTGCAAGAAGAATCCTTATTAGGACACTAAAGAAAAAAAGAAGGAGAGAGCCAAGATGGCCGAATAGGAACAGCTCTGGTCTATAGCTCCCAGCGTGAGCGACGCAGAAGACGGGTGATTTCTGCATTTCCATCTGAGGTACCGGGTTCATCTCACTAGGGAGTGCCAGACAGTGGGCGCAGGTCAGTGGGTGCAGCGTACCGTGTGCGAGCCGAAGCAGGGCAAGGCATTGCCTCACTCGGGAAGCACAAGGGGTCAGGGAGTTCCCTTTCCTAGTCAAAGAAAGGGGTGACAGACGGCACCTGGAAATTCGGGTCACTCCCACCCCAATACTGTGCTTTTCCGACGGGCTTAAAAAATGGCGCACCAGGAGATTATATCCCGCACATGGCTCGGAGGGTCCTACTCACAGGGAGTCTTGCTGATTGCTAGCACAGCAGTCTGAGATCAAACGGCAAGGCAGCAGCAAGGCTGGGGGAGGGGTGCCCACCATTGCCCAGGCTTGCTTAGGTAAACAAAGCAGCCGGGAAGCTCGATCTGGGTGGAGCCCACCACAGCTTAAGGAGGCCTGCCTGCCTCTGTAGGCTCCTCCTCTGGGGGCAGGGCACAGACAAACAAAAAGACAGCAGTAACCTCTGCAGGCTTAAATGTCCCTGTCTGACAGCTTTGAAGAGAGCAGTGGTTCTCCCAGCACGCAGCTGGAGATCTGAGAACGGGCAGACTGCCTCCTCAAGTGGGTCCCTGACCCCTGACCCCCGAGCAGCCTAACTCGGAGGCACCCCCCAGTAGGGGCAGACTGACACCTCACACGGCTGGGTACTACTCTGAGACAAAACTTCCAGAGGAACAATCAGACAGCATTTGCGGTTCATGAAAATCCGCTGTTCTGCAGCCACCACTGCTGGTACCCAGGCAAACAGGGTCTGGAGTGGACCTCTAGCAAAGTCCAACAGACCTGCAGCTGAGGGTCCTGTCTGTTAGAAGGAAAACTAACAAACAGAAAGGACATCCACACCAAAAACCCATCTGTACATCACCATCATCAAAGACCAAAAGTAGATAAAACCACAAAGATGGGGAAAAAACAGAGCAGAAAATCTGGAAACTGTAAAAAGCAGAGCACCTCTCCTCCTCCAAAGGAACGCAGCTCCTCACCAGCAACGGAACAAAGCTGGATGGAGAATGACTTTGACGAGTTGGGAGAAGAAGGCTTCAGACGATCAAACTACCCTGAGCTACAGGAGGAAATTCAAACCAAAGGCAAAGAAGTTGAAAACTTTGCAAAAAATTTAGAAGAATGTATAACTAGAATAACCAATACAGAGAAGTGCTTAAAGGAGCGGATGGAGCTGAAAACCAAGGCTTGAGAACTACGTGATGAATGCAGAAGCCTCAGGAGCCGATGCGATCAACTGGAAGAAAGGGTATCAGTGATGGAAGATGAAATGAATGAAATGAAGTGAGAAGGGAAGTTTAGAGAAAAAAGAATAAAAAGAAACAAAGCCTCCAAGAAATATGGGACTATGTGAAAAGATCAAATCTATGTCTGATTGGTGTACCTGAAAGTGATGGGGAGAATGGAACCAAGTTGGAAAACACTCTGCAGGATATCATCCAGGAGAACTTCCCCAATCTAGCAAGGCAGGCCAACATTCAGTTTCAGGAAATACAGAGAACGCCACAAAGATACTCCTCGAGAAGAGCAACTCCAAGACACATAATTGTCAGATTCACCAAAGTTGAAATGAAGGAAAAAATGTTAAGGGCAGCCAGAGAGAAAGGTTGGGTTACCGACAAAGGGAAGCCCATCAGATTAACAGCTGATCTCTCGGCAGAAACTCTACAAGCCAGAAGACAGTGGGGGCCAATATTCAACATTCTTAAAGAAAAGAATTTTCAACCCAGAATTTCATATCCAGCCAAACTGGTTTCATAAGTGAAGGAGAAATAAAATCCTTTACAGACAAGCAAATGCTGAGAGATTTTGTCACCACCAGGCCTGCCTTAAAAGAGCTCCTGAAGGAAGCACTAAACATGGAAAGGCACAACCGGTACCAGCCACTGCAAGATCATGTCAAATTGTAAAGACCATCGAGGCTAGGAAGAAACTGCATCAACTAACGAGCAAAATAACCAGCTAACATCATAATGACAGGATCAAATTCACATATAACAATATTAACTTTAAATGTAAATGGACTAAATGCTCCAACTAAAAGACACAGACTGGCAAATTGGATAAAGAGTCAAGACCCATCAGTGTGCTGTATTCAGGAAACCCATCTCATGTGCAGAGACACACATAGGCTCAAAATAAAAGGATGGAGGAAGATCTACCAAGCAAATGGAAAACAAAAAAAGGCAGGGGCTGCAATCCTAGTCTCTGATAAAACAGACTTTAAACCAACAAACATCAAAAGAGACAAAGAAGGCCATTACATAGTGGTAAAGGGATCAATTCAACAAGAAGAGCTAACTATCCTAAATATATATGCACCCAATACAGGAGCACCCAGATTCATAAAGCAAGTCCTGAGTGACCTACAAAGAGACTTAGACTCCCACACAATAATAATGGGAGACTTTAACACCCCACTGTCAACATTAGACAGATCAACGAGACAGAAAGTTAACAAGGATACCCAGAAATTGAACTCAGCTCTGCACCAAGCGGACCTAATAGACATCTACAGAACTCTCCACCCCAAATCAACAGAATATACATTTTTTTTCAGCACCATACCACACCTATTCCAAAATTGACCACATACTTGGAAGTAAAGCTCTCCTCAGTAAATGTAAAAGATCAGAAATTATAACGAACTGTCTCTGAGACCACAGTGCAATGAAACTAGAACTCAGGATTAAGAAACTCACTCAAAACCGCTCAACTACATGGAAACTGAACAACCTGGTCCTGAATGACTACTGGGTACATAACGAAATGAAGGCAGAAATACAGATGTTCTTTGAAACCAATGAGAACAAAGACACAACATACCAGAATCTCTGGCACACATTCAAAGCAGTGTGTAGAGGGAAATTTATAGACTAAATGCCCACAAGAGAAAGCAGGAAAGATCCAAAATTGACACCCTAACATCACAATTAAAAGAACTAGAAAAGCAAGAGCAAACACATTCAAAAGCTAGCAGAAGGAAAGAAATAACTAAAATCAGAGCAGAACTGAAGGAAATAGAGACACAAAAAACCCTTCAAAAAATTAATGAATCCAGGAGCTGGTTTTTTGAAAGGATCAACAAAATTGATAGCCTGCTAGCAAGACTAATAAAGAAGAAAAGAGAGAAGAATCAAATAAACGCAATAAGAAATGATAAAGGGGATATCACCACCGATCCCACAGAAATACAAACTACCATCAGAGAATACTACAAACACCTCTATGCAAATAAACTAGAAAATCTAGAAGAAATGGATAAATTCCTCCACACATACACCCTCCCAAGACTAAACCAGGAAGAAGTTGAATCACTGAATAGACCAATAACAGGCTGTGAAATTGAGGCAATAATCAATAGCTTACCAACCAAAAAGAGTCCAGGACCAGATGGATTCACAGCCGAATTCTACCAGAGGTACAAGGAGGAACTGGTACCATTCCTTCTGAAACTATTCCAATCAATAGGAAAAGAGGGAATCCTCCCTAACTCATTTGATGAGGCCAGCATCATCCTGATACCAAAGCCGGGCAGAGACACAACCAAAGAAGAGAATTTTAGACCAATATCCTTGATGAACATTGATGCAAAAATCCTCAAGAAAATACTGGCAAACCGAATCCAGCAGCATATCAAAAAGCTTATCCACCATGATCAAGTGGGCTTCATCCCTGGGATGCAAGGCTGGTTCAATATATGCAAATCAATAAATGTAATCCAGCATATAAACAAAACCAAAGACAAAAACCACATGATTACCTCAATAGATGCAGAAAAAGCCTTTGACAAAATTCAACAACCCTTCATGCTAAAAACTCTCAATAAATTAGGTGTTGATGGGACATATCTCAAAATAATAAGAGCTATCTATGACAAACCCACAGCCAATATCATACTGAATGGGCAAAAACTGGAAGCATTCCCTTTGAAAACTGGCACAAGACAGGGATGCCCTCTCTCACCAGTCCTGTTCAACATAGTGTTGGAAGTTCTGGCCAGGGCAATTAGGCAGGAGAAGGAAATAAAGGGTATTCAATTAGGAAAAGAGGAAGTCAAATTGTCCCTGTTTGCAGATGACATGATTGTATATCTAGAAAACCCCATTGTCTCAGCCCAAAATCTCCTTAAGCTGATAAGCAACTTCAGCAAAGTCTCAGGATACAAAATCAATGTGCAAAAATCACAAGCATTGTTATACACCAATAACAGACAAACAGAGAAGCAAATCATGAGTGAACTCCCATTCACAATTGCTTCAAAGAGAATAAAATACCTAGGAATCCAACTTACAAGGGATGTGAAGGACCTCTTCAAGGAGAACTACAAACCACTGCTCAATGAAATAAAAGAGGATACAAACAAATGGAAGAATATTCCATGCTCATGGGTAGGAAGAATCAATATTGTGAAAATGGCCATACTGCCCAAGGTAATTTATAGATTCAATGCCATCCCCATCAAGCTACCAATGCCTTTCCTCACAGAATTGGAAAAAACTACTTTAAAGTTCATATGGAACCAAAAAAGAGCCCGCATCGCCAAGTCAATCCTAAGCCAAAAGAACAAAGCTGGAGGCATCATGCTACCTGACTTCAAACTATAGTACAAGGCTACAGTAACCAAAACAGCATGGTACTGGTACCAAAACAGAGATATAGATCAATGAACAGAACAGAGCCCTCAGAAATAATGCCGCATATCTACAACTATCTGATCTTTGACAAACCTGAGAAAAACAAGCAATGGGGAAAGGATTCCCTGTTTGCTAAATGGTGCTGGGAAAACTGTCTAGCCATATGTAGAAAGCTGAAACTGGATCCCTTCCTTACACCTTATACAAAAATTAATTCAAGATGGATTAAAGACTTAAACATTAGACTTAAAACCATAAAAACCCTAGAAGAAAACCTAGGCGTTACCATTCAGGACATAGGCATGGGCAAGGACTTCATGTCTAAAAACACCAAAAGCAATGGCAACAAAAGCCAAAATTGACAAATGGGATCTAATTAAACTAAAGAGCTTCTGCACAGCAAAAGAAACTACCATCAGAGTGAACAGGCAACCTACAAAATGGGAGAAAATTTTCGCAACCTACTCATCTGACAAAGGGCTAATATCCAGAATCTACAATGAACTCCAACAAATTTACAAGAAAAAAACAAACAACCCCATCAAAAAGTGGGCGAAGGACATGAACAGACACTTCTCAAAAGAAGACACTTACGCAGCCAAAAAACACATGAAAAAATGCTCACCATCACTGGCCATCAGAGAAATGCAAATCAAAACCACAATGAGATACCATCTGACACCAGTTAGAATGGCAATCATTAAAAAGTCAGGAAACAACAGGTGCTGGAGAGGATGTGGAGAAATAGGAACACTTTTACACTGTTGGTGGGACTGTAAACTAGTTCAACCATTGTGGAAGTCAGTGTGGCGATTCCTCAGGGATCTAGAACTAGAAATACCACTTGACCCAGCCATCCCATTACTGGGTATATACCCAAAGGACTATAAATCATGCTGCTGTAAAGACACATGCCCACGTATGTTTATTGTGGCTCTATTCACAATAGCAAAGACTTGGAACTAACCGAAATGTCCAACAATGATAGACTGGATTAAGAAAATGTGGCACATATACACCATGGAGTACTATGCAGCCATAAAAAATGATGAGTTCATGTCCTTTGTAGGGACATGGATGAAATTGGAAATCATCATTCTCAGTAAACTATTGGAAGGACAAAAAACCAAACACCGCATGTTCTCACTCACAGATGGGAATTGAACAATGAGAACACATGGACACAGGAAGGGGAACATCACACTCTGGGGACTGTTGTGGGGTGGTGGGGGGGGAGAGGTATAGCATTAGGAGATGTACCTAATGCTAAATAACGAGTTAATGGGTGCAGCACAGCAGCATGGCACATATATACATATGTAACTAACCTGCACATTGTGCACATGTACCCTAAAACTTAAAGTATAATAATAATAAAATAAAAAAAAGAAGAAAAAGAGAAGCACAAAAAGGAAAAGAAAACTTATCATTAGTGTTGAGTTTCTGTGAGGCCTGGGTCCTAATCACCATAAGTGCTTTTGCCTAGACAGCTTCTAAAATGTGTGTTGATGTTGAATATATATATTGTTAATATTACATACTGTTCATATTATCTCCCCAAACATATACTTTTTATCATAGCTCTGTTGAAATATAACTTACATACTATGGAATTCACCTTAAGTGCATAATTCAGTGTGGTTTTAATATACTCACAACGTTGTGCAACTGTCACCACTATTTAATTTCAGAATATTTTATCAGCGCCACCCCCCCACCACAAAGAAACTCAAACCCATTGCCAGTCACTCTCTATTTCCCCTAAGTGTCCCAGTACTTGGCAACCCCTAATCTACTTTCTGTCTCCATGGAATTGACCTGTCTGGACATTTCATATAAATGGAAAAATACAATATGTAGTATTTCGTGTCTGGCTATTTCAGAGCATAATGTTTTCAGGTTCATTCATGCTGTAGCATGTGTCAGTACTTCATTCCTTTTTATGGCTGAATAATATTCCATTGTTTGGTATTTTCCAATGTTTAAGTAATATGCACTTTAAATCTTTAACTTATAAAACATCCTCAGGGTAGCTATCCTTTCTCTTTCTTTTTCCTAATAGAAGGAGGTCCTTAAGAGTCCCAGACACTGTTAGGCATGTGGAGAAGAGTGGATACCAGAGGTTGTTCAAGGCACATTACCACTGAATGCTTGGATCTTAGCATCCCTACTGACATTACAGACCTATCGAGTCCTTTCTTTTCTATTTTTAGCTAAGACAAAATAATCATTGTATCTCAGATGCAGACATACAAAAGAAATCTTGCAGCTTCCTGTCCTCACACAGATGGGCAGTTTCTTCTGCCTGCAAAGGACCCAGAGAAGAGAGCTAGCTTGCAAATGTTGCCTTGCCTTCCAGTCAATTTCAGTTTTGATCATAGGATATCTGCTGTCCCTCCAGTGCTCTTGCTGACTGTGCATGGAGGAGCAGGATAGTGTCAAGTGTCCTAACTAGGCTAACATTTGAATTAAAATAATCCTAAAGACAAGTGACATTTGGCATTGGGGCAAATACTATTGGTATAGGTTTTGGAATCAGAAGGATCTACATTTGAATTTTGGGCCTTAGCCTGTCTCACCCACAATTTACTCATTAGCAAAATGACATAGTAATAGTACCTATCTCGTAGGGTAACAGTTAAGATTAACTGAGTTCCACTTAGTGCCTTGCATATAGTAAGCTCTTCATAAATAACTTACATGGTTACTCCTACTTAGGTATACTTTGGTTTAACAATAAATATTACTTTGTGTAGTGATTAATAGCCTTTGACTTTGAAATCAGATGGACATGGATTTGAATTCTGGTTTCACACTTTATTATCTGTGTGACTTTATGTGAAGTTTCCATTGCCTTATCTGGGAAAAGTTTCACTTTACAGGGTTGTTGAGAGGTTTAAAATGAGATGTTGTTTTCTAAAGGAATTCAGCACATGGTAGTGCCTTGATATACAGTAGCTATTGCTACCAATAAGAAAGCAAATATATCTTCAGGTATCATGCTTCCATCAGTCCACACAGGCTCTTTGCCTTCCCATTGCACTTAGAATAAACTCTACGATCCTCTCCATGGCCTATAGAACCCTAAACAATAAGGCTCTGGCTACTTAACTGACCTTATCTCCAGCCACTCTCCTCCTTCTCTCTGTTACAGCCATATTGGCCTTTTTGTTATTCCTCAGCCAGAAGAAGCTCTTTCCAACTTCATGGTTTTGCATTTGCATTTCCCTCTCCCTTTGACCTAGATCTTCCCATTGGTGTCTCCTTCTTGTCATTCATGTTCCAATTCAAGTGTTACCTCCTCAAGGAAGCCTTTTGTAACCACCCAAAGTAGTTTCCCAATCCCCCACTCCATTTTATTACTCTGTTTTATTTTTTTGTAGAATTTATTGCTATCTGAAATTATTTATTTTTCTTCACATTTATTGTCAATTTCTCTCACTAGAATATAAGCCCCATGAGGGGAGCCAGTTCATCTGTTTCACTCATTGCTGTATCATGGCATCTAGAACAGGACTTAGGGAGTAGTAGAATAAATATTTGTTGAATAGATGGATAGATGAATAGATATGGCAGAGATCTTTACACTGGCTTTTGAGATTATCATTATGGCTGACAGTGTTGTCCCACCACTGCATGGAACTGTCTGCAAATTACAGGGTAGCAGCTCATTAGAACAAGTTGTGTCTCTAATTGGAAAGAACCCTAATGTACTGTCCTTCTGCATTTCTCTTTAGAAACTTCGTTGGGCATCTAAAAATATGCTTCATACCAGTCAACCACATGTGTGGCTGTGTGAAGTAAATATATTTGTTTTTACATTGAATTGCTCAGATAATCTTATATGTTGTTTGCCTCACTTTATATGTACAGATTTGGAGTGATTTCTGAGTTCAGTGAAACAGGCTCTAGAAGGCATTGGGAGTATTGGACACCAGGTTTAATAACTAATAATGAAGCCAGAGTTGGGGAGATAGTTTTCCTGTAAATCTATGGGTGCAGATGAATCTGCTGGTGTAAATCAGGAAAGTCCACAGAGGAGCCTGGGCTTGACAATTTTATTATATATGAGAGGTTATTAAGAAGATAATTGAGGGTCTCGAGAAAAATAAGCAGTGGCACTTTGCTATTCCTGCAGAACTAACAAAGGTGGAAAGTCTTTGACTGAGACATCTTTTTCTTCCATTTTTGTTTGAAAAAGTTAACAGTTAAGTAGGAAAGGGTCTGAAAATAAACCTTTCAGGACTTGATGATCCCTGATTGTTGGTTTTACCTGATTCCCTCTAACATAGCAGAGAGATTGGGATTCTCCACTGAGCCTCAGTCATCTCCTAATTAAGACTTCTTTCTCATGGCTTATGCTTCCTGGGGCTCTTTTAAAGCCCCAAGAATTAGTATGATGACAAATTAGAAAAGTGAAGTGTTGACACTAGACGGGAATTTCATCTGGTGGTGTTATTCTCAAATGCTGGTTATTGAGTCCTGCCTCCTAGAGATTATATTTCATAGGAATCTGCATCTTTAATAAGCTCTTGTCGTTTCTGATGCGGGTGTTTCTGGACCACACTTTAAGAAACATTGATATTGTCTTTCACCTAATGAAGTTTCAAAATGTGAATGTAACCAAACCTTTTGATTCCTGTTCTTCCATCCTTAAATGAATAACTAAATTCCTTCCCAACTATAGTTGCTAAATGTTTGTAATTCAGTGTTCTTACCATTTAGAAGCTCAATACAAGTGGCCTAGTTATTGGTTTACACATTTTAAAGCTCTTTAAGCAAATGAAACTAAAATGAATAAACTCAAGCACAAAAGTTCAGTGCAAACATCAGAGCCCTTCCTTAAGCTCCGTCCCAGTGCGCACAGCCCTTCTGTCTATCCCAGCACTGAAGCCTTTCCATGTCCTGTCCCTAGCTATAGGGGAGCTGGAATTGTTGGCGAAATGGATAAGGGAGGTTTTAGAAAGGAGGCTGCTTTTGAGCTGAGCCTAGAAACACAGGCAGGAGGTGCACCGATAAAATTGTTGGGGGAAAGCATGGTCTAAAAAAGATAACAATGTAAACATAATCACACATGAGGTCGAGTATCTTTCCAGCTTATTAAGTATATATTAGAACTATCTGGGGTGAGAGGGAAAGGAGCTCTGTTGAAAATATATATTTCCGGGTCCCAGTCTCAGAATTTTTGATTCCTTGGATCTTAGGAGGGACTCATGAATCTTAATTTTAACAAAATCCTCACTTAGGTGATTTTGATGCAGATGTTTTGTGCAGCACGTTTTTGAGGAACACTGGCTTAATCCCATCATAGCTTTGTATAGATGTGGAAAATTATGCGTAGAGAAGAGAGTGAACTATTGGTTAAAAATACCAACTCTGGGGATGCTGTAAAAGATTATTTCTTCTAAGGTGGGCTTTGAGCCATGCTCCTTAAAGTCTCTTCTAATTTGTTCTTGCCTATACATTTAATACCCTTTTTATGATACTTGAAAGAGCTGCATAATTTCATGGTCTGGCCATTATGACTGGCATTAAAGGAATGACTATTACTGGTACTTAATATATCTTTTCAAGTTTCTTAATGACTGTGAAACACATAGCATAAGAGCTACCCTGTTTGCATACAGAGCACATATGTAGATAGAGAACACCTGTTCTCTTGGGGTATGGTTGACAGGCAGTGGCTTCCTTCTTCCTTCAGTCATTCTTGCTGCCCTCCTTCCTCTTGCCCCAGCTGTTTTGATCATATAAAAAAGAATAGTAACTTTGCCACAAGTCTTTTCCACTGTTCCTCATGCCTTTGTGGATCTCCAGGTAGTCTTCAAGCTTTAACATCCAAGTTAACTAAATCAAGTTAACAGGCAACAGGAATAGCACACTGGCTAGGGATTGAAAGTATTACTTTAAAGACTGAAATAGAGGAAAATAATGAATGCACATTCTGACATGAACTTCTCTCTCCACCCTCATACTTATAGGGTAAGTGTGTGAGAAGTGGCAGTGATGTGGAAGATCTTACTTCTTCACCACTCTTGGTAATCTAGCTTAATTCCTACACTTTACCCCTACATTTAATGAAGGATCATGAGATGACAATCAAAGGGAAAATGTCTTATAGATTCATAAAATTGTTTTTTCTCCTTATTCCTGAGTTCAGAATGCTTGAAGTTAGTGTGCCACAGAAAATGACTTGTGAGGGAATGAAATGGGCAGTTTCTATTTACAATTTCCTTTCCCTGTAAGTACAAGATGTGGGACTGAAGCAACATTAGTCCAGGATAAGAAAGTTAAGGCAGCTAAAATATATTAGCGTCCACGTCTACACACAAGTCTGAATTGCACTGGGCAGGGAATGCTTGGGCATAGGTGAGAATCCTTCATGCCTGGGTAAGAAAGAGACAGAGATGAGAATAAATAGATATGAAGTAAGTAAGCTAATCAGGAGGAGAGGTTGAGTACTATTTCCCCTTGTATTTCTGTGAGTGGCCAGCAGCACCAGCTTCTTTAATTTAATCTTTTTTCCTGTCCATGCTAGGACAAAGTGTGTTCTGTTTAAGCATCTCTTGGGAGTTTGGGGGTGGGGGAAGAGTGGATACATGAATAGAGTTAGTCATTTTTGGTATGCGAAGCATCTTGCCAGTTATTTTGCGTTAACAATGTCAAAGACCCTCAAAAGCTTGGTTCTAATTCCCATTACTTTCAAGCTTTCCTGTATGCTGATTTGCCACAACCTCCAAGCCGAGCTGCTTCCATAAACAGATGATGAACACAAGGATGGGGGTACAATAAGGGAAAAACCTGTAGCACATAGATTGATTTAAGAACACTCATTTAGATTTAATATAATAATTATTGAGATAAATGGCATGCCATGTAAGTAATTGAATATTGCATAAACAAGATATAGTGGCTATAATTATAGTTCTACAAATACCTTAATAGGTATATTAAGAGAAGTCAGTGAGCCACAAAATATTTCACCAAAGTTCAATATTTCAAGAAATCTATAAGATGTCCCAGACTGTAAATAACTGCCACTTTCTCTTCTAGAGCAAATGTAGTATACATGATTACGGTTTTCCTGGCCCCACCTTTTTCTTAGTTGGTCTGAAGAGGTCTCTCAGCAAACATGTCCTGAACATTTATTTTGTGTGTTGGCCTATACTAGATCTATGGGAAACCTGGTATTTTATGGTACTGAAAGTTAACTGAGTTAAAGTAAATATTGACTAGCTGTCCTAAACATATGTTATAATCTCTGCATAGTAAACGGAATAGAAGTCTGTGTGTGTGTGTGTGTGTGTGTGTGTGTTTACCTTATTTAGGTTACTAGAATATTAGATAACACACAGCAATAATAACTGTTCTGGGACTTCTTAATCATGTGGTATATGGAAGCCTTTATTATCTTTAAAAATTTCTAAAATAAGCATCTGTGGTACAGGGTAAAACATCTGGACTCAGAGTCAAAACCAACCTCTGCCAATTGCTAGGTGTGTGATCTTGAGCAAGGTACTTCACCTCTCTGATTCTCGATTTTCTCTCCTGCAAAATGGTGATAATGATGCCACTTCTTTGCAATAGTTGATGTTGTGGATGAAAAAATTAAATAGAGAATAGAAAAGCACCTGATGGGTAGTGGAAGCCTGGTCAATCTCTGTTTTCTTCCTACAAATGTAGAGCAGTTTGCACATAAGTGGTCGAATTCATTAACTTGATTGGTTATTTAGAACCAGATAATAAACCTTATTGAAATTTAACTATTTGAATTTACTATTATCGTTTCAAACCAGTTTTCCATGTGGTCACAGTATGGTTAAGAGCATGAACTCTTTTGTCATGTTTCTGTGACCTAGCTTGCCCATTTACTAACAATGGCATGTAGGACATGTTATATCCTCTCTGGGCTTCAGTTTCCTCATCTGTAATTTTGAATAATCATAATACTGGCCCCAGAGGATTGCCATGAAAATAAAGTCATGCCAGCAGCATGCTTACAACAGCGCCTCTCCAAACCAAGCATTCAGTTAATGCTAGCTATTGATCTTATTTTGAAATAAGAGGTTAATAATAATATCCAACCAGGATGATAACCTTTGGGGAGCTAATGGTGTGGGCTGTGGGGCTTCTGAGGGGTTATTTTCTTCCTTGTTCATTCTGCAGGCCTCAAATAGTATTTAGTACCTGGAAGTAGTAATCATTATTACAACAAAATTATAAAGCACATTCATTCATTCATTCATTCATTCATTCATTTTTTCAACAGAAAATGGCCATTGGGTGTCTACTAAGTGTGCTATTGGCTCGGTGTAAAAGTAATCGCGGTTTTTGCCATTAAAAGCCATTATTTTTAATGGCAAAAACCGCGATTACTTTTGCACCACCCCAGTACAATCTTTTCTGGGTACTCGCTATACACCAATGGAAAAAAAATACTGTCATGTTTCTTGTTCTCATAGAAATTGTAGTTTAGGTCATATGTAGGGTACTCTACTTGGTGCTAGGGAAATATGCTCTATGGCCTTGGGATATTTATACCGTGGTTGAACCACATTAAATCCTTTCCGAAGCATGACAAAATTTAACTGGAAAAAAATACAGTATAGCTGGGTTGATCAGGCATAGTTACATAAAAATAATAAAGCATGATGTGGCTGAGTACCACATGAGTGACAAAGATAATGCTAGAAGACTTCAAAGAAAGAAATGATCAGTGAGGGTAATTTTATGATCTAATTTATTCTAAAATGATGGAAGTGGGAAGGCTGGTGTCTAGAACATGGGCCAGATTTTACAGTGCAAGCAGGACTTACATATCCGGGAATAAGGTCATTATAAGTAGTGAGCAAAGGCAAGGAGGCCGAAGCGTGTGTGGTGCATTTATGGAGCAATGCAAAACTATTTTGGAAAAGGAGAGATATTTATGTGAGCTGTTAAATGTAACTGGCATTATATATTAATAGCTGAGGTACATAGTAAGCATAATTTGGAGGTGCTTGAATATGAAGTGAGAAGTTTAGACTTTGAAGTTATTTTGCCATTGAAGTTGCCATTAATATATGTACAAGGTAACATTTTTGGAAGCTGGAGGTTTCAGTGTGTATGCTGAATTGCTTGGGTATATATTAGAATACAGTTATCAGTAATGAACAATTGCAATACCACCCACCTGAGGAGATGAGAATTAGAATGGTAATAGTGGTAATTGAAATAAAGAAGTGGTTCAGCAATTCCATTTCTCCAAATTCATTCTAAGGAATTAACTAAACAATAGTGTCAAGATGTGTATATAGAGATATTTATTTCAGCATCTTAAACATTTTTTAAATAAATAAAACATCACAAATGCGGTTGAAATCTCCTGTTTGACACCTCCTTTCCTATATCCCATTGGCCTCCTTCCCTACTCTGTAAGTACTATACTAAATTTGGTGTTAATGATCTTCATGTATCTTTTTAATATATATATATATATATATATATATATTTTTTTTTTTTTTTTTTTTTTTTTTTTTGAGACAGAGTCTCGCTCTGTTGCCCAGGCTGAAGTTCAGTGGCGCGATCTCGGCTCACTGCAAGCTCCGCCTCCCGGGTTCACGCCATTCTCCTGCCTCAGCCTCCCGAGTAGCTGGGACTACAGGCGCCCGCCATCACGCCCAGCTAATTGTTTGTATTTTTTAGTAGAGACGGGGTTTCACCATGTTAGCTAGGATGGTCTCGATCTGCTGACCTCGTGATCCGCCCGCCTCGCCCTCCCAAAGTGCTGGGATTACAGGCATAAGCCACCGTGCCTGGCCCTTTTTAATATTTTTACTACCATGTTATGTATGCACAAACAATATAAAGTACTATTTGCAAGTTGTAAAACTTCATATAATGGTATCATACTGAACCTGTCGTTCTGCAATATCATTGTTTTTGAAATTTATCCAACCTATATATGTAGGTTTAGTTAAATAGTTTTCAAACTCCAGCATGCATCAGAATCCCCTGGAGGGCTTGTTAAAACATACCCCCAGAGTTTCTGATTCTGTAGGTCTGGATTGAAGCCCAGGAATTTGCACTGGTAACAAATTTCTAAGATCATATTTTAAGAACCACTTCATTTTAGCTATGGAAGAGTATTATACTGTCTGAACATGCCACCATATGTTTACCTATCATTCATCAGTTTTAGTAGTTTTTTGGTTGAGTCTAGGTTTTTCCTAATAGAAGGTCATATTGTTTGCAAATAAGAATAATTTGATTTCTTCCTTTCCAATTTGGATACCCTTTATTTCTTTCTCTTGTCTGGTTTCCCTGGCTAGGACTTCCAGCAGTATGTTGAATAACAGCAGTGAAAGGGGGCATCCTTCTGTTCTGGATCTAAGAGGAAAGGCTTTCAGTTTTTCCTTATCCAATATGACACTAGCTGTGGGCTTGTCATATATGCCCTTTATAATGTTGAGGCGTGTTCCTTCATACTTAGTTTATTTATCATGAATGGATGTTAAATTTTATTAAATGCTTTTTTGGCATCTATTGAAATGATCATATAGTTCTTGCTCTTCATTCTGTTTGTATGAGGTATCATATTGATTGATTTCCATATGTTGAACCATCCTTGCATCCCATGGATAAATCCCATTTGGTCATGATGAATAATCTTTTTAAGGTATTGTTGAATTTGGTTTGCTAGTATTTTGTGGAGGACTTTTGCATCAATATTCGTCAGACATATTGGCCTATAGTTTTACCTTTTTATGTGTCTTTGTCTAGTTTTGGTATCAGGGTAATGCTGACTGCATAGAATGAGTTTGGAAGTATTCCATCCTCCTCTTTTTCTGGAGTAGTTTGAGTAGGATTGGTATTAATTATTCTTTAAGTGTTTGGTAGAATTCAGCAGTGAAGCCACTGGGTCCTGGGCTTTTCTTTACTGGGAGACTTTTTATTACTGCTTCTATATTGTTACTTTTTACAGCTCTATTCAGGTTTTGGATTTGTTCGTGGTGCAAACTTTGTAGGTTGTATGTGTCTAAGAATTTATACATTTATTCTAGGCCTTCCAATTTTTTGGCATTTACTTGCTAATAATAGTCTCTAATGATCCTTTGAATTTCTGTGGTACCAGTTGTAATGTCTCCTTTTTCATCTCTGATTTTATTTATTTGGGTCTTTTCTCTCTTTTTCTTAGTCTGGCTAAAGGTTTGTTGATTTATCTTTTCACTTTGTTGATCTTTTGTTTAGTCTAAATTTTATTTATTTCTGTTCTGAGCTTTACTATTTCTTTTTTCCTATTAACTTTGGGTTTGGTTTGCTATTGCTTTTCTAGTTCTTTAACATGCATCGTAAGTTTGTTTATTTGAAGTTTTTCTACTTTTTTTGACATAAATGTTTGTTCCTATCTAAAATTTTCCCTTAGTACTGCTTTTACACTATCCCATAAGTTTTGGTGTGTTGTGTGTCCATTTTCATTTGTTTCATGTAATTTTTTTCAAATTTTCTTCTTAATTTTGTCATTGACCCAATGGCCATCCATGAGCCTGTTGTTTAATTTTTATGCGTTTGTGTAGTTTCCAAACTTTACCTTGTTATTGATTTCTAGTTTTATTCTGTTGTGGTTAGACAAGATACTTGAAGTGGTTTCAATTATTAAATAATTTTTTAAGGCTTGTTTTGTGGTCTAACGTATGGTTTTTCCTTGAGAATGTTCCTTGTGCTGAGGAGAAGAATGTGTATTCTGAAACTCTTGGATGAACTGCTCTATGAATGGTATATTGGTCCATTTGTTCCTAATAGACATCCTATAGACAAGAGTCTATAGAGCAGATTATGTCCAATGTTTCTTCATTGATTTTCTGTCTAGATGATCTGTCCAATGCTGAAAGTAGGGTGTTAAAGTCCCTGACTATTATTGTATTGGGGTCTTTCTCTCTCTTTAGCTCTAATAATATTTGCTTTATATATCTGGGTATTCCATTGTTGGGTGCATATATATTTACAATTTTGGTATCCCCTTGCTGAACTGACCCCTTTATCATTATATAATGACTTTTTTTTGTCTCTTTTTATGCTTTTTGTCTGGAAATCTATTTTGTCTGAAATAAGTATAGCTACTCCTCTTCTTTTTGGGTTCCCGTTTACAAGGAATATCTTTTTCTATCCCTTTATTTTCCGTATATGTGTGTCTTTATAAGTGAAGTGAATTTCTTATAGGTTGCATATAGTTGGGTCTTGTTTGTTTTTAATCCATTAAGCCACTCTCTGCCATTTGACTGAAGAATTTGGTCCATTTACATTCAATGTTATTAATGATAGGTAAGGACTTCCTACTCCCATTTTATTTGTTTTCTCTTTGTTTTATTGGTCTTCTTCTTATCATTTGTATACAAGTGACTTTCTCTGGGATTATGTTTTAATTTCTTGTTATTTATTTTTGGTATATCTTTTTATGAGTTTTTGTTTTGTGGTAACCATGAGGCTTGCAAACAACACCTTATAGCCATTTTAAACTGATGACAACTCAACTCTGACTACAAAGAAAACAAAACAAGCAAAGGGAAAACTAAACAAACTCTACACTATAACTCCATCCTCCTCAGTCTTTGACTTTTGTTGTCTCTATTTACATCTTTTTGTACTATCTCTTAAAATGTTGTTGCAGTTATTATTTTTGATAGGTTTGTCTTTTAGTCTTCTGATTAAAGGTATGAGTGGTTTACATACTACAATTACAGTATTAGAATATTTGGTTTTGTTACTGTACTTACTATTACCAGTTAAATTTATACCTTCAGATGATTTCTTGTTCATTAATGTTCCTTGCTTTCAGATTGAAGAGTTGCCTTTTGCATTTCTTGTAAGGCACGTCTAGTGTTGACAAAATCCTTCCGCTTTTGTTTGTCTGGGAAAGTCTTTATTTCTCTTTCAAGTTTGTAGGTTAATTTTGTGGGATGTACTATTCTAGGTTGAAAGATTTTTCATTCAGCACTGAAAATATGTCATGCCACTCTGTCCTGGCATGTAAGGTTTCCACTGAGAAGTCTGCTGCCAGACCTATCATAGCTCCTTTATACGTTGCTTGCTTCTTTTCTCTTGCTGCTTTTAGGATCCATTCTTTATTCTTGACTTTTGAGAGTTCGATTATTATTTGCCTTAAAGTCTTATTTGGGTTGAATCTGCTTGATGTTTTATGACGTTTTTTATCTAGATATTCATAATTTCTCTAGGTTTAGAATGTCTCTGTTACTATTTCTTTGAATAAGCTTTCTATGCTGATATTTCTCTCCATCCTCTTTAAGGTCAATAACTCTTAGATTTGCCATTTTGACACTATTTTCTAGATCCTGTAGGCATGCTTCATGTTTTTAAAAATTCTTTCTTTCCCCTGACTGTGTATTTTCAATTAGCCTGTCTTCAAGGTCACTAATTCTTTCTTCTGCTTGCTCAATTCTGCTATTAAGGACTCTGATGTATTCTTCAGTATGCCAGTTGCATTTTTCAGCTCCAGCATTTCTGCTTGATGCTTTTAAATTATTTCAGTCTCTTTGTTAAATTTATCCAGTAGAATTCTGGCCTTTCCTCTAGGTGCCTTTAAGAATTTTTATTTTGCATTGGCCTTGAGCAGTCTGTTGACTATATGCCTTTGTGTTATTCATTTTGTAAAGTATCTCACAGGTGTTCTCTACATTAGTTGTATCTATATGTCTGCCTCTCCAATGATATTAGAGAAATTTTGAATAATTCCCTCAAATATACTTTCCAAGTTGTTTGCTTTTTCTCCTGCTCTCTTAGGAATGCTGATAGGTTTGGTTGCTTTACATAACCCCGTGTTTCTTAAAGACTTTGTTCATTTTTCTTAATTTTTTCTCTACTTTTTTTATGACTGGGTTAGTCCAAAATACCAATCTTCAAGCTCTGAAATTCTATCTTCTGCTTGGTCCAATCTGATAAAGGTTTCAATTGTGTTTTGAAATTCCTGAAGTGATTTTTTTTATTTTGGAAGCTCTGATTGATTTCTTTTTAAGATGTTTCTATCTCTTCCTTCATTTCCTGGATTGCTTAGAAGTTTTTTTGGTGTTTATTTTCAACATTGTTTTGGATCTCACTGAGCTTCTCTACAGTCCATGCTTTGGATTCTTTACCTATTATTCCTGAGTTTTCAGTTTGGTTAGTGATGAATGCTAGACAGCTAGTGTGATCCATTGGTGGTGTCACTACATTCAGATTTTCCATGGTGCTGGTATTTCTTGCATGGGTTCCTTCTCATCTAGAGATGCTGGCACTTCTAATTTTTGTAATTACTTTTGTGCAAGTAGGATTTTTTCTTTTTCTTTCTCTATGATATTATCATTTTTTCTTTCCTTTTCCCTTCCCCCATTCCCTATGGGGTGTGACTTTAGAGAATTCTGGGTAGCTTCTTTTGGCTTTGCTTCTGTAGCCCTATGCATTTTTTCAGCAGGTTGTTATATTAGACTTTGCAGTTCAACCTACAAGCCAGCAGATGGCTCTTATGGGCAAGAGCTGGCTGTGGCCAATGTGGCTGGGAATATACTTGATACTTGCTTACCAGGATAAACTCTGTGTTGTCTCAGGCAATGGGCTGATCCATGGAGTGCACAGTGGTCTGATCTCCCTGCTCAGTCCCGGGGGGCAGAGGGCAAGATGAGTGAGGGCAGACTGGGCAGACCCACCTATAGGTCCCCCAAAGGCAGATGCAAACACCAGCACTGACAGAGAATTCAGTGACTGGCCACCAAGTCCCAAGAGGTACTTAGGCATGAAGCTGGGAAACCTCCTCAGCCCCAAGCTCCCTGAACTGGGAGGTGGGAAGCCTAAACTCCTAATCCAGGAGAGTGGGTACTCAAGATGCCTGGAGATATGCCTGGGTGTGGAGTCCAGAGGGCTCCATTGCACCACAATCTCTGCACAGGGAGGATAGGGCAGCTTAGGTTGTTAATTCAGGTGAATTAGCGCTCTGACTGCCTAGAGATCTGCCTGAGCATGGGACAGAGAAGGCCCCACTTTACTACATTCTCTTCACAGGAAGGGTGGGCCGATTCAAGCTGCTGATCCAGGTGAGTGGGTGCTCTGAATGCCTGGAGATCTACCTGGGTGTGGAGGGGAGAAGACCCTACTCTACCACAGTCTCTGCATGGAAAAGGTGGGGCAGCTCAGGCTGCCAGTTTATGTGAGCAGGTGCTCCAAATGCCTGAAAATTTGCTTGCTTGAGGAGCAGAGAGGGCCCCACTGTACCATGACCTGTCCCCAGGAAGGGTGTGACTTAGGCTGCCGATCCTGGTGGGGGGTTGCTCCAAATGCCTGGAGATATTCCTGGGTATGAAGCGAAGAGGGCTCTGCTTCACCACAGTCTTTGCTCTGGAAGGGTAGGATGGCTCACACTGCTGATCTGTGCAAGTGGGTGCTTTGAATGCCTGGAGATCTGCATGTGCATGAAGCATAAAGGCCTTTCTGCACCACGATCTCTGTACAGAAATGGTGGGCAGCTCAGGCTAGTCATCCATGCATGTAGGTGCTCTAAATGCCAGGATATCTGCTTGGGCATGAAATAGAGAAGTGCCTTCCTTCACCAGGATCCCTATGCAGGAAGGGTGGGGCAGTTCAGGCTACTAGTTCATGGCAGCGGTTACTCTGAATTACTAGAGATCTGCCTATGAGTGTGGAGTGGAGAGGACCCCACTGTACTACAATCTCAGGGGAGCAGGCTGGGGTACCCAGGATGACACATTTAGACCAATTCCAGGTTGCCAAGCTGGCTCTAGCTGTGTCTCATTACCTAGAAGAAATCACAGCTATAGCAGCTCTTTTTCCCAATCAGGCCTGCAACCAGGGAGAGCACAATTCTAGTACCTATTGCTGAGGTGCTTTCCACAGTTCTGGTTGTGGAGGCCCCTACTGCACTCCAGAGTTAGTGCTCTAGTCTGTGGTCTGATACTAAAATTCCTGCAGAACCACGCTGCTAGGTCACCAAAGAATGACTGAATTTTTATGCTCCCAGATTAAAAATGGCATCCTGCTCTAGGTCTTGAGTCTGGGAAAATGCCTAAAGCTTTTCCCAGTATCTTTCTCTCTCGGCGTCTTCAAGCCTCTCCCCAAGTTAGCTCCAGGGATGGGAGAAACAAAGTGTTCTCTCTCCACTTGGGTTGCTCAGATCCCCAGTGGAAAGGTGAGTCACAGAGGGAGGCTCTCTGCCTCTCTTATGTACTGAAGATTTATTCACTTTTATCAGCTGGATGCCTTCACCGGAGCTATTTGCTTGTGTTCTCCTCCCCGGGATCTGGGATGTCCTGTACCATTCTGGTGGATGCCTCTTTTCCTTCTTGAATTAAAGCTCATAGCATTTATCTTTATGTGCTATCTTGCTATTTCCAAGGAGCAGAGGCATACTAAAAGCTTCTAATCTGCTGCGTTGGAAAAAATTTTTCTTAAAGACATTTATCGAGATGTAATTTATACACCATAAGATGCACCAATTTTAAGTGAAGAATTTAACGGTTTTCACTGTATTTACAGAATTGTGCAACCATCAACACAATCTAATTTTAGAACATTTCCACTTCCCCCACAAGAAACCTGTTGGCCATTGGCAGTAAATCAATTTCGTTGCCCACTGCTCACTGCTCACCCCAGCCCTAGTCAACTACTAATCTGCATTCTGTTTGTATGGGTTTGCTTATTCTGGACATTTCATGTAATTGGAATTATACAATATGTGATCTTTTGTGTCTGGCTTTTTTCACCTAGCATAATATTGTCAAGGTTCAGTCATGTTGTAGCATATATCAGTACTTCTTTCTTTTATTGCAGAACAATATTCTATTGTATGGACATAACACATTTTGTTTATCCATTAATCAGGTGACAGGCACTCAGATTGTTTCAATATTTTGGCTATTGTGAATGGTGCTGCTAGGAACATTTATGTACATGTTTTTGTGTGGACATATGTTTTCATTTTTGTAGATTACATACCTGTGAGTGAAATAGCTGAGTCATATATTAACTCTACGTTTAAGTTTTTTAGTAACTTCCAAACTGTTTTCCAAAGTGTCTGCCCCATTTTACATTTCCACCAGCAATGTATGAGAGTAATAATTTATCCATATCCTCACCAACACTTGCTGTTGTCTGGCCTTTTTGTTGGCAGATATTCTGGTGGTATTTCATTTTTCATTTGTGTTTCCCTAATGACTAATCATGTTGAGCATATATTCAAGGGTTTATTGGCCATTCAGATATCCTCAGAGAAATATCTATTTAAATCTTTTACAAGTTTTAATTGGGTTATTTTCTTATTGAGTTGTAAGAGTTCATTATATGTCCTTTACCACGGATATTGTTTACAGATATTCTTTCCACTCTCTTGAAGACATTGCTTTCTTGATTGTATCCTTTGAAGATCAAAAGTTTTAAAATTTGGTGAAATTCTACTTAGATATTTTGTTATTTTATTGCTTGTGCAGCATCTCCCATATCTAAGAAATTGTTGCCCAACCCAACGTCATGAACATTTACTCCTATGTTTTATCATAAGAATTTTATAATTTGAGTTTTTATATTGAATTTTATATTTAGGCCTGTGATCCATTTTGAGTTTGTTTATCTGTATGGTATGAAGTAGAGGTCCAGGCTTATCATTTTACATGTGAGTATTCGGTTGTTGTAGCACAGGACTCTTGATTCTTTTCTGTTAATCTGTATGTCTTTACTGTCTTCAAATTCTGTGCTTTCATTATTACTGTAGATGTATAGTAAGTCTTATATATGAGGCCTCCAACGTTGTTCTTATTTTTTTAAAAGATTGTATTCAGTATTCTAGTTACTTTGCCTTTCCATACAAATTTTATAGTCATATTTTTATGAATGCTTATTAATTATATTAGTTTGTTTGTAGCTTCTTTTGTATTTTAGATACTGGTATGCAAATATAAATCATTTTGTTTCATCCTTTCCAAACTTTAGACTTTTTTATTTTCTTGTCTTATTGCACTGGTAGGATTCTCCAGCACAATATTTAATAGGAGCATAGATAGCAGACATCCATTTCTTATTTCTAACTTTAAAATGAATGCTTCTAATGTTAGCCTACAAGTAATGTTTTCTATCAGATTTTGGAGACATACTTTAGCAGGTTGAAGTTTTCTTCTATTTCTATTTAGTAAGAATTTTTTATTTTTAAGTAAACTATTATGTTTCATCTTTCTGTGCCTATATGCAGATTTTTTTCTTGTGTACCCATTTAATGAAAGCATGGTCTTTTAGGAAGTTCTAGTTTTATCCTGAGATCTCATTTCCAAACTCTTGCCTTGAGCCACGACCTTTTCATGTTTACATGTGTGAGCATTCCAATACAAGATTCTAGCTAAAGGAGATCAACGGATATCCCCAAGGCTATTCTAATATCAGGTCGTGTGCTTACTGCCCTGGTTTTCAGGTATCATTTCGTTTTTTGTCTCTGGTGATTTTCTTTACCTTCATGAGAGTTCAGCTGAGCATTTAAAATTCCATCTTTAAAGAAATTCCTCATCTTTTGATATTTCGAGCAGGAAGGCTTTGGGGGTTCCTGGACCACTATATTATTGGTAACTGCAGATTATGACTGTACATGGAAAAAATGGAAACAGCTCAACTAGTTTTCTAATGTCTAGCCAAGTGGTTTACAAATGTTAGGCACTCAATAAATATTTGCTGAATGAATGAAATCTCATCTGAACATTTCATGACTGACAGCTTACAGAGGAAGAAGAAAAGAATGGAGTAAAAAAATGTACCAAAGTTTTGAGCCTGCCTGTGAGAATGTTGGTGTCACTCATAGACAAGGGAGATGGCTAGAAGGGGCGCTAATTTATAGGAAGAAATAGGAGTTTGATTTCACTCATACTGAGTTAGAAGTGGCAGACAGATTCGCTGGTTATCTTTGACTGGGAATGTGGGATTAAAGCTCTGGAGAAAGGTCAAGACTGAATGTACAACTTAGGGAATTAATTATTTGCAATAAGGTGACGGTGGAAACTATGGCATTAGCTGCTGTCCCTGAGGCAGAGAGTATAGGGTAAGAAAAGTAGTGGGTCTAAAATTCAGCCTTGATTGAAGCAGAAAGGAAAGCATAGCCTATGTAAGTATATATAAAGATATGGTCGAAGAGATTGGATGAAAAAGACAGTATAGTGTCACAAAAAGCATAGAAGGAGATACATTTTAAAGAAGAGCTGGTTGTTTAAGGAGAGGGTGGTGAATAGATTCAGATACTGTTTAGAGTTCAAGACCCCAGGATTTACCTGCTATTCCAGTCCCATTTATGACCCCATGAGAATATGCATGTTATAGTGCTTCTCTTTTTATCTATGATATAATTTTTATCTTGAGTATAATCAATGAATCAGAAAGAATGGTTTAGATTATTTTTCTGCATGTGTATTTTTTTAATATGATCTCTAAATGTAGCTGTAGAAAAGCTGCTTATAGTTTTCCTGCTGTTTAAAAGCCATATTATACTCCATTTAAATATTTTTTAAACTGGTTAGAGGAAACAGGATGTGGTGCCTAGAAAACTTAAATGGGTTTGGAAGAGACTTTAAGTCTGTTAGGAAACCAACGGTGTGCTAATTTCAGCTAAAAGTCACTGACAGCATGCTGTGAAACATGCAGGGTCTGACCATAATTTCCATCCCCCTGCTCCTTTTCTTTCTGCTAACAAGGAAAGATAATTTAGAGGCTAGAAGCTTGGAACGGAAAATAGGGCCTTTTAAAAAAAGAGTTGTAAATTGGCTACTATAGGTCTGACCTGCCAGTGGGGATATTAACAGTTGAATAAAAGCTATTGGAAAGAGCTTTTTATGATAAGCTCTTCCAGGGCTTTGAAGTGCTAGAACCATATGCAGGAGTTACAGACATTTATACATATATATATTCCTATGAATTTCTGACTCTAAAAGTACTTAGGGTGAATTAGAGAGTCATTGTTTACTTAGGCATGAGGTGAACAACTAGAATTAGACTAAACAACAATAGCTACTGCTTCCTCAAGGGCTACCTCATTTTAACTAGTATTAAAAATCTTACTATAGGTTATGTATAATATTTTCTTATGCTGTAATTAGAAATTATTTGTATTTTTCTTAATAGAGTTTTATTTGTATATAAAAGCTTAAATGTCTGTGTGTAACATATACAAATGTACACTGTTATTCCCTATAGTTGTTATCTATGATGGACGTGTCCCTCTGAATTGAAAGGACTAGGTAATCAATACTGTAGGGTTCAAAACTAGTATTCACAAAGCAAAGGAAGTGGTTGTAAATGATGTATAGGATTTAATCTGAGTCTGTGGTCTTGAATGAAAAATGAATGAGAATACAGAATTCAAAGAGAGAACAGCAGTCAATGTCAAGGGAATAGTAGGGATAGCAAAGGCAGACATATTACCTCAGAGATAAGAAGTCTTTGAGATACAGACCAAATCTGTCTGGGTCAGATAGCCTTTTATATTTTCTAGCCTGTATCACAGAATAAAAACTGGCTTCCTAGGGAGTGGTCAGGCCAGGGCTAAAGGCGGCAAGCAGCTGCACTGTTCTAATTTGCTACCTTGGCCATTCTTTAAGCTGGAGTAAATGGGACAGAATCCTTCCTGTTTGGATCACAAGACCATAGCATAGACAGTCTGTCCAACTGATGGCAGCACACCTGATTCGTGGGCCTCACATCCTGGAGGAAAGAAAACTCTTTAGATTATTAGCACTGTAAACCCAAACCTACAAAATGATGCCAAAACAGCATAGGAACACACAATGTTTATTTCTTAAACATTGCATTTAAGGTGAAAATTTCCTGAGCAATGAATATTATGATAGGGAAAGATGGAACAACTTGAACCAATTTAGTAGCCAGTAGGTTTTTATTTTCCTGTTCCAAATGTGTTGACAAGAATGTGAAATGAGATGAAAAGGAATATATCTTTAAACATTCAAAAAATTGACTTTTTCTATGATAAAGCAAATTTAAAACCATTGTCTGAAATTCTGACTATATTAAAAGGGGTGCAATAAATAGGGAGATTTTCCATAGTTTCCCCTGCAACTTCCAATAACTTATTCATGGAATCTCATCCCAAGGTAAATCAAGTGTCTATGTTTTTTCCTGTGAAGCCACTTGAAATCAACGTTGGGATTTGCAGCCAAACACATGGGAAGAGTTTTCAAATTATTCAAGGCAATAAAGGTGCTTCTTTGTGAGTAGACATTAGGCTTGTGTTTTGTCAAACAGAATTCCAATATAGAATACTAGAGGGAACCCAGACTTTATTCCTACCCCTTATTTGTTCTCCTATGTCGTCTTGGACCTTGAGACATTTTGGCAAAGACTGTCATGGAGCCTCTGGTGAAGACACCTGTGGTTAATCAGGATCACTTTAAAGGATCAGAGGTTGTAAGTTTAAACACTTGCAGAGTTGGCTTCATTTCCACCAGATGCTAGGCTTGAACTTCAGGGGGCTGCCTCTAATGAACAATGATGCCTATTTCAGTATATGTCTGCAGTTGTTTAGCTGCCTTTAGATGTGAATAACTGAGAGGCCTAAGTATATGATACACATTCTGTTTATTATTTATATATAAAACAATAACTAGTTAACTAACTCATTTTGATTTGTAACTCTTACTTACGAGTAAAATGTTATGCATGTGGTCTGATGGCATTGCAGGACTCAGGAATAACCTTTCTTCTCTGATGCCTGAAAAAAAGGTACCAGAGATATCCATTCTGGTTTCAAGGGAACATTGAGTTCCAGGAGTGTCAGAGGGCCTAGTATGCCCCAAGGTTTAGGGACATCGGAAGATATGGTGTTAGTGAGGCTAGGAGGTATATTGAGGTCTAGGATATTAAAAAGTTCAAGGATTCTCAGCAAGTCCAAGATTAGTTCCTAATGTGGATGCTGCAACTAAGCATGTTAAGTACCAGAGAGAGGCTCAGGCTAAATTTTCCAAAGCTATTTAAAAGCCTGTGGGAGGAGGGGGAGGAGGCAGCAAATCCTCCATACTTTCTACCTTTTTTTCTCTTTAACATTTTATCCCCAACACAATAAAAAGATTGGCACTACCAGCATCCTTTTTTCTGAAGTCATGTAAGTGGGCCATTTTTGTCTATACAGAGGTTTCTAAGGATGTTTTATGTTAGGAAGCAAAGGTATGTAGACGTATGACCATAGCAGAAAAGGAAGCATCTTAGAACTCTCCAGTATGGTTGCAGAAATTCACAGCTCCTGCACTGGGAAAATTCCACTGTACAATGAAAATATACCCCCAAATTCCAAACAAATTCATTCTTATTTCTTCCCCATAACTTTGCAGGGAAGATTAGCTTCCCATAGTCTCTGAAGCCTTTGTATTAATACTAGTAAATGTTAAAAAAAATCTCCCTCAACTGCTTTGATAACTGTTTGAAATGCTAATTGATTGGCATGTGTACAATCAACCCAGCGTTCATACCAATTTAACCCCTCCCTAGGCAGGTTTGCATATTTGATGAAATTATCCTCTATATCAAGAAAATATGAACCTAAGTGAGATGAAAACTGAACCCAAATGTGATAACACATGAAAAAATGGGATGCTTCTGGGTTTCTTGCCTCAATTTCCTCTCTTAGATAAGACCACCCCATAAACACGCAACAGTAAATTTTAGGAAAATTAACTTTCCAGTGAGATGGGAATGACAGTAGATTTGCCTATGCTTGTAAAAGCATATATTTCTGATGTTTTACAAAAAGCCGTGATGGATGACTAAAACCAGATTTCTAATACTATTCTTCTTCAAAGAATAATAACTCTCTAGCCTATGTTTAAGTGAGTATGGAGTTCAGTGGAGATACAGCAAGAGATAACATGGCAGAGCTACTTAAGAAGAAGGGACAGGGAAGAAGACATAGATAAGGAAGGGACAGTAGTATGGAGCATTAAACTTTGGCCTGGGATTCTATCACCTTTAAATGAATTACAATCTTGGAAGTAAGAATACATATGAAACTTTGCAATGTGAATTTTCTGTTGACCATGACTGGAGGTGGCACCCTGCTTAGACCTGAGGGTGGGCATGGGAGAGACCTGATATACTTTTGCCTGGATGGGGCTGACTCTGGTATGGAGAAGTGGGTATTAAATGAAGATTTGAGCAAGGGGACAGGACTAAAAAAGCAAAAGACGAGATGTAAAGATAGATGATCTTAATTTAATGGAGAAGACTACCACAAACTTAAAGTATTTATTTAACTATAATGATAAATATAAAATAGTGCTGAACATTCAGAAATATTTATCCTGATGTGTTTTCTAGTGCTGTTGTTACAAATTATCACAAATTTAGTGAATTAAAATGACATAAATTTATTATCACACAGTTCTGTAAGTTAGAAGTCTGGGCAGAATGTGGCTTTTATGGTTCCACTGCTTAGGGTCTCACAAGCCAGAATCAAGGGGATAGCCAGGTTGCATTCCTTCTGGGAGATGCTAATGCTAGACTCAATCAGTTTGTTGGCCAAATTTATTTCTGTAATGTAGGACTGAGGTCCTTGTATCCTTGCTTTCTGTGGGCTGGGGATTGTTCTCAGCTCCTAGAGGCTGCCCACATTCACTGGTTTGTGGCCTTCTTCAAAGCCAGCAATAGCTACTTAAGTCCTTCTCATGCCTCAAATTTTCCTGACTTGCATTTTTCCCTTCCCTCTCCTACCTCTACTAAATTCAACTAGGCAGTATTTCCTATTTTAGAGCTTGTGTAATTAGATTGGGTCTACCTGGATTAGCTTCTATCTTAAGTTTTGTAAGCTTAATTACATCTGCAAAGTCCCTTCACACTAGAACCTAGATTAGTGTTTGATAGAATAACCAGGGAATGGGAATCCTGGGTGGTAGGAGAGAGACATATTTAGGATTTTGCCTGCCACACCTGGGATCTTAGAAATATGCGCGAATCTTAAAAGGGCATGAGGGGGCAATAAATCCAAAGAGCCCCATGGAAACATTCAATTATTAATGGAGAAGAAAGAGGAGTGAAAATATGAAATTGATATACATTTGCTATTTTACATTGATGGAATGGAGCGGGGCACAATCTGAGATTACAAGGGGGAAAAAGAGAAGGAAGACCCTATGGAGCGATGCTATTTACAATATTTAACAATCTGCATGGCATGGACATAAGCCAGTCAGAACAATCACAATGCATGCTGGCCAGCACTCTACACTAGTGCATACCCAATGCATCACTACTGATGTGTCCAAGATAGCACTGTATTCACCATCACTGTCGTTAGTCTTCCCGTGAAACTCCCGGTAAGGGGACTCAGTCCCTGTTTCCCACTAAGAGCTCAGCCTCAATGTGAATGTGTTTGTGCATCAGGGAAACCACCCCAGAAGCAAGGGCTTAGCCTCCAAGCAGGGATTAGAAAAGTCTGAAAACACGTAGGAATGGGAGCCTGGCCAGTGGTATGATGGGGAAAGCTGTGACCATGAGTCCAGACAGACCATGGAGACAGGGGATATGAAATAGGAAAAGTCTTTGAGGTAGACAGTTCTGAACATGTGTCTGAGGAAGTTCTGAATATAGCACATCATCATATTAGGATGGAGAATGGAAAACATTGTTAAGTATAGTTAACCAAAAGCCCAATCAACAAACCAACCAATAAACGAACACAATAAATCCAGGACCTAGAATGTCTACTCAGTCTGGTGTGTAGCAGGTGGTCAGTGGAGACTGAGGTAGCTAGCTCCTGGTGTGGGGAAGTTAGAAGGATAGCAGGTGGGGTAGTCAGCATAAAAATTGAGGATCTGAAGATGGCCGAATAGGAACAGCTCCGGTCTACAGCTCCCAGCATGACCGACGCAGAAGACAGGTGATTTCTGCATTTCCATCTGAGGTACCGGGTTCATCTCACTAGGGAGTGCCAGACAGTGGGCGCAGGCCAGTGGGTGTGCACACGGTGCGCGAGCCGAAGCAGGGCGAGGCATTGCCTCACCTGGGAAGCGCAAGGGGTCAGGGAGTTCCCTTTCCGAGTCAAAGAAAGGGGTGACGGACGCACCTGGAAAATCGGGTCACTCCCACCCGAATACTGCGCTTTTCCAACGGGCTTAAAAGGCGCACCACCAGACTATATCCCACACCTGGCTCGGAGGGTCCTACGCCCACAGAGTCTTGCTGATTGCTAGCACAGCAGTCTGAGATCAAACTGCAAGGTGGCAGCCAGGCTGGGTGAGGGGCGCACGCCATTGCCCAGGCTTGCTTAGGTAAACAAAGCAGCCTGGAAGCTCGAACTGGGTGGAGCCCACCACAGCTCAAGGAGGCCTGCCTGCCTCTGTAGGCTCCACCTCTGGGGGCAGGGCACAGACAAACAAAAAGACAGCAGTAACCTCTGCAGACTTAAATGTCCCTGTCTGACAGCTTTGAAGGGAGCAGTGGTTCTCCCAGCACGCAGCTGAAGATCTGAGAACCGGCAGACTGCCTCTTCAAGTGGGTCCCTGACCCCTGACCCCCGGAGCAGCCTAACTGGGAGGCACCCCCCAGCAGGGGCACACTGACACCTCACAAGGCAGGGTATTCCAACAGATCTGCAGCTGAGGGTCCTGTCTGTTAGAAGGAAAACTAACAAACAGAAAGGACATCCACACCAAAAACCCATTTATACATCACCATCATCAAAGACCAAAAGTAGATAAAACCACAAAGATGGGGAAAAAACAGAACAGAAAAACGGGAAGCTCTAAAAATCAGAGCGCCTCTCCTCCTCCAAAGGAACGCAGCTCCTCACCAGCAACAGAACAAAGCTGGATGGAGAATGACTTTGACGAGCTGAGAGAAGAAGGCTTCAGACGATCAAATTACCCTGAGCTACGGGAGGACATTCAAACCAAAGGCAAAGAAGTTGAAAACTTTGAAAAAAATTTAGAAGAATGTATAACTAGAATAAACAATACAGAGAAGTGCTTAAAGGAGGTGATGGAGCTGAAAACCAAGGCTCGAGAGCTACGTGAAGAATGCAGAAGACTCAGGAGCCGATGCGATCAACTGGAAGAAAGGGTATCAGCAATGGAAGATGAAATGAATGAAATGAAACGAGAAGGGAAGTTTAGAGAAAAAAGAATAAAAAGAAATGAGCAAAGCCTCCAAGAAATATGGGACTATGTGAAAAGACCAAATCTACGTCTGACTGGTGTACCTGAAAGTGATGGGGAGAATGGAACCAAGTTGGAAAACACTCTGCAGGATATTATCCAGGAGAACTTCCCCAATCTAGCAAGGCAGGCCAATGTTCAGATTCAGGAAGTACAGAGAACGCCACAAAGATACTCCTCGAGAAGAGCAACTCCAAGACACATAATTGTCAGATTCACCAAAGTTGAAATGAAGGAAAAAATGTTAAGGGCAGCCAGAGAGAAAGGTCGGGTTACCCTCAAAGGGAAGCCCATCAGACTAACAGCGGATCTCTCGGCAGAAACCCTACAAGCCAGAAGAGAGTGGGGGCCAATAGTCAACATTCTTAAAGAAAAGAATTTTCAACCCAGAATTTCATATCCAGCCAAGCTAAGCTTCATAAGTGAAGGAGAAATAAAATACTTTACAGACAAGCAAATGCTGAGAGATTTTGTCACCACCAGACCTGCCCTAAAAGAGCTCCTGAAGGAAGCGCTAAACATGGAAAGGAACAACCAGTACCAGCCGCTGCAAAATCATGCCAAAATGTAAAGACCATCGAGACTAGGAAGAAACTGCATCAACTAACGAGCAAAATAACCAGCTAACATCATAATGACAGGATCAAATTCACACATAACAATATTAACTTTAAATGTAAATGGACTAAATTCTCCAATTAAAAGACACAGACTGGCAAATTGGATAAAGAGTCAAGACCCATCAGTGTGCTGTATTCAGGAAACCCATCTCACGTGCAGAGACACACATAGGCTCAAAATAAAAGGATGGAGGAGGATCTACCAAGCAAATGGAAAACAAAAAAAGGCAGGGGCTGCAATCCTAGTCTCTGATAAAACAGACTTTAAACCAACAAAGATCAAAAGAGACAAAGAAGGCCATTACATAATGGTAAAGGGATCAATTCAACAAGAATAGCTAACTATCCGAAATATATATGCACCCAATACAGGAGCACCCAGATTCATAAAGCAAGTCCTGAGTGACCTACAAAGAGACTTAGACTCCCACACAATAATAATGGGAGACTTTAACACCCCACTGTCAACATTAGACAGATCAATGAGACAGAAAGTCAACAAGGATACCCAGGAATTGAACTCAGCTCTGCACCAAGCGGACCTAATAGACATCTACAGAACTCTCCACCCCAAATCAACAGAATATACATTTTTTTCAGCACCACACCACACCTATTCCAAAATTGACCACATACTTGGAAGTAAAGCTCTCCTCAGCAAATGTAAAAGATCAGAAATTATAACAAACTATCTCTCAGACCACAGTGCAATCAAACTAGAACTCAGGATTAAGAATCTCACTCAAAGCCGCTCAACTACATGGAAACTGAACAACCTGCTCCTGAATGACTACTTGGTACATAACGAAGCAGAAGGCAAGAATAACTAAAATCAGAGCAGAACTCAAGGAAATAGAGACACAAAAAACCCTTCAAAAAATCAATGAATCCAGGAGCTGGTTTTTTGAAAGGATCAACAAAATTGATAGACCGCTAGCAAGACTAATAAAGAAGAAAAGAGAGAAGAATCAAATAGATGCAATAAAAAATGATAAAGGGGATATCACCACCGATCCCACAGAAATACAAACTACCATCAGAGAATATTACAAACACCTCTATGCAAATAAACTAGAAAATCTAGAAGAAATGGATAAATTCCTCGACACATACACTCTCCCAAGACTAAACCAGGAAGAAGTTGAATCTCTTAATAGACCAATAACAGGAGCTGAAATTGTGGCAATAATCAATAGTTTACCAACCAAAAAGAGTCCCGGACCAGATGGATTCACAGCCGAATTCTACCAGAGGTACAAGGAGGAACTGGTACCATTCCTTCTGAAACTATTCCAATCAATAGAAAAAGAGGGAATCCTCCCTAACTCATTTTATGAGGCCAGCATCATTCTGATACCAAAGCCGGGCAGAGACACAACCAAAAAAGAGAATTTTAGACCAATATCCTTGATGAACATTGATGCAAAAATCCTCAAGAAAATACTGGCAAACCGAATCCAGCAGCACATCAAAAAGCTTATCCACCATGATCAAGTGGGCTTCATCCCTGGGATGCAAGGCTGGTTCAATATATGCAAATCGATAAATGTAATCCAGCATATAAACAGAGCCAAAGACAAAAACCACATGATTATCTCAATAGATGCAGAAAAAGCCTTTGACAAAATTCAACAACCCTTCATGCTAAAAACTCTCAATAAATTAGGTATTGATGGGACGTATTTCAAAATAATAAGAGCTATCTATGACAAACCCACAGCCAATATCATACTGAATGGGCAAAAACTGGAAGCATTCCCTTTGAAAACTGGCACAAGACAGGGATGCCCTCTCTCACCACTCCTATTCAACATAGTGTTGGAAGTTCTGGCCAGGGCAATTAGGCAGGAGAAAGAAATAAAGGGTATTCAATTAGGAAAAGAGGAAGTCAAATTGTCCCTGTTTGCAGACGACATGATTGTATATCTAGAAAACCCCATTGTCTCAGCCCAAAATCTCCTTAAGCTGATAAGCAACTTCAACAAAGTCTCAGGATACAAAATCAATGTACAAAAATCACAAGCATTCTTATACACCAACAACAGACAAACAGAGAGCCAAATCATGAGTGAACTCCCATTCACAATTGCTTCAAAGAGAATAAAATACCTAGGAATCCAACTTACAAGGGATGTGAAGGACCTCTTCAAGGAGAACTACAAACCACTGCTCAAGGAAATAAAAGAGGATACAAACAAATGGAAGAACATTCCATGCTCATGGGTAGGAAGAATCAATATCGTGAAAATGGCCATACTGCCCAAGGTAATTTACAGATTCAATGCCATCCCTATCAAGCTACCAATGACTTTCTTCACAGAATTGGAAAAAACTACTTTAAAGTTCATATGGAACCAAAAGAGCCCGCATCGCCAAGTCAATCCTAAGCCAAAAGAACAAAGCTGGAGGCATCACACTACCTGACTTCAAACTATACTACAAGGCTACAGTAACCAAAACAGCATGGTACTAGTACCAAAACAGAGATATAGATCAATGGAACAGAACAGAGCCCTCAGAAATAACGCCGCATACCTACAACTGTCTGATCTTTGACAAACCTGAGAAAAACAAGCAATGGGGAAAGGATTCCCTATTTAATAAATGGTGCTGGGAAAACTGGCTAGCCATATGTAGAAAGCTGAAACTGGATCCCTTCCTTACACCTTATACAAAAAGCAATTCAAGATGGATTAAAGACTTACGTGTTAGACCTAAAACCATAAAAACCCTAGAAGAAAACCTAGGCATTACCATTCAGGACATAGGCATGGGCAAGGACTTCATGTCTAAAACACCAAAAGCAATGGCAACAAAAGCCAAAATTGACAAATGGGATCTAATGAAACTAAAGAGCTTCTGCACAGCAAAAGAAACTACCATCAGAGTGAACAGGCAACCTACAAAATGGGAGAAAATTTTCGCAACCTACTCATCTGACAAAGGGCTAATATCCAGAATCTACAATGAACTCAAACAAATTTACAAGGAAAAAACAAACAACCCCATCAAAAAGTGGGCGAAGGACATGAACAGACACTTCTCAAAAGAAGACATTTATGCAGCCAAAAAACACATGAAAAAATGCTCACCATCACTGGCCATCAGAGAAATGCAAATCAAAACCACAATGAGATACCATCTGACACCAGTTAGAATGGCAATCATTAAAAAGTCAGGAAACAACAGGTGCTGGAGAGGATGTGGAGAAATAGGAACACTTTTACACTGTTGGTGGGACTGTAAACTAGTTCAACCATGGTGGAAGTCAGTGTGGCGATTCCTCAGGGATCTAGAACTAGAAATACCATTTGACCCAGCCATCCCATTACTGGGTATAGACCCAAATGACTATAAATCATGCTGCTATAAAGACACATGCACACGTATGTTTATTGCGGCATTATTCACAATAGCAAAGACTTGGAACCAACCCAAATGTCCAACAATGATAGACTGGATTAAGAAAATGTGGCACATATACACCATGGAATACTATGCAGCCATAAAAAATGATGAGTTCATGTCCTTTGTAGGGACATGGATGAAATTGGAAATCATCATTCTCAGTAAACTATGGCAAGAACAAAAAACCAAACACCGCATATTCTCACTCATAGGTGGGAATTGAACAATGAGATCACATGGACACAGGGAGGGGAATATCACACTCTGGGGACTGTGGTGGGGTGGGGGGAGGGGGGAGGGATAGCATTCGGAGATATACCTAATGCTAGATGATGAGTTAGTGGGTGCAGCGCACCAGCATGGCACATGTATACATATGTAACTAACCTGCACAATGTGCACATGTACCCTAAAACTTAAAGTATAATAAAAAAAAAATTGAGGATCTACTCATGGAGACTGGGGATCAGGTGGCCAGATATTAAGTCACCGTGTGAGAATTAGATTTCTAGATAAGGATTTGGATATAGAGAAACAAGATACAGACATAGTTACTGGAATATTGCAGTCTCAAAGTCATAATGAAATCAAAATACACCAAAGAAGATGCTAAGTTGTGGGTTTAGGGCTGTTTATTTAGCATGTGATAACCTGCAAAAAACTCTCATTTTCTTCAATCTCTCTCATGTCATAGAAAACAGTTTCTGGGAAGAAGTAATTTGCCTAAGGTCACATGGCTAAATTTTAGTAGAACTGGTATTAAGACTCAGGTCCCAGATGCTTAATATAGTTGGTGTTGTTCCCATCACATTACACTGCCTTTCTGCCTTGAGCCAGGGCTGGTCTTGGGGTGTGGGTTTCAGCTGACTGTGCAGGTAGAAGGGAATGTTCACCCAGTTGATGGTTCAGTGGGCTGTTGGTTTGATGCCCAACTATGGTCTCTTCTTCCAATCTTATGCCCAGGATCAGGCCCCAGCTTCAGCACCCTCCTGTTCTGGATTCCAGTGGCATAAGCATAGCTTCTTTCTCAGCTTTTGATGGACACATTGGGGTATGTTGCTTTGAACTTAAATAAAAGGAGAGTCAGTACCAGACTCCTGTCTGCTAAAAATAGTTTCACGTGGAATGCTGTTATAGGGAAGCACAAAGCCACTACTAAAACAAACTAATAGATATCATGGGTTTTCATGACATTGGAAAAAAGGATGTTTCGGCCGGGCGCAGTGGCTCACACCTGTAATCCCAGCACTTTGGGAGGCCGAGGTGGGTGGATCATGAGGTCAGGAGATCAAGACCATCCTGGTTAACATGGTGAAACCCCGTCTCTACTAAAAATACAAAAAAATTAGCCGGGCGTGGTGGCAGGTGCCTGTAGTCCCAGCTACTCTGGAGGCTGAGGCAGGAGAATGGTGTGAACCTGGGAGGTGGAGCTTGCAGTGAGCCGAGATCATGCCACTGTGCTCCAGCCTGGGCAACAGAGCAAGACTCCATCTCAAAAAAAAAAAAAAGGATGTTTCACAGGAGTGAAAAATAAAGGTTAAATAAGAGCCTTCTCACATTCATAATGCTATCAATTTTGTCAGATATGGTCTCAACTGATTGGGAGCAAGAGTAGGTAGTATTTTAATAAATTACAAATGGAAAGTTGGAAGGCAAGAAAATGGGTGAGTTTGTTCAAAGAAAAGGGCTGCGGACTTCTCCTAGTCTGGCATGTTATAACTTGCCTGCTAATCAATCACTGAAGAACATGCCTACTGCCCTCAGGGACATTCTTGCAAAAAAGGGATGCTTTTCACACAATCCAGCTCATCCAACCTACAAGTATAAAGGGACTTGGTTAGAAAAGTTTATAAAGTATTTTATGGTAACTGAGAAATTCATTTAAAAGGCTCCTTCAGCCCCAGTGCATTTGGGAGCTCTGAGTTAGTGCAGCTGAAGTGGCCACCGCACAATTTAAAGGAAAGTAACTGAGACCTCCTTGTTCTTTTTCAGCCAGGAGGCAAGAGCACTCCAGCTCTTGTTGTCTGAGGCCTTGCTCATTTTGAACACACCATGAGTACAGGCCTTAATGATTGTTTGGGGATATGACTTGGGCCTTTTTGAGCTTATTGAAAGCATTTCTAAGGTCACTTGCCTTCTTCTTGGCCAGGGTTTTTAATACTGCATATAATTTCTTTTAAAATAAATTCCCCCAAATAATTGACCATACCCAACATGCCTTCTTAATTAAAAACTCATTTTCAAGGAACATGCCTAATGTGGCTTATAAAGAAGCTTAGACATAACATATTCAGTGATTTCATTTGATTTTCTTTTCTATGCATTTAAGAACAGGAAATAAGAGGTGATTTTTAGAACAGATTTTGAATTTCATGCTTGGGTACCCATGATGTCTAGCTTATCACTGGATATAAATAAATTAATTGCTGTTTTAATCACAGGGAGGTTGACTGCTTTATGGTTGTTATATTTATACTCAGAATTCTACATGTTGTACATTGAAACATTTTTGACCTGGGGTTAAAATACCTTGTTTTTGAGTCCTAGATCCACTATTCCAGGACACCTTTGAGCAAGTCACATAATATTGTTTCTTAATTTTCTGACTGGCAATTATAAAATAGGGATAATGATAATAGCTACTATTTATTACATGTGTACTGTATGGAAGGCTCTGCTCTCTGCGATTTTCGTGTGTTAACTCAATTATTGTTTACAGTGTGTTCATGATATAGATACAGCCATCATCCTCATTTTACAGATGAGGCAGCTGAGGCACAAAAAGCTAGCAGAGGTGGGATTCCTTCCCAGGCAGCCCGGTTCCAGAGCCTATGCTTTTAACTCTGACTTTCTTACCTTGCAGGAGTTTCAAGGCTCAAATCAAATGTAATCGTGTGTGAAAGTGCTTTGAAAACTATAAAATGCTAGATAAATAGGAGGTATTATAAAAGTTACTGAGCCTAGCTTTAGTTTCCTTTGAGAAACATTTTCTTGGCAGTAGGAAAGTGTTGGTGTGATGGGAAAGAAATTATAATGTACTAGAAATGATGCCTTGGTTTCAAATGCCTTCAAAGCTTAGTGTAGCAGAAAGCTCACTGGGCTGAGGGGAAACAAACAAGAGTTCTAGTGCCAGTTGAGCTACTAATAAACTAGTCAACCTTGGATAAGTTGTCTAAAGCTCATCTCTTAAACCTGTGTTCAAGTATGAAGCAAGATGATTGGTGTGTAAACAATGGTTCTTAACCTTTCAGTGGCCATCAACCTTTTATATATTAGATTATATATTCTAATAACAACTATGGCACCACTTCACAAAATTTTGCACACAACTTTAGGGTTTCAGAGACCCTAGGTTAAAAACTCCAGGTCAAGATGTTGGAAGATGTTTGTAGCTCTCACATTCTAAGATTGGAACTACACTTTATAAATACATGCTTTAAAAATCTTCTTTACAGGAAAATGCCCTTCATAAATCATGGAAAGTGTATAAGAAACTGTTGTTCTGAGATGGTCAGAATAACATGATTTAGAGTTTAGGAATGGATCACCATTGATAGCAGTGAGGTATAGCTCACAAAAGAATTCCGCATTTCAATTTTATTTTGCTGAGAATGTTTTGGAAAGGGAGGACAGTCATAGCAGCAATATCCTACTTGATATATTAATCATACATTTAGCTTTACAGTGCATTTTCAAAAGTGCTGGGATTACTGCTTTTAATTCTGGTATCAGCAAAAGATAGCAGCACTGTTTCATGCTGGTCCACAGGGAGCAGCAGTATTTTTTATAAGAAGCAAGCTTTGGCATGGAAGCCATTAAGAATTTTATATCTATAAAAGTAGACAATGTCAACCCCAACTGAGTGCAAGATTTGTGGGTGGTCTGTTTGTGAAACATTTCTAATTACTGTGATGAGTCCTGCTGAGATTGCTAAAATTAAGCATCTGTCATATCCATTTTCTGTTGTTTTGAAACAGCTGTAGGAATTGTCGAAGAATCCCAAAGTCCATGGCATGGTAGCACAAACAGGAAGTGTTTTTAGCAAGCATTAAATCTACCCTCTCATTTTACAGACGAGAACTACTGAGGTTCTGTTTCAATCTAGTCCTGTGAAAATAGACCGAGACAGAGGTTTGCATGTGAGAAATTTATTGGGAAGTATTCTCAGGAACAAAACTGTAAGGGAATGAAGCGAATCGGGCAGAAGGAACAGATGAACTGTGATGCAGTCATAACAAAGGTCTTAGCCTGTTCCACAGCAAGCTTATGAACCGAGGTGGTACTTCAGAGTTGTCTAAAATTGAGGTATGGGTCAGACATGGGCCTTTGAATGCCTGCATTGCTCAGTTGGTGGATGTTTGCTGCCCATGGAGAGAGACCATATCATTGAACAAGTCAGCTTCCTTTGGCTAATGGAAATTTCTAGAGAGGAACTCATCTGTGAGGCTTCCGTAGCCAATATTCCCATCAACTAGGGGGATAAATGCCTTGGTCCTAAAGTGGGGTTCTGGGTGGTGTACCACTGCATTTACTACAATATTCAGAGTTTCATTTGGAGCACCATCATCTCTTGCCTAAATCACTGCAGTAGCCTTCAAACTGGTCCCTTGCCTTGAATCATGCCTTAATTCAGTCTATTTTCTGCACTGCAACTGGTATTATCATTATAAAATCCAATTCCTATCATGTTACTATGGCTTACAACTCTAATAGTTTCTCATACCTTCTACAGAGTCTAAACACCTCAGTACAGCTTCTAAGAACCTTCATGATCTCACTTCTATCTTTGGTCACAGTTCCTGCAATTCTTCTCTTGACTTCCACAGATCAGCCATGGAATTTCTTGCAGTTCCACAAATGCATTATGTTCTACCTCTGAGCCTCTGTACATGCTATCTCCTCTGTCTGGAACACTCCACAATACACACATGCACATGGGTAACTTTTACTTTAGACTAACTCTCTTTTAAGAAGTCTCCTCTATTTCCACAGTGTCCTGTAATTACTGCTATTGTAATTATTTTCTGTGAGATTTTATTGAAATTATCTGTTTACATGTCTCTAGACAGCAGGAAGCTCCTTGAGGGCAGGAAGAGTATCCTTATTATGCATCGTCTGATCTATGCACAGTGACTAGAACTTGGTAGGTACACAATAAGTACTTGTCTAATGTAACACAAGGTCACACCCTGTGCATGCTCAGGGATAAATTATTTTTGATGTTTTTTTCAATTGTCATTGTGAGGACATACCATCTGACCACCAAGTTCCTATGCCTGTGTCCACACAATTATCTGAGACCAGGCAATTGCAAATATAAAGTAGAATCACATGATAGATGAAAAAAACTCTATCTGAGATGATAAATGTAACATCTTTAAAATGGATGTGACCTATGTATCAGATTCTTATAGCTCCTCTAAAAGGAGATTTAAAAGACACTGTAATCCTCTGAGGGATGTGTAGTGACAGGTGGAATCGTGACATAGCATTCAGAACTGAGAGGCTGGAGTATGGAAGTGTTAATGATGGTCAATAGGATTAGTCCTTGATTATAGACATGTCTCCTTGCCAACAATTTGTAGACTTTGCAGGGATTTGCCTGTAGGAGATTTTAGAAGATGTGCTGCAGAAGTAGGGTCAGGTTAAACTTGTAGTACTTGAAAACTATTGCCAAGACACTTTAAAATTTTAGTAAGATTTTCAGGAAGCCACCAGCTTCTGGGTAAAGTGTACATTCCAGACAAGTATTATTCTATTTTCATGTCTGATAGTAATCTCTCTAATATATAGCTAGTCCTGGTACCTCCATTTCATAAGCTGAACTTTAAAAATGTTATAACAAGGCATTAATCAGGGCTTCACTCTCTACAGCCAACAAGGATTAGACAGGAAAAAAAGATATTGCTACCCTTTTTGTACAGTCTTGCTGGGCCTACTCCCAAGAGTGGGCTTCTCTTTGACCTTTCATCAGTCTCTTTGTTTTCCCTTGGCTGGTGATAACTAACAAAACTAAGTGTTGGTAGGAGAGGTGATAAAAACATTTTGACAGGACATATATAATTTGTTGAAATCAGTTGCCATAATCAATACAGCCATATCACATATCTAGAATTGATTAATAAAATACTTCTTAAACAGTGAGTGTTAAACATTTGAGTCAGTTGTGGACCTCTGGAAACCTGATAAAAACGAAGAGTCTTGATAAAAATGAAGAGTCTTGATAAAATGAGACTTCACAAAATTTTACATTCAATTTCATAGAGATAATAGATTCCCCAAAATCCATCAATAGACCAGTGCTGAAAAACCATTGATTTAGAGATAGGAAAAAAATGGCTTCCATTTATTGACTGCTGAGTACATCTCAGGCCCTGTGCTAAACACTTCATGTACATTATCTCATTTAATCCACACAATGACCCTATGGGGCAAATGCACATTAATTATAGATGAAGAAATGAAGGTTCAAAAAATTAGCTACCTGCCCTGAGAACACAGCTTAGAAGTAGCAGAACTGGGATTCAAATACAGGATTCTGGTAGGCTTCAGGGCCTATACAACTTTATACCATTCAGCCTCTAGTGAGTCTTATAAAGTTCTATCTAATTGGAACTTTGTGCTTTAGTAGTATTGGCCATCAATCTTGTCTTTGCTTCTTGTTTTCAGAAGCACCCATCTTTAAATAGTTGTTCATGGACTCTGAGTTTTAATATTCTGCCTTTTAAATTCTATTGATTGTCAGCATAGCTGAACACACCACTGGTCTAGTTAAACTAGTTAAACTAGATCAGTTTAGATAAACAGAATTAGAGAAATAGAATGTCCCAGTTTTCAGTCTGTTGAATATCTGCACAGAAATACAAATGGTGGAATGTTTCTTGCAAGCGAATTCAAAAGTATCATTATGCCCTTCATTCAGTGCCTCTTAGGAGTGTGTAAGGATCATTTGTATAGCAAAGTTCAAGTCATGATCTCTTGTCTATATTGGAAATATCTGGCCAAATTTTGGATCATTTTTATTGTTCTTAAGCACAGGTAGAATAGGTAATAATCAGTATGGTATGATTTCAGGATCTTGTTTTATGATGAAGCACACAGAGACTATAGCATTCTAACCCTAAATATTTTGGTATGCATCTCTAAAAATAAGAATATTTTTCCTTTTAGAGTTAAAATAACACTAGCACATCTAAAAATTAATAATTCTTAAATATTGTTCAATACCCATGCATATTCAAATTTTGATGATCCTCAAAATACTCCTTACATTTTTGTTTGCTTGTCCAAACCAGGATTTTATCCAGGACCATATGTTGGATCTGATCATTGTGATAACTATCTTTTAATCTAGAACAATTTCCTCTCCACTACAAGAACTTTCTGAAGAGACTAGGCCAGTCATTTTCTAGGCTTCTTGGAAGCGCTGTTTAGCTGGTTTCTCTATCCCCTTTATTTCCTGTAAACTGAAAATTGGAGTAAAGCCTTGCTTAGATTCAAGCCAAACATTTTCGACAAGATTATATTATAGGCAATGTTGGATACTCTATGTTATGTTGCATCAGGAAAGTGTCCCACCATTAGTGAAGTAGTGAAGCTCAGATTGACCATTAGATTAAGGTGATGACTGTCTAATTTCAGAAAACTTGGGCAAGTTTTCTATCTATCGAAATCCTTATTTTTATCCCTAGTTCCCCTTCCAGCAATTCCCCAATGCCTCACATATTTTCAATAGGTATCAAGTTCTATTATTATTTCACAATCAGGTATAAGTTCTGTTATTATTCCACAATCAGATATAAAGACAAGTAGATGACTGCCTCCAGAGCCTTTAAATCCTTTCCTAAGAGTTCAAATAAAGAGAAAAAAATAGAACTGCCTAGGTGAGAGAGCCCAGAACAGGGCTGATGGAGAAACTTATAAAATCATGAGCAGCTTTACAACTTTTTTGAGGGATGGCCTTGGCCTAAGCTCTATCAAGCATGGGAGACTCATTTCAGAAAGAGATTTGCTGTTTTCCCAGAGAAGACATTGCTATGTGACAAACATATTTGTATTTGTCTGTTCTCACACTGCTATGAAGAAATACCTGAGACTGGGCAATTTATAAGGAAAAGAGGTTTAATTGACTCACAGTTCCACATGGCTGGGGAGGCCTCAGGAAACTTACAATCATGGCAGAAGGCACCTCTTCACAGGGCAGGAGGGGAGAGAATGAGTGCAAGCATGGGAAATGCCAGACCCTTATAAAATCATCAGATCTTGTCAGACTCACTCATTATCACGAGAAAAGCATGGGGGAAATCACTGCCATGATTCAATTACCTCCAGCTGTTGACACGCAGGGATTATAATTCAAGGTGAGATTTGGGTGCGGACACAGAGCCGAGCCATGTCAATATTCATGAGAGGAAATGTTTAAGTCTGGTGTTCTTAGGGCAGGTTGAAATTAGGCAAGTTTACCTGCAGTGATACCTTACCCTCACTGCAGAAAACCCTCCCACCTCGATATTTACTTCTCTTCTTTGGATGTTGTGCACAACTCAGATTCCCCCCATCCCAATGATATACAAAAACACTCACACATTTCTTCCAACTCTTATGTTTTCCTTTGTTTCTTCTATATAAAGTCTGTTTCAAATCAAGAATCATATCACCTTATTCATAGTTAAGGACTACAACTTCCTTTTTCAGATATTTGAGTTTTAACTGGATGGTGTGTGTATGGCTGTAATTTAGGGGAGTTATTGTTAACTGGTAAACTTGCCACTAGTACTAACAGTGGGAGAGATACTTTTGAGGGCAAGTCTTCACAGTGTTCCTTAAATCACTCTATACGGTGCTATGTATCTTGCCTTCTTACGAGGCTAGCTTTGGTTGAGGAAAAACAAACTCCGAAGAGTTACCTATCTAAAACACTTAGGTGTGTTTGCATTATAAAGAAGCCTCAAAAGGAACATGTTTCTGACTAGGATTTTCTAATTAGTAGATATGAACACTTTATCTGTGGCAACCCATTAGTTACCAGACCAACATACTCAATAAAAGTCACCCAATATGCAATATGGGTGTTTGCTCAGCATATTGATTTTACCACTGAAATTGAAAACATCTTCTCTGATGAGTTTTGGGAAACAAAGTCATCAATCTCAATAGGGATGCTATGGATTTGGTCACTTTTGATGCACAGAAAGGCTACTAATTATTTTCAAGTAAATGCCTCCAATATCCAGTGACAAGTTGTATTACAAGTTGGCAACTTTTCAGAGCTGTGTGCCAGGACTCCATTTATTCACTCTCCTGGGAGTGAGCAGCTGTTTCAGTGAGGTGAGGCCTGGCTATTCCTATTAGCAAGTGTGGGGATGGGTACTGTGATTTGAGAGAGGGTGGCTGGACCTGATCTCTGGGATCCTTTGCTGCAAGTCTCTTTCTGCAATTTTCAACAGCTATGGTTAGGATCAGCTCTGCAACTAGATCCCATTCTCCCAACTACTAATTAAGTTAAGCAGACATGCATTCAGCAACGTATTTATTACCTAAATTCTCATTAATAGCCCACACTGACGGCAGGCACTGTTGCAGATGCTATAGATACCATGATATACAGGGCTGACATGTCCTCAAACTTAATCTGGTGGGGAAGACAGTCAATACAGAAGTAAATACAGAATTACAAGTTGTTGTAAGAAAGAAACACAGACTGTGACTGAAAATACAATAAGCAGAATCTCACTTAGACATGGTGGTCAGAGAAGTATCTACCATATGTCAGACACTCAGCTAGATGGTTTGTTAAAAAGATGTAGGTGGACAGGATCCCTGTCCCTAAGAAATTATTGATTTATAATTAGTTCAATAAGAAAAGCATGTATGAATAATAATGGAAACTTAGAGAAGGAGCAATTAATTCTGCCTGGGGTAGAATGGGGTAGTAATGTCAGAGACAGTTAGAAAAAGGGTGTCACCTGAGCCGGTTCTTGAATGGTTACTGGAAGAATGCTGAGTGAACTCCAATGGCTGGGGGTAAAGGAGTCTGGATAGAGGCAACAGCAAGAGGAAATGTGTCAAGGCATGTCTGAGGGAATGAGGCAGGTCATCCTGGAGCCCTAACCTCAAATGAAATTTTATGCAGAACTCCAGTAGGGAAAAGATATAAATGCAGAACAACCCTGTTTGAAGCAGCTGAAGGAGTGGGTAATAGGGGAATGATAATCATTTTCTATGGCTGCCATAGCAAATGACTGTGAACTTAGAGACTTAAAACAATGCAAATTTAATATTTTCCAGTTGTGAAGGTCACTGGGATAAAATCAAGTTGTCAGCAGGCTGTGTTCTTTTCTGTAGGCTCTAAGGAACTGTTTCCTTGTTTTTTTTCCAGATTCTAGAGGCCCCCTTCCCAAGGCAGCAACATCACATCTCTCTGGCCTTTCTTTTCTCATCATGTCTGTCTCTGATCACAGGCTGGGAAAGGTTCTACAGCTTTAAGGACCCATGCGATTCAACTGGGACCACTGGGATAATCCAGGTAAACTCCTCAAGATACTTAACTTTAATCATATTTGCAAAGTACTTTTTGCTATGTAACTGTAAACCAAAAACTAGCTGAGACAAGTCTCAATCAATTTAGAAGTTTATTTTGACAACACTAAGGACATGCCCAGAAGAAATAAACAGGGAATTACAGAAACAGTCTGTGGTTTGTACCTTTCTCCAAAGATGATTTTGAGGGTTTCAATATTTAAAGGGGGAAAGTGGGCTGGAGAGAAAAGAGGGAGGATATAGTCACACTACCAAATCCACATGTTGCAAGAGAAAAGGAGCAGGTAGGGGAAGAATCAATTATGTATTCATCTGGCTCTCAGTAAATCAGCACTTTACATAAGATAAAGTGAACATAGAGAGTAACTACCTGTGGAGATATTTAACCTTTTATCTGTAGCTATCTGCTTAGGAACAAAAGGAAAGTCAGTTTCTTGTATGACTCAGCTTTCAGCTTAGATTTTTCTTTTGGCAGAGTGAATTGGAGTCTGGAATTTTTAATTTCCGTTCACATAAGGCAACATATTCACAGATTCTAAAAATGAGGATGTGGACAGTGCTTAAACATCACTTCCTCAGATAGACCTGATAAAAGTCAGATTAAATTAGTATTTCCTATTAAGTACTTCCATAGCACCCTGTATTTCATGTGTCTGTGCCTGTTTGTGTATGTAGAATAAACCAGAAAGGTCAGGGGAAGCCAAGTTGTGAGGCAACATTTATTCATTCACCAACCATTTTGTGAGCAAGGCACAATATATACCCCAAATTTAGCATTATTCTTCTAGTGAGAAAGACAGACACTGAACAAATAGTTTAAAATGCATAGCAAATGTTTTAGAATAGGACCTGGAGTGGTAAGCAGCCATCAGTTTTCCTATAGGCCACTGAGAGCATGCAGACCTGGAGGGGCCTGTCAATCATAACAAAGGGACACCAGGATGGAAAGAAGCTTGAACGACAGGACCGGATGAGGTCAGATGGGAAGATTTCTTTTTTTCCCCCGAGATGGAATCTTGCTATGTTGCCCAGGCTGGAGTGCAGTGGCACGATCTTGGCTCACTGAAACCTCCACCTCCTGGGTTCAAGCAATTCTCCTGCCTCAGCCTTCTGAGTAGCTAGGATTACAGGCATGCACCACCACGCCCGGCTGATTTTTGTATTTTTAGTAGAGATGGGGTTTCACCATCTTTGCCAGGCTGGTCTCAAACTCCTGACTTCAGGAGATCCACCCACCTTGGCCTCCCAAATTGCTGGGATTACAGGCGTGAACCACCGCACCCAGCCCAAATGGGAAGATTTCTAAGTCAGCAGATGCTAGCATAGAGAGGGGATGACAGTAAAAAACTCGATTAGGATTATATACTCCACATTTGATGGAGGGTAGATATGTATATGGGCCTTATATTTGCAGCCTCTATGTCATGAAGATTTGTAAGCCCCTTGGACTTAGAGTGATCATAGAACAAAGTAGAAGAGCATACAGAGGTGAAAATCCTGGATTGTGTTTAAACCTAAAATGACTGAGAAAATCCATGAGTAACTGAAATTGGGTAAATTGAGATCTTTGCGTTTTGATGGAATGTGGCCTCTTAAGAGTGATTTAGATGTTATAAAACAACAAACTTATATTTTTACAGTCTCCAGAATGAAGACTGTTAAAATTCATACCTACTACATATATTTGCTCTGCTGAGGGGTTCAGATTTTATTCTATCAAATGTATAGCTGCACTAGCTAGCAGAGGTTTTCAATAGGAGAGAGGCAGAATCAGGTTTGCTTTTGAAAAATAAACTCAGATAGCAGTTCAAAAGAAGATGTGAAGGGTGTGGATATCAGGAGAACACTAGAAGACTACTCTACTAATCCAGGTGACGGGGAGAAGGATCTGGGCTAAGATAATGACCACTGAAAAGTGCAAATACCTCTGATACAGGTCAAACCAAAGAGTATTCCTAGGGACTGATTTTTTTTTTTTCCCGTGGTTTTACTTAGGCAAAGCACTCAGTTGCCTGATTGTCAACTTCTAAGCCAGGTACATTAAAGAGAGAGAAATAATTTGTCATAAAAATGACTGATAATGTTTAGATCAGGAAACAAAAACTTAGCTGTGTATGGGGACCAGGTAGAGGCTGGCAAACTGAAGAACGAATGCCCCATCGAAAGAGGGCAACTTATTTGCAGCTCCAGACCATGTAATCCTGTGAGACCAGAGCTACAGATTCCACAAGACAATTTCCCTTGTGTTAAACATTGGCAATTATGTAAAAATTTTAAGCAATACTGTGTAAGTGTAACGAAAACAAAAGATGACTGTGGGCTGATTTGCTCTATGGGTTGCACCTTTATAATCCCTGGTTTAGGTTTATTAGGCATTGAGAAACTGGTGAGCAGAATGTGGGATGGTTGTGTGTATGTATGTATATATATAAACAAAGTTTCATATCCCAAGACTTATAATAAACATCACATCCTTGGAAATGGTAGATTCTCAATAAAAAGATATCAAGTTTATTGAGTACTTATTACTTGCCAAATACTGGTAGAAATGAAATAGAATATTATAATTGTAAGTTGTTTATAATTTTTCTTGGTATATGCTATAATATATTAAGACATATAGCACATGACATTTTAAAAAAAGCTTTCTTCAAAATGAAATTGACTTACCCACCACCAGGTATATTAACTTATTCTCACTGCTCATCTGCCTACTCTTTTAGCTGTTGGTGGTGTTCACCCTGGGCACATTTCTGCTACTTCTAACTAAAAGAGGAAACATTAATATCAGAGCAAGAGGCCAGGCACAGTGGCTCATGCTTGTAATCCTAGGGCCTTGGGAGGCCGAGGTGGGCGGATCATTAGAGGTCAGGAGTTCAAGACCAGTCTGGGCAACATGGTGAAACCCTGTCTGTACTAAAAATACAAAAATTAGCCAGGCGTGGTGGTGCATGCCTGTAGTCACAGCTACTCGGGATGCTGAGGCAGGAGAATCGCTTGGATCCGGGAGGTGGAGGTTGCAGTGAGCCAAGATCATGCCACTGCACTCCAGCCTGGGTGACAGAGTAAGACTCTGTGTCCAAAAAAATAAAAATAAAAAATTAGAGCGAGAAAAGAAGATCAATGGTCTTTAACAACCCAAACTTGCTATATAAGTGATAGTAGCTAAACTAGCAGCCAAAGGCAGAAATTTGGGCCTGTTATTAGTCAAAACGATTGACAAACATGAGACTTGGGATAAACTGGGATAAACTTTGTAGATTCCTTCAGTTTTTCCTAAAACCTTGACACATGGTATTTCCTGGAACTCTACTTTCATTCACTTATAGCTTAACCTGGTAGTGGGAACTTACAGATGTTGAGTACAGGTTTCCTCCCTGGGGATGGGTGTCTTCCATGGAAGCTGTTTACATTATCATCTATTCCTAGAAAAAAAGAAACTTTTTTTTTTGAGGGAGGTGGGGAGGCATATGTATTTCATTACATCTTTGGAAATTATATTTTTATATTATGTGGAAATTTTGAAAATATACTTTTCAGGCTAGAGCAACACACACACACACACACACACACACACACACACACACACACCCCAAAATCTAACAGGACAAAGTCCTGGAGTCAATACCAGATGCTTTGAACCTAGACGTGACCTTGTGCACAAAGCTCTTCTGCAAGTAAGGGATACTTTTAATTGCATTTGTTGTCTTTCTCATCACCAAAACATTGAGTAAATAAATATTATGCACCTATTTGGAGAAATCACCGCAAAACTATTTTAAAACATAGTTGTCTTTTGTCTTATTATACTCTTCCATACTTTAGAGTTGGAAGGGACCTCAGATCATTTGGTTCCATGTACTCCTTTTGGGGCAGGTAACAACATTCTAATTTTCCAGGTGAGGCAACTGAAGCTCAGATATAAAATGAATTTCAAATGACTAAGATTCAGGAATAATTATTTTACTAATGTCAGGATGATATCCTTCAAGGACTAGATTAAACATTCATATTTTTTACAATGTTGCTCTAAATTTATCACTTGGTACATTGAGTAACTAGAGTTTGTTACAGTTACAAAGTATAATAATTAACTTGTATGTCTTATGTAAAAACAGAAGTAAATTGCAGTCTCAGGTTCATTCGTCATTCCTATGAGGATCCTTGACCATAAATAAGCCCAGTCAACCATTAACCTCCTGGTAGTGACATGAATTGCATACAAAGAACTCAGAGGGAAATAAAGAGAGTCTGGACATTGAACCTTGATGACCTAAGCCTACCATGAAACAGTTTCTTTTTCCACTTTGCCCAGCACTGAGCTGGAAGGCCAATAATAGGGAGAATGAGTGTGGGGGTGTGGTTGTCAGTAAATTTTTTAAAAATCCCATTGATTACTACTTGAATTTACCAAAGAATTACCATGTGGTAAATAAAAATTGATGTCAGGTATAAACAGGTTTTGAGAGGCAGGGATAGGAAGGCAAAACCGACACTGCACTGAAGGAGAGTCTGGAGGCAGGCAGTCGCTAGAGAGATACTCAGGTGAATGGGTCCTTGGGGGGTTAGCTGGCAAATCTTTGCCATTTAAATCTATTTCTCCGTCATTTCACAGAGCTAAGTGTATAGTTCAAGCTCCATAATTTTTTTTTTTTTTTTGAGACGGAGTCTTGCTCTGTCGCCCAGGCTGGAGAGCAGTGGCAGATCTCGGCTCACTGCAAGCTCCGCCTCCTGGGTTCACGCCATTCTCCTGCCTCAGCCTCCCGAGTAGCTGGGACTACAGGTGCCCGCCACCACGCCCGGCTAAGTTTTTGTATTTTTAGTAGAGATGGGATTTCACCGTGTTAGCCAGAATGGTCTCGATCTCCTGACCTCGTGATCCGCCCGCCTCGGCCTCTCAAAGTGCTGGGATTACAGGTGTGAGCCACTGCGCCTGGCCAAGCTCCATAAATATTTTTAATTGGGTTAAATTTCCCAGGGATTTGAAAAACTTGTTTTTCTTTTATGTTCTCAATATTTTAAGTGCTGCAGTTTTGATAGGAATAAAATAGATTTAGTGTCTAGATATAGTCAACATAATGATTTAGATGCAATTTTAGATGTACTTTTCTATAAATTGCCTCTCTGAGCTTAATGACCTTTAGTACTTCTTTTTTATTTGAGGGTATTGCCTCTTTCTGTCTTTAAATAGTAAACACATGATGCGAGTGACAATATATAAATTTTAAAAAGGATAAAAACATTGTCCTGAGTCCAAGCACTTTAAAATTTACAATGATTTTACTCTCATATATCCTTTCTCATCCTTTTTCCACATGCATATACCTTTCTACAGTTGTGATCATAAAAACTGTATATCCTGCTTTTTCATTTAATATCATGTGTTATATAAGTTTCCACATTTCTATATAGTCATTATAATCATTTTAAAGACTAAGGTACTTTTCAAGGTTTCACAACTACCTCTAGTTTTTTAGTTCCTATTCTCATTTAGTATTTTAAAATGTCTTTACTGTCTCCTGGTTTTTGTTTTTGTTTTGTTTCAATCTAAAGTTTCAGGGCTAGATTTTCTTCTGCCTGCTGGGTTTATGCTGCTTAGCTCAACTTATCAGAGACAACTTTTAGCTTTGGATTTTGATCAGGCCTCTTTCAAAGGGTTGTGTCACTGTAGCTGAATTTCAATGGCATCAATTTCAGTTACTAGGTTGGGGATTTGTATTAGAGGATTTTAGAAATGCTGGTTTCCAGTTCTTTTATGTTGGAGAAGTGCCAGATAACACAGCTTTTGCTGTAATAGGTCTGCACAGACTGCAGCTGGCGTGCCATGTGGGGCTGGAGAATTGTGAATTCAGGCACTTTTCTCCATCCCTTTGATTGCCACAGACAGAGCTTGTCCCTGGGAGTTATCAGCAAATTCTGGCAGGAAAGCAGGCAGGATAAGAGTCAGGAAAGAGGCTGTCTGAGGGATGTAGGGTGAGGAAGTGCCTTAGGAGTTGGACCAGAATTGTGGTAGAGACTGAAAAATACAGTAGGGGGAATGCTGTGTATATGACAAGAATTCTAGTTAAGATTTAAACATTAATTTAAACAAAAAGATGCTTACCTTTTTATGACATAGGCCCCTTTTTTAATCTGATGAAAGCTATGTACTTTACTTACCCCCCTCCAGAAAAAAAAATACAGATGCTTATTACTTTCAATCGCAAAAATCGCAATTACTTTTGCAGCAACCTAATAACTACATAGTTGCACTTGATTCTTCACAAACCATCCATAGCATCCTTAGGGTGAAGAACCTCATTCCACAGGAAAGATCTGGAGGACAGGAAATGGTTGCAACAGTATTTCCCAACATTTTCCCCCTCATTTTTTAATTCCTTCTTAAGAGTAATTTTATATTTTATTTAAATAAGGTTGCAGATCTCTAATAAGTGGTGGTGGAGGTTGGATCATAACGACAGCCTGGGAAAGCGAGGAATTGACGAGGATGAGTGTCTTGGAAAATAGCATGGAACCTAGAATTGGGGCTGAGTGGAGCATGGTGAGAGAATGAGCTAGACGAAAAAGGCAGCGGGGGGTTGGGGGGGGCAGAGAGAGAGCGAGAGAGAGAGAGATTGAAGTTTGCCTTTTCAGCTGTCCTTTTCAATGTGGTGTCTAGTCTGTGTACAAAGAGCAACTCCTCTCATGTGTGATCCTCAGCAAATTACTAAGTGCAGGCTCTGTGCTAAGTCCTTTACAAGTGCTTGCCAATGCCTTCAGTGGTTAAGACTCTGGGTTCTATATTCTGACTTCTTGGGTTCAGATCCAAATTACTGGGAAAGTTACTTCATCTTTCTAAATTTCAGTTTTCCAGTCTGACAAATGGGGATACTAATTCTTAACTGTGAGGATTAAATGGGATTACACTTAAAAAGTACATTGCACAATGCCTGACACACATTATGTGTTCAAGAATTGTAGCCATTATTATAATATGTATTATGATTGCCAGATAGATTCTGCCTCATTAGTTTCATGGACCAGATAGCCAAATATATATATTTCCATATATAGCAACCAAAATGGGCATTTCAAGCCTCTAAATGAAATTAGAAAGGGAGTTTTATCATTACAGTAGATTTTTCAGATATTATCAAAGATAATCATCTATGTTACCCATGTCTTTTTGAAGGTTCCTGTGATTTTACTAACATTTATGAAATTTAATTTGATAATTCAGATAATAAATGCATTCAGGTTCATATGCATATTTCACTAGTGTTATGTACATAACATTACTAGGATTTTCTAAGAGAGGAAATAGTTACCAAAGCCTGCATTCATTAATCATATATTGTAGGAACTGTCTAGCAGGAGGACGGTTTCCAGAGTCATCCTGAGGGACAGGCAAATGTTAATTATCTAATGAAAATTAGAGTTAAGAAAACCCTCCCCCGTGTTTGTGATTATTATTTGTTGAAAGAAGGAATAAATGAATGAATAAACCTGATATCACTGAAAATTCTACTTGGTGATGTTACAAGAACATCATCGTGTTTATATTACACATTTGCATATAAGTTGTACATTCAGCTCCATAACATCACCTGCCCAAAACACCAGCTTAATTCATTAAGTCAGTTGCTATAGAAATTGATGCATACACAAAACTGAGGCAGGTTTATCCAACGAAGAGGTGAGTTTTGCTGCTGAATCTCCATTTAAAAGGGATTGGCTCTGTGATCTCCTACAACCTCTTAATTCACCATCATAACAGTTATTACACTGTTATTGCTTGTTTAATTGTCTTCACTGCTACTGTATAAGCACCATGAGAGAGGTTCTATCTTGCCCACTATTTTATTTCCACATGTAGCACAGTATCCAGCACTTAGTATTCAATGAACACTTATGGAAAGAATAACAGTCCAACACCAGTGTGCTATTGAACAATGTAACATAAAGAATAAGAGCTTGGACTTTGCAGTCAGGGAGGCTGGGATTTATGTCCCAGCTCTGTTGCTCATGAGCTATGAATACCTTGGGCAAGTTGTTTAACCTTCCTGAGCTTCATTTGCTCATCTGTAAAATGGTGATAGTGATAGCTAATTTATAGGGTCACTGTGAGCATGAAATAAAATGATGTATCTAAAATGCTCAGAAACATATGGATTGTAAATACTTTCTGAATATTTGTAATAATAATTTTGATAAATGATTGTAATAATCAAAATTATAGTAATAACTTTGATTATTACTAATTAAGATGTTTACTGTTATTGTAGTTGACTATGAATTGTCGTTTGAGGGAGGAAAGTAAAGTTTGAAGAAGTAGTTTTTGACTATACAAAAGTATTTTCAGACTGAAGATGGATTGAAAAATTCCACAGGAATAATTTAGAGGCATCTGAGGGAACATTTAATTGGATTAAATAAAATATTACTCTTTTGAACTATATGGTGCCTCCGGGTTTTAAAGTGTTAACTAAATATCACTAAGGAAGTACCTAATTTTATACAAGACATATTCATCTTAATCAAGTGGCAGAACCTCACCCCGTATGCTTTAGGGAAGACTCCTCTCTTTAATTCATTATACCTTTTGGTCAGGAAGCTATTTTTCACTTATAGTCGATGTGTGACTGAATTTTGATGGACATAACTTGAGTCCCCATAGAAATTCCTTTTTAAGTACAAGTACTTGCATTTCAATTATGAACATGTTTAGACTCTCTGTGTTCATTCACTAAGGCCCTTTCTACTTTGTGGGGAGAAACATTGTCTATAGTTTTTATTGTATTTAGATGCTCCTTTGCCCCTTCATTCAAAAGGTTTTGTCCAGCATCCATGATGTCAGCTTCCTGTCCTCATAGATCTTATGCAATCTTAAAGCCAAATGTGGCATCATGGGGCCTCTGGCTCTACATACATATTTTATGGGTTGGGAAATGATAGCACAGAGAGACAAAGTGAACTGTCTGGGGTTAGAGTGCTATTTAGTGACAGAGTTTGGGCTGGAACCTAGGTCTTTTGATGTCCTGTCCAGTCAGTGCATCTTCTGATAATGCTAGAATTGACAAAGGTCCATTAGTTTCCACTACTTGGTTTTCAGTCACTTGTTTTCAGTCACTTGTTTCAGATAGAAAATGCTACACTATGCCTCTGGAAGGAAGGAACAGTCTTATGTCTCTAGAAAGACACTGCTGATTCAGATCAGCCTTGAGAAACTGCTGAGTACAGGGTTGGCTCAAAATGATTAGTATCAACATGTGTAAAATTGTAGGCAGGACTTAGAAAACAATTCAGTTGGATTAGCTGACATTTGTACAGGTTACTTTTCCAGTCAGAATTTCAACAAGTTTGGGCAGGTGATGTTATGAAGATGAATGTACAACTTATATGCAGGTATGTAATATAAACACAATGTCATCATAATGTCACCAAGCAGAATTTCCATGATATCGGGTTTGTCCATTCATTTATTCCTTCTTTCAAGAAATAATTATGGGACACCTACTATGAGCTGGACACTCTATATACTGAGAGTATAAAGATGAATGAGGCAAGCCTCTCATTATTAAGGAATTTAGCATCAAGATTTCAGGATAGGAGCTAATTAGTAGATAGTGTAGGCTTGTGTTTGTGTTTTATGTCATAGTGAGGAAAGATTGCTGGTGGGTGAGCATGGTGTGGTGTGCATGTGAAGACCTGAAATGAATGCCATTCTTTATCCCTCTTGGAAACATATCTGTTTCAACTAGCCTTGCAAATGAGACAGCCCTCTTTGTGTTTTTAAGGGTTAAAGAATAATGGAACCGGCCAGGCGCGGTGGCTCATGCCTGTAATCCTAGCACTTTGGGAGGCCGAGGCGGGCGGATCATGAGGTCAGGAGATCGAGACCATCCTGGCTAACAGGGTGAAACCCCATCTTCACTAAAAATACAAAAACTTAGCCGGGCATGGTGGCAGATGCCTGTAGTCCGAGCTACTTGGGAGGCTGAGGCAGGAGAATGGCGTGAATCCTAGAGGTGGAGTTTGCAGTGAGCTGAGATCGTGCCACTGCACTCCAGCCTGGGTGACAGAGCGAGACTCCGTCTCAAAAAAAAAATAATAATAATAAAAGGAATAATGGAACCATTAGGCTAGATTGTGATGATTGTCAATAAAGGAAATTGTACCTTCTATAGAGCAACTGTTGTTCTTCCACTGCATTAGTGGCTTGGCTTGGGGCAGAGGGTTATCATACTTCTCATGGGTTTGGTGAAGATTGATTCCTTCTATTTCTGCCATATTTTCCTATGCCACCACTTGCCTGCTGAGGCCTCTGCCTATTGCCATATTCCTCTAAAACTGAGGAACACTATTTTGTTAGAAAATCTTGCCTGCCACTGAATATTCTCCATGCTCAAGCCTTAACTTCTGCTTGTTGTTTGTTGTCAGGCTCCCAGAATGTTTTGCCCTCTTATCAGGATCCTTTTCTGTAGTAACCGTTGAGTTCTTCCTCAGTGGTCTGCCATACCCCAGGAAGTCTTCATGGTCTCAGGACCTGGGCTTTCCTTGGACTGACCTGTCTTACCATCCAATGTTCACCCCTTCTTAGCAGGGTACCCCCAGTTGTGATTCTGGCAGCAGTTACCTCAACTACCAAATGGCTACAATTATTTGGCACTGTATTTTTGTCAATTGGCTTCAGGGGCTGAGTTTTTGATTAAGTACCCTGCCCCACCCTACCCCCAAATAAAACAATTTTTTTTGGTACCGATGGAAACAAATCATCAACTAGTATAGAAATACATGAAAAAGAAACTGAAGATCACTTATAACTCCAAAACTCATAGATATTAACTGTTAATATTTTGAATATTTTGTTAGTATCTATTGATGTGCATATATACAAAGCCTGTCAGTTCTACATTCAAAAATTTTATCAAATCTAACCAGTTCTCACTGTCTTCAACATTACTACCATCCTTGTCCAAACCATCATGATATCCTGCCTGGAGTATATCAATAACGTCTAGCTGGTCTACGGTCTATTCTTCACCCAACATCCAGAGTGATCCTTTTAGAATGTTGATCTGGTCATGCTTTTTACCTATTCAAAAATGTCCAGTGACTTCCCATCAGACTTCCAATAAATCCACCCTCTTTTACATGGTCTATTAAGTCCATTTGACTCCTGCCTGTGTTTATTGTCTCATCAGTTGTCATTCTTCCTCTTATGCCATTTTAGTCATATTGGCCTCTTTGCTGCTTCTCAAATTAAAGCATGATTCAGCTTTGGGGACTTCAGCTTGTTGTTCCCTCTATTAGTAATGTTCTACCCATAGATAGTCACATGATTTGCTCTTTCACTTCATTGAGGTATCTGCATAAATGTCACCCACTATTGTATTTTAAAAAGCACTTTCTCTTGATACTGCCTGTTTTTCTACTTGCTTTATTTTTCGTTCTAGCACTTATCCTTACCTGTCACTTATCCTCAATATACTATATGTATAGTTTAATGTCTGCCTCCACCACTAGACCATAAGCTTTATAATGACAAGGATGTTGTTTTATTTATTGCTTAAACAATAAACGGTGCCTGGCACATAGTAAGTTGTTCAACAAATATCTGTTGAATAAAAATTTGGAAATATATATGTAAATATCATACTATACATGGCATTTATTAAATGACTTTTAAAACTTAATATATAGTGAGATTCTCCCATATCTATAAATACTAATATGTATTATCAAGTTTATGTTTTCATCCTTTTAATCTTAACAGTGGTCAATTATTCTCCTTGGTGGAGTGGGAAATTTGGCTGACAAATAGTAAAAAGGTTTTGAAGGAGTGTCTTTCCATTAAACTGGAGTCAAAAAATAAAGGGGGACTATAAAATATTCCAGTGGCCTTCTTCATGTGTTAGAGGTAGTTTCTAAAAAGGAGTTCCAAGCAAGGTTTCAGCAATGAAGGAAATCTGTAGCATCTTAAAATGATTCATTTAAAGGAAGAGGTGCTCATTAGGAGAAAAGTGGTATATAGTATGTTAGATTAAAATAGTCAGACTACTTTATAATCACACTTCTTAAAAACAAGAGATGACATTAAAAGTAAGAAAACACTTGACAACTACTCTGAAGGGATATTGTTGTAATATATAACAGATGCTAACAGTCCAAGCCTCAGTAATGTGTTAATGTTATTTCACTTAACAATTTGATTTTTACTGTTTTACATCTTAATAATTGTTTTTGAAATATTTGTATGATATATGCCTTCCTAACTTCAGAAGGCAAGCTACATAAACCACATTATTCGGTTCTTGCTGTCAGATTTTAGAAGCCCAAGAGGTTCTGAGTCTTGGGCTTCTAAAATTTTTATTGTTTCTTCAAGTTTATGTGCGGACTCTAAAGAAAGGTTCTATACCATAACCAAAGAAGTCTTAATGAAGAAATCATCTTGTTGAACCAAATCCATTGTAAAATTTACCATGCTCCAAAGTTAAATAAGAGTTTTGCTTTAACAAAAGCTTGCACATTTGTTTAGAAGCTGTGTTGTCTTTGATGTGTTGTATAATTTAATAGCCTTACAAACAGGCTTTTCAGCACACTCAAATATACAGTATGTTTCAATAAAATGTATACATACTTTCAAAACCAATATTTATTTGCAAGGAAACTCATGATGCTAACTTGTTGCAGCATGTAGCATAAGGAAACAAATGTTCACCATCAGTTTCTCCTACTTTTTGAACATGACTTATACTCACACGTTTTTCTCATCTTTACCCTACCTTATCTTTGATGGGAATAGAGATATGAATAATATCCTCCTCTAATTTATGTCATGTTGAAATGGCTACATAGATTAGTTCAGTTTTAAATTCATGTCTGCATTCTGTTAACATATTAGTAACAATTCCCAAGACAATTTTCTTTTTTTCCTTTTCCTTTTTTGTTTTTGATTTATTATTAAAGCATTCCATGTTAATTATAGAAATATTGGTTGGAAATGCAAAGACTATTAAACCTGACATGTTCTAAAACTGAATGTTTTCTTGGAAAAGAATTTGAAATTTATGCAGTTATCTTAAGTTGCAGAAAAATGGCCTATATCACCGAGATTTTGATTAGTTACTAGGCATGGTAAATATATTTTTTCTATTTTTAAGAGGGGACTAGAAAATACAGAAATTTGTGGAGATTTTGAGGAGATTAGAAAATATAGAAATGTTTAGAGAAAAGGATAGTAATTTTTCAAAAATCCTTCAGACAGAAACATTGCTAATATTTGACCTCTGTACTGATAGCCATTTCTTGAAAAAGTTGAGAATCCAGTGTATGTGTGTGTGTGTGTGTGTGTGTGTGCAAAAAGGAAATACATTAGGTTTATAGTAATTGTGTGTATTTATATACACATTATATATCTATATATACACTTTGATATCTTTTTCCTTTAACATTTTATCATAAGCATTGCCTACATCATCAAAAATTATTCTTAAATATAATATTTAAAGGCTGCATAGTATTTTATGTTAATGAAATTGACACAGTTAAGTGTTCACTGAACACTTTGGTTTAGTAAACTTATCATTGTAGTTGACTTTGCAATGAATATCTTTACACATAAAAATGGAAAAACTACAGAAAAGTACAAAGAATAAAACTTAAACATCTGTAATAAACATTACTATAAACCTAATATATTTCCTTTTAGTATTATATATTTATTTTCCCTTTTTAATACAATTTAAAATCATAATATATATGTACAAACATTATATCTGTGTGTATATATACGTATATACACACAATTGATTATCATTATTGATAGGTTTCATATTTGCAAATTCCTCTACTCACTAAAATTTATTTGTAAACCCAAAATTAATACTTCCATTTCTTTCATGGTCATTCACAGACATGCAGAGTTGCAAAAAATCTGAGTTACCCAACACGTATTCCAAGCTGAGCCTGAACAATGCAATGCCCTTCCTTCTTGTTTCAGTCTTATACTATAAACAAATGTCATTTTGCAGTGTATTATGTGCCACGTTTTTAAAATTTTGTGCCTTTTCTTGGCGATTTTGTTGTTTAAAATAGCCCATAAGTGCTGAAACACTGTCCTGTTTTCCTAAGTGCAAGAAGGCTGTGATGTGCCTTGAGGAGAAAATATGTGTGTTAGATAAAGTTTGTTCAGGTATGATTTATGGAGCTGTTGGTCATGAGTTTTACATTAATAAATCAACAGTATATATTAAATAAGGTGTCTTTAAACAGAAGCACACATAAAACAAGATCATGTATTGATTGGTTGATGAAAATGTGACTAGAAGCTCACAGGAATCTAATTCTTTAGTTTCTCTAAGAGTTCTGCTGAGTATTTGCTAATTCTGTGTTTGTGGTGACCTTATAGAACATAATTACTGTGAATAATGATAACTTAATACATATATATGTGCATGTATAACTATGTATACACACACAACGTTGTATTTATGTGTTTTATATACACACGGTACACTTCTCTTTTCATTTTTATGTAAATTAGCGTTTTTCCATGTTATAAAATATTTTTGAAAACCTGATTAATGGCTTCCTGATATAAAATAACTTCATCAACATTACACTACCATGGGACATTAGGTTTTAAAATTTTTGCCATCAGTTCATGTAATCCATCACACCAATAGGAAGAAAATTCAAGTGATCATATCAATAGATGGAGAAATAACATTTGACAAAATACAACATTCATTAATGATAAAAACTCTCAGCAAACTAGGAATAGAGGGGAACTTCCTCAACTTTATAAAGAACATCTACAGAAAACCTACAGCTAACATCATATGTAATGGTCAGAAACTAGATGCTTTTCTGCTACGATCAGGAACAAGGTAAGGCTATCATCTCTTACCGCTCATATTCCACATTGTACTGGAACTCCTCACTTTCAGCAATACAAGAAAAGGAAATAAAATTTATAAAGATTAGGAAGGAAGAACTGAACCTGTATATGTTTGATGATGACCATAATTGTTTATATTGAAAGTCTCAAAATCTCCTGCAACTAGTAAGTGATTATATCAAGGTTGTGGGATGCAAAGTTAATGTACAAAAATCAATTGCTTTTCTGTGTACCAGCAATGAAGTAGGGAATTTGAAATTAAAACAAAATATAATTTCTGGTCTATTGTGGGTAAAGCTGCAATGAATATGAAAGTGCAGATATTTCTTTGACATACTAATTTTAATTCCCTTGAATACATACCCAGAAGTGAGATTGCTGAATCATACGATAATTCCATTTTTAATTTCATGAGGAAACTCCATACTGTTTTCCATAATGGCTGCACTAATATACATTCCTATCAGAGGGGTATGAGGGCTCCCTCTTCTCCACATCCTCACCAACACTTTTTTATCTTTCATCTTTTTTATAATAGCCATCCCAATTTAAGTATGAGATGATACATCATTGTGATTTTTTAAAAATCATATGATTTTTAAAAAATTGTGGGTACATAGTATGTATATATATTTATGGGGTATATGACATGTTTTGATACAGGCATGCAATATGAAATAAGCACATCATGGAGAATGGGGTTATTTAAAAATACACAATTAAGTTATTATTGACTACAGTCATCCTATTGTGCTATCAAATAGTAGGTCTCATTCATTCTTTCTATTTTTTGGTACCCATTAACCATCCTCAACTCCCTTTCAATCCCCCATTACCCATATCAGCCTCCAGTAACCATCCTTCTACTCTCTATGTTCACTAGTTCAATTGTTTTTGTTTTCAGATCCCAGAAATAAGTGAGAATATGTAATGTTTGTCTTTATGTGCCTGGCTTATTTCACTCTACATAATGTTCTCCAGTTCTATCCATCCTGTTGCAAATGACTGGATCTCATTCTTTTTTAAGGCTGAATAATACTGCATTGCGTATATGCACTCCATTTTCTTTATCCATTCATCTATTGATGGACACTTAGGTGGCTTCTAAATTTTAGCTATTGTAAACAATACTGCAAAGAATATAGGACTGCAGATGTATCTTGGATATACTGATTAACTTTCTTTTGGTTATATATTCAGCAGTGGGATGGCTGAATCATATGGCAGCTCAATTTTTAGTTTTAGGAGGAAACTCCAAACTGTTCTTCAAACGGTTGTACTAATTTATTTTCCCACTAACAGTGTACAAGGATTCCTTTTCTCCATATCCTTGCCAGCATTTGTTATTGCCTGTCTTTTGGATATAAGCCATTTTAACTGGGGTAAGATGATATCTTATTGTAGCTTTCATTTGCATTTATCTGATGATCAATGATGTTGGGCACTTTTGCATATTCTTGTTTGCCATTTATATGTCTTCTTTTAAAAAATGTCTTCAAATATGTTGCCCATTTTTAAATCAGATTATTAGATTTTTTTCCTATAGAGTTGTTTGAGCTACCTATATTTTCTGATATATATTATTAGTCCTGACAATGGGTTATTAAACCCTTGTCAGATAAGTAGCTTGCAAATGTTTTCTCCCATTCTGTGGGTTGTCATTTAACTTTGTTGATTTTATCCTTTGCTGGGCAGATGCTTTTTAACTTGATAAGATTCCATTTGTCCATGTTTGCTTTGGTTGCCTGTGCTTGTGGGGTATTGCTCAAGAAGTCTTTGCCCAGACCAATGTGCTAGATTTTTCCAATGTTTTTTTTGTAGTAGTTTAATAGTTTCAGGTCTTCAATTTAAGTCTTTAATCCATGTTGATTTGATTTTTGTATATGGTGAGAGATAGGTGTCTAGTTTTATTCTTTTGCATATGGATATCCAGTTTTTCCAGCACCATTTATTGAAGAGACTCTATTTTTCCCAGTGTATATTGTTGGCACTTTTGTCAAAAATGAGTTGACTGTAAGTATGTGGATTCGTTTCTGAATTCTCCATTCTGTTCCCTTGGTCTATTTGTCTGTTGTTATGCCAGTACCATGCTGTTTTGATTACTATAGCTCTGTAGTAAAATTCGAAATCACGTAATCAGATTCCTCCAGTTTTGCTCCTTTTGCTTAGGATAACTGTGGCTATTTTGTGTCTTTCGTGATTCCATATAAAATTTAAGATGGTTTTTTCTATTTCTTTGAAGGATGTCTTTGGTGTTTTGATAGGGATTGTATCGAATCTGCAGATTGCTTTGGGTACTATGGCTATTTTAACAATATTGATTTTTCCAATCCATGTACATGGACTATTTTTCCATTTGTTGATGTTCTCTTAAATTTCCTTCATCAATGTTTTACAGTTTTCATTATAGAGATCTTTCACTTCATTGGTTAAATTAATTCCTAATTATTTATTGTAATTTTATGGGTGGCTATTGTAAATGTGATTACTGTTCCATTTCTTTTTCACATTGTTTACTGTTGGCATATAGAAATGCTACTGATTTTTGTATGTTGATTTTATATCCTGCAGCTTTACTGAATTCGTTTATGAGTTGTAATAATTTTCTTGTTGGGTCTTTAGGATTTTCCAAATATAAGATCATATCATCAGCAAGCAAGGATAATTTGTCTTATTCTTTTCCAATTTTAATACCCTTTATATCTTTCTCTTGTCTGATTGCTCTAGCTAGGACTTCCAGGACTATGGTGAATAACAGTGGTAACAGTGGTTATCCTTGTTGTTTTCCAGATCTTACAGTAAAGACTTCGTTTTTTTCCCATTCAGTATGATACTAGCTGTGGGTCTGTCATATATGGATTTTATTATGTTGAAATATGTTACTTCTATCTCCAGTTTTTTGAGGGTTTTTTAATGAAGGATGTTGAATTTTATCAAATGCTTTTTCAGCATTAATTGAAATAATCATATAGTTTTTATCCTTCATTGTGTTGATATGATATATCACATTGCTTGATATATATATATATATGTTGAACCATCCTTGCATGCCAGGGATAATTTCCATCTGGTCATGATGAATGACCTTTTTAATATATTGTTGAATTTGGTTTGCTAGTATTTTGTTGAGCATTTTTTTCATCAGTATTTATCAGAGATATTGACTTGTAGTTTTCTTTTTTTGATGTGTCTTTGTCTGGTTTTGGTATCAGGGTCATACTGGCCTTGCATAATGAGTTTGGAAGTATTCACTTCTCTATTTTTTGGAATAGTTTGAGTAGGACTGGTATTAGTTCTTCATTAAATTCTTCATTAAATGGTAGAATTCAGCAGTGAAACTATCAGGTCTTGGGCTTTTTTTTTTTTTCTGGGATGCTTTTACAACTTTGATGTCATTGCTTGTTATTGGTCTGTTTGTTTTTTACTTCTTCTTGATGAAATCTTAGTAGGTTGTTTGTAATTAGAAATTTGTCCATTTCTTCTCTGTCTTCTAATTTATTGGTATATAGTTGCTCATATTAACCACTAATGATCCTTTGAATTTCTGCAATGACAATTGTAATGTCTCCTTTTTTATTTTTTATTTTATTTATTTGGACCTTCTTTCTTTTCTTGTTAGTCTGGCTAAAGGTTTGTCAATTTTGTATAACTTTTCTAAAAACCAACTGTTTGCTTAATTGATCTTTTGTATTTTTTATTTCAATTTTATTTATTTCTGCTGTGATGTTTATTATTTCATCTCTTCTCTTGCATTTCTTGTTCTTCAAGATGCAATGTTAGAGTGTTTATTTGAAGTTTTTCTTCTTTTTTGATGTAGGCACTTATAGCTATAAACTTCCCTCTTAGTACTGTTTTTGCTGTGTCTCATAGGTTTCGTTATGTTATGTTGTATTTCCACTATCATTTGTTTTAATAATTTAAAAAATTTCCTTCTTAATTTTTTCGTTGACTCACTGGTCATTCAGGAGCATATTGTTTAATGTATTTGTGTACATTTCCATGTATTTGTGTAGTTTCTAAAATTCCTCTTATTATTAATTTATAGTTTTATGCCATTGTGGTCACATAAGATGCTTGATTTTATTTCAATTTCTTGAATGTTTTGAGACTTATTTTGTGACATAACATATGGTCTGTCTTTGAGACTCATCCATGTACTAAAGAAAAGAATGCATATTCTCAGGCTGTTGGATGAAATGTTCTGTAAATATCTATTAGATCCATTTGGTCTATAGTGCAGATAAGTGTGATGTTTCTTTGCTGATTTTCGGTCTATAAAATCTATTTTATGAGTGCCTATCCCTTTCTTTAGCTCAAATAATATTTGCTTCATGTATTTCTGTGCTCCAGTGTTGGGTGCATATGTATTTATAATTGTTATATCTTCTTGCTGAATTGACCACTTTGTCATTACATATTGGCCTTCTTTGTCTCTTCTTATAGTTTTGGTCTTGAAATCTATTTTATCTTATATAAGTATAGCAAATATTGCTATTTTTTGGTTTCTATTGGTATGGAATATTTTTTTTTCCACTCCTTGATTTTCAGTCTACTTGTGTGCTTATAAGTGAAATGTGTTTCTTGTAGGCAACAGACCAATTGGTCTTGTTTTTTGATCCATTTAGCCAGTCTATGTCTTTTGATTTGAGAGTTTAGTCCATTTGCATTCAATGTTACTATTGATAAGTAAAGACTTACTCCTTCCATTTTGTTGTCTGTTTTCTGGTTGTTTTATGGTCTTCTCTTCCTTATTTCTTTCCTGTCCATTTTTCTCTAGTGAAGGCAATTTTCTCTGGTGATATTATTATTTTTTTGCTTTTTATTTTTTGTGTATACATTGTAATTTTTTGGCTTGAGTTACCATGAGGCTTTCAAATACTCTTATAACCCATTTTTTTAACCTGAAACAACTTTAACACTATTTGCATGAACAAACAAGCAAAAGAAAACTAATAAAAACTCTACACCTAAACTTTTCTCCCCTAGTTTTTAACTTTTTGTTGTTTCTATTTATATCTTATTGTTTTTAATATGTCTTGAAAAGTTGTAGTCATTATTTTGTATTGGTTTATTGTTTAGTTTTTCTATGTAGGATAAGAGTAGTTTACACACCAAAGTTACAGTGTAATGATAGTCTGTGTACTTACTATTACTAGTTAGTTTTGTACTTTCAGGTGATTATTTCTTGCTCATTAATGTCCTTTCATTTCTGATTGAAGTACTCCCTTTAGCATTTCTTGTAGGACAGGGCTGGTGTTGATTAAATTCCTCAGCTTTTGTTTCAGAAACTCTTTATTTCTCTTTCATGTTTGAAGGATATTTTTGCCAGATATACTATTATATGGTAAAAGGTGTTTTCTTCAGCACTTAAAAATGTTATGCCACTATTCTGGCCTGTAAGGATTCCACTGAAAGTCTGCTGCAAGACATATTGGAGCTCCATTGTATGCCATTTGTTTCTTTCCTCTTGTAGCTTTTGGAATCATTTCTTTATCTTTGATCTTTGGGAGTTTGATTATTAAATGCTTTGAGGTAATCTTTGGATTAAATCTGCTTGGTGTTCTATAGCCTATTGTACTTGGATATTGATGTCTTTCTCTAGGTTTGGGAAGTTCTCTGTTACTAACCCTTTGAATAAGATTTCTACCCCATCTCTTTCTCTGCATCCTCTTTAAGGCCAATTACTCTTTGATTTGCTGTTTTGAGGCTATTTTCTAGATCTTTTAGGTGTGCTTCATTATTTTTTATTCTTTTTTCTTTTGTCTCCTCTGACTGTGTATTTTCAATTAGCCTGTCTTCAAGCCCACCAATTATTTCATCTACTTGTTCATTTCTGCTGTTAAAGGACTCTGATGCATTTTTCAGCATGCCAGTTGCATTTTTAGCTCAAAAATTTATGCTTGATTCTTTTTAATTATTTCAATCTCTTTGTTAAATTTATCTGATAGAATTCTGAATTCTTTCTTTGTGTTATCTTACTTTTTTGTGTTTCTTCAACACAGCTATTTTGAATTCTCTGTCTGAAAGGTCACATATCTCTGTTTTACCAAGATCAATCCCTAGTGCCTTATTTAGTTTATTTGGTATGGTCATGTTTTCCTGCATGATGTTAATACTCGTAAATGTTCCTTGGTGCCTGGGCATTGAATGGTTAGGTATTTATTGTAGTCTTCACTGTCTGGGCTTATTTGTAGCCGTCCTTCTTGGAAAAGCTTTTCAGATATTTGAAAAGACTTGAACGTTGTGACCTAAACTGTATCTGCTTTAGTGGGCACCCCAAGCCCAGTAACACCGTGTTTCTCAAAGGCTTATAGAGGTACCACTTCAATGGTCTTGGACAGGATCCAGAAGAATTCTCTGGATTACCAGGCAAAAACAGTGTTTCCTTCTCTTACTTTCTCCCAAACATTCAGAGTTTCTCTGTTCTGAACCACCTAAAGCTGAGGGTGGAGTGAGAGAAGCACCCTGTGGCCACCACAACTATAACTCCATTGGGTCAGACCTGAAGCCACCAGAGTGCTGAGCTTCACCCAAGGCCTGCTGTAACCACTCCCTAGCTACTGCCTATGTTTGCTGAAAGCCCTGGGGCTCTGCAATCAGCCAGTGGCAAAGACAGTCAGGCCCATATGCTTCCCTTTAGGGCAGTGAGGTACCCCAAACCTCAGGTGAATCCATAAGTGCCACGTGGGAATTAGGGACTAGAGTCAAAAATCTTAGAAGTCTACCTGGTGTTCTATTGTGTAGTGGCTGAGCTGGCACTCAAACCACAGGACACAGCCTTTTCCACTTTTCCCTCCTCTTTTCAAAGGCAGAGAAGCCTCACCCCATAGCCATCACCACCCCAGGCCACAAGGAGTGCTGCCAGACTACCACTGATGTTTCCTTAAGGCTGAAGCTCTCTTAAGTCAGCTTGTTGTGAATGCTGCCTGGTTTGGGACTTACTCTTCAGGGAAATAGGCTCCTCTGTGGCCTAAGGCAGGCCCAGAAATGCCATTCAAGAGTACAATTCTGGAATCTGGAACCCCAAGAACCCGTTTGGTGTTCTACCATCCTGTGGCCCTGCTGGAACCTAAGGTGCAAGACACAGTCTCCTTCACTTTTCCCTCTGCTGTTCTCAAACAGGAGGAGTTTTGCCCCCATAGCCACACAGCTGTTATGTGCCAAGTTTACCTGAGGTCAGAAAGTCTCAGTGACTCGCCCAAGGCCCTTGAGGCAGTCCTGGATATCGCTGCTGGTTATTGAGGGCTCAAGGTCTCTTTAGTTAGCAAGTGCTTAATGCTGGCAGGACTGGGTTCTTTCCTTCAAGGCAGTGGGTTCCCTTCTGGCCCAAGGTGTGTCTAGAAATATCTGGGACCTAGGGACTAGAATGGGGGCCTCATGACTCTAACTTGTGACCTAGTCTGCTATGGCTGGGCTGGTTTCCTAAGTGTAAGACAAAGTTCTCCCCACTCCTCCCTCTCTTCACCTCAAGTGGAAGGAAGGGGTCTCTTTTAGAGCCATGGTATGTGCAGCCTGGTTTTAGGGGAGGGGTGATGCCTGCACTCTCTTGGCTGTACCAGCTGGTGTCCCAGTATGTCCCATACCTCCCTAGTCCAATGTCTCTAGGCCTAATTGAGCACTAGGACTTGCCTAACAGTTGTGGCTCTTATGACCTAGACTGTCTTTCAAGTTTACTTGGAGACATGGAGTGCTGTATCCCGTGGTGGAGAAGTTTACGGGAACTCAAGTTCCAGTTGCTGGGATTGGTGATTCCCCTCTGGTTTGGGCTAGTTTAAATGCTCCCACCCTGGTTGGGCATCAGCTGAGTTTGTCTGGATTTCCTTTCCGCTGTAACAGGACAGCAATGAGTTCATTGCCTCACAGTTGCTGTGTTCTCCCTTCCCCAGCATCCACAGAAGCTCACACCATGCTTCCGCTGCCTGGGGTGGGAAAGTGGTGGTGTTGGTGATTCAGGACTTTTTTTTTTCCTCTTCAGTGCCTATTTCAGTGATATGAAATTAAAACCAGGTACTATGAGTACTCACCTGATTTTGGGTTCTTATGAAGATGTATTTTCTGTGTAGGTAGTTGTTAACTTGGTGACCTTGCAGTGGTGTGTGTGTGGGGGGGAGGGTACACACAGAAGCAGTGGAGCCTTCTATTCCACCATTTTGACCCACCCTCTAGATTCCTCATTGTGGTTTTAATTTGCATTTCCTTGATGGTTCATGACCTAAGTGTCCATCAACAGATGAACAAACATAGAAAATGTGGTATATATACACATGGAATACTATTCAGCCTTAAAAATAAGGAAATTCTGTCCTTTGTGACAACATAAATGAACCTGGAGGATATTATGCTAATGAAATAAGCCAAGCACTGAAAGACATACCACATGATTTCACTTATATATGGGATATAAAAAGTCAAACCCATAGATGTAGTGAGTAGAGTGGTGGTTGCCTAAGTCTGTAGAGGGGAATGAACAGGGAATGGGAAGATGTTGGTCATAAGACACCAAGTTTCAGTGAGAAATGAGGACTATATTTTAGTGATCTATTGAAAGCATGGTGACGATAGTTAATAATATTGTATATTTAAAAATTGTCAAAAGAGTCAATTTTAAATATTTTAAATGTCACTGCAAAGAAGTGATAAATATGTGATATAATGGATGTTTTAGTTTGATTTAATAATTTCACAATGGATACAAATCTCATAACTTCACATTGTACCACATAAATATATGCAACCATTGTCATTTAAAAATTAAAAACACACACAATACCATTTACATTAACACCAAAAATAAAATAATTAGGTAATAAATCTAACTAAAATATGCACAAGAATTATATGTGAAAAACTATAAAATTCTGATGAAGGAAATTAAAGATCTAAATAAATGGAGAGAGATGTCATATACTTGGATAAGGAGACTTAATATTGTGAATATGTCAGTCTTCCCAACTTGATCTGTAGTGTTAATGCAACCTCAATAAAAAATCCCAGCACATTATTTTGTGGGTATTGATAAACTGATTCTAAAATTATATTTGGAGGAAAATACCCCAAATAGTCAACATAATATTGAAGGAGGGAAAATATGGAGAACTCACACTATACAATTGTAAGGTTTACTATACAGCTACAGTAATCAAGACTCTGTTGCATTGGTAAAAGAATAGACAAATAGGTTAATGAGACAACAGAGAGCCCAGAAATAGACCCACACAAATATAGTCAACTAAACTTTGACAAGAAGCAAAGGCAAGTCAACAGAGAAAATATGGTCTTTTCAACAAATGGTCCTGGAACAATGAGACACGCACAGGCAAAAAGTAAATAAATACATAAATAAATACACTATGAATCTAAACACATACCTAATGCCTTTCACAAAAATGAACTCAAGTAGATCATAGATTTAAATGTGAAATAGAAAACTAAAACTTCTGAAATATAACACGAGAAAATCTAGGTGTCCTTGAGTTTAATGATGACTTTAAAAAAATATAACACCAAAAACATGATCCATTGAAGAAAAAATTGGTATGTTGGACTTCATAAAAATTAAAAACTTATCTGCCAAAGACACCGTTATACAATGAAAAGACAAGGCACAGATTGGGAGAAGATTCTTTGCTAAACACATATCTGATAGAGAACTGGTATTTGAAATATATAAAACCTCTTAAAACTCAACAATAACAGAATAAACAACCCAATTAAAAATGGGCTAAAGATCTGTACATACACCTCGCCAAAGAAAATATACAGATGGCAAATAAGCATATAAAAAGATGTTCTACATCATACGTTATCAGGGAATTGTAAATTTAATCAAGAGTGATGTACCTCTACCTATTAGAATAGCTGAAATCCAAAGCACTGACAACACCAGATGCTGGCGAGCATGTGGAACAACAGGAATGCTCATTGATTGCTGGTAGGAACACAAAATGATACAGCCATTTTGGAAGATAGTTTGGCAATTTTTAAATAAAACAAACACTTACTATACGAACCAGCAATTGCACAACTTGATATTAACCCAGGTGAATTGAAAACTTAAGTACACAAAAACCAACACACAAATGTTTATAGCAGTTTTATTCACAAGTGCCAAGACTTGGAAGCAACCAAAACGTCCTTCAATCAGTGAGTGGATAAATTGTGGCACACTCATAAAAATGAATATTATTCAGCATTAACAGGAAATGAAATGTTATGTGATGAAAAGACATACAGCAACCCTAAATGCATATTGTTAGGTGAAAGAAGACAATTTGAAAGAGGCACATAATTTATGAGTCCTACTATTCTGGAAAAAGCAAAACTATGGAGACAGTAAAAAGCTCAGTGGTTACTTGGGACCTGGGAGGAAGGAGGGAGGGATTAAGTAGAGAACGGATTATGTTTAGGCAAGTGAAACTATTCTGTATGGTACTACAGTGGTGGATACCTGTCACGACACATTTGTTTAAGCCCACAGAATGTACAACACAAAGAGTAAATCCCAGTGTAATTATAGATGTTAGTGAAAACAGTGTGTCAATATTAGCTCATTAATTGTAACAAATTACCATAGTAACACAAGATGTTAATAACAGGGGAAATTGTGTATATGGTGAGGAGGGATTGAGAAGGCATTTAGAAGCTCTTGGTAATATCAATTCAATTTTTCCATATACCTAATCTCTAAAAATACTTAGTTTTTAAAAATTGTTGTGGGAGTATCAGACAACCCTACCATTTTGAAGTTATGTTTTTGTTACTCATACTGCAAATGGCACATCACTTACATAGGCAGAGCCTTATTGTATATTTTAATATGTTTGTGAATATCTGAATAACCAAGCTGTACATGAATTTTACTAAAATATTCTGGGTATGCAAAGGTCATTTCTCAAGTTCTCCCAGTGTTTGAGGTGATGTGGTAAAACCAAAATTCCCCACCCTTTTTCTCTGGCCTTTGATGAAGCAGAAGAGGCAGTCTCAGGCTTTTTGGAGGGTAGGTAATCAAAGGCATACATGGCCTAAGGACTTCAAGCTTTCTAAAGGGCAGAAGCTTTCCGAGATGCAGCACTTGAACTTTAATCAGACAACCATGAGTGCATGCGCTGTTTCTTATTCTCCAGGGCTGAGTGGGCTTTTGGTGTTGAAATTACTTTGGCACTGTGAGCAGCTAGGGAATTGGTATGCAGGGCTTTGTCTGTTGGCTTAAATAGAGGAACAAGAGGGATCATAAAGAAAGTCTTTTGTGGGTTAGTTTTGTTCTGTGTCACCTTGAGTCCCAAAGGTATTCCAACTGCTTGAAGCTGTGAATGACAGGTTCTTTCTTTTTTGTTTTTCACACTCCTACCTTTCTCAGACAGAGGGTGGTAAAATAAGGATTCTCTGATTTGGTACCACTCTGTGTTTTAAAATTGTGTTTATAACAAATAATCTGTGAGAGGTAATGAAAAGCCATCAGTAATGTAGAGGTGTTATAGAAAAAACAAGACTTTATTGTTTTTCTTCTTCACCCTTCAAAGACAAAGTGAATGCAGCAGTGCCTAGGATAACTGTACTCTGCTGTTAAAAATTGCTCCTAATTTTTGGTATGTTTTATATGCATTCGTTCTGACTTTTGAGACATGTAATGCATGTGGAAAAGCTAATTAACAGATGAACTGTTAGATTATAACAGATAACCCACCAACAAAACGTAAAGCATCTAAATTAAGGATGCAGGTAGGGCCAGCCTAACAGCAGTTCAATTTAGCAGACATGTATTAAACATCTGCAAGGTATTCACCTTTGGAGATGGTGACTTTGTGCTACCTGATCTGGCCCCAGTTGTTATTTTGGTTTAGTGCTCTGAGTTGCTGTAATTAGTTTTCCATCAAGTATCCAAAATGTACTATAGGCAAAATGGTGATATAGGTAGTTTATTTTTGTGTCTCTCCTACTATGCTTCCTGAACCCCTTGAAAGTCACAAAATTGTTTCTCATAGTCTCAAGACAAGACTCTGTACCGTCTTAATGTGGCAGTTGGCTAATCTGAAAAATTAACATGTGGTAGTCTTTTAATAGTAGAATTCTAAGAGTGGGGTTTCACCTTGCCCTTCCCTGGTAGTATGTATTCCCTTAACTAATGACTTTCAGGAGAAAGTTTATTTACATTTTCTATTTCATTCTTTTCTTTCTTCCTGAATCTCAGGGATAACTCTGATGTAGGAATTTAGGGCAGATAGGAGGAGAAAATGGTCAGCATCATGACAGACCTCAGAAGGAGAGATTTTGAGAGCAATAGGACTTTTTAAGTGTTCTTTTCATCATCCCTCATGGGTGGACCAATTCTGCTTACATTGGAGATGTAAGTGTCTCTCCAGACTCAGTGTCCAAGAAGGTTAGTGAAGTGGTAAATTTAAGGCAGGAGTGGCATTAGCAATAAATGGCACACTTGGTTAATCCTAATAAATAAATAAATCCCATGGCCAATCAAATGATTAAAGAAGACTACAGAAAAGTATAAAATGTGAGGCCAGAAGACATTCTCATGTATCATTACTCTCTATTGTGAACTGACTTGTGCCCTCCCCCAAATTTATATATTAGAGCCCTAATCTTTAATGTGATGATATTTGGAGATGGGGCCTTTGGGAAGTAATTAGGATTAAATAAAGTCATAAAGGTGGGGCCCGAATTCGATGAGATTGGTGTTTTTATAAAAGGAAGAGAAGACATGAGAGAGCTCTCTGTCCTCCTGCACAGAGGAGAGGTCATGTGAGGACAGTGATGGCAGCTGTCTACAAGCCAGTGAGAAAGTTCTCACCAGGAACAGACTTTTCTTGGCACCTTGATCATGACTTCTGGACTCCAAAACTGTGAGAAAATTAATTTCTGTTGTTTAAGCCACCCAGACTGTGGTATTTTGTTATGACAGTCTGAGCATGCTAACATTTCATATCGTGAAACATTTGTAAATCATTATTAACCTGCTTAAAGCAGTATTTTCAGTATTGTTTTCAGTCCCGCAAGGATTCATTGTATTCCAAGATACTAGGCATTGATAGCTGTCTAGATTTAGGCATTGATAGCTGTCTCTTTTTCTTTTGGATCTATCAGACATCAAAACCTCATACAGACATGGTTAATGCAGGCAAACTAAACCAAAGGTCAGGCATTGGCCAGGTGTCTACACTGACATGGGGTTGAATGTGACACAAATAGTCACTTATCTCGCAACTTTTGACAAATAGCCCACAATTATGATGTCAACAGTTATATGGGTTTTGAGGAACTAATTTTAGAATGTAGAGATTATTTTAATGTATACACTATTTCTCTAGATTGATGAGCCCTACTAAAGTTAACCAATTGCTTGGGAAAGACAGCTTGGTATAGGGGAGAAAAGCTGCCCAGTTGGGTTTTACAGTATCATGTCATGTTTAATATATGATAGAACAATGATCAAAATGGAAAAATCTATCAAAAATATACATGGATCACAAAATGTGGATGGAGATATATAGATAGATACAGATATATTTTTTCAAGCAATTATTTGCAGCTGTGAAAGCTTTTGGTAATACCTCAGAACGTGAATTTATAAAAAAAAAGATAGAAATGAAGCAGCTTTAATGAAAGGTAGAGCTGGGTACTTGAGCAGCAATGACTTCTGAGACACCCTTGTAGAACCCTAAGGGACTGAAGAACTCACTCTGAAAACCATTATATTATTACATTCTTAAAGTATGTTGCTGTTTATAAGATTTGATTATTTGGAAAAAGATTGAATTCTTATGCTGAAACAGGATGTAAATGGTGTTAAAGCTGTTGCTAAGAGATATACAAAATTATTTTTAAAATCAGGCGAGTTGTAACCAGAAAAAGGAAGGAAAGGTGCTAAAAGATACTTGAAATACAAGGTTTGCATACTTACCAATGTCACATAATGTTTCAAAGAATAAGAACCAGAGAGTTGTGGCTTTCTTCGACAAGCCCCCTTCCAATTTTAGGTATAAGTTTTGGCCTATATCAAGGAAATACTGCTCAGGAAACAACATCAAACATTCCAGTATTTAGATATAGCCTCTCTTGGCAAGTAGGTAGGTGAGATCTGAGAGATGACTGACAGTATTAGTGGAATGGGCCAGATCCAAACCCCTTGATTTTTGAAATAGTCTCACTCTGTCGCCCAAGCTGGAATGCAGTCACATGATCATGGATCACTGTATCCTCGAACTCCTGGGCTTCGAGTGATCCTCCTGCCCGAGTGATCCTCCTGCCTAAGCCTCCCAAGTAGCTGGGACTACAGACATGTGCCACCACGCCTGACTAATTTTACAATTTTTCTTTCATAGAGACAGGGCCTTGCTATGTTGATCAGGCTGGTTTTGAACTCCTGGCTTCAAGTGATCCTCCTGCCTCTGCCTTTCAAAGTGCTGAGATTACAGGCGTGAGCCCCCATGCCAAGTCCTTTATAAATAATGTTCAAAGTATTATTACATGAATGCCCGGTGGTTGTCATTTAAGCAGTATTCCCTCCTATTCCCCTACTCCCAACTAAATTTTAAGTAGGAACTAGGAACTCTTTAGCCACGCCTACTAGAAATTACTGTTAGTCCTATTTGAAAGTTCTGTGGTTTGATTTATTCTTATCTAAATAAATAAATTTACTTTACTAATTCATTTTTCTGGCTGGGTTTGCAAAAGTAATGTAGGTAAGTGAGGGAAAGTGCAACTTACTTGTTTTTGTTTTTTGTTTTTGAGATGGAGTCTCGCTCTGTTGCCCAGGCTGGAGTGCAGTGGTGCGATCTCGGCTCACTGCAAGCTCTGCCTCCTGGGTTCATGCCATTCTCCTGCCTCAGCCTCCCAAGTAGCTGGGACTACAGGCGCCCACCACCACGCCCGGCTAATTTTTTGTATTTTTAGTAGAGACGGGGTTTCACCATGTTAGCCAGGATGGTCTCGATCTCCTGACCTCGTGATCCACCTGCCTCGGCCTCCCAAAGTGCTGGGATTACAGGCGTGAGCCACCACGCCCGGCCAGAAAGTGCAACTTACTGTGAAATCTAGCCCTTCTAGCACAAAGGTAGAGCTAGCCTTTTTGTAGGGGGAAACTGACTCACACAAATAATTTCAGAGTAGACTGTATAGATTCTTCAATCCTCTGACCCATCTAGGATTCTACTCCCAGTCCTGATACTGGGATGAAAATGGGTGGAGTTACAGTAAACTTCCTGCAAATTACATTGCTTCCATTATTAAAAATGGATATATTTGGCTCTCAGATGTTTTTCTGCCTTTCAAAGTCTTCAAAGAAATGCAAATGACTCCAGGAAATAAATAGCAGAATTTATCATCAATTGATATCTTTGGGGAAATAATGATATCCAGCTAAGAGTAAAGGCCAGGGGAAAGAGAATACTCAGATTCTCAAAGTATCTGAGAATTGGCAACTGGGTAGAGGGAACAGAATTGGCACCGATAAGGGAGGTGAGAGGACAGCTCTGTTTCTATCCACTTTGTTGAAAAGCATGGATTCAGGAATGGAAATGAGTTACTGTGTTATTGACTAAAATCTTATAGAAGAAACAAATTTACCTTGCACTGAATACATTTTCTAAATTGATGAGTTATTGTTCGGAAATGCATTCCTTGAAATGTCAAAGATTTAAGGACTGATTTGAATAGTCCTTTGAGGACAAGGCAATGACCATTTATGTTATCAGCTGATGATCCTACTATGTGCTTTATATTTACGATTCTCTTTACATCTTTGATGACTACCTTGCTAGGTAGTTATTATTTTCCACAGTTTATGCATGTAAAATGCTGTATTCATTTATTCTATCAGTCTAGGTGCAAACTTGTCAATTTGAAAAACTCTCATCCAACTTCTCATGAATGTTTTATGTAAATGATGTAATGTAAATCTAATTTACATTATGTAATATAAATACAAACAGTTTTGAGTTTTGGCATTAGTTCACTGTTTAAAGGGGAACATATTTTAGTTCATAACCATAGCAGTCTTTGGTACCGTTTGGGTCTTTTATTCTTCTGTTATTGCTAATCCTGAAATTAACTTTATGAAGGTGATTCACATAGGCATTTAGACTCTCTATGGCAAGGTGAATATGATTATTTCCTCAATACTTAATTATAAAAACAAAATATGTCTTTTATTTCAAATCAATCAATAAACTCATGTAATCGCTCTCTCTCTGTCTCTCTCTCTCTCTCTCTCTCTCTCTCACACACACACACACACACACACACACACCTCTTTCCTCCCAATAGACTTGTCCACTTGCATACATCCATAGATGTATTTTGTGAAGTTTACCATATTCAGTCAGTGCAGGAAAAAAAATGAACCCACAGGGAAAGGTTGCTATTTTTTTTTTATCACTGTTGGTGTAAACCCAGTTTCTTATTGAATTGAGATGTTACTTTTGTTTTTTCTCCCTTGAATACTTAAATGCAGTTCCAGCAAGAACCATAGAAATTCAATGAGATCTTGGAAAGAATTAGTGATTGTTCTGACTGGTTGCTGCAGCCAGCTTGTAACAAATTTCAACTTTAATCATTGTGAAATTAAATAAATAGCCAAAGTCATGACAAAGTTTTCTTAACCAGCTAGGGAAAGAAGCTCACAGAACTACTGAAACCCTAAAAGTACTCTCTTATGTTTCAGAGTAAAATGTAGAGGAGAGAGGTGATGTGGTATAGTGGAAAGTGCATCGTTCTATGAGTGTGAATATGAACAGGGTAACACAAGCCCTGTTTGTGAGTGTCTTTCATTTGGTTTCTTTATCTTTAAAAGAGAGAATTGGATTAGCAGATCTTTCTGGATATTTCTAAATTTTCAAGATATATACAAAATGGAAGTTCTAATTATGTGTACTTGGAAGTTCATAGATGAAGGTGAGGCTGTTGTATGAGTCTACTCCTTCAAATGGTGACCTTGGATTCTCTCTGTTCAGACCTAAAAACAACACCCAGCAATGATAATTCTTTAGAACAACAGTCCCCAACCACTAGGGCACCAGGGACCAGTTTCATGGAAGACAATTTTCCCATGGACATTCAGGGGCAGGTATTAAATTCTCATAAGGAGTGTGTAACTTACATCCCTCGCATGCACAGTTCACAATACGGTTCACGCTCCTATGAGAATCTAATACCTCTGCTGATCTGATTTGACAGGAGGCAGAGCTCAGCTTCTAACCTCATGCCATGTGGCCAGGTTCCTAACAGGCCACGAACTTGTGGCAGTCTGTGGTCCCTGGGCTGGGGACCCCTGCTTTAGGAGATGGACAGTATTGTAATCAAGTGTTATTTTTACTTCCAGTATAACCCTTTTCGTCTGTGAATTTCAGGGACCACACTTGGCTATCTCAGAGAGTTATTTGTCATTACATCATTGGGAAATATTGTCTCGCTAAAGGAAATGGGTAAAAAAACAGTGGGAGAAGCAGATGACAGCCAGGTAGAGAGAAAGGTACAGAGAGTGTACAGGTTTTCCCTAGAGTGAGAAAAGAAGAGAAAAACCTTGATGGTGTTGGAGAGATTCACAGTGTTGTTTTCTGCCCATGGTATTTGCCATCATTAGGACTGGAAGGCTTTGTCATCATGCAGGTCCCAAGCATTTTGCATCAGTAGTGACATGAGTTAATGAATGTAGAATCATGTTTCCAGAAATAGGTTTGAACTACCTTTAAGTACAAGGGCATGACCATTTATTTTCTATTACCAGCTGGTGATCCTAGTATGTGTTTTATGTTTATTATTCCGAGTGAAACTTCTTGGCCACCCTTGTAGGTAGTTATTATTTCCACTGGTTAATAAATGAGGAGACTGATGTTTAGCAATTGTACTGAATTTTTTTCATGTTTGAAAACTTGAAATCCTTCCAACTTTTCTTCATTTAATTCTAAAGTTTCAACTTCATCATCAATCCAATCCTGTCTCTGATTGTTTGGACTTGTCGTTTGCACCTAATTCCCAGGGTTTAACTCTGCTCACCTAAGGAATTTTGGATTTATATTGTTTCTGGCATTTCCAGTTACAGATGCCTTGAGTAGGCTACCATGTCTCTGGTTCTAGTCCCTCAGTAACATACCTTTACCTCTTGACTCTAAGCTATAACCCTACCTGGGTACTGCTTTGCTTCCATTTAGGCCTTTCTATGCCTCTCCTAGAGAAACAATAATCCCCTATCCGTGCTAACCTGGCAGTCTTCAAATGAACACGGGTTTTCACCATGTTAGCCAGGATGGTCTCGATCTCCTGACCTTGCGATCTGCCCGCCTCGGCCTCCCAAAATGCTGGGATTACAGGCGTAAGCCACTGTGCCCAGCCTCAGGCAAGGTTCTTATAAAGACCCTTTCATGGACTTGTAAAAGGTCTCGCAATTATAGGTGATAGAGCCAGGATTCAAGTTCAGATTTGACTCCAAACTATTGTTTATCTTCATTCTGTCATCATACTTTCTAACCGAAAATCAGCAGTACTGTAAAATCCTATCTGCCCATCTAACTGTGGCTTTCCTATTTGTCTGGTCATGTGGTCTCCTACATCCCATTAATATGGTTTTACGGACTCCAGGTCATGTATAATTTAGCTAGTTGCTTGGAGTAGGTAGGATAACTCTTTTGCTACTTAATACTCTGTCTGAAGAGTGTCATATATCCAGACTGTCAGCAAATCAATGTGTTAAGAATAGGAAAATGAGAGCTACATGCTATATTCTGTACTATACTTTTCATTTATTAACTCATGTGACCCCTCACATTGGTGCTCTAAGGTAGGTACTATTATATACTTCATCTTACAAATAGGGAAAATACAGCATAGAGAGGTCAAGTGACTTGGTCAGGGTTAAAAACCTGGAAGGAACTGTGCTAGAGATACTAACTGCTCATCAGATTCATATGCTTCCCACATTATTCAGACCATTTGCAGTTAGGCAGGACAATGCAATTAATTGTGGTCTATGGGTTGTTAATAGAAGCTTGAGGGCTTCAGAACTGGGGAAAGTTCATCCCCTTCTGAAGCACAACTGCTGATCTAAAACAACTGTTATGGCTGCAGATTTTTCAATGGATTACCCACCTCCTCCCCAAAATGTGAGGTTAAAGGGGAAAAGATCTGACTACTTAGCATGTATTCATATTTTAGATTAAAAATATATGTTATAGTTTCAAGCATTTTGTTTTTACATTGCAAATATATTTGGACTATTGTACATTTATGTATACATATATTTATTTATTTAAAATTTGCTGTATTATGGAAAACATTGGCCTTAACAGCTTTAGGAAACCTCCTCTTCATGCATTTTGCTAGCTCCTTTCCACTAGGTCTAAAATAATCAATGATTGGATTGGGTGTTGCTGATCAAAAAGGAAGAAAATATCCTTGATTGTTAGAATGCATCTTGGTACATTTCTAAGCTGTATTTCGACATTGCCCTGGCTCTGTCAATTGTTCAGAACCTCTTCATAGTACTAACTGATTAGTAGAAAACATTATTCAGAGTGAAACTAAGATGTGCATTTGTATAATTTGTAGATCTGTGTTTGTTATTTACTCAACTATATGTTGGCTTTATCACAAAGTTTTTAAGCTATTTTTAGGAAGTATTTGAGAGCTGTCTTTATGGTGTGTAGACCATTAAAACATAACATAATCCAAAGTGTCCATCATTGGTTGACAAAACAATCTTGTTTTATTCCTTGCTGGTGACTTTATAATTTGTTGGTCAGCTAATTGAAATCTCATGAATAACCTTATCTGGGAAATGTGAGACTGAGTTCTTTGTCTTGATGAATACTCAATTTAAGGAAATTTGTAGAATTTAATAATAATGCTTTCGGCTTGTGTTATCTACCGGGATGTTCCTCGAGTTGAAAGGTGAGAGTCATCTAGCTAACTTTTGTATTTTTAGCAGAGAGGGGGTTTCGCCACGTTGGCCAGACTGGTCTGGAACTCCTGGCCTCAAGTGATCTGCCCACCTCAGCCTCCCAAAGTGCTGGGATTACAGGTGTGAGCCACTGCACCTGGCATGAAGTGTTTATTTTTATACTAAAGTAAGGGAGTAAAATAGGTAGATACAACTCGATTTAAATTTTTTGATTGTACCTCTTAAACTCTATTTTTCTTTGTTATTTTGTCTAAATCCAATGTTTGTAAGTCAAATAGTAAATCTGGGAAATATTAAAAAAAAAAAAGAAAGGTGAGAGTCATTTTAAAGATAGTAATTTGATTTGGTTATGGAAACACAGCCATAGTTTTACCTTCCATGGTGGAAGAGATTTTGGAGAGTCTTCCTCTCCTGGACCTTTTGAGTACATAAAAATCATTTGTTGGAACCTCTGTGATAATTTAGGTAATTGAAAAAATCCAATTGAAGCACATATTCTCAAGGTCCAAGTACCAACCTGATATAATAATATAAAATCTTTCTATTTAGCACCTCTTATCCTCTTACTGTGCTACCTGTAGAGTCTTAGGCAAATATATTCATGAAAGTGTATTAGCTAACTTTACTATAACAAGGATTCCTAACTGATATATTTCTGACTTATTTAAGACATGTTGAAAGAAAATTCAAATGTAGATTTAAAACTTCTCTTGTTTTTTTCTGTGATGTGAACCAAGTTAAGTGACCAGATCAATGAAAACTTGAGCTTAGAACTACACTTAGACCTTGCTCAGTCACTAGCTACCTGTGTCAACTTGGGTAAGTCTTTCTGGGTCTCAGTTTTCTCATTTGAAACATCAGAGGATAAGGGATGATTTCTAGGATCACTTACAGCTCTAAAATGCTGGAATTCTCAGAAACACTAGTAGATACTCATGCATTATACTTTAACTGTCTCTGTACACAGATGTGAAGACTTCAGTTATATTCAGTTTTAAAACTGAAGTTGGTAATTGGAAACTTATTAATCAATAATTAAATTATCTCTTCTGTCTTTCAAATTCTTTTATGTGCTTTGTTTTGATTTTTGTTAAAACTTTGTTTTTCCTAGAGATGTTTTCTTTATCTTAAAATCATCTCACTAGTGATGTCTTTATAAACCCAGATTTATGGCAGAAAATGCACAGATTTTTGAAAAAGGAAGTAATGATAGGAAAAGGAAAAAGTTTAATGTAGCCATGGTTGAAACAGGCGCTATTAATAGTTTTGATTTCTATTGGGCTTACTCTCAGAGAAGTTCATAGCTCAGTATATCTGTTAAATCACATCCTCTCAGAGTTCGATAGAGGAAGTAGAACAAAAAGAAAGAGAAAGATGAATAAAGGGTAGACAGTTGTGTAAAAATAGCAGACATAGGTTGGAAATAAACATAAAAGGAGCTGAAAGGCAATTTCTGGCCTCATGTAAGAAGCTGGCCCTTGGCTTACAGTCCCTGCCACTGCCCAGATATTACACTAAACAATGGCATTACATTGTCACTGCCTAAGTACGCAAACGGGTCTTGGATTTTACTGTGACAGGGAACAATTCATATGGGATGTGTGTTTTTTCACTAGACATTGAAAAATAATAAAAACTTGATACTTTATATGAAAACTTTTGTGGTCTTTCAAAATCTGTCCCAGATAGATGTGCTATCACATACAGTTTTACAAATTAATATCATGATTAACTTTGGAGAAGGTGGGCTTTCTCATGACTCGCAGTTACCTCTAGGGGAAAAAGGCTGTATTTTCTGGCCAAAAAATTATCCACCAGTCTTTCAATCAATATCATTATTCTTTTAAAATCTTGAGCCCAATTTTGATTTAATATTAATATTATTATTGTGATTTTCTTTCCACTTTTTATTTTAGTTTCAGGGGTGCATTTGGAGGTTTTACATGGCTAAATTGTGTGTTATGGGGGTTTGGTGTACAGGTTATTTAGTCACCCAGGTAATGAGCGTAATATATGATACATAGTTTTTCAATCCTTACCCTCTGTCTACCTTCCATCCTCAAGTGGTCCCTGGTGTCTATTGTTTTCTTCTTTGTGTCCATGTGTGCTCAATATTTAGCTCCTAACTGATGAGTGAGAACATGTGGTTTTTGGTTTTCTGTTTCTGCATTGAGTGGCTTAGTAAATGGCCTCCAGCTGCACCCATGTTACTGCAAAGAACATGGTTTTATTCTTTTTTTTTTATAGCTATGTACTATTCAATGGTGTATATGTGCCACATTTTCTTTACCCAGTTCACTATTGTTGGGCACCTTGGTTGATTTCATGTCTTTGCTATTGTGAATAGTGCTGCAATGAACACATGCATGCATGTGTCTTTATGGTAGAATGATTTATATTATTTTGAGTATACATCCAGTAATGGGATTGCTGGGTCAAACAGTTCTGTTTTAAGTTCTTTGAGGAATTGCCACACTACTTTCCACAGTGGCTGAGCTAATTTACATTCCAACCAGCAGTATGTAAGTGTTCCCTTTTCTCTGCAGCCTTGCCAACATCTGTTATGTTTTGACTTTTTTAATAATAGTCATCCTGACTGGTGTGAGATGATATCTCATTGTGGTTTTGATTTGCATTTCTCTAATGATTAATGGTGTTGAAAACTTTTTCATATACTTGTTGGCCACAGGTATGTCTTCTTCTGAGAAGTGTCTGTTTATGTCCTTTGCCCATTTTTAATGGAGTTGTTCGGTTTTTTTGCTTGTTGATTTAAATCCCATATATTAATGTATTCTGGATGTTAGATCTTTTTCAGATGCATAGATTGTGAATATTTTCTCCCATTCTGTAGGTTGTCTGTTTACTCTGTTGATAGTTTCTTTTGCTGTGCAGAAGCTCTATAGTTTGATTAGGTCCCACTTTTCAATTTTGTTTTTGATGCCATTGCTTTTGGAATCTTCATCATGAAATCCTTGCCAGGGTCTGTGTGCAGAATGGTATTCCTAGGTTTTATTCTAGGGTATTTATAGTTTAGGGTTATGGTGAAAGGAAGTGATCCATTTTCAATCTTCTGCACATAGCTAGACAGTTAACCCTGCACTATTTATTGACTAGGGAGTCCTTTCCCCATTGCTTGTTTTTGTTGACTTTGTTGAAGACCAGATGGTTGTAGGTGTGCTGCTTTATTTCTGGGTTCTCTAACATGTAGCATTGATTTATGTGTCAATTTTTCTATTGGACAATGCTGTTTTGTTATTGTATCCCTGTAGTATATTTTGAAGTTGGGTAGTGTGATTCCACCAGCTTTGTTCTTTTTGCTTCTTAGGATTGTTTTGGTTATTTGGGCTCTTTTTTAGTTCCATATGAATTTCTGAATATTTTTCCGAATTCTGTGAAAAATGTCATCAATAGTTTGATAGGAATAACACCAAATCTGTAAATTGCATTGGGCAGTATGGCCATTTTAACAATGTTGATTCTTTTTGTCCATGAATATGAAATACTTTTTCATTTGTTTGTGCTGTCTCTGATTTCTTTCAGCAGTGTTTTGTAATTCCCATCATAGAGATCTGTCACTGCGCTGGTTAGCTGAGTTCCTAGGTATTTTATTCTTTTTGTGGCAATTGTGAGTGGGATTGCCTTCTTGATTTGGCTCTTAGCTTGGATATTGGTGTATAAAAATGCTACTGATTTTTGTACATTGATTTTGTATCCTGAAACTATAGAAGTTGTTTATCAGCTCCAGGAGCCTTTGGGCATAAACTATGGTGTTTTCTAAGCATAGAATCATATAGTCTGTGAAGGGAGATAGATTTGCTTCTCTTCCTACCCAAATGCCTTTTATTTTTTTCTCTTGCCTGATTGCTCTGGCTAGCACTTCCAGTACTACGTTGAATAGGAATGGTGAGAGTGGGCATCCTTGTTTTATTCTGCTTCTCAAGGGAAATACTTTCAGCTTTTGCCCATCCAGTATGATGTTGGCTGTGGGTTTGTCATAGATGGCTGTTATTTTTTTGAGGTATGCCCCTTCAGTGTCTGGTTTGTTGAGGGTTTTTAATATGAAGTGATGTTGAATTTTATTGAAAGCCTTTTCTGCATCTATTGAGATGATCTTGTGGTTTCTGTTTTTAGTTCTGCTTACATGATGAATCACATTTATTGATTTGTATATGTTGAACCAACCTTGCATCCCAGAGATAAAGCTTACTTGATTGTGGTGGATTAGCTTTTTGATTTGCTGCTGGTTTTGGCTTGCTAATAATTTGATTAGGATTTTTGCATCATATTCATCAGGGATATTGGGTGGAGGTGTTCTTTTTTTGTTGTATTTCTGCCAGGTTTTGATACTAGAATGATGTTGCCCTAGTAGAATGAGTTAGGAAGGAGTCCCTCCTCCTTGATTTTTTGGAATAATTTCAGTAGGAATGGTATCAGCTCTTCTTTATGTGTCTGGTTGAATTCAGTTGTGAATCTTTCTGGTCAAGGCATTTTTATGGTTGTAGGCCTTTTATTACTGATTCAAATTTGGAACTCACTACTGGTCTGTTAAGGGCTGCAATTTTTCCCTCCTTCAATCTTGGGAGGTTTCCTTCTAGGTTTTCTAGTTTGTGTGCATGGAGGTGTTCATAATACTCTCTGGGTTTTCTTTGCATTTCTGTGGGGTTGGTGGTAATGTCCCCTTTGTCATTTCTGATTGTGTTTATTTGGGTCTTCTCTCATCTTTCTTTTTTTTTTAATCTATGTTAAAATTTTTTATTTTCATAGTTCTGGAAATGGATAGTGGTGATGGCTTCACTATATTCTGAATGTACTTAATGCTACTAAATTGTACACAAAAATGGTTAAAATGGTAAATTTTATGTTATGTGTATTTTTTTATTATTATTATACTTTAAGTTTTAGGGTACTAGAGAGCAGTTTATCAATCTTATTTATTCTTTCAAAAAACAAACTTTGATTTTGTTGATCTTTTGTATGTTTTTTCACATCTCCAAATTGTTCAGTTCAGCTCTGGTTTTGGTTATGTCTTGTCTTCTGCTATCTTTAATGTTGGTTTGTTCTTGCTTTTCTAGTTCCTCTAGGTGTGATGTTATGTTGTTAATTTGAGGTCTTTGTAACTTTGTGATGTGGCATTTAGTGCTATAAAGTTTCCTGTTAACACTTCTTTAGCTGTGTCCCAGAGATTCTGGTATGTTGCATCTTTTTTTTTTTTTTTTGCCAGTTTCAAAGAATTTCTTGATTTCTGCCTTAATTTTATTGTTTAAACAAAAGTCATTCAGGAGCCAGTTTAATTTTTATGTAATTGTATGCTTTTGAGAGACCTTTTTGGTATTAATTTCTATTTTTAGAGTGCTTTGGTCAGAGAGTATGGTTGGTATCATTTCATTTTTTTGAATTTTTTGAGAATTGCTTTATGGCCGATTGTGTGGTCAATTTTAGAGCATGTGCCATGTGCAGGTAAGAAAAATGTAAATTTTTTTGTTGGATGTGAGTGTTCTGTAAATGTTTGTTAGTTCCAGTTGATCAAGTGTCAAGTTTAGCTTTTGAATATCTGTTGATGATCTATCTGATACTGTCAGTGGGGTGTTGAAGTCTCTCACTGTTATGATGTGGTTATCGATCTAAGTCTCTGTGTAGGTCTGTAAGAACTTGTTTCAAGAATCTTGTTGCTCCTGTGTTGGGTGCATATATATGCAGATAGTTGAGTCTTCTTGTCAAATTGAACCCTTTATCATTATGTAATACCCTTCTTTGTCCTTTTTGATCATTGTTGGTTTAGTTTGTTTTGTCTGAAATTAGAATAGCAACCTCAGCTCTTTTTTTTTTCCTTTCTTTCCATTTGCTTGATAGATCTTTCTCCATGCCTTTATTTTGAGTCTGTGGGTGTCATTGCACATTACATGAGTCTCTTGAAGGCAGCATATGGTTGAGACTTGCTGTTTTATCCAACTTTCCAATTTGTACCTTTTTTTTTTTTTTTTGAGACAGAGTTTAACTCTGTCGCCCAGGCTGGAGTGCAGTAGTGCGATCTTCGCTCACTGCAAGCTCCGCTTCCCGGGTTCATGCCATTCTCTTGCCTCAGCCTCCCAAATAGCTGGGACTACAGGTGCCCACCACCATGCCTGGCTAATTTTTTTTTTTGTATTTTTTTAGTGGATACGGGGTTTCACTGTGTTAGCCAGGATGGTCTCAATCTCCTGACCTCATGATCCGCCTGCCTCAGCCTCCCAAAGTGCTGGGATTACAGGCGTGAGCCACTGCACCCGGCCCACTTTGTGCCTTTTAAGTAGGGTATTTAGCCCATTTATATTCAAGGTTAATATTGATGTGTGAGGATTTATCCTGCCATTGTGTGGTTAGCTGGTTATTATGCAGACTTGATTGTGTAGTTGCTTTATAGTGTCAATGGTGTCTGTACTTAAGTGTGTTTTTGTGGTGGCCAGTAACGAATTTTCCTTTCCATATTTAGCACTCCCTTAAGAGCCTCTTGTAAGGCAGGTGTGGTGGTAACAAATTCCCTTAGCATTTGCTTGCCTGGAAAGGATTTTATTTTATTTTTTCACTTATGAAACTTAGTTTGGCTAGATATGGAGTTCTTGGTTGGCATTTGTTTTCTTTAAGAACTCTGAATATAACCTTCAATCTCTTCTGGCTTGTAGGGTTCCTGCTGAAAGTTCTGCTGTTAGCCCAATGGTGTTCCTTCTGTAAGTTACCTGATCCTTCTCTATAGCTCCATTTTATATTTTCTCTTTCACATTGAAATTGGAGAATCTGTTTACTATGTGTCTTTGGGATGGTTGTCTTGTATAGTACCTCATGGGGATTCTATAAATTTCCAGAATTTGAATGTCAACCTCTTTAGTGAGATTGGGTAAATTTTCATGGACTATGTCCTCAAATATGTTTTTCAAGTTTCTCACTCTCTGTTCTTCTCTTTCAGAGATGTCAATGAGTCATAGATTTGGTCTCTTTACATAATCCCATATTTCTTGAGGTTTGTTCACTCTTTCTTATTCTTTTTTCTTTATTTGTGTCTGATGGAATTGATTCAAAGAACCATTGTTCAAGATCTGAGGGTCTTCCCTCAGGTTGGTCTATTCTGCTGATAATACTTTTGATTGTATTATAAAATTCTTGAAATGAGTTTTTCAGCTCTATCACATCTGTTTGGCTTTTTCATAAAATGGCTATTTCTTCTTTCAGCTCTTATATCATTTTACTGAATTCCTTAAGTTCCTTGAATTGGGTTTCAGCTTTCTCCTGAATCTTGATCATGTTCACTGTCCTCCAGATTCTGAATTCTATGTCTATCATTTCTGCCATGTCAGCCTGGTTAAGAACCATGGCTGGGGAGCTAGTATGATCATTTGCATGTAAGAAGACACTCTGACTTTTTGAATTGCCAGAGTTCTTGCCCTGATTCTTTCTCATTTCTGTGGGCTGATGTTCCTTTATTCTTTGAAGTTGCTATCCTTTGGATGGGGATTTTTGCTTTTATAGACTTTGATGACCTTGAGGGTTTGAGTATGGTACAAGTTTAGTTCAACTGACTGGCTTCATTTTTTTATGATTTCAGTGGGCCAAGGCTCAGTTCAGCATTCTAACCCTGGGAGGTATGCTCTAACCCTGGGAGGTTGCGTGCTCTAACCCTGGGAGGGTGGTACCATGCCTGTAACTGTTCTGTGGCCTCTTGACATTAAGCACCTGCTGCAGTCAAGGGACTAACGGGTTCCTGGTCCTTGACGATAACATTTTGATGTGAGGGTTCCAGGAAAAGTGCTTTGTCAGGGCAGTGGCAGCAGAATGTGCACTAGTGTATGTGCACTAGCGGTAGTAGGGCAGCAGGGTCTGTGTGTGTGCTGGCAAGGGCAGGGTGGTGGCAGCAAGGTCTGCACATGTTCCAGTTGCTGCAAGGTGATGGGTTTTGTGCACATGTGTGTGCATGCACTGGTTGTGACAGGGTGTCAAGGTCCACTTGTGTGCACACACTGGCAAAGCTGTTGGGGGAGGCTGTGGGTGGGTGTGTGTTACCGGGGGCCCATCTACAGAAGCTCTCTGATCATTAGATGGGGTCTACCAGTAAAGGAGCTATGGAGGTGGCCACTGGGAAGCCTGTTGATTGGGCATCTTAGGCTGTGCTACAAGCAGGTGCTGCCAGGCAGGAACCCTGGGAGAGGCTGGCAGATGGGGAGGACTTATATCAGATTGGTCCTGTCCCACAGTCAAGATAGCCCTGTTCTGTCTATGTCCGACAATCAACAAAATCCAAAGCCATCTAGAGGGATGTGGTAAGTCTTAGGGGATGTGTGCCCCTGGCTGTGTTCCACTGCAGCTGTTTCTATGCCAAAGTCTCTGGGCTCTGCATAGGCTGGAGTCCTGTCCCTATCAACTCTTCAAGAAGCTCTCCCTGCCAGCTCAGATGCACTGTGGGATTCATGGGGTCTCCTGCATCTAGGATTCCTGAGGTCCATGGCAAGTGTGGACCACTTCTTGCCTGTTTAACACATCCCTTCTGCTGCAGATGCCAAGGGTCAAGAATGAGTCCTGGTGGTCGACAACCCTGTGCAGGGTTCCCAGCTTCCTCCCCCTTCGGCCCAGGGTCTGTGTCCTCCCTTCCTTCTGAAGATACACTTAGAGTATGCCAGTCTTCTTGATGTTCTTTTCTCTTGGTGGGTGAAGCCCTTTCTGGCTGCGTCTAGTCAGCCATCTTGGCTCTTGATCTATGAAATTTTATCTGAGGTCCATCTCACAGTGGGTCCACTGTGTCCCTAAATCCATCCTATGTCCTTAATTTATTAATAAAGCTCATGATTTCTAGAACATCCCAGTCTCTCCTGTGCTACAACAATAATTTTCCCAGGTGTTTGTTATTGAAACAATTAAGAAAAATAATGTGATTTATAAGACATACAAAAAATTGCCCTTTTAAAATTCTTATCTAGATATGACCTTAAAAACTGAGCAGGTAATTAATCTATTCTTCAAATATGTATTGATTGTTAATTATGTGCCAGGGACTATGTTAATTTCACCCACTTCAAACTTTCTGTTTTCTGGACAGACAAATACTTTTAAGGCTCAATTAGTTCATTTTTTAGTCTTCTCAAAATTCTTTTCTTTTCTCCATTTCACTCTAGGATACTCATTGGGTCTTTTCTATCTACTAACAGCCATGGCAATAGGCCAAAGAAGTATGCTGTCCATAGAAAGAGTTTAAATATGTATCTTTGGCTGGGATCTCATCTGTTCCCTACCTCATCAGAACCCAGTGAAACTGAAATCTTGTAACCTATGTCCAATGGGTGTGTGTCACATGTCATTTCCCATAGGAATACATTGTATCCAGGAATATTTTTGTAACTATTAATATGTACAACTTTATGCTAAAAAATTGTCATATCACATGGTGGCCTGCACAGATTCGGTTCAAATGGGCAGCCCAGCTCCCCTAGCAGAGACGAAGGGACTAGCATTTGAGGAAGACAGGAGATATTTGAGGGCTGGTAAGAAGGAAGAACCAGTTTGGAAACTTAGAAACAGAATTAGACACCATAAATTTAGTTGACTTAAATTAGGTGAGCAGTGTGAAAAATCCAGATGCCAGGGTCAAAATTAGGAGTATAGGTTCCTAAGTTCATAAAGAAGATGTGCAGGGGCAAAACCAAATAAGGTAAGCTGTAGCCCTAATAGTGGACTCATAGTTGGAAACTGGGTGAGACCAGCAAAGAAACTTGATTAGGATAGATTTTGTGACTAGATTTGGCAACATGTTACACCTAATCTAGGGAGCCAGGAACAAGGTCACAAAACCAATCAGGTTCTCCTGACATTCATTTAGATTGTTGGCATTTTCAGATGATATATTTAGGTTATTGATAATGATCTTTTAGTTTGATTATTGTATTTGGCTTTACAAAGCCCTTTCCCATTGATTTCTTCATTTGCAATTTGTGAAAATTGTATGATAGGCAGATTAATTATCGTTTATTCTGATTTACAGGTAAAAAACAAATGCAGAGAGGTTAACTGACTCGACCTAGATCATAGCACTATAAAGTGATGTAATGCCCATTTATTGCATGCCAGGTACTTGGTATGCATTCACTTCCCTGATTCAGGGTACTGATACCAGGTACTTGGTATGCATTCACTTCCTGTGAGGTAGATAAGTATTACCTCTATTTTATAGGTAAGAAAATGTGAGTTCAAGGAGTTGGGATGACTTATCCAAGGTCACATGGTGTCAGAGTTGGTTGTTGAACCCAGTCGTTCTGGCTCCACAACTTGTGCTCTTATCCTGTAGGCTGTATAACTTCCTGTTTTCATTACTACCACTTTTGCTTTAATACCCTGTTTCCAAGATAATTTTGTGTTTCACTTCATTAAAATTTCTTGAATTGTGAAACCCTTCAAATTCACTGGTACCTGGGCTGCTACTGGCCAGGCTAGTGGCATCAATTCACAGATTTTTTTTTCCCTTCATAGTCTCCAGGCACAGAAGCAGGTGTTCCAAAATCACATTCCCTACAAAGTTGTAGATGTATACAACTCTCACAATCTGCATATTTTGCCTCTGGGATGTTTTTCAGAAGATGCATATGAGATCAAGACTTTCTCAGGAGGTAGGGGCCAAGATGGCCCATTAGAAGCAGCTACCTTTGGAGGCTTCCATCGACAAAAACCGTAAGCGTGTGTATCCTTCACTGGCAACCAAGGTATCCAGGTTCTCTCATCAAAATTGACTAAAAGGCTGGCATGATCCACCAAGAGAAGGAAGAGCAGTGTGGTACAGCAGCCCATCTGAGAGACACACGGGGAAGGGGAACCCCCTTTCCACAGCCAAGGGAGGCAGTGAGTGAGCGTGCTACCCAGCCAGGGAAACTGTGTTTTGTCCACAGAACTGTGCAACCCATGGATGGGAAAATCCCACTTGCGAACCCACACCACTGGGGCCTAGCATCCCAACCCCTGAACGTGCAGATTCTTACAGTCTCTCGGCTGGAATCTTCTTAAGCCTACCAAACTCCCTGGGACGGGGGCGACCAGTATGGGCTGCTGCTGCCTGCTGTCTAAGCCCTTTGAGCTCCTTGGGAGAGGGGCAGCAGCCAGAACTGAGACTCACAACTGCCTAACACGCTAGGCTCCCTGGGCAGGGGAAAGGGCAGCATCCATCTCTGTAGTCCCAGGCTGTGTTTTTCCCTGCTGGAGCCAGGGAGGCTGGATGGCTTGGTCACAAGATTTGTCCCCACAGCCCAACACACGGGCTGTGGCAGTCAGATGCCAGAGTGCCTTTTGAGGTCTAACACTGACCCATCCTTAGTGGGCAGGGCTTCCCTGCAGGATCTCCAATAACTCCAGCCAAAGGCTCAGGGACAGAATTTGGATCTCCCTGCACCTGAGTCCCTAGGGGGAGGGGTGGCCACAGTCTCTGCAAACTGGCAGACTTAGCCTCTCCTCCCCTCCTGGTAGTTCTGAGGAATCCGGGCAGCCCAGATGAGTGGGTTTTCCCCCAGTGAAACACACTCCACCAAGGGACAATGTGCTTTGTTAAACGGGTCCTGCTTCCCATGCCACTCAACTGGGTGAGACCCTCCAACAAGGGTTGTCAGACACCCTATACAGAAGCGATCCTATTGGCATCAGGTTGGTGCCCCTTGAGGTCAGAGGTCCCAGAAGAGGGAGGAGGCACCCATCTTTGTGGCTCTCCAGCCTCCTTGAGTGACGTCTCCAGGCACAGGAGCGAATCAGATAAATAAGGCCTGAGAAGTGAATCCCCAGCAAACTGCAGCAGCCCTACAGAAGAGGGACCTGACTACTGAAAGAAAAACAAACAGAAAGTCACAACAACAGCATCAACAACAGCAACAAAAAGGCCTCCACAAAAACCCCATCCAAGGGTCAGCAGCATCAAAGACCAAAACTAGACAAACTCACAAAGATGAGAAAGAATCAATGAAAAAATGCTGAAAACCAAAAAGGCCCAAGTGCCTCTTCCCAAATGACTGTAGCATCTTTCCAACAAGGGCACAGAACTGGATGGAGGATCAGATGCATTCAGAAGATGGGTAGGGCCAGGCGCGGTGGCTCATTCCTGTAATCCCAGCACTTCGGGAGGCAAAGGTGGGCGGATCACCTGAGGTAAGGAATTTGAGACCAGCCTGGCTAACATGATGAAACCCCGTTTCTACTAAAAATACAAAAAATTAGCTGGGCATGGTGGCACGTGCTGGTAATCCCAGCTACTCAGGAGGCTGAGGCAGGAAAATTGCTTGAACCCAGGAGGCGGAGGTTGCAGTGAGCTGAGATCATGCCATTGCACTCCAGCCTGGGCAACAAAAGCAAAACTCCTTCAAAAAAGAAGAAGAAGATGGGTAGTAAAAAACTATGATGAGCTAAAGGAGCATGTTCTAACCCAATGCAAAGAAGCTAAGAACCTTGATAAATGGTTAGAGGAATTGCTAACTAGAATAACCAGTTTAGACAGAAACATAAACGACCTGATGGAGCTGAAAAACACAGGACAAGAACTTTGTGAAGCATACACAAGTATCAACAGTTGAATTGACCAAGTGGAAGAAAGGTTATCAGAGTTTGAAGACCACCTTGCTGAAATAAGACATGCAGATAAGAATAGAGAATAAAGAATTAAAAGGAATGAACAAAGCCTCCAATAAATATGTGACTTTATAAAAGGACCAAACCTACAATTGACTGGAGTACCAGAAGGAGATGTGGAAAATGGAAACAAGCTGGAAAACACTCTTCAGTATATTATCCAGGAGAAATTCCACAACCTAGCAAGACAGGCCAACATGCAAATTCAGGAAATACAGAGAACACCACTAAGATACTCCATGAGAAGATCAACCCAAATACACATAATCATCAGATTCTCCAAGGTTGAAATGAAGGAAAAACGGTTAAGGGCAGCCAGAGAGAAAGGCCAGGTCACCTACAAAGGGAAGCCTATCAAATGAACAATGGACCACTCAGCAGAAACTCTACAAGACAGAAGAGATCGGGGGCCAATATTCAACATTCTTAAAGAAAAGAAGTTTTGATCCAGAATTTCATATCCTGTCAAACTAAGCTTCATAAGCAAAGGAGAAATAAAATCCTTTCCAGACAAGCAAATGCTGAGGGATTTTGTTACCACCAGGCCTACCCTACAAGAGCTCCTGGAAGATGCACTAAATATGGAAGGGAAAAACTGGTACCAGTCACTGCAAAAACACACCAAAATATAAAGACCAATGACACTATGAAGAAACTACATCAATTAGTGTGCAAAATAACCAAATAGCATCATGATGACAGGATCAAACTCACACCTAACAATACTAACCTTAAATATAAATGGGCTAAATGCCCCAATTAAAAGACACAGACTAGCAAATTGGACGAGTAGTCAAGACCCATTGGTGTGCTGTATTCAGGAGACCCATCTCAGGTGCAAAGGCACACACAGGCTCAAAATAAAGGGATGGAGGAAAATTTACTAAGCAAATGGAAAGCAAAAAAAGAAAGCAGGGTTGCAATCCTAGTCTCTGACAAAACAGACTTTAAACCAACAAAGATAAAAAAAGACAAAGAATGGCATTACATAATGGTAATGGGAACAATTCAACAAGAAGAGCTAACTATCTTGAATATATGCACCCAATACAGGAGCATCCAGATTCATAACTTTAACACCACATTGTCAGTATTAGATAGATCAACAAGATGGAAAATTAACAAGGATATTCAGGACTTAATCTCAGCTCTGGATCAAGTGGACCTAGTAGACGTCTACAAAACTCTCCACCCCAAATCAACAGAATATATATACTTCTCAGTGCCACATGGCACATATTCTAAAACCAACCACATACTTGGAAGTAAAACACTCCTCAGCAAATACAAAAGAACTGAAATCATAACAAACAGTCTCTCAGACCGTAGTGCAATCAAATCGGAACTCAGGATTAAGAAACTCACTCAAAAACACACAATTTCATGGAAATGGAGTAACCTGCTCCTGAATGACTCCTGGGTAAATAATGAAATTAAGGCAGAAATCAAGAAGTTATTTGAAACCCATGAGAACATAGAAACAATGTACCACAATCTCTGGGACACAGCTAAAGCAGTGTTAAAAGGGAAATTTATAGCACTAAATGCCCACAGCAGAAGCTAGAAAAATCTGAAATCTATACCCTAATATCACAATTAAAAGAGCTAGAAGGCAAGAGCAAGCTAATTCAAAAGCTAGCTGAAGACAAGAAATAACTAAGATCAGAGAAAAATTGAAGGAGATAGAGACATGAAAAGCCCTGCAAAAAATCAATGAATCCTGGAGCAGGTTTTTTGAAAAAATTAGCAAAATAGGTAGACCGCTAGCTAGACTAATAAAGAAGAGAGAGAAGAATCAAATAGACACAGTAAAAAATGATAAAGGGGATATCACCACTGACCCTACAGAAATACAAACTACCATCAGAGAATACTATAAACACCTCAATGCAAATAAACTAGAAAATCTAGAAGAAATGGATAAATTCCTGGACGCATACACCCTACCAAGACTAAACCAGGAAGAAATTGAATCCCTGAATAGACCAATAACAAGCTCTGAAATTGAGGCAGTAATTAATAGTCTACTAACCAAAAACAAAACAAAACAAAAGAAACAAAAAAAAATGAGAACACATGGACACAGGGAGGGGAACATCACACACAGGGGCGTGTCAGGGGGTGGGGGGCTCAGGGAGATATAGCATTAGGATAAATACCTAATGTAAGTGATGAGTTGGTGAGGGCAGCAAAACAACATGGCATATGTATACCTATGTGACAAACCTGCAAGTTGTGCATATTTACCCCAGAACTTAAAGTATAATGATAATTTAAAAAAGAAAAAAAAAAGCCCAGGACCAGACAGACTCACAGTTCAATTTTAGCAGAAATACTAAGAGGAGATGGTACCATTCCTTCTGAAACTATTCCAAACAATTGAAAAGGAGGGACTCCTCCCAAACTAATTTTATGAAGGCAGCATCATCCTGATACCAAAACCTGGCAGAGACACAACAAAAAAAGAAAATTTCAGGCCAATATACCTGATGAACATCGATGCAAAAATCCTGAATAAAATGCTGGCAAACCAAATCCAGCAGCACATCAAAAAGCTTATCCACCATGATCAAGTTGGTTTCATCCCTGGGATGCAAGGCTGTTTCAACATATGTAAATAAATAAATGTAATCCATCACATAAACAGAACCAAAGACAAAAATCACATGATTATCTCAATAGATGCAGAAAAGGCCTTTGATAAAATTCAACATCCCTTCATGTTAAAAACTCTCAATAAAGTAGGTTTTGATGGAACATATCTCAAAATAATAAGAGCTATTTATGACAAACCCACAGCCAATATCGTACTGAATGGGCAAAAGCTGGAAACATTCCCTTTGCAAACCAGTTCAAGACAAGGATGCCTTCTCTCCCTACTGCTATTTAACATAGTATTGGAAGTTCTGATCAGGACAATCAGGCAAGATAAAGAAATAAGGAGTATTCAAATAGGAGGAGAGGAAGTCAAGTTGTCTTTGTTTGCAGATGACATAATTTTGTATTTAGAAAACCCAATCATCTCAGCCCAAAAACTTGAACTGATAAGCAACATTAGCAAAGTCTCAGGATACCCATCACAAGTATTCCTTTATACCAACAACAGGCAAGCAGAGAGCCAAATCATGAATGAATTCCCATTCACAATCACTACAAAGAGATTAAAATACCTAGGAATACAGTGAACACGGGAGGTGAAGGACCTCTTCAAGGAGAACTACAAACCACTGCTCAAGGAAATAAGAGAGGATACAAACAAATGGAAAAAAATTCCATCCTCATGGATATAGGAAGAATCAATATTGCAAAAATGGCCATACTGCCCAAAGTAATTTATAGATTCAATGCTATTCCCATCAAACTACCATTGACATTCTTCACAGACAGAAAAAACGATTTTAAATTTCATTTGGAATCAAAGAAGACTCCGTATAGCTAAGACAATCCTAAGCAAAAAGAATAAAGCTGGAGGTATCACACTATCTACCTTCAAACTATACAACAAGGCTACAGTAACCAAAACAGCATGCTAGTGGTACCAAAACAGACATATAGACCAATGGAGCAGAACAGAGACTTCAGAAATAACACCACACATCTACAACCATCTGATCTTTGACAAACCTGACAAAAACAAGCAATGGAGAAAGGATCTCCTGTTCAGTAAATGGTGCTGGGAAAACTGGCCAGCCATATGCAGAAAACTGAGACTGGACCCCTTCCTTACATCTTATACAAAAATTAACTCAAGATGGATCAAAGACTTAAATGTAAAACCCAAAGCCATAAAAACCCTAGAAGAAAACCTAGGCAATACCATTCAGGACATAGGCATGGCCAAAGACTTCATGACAAAAACACCAAAAGCAATCACAACAAAAGCCAAAATTGACAAATGGGATCTAATTAAACTAAAGAGCTTCTGCACAACAAAAGAAACTAGCATCAGAGTGAACAGACAACCTACACATAGGATAAAATTTTTGCAATCTACCCACCTGACAAAGGTCTAATATTCAGAATTTACAAGGAACTTAAACATGTTTACAAGAAAAAGACAAACAATCCCATCAAAAAGTGGGCAAAGGATATGAGCAGACACCTCTCAAAAAAAAAAAGACATTCACATGACCAACAAATATATGAAAAAAACTCAACATCACTGATCATTAGAGAAATGCAATTCAAAACCAGACAGTCAGAATGGCGATTATTAAAAAGTCAACAAGCAATAGAAGATGGTGAGGCTGTGAAAAAATAGAGACACTTTTACACTGTTGGTGGGAATGTAAATTAGTTCAATCATTGTGGAAGACAATGTGGTGATTCCGCAAAGACCTAGAACCAGAAATACCATTTAACCCAGCAATCTCATTACTGGGTATATACCCAGAGGAATAGAAATCATTCTACTATAAAGACACATGCACAGGTATGTTGATTGCAGCACCATTTACAATAGCAAAGACATGGAACCAACCCAAATGCCCATCAAGGATGGACTGGATAAAGAAAATGTGGTACATATACACCATCGAATACTATGCAGCTATAAAATGAATGAAATCATGTCCTTTTCAGGGACATGGATTAAGCTGGGAACCATCATCCTCAGCAAACTAACAAAGGAACAGAAAACCAAACACTGCATGTTCTCACTCATAACTGGGAATTGAACATTGAGAACACATGGACACAGAGAGAGGAAAAACACACACCAGGGCCTGTTTGGGGGTAGAGGGTGAGAGTAAGGGGAGGGAACTTACAGGACAGGTCAATAAGGGCAGCAAACCACCATGGCACACATATGCCTGTGAAACAAACCTGCATGTTTTGTACATGTATCTTTTTTTTTTAAGAAGAAATAAGAAAAAATTTCTCAGGAGAAAGAAGAATAGAAGAGCATGCTATGGTTTGACCTTCTTATTGGCATGTCTGGGGACCTGAACTCCAGTCAATAACAAGTTGTTCCTTTGGGTTTTGAAGATAGCATAGGGGAATATGGAACTTTAGTGAAGGGATAAAAAGAAAAGGGAAGACAAACTTTCCCTGCTTTATAATTTTGTCAAGGGACAGCCTTTCATAAAAACCATTTGGTTTTCAGTATCTCTTATGGGATATATAAAGGGATGAAAGAAACAGTTGATGACATTGACATGATTCACAAAACATGTGCCTCTAAATAATGAGACCCTTTATCTTGGAGACAAATCTAAAGGGTATGAGAGAAACCTATATATGATTCACTTTAAAAAATTAAAGATGTATAATTTCCTTTCTGAGGCTGTAATCTTTTGATCTTTTTTAGATGTTGTACCAGGATATGAAAGCTGAGGGATCGGTAGAAGTAGCATCAATTCATTACTGAACTTCTTGATGGTAAAATGATTTGCCATTAGGTTTCTGTTTATTTGGCTGCTAGGAGGTCGAGAACACTGGAAAAGATGAAATAATTTTTTAAATTAGAAAACCGTCTCTGTTCAAATTTCATAGCTTGTCTATAAATGATGTCATCTGCTAGCTAAAATATTATTAAGAAGAATGAGTAAATCATTGTGATGGGGGTGGGGAAAGCAAACGTTTGCAGTAGGAGGTTTTGAAAGCTGTTGATAGCCTCCTCAACCTGAGGTCTGTTTATTAAGAGACTTTGAGTGGAATCATGCCTTCCTAAATAAACAAAGAGCCTTATCTTATTCACCTGGGTAAGTCCTTTTGCTCAGGACTTAACTGTCTGCATTGGAGATAATTTTCTGTTGACTGTCCGGTTTATATGGATTGGGAAGCCATGCTTTAAGTAATTATACAAATAATGAAACCTGAGCAAAGCTGGTATAGTGCTGTTTTGTTGATGGGGTGGTAGCAGGGTAATGGTGGTGGCAATGAGGTGGGGGTGGGAGGGTGGTGGAGGGAGATATACTGAAATGTATATTATGAGCAAGTGTCTGCCCTCATGTCCAGATAAAATGCTAAGGGTGGTAGGAACCTTAGAAGCAAAAACAATGACAGAGGATTATGAATAAATCACTGCCAAGGGATTTGGCTTTGGGGCTTGATCTAAAGTATGATCCAGGTGACCCAGTGAATGTTCTAGAAGAAACAATGCCTAAGAGTTAGTGGCCAGCTCTTGGGGTTAGAGGTTAGCCCTACTTGAGAATATGCTTTGAGTCCTGCTGTACGTAGCAATCTAAGCAAAACATTCCTGTGAGAGAAACCTCTGAGGACCATTTCCCATGTGCTATCAAGTCATATTTATGTCCTGAATGTCCTCAAGGTCATGTGTTATCCTTCATAACTCTTTCTTAGGCTTTTCTCTGGAGCAGGAGTTAGCTTTACACTAAATGTAGACAAGAATGTTTCCATATTTCTTATCCTAGGGTTTCTCTTTAGCTTCTGATACAGCTTTTTTTTTTTTTAATAGGGAGCTGAATCTCTGAAAGTCCCCTATTGAGTCTTTACAAACAGAAGTCACATTTGTGACTACCAGATCATGTCATGTTTGATAATATTAAGAATAGGCCATAATGCATTTTGGCCATGAGTTTAGAATCTTACGCGTGATTTCCTTCCAAATTCTTGGGTTAGAGACTATCTCTATCTAGTTCTGGTAATTTATCTATTGTATATGCACATCTTCGTTATTGACCATTGCTTCACCCAGTTATACCAGCTTGTGCCTTTCAGAAACAATGGGGAAGAAGAAATTCCTTAGGTGTTCATCTCACTGTAGATTGATACAAGGATTTTTTTCAATTGGCTACCCATTTCTCTAAAGCATTTTCTCTGCCTATAGTCAATAAGTGAACATTTTAAAATTCTCTTTAGTTTCGTTTTTTCCCCTTTGAGATTTGTAAAAACTATTTTTCTTGTTTTTGTTAGTCCTGGCAAAACTTTCCTCAAAGTTGTTATAGGGCTTTATATTTTATATTTAATCTGTCATATAGGCTTTCCTGTATGTTTTCACTAGGACTTGTTCTTTTAAACATGCCTCTTTTCATTCCAAAACCATTTGGGTTATTCTAGTTAGTGTCAGGACCCAGGGTTGGTGGGCACTGAGACTAGTCAGGTCACAGAAGGTCAACTTTAAGGGTCAGATCTAACAGATGAGACACTTGCCAAGATGTGGCAGTCAAATCTAGAAAGTCATGACAAGACAGACGGTTTGGAGAGAACATCAGAGAAGTGTGACAGCCAGCCATGGGTGAGGTACCACACAAGTTCAGTGGTGAGCACTCAGCCTGTGAAAGAATCTGATATTAATAGGTGGAATCCAGTTTTAGGACTTTTAGTAAAAAGCAAGGAAGGATCCTGGGACCAGAGGACTCAGTTAAGGATCCCAGATAGTTACTAGACCTGGGTAGGGAACAAGTTAGGAAGGGCATATTCACTAGAAATGGGCCATGAAGTATTAGTTGGGCCCATAGCCAGTCTTCAATGTGAAGCTGCCAAACTAATTGTAAAGGAGTGTTTAAATTTCCCATAGCTACAGAAAGAAAAACCCTTGGAGTGAAGGTGAGTTTACAGATAGGGCCTAAAGAACTCTGCAGAATATTAGAGAGGTATGGGAAATAGGGCCAGATAGTCTTTGCATGTTTTTGTTAATATTTTAAGTACCTAACATATATTTGTCTTAAATTTTAAATTTGTTCAAAGACTTTTCATATTCCTTGGTTATTTACTACCCCTCCACTATGTCCATGTTTTCTTTTTTTATTATTATTATACTTTAAGTTCTAGGGTACATGTGCACAATGTGCAGGTTTGTTACATATGTATACATGTGCCGTGTTGGTTTGCTGCACCGGTTAACTCATCATTTACATTAGGTATTTCTCCTAATGCTGTCCCTCCCCCATGCCCCCACCTCAGGACAGGCCCCAGTGTGTGATGTTCCCCGCCCTGTGTCCAAGTGTTCTCATTGTTCAATTCCCACCTATGACTGAGAGCATGGGGTGTTTGGTTTCCTGTCTTTATGATAGTTTGCTCAGAATGATGGTTTCCAGCTTCATCCATGTCCCTTCAAAGGACATGAACTCATCCTTTTTTATGGCTGCATAGTATTCCATGGTGTATATGTGCCACATTTTCTTAATCCAGTCTATCATTGATGGACATTTGGGTTGGTTCCAAGTCTTTGCTATTGTGAATAGTGCCACAATAAACATACGTGTGCATGTGCCTTTATAGTAGCATGATTTATAATCCTTTGGGTATATACCCAGTAATGGGATGGCTGGGTCAAACGGTATTTCTAGTTCTAGATCCTTGAGGAATCGCCACACTTTCTTCCACAATGGTTGAACTAGTTTACACTCCCACCAACAGTGTAAAAGTGTTCCTATTTCTCCACATCCTCTCCAGTACCTGTTGTTTCCTGACTTTTTAATGATTGCCATTCTAACTGGTGTCAGATGGTATCTCATTGTGGTTTTGATTTGCATTTCTCTGATGGCCAGTGATGGTGAGCATTGTTTCATGTGTCCGTTGTCTGCATAAATGTCTTCTTTTGAAAACTGTCTGTTCGTATCCTTTGCCCACTTTTTGATGGTTTTTATTTTGACTTTTTCTTGTAAATTTGTTTAAGTTCTTTGTAGATTCTGAATATTAGCCTTTTGTCCGATGGGTAGATTGCAAAAATTTTCACCCATTCTGTAGGCTGCTTGTTCACTCTGATGATAGTTTCTTTTGCTGTGCAGAAGCTCTTTAGTTTAATTAAATCCCATTTGTCAATTTTGGCTTTTGTTGCCACTGCTTTTGGTGATTCAGTCATGAAGTCCTTGTCCATGCCTATGTCCTGAATGGTATTGCCTAGCTTTTCTTCTGGAGTTTTTATGGTTTTAGGTCTAACATTTAAGTCTTTAATCCATCTTGAACTAATTTTTATATAAGGTGTAAGGAAGGGATCCAGTTTCAGCTCTCTACATATGGCTAACCAGTTTTCCCAGCACCATTTATTAAATAGAGAATCCTTTCCCCATTTCTTGTTTTTGTCAGGTTTGTCAAATATTAGATGGTTGTAAATGTGTGGTGTTATTTCCGAGGCCTCTGTTCTGTTCCATTGGTCTATATCTCTGTTTTGGCACCAGTACCATGCTGTTTTGGTTACTGTAGCCTTGTAGTATAGTTTGAAGTCAGGTAGCGTGATGCCTCCAGCTTTGTTCTTTTTGCTTAGGATTGTCTTGGCAATGCAGGCTCTTTGTTGGTTCCATATGAACTTTAAAGTAGTTTTTTCCAATTCTGTGATGAAAGTTATTGGTAGCTTGATGGGGATGGCATTGAATCTATAAATTACCTTGGGCAGTATGGCCATTTTCATGATATTGATTCTTCCTACCCATGAGCATGGAATGTTCTTCCATTTGTTTCTGTCCTCTTTTATTTCGTTGAGCAGTGGTTTGTAGTTCTCCTTGAAGAGGTCCTTCACATCCTTTGTAAGTTGAATTCCTAGGTATTTTATTCTCTTTGTAGCAATTGTGAATGGGAGTCCATGTTTTCTTAACTCCCTTTTTAAAAAATTGAGTATCTGTGTGATTGATTTCATAGGTTTTCATCTTCCACCAGAATGCCAAATTAAATTGCCCTGTGATTTTTTTTACATAATAGACCATTCACAGTCACCTTTGTGCTTAAAACCAATTTCAATGCCTTGCTTAATGACAGGGATACTTCTGAGAAATGTGTTGTTAGGTAGTTTCATCATTGTGCCAACATCATGGAATGTACTTGCATAAATCTTGATAGTATACCCTATTACACACTTAGGCTATATGGTATAGCCTATTGCTCCTAGGCTACAAACATGTACAGCATGTTACTGTGTAGGCGATTGTTTTTCCTTTAAAAAAAAATAGAGACAGGGTCTACCTATGTTTCCAATGCTGGTCTTGAACTCCTGGGCTCATGCAGTCCTTCTGCCCTAGCCTCCCAAAGTGCTGGGATTACAAGTGTGAGCAGTCATGCCCAGCCTTTTAGGCAATTATAGCGCAATGCTAAGTATTTCTGTATCTAAACATATCTATAGAAAAGATACGTTAAAATATGGCATAAAAGATAAAAAATGGCCAGGCACAGTGACTCATGCCTGTAATCCCAGCACTGGGAGGCTGAAGTGGGCAAATTGCTCGAGCCCAGAAGATCAAGACCAGCCTAGGCAACATGGTGAAAATTCATTTCTACAAAAAATTTAACAAATAGCTGAGTGTGGTGGCACACGCCTGTGGTCCCAGCTACTCAAGAGGCTGAGGTAGGAGCATTGCTTGAGCCCGGGAGGTTAAAACTGCAGTAAGCCATGATCATGCCACTGCACTCCAGCCTGGGCAATAGAGTGAGACCCTGTCAAAAAAAAAAAAAAAGATAAAAATAGTACACTTGTATAGGGCCTTGCAGAACTGGATGTTGCTTTGGGTGAGTCAGTGAGTGAGTGGTGAGGGAATGTGAAGGCCTAGAACATTACTGTTCACTACTGTACACTTTTTAAACAGTGTACACTTAGGCTACACTACATTTATTTTTAAATATTTTTCTTTAATAAATTAACCTTTGCTTACTGTAACATTTTACTTTATAAACTTTTAATTTTTAAACTTTTTGACACTGTAATAACACTTAGTTTAAACACAAACATATTGTACAGCTGTACAAAAATATTTTCTTTCTGTATATATGTATTCTATATGCTTTTTTCAATTTTTAGAATATTTTATTTTTTTACTTAAACTTTTTTTGTAAAAAACTAAGTCACAGACATATACATTAGCCTAGCCCTACAGAGGGTAAGGATCATCAACCTCATTGTCTTCCACCTCTACATCTTGTCCTACTGGAAGATATTCAGGGGCAGTCACATGCATAGGGCTGTCATCTCTTTGGATAGCAATGCCTTCTTCTGGAATACCTTCTGAAGGACATGCCTGAGGCTGTTACCATTAACTTTTTTATAATTAGAAGGAGCACGCTCTAAAATAATGATTAAAAAGTATAGTATAATAATTACACAAACCAGTAACATAGTCATTTATTATTATCAAGTATTATATACTATACATAATTGTGTGTGCTATACTTTTATACACCTTGCAATGCAAGAGTTTTGTTTACACCAGCATCGCCACAAACACGTGAGTCATGTGACATACTAAGATATTATGATGGCTATGATGTCACTAAGCAATAGGAATTTTTCAGTTTTATCATAATCGTTGGGACCACAGTCATCTAGGCAGTCCATTATTGACCAAAACATTATTATGTGGTGCATGACTACAGTTTATATTTTTCATTGTTTTTAATACTGTGTAAACTACCTCAGTGCCCAGCACACAGCAGGCAGTTAAGAAATTTTGCTTGAAGTGACTTAAAATGAACAAGGGAATTTTGACAAGGATGTAGAGAAATGTAGGTGTCGTGCTTGAAAACTTTACTGTTTTCAATTGCTGTCCTCCAGAAAAAGAAGTAATCCAAGAATATATTAGATAATTTTGGAATGGGAATCTAAGAGCGAAAATACATTTATGGATAAAATAACTTTCCCTAGTTAATTTTGAAGATCATAGATAGTAGACTCATGGATTGAATAAAGCCCTGGATAAGCAGAAAACTTTGAGGCCTTTTATAAAATTTATTTATTTATTTGAGACAGAGTCTTGCTCTGATGCCAGGCCAGAGCACAGTGGCGCAATCTTGGCTCACTGCAACCTCCTACTTCCTGGTTCAAGTGATTCTCTTGCCTCAGCCTCCGGAGTAGCTGGGATTACAGGCACACACCACCATGCCCAGTTAATTTTTGCATTTTTAGTAGAGACGGGGTTTTGCCATGTTGGCCAGGATGGTCTTGATCTCCTAACCTTGTGATCTGCCCGCCTCGGCCTCCCAAAGTGCTGGGATTACAGGTGTGAGCCACCATGCCCAGCCTATAAAATTTATCTTTTATTCACCTGTTTGTTTCTCAGAAAATTTTTGGCAAGTTGGCTTTTTGCACATATATTTCTTCAGCTTCAATTTTTTTTAAATTGTGGTAAAATATATACAACATAAAATCTGCCATTTGGCCATTTAAAAAAATATACTGTTAAAGTAGCATTAAATACATTCACCTTCTTGTTCAGCCATCATCACTATCCATCTCTAGAACTTTAAAATATCTCCCCAAATTGAAACTTCATATGCATTAAACATAACTCCCCATTCCCTGTCCCTGCAGCCCTTCGATACCACCATTCTACTTTCTGTCTCTATGAATTTGACTTTTCTAGGTACCTCAGAGTTAGGGGACATAGAGACGGATCTCTTAGACAGCTTAAAACATTGTAAATTATGTACACTTTGCTCTCTCTGGTTCAAGGAAGGGAACTGGAGACCAGGCTACCACTTCTCTGCAAATCATGCCACTCCATGCCATGGTAGGTGTGAAGCAAGCATGAATAAAAAGACCATAGAATTTTCTATCGTTTTGAATGTGGCTTTTTCTTGATTGAGTGTTTGCTTGGTTGCTGTAGGACTTTGACTGGTTTTTCAGAGCTTCTGTAAAGTAATTTCAGTCAGTCTGTTGCTGTTTACTTAATGTTTCTATGGGGGAATGAGGGCCTGAAGCTTCCTAGTCTGCCATTTTGCTGATGTCACACTCCTAGCTTCAGGTTTGACCTAAAGATGAGACTACTAAGGAATGACTATTTGGATTTTATTGGCCATAAATATCCACACAGAGCCCAAACTATGACTAGTTGGGGGAAATTTTGTCTATGGCTGACAATGGCACAGTCAATGTTTTAACCTCAGGGTAGAAATATGTACCATTTCCTAGATAAACTAATTTTCTTTATGAAAATGTATGGAATCAAAGGGACTGATATCTAAATTTTAAGCTGTTGTAATTGTTCAGAGAGGCAGTTTGTCATGTGTTTCAAGCATTCTTGAATGTAATTGCTGATTGTGTTTCTGTAGTTGAGCAGTTAAATAGATCAAGTCCAGCACAGCATGTGACAACTGTTTGCCCTCTGAGGGGAAGTGGTAGGGGGACTGGATTTTTTACTGCTTGTTCTAAAAGGTGCTAAACCCTTGGCACTGAGTCCTTTAGTTCCAGTACTTCTGCATGTATAGATTCCATCTGGCTGATCCCATCACTCTGTGGGACTCAGAGGCAAGGGAAGCAGCAATACAAGGCTGATGATCCTGCTGTTTAATGTGCTACCTTACTCTGATCTGAGTCTCATTGTATAGTTTGGGCTATTCTATGGAATGGTGGAAAACTGCTTTCTTTGTCATCTCCTTGTAGTCTTAGTATTTCTTGCCATCCTATATGAGGCTGGAATTCTTCCTTGGCAGTAATGGCTTTTTGTTACTAAAATGAGAGTAATAATTGTGTTTTTGAATATTCAGTTATAGGGTTTTTGTGGGTATGTATATTTGTGTGTGTGTGTATGAATGTATGCTCATTTTACTGATTGGAGGTTGGTGCTATGATATCACTAGATGCCCTAATCATCATTTAGAAGTATGGACCATATGGAGATTGGCAGTTCTTCTCCAGGTTGGAATTGAGTATTGAAGTAGCCTAACTCTGAAGATGATAGACCAGTCAGGGAGCACAGGCTGTCTTGAAAAGAGAGCACTCCACTAGTTCCAATGGCAGGTTGCTTGGATTGAAATTGGTGAAGAAACCTAGGCTCTAGCTGAGACAGATGGACACAAGAAGAAAGTGGTGGTGCAGGATGTGGAAGGCAGGGATAATAACAATTGACTCTATGTAATTAATATTTTTCTGGGCACCTTCCATATAGCATTTCTAATCTCACAGTAACCTTGTTTTGAGACAGGGGTTATCATCAATTTATAGGAGTGGAACCTGGGGCTGCAAAATATTAAATGATTCACCCAAAGCCATATAGCTAAGTAAGAAGGAAAACCTGGATTCAAACCTTGGTCTGTAAGACTCCAAGGTCTGTGCTCTTAAACACTATGCCCTACTTTCTCTCAGAGTCATAATCACCCTATGACATAGAATGGGGTAAAATTTACCCATTTCATACAGTGATGTTTTATGAAAGATTTCTTTTGAGAAAGAAAGAAAAGATTTTGCTGTATTGTAAATGAATTGAAACCACTGAATAGCACTAACCTCGGACTACACTAGTTGAAGGGATTCCCTGAATCATTCTAGCTTTTCCTTGAAGCGACAGTAAAGAGATAATCAGAGGGTCTCAACAAATCACCTAATTCAAATAGGCCCCTGAGGAAAATATTCAAACATTTGTTTCATGAAGAATAGGGTATAGCACTTTCTTAAACATGACTGATTTTCAGAATAATAAGACCACATAAACTGGATAACCTCAGGACTGGTTTTTTGTTAAAAGTCAGGTTTATTGGAGTTTGAGACCAGCCTGGCCAACATAGTGAAACCCTGTCTCTACTAAAAATACAAAAATTGACGGGGAGTGGTGGCATGCACCTGTAATGCCAGCTATTTGGGAAGCTGCAGGAGAATCGCTTGAACCCGCAGGGTGGAGCTTGCAGTGAGCTGAGATCATGCCACTGTGCCCCAGCCTGGGCGACAGAGTGACTCCATCTGAAAAAAATTAAAATTAAAATTAAAAATTTGAAAAAGTATAATTTATATACAGAAAAAATTAACCCTTTTGATATGGTCTGAATCTCATCTTGAATCGTAATCTGAAATGTAATCCCCACGTGTTGTGGGAGGGACCTCATGGGAAGTATGGATCATGGGGGTGGTGCACCTATGCTCTTCCTGTAATAGTGAGTGAGTTATCATGAGATCTAATGGCTTTATAAGGGGCTTTCCCCTTGGCTCAGCACTCATTCTCTCTCCTGCCACCCTGTGAAGAGGTGCCTTCCACCATCATTTTAAATTTCTTGAGGATTTCCCAGCCACGAAGAACTGTGAGTCAATTAAACCTCTTTCCTTTATAAATTATCCAATCTTGGTCAATTCTTTATAGCAGCATGAGAATGGACTAATACAGTAAATTGATACCTCAGAGAGTGGGGTGCTGCTATAAGGATACCCAAAAATGTGGAAGCAACTTTGGAACTGGGTAATAAGCTGAGGTTGGAACAGTTTGGAGGGCTCAGAAGAAGACAGGAAAATGTGAGAAAATTTGGAACTTCCTAGAGACTTGGAGGGCTCAGAAGACAGGAAGATGTGGGAAAGTTTGGAACTTCCTAGAGACTTATTGAATGGCTTTGAACAAAATGCTGATAGTGATATGGACAATAAAGTCCAGGCTGAGGTGGTCTCAGATGGAAATGATAAACTTGTTGGGAACTGGAGCACAGGTCACTCTTGCCATGCAGACACTGGTGGCATTTTGCCCCTGCCCTAGAGCTCTGTGGAACTTTGAACTTGAGAGAGATGAGTTAGGGTATCTGGCAGGAGAAATTTCTAAGGAGCAAAGCATTCAAGAGTTGACTTGGGTGTTGTTAAAAGCATTCAGTTTTACATATTCACAAAGTTATGGTTTGGAATTGGAACTTTTGTTTAAAAGGGAAGCAGAGCTTTTCAGAAAATTTGCAGCCTGATGATGTGACAGAAAAGAAAAATCAATTTTCTGAGGAGAAATTCAAGCCATTCAAGCCGCTGCAAAAATTTAGTAGAAAGTAATGAGGAGCCAAATGTTAATTGCTAAGACAATGGGAAAAATGTCTCCAGGGCATGTCAGAGGTCTTCATGGAAGCCCCTCCCATCACAGCCCTGGAGGCCTAGGAGGAAAGAGTGGTTTTGTGGGCCAGCCCAGGGCCTTGCTGCTTTGTGCAGTCTTGGGACTTGGTGCCCTGTGTCCCAGCCATGGCTAAAAGGGGCCAACATACAGCTCAGGCCGTTGTTTCAGAGGATGCAAGCCCCAAGCCTTAGCAATTTCTACATGGTGTTGGGCCTGCAGATGCACAGAAGTCAAGAATTGAGATTTGGGAGCCTCCACCTAGATTTTAGAGGATGTATGTAAATGCCTGGATGTGTAGGCTGAAGTTTGCTTCAGGGATAGAGCCCTCATGGAGAACCTATGCTAGGGCAGTGAAGAAGGGAAATGTGGGGTCAGAGCCCCCACACAGAGTCCCTGCTAGGGCACTGCCTAGTGGAGCTGTGTGAAGAGGGCTACCATCCTCCAGATTCCAAAATGGTAGATCCACTGACAGCTTGCACTGTGCCAACTGGAAAAGTCACAGACACTCAATGGCAGCTTGTGAAAGCAGCCAGGAGAGGAGCTGTACCCTGCCAAGCCACAGGAGCAGAGCTGCCCAAGTTTGTGGGAGCCCACCTCTTACATCAGTGTGACCTGGGTGTGAGACATGGAGTAAAAGGAGATCATGTTGGAGCTTTAAGATTTGACTGCCCCGCTGGATTTCAGACTTGCATAGGGTATGTAGCCCCTTTGTTTTTGCCAATTTTTCCTTTTTGGAACAGGAGCATTTACCCAATGCTTTTACCCCCATTGTATCTTGGAAGTAACTAACTGGCTTTTGATTTTACAGGCTCCTAGGTTGAAGGGATTTACCTTGTTTCAGATGAGACTTTGGACTTGGACTTTTGGGTTAATGCTGAAATGAGTTAAGAATTTGGAAAACTGTTGGGACAGCATAATTGTGTTTTGAAATGTGAGAAAGATGCAATTGGAGAGGGGTCAGAAGTGGAATGATATGGACTGGCTCTGTGTCCCTACCCAAATTTTATCTTGAATTGTAATCTGATTTTTAATCCCCATGTGTTGGGGGAGGGACCTCATGGGAGGTAAGTAGATCATAGGGGGATTCCCCCATGCTATTCTCATGATGGTGAGTCAGTTCTCACAAGATGTGATAATTTTATAAGGGGCTTCCCTTTTGGCTCAGCACTCATTCTCTCTCCTACTGCCCTGTGAAGAGGTGCCTTCTGCCATGATTACAAATTTCTTGAGGTCTACTCAGTCATGCAGAACTGTGAGTCAATTAAACCTCTTTCCTTTATGAATTACCCAGTCTCAGAGAGTTCTTTATAGCAGCATAAGAACATACTAATACACTTTTTAATATAGAGTTTTATGAGTTTAAATAAACACAGATTCAGGTAACCACCATAATCAAGATATATATTTCTCATGTTTTTTCATAATCAATCCCCCCCTAACTCCAGCATCTAGCAAGTATCGATCTGTTTTCTGGACCTGTTTGTTGTACCTTTTCCACAGTGACATGTAAGTGTAATCATACAGTATGTACCTTTTTGAGTTTGGTATCTTTCATTCATTGTAATGCATTTGACATCTAGCTATGTTTCTGCATCTATTAGTAGTTTGTCCATTTTTGTGGCTGAGTAGGATTTCCCTGTATGGATGTTAACACAGATTGCTGATCTGTACAGCAGGTGATAGATATTTGGGTAGTTTCCAGTTCTGAGTGATTATGAATAAAGCTGATATGAACATTCATGCATAAACTTTTATGTGGATATAGGTTTTCATTTCTCTAAGTTAAATACTTAAGAATGGAATCACTGAGTTATATGGTAAGTGTATGTGCAATTGTATAAGAAACTGCTAACTCGTTTTTCAAAGTGGCTGTACCATTTTTTATTTCCAACAAAAATGTATGAGGTTGCTCTACATCTTTATCAGCTCTTGATATTATCAGTGTTGGAAACTTTAGTGATTCTAATGTTGTACAGTAGTATGTCATTGTGATTTTAATTTACATTTCCTTAATGTTTAATTAAGTTAAGCTTCTTTTCATGTGCTTATTTGGCATCTTTTTCAAAATATGAAATTTTGCTCAAATCTTTATCTCATTTTTAAAAAATGCGTTGATGGCTTTCTTTTTATAGAGTTGTTAGAGTTCTTCATATGTTCTCCATGCAAGTACTTTATCAGATACATGGTTTGTAAATATTTTCTCCCAGACTGTAGCTTGCCTTTTAATTTTCTTAACAATGTCTTTGGAGGAAAACACTTTAATTTTGATAAAGTCCAATTTATTATTTTTTTCTTTTATGGTTTATGCTTTTTGGGTCCTATTTAAAAATCCTCATCTAACACAAAGTTACAGAAGTTTCTCCTATGTTTTCTAATAAATGTTTTATAATTTTAGGTGTATGTAGTAGTCAGGGTTCTCTAGACAGAACTAATAGGATATATACATGAGTTTATTAAGGAGTATTAACTCACAAGATCACAAGGTCCCACAATAGGCCATCTGCAAGCTGAAGAGCAAGGACACCAGTCGGGGTCCCATAGCTGAAGAACTTGGAGTCCGATGTTCTAGGGCAGAAAGCATCCAGCATGGGAGAAAGATGTAGGCTGAGAGGCTAAGCCAGTCAAGCCTTTTCATGTTCTGCCTGCTTTTTATTCTGGCTGACTGGGCAGCTGATTAGATTTTGCCCACCCAGATTAAGGGAGTGTCTGCCTTTTCCAGTCCACTGACTCAAATGTTAATCTCCTTTGGCAACACTCTCTCAGACACACCCAGGAACAATACTTTGTATCCTTCAATCCAATCAACTTGACACTCAGTATTAACCATCACAAGTCCACCCCTTGTCAACTTGAACCCATACACATCTCCTGAGATTATACATAATCTTTAAATAAAGACAATAAGGTCATAATTATGCCTAACATAATACAACTATCCTTTGTACAACTGAAAACACACCAATTCCCAACCCAAATACTATTACATAAAGTTAACAATACTTAAGTGCTAATGTGAAGTCAATAAATCTTATATCACATGATAAAGGAGAAAGTAAATAAAATGCAGATTTTTTTTAGTACAAGTGTATACATGCACAAAATGTTTTTAACAAAAGGAGGAGGAAATACTCATGACAATTATAGTCCTCATTTCTGCAGCTGGTCAAGTGGTTGTAGCGGGTATTCAGACTACTGTCTTCTACTACCCATTGTGTATTCCCTTTGCCTTCAGCAAGCACCTCAGCAGATGGTGGAGTGACCCAAGCCTTCATTCCTTAAGGGTCTGGGCCATTTGTAGTCCTGCCTGTATTGGGCTTTTGTAGCTTTCCATTAATCTTAATCACAGGGCATGGTAATACTAAGAAGCACCCTAATGGATCTCTTGTATTCCATGCATATTCTTCCTTACCTGCATTGTGGAGTTGTAGACTGATTTCAACTTGATAGTCTGGGCCAGTCACCCCAGCGAACACTGTAACTCCCTTTCCAGCCTGTTGACTTAAAGATAGAAGGAGCCCAAAGTATCCAGGTGGCAATCTTAACTTCCAGTTTAATGGAATTGTTGTTGTGTCTCCTGGTGGCAGCGTTCCTCCCTCTGGAACTAAGACCACTAGGCCGGCAGAACATAATGTCATGGGAACAGGAAGCAAAAATTTTGCTAGTGGGTCACTAGAAGTGATGGTGAGTGTTGCCACTTCCACTGGGTAACATATAGGTCTATGATCCATTTTTAGTAAATTTTTATATGGTGTGATGGTTGAAGGCACTGATCAAAGTTCTTTTTTCTTTTTGCATATGAATGTTCAATTGTTTCAACAGTATTCATTGATGAGGCTTTTCTTTATCCATTGAATTACTTTGACACCTTTGTGGAAAATCAACTGATCATATATGTATGGGCCTATTTCTGGACTCAAGTATGTTCCTTTGGTCTATGTGTCTTCTTTCAGCAATATACCAAAGTGTAGTAATTACTATAGTTTTATAGCAAGTCATCGGTTCAGGTGGTGTGAGGCCTCCAACTTTGTTCTTTTTCAAAATTGTTTTGGCTCTTCTAGGTCCTTTGCTTTTCATGTTAATTTTAGAATTAACTTGTTTATCTCTATTTTTTAAAAAGTTTGTTGGTATTTAAAAAATTTTTAATTTTGTGGATACATAATAGCGGTATATATTTATGGGGTACATGAGATACTTTGATACAGGCATACAATGTGTAATAATCACATCAGAGTAAATGGTGTATCCATTACCTTAGGAATTGATCCTTTGTGTTAAAAATATTCCAATTATACTCTTTTAGTTATTTTTAAATTTACAATTAAATTATTATTGACTCTAGTCACCCTGTTGTGCTAACAAATACTACATCTTATTCATTCTTTCTATTTTTAGTACCGATTAACCATCCCCACTTCACCCCTGCCCACTCCTCACTACCCTTCTCAGCCTTGGTAACCATCCTTCTACTCTCTATCTCCATGATTTTGATTGTTTTAAGTTTTAACTCCTATAAATAGGTGAGAACATGCGATATGTGTCTTTCTGTGCCCGACTTATTTCACTTAACATAATGACCTCCAGTTCCATTTATGTTGTTGCAAATGACTGAATCTCATTATTTTTTATGGATGAATAGTCCTCCATTGTGTATAAGTACCGGATTTTCTTTATCCATTCATCTGTTGATAGATGCTTAGGTTGCTTCCAAATCTTAGCTATTGTAAACAGTGCTGCAAAAAACATAGGAGTGCAGATATATTAATATCTTGAATATACTGATTAACTTTCTTTTGGGCATATACTCAGCAGTGGGATGGCTGAATCATATGGTGGCTCAATTTTTAGTTTCTTGAAGAACTTCCAGACTGTTCTTCATAATGATTGTACTAATTTACTTTCCCACCAACAGTGTACAAAAACCCTATAACTGAATATTCAAAAATAAAAGTATTACTTTATAGATTGTCTGTTTATTCTGTTGCTGTGCAGCTTTTTTTTTTTGCTGTGCAGAAGCTCTTAAGTTTAATTAGACCTAATTTGTCAGTTTTTGCTTTTGCTGATTTTCACATGTTCACCTCGTATCTTGTGTACTTGCTAAACTTTATTCATTAATTCTAGGACCTATTTTTGCGGATTTTGTCAGATTTTCTAAATAGAAAGTCATGACATCAGTGAGTAGGGACAGTTTTATAAGTTTCTTTCCAGTTTGTATGTATTTTGTTTCTTTTTATTGCCTCATTACACTGATCAGAATCTCTAGCATGATGTTAAATGTGATTGGAAACAGTGAACATCCTTGCCTTATTACTTATTAGGAAAATATTCTACCTTTCACTGTTAATGGATAACGCTATCTGTAAGACTTTTTTCTATAGACACCATTTATCTACAAAATTCTCATTTATTTCTAGATTGCTGAGAGTTTTTATCATAAATGAGTTTTAATTTTGACAACATTTCTTATATCTGTTGGTATGGTTAATTACATTGATTTTTAAATTCATTGGATTAGCATAATAAAAATATAAGAATGAATGATAATGATAATTATTTATTGTTTCATTACCATATGTTAAGTACTCTATAGTGAGGAAATGTTAATTATTTATCCAACCTGATTCATTTCTGCTTCCATGGAAAGTGAACCTCCTATGATCTAGGGATGAGGGGTAGGTAAAAGCATGTTCCAGTCTAAAATATAAAACATAAAGGAAGAGCAACTTTTCATAGCTTCTCTTACATCTCCATTTTTATCTTTGATCAACACAAATATTTTGAGCGCCCTTCTATACAACAAGTACTGTGCTATAGGTATCTAGAGTACCTCTACTGAGTATAGAGCAATGAACAAAACTGACAAGGCCCTCACCCTTATGAGTCTTGTGGGGAAGAGAAAACCTAATCAAGTAATCACACAAATGTCAAAAGTATAACTGTTGTGAGTGTAAAGTATGAAAGCTACATGGTCCTATAACCTTGTTACAAAGGTAAAAAAAGGTTTCCCTGAGAAAGAGATAAAGAGAAGAAATTGGGACTTTTCTCAGGGTGCACATTTTACAACTGCAAGAGGTTCCATTCTTATGGACTACACCATGAAGAACATCCCCAGGAGCTGTGCAATGTGGTGGAACTGGAGGAATTGATGATTGAGGTAAGATCAGAAAGATGAGTAGGAGTGACTTAAGTTAATATCATGGGGTTTTCTTTCTAAGAAAAACATGTACAAAGTTCTTGTTGCAGAAGAAAGCAAGCATGGCAAGTTGGTTTCTAAAAAGGCTAGTGAGAACTGAGTAGAAAGAGAGTGAGAGCAAGAATGTGCAAGATAAACTGGAGAAATAGGCAAGAGGAGCCAGAACACTCATGATCTCAGAGATTTTATCAGGTAATTTAATTTTTATCCTAAGAGTTATGGGAAGCCAGTGAAGACTTAAGCAAGAGGGCCAGGAGGGCATGATTTAAAACATTTTTTTGCTGCATATACAAATAATTTAGAATTGGGAAGTGGATGTTGGTACACAAATTAGAGCCCTCTAGAGTGTTTTGGGCATTAGTTTTAAGGAGTATAATGGTGATCCTGGTAGGAATAAAAAGATGTAGAAGGATTTGAACGCATTTAGGAGGTATAAATGATTCCAGTTGTATATGGGAGAAGAGGAGAGATCCGTGGATGACACCTAGATTTCTATCTTGCATAACTGGATGATTAGTGCTTCCATTCATTAAGAGAGAAAGCACTGAAAGTGGACCAGGTAGGAGTGGGTTTGGGGACTGTTACCATCAATTCAGTTTTAGAGGTGTCAAATTTGAAAGATCTAAGAGATATCATATAGGCAGTTTGTTTTACAAATTTGAATAAAAAATGTTAATAGCTTTGGCTAGAACATTGCTAGTGGAACTGGAGAAAAGTGGATATGCATTCGAAAGATTTAGAAGATGCACTCAATACATCTTAGAAACTGATTAAATATTGGGAATGAAGGAGGTGGAAGTGTGTCAAGGATGACTTTAGTTTTAGACTTATGCAACTACATGGATAACCAAGATGAGTGATTGATGCTTGAATTAAAAGAGTGTATATTTGGCTATAGTTTTCTTTGTGCTGTGCCTCCAAGGAAGCTAAGTGAAATAAGGGATGCATGAGGTGGGGAGGAACTCTAAACTATGCATATGTGATAGAAACGTGCGTGTACTTTTGATTTTTTTCAGCGTTAATTAGGCCCAGGAAAGATTCTCAGTTGTTCATTATTTGTTCCCCTATCCCTTTGGTTGAATAAGTAATGATTTTTAAGGCAAGCACTTAAAAATGAAAAGTCATCACTTTGCTAGGAGGTGTTCATATACATCCTTTAAGCATAGATGCATATACTTCAGGGGCAATTTTGTGATCGGAATTTCTTTCAGTGGATAATATTTTTATTTGCATTTCTAGGGCTGTGGTTCTGCTTTATCAGAAGCAAAAGGAAGATCAGTCCTGAAGTTTGGAAATTACTTTGACTAAGCACCTGTTACAGCTTTTGCTTCCTATGCTAGTCTACCATAAAACTTGAGTTATCCTCATTAATTTTGCATCACTGGCAATTATACAGTGATTCTTTCTTCATAATAAAAATCCACTTGGTTTTGCTATATAGACCATGGAGATAATTAAAGTGGATTAATCAAAGACCTACATGATTAACGGTTTTTGACATACCTGCAAATCTACTGCAAGCATCAGGTGATGACTACTGGCAGAGATTCTGTTTCCAGGACTATTACCTTTTGAATATCAATGAAAGGAGGTTTAAAATCATTCTTTGTGAAAGGGGTATCTTAAGAAAATCTTTATATTTAAGTGGAGCCTTTTTAATGGGATGGAGTAATCCCTTTAACCCCTCATGTCTTCAGCCAATTATGAAATGACTGGTTTTCTCCTGCATCCATTTTTCAAATGTGGACAGAAATATCTCCCAAGATCTTTCAACACTTTTCAACAAGCTATATGGGAAATGTGTGTGCATGTGGGTGGGGGTGGGGGGAGTATGGTCGTTTAGAGGACTTACTTGAATAGGGGCAGATAGGGCAGCTGACTAAGGTGATTTTATTTTTGTCTCAGTACAGTCCCTTTACTTGGCCGTATTTCATACCTTCAAAGAACAATTCCTAGGACTTGTAAATCCATTTTCCTAAGGTAGTGATAATTTTATAACACAAGCATGAGAAATGAACACAACCTTGGGAGACTTGCACACTGCAGGGATTGCTTGGAGAGAGTGTCTGATATCATTAAATTTTTGTGATGTGTACCTGGTATTCAGTTTTGTTGGCTTTCTGAAAATATGCCAGTATAAGGTAGCCAAGAAATCTGATTTTAGGGAATGGGTTGGATCTTTTGGAATAGGAACATGACATTTTGATATAAGAACAAACCATTTCATTTTCATCTTTTTAAAACAGGAACTTGGGGCCGGGTGTGGTGACTCACACCCGTAATCCCGGCACTTTGGGAGGCCGAGGCAGGTGGATCACCTGAGGTTGGGAGTTTGAGACCAGCCTGATCAACATGGAGAAACCCTGTCTCTACTAAAAATACAAAATTAGCCGGACGTGGTGGCACATGCCTGTAATCCCAGCTACTCGAGAGGCTGAGGCAGGAGAATCGCTTGAACTCGGGAGGCAGAGGTTGTGGTGAGCCGAGATTCTGCCATTGCACTCCACCCTGGGCAACAAGAGCGAAATTCTGTCTCTAGAGGGAGCTCGGGGAAAAAGGAACTTGGTACAGTGTGCCAGAGACAGCCTCAATTTATGTCTGAACTCTGCCCCATCTCTGAAGCTTATCTCACCTTATTTCATCCAATTATCCAATTCCTAGGTTTCACTTTATTTCTCATTTTATCCCTGATTCCTAACTCAAAAATTGTCCTTGTCAAAATGTCCTGGGTTGTTTCTGCTTCTAGTTGTGACTTATCTGTTCTGGCAATCTTTCAGAAAAAAAAAAAAAAAGTAGTCTCAGGACTTACTCCCATCTTTTCTCCACCATCTGGCTTATCCAGCCCAGTGGTGATTGCCTTTTGCCAAAGCCAGGAGCCAAGAAGGCAGTTAAAAATACTCTTATTGATTCAGTAAAATGATAAACTCACACGTATATTACAAATAATAAAGAGTACAAAAAATTACCCGTAATCACACCACCCAGGGAATCACTGTTAACATCTGTTGGACATTGTTTAGTATTAAGTGCAAAGATGAATATAACTTTATATGCATGAGATTACACAAACATGCCATTTTATCACCTATTTTAACCTAAAATATAGAGTATGTATTTCCATGTCAATGTATAGAGAGTTGTACAATTAATTAATTTATTTATTTATTTTAGTAGAGATAGTGTCTTGTTATGTTGCCCAAGGTGGTCTGGAACTCCTGGCCTCAAGCAATCCTCCCGACTCAGCCTTCAAAAGTGCTGGGATTACAGGCATGAGCCACCATGCCCAGCCTGTGAAATCATTTTAATGCTTGTGTAGTGATGCATTGTGTATATTGACATTGTTTATTTCATTGGGTTGGCATTTTGAAGAAGAAAATTTGAAGTAGTTAAAGCATGTCTTTACTGTCTTATTCTTCTTTCAAATTTTTTCCTATCTCCCCTGATTATTGGTTCCTTCTTTCATTCCTGCTCTGTTTAGACCTCTCTAGGCTAAGGAAAGCTCAAGAGCTTACTGCACTGGGACCGTTTATTTGTTTATCAGACCTCTTATAACCTGAAAAAGAGGCAAGACCCAAATATAGGAATTTCTAGTGATGTCCTTCAGATGGGAGGAAGGGCATATTGTTCAGCATTCACTTTTCTTTTCCCTTTTCCTTTCATTACTGACTTTCTAGAATGATTAATCTTTATGGAAGATCCTTTCCCATTTTTTAAAATTGTTTTCTATGTTTTCCACTTCTCCAATATAAAACTGCATTCTTGAAGGCTACCAGTGATTTTCTGATGAATACATTCAAAGCCATGTTTTATTCCTTACCTCTATGCCATGTCACAAGGCTTAGCTTCTCCTTAGAACTGTTTCCTTGTAGATTTGTCACCCTACATTTCTGACTATGCATCCTCTGTTCCCCTTGATGGCTTTTCTTTCTGCTTTCTTACTATGGGGAGCCTAGAGACTCTGTCTCTGGCCTTTTGTCCTTTTATGTTTACTCTTTTTTCCTTTTAAACCATGCTTCCCTCAAACTTCCCTGTGTCTGTCAAAGGTGACACCATTCTTTAAATCACTCAGACCTCAGAGTTTGAAGTTATCTTTGACTCTGCTTTTCCTTCCTAATCCAATCAGTCTTCACATCCTGTCAGCTATTTCTTCAAAATAACCTTCCATGCACTTTCATACACTGTAAATTGGTACAGCCTCTTTAGAAGGCACGTAGACACTATCTGTTGAAATCTAAAATGCATATACTTTGACCTACCACTTACAATTTTGTGAAACTATCCTATGGGAATACTCAAGTGTGTCAACATATGTAAACCAAGATATTCTTTGCAGCACTATTTAAAATAGCCCAAAACAGGAAACTACCTATGAGGCAACAGGGAACTGGTTAATTGTACATCTATTCTATGAACACAGCTATTAGTAATTGTAAGGTGGATCCATAAGTAGTGACAAGAAAAAATGTCCATGGTACATTGTTAAGATAAAAATATAAATTGCAGGCCAGCATGTATAGCATGTATAATATGGTCCCATTTTGGTTACACACCTATACACAGATACATACATTCACATATATATTACTTGTATGGAAAAATAAAGATAAGAGATATGCACCAAATTATTGAGAATAATTACCCATAGGAAAAGGTGTTTGGAGGAAGGGTGGAATTTGCTTTAACTTTCTAATGTATACACTTATAAATTGTTTGGAAGTTTAAAAAATATACATGCATTGCTTTTATAATGATTAAAAATATTTTATATTTTCTCATTTTTTTCTGACTCAACACTATTTTAAATTTGTATCACCTGGTATCTGACTATCTCTCTCTCTATGTATATATCTACAACAGTCTCCTAAGGGCCTCCCACCAGCTCCAATTACTTTACTAGCTGTCTGACATTAGACTTTGAGAGCCTGTTTGAAATGAGAATACCTACCCTGACTATTTCTCAGAGTCTTAAGTTTAAAAGCAATTAATGCATGTGGGTAAGCTTTGAGAAACTGTTAAGCACAGTGCTAATATAAGGCATCACCTCTAACAGTGGCCGGTAGTATAGCCTAAGCCTGAGGACTGGGTAAGGTCTGTGAGATCTCACAAGTAGCACCACTGACATAACAGAACTAAAGCTCTAAGTGTGAAATGACCAAGTTATTCAACTGGGTTCTTCAGCTACAAGGTATAAACCTCCCCAGACTAACTTTAACATTCACATCACCGTTGATTTTAACTAGATTGGCTGAGAGAGCAGCCTCCTAAAACTATTCATCTTTGCAGTGATAAACACTGCAAGAGGTTTGTTAGAGCTCGGCCATTAAACTTACACTTATTTGTAAGCCTAATTGGTACTATTAACATTCCAAGGACAAAGGAGCCTAAATGATAATGTGGAAACAGAGCTAGAAATGTATTCTAAATATTTAGAAGTACATCCATTTCCCTTTAAATATGCTACTTTAATAAAAGCACATGGCCTACCTAATAGAAAATTTCATTATTTGCATTGAGCTGTAGCAAAGAAATTGCATCTAGCATGTATGTGGTGCAGGTATAAAATCTGTTTAGTACTGCTCCTGTCACTTATTGTGTCAATGAAGACATCAAAACAGTTGTATTGGTATTAGTTTTTACTTGATATAAAGACAAATTGAAGAATTAACTGGGAGGTTTGTTATACTATTATAGTCTAGTACTTCTATTATTTTTTGAGTCCTTGAGCAATATTTTATTTTTTATTTTTATTTATTATTATTATTTTGAATAGGGTCTCACTCTTTTGCCCAGGCTGGAGTACAATGGCATGAGCTCAGCTCACTGCAACTTCCGCCTTCCATTTTCAAGCAATTCTCCCACCTTGGCCTCCCAAGTAGCTGGGACTACAGGCACATACCACCACGCCTGGCTAATTTTGGTAGTTTTTGGTAGAGACAGGGTTTCACCATGTTGGCTAGGCTGGTCTTGAACTCCTGACCTCAAGTAATCAACCCACCTTGGCCTCCCAAAGTGCTGCAATTATAGGCACAGGTATGAGCCACCATGCCCAGCTACCTTGAGCAATAATTTCACAAACTCTTGTTCCATGTGGCTATTTTTACACAGCGATTGGACTTTGCAGTGCAGTGTGGTTACTACTGCTGATGACTGAAACTGGACCCGAGGTCAAATAATGTTCTCAAAAGAATTTCAAGGTTTGTCAGCCACCCCAACCCCCACTCTCACCCACTGGGACAAGAATTAGAGGAGGGGCAAAGACATTCAATAAATATTTTCCTGCTATAAACCAGTAAGTCATAATTATTATGGATATAGAGGTGGACAAAACCCTCAAGAATCTTATAGTCCATTAAATGCTTTGGGTATTCCTGTCCAAGGAATATGCTTATTTTGGGTTGCAGTTGGCAACTAAACTAAGAGGACAGAAAGGCCACTGTACTTTCCGTACTAACGAGATACATTTCAGACGGTGATGATTAAAGAAGGTAGGGAGTTGTGAAATACAATGTGTATTTATGGGTAGGCCACATTCTATTTTAATGTTATCAACACTAGTCCTTTGTATGTACTTCAAAATATATATTATGTTTTTTTACTGTTGGCGAAGTAGGAGATGCATATTTTCTTACAGAAGACTTCATGTTCTTTTAAATACAGATCTTTTATAAATAACCCAGCATATTTCACATTTCATAAGCCAAGCAGATATTTTGTGTGGTAAGGTAATACTTTAAATCATTAATCAGTGTGATCTAATGCTCACACATGAATACCCAATTATTCTCCTTAGTTTGACATTCACTGTGGCCTGTAACTCACAAATTTTGAGACTTGCCTCTGGGTATTTGCAATTCAATTTAACAAGGATTTTTTGTTTCCTACTATGTGCTTCAGGAATCATTCTAGGCACTGGCTGGGATTACAAGGATAAATAAAGCACAGTCCTCTCTCTTATGGAGCTTATAGATTCACCAGATAGATTGGTAGGGTCAGTGTCTGGAGTGGCTAAAATTCGGGATGTGCCCTCAGATTATCTTTATGCCAACAAGAAGAAACCTCTTGTATTTGGGAAGGTGATAGGTCAAAAGCAGTTGGAAGGTTGGGGAAGGCTAGTGGGGAGGTTGATATAACAAAAGCCAAATGATGACTAGGGGCTTATTTAGCAATACATGAAAGTTGGAGACTGGTCAATTCAAAATTGAACTTCCAACTGTCTTGATTTTTCTGTCACTTTCTATTTCACAATTTAAAAAAGCAAAGCTTGTTTGTACCTTGCTTAAGAAAGTGAAGTGCTTTAAATGACCCAAGGATATGTATTATGAAAAACAATAACAACTGGATTAATGAAATAGCTGTTTGAAAGTGTCTTGTTTACATTTGTCACCTTATTATTTCACAGAAAGCCCTCAATAACCTTTTAAAATAACACCTAGGAAATGACAGAGCTACTGAATTGGGATCCAACAAATGACATACTTTAAGATAGTGGATGATGAGTTCCACAGCAATAAAATATCAAGGTACCCGTAGGCATTGATGAGTTTCTGGGTAATTACACCATAAAACCATATTTCAAAATGTCACCTAACTTTGCATGTGGTTGAGAGGTTTGCAAAGCATGTTCAGGGTCCCAGATGGAGGCCGCCAGCTCATGGTATGTGCCAGGGCCACACAATGACAGCTGTCAGCTTCTACCCTGTTGAATCAAGGGCACAAAAAAAATCTCTTAATCAGCGGACTGTTTTACCAGAGGATCATGAGAGCCCAAAGGAGCTTTGATAACATATTGAGAAAGCCTCCAGTTGATTTTGGTCTAAAAGACAGTGTAAGAAATCCATTTTTTAAATTATTGTATTCAAGTGAGTGTTTTAGTATTTGTGGAATGCTGGCAAGAACAAAACCAACAAAAAATAACAGTACTGATAGATGCCCCATTGACCCTCAGTTAATGTATAGAACGTATGGAAGAAGCTCTGGAATTTGAGGCTTACATTATACATTTAGTAGGTAAATATTTTCCAGAATTTCCAAAAGATGCTTAAAGTTGCAAATTTACAAATTTACACAAATAGTACACAGCTATAGAAATGATTCTTATAAAGAATTTTGAATAGTACAAGGAACTGCTTAGAATAAATGAATAAAAGCAAACAGTAGTAGTGTATACTCAGGATGATCTCAATGACAAGGAGACAGATAGGGGACCAAAAATATATAATAGAAAGAATGGTGCTAAAAATATTAATGGAGGTTTCCTTTAGGAAGGCAATGGGATTGTGGATGACTTTTTTCATTTTAATATTTTGATGTGCTTTCCAAATATCCCATAATGAATGCATTGTTGAAAAATAATGTGACAAGTTAATTGTTAATAATTTGGCAATATGGGAAAACACAATGAACAAAATAAAAAGTACCCATAAGCCCACAATCACAAAACAACTATTGTTAGCATTTTGGTGTATATCCTCTAAGTCTTTAAAAAATATGCTATCCATATTAATTTTTTCAATACATATTTTAAAATAATACTGTGCATTCTTTTAACCTGTTCTTTTATTATGGAATATTTTAGGCATACAGTAAAGCACAGATAATAGAATAATAAAGTGAATACCTGTGTATCCACAACCCAGCTTTGTCAAATAGCAACATTTTTCCACAACGAGATTTATTCATATTCAGATAATTTTGTGCTGTTTTAAAAAATGAAATCAAATAGATGAAGTTAAATGCACCTGTTTACTCCTTTATCATATTCCATTTATTTCCTCTCTCCCTCTCTCCCCTAAGGGACACTCTTTTGATTTTGGTATTCATCATTTCCATAATATCTTTACTACATACATATGTATTCATAAAACATACAGGTATTTGATAGATTTTCATGTTATTAAACTATATATGTCTATGCACACACACACTTGCGTTTTTAACCAACGTCATTATTTTTAAGGTTTGACTATATCATTAAATATAATTTGACTCATTCATTTCACTTGCTGTGTCATATTCCATTTTATGACTTTAGCCCTCTTTATTTACCTATTCTGTTGCTGATGGAGATTTAGATTATTTCCAGTTTTTCACCATCATAAATATTGCTGCAATGAATATTATTTTGCTTGTCTCCTTTCTTATGTATATATGTGATAGTTTCTCCAGGACAAGGATCAAGAAACTATATACCATGGGCTCAATCTGTCTAGTTACCTGATTTTGTAAATAAGGTTTTATTGGAACACTGCTATATCCTATTATTTGTGGTCTATGTCTGCTTTTATGCCACAATGACAGAGATTGTATGGACTGCAAAACCAAAAATAGTTACCATTTGGCCCTTTACAGAAAAAGCGTGATGACCTGTATCTGGAGTATTATCTGGGCATGACATTTCTGGGTACAAGGTGCAAATCTTCAACTTTAGAATACAGTCAAATTACTCTACAATGTGTTTGTGCAAAATGATACTCTTTCACTTGTGTATATGATTTCCTGTGGCTTCATATTTTTGCAAATACTTGGCAACATGAGATTTAAAGATTTTTGCCAGTCAGTTGACTAATATTGGTATCCCTCTGTAATTTTAATTTGCATTTCCATGATTATTATTGAGGTTGAGGAACTTTTCAAATGTTTATCAGCCATTTTTAGAAATCTGTGAATTCTCTATTAATATCCTTTGCCTACTTTTTCTGTTGAGATGCTTGTGTTTTTATTATGATTATTTCTTTATATAATCTCAATATTAATCCTTTGTTGATATGTGTGGCTTATGTAGTTATTTTGTTGAATAGAAATTTCACATTTTAATGGAGTCAGATTTAGCAGTTTCCATTACAGTTTGTACTCCTTTATTGTCTTGTTTTGGATATTGTTCCCTATCCTGAGGCTATCTTCTATTTTCAAAATTTTAAAGTTTTGTTTCTCATTCATCTCCTCAATTCACTTGGAATTGATTCTTGTGGTGTGATATAGGCATTTAATTGTAACCTGCTTTTCCATATATATCACGTGTCTTCCCACGTCAACAGAGAGATCTACATCATTATTTAATGACTGTATATATTATTCTATTATAATTCATTTAATGAATCTCCATTTGTTTTATATGTAGGCTATTACAGATTTTCTCTTCATAAATAATGATTAGGTGAACATTCTTCTAAAATGGATAATTTTCACAATCAGAAAGAGAGGAAGCAGGAAACTGACAGTGTAAAAAATTACCAACACCTTCATGGTACTCTTATATTCAGAATTCATGAATTCAGCAAGTGTTTATCAAATACATTTTATGGACCAGGAACTATTTCCAGGTGCTAAAGATATGTGGTATGTATGGTGGTAGATTGGCACTCAGCATCTACTACTACCTCCTTCTGGTGTGCATTTCTATATTGCCAAGTTTTGAAAGCTAAAAATCCAGAGTCTCTTATAGCTAGGCTTCTGGTATATCCCCCAAATAGATGCTCTGACATGGGGTTTTGAGGCAGAAATGAGGCAGTGGCCATACCACTGGCCTAGCTGTTGCTGCCCTCAAGCACAGCTGTGGAGATGGTGGGCATTTCTGAAGCAGCTTTCTGGGGTTTAGTCAGTAGCTTTGTGGGGATTTAGAGGCAGTATGATGGTGGCTATGCATGCTTCCTGGATTATATGTATAGTAGTGTGTTCTATCGCTCAATATTTCCTACAGTGGCCTCATGACTCTCTGATTTCCTGATTGTGGCAAAGGTTCTCTGAGGGGGCCAGCTGGGTATGCTGTTCTGGGAGTCATTCACAAAGGCCCAGCCTACAGCCTACTCCTCCATCATTTCCAATGACCCTACACACAGAGTGGTTTTTGTTTCCTGCAACCGAATCCTGACTTACAGAACTGTCTGAAGAGGGAGACAGAATATAAACAAATAATTCCTATACAGTTTGCTAAGTGCTAATCCAGTTATCTACTAGGTGCTATGAGATCACAGAGGGAGGACTATTTTTGCTCATAAGTGTCAGGAAAAATGTCACTTAAAAGGTGATTTTTGGCCACATCTTAAAGAGTAATATGTTCTCCCGTATTAGTCTTTAAGACTTGGCCTAAAATCAAAAACAGCCTGAGAAAGTTCAGAGACATGTGATTCTGGCACAAATAATTTTGGTGGCTGAATCATAGGGTGTGTAAGTAGAAAGATCACTTTGACAGTTGTGTATAGGACAGCTTAGAGGGGCAGAAAAATGTAGCCAGGGAAAATGTTAGAAAAAGGAGTGGACAGATGCAAAAAATAAAATAAATAAAATAAAATAAAATAAAATAAAACATGATAGATGAGAGGAAAGTCAAGGATTCTTAAGTTTTTGTCCTACAAATGGTAGTCCCTCCTTCCCTCTTTTGTTACCTCCCTCCCTTCTTTCCTTCCGTTCTTCCACCAAACAAAAGTTCCCTATATTAAAGTGTAAACTCATTCCTGGGCATGTTTTTACTCTTGTTTCCTGTATAACATCTAGCACAATGCCCTGCACATGATATTGCTCAATAAATATTGGCTGAATGTTTGATCTGAGCTACTTGATTGTACCTTTAAGAGTAGTTAACAGAGTTAAAAAATCAATGTGCTATTCTAAGTCACTGTTTGGAAAAGATTTAAACCCTTGCAGTGGATTACACTGAACTCTTTGTTTTAGTTTATTATTTATTTTACCAAAGCAAAAGTGCTTTCTCCATTTCTTCCTCACTTGATCAGAAAAAGCATTACCTTCTATCTCTAGATTTCTCTCTCAGGTAAAATGGTCTCTATGCTCTTCTCTAAAACCTTTTGCTAAAACTTTCACTTCTGCAGTGTAAAATCTAGCTTGTCTTTGTTTATAACAACAGTAGTCTTTAATGATACTGATACTAACATTACTATTAATAATAATAATAATAATAATGAAAAAGTGCCAGAAAAATCAGAGTCCCTTTACTTTAGAGCACTTCTAAGCCTTGCATTGAAGTTTCTGTAGCCAGAGCTGTGATTTTTTTAGTAAAATTTACTTTTAACGTTTTTAAGGAGTAGAATAAGACAAATCTTCTTGTTCCTTTTTCTCATTAAATATGAAGGCACTTGATCGCTAATGAGAATCCTTGTTTTACTTCAGAGACACTTTGGATTACAACCAGAAAGAGCTTTTTAAAAGACACAGCCAAAATGTAGATACTCTTTTGAACAGACAATTAAACAAAGGAATTATCAGCTACTGGAGTTCAAGGAAGGAAAATATCACTGGTTGGGAGCAATTAGTAAAAACTCAATTTAGCAAATATTGGGCTGTGCTTTGAAGGAAGGGTAGAATTTGAGTAGGTAGAGGAAGGAGAACTACCCAGATAGGGTAATAGTATGGAGAAAGGTGTGGAAGTGGTAGTGGGAATGAGTGAAAGAATTGAAAGGACAGAGAGTAGACTATTTTGACTTATGGGAGAAGAAAAGACTGGATAGATTGGTGGGGCAAATTATTTTGCTTCTTACTTTTTTGTATAGTAATTAGTATTTTGGGCATGCCAGGCTAGCAGTATGAGGTTGGGATCCTTGTCCAGATGTTGGCCATCATTCAAACTGTATTTTGGATCTATCTTCCCAGTTGTTGAACTGTTATAATGTCAGAGCTGGCAGGGTCTTTAGAGATTTTTAGTACAACTACTTCACTTTATAGATCTGGAAACCAGAGCCCAGAGAGAAATGACTTGTTCAAGTTCACAGAGTGAGTCAGGCATTTTAATCCAAATATAGCATTGGGCCTTAATGGTGTAATTAACTTGCCAAATACTAAAAAGAGGAGGGATGTCAATTAGCTGAGTATGTTACTGTACTTCCTTTCTCATAAAAATCCCCTGCATCTGTAAAGGTGTTCCTTTCTTCTTGTTGGATAAAAGCTGCTCCTTTGTATACTCCCGAGGGATCAGGTGAGCATATTGCTTGGCTGGGCTAGTGTTTCTCTCTCTTCTCTCATGTAGATTATAGGCTCAGTTTCTTTATTAAGTGAGGAAAGGAAACAGTCATTAAGCATCTTTAAAATACTGAAAAAGGCATTGATTTTGGAGAAGGAGTGGCTAGATTTTGAGTTGCAGTTTACATATATTGTAAGGTGGCCATTTTGTTCTGTAACCAGCAGCTAGGGGAGAAAAGAAACAGTTTTAAAGGTGAAACAGTGAAATACTTTAGAGATTGGGGTCTATGTTTCCAAATATAACAATTCTTCAAGGCCTTTTGTCCAGAATATCTTCCATTCTTCTTTAAACCATAAGAATAAGATAACTTACATTGATAGCAAAGACCAGGCAAACTTTGACATTGGAATTTCTAGAGAGAGTTTCAAGAAAGGTGAGTTATGACTACTCAATCCGACCAAGGTGGTGAACTCTGCCAGAAAGAGATCACTAATAAAGTTACTGACCCAGTGACCATAACTTCCAGACTCTTAAGAGAAGTAAGTAGTATAAGACCTAACCTTAGGGACAGATGGCTAATGAAAAAAAAATCATTTAGACACTCATGTCTAGATGAATATAAGAAGCAACTTAACATTCCCACCAACAGTGTACAAGGATTTCTTTTTCTTTGCAATCTTTTCAACACTTGTTTTTCATCTTTTTAATAAGTGCCCTTTTAACTGGGGTGAGGTGATATCTCACTGTGGTTTTGATTTGCATTTCCCTGATGATTAGTGATATTGAGTACTTTTTCATTTACCTATTGGCCATTTGTATTTCTTATTTTGAGAAGTGTCTGTTGAGGTCCTATGCCCATTTTTTACTTGGGTTATTTGTTTTCTTGCTACTGAGTTGAGTTCCTTATATATTTGGTGTATTAACCCCTTATCAGACATAGTTTGGAAATATTTTCTCCCATTTTATAGGTTGTCTCTTTACTCCATTGATTGGCTCCTTTGCTTGAAGAAGCTGTTTAGTTTGATAGTGATACCTTTTTTAATGGAGGTGAATTTGGAAGAAGAGTGGGAAAATTTGGAGAACGTTTTACTTTTTACCCTGCTATACCTCTTATTGTAACAATAAATAAAAGAAAAGCATTTTAAAGGGCTTCACAATGTGATTTTTTAAAATTACAATAACTACGACAAATAGAAAATAGATGTTCTTGAGTTTTTAGGAAATACAGAATTTATGGTGAATTATGTTTAGACAGCTGTTAGAGGACTCTGACTATAGGGTTGCTGAATTTAAATATGTACAGTATATGCAAATGTCAGAGAGCTATGTAGATTAAAGAGGTAAATATCAACAAATAATCCAAACTACTTCATGTTTTTATGTCATAAATTTGTAAACACGGTGAGAGAAAATGATGAAAACAGATGAATACTCCACCACCCATAGCTGAGACCTTCTCTCGGGAATGATTTCTACACAACCCCATATAGGGCAAATGGAACCCACAGTTGGAACAGGCTTTTGTGAGGGCATTTGAACCATTTACTGGGTATGTGCATAGACTGTGTACCTGGTGGGAAGCAAGAGGAATTTATTTTTTTATTTTATTTAATTATTATTTTTATTATACTTTAAGTTCTAGGGTACATGTGCACAATGTGCAGGTTTGTTACATATGTATACATGTGCCATGTTGGTGTGCTGCAGCCGTCAACTCGTCATTTACATTAGGTATATCTCCCAATGCTATCCCTCCCCCCTCCCCCACCCCATGACAGGCCCCAGTGTGTGATGTTCCCCATCCTGTGTCCAAGTGTTGAATTGAACAAGGAATTTATTTTTTATTGTATTCTGTCAGTGGTGCTGACATGCAATGTACAGTCACAGAGTGCACAGAAACAGTTATGTGAACTGGAGCCAAAAGTAGTGGGTTTGAAACAATTAGTTTTACCTCAGGTAACTTCTACTTTCTCTACTTGCTTTCTCTCCCTGTGTCTGCTTTCATTTCTCCATGCCATTGTTGGACATGTCCAACACAGAAAGCAATTAATAATGGAAGTCATAGTTAATACAAATAGCTTGGTAAATGATAGACTAGAAGTTTATTAAATCTAGTTCTGTTTTTTTGATTCTAAAATAACTGTAACTAGAAGAAACAAGGCAAATAATTTACAAATCTGATGAGTTTGCAAATTCACTGATTCGTCAAACATTTGTTGAGTGCCTGTTATGTCCCAGGCACTGTGTTCAATGTGACAGGAAAAACTAATGAGAACATCAGATATAACAGTGTCTGGTGTGCAGTCAGAAATGAAGTAATCCTCAGCACTATAACTGTTGGTGATGCCAAGAAAATAGAAATATAAATATTTCATGTTAATTTATCTTTCCAAATAAAAATAATAATTCGATTCTGAAAAGTAGGAATTAAGACAAATATTACTTTTTAATAGTAAAGCAAAGTGTAGGACAGCTTGGTCTGATTTGCTTAGTTAGATAAAATTCTATACAACTGATCTAAAAATTCCAAACCTGACACAGGCAGAATTTTTATCAAGCCTCTCTTTCTACTCCAGAATGTTATTTTGCCCATTATATATCACTTATGAGATGGTATGGCTGAATACCTATAACCGTATCTCATTTCAGGTGTTTACTTTTTAGAGAAACTGCTTATAGCTGCATGATGTATGATGTTTTAGGGTCTCCAACTGTTGACTTTCTGTAATCTTAGTGTTTGGGAAGAACAGAAAAATCTCTGCTTGTACATTGAAATGGGACTCCATTTAGGTCTCAGATCCTTTCGGTCTGGCTATTTGAACAGTTTTGTGATTATTAAGTAAGATTACTTACCCAAAAAAACCACTTTAAATATTTCTAAGCACAATAAAATGAAAGGTATATAAAGCCCCATTTGAAGTCAGAGTTTAATCCAGTAACCTCAGTTCTCCAAATACTTACCATTGAATCCCAAGGTTAGTAAGAAATAATTTTAAAGGCCAGGGCTTGTTATTATGAAGCCCATGCATAAAAACTATGCACTCCACACAAGAAGGGCATAATGCTACACTCTGAGTCTTTTTGCTTCTTTTTGATACATACTTCTTAAGATCGCTTAACTGGTTGAGATACATCAAACTAGGTAGGAAAAGAGGACTATTAGAGTCAGGTTGGGGGACAGCAATAGAATAGAAAGTTGACAGCCTGGCAGTAAGGAGAAGGAGAAACATGGAAAGAGAGTGCTGTATTACAGCACAGCATAATAACCGTGGTTCATAATGATGGCCGTGAGTTGCTGAGAAAAAGGTAAATTATGTTCCATGTCCTTTGGGGTGACAAGAAAGTGGGTAATATGATTTCCCTCCAATGTGGTTCAGATTTCTGAGCTTGAGATGCACACTTCCATTATCTGTAAAGTGTACCAAGGTTACCAATGTGAAGCATTTCCTTTTCCCGATGAAGTCAGAGAAATGAAGCATTGCTATAAATAATTACATATCTATGTATAAAAATAAGAATTTCTCTTAGAGGTAATGTATTCCATCAGTTGCTTATAACTAAATGAAGTCAAATGCTTACAGCCCTGATTTTATGACACCCTGCCATATTTTCAGTTATGTCAGAAGGAGTAGGAGGTGTTATAAAGCTCAAACCAATAGACAAAAAGCAACCATAAATTGATCATTCACCATGACATACTCTGTGTCTAATACAGTGTGCCAGGCATAAAGTAGGCACTCAAAATTTTTGTTGAAAAAAAAATGTGTGTGTGTGTGTGTGTATGTGTGTATGTTTATCCCACAGGATAAAAGGAAATGTTGTAAAATCAAAGATTTTAGTATGCTGTATCCTTTAAAAGTCAGTATAGAGTCAGCTATTGCTGTATGCCAAACAGCAACAAATATTAGTGGCATACAACAGTAATTTTTCTCACATGTCTGTGAGTTGGATGGGTGTCAGGTGATCTAGGCTGGGCTCAGCTGGACAGCTCTTAGCTGCAGGCTGGGTCTGAGTCTTCTCTATGTGTCTAGGACCAGTAAGCTAATGAGGACATGTTTTTCTCATGGTGACAGTAGAGATGAAAGAAAACAAGAAAACATGAGGTCCCTCTTAAGGCTCAGGCTTGAAACCGGCACATTGTCTCCTCTACCTACATTCCATTGGACAAAGCAAGTCACATGGTGAAGCCCAAGGTAAATGGGTGGGAGGTACACTCTGCCATTAGTGGGAGGAACTGTAAAGTCACATGGCAAAGGAGTGGGGATTGGCAGGAGTAATAAGTAGGATCAGTAATTCAATCTAACACACTTAGAAGTCACTGAACATAGGTTAACAAGGCTTGAGGTCAGGCACATGTGATTACTCCTGTGGTGCAACTATTTGGTCTTTTCCTTTGCTTTCAACAATAATCTCACAGTGAGATGCAGGGCAGGTTTCCAAAATTAACTATTCATATGGAATTGACAATTTTCCTTCCAATTTTTGATCTAATTTTTTTGACAAAGGTTCTAGTAGAGCAGTAGGAGAGTATCAATAATAAAGCATCTGCAGCCACATTTTCTCTGTGATTGATGAATAGCCATAGCAAAAATGTTATTGTACCTGAGGAAATAAATAACATTAAACAGATTGCTATTTGGCTTGTGTTTATGTCTAATTTAACTTTAGTGTTCAACAGAGGATTGGTGTACTCTATTCAGTGGAAACTAGAATACTAGAAAACACCTCTTTTGACAGCTGGAGGTGTGCCAGGTTGCATGACTGCTTGACAACTCCTCATGCTAAGGATAAATCATTATCCTGCTGTTTAACATGTATAATCTGTTGTGTTATCTAGCACTGATAAGTGCATTCGTGTGAACTGGTGCTTGGGGAGGAGTCACAATGTTTACTAACATGTCTCTGAACTAAATTTAGTTATATAGATAGGTAAGATAGGTTATTTCACAATTGAATTCCCACAAATCTCTCATTATAAACACCTAAGAACATGTATATTAATTTACTAGTACTTCCACCACAAATTATTTTTATCCCTCTATTTCCTTTAAAAGAAACAAAATGGCACTATGTATTTAACTCGAATATGGCAAAAATAATCAGAAATAGTAGCCCAACTATGTTCTAGATATTTCTAGATTAGCAGTTCTTAGTATGGAGTCCATAGAAGCACCTCAGGGGATTTTTGTGTAACCACTGGTCATATACAAAATCTGAATATACCTTTCTCTGAAGAATGTCCATTGCTTTCATCAGATTTTTTAAAAAGTCCAAGACTCAAAAGACACTAATCAAATATTGCTACATGTCTAGTAGAATTTGTATTCAGTTCTTAGTAACCCCATTTAAAAAGAGCAATAACCAAATCAAAGTGTTTCCTGAGGAGGGTTACCTGAGTGTTCTGAAAACCATGCAACATGTAGAATGGTTGAAGGAATTATGGATGTTCAGTCTGGAGAAAAGACTAATTGGGAGATGTAGCTGTCCTCTATTATTCAAAGGGCAATCTCATGGGAAAGGACTCACTCTGTATTGTTCTATGACAGAGTCAGAAGAAAGAGGTTGTAAAGCAGCAGGCTTCAATTCAACCTAAGAGTGAACTTTGTAATTGGACATGTGAATATGAACTTTTGTAATATTAACATGTGAATATGAACATATTGCAATACTGGAATATGAGCTTTTCAAGAGTGTAATGGGTAGCTTATTAATTGACTCCATATTTTTTTCTAAATATAAAGCTAAAATAACTAGATATTAGAGTATGATTAGAAAATGCAGTAGGGTAACATTGCTGTTCTCATATGACTAACCAAGCTCTCCTATCCAAAATGCTTCAATTATTTGGATGAGGGCTTAAGTTTTATTTTGAGGAGATGAGAGATATAACAATAAATATACTTACTTCAGGTGTGGGTGTGTGGGTTTAGATTTTGAAACCTATTATTTTTTGATCCATGAAATCAGAATTTAAGCACTGAAAGTAATTTAAATATTATCTGATCAACTCTCCCATTTTACAGGTGAGGCAACTCAGGTGTCTAGAGTTTGCTTCCACATTCAAGGTTACACAATGATTAGCAGAACAAGAACTTGACTGCCCCTCTGAGTACTGTGCTTTTTCTATTACACTAAGTTGCCTCTTTTTGCCCTCACCAGTATTAAGGTAAACTAGTTCTATTAACTGTGAATGCAAAGTGAGATGATGTATGCAAAAAGTTTTTTTAAACTAGGACAAAAATACTACTAGTATTAATATTTAATATTATTTGAATATTTAATAATAAACCTCAACAGAATGTTGAAATGTAACTATGTAGTTGAAACTGGGAATCATTAGGAAGACATAGACCAGTCTGTGATAGAGAAATAAGTAGATATTGTCTTCCTTATTAACTCCCCCAACCTCTTCCTTCCTGAAAATCTGGTCTTTCACCTCCCACCTTTTTTACACAATTATGTTCTTTTCTTTTATAATGTTGCATATTTGCTGGGATTTATATGTGGTTATTTGCAGCTATAAACATATGCAAATGCAGATGCAGCATTGATGTAGGGGAGGCATCATGACAGTATCTAAGTGGTGCATCCCTGGGTCATACTTTGTGAATTTGCTAATCTTGAAAGGTTAAAATTTAAGTCAGGCTCTGAGCTTGGCAACTAATAATACTTTGGTTTTGTTTTTGTTTTTGGCAAAGTGTACTTGTGAGTTCCTGTACATATCTAATGGGCCAATCTGAAATAAGAGTTATTGAAAGCAGCTTATTTACAGATTCAATGGTAGCTGTAACATTACCCACTCAATGTTGTTTAACCTGCAATCCTTAAAAAGAACAATATATATTTGTGCAGCACTTTGCAGGTTTACAAATGGCCTTTCCATTCCTGAGTTTACTTGAAGGTTTTTGTTAAGAAAACTTGAAAATGGAAATCAAGACACCATGTAATAGATGTTTTATGGTTTAAAAATATTCCAGGATGATTTTGTTTTTGTCTGTGCTCATGGGACTGGAGGTAAGAAGATAAACATTTGAGCGACAGTTGCACAAGTTTAGGCAAAGATCAGAGGGCTCAAACTAGGGCAATGTAAATGGCCAAAGAGTATTGAAGAGGGGAAAAGTCCAGGAGATATTGAGATAGAGAGATTTGATAGTATTGGATGGATAAAGGAGGTGGGGCGGGGGGGGGGCGGGAATCTAGAATAAAACCAATGTTTCCAACTGGTAGCTGTGTTGTTCTTATGCCTTATTATTAATTCTTTCTAATACTTCCTTTCATGAAACACAAAGAAACATAATTTTTGCAATTGACATGTGTCAGGACCCAAAAGAGGAGGTAGAATCTCATTGATAGAAGTGGGGAAGTTCAGATCACATTATTGAAGCAAGACCACACAACTAGTTAGAAATACTTTGTATCCTCTCTGTCACCCTTTGGAAGGTATGCTTTGCTATTCTCAGCTCGTAGCCCCTGTTTTATAGATACCTAGACATTTGTACCATTCCACCTTTCCCACCGTGGCTGCTGAAGTCTGCGTCAGTACCTCAGAGGCCTGACTTACCTCTCATTTGGGGAGCTAGTTAGACTCCACTTAAATAGAGCTTGGTCAGAAAAAGAAGGCTGCTCTTTCTAATAGCATGCTCAGAGTATCAACCCTAAGGAAAGTTGACACCATCCTAGCTATCTTATGTTCTCTTTCCATCACAGAATATATAGCCTTTATCCTTGAGCACAACCTAAGTCCTCTTTTAGGGATACTTCAAGGAGAACCAGCTCAGGAGCTTGCTAATGTCCATATCTTCTGATTCTTACCTCTGTGCCACCTAAGTCAGTGAGAGGAGGGATAGTGTCCAAGTAGCAGGGGGAGCTATGCTATCCTAAGCTGACCTCTTATGTTAAGCACTCATCCTTTTAGACGTGCCCTCTATGCCAATGGTTCTCAAATATTGAAGCTGACAATCACATGTGTAACCAGGGTTAGAAGCAAGATGAAACCCCACCCTTTCTTTCCTATTCAAAAATTCACAGTTTAATGAAAGTGAATGAAATTCTTGTGATTATAGAGATAATCTTGAATCCTCTTTAATTTCTATTAAAAATAAAATTGTCTGCACACGAGAGTAATTTATTATTCACAAATTATGTTACCTGAGGCTAACATACCTGCCTCTCAAAGTACCTTTGTTGTGCTAAAGTTCAAAAATTCCAGTAATTGGGGATCCTGGTTCATAAGTTTTTGTGTTATATTTCCAGGCTTCTGGATTCCATATTCAAATCCAATAATGACATCCCCCTTTAGTGTAGTTTTTATATGCTTCAGGTTTTTTGACTTCTGTTTTACATGATATAAGACAGCCCTATGCTATTAGGTGGCAAATTGTGTAATATAGCCTACAACTGCTCTAGGGGTTTAGCGAAGTAAGGAAGCAATATAGGCTAAGACTTTTTAAAAAGTCTATTAATAAGCCAGATACAGGCCAGGTGCAGTGGCTCATACCTGTAATGCCGGCAGTTTTGGAGGTCGAGGTGGATGGATTGCTTGAGCCCAGGAGTTCAAAACCAGCCTAGGCAACATGGTGAGACCCTGTCTCTACCATGGTGGAGTTCTAGCTACTCAGGAGGCTGAGGCGGGTGGACGGATTGAGCCCAGGAGGTAAAGGCTGCAGTGAGCAGTGATGGTGCCACAGCACACCAGCCTGAGTGACAGAATGAGACCCTGTGTCAAAAAAAAAAAAAAAAAAAAAAAAAGGCCAGATACGTTTCCTTATTGAAACCACACAGCAACTTTGTGATGCATGTTCTCATTCTTCTCATTTTACGGAAGAGAAGACGGAGGCTCATCAAAGAGCAAGCTTTCTATTGGTCACAAAGATGCTAAATATTTGATTTAGAGCTAGGGCTAAAGTTTCTCTGACTCCAAAGCCAGATAATGTTTTTTTTTTTTCTACACAAAGCTATTTGCCTGAAAGTAGGGGGCAATAGGGTTTGAGATGAACTTTGAAGGACAGAGCTTCAACAGGAAGAGAGAGAAGAAAGGGAATTGCCAAAAGCAAAATAAGCAGGGGCGAAGACATGAAAATGACAATAACTCTGCTGGTTGGTCATGAAACCAATCTGATTATGGTTTTAATGCAGAGTCTGGGTTAGGGACAGGAATCAAAAGTTAGAAAATAGGGGTGTTATGTCTGGAAAACCAATCCATGTAGTTGCAATTTGATGCCAAAAGCCACAGAGAAACTTTTGTTCTCTGATGTAATAGGTGGGATAGGGCACGATGAAGAAAATTAAGTATTTATTTAGTTAAGTAAATTACTTGAAACAGTAAGTTATTCTACACATTTAAATGTAAAGAAAGTTGATACATGACCCTTTAGGGATATTTTTTCCATGGGGAAGGTAGTAGGGTCAGATATTTTTGTGAGAGTTTGTGAGACAAATAGCCACTACTCTGAATGGAGATTCTCTCAAATGAAGGCTGATCTTATTTTGAGAAAATATATCTAATTTTGTTCCATTGTTGGATTTTAATCAAGAGAAACAATTGAATAAACCCCTTCTAAGCTATCACTCTCTGGTAAGATGACTGGTTTACATCTTGGCATTAAATTGGAGATAGTCTAGAAAGCAGGAGTTCTCAAACTTGAGTATACATCAGAATCACTAGGGGTTTTATTAAAACACAAATTTCTGGGTCCACCCTCAGTGGTTCAGTGAGGTAGGTCTGGAGTACGTCCTGAGAATTTTCATTTCCAAAATATTTCCAGGTAATGTTGATACTGCTATTTCATGGACTACACTTTGAGAACCATTGTCCTAGGCTGATTTCTCAAGTTTTCATTCAAAATCAATTAGGTGAAATAAACAACAAAACCCTTAGCCAATTTAAGGGAGAAGTGATTGGGTTCTTTCACAGAAATGTCCTATGTTCAGTAAATTGATAGTTAGAGACTAGTAATAGATAATATCATGCATTCTTATAGAAAGCAGTTCATTATAATGAAAAGAATACAAGGCTTTGGAGTCAAACCGTCTATATTCCAATCCCAGCTTTGCTTTTTTCCTAGATATATAAATTTGTAAGTTACTTAACATTTCTGAGCTTCAGTCTCCTAACCTCTAAAATACATTTAATAATATATATTCATGTTAGGATTGCTGGGAGGATTAAATGCAACAATCCAGGTTAAACCTGGATGTCTGCTTTGATGGATTTGATACGGTTATTTACATTTAAATGTGTAGAATAACTTACTGTTTGGCAAATGTGCACTTCATTGAGGAAAACAGCACTAAGTGGTTTTTTGGAAGATGTAAGTAGAATTGTATGGCTTCGCTTGTGCTTTAACTCCTTAACTGTGCGTATTTTTAGTTGCCCTGAAAGTTGCTCCTTTGTATCAGTTTGATATCTTTTTAATATCATAGCTGGGTAAGATTGTTTTCCAGTCAGGATTAATGATTAGGAAATGAGTATTTCTGAAATTCTGCTGCTTAGGGTTGGACTCCTTCAAGTTGGAATAATTTTGAAGCATATGAAAGGTTGCTGTCATCAAGTGTCAGAGGTGTAGTTCTTTATCTGTCATGCCCACCCCTTTTAATAACAAGTTGAAGGAGAAAAATATTGCTGTGAGTTTGTGAGGGCTTAAACTCTTGAGGTGTAAGATTAGCTTTTGTTCAAGGGCAAACAACTAGAGAAATAGTGATCACTGCTGAATTATCTGACAAGCTATAAACTACCATGGGTATTGGTTTTACTCTGCCATTCCCAGAGGAAGAGATTGGGTCTTGGTCTCTCGACAGATTAATGTGATCTTTGATCTGCCTTGGGGTTGTAATAGTCTGTTGGTATGCCTCTGTTTAAATAATTACCTTGGCAGGACAATGTTCCTTCCTGCATCCCTAAAATCTTGCTACTCCAAGTGTGCAATTAGATGAGCAGCATCTGCATCTTCTGGGAGCATGTTAGAAATGCAGAATTTCAGGCTCCATCCCAGATTTGCTGAGCCAGAATCTGCATTTTAAAAAGATCTCCATGTGATTCTTATGCACATTAACGTTTGAGAACTACTGCTTTAGGTGATTTCTAAGGTCTATGGGGTCTAACGTTTAGAATTTTAAGTAAACTAATAAATATTTTTACTCTTATTTTCTCTTTGAAGTAATTAGTTGAAATGAAGTTTCTTCTGTCTCCATGTTATGTTTCTCCCCCTTCCCATCTAATACCAATCTCTTTTTCAATAAAGTAGCTCAAGTGTCACTTCCTTTATGTTCACTTTTTGTCCTCTTGGTTTCCATAACATTTCGTTTATCCTTCTAAAATAGTATGTTATCACATTGCGTTCCACTAGACCAGTGATTTGCAAGCCTGCCTGTGAATTCAAATTAGCTGTGCAGCTTTTAAACAAACGCAGATGCCCAGCCTGAACTCATAGAATCATAACCTTTGGGGGAAGGAAAGATACAGCCTAGCCATAAACATTTCAAAAAATTCCATAGGTAAATTTGATGTGCATTGCTGAGAGAGAACCACCATGATAGAAAATGAAATCTCTGTGGGCCAGTATTCTTTCTTTTTTTCAAGTCTCTTGTGTTTGGCAGTGAGTAGGCACTGAATAAATATTTATTGGATTGATGGATGAATAATTTACTTGTCTGTCTTTTGCAATAGATTAAGCTCTTCGATAGCAGGGTCCCTTGTCATCTGTTTGCATTGGGGTCTTTCAGAAGGCTTGGCAAATGATAGGTATTCAACATATATTAGTTCCTCTGCATGTAAACTTTCTGAAAGCTCTGGAGTCAGAAAAACCTGAGTTTCAGTCCTATCTCTGCCATTTTTTATGTATGTGACTGTAGCAAGTTATGTGTTCATTCACTCAATTAATTTGATCAATAATTTTTATATTTGTTGACTATTCACTATGCACCATGTGCTATACTAGGTGCTTGGGATACCATGGCAAACAAGACAGATAAATTCCAATTTTCTGGGAGCATACATTCTAGTAGATGAAATAGAAAGTAGCATATATGTAACAAGGACAATAAAAAAATTTAAAATTAGAAGTGTTGTAAAGGCAACAAACAAGGGGCTGGAAAAGAATAATGGGGAGGGGAATGGCAAGATGGCTGAATAGGAACAGCTCTTGTCTGCAGCTCCCAGCTAGACCAACACAGAAGGTAGGTGATTTCTGCATTTCCCACTGAGGTACCCGATTCATCTCATTGGGACCGCTTAGACAGTTGGGGCAGCCCACAGAGGGTCAGCAGAAGCAGGGTGGGGCATCGCCTCACCTGGGAATCGCAAGGGGTAGGGGAACTCCCTCCCCTAGCCAAGGGAAGCCGTGAGGGACTGTGCCATGAGGGATGGTGCTATACAGCCTAGAAACTATGCTTTTCCCATGGTCTTCACAACCTGAAGACCAGGAGATTCCCTTGGGTGCCTATACCACTAGGGCCCTGGGTTTCAAGCACAAAACTGGGCAGCCATTTGGGTAGACATCAGGTTGTAGCTAGCTACAGGAGTTTCCCCCCCCCCCCAGTGGGGTCTGGAACACCAGTGAGACAGAACCGTTCAAGCCCCTGGAAAGGGGGCTGAAGCCAGGGAGCCGAGTGGTCCTGCTCAGTGGATCCCAACCCCCATGGAGCCCAACAAGGTGAGATCCACTGGCTTCACATTCTTGCCACCAGCATAGCAGTCTGAAGTCGACCTGGGATGCTTGAGCTTGGTGGCTCGAGGGACGTCCGCCATTACCGAGGCTTGAGTAGGCGGTTTCCCCCTCACAGTGTAAATAAAGCTTCCAGAAAGTTTGAATTGGGCGGAGCCCACTGTAGTGCCACAAAGCCACTGTAGCCAGACTGCCTCTCTAGATTCCTCCTCTCTAGGCAGGGCATCTCTGAAAGAAAGGCAGCAGCCCTGGTCAGGGGCTTATAGATAAAACTCCCATCTCCCTGGGACAGAGCACCTGGGGGAAGGGGCAGCTGTGGGAGCAGCTTCAGCAGACTTAAATGTTCCTGACTGCCAGCTCTGAAGACAGCAGTGGATCTCCCAGTATAGCACTCGAGCTCTGTTAAGGGACAGACTGCCTCCTCAAGTTGGCCCCTGATCCCTGTACCTCCTGACTGGGAAACACTTCCCAGCAGGGATCGACAGACACCTCATACAGGAGAGCTCTGGCTGGCATCTGGCGGGTGCCACTCTGGGATGAAGCTTCCAGAGGAAGAAGCAGGCAGCAATCTTTGTTGTTCTGCAGCCTCTGCTGGTAATACCCAAGCAAACAGGGTCTGGAGTCGACCTCCAGCAAACTCCAGCAGATCTGCAGAAGAGGGGCCTGACTATTAAAAGGAAAACTAACAAACAGAAAGCAATAGCATCAACATCAACAAAAAGGACTTCCACACAAAAAATCCATCCTAAGGTCACCAACATCAAAGACCAAAGTTAGATAAATCCATGAAGATGAGGAAAGACCAGTGCAAAAAGGCTGAAAATTCCAAAAAACCAGAATGCCTCCTCTCCTCCAAAGGATCACAACTTCTCGCCAGCAAGGGAACAAAACTGGATGGAGAAGGAGTTTGATGAATTGACAGAAGTAGGCTTCAGAAAGTGGGTAATAATCAACTCCTGCAAGCTAAAGGAGCATGTTCTAACCCAGTTCAAGGAAGCTAAGAACCTTGATAAAAGGTTACAGGAACTGCTAGCTAGAATAACCAGTTTAGAGAAAAACATAAATGACCTGATGGGGCTGAAAAACACAGCACAAGGACTTCATGAAGCATACACAAGTATCAATAGTCGAATCGATCAAGCAGAAAAAAAGTATATCAGAGATCGAAGATCAACTTAATGAAATAAAGCATGTAGACAACATTAGAGAAAAAAAGAAAAGGAATGAACAAAGCCTCCAAGAAATATGGGACTCTGTGAAAAGACCAAACCTACATTTGATTGGTGTACCTGAAAGTGATGGGGAGAATGGAACCAAGTTGGAAAACACTCTTCAGGATATTATCCAGGAGAACTTACCCAACCTAGCAAGACAGGCCAACATTCAAATTTGGAAAATACAGAGAACACCACAAAGATACTCCTCGAGAAGAGCAACCCCAAGACACATAATCTTCAGATTCACCAATGTTGAAATGAAGGAAAAAATATTAAGGGCAGCCAGAGAGAAAGTTCGGGTTACCCACAAAGAGAAGCCCATCAGACTAACAGTGGCTCTCTCTGCAGAAACCCTACAAGCCAGAAGAGAGTGGGGGAAATATTCAACATTCTTAAAGAAAAGAATTTTCAACCCAGAATTTTATATCCAGCTAAACTAAGCTTCATAAGTGAAGGAGAAATAAAATCATTTAGAGACAAGCAAATGCTGAGGGATTTTGCCACCTGCCTTGCAAGAGTTCCTGAAGGAAGCACTAAATATGGAAAGGAAAAACCACTACCAGCCAGTGCAAAAGTATACCAAAACATAAAGACCATCAACACTATGAAGAAACTGCATCAACTAATGGGCAAAATAACCAGCTAGCATCATAATGAAAGGATCAAATTTACACATAACAATATTAACCTTAAATGTAAATGGGCTAACTGCCCCCAATTAAAAGACAGACTGGCAAATTGGAAAAAGAGTCAAGACCCATTGGTGTGCTGTATTCAGGAGACCCATCTCATGTGCAAAGACACACATAGGCTCAAAATAAAGGGATGCAGGAAGATTTACCAAGCAAATGGAAAGCAAAAAATAAATAAATAAATAAATAAAAAAAGCAAGCAGGTGTTGCAATCCTAATCTCTGATAAAACAGACTTTAAACCAACAAAGACCAAAAAAGACAATTAAGGGCATTACATAAAGATAAATGGATCGATGCAATAAGAAGAGCTAACTATCCTAAATATATATGCAGCAGCCAATACAGGAGCACCCAGATTCTTAAAGCAAGTTCTTAGAGACCTACAAAGAGACTTAGACTCCCATACAATAATTTTTTTTTTTTTGAGATGGAGTCTGGCTCTGTCGCCCAGGCTGGAGTGCAGTGGCACGATCTCAGCTCACTGCAAGCTCCACCTCCTGGGTTCACACCATTCTCCTGCCTCAGCCTCCCCAGCAGCTGGGACTATAGGCGCCCACCACCACACCTGGCTAATTTTTTGTATTTTTAGTAGAGACGGGGTTTCACCGTGTTAGCCAGGATGGTCTCGATCTCCTGACCTCGTGATCTGCCTGCCTCGGCCTCCCAAAGTGCTGGGATTACAGGCGTGAGCCACCACACCCAGCCCCCACACAAAAATTTTTATTCTTAGAATTCCACACAATAATGGTAGGAGACTTTAACACCCCACTGTCAATATTAGATAGATCAATGAGACACAAAATTAACAAGGATATTCAGGACTTGAACTCAGCTTTGGACCAAGCAGACCTAATAGACATCTAGAGAACTCTCTACCTGAAATCAACAGAATATACATTCTTCTCAGCACCAAATTGCACTTATTCTAAAAGTGATCAAATAATTGGAAGTAAAACACTCCTCAGCAAATTCAAAAGAATGGAAATCATAACAAACAGTCTCTGAGACCATAGTGCCATCAAATTAGAACTCAGGATTAAGAAACTCACTCAAAACCACACAACTACGTGGAAACGGAACAACCTGCTCCTGAATGACTACTGGGTAAATAACGAAATGAAGGCAGAAATAAAGATGTTCTTTGAAACAAATGAGAACAAAGACACAAAGTACCAGGATCTCTGGGACACATTTAAAGCAGTGTTTAGAGGGAAATGTATAGCATTAAATGCCCACAAGAGAAAGCAGGAAAGATCTAAAATCGACACCCTAACATCACAATGAAAAGAACTGGAGGAGCAAGAGCAAACAAATTCAAAAGCTAGCAAAAGACAAGAAATAACTGGGATCAGAGCAGAACTGACAGAGATAGAGACATGAAAAACCCTTAAAAAAAATCAATGAATCCAGGAGCCGTTTTTTTGAAAAGATTAACAAATTAGATGGACTGCTAGTCAGACTAACAACAAAGAAAAGAGAGAAGAATCAAATAGACACAATAAAAAATGATAAAGGGGATATCACCACTGATCCATAGAAATACAAACTACCATCAGAGAATACTATAAACACATATATGCAAATAAACTAGAAAATCTAGAAGAAATGGATACGTTCCTGGATGCATACACCCTCCCAAGACTAAACCAGGAAGAAGTCGAATCCCTGAATAGACGAATAACAAGTTTTGATATTGAGGCAGTAATTAACAGCCTACCAACGAAAAAAAGCTCAGTACCAGACGGATTCACAGCCAAATTCTACCAGACGTAAAAAGAGGAGCTGGTACCACTCCTTCTGAAACGATTCCAAACAAAAGAAAAAGAGGGACTCCTCTCTAACTCATTTTATGAGGCCAGCATCATCCTGATACCAAAACCTGGCAGGCATACAACAAAAAAAGAAAATTTCAGGCCAATATCCATGATTACCATTGATGCGAAAATCCTCACTAAAACACTGGCAAAGTGAATCCAGCAGCACATTAAAAAGCTTATCCACCATGATCAACTCGGCTTCATCCCTGGGATGTAAGGCTCGTTGAACCCATGCAAATCAATAAATGTAATCCATCACATAAACAGAACAGATGACAAAAACCACATGATTATCTCAATAGATGCAGAAAAGCCCATAAAAAATTCAACACCCCTTCTTGCTAAAAATTCTCAATATACTAGGTACTGATGGAATATATCACAAAATAATAAGAGCTATTTGTAACAAACCCACAACCAATATCATGCTGAATGGGCAAAAGCTGGAAGCATTCCCTTTGAAAACCGGCACAAGACAAGGATGCCCTCTCTCACCACTCCTATTTAACTTAGTATTGGAAGTTCTGGCCAGGGCAATCAGGCAAGAGAAAGAAATAAAGAGTATTCAAATAGGAAGAGAGGACGTCAAATTGTCTTTGTTTGCAGATGACATGATTGTATATTTAGAAAATCCAATCGTCTCAGCTCCCAAACTCCTTAAGTGGATAAGCAACTTCAGCAAAGTCTCAGGATACAAAATCAATGTGCAAAAATCACAAGCATTCCTATACACCAATAATAGACAAACAGAGCCAAAGCAAGAATGAACTCCCATTCACAATTGATACAAAGAGAATAAAATACCTAAGGATACAATTTACAAGGGATGTGAAGGACCTCTTCAAGGAGAACTACAAACTCTGCTCAAGGAAGTAAGAGAGGACACAAACAAATGGAAAAACATTCCATGCTCATAGATAGGAAGAATCCATATTGTGAAAATGGACATACTGCCTAAAGTAATTTATAGATGCAATGCTATCCCCGTCAAGGAATTTATAGATTCAATGCTCTCCCCATCAAGCGCCTATTGACTTTCTTCACAGAATTGGAAAAAAACTGTAAATTTCATATGGAACCAAAAAGAGCCCATATAGCCGAGATAATCCTAAGCAAAAAAAACAAAGCTGGAGGCATCATGCTACCTGACTTCAAACTGTACTACAAGGCTATCGTAACCAAAACAGCATGGTACTGGTACCAAAACAGTTACATAGACCGATGGAACAGAACAGAGGCTGCAGAAATAACACCACACATCTACAACCATCTGATCTTTGACAAACCTGACAAAAACAAGCAATGGGGAAAGGATTCCCTTTATAATAAATGCTGTTGGGAAACAGGCTAGCCATATGCAGAAAACTGAAACTGGACCCCTTCCTTGCACCTTATACAAAAATTAACTCAAGATGGATTAACGACTTAAATGTAATATCTAAAACCATGAAAACCCAAGAAGAAAACCTAGGCAATAACATTCAGGACATAGGCATGGGAAAAGACTTCATGAGTAAAACACCAAAAACAATTGCAACAAAAGCCAAAATTGACCAATGGGATCTAATTAAACTAAAGAGCTTCTGCACAGCAAAAGAAACTATCATCAGCATGAACAGGAAACCTACAGAATGGGAGAAAATTTTGGCAATCTATCCATCTGACAAAGGGCTAATATCCACAGTCTACAAGGAACTTAAATAAATTTACAAGAAGAAAACAACCCCATCAAAAAGTGGGTGAAGGACATGAACAGACACTTCTCAAAAGAAGACATTTATGTGGCTGAGAAACATATGAAAAAAAGCTAATCATCACTGGTCATTAGAGAAATGGAAATCAAAACCACAATGAGATACCATCTCATGCCAGTTAGAATGGTGATCAGTAAAAAGTCAGGAAACAACAGATGCTGGAGAGGATGTGGGGAGATAGGAACACTTTTACACTGTTGGTGGGAGAGTAAATTAGTTCAACCATTGTGGAAGACAGTGTGGTGATTCCTCAAGAATCTAGAACCAGAAATAGCATTTGACCCAGAAATCCCATTACTGGGTATATACCCAAAGGATTATAAATCATTCTACTATAAACACATATGCACACATATGTTTCTTGCAGCACTATTCACAATAGCAAAGACTTGGAACCAACTCAAATGCCCATCAATGATAGACTGGATAAAGAAAGTGTGGCACATATACACCATGGAGTACTACGCAGCCATAAAAAAGAATGATTTCATGTCTTTGCGGGGACATGGATGAAACTGGAAACCATCATTTTCAGCAAACTAACACAGAAACAGAAAACCAAACACCACGTGTTCTCACTCATAACTGGGAGTTGAACAATGAGAACATATGGGTACAGGGAGGGGAACATCACACACCGGGGCCTTTTAGGGGGTGGAGGGCAAGTGGAAGGATAGCATTAGGAAAAATACTTAATGTAGATGACTGGTTGATGGGTGCAGGAAACCACCATGGCACATGTGTACCTATGTAACAAACCTGCATGTTCTGCATATGTATCCCAGAACTTAAACTGTAAAAAAAAAATAATAAATGAAAAAAAGGAATAATGGGCAGAGGTAGTGAAGGAAATAACTTTATGTACACAGACATTTAGTTTGATATTCGAAGGATGAGATGAATCTCATAATGGAAAGATGGAGGTGTACTAAAGAGCATGACAGATGGAGAAAATGAGGTATGCAATGGGCATGAGGCAAGAAAATGCTCAGTGTGTGTTAAAACCAGAGAGAAGGCCAATGCAACCAGAGCTCAGTAAGGATGGAGGTATTAGGGCTAGGATATGTTAATATTAACACTAGGGAGGTAGGAGTACTTGAAAGTTGCTTTGACTATAAGCAACTTTTGACACAGATCCCTTTTCTGTGAGAAACAAGAGGCAAGATTATATTTTGTTGGGCTAGTGCCTGATAATACACAAGTAGTCACAAAGAAAGCTGGGTTAAAGTTTACAATGTAGCCCAAAGAGAGCCTCTGCCTCTCTGGAAACTCAAATCTAACTCTGGGAATCTTATAGACTATGGCAAGCCATTATAAGGGAACTTGGGATGATGATGCATGTGAGGAAGGCAGAAGAAATAAACCTAAAAAGGTTTTGAAGGGATCTTGACTAGTTTACCATTGCCAAGGAGTATTAGAATACACATGGGCCCTTTTTATACAGTTATCTCACCTACGAGAAATGTCGCTCACATAGTGTCATGCATACTGACCAATCAAAATAGCAATTCTTGTGAAGGGTTGATGAGCAAGAAAGGCCGTGCAGAGAAGAGTTAGGAGGTAAGCCAAAACCTTCTTCCCCCTACATTACTAAACTTATTTGAACCTCCATTTCCTCATTTCTAAGATAAAGAGACTTACAGCAACTATATCAAATAATTAATGTGAGCCTAAAATAAGATAATGCATGTATAGCTATTCATAGTGTCTATCACAAAATTAGCTATTCTTATTCTTATATGATCACTATTGAATTTAAAGACCCACTTGACAAAATCAGACAGATAAATTCCTATTTTCTTGGAACATACATTCTAGTAGAGGAGATAGAAAATAGAATATAAATAAAAAGGACAACTAAAAAATTTTAAAATAGCACTTTACAAAATCATCATGCACAAAATGTTCAAGGTTGTCAGTTTTTCATTCATCCCCCTGTGAACTGAAATCAGCACCTGCTTGGTGGCCAATATGTATTTGAAAACATTGATTTAATTCAAAAGTGATAAGTGATTTAAATTCACTGTCCCTAGGTCTTGATGTGAATTTTTACCTGGAAAAGGGGTAAGGAAAGAAAGCAACTTTCCATGTCTTTCCATTAGACCTAAAGCCCTGGCGGTCAGCCCATGGTTTATAAATTTGGCCCCAGAGACAGGGATGAAGAGGGTCACCAGTAGTGATGTATATCTGTAAGTGCAAGGAACCAGTGAAGATTCTAGGAGTACAGTGAAAGAATCAAATCAGAGAGGAAAACGTAGTTGCAAAAATCATGCTGAATTTTGTAGAAAATATGAAATACACTCTGAGTTGTGTGCCAGTGTGTGATTGAGTGATGTTCGTTCATGACTGTAAATGAGTGTGAGTGCAAGAGTATATGGTACTTATGGTGAGTATGAGCAAGTTCGTGTGCAGGTGGAAGAGTCTGTGGTATTTACGTGCATGTGTGAGCAAGTCTGGGTGTGTGTGCAAATGTAAGTGTGAGAGTTTGTGGTGTTTGCATGTGAGAAAGTATGTGTATGTGTGTGTGTATGATTAATAAGACAGGAAGTGAGAGAGAAACAAAGAGAATCTCAAATGTCTTTTTTCTTCCAATCCAGGAGTCTGTTCCTCATTTGTATTCTAAACCAGGTCATGGTGGGGAGTCAGGCATTCTTGAATCAGCCTCTTTGTTGAAATATATCTATTATATATATAATATATATTATAATAATATTCATGCAATGGGCATGAAGCAGGAAATGCTCAGTGTGTGTTAAAACAGAGCGAAGGCCAGTGCGACCAGAGCTCAGTGAGTATGGAGGTATTAGGGCTAGGATATGTTAATATTAATGCTAGGGAGGTAGGAGTACCTGAAAGTACTATATAATATATTATATGTTATGTATATATTATATATTATGTATATATTATATATTATATACTAATATGTATATAATATACATATATGTATATTATATATTATATACTAATATGTATATAATATACATATATGTATATTATATATTATATGTATATTTTATGTATATTATATACTAATATGTATATTATATATTATATACATATATTATATATATTATATAATATATATTATATATTATATATTATATATATTATATACGTATATATTATATATTATATACATATATGTATATTGTATATATAATATATAAATATATTTATATATTATATGTATATGTATATAATATACATATATAACATGTTATATATATAATATATTATTATATATTATATATTATGTATATATAGGCAAGGATAAGCCATTTTTGTTGAACTGTAAATTGGGTCATTCATTAATATGGAAATCAGGTTTTTTAGGACCAAGAACAGCTTATATATAAATACCCTTTCCTTCAGCTCTGAACAAAGAAATGACTGTGGCTTAAATGCAGTCAGAATCATCAGTAGTATGTAACAAAATGGTTGATGGTGTATCCTCATAAGACTTTTTTGCTGGTGCACATTGAATTGAAGAGAAACACTACCAGGTGCTAAAAAGAGACATGAAATGAAAATACACACAGTCTATGTGGGTGGTTAGCAGCAGTATAACCCTTTTCTCCTCCTCTTCTCAGACCTGTTTTGTCTGCAGGTGAGCATGGAGCAGTTACACATGTCCATGGGGACAGGCACCGAGGGGTTGAGGCTAGTTGTAACTTACCCTGGATGCTGAACACACATACGTTTGACACAGAATATAAATCTTGCTTTGCTTATAGACCTTTTATTTTCCTCAATTTTTAAAAATACCCAGAAGTTCTTTCGCATAGAACTCATTATTTGGATCCACCATAGGCTAACAAGCAATATCCAGGAAAATCCAGCTTTTATTGTCTTTAAGTATTTATTAGGTAAATATAAGGCCTATCTTCCTGGCTGAGAAAGAGGGTCTTTCTTTTGGAAAAAGAGAACTGGAACAGGCTAGGATACATATTCCTATATCAAGCAGTGATTTTTTTTGATAAAACCAAACCACCTCTTTGATCCATACATGTAATCATTTGGTAAGAAAACTCATCTTTGAAAGAATGGTTTTTTTTTCCACGAGAAAATGGAAAAATCCCTTCTTTCAACTAAGAATGAAGTGATGGATTGTGTCAATTAGTGAAAGTTTGGGACTACAAATACTGTTCGCTCAGCACATCTAGAAATTGGTAGCTAGCAGTTTTGTGGTTTGGAATTATCTGGATAATCCCAAAATATGTTTCTTTTTTTTGGCATTCCTCGTGAATACGTAATTATCACCAATGCACAATTACATATAATGTCAAAGTACTTTGTTAACAATTATCATGTTCAGGCTTTTAAAAATGCCTACAGGAAATTAGTCACTTGGAGAAACAGAACAAAGATCCAAAATATGGTTTTAGTGGTAGCTAAATTTTGTGACTCTTTATTTTCTACAAGAGTTAGAAACCTGGGTTGAAAAATAAAATGTTCAGTCATATTTAGTGTAGATTTTTTTCAACCTAGATGTTACTAGTAAGGATAGAGGCTTACTCTATTTTACTGAATTCAATTTAACTCTTTCTGTTTGGAAGTAATGGAGTCAACTACAAATGGGGGAAAATCCAGGTCTTATAAAGAAGAGAAAATAATTAGATGATATGGAATGCCAAGCTTATCATTAATATTTATTTTCATATATGCTGTAATTAATATTATAAAAGTATGTATGTGTGGTCTAGAACCTAGGCATCTTGGTCAGTTCCCAAATACAACCTGTTTCCTGTAAGCAGCTGGCTGCTTAGGACTTGGCACTTCAGGAAGGCCAGTGCTGTTCCCTAATATGTGTGTGTACATGAATGTACATGCACATGTATAGTGTATAGGAGAGAATATGAGTGTTTGCAGAGGTATCTTCCCCCATAATAGGAGATAGTTTTGGCACCAGTGTGGCCTATCTTATACCACAAGTCTAGGGTTTGTAAAGCGTGATGTCTTTTTGAACATGCTCTAGGTTGCTGTCTGCAGTTGTTTCAGAGCCATGGTATCCAAAGCCAGTATTATGAGTAGACACAACCATCTGTGTTGTGCAAATGAAAGGATGTCTCTAACTGCTTACTAGACATCTCTCCAGTTTAGTGTAGTACCTGAGGAGGCATGCACTTGAACTTAGTTATATGTTTCTTTGGGAGAGGGGGTAATGTACTAAAGATTGCCCACCTAAAGACAAGAGCTCTAAGGGTCAAGCACAGATGAGGGAGGAGGATAGCAACATGGCAGACTAACTGGGTATACTGGGGCACCACTAGTGTGGCTGTAGGCATCCAGTGTAAAGGCACTGGATAATGATAACATAGAGTGGGTTAGGAGGCACTTATTACACATCATCTCTGCGTGGGAAGAATCTTAGCAGAGTAGAAAGAGACAGAAATATCTATATTTAAATCATGGCATCACCATTTTCTAATTGTGTGATTGTAATCAAGTCATTTAATGCTAAGCCTCAGTTTTGTCACATGTAAAATAAAAGTAATTAGAAATTACCATGTAATATGATGTAGGTTGTTGTGTGAATTAGAAAGTTTACATATATTTTCTTTGGAATTCTATAACAAACGTCAAATACTAGTATCTACTCATTTGCCTTGGTCTAGCTTTAACTTTATTGTATATGGGAATGATTTGATTTAAAGGAAATATGATCTTGTGGGAGCAGAAGTAATAACTGACTTACTGCTACTTTCCCGTAGTATTCTTATAAAATCAATTGCTTGTTATCCTCTTGCTCTGTGGAGCCAGTTTCAGAACGTTACTCTGCTATCCTCATTCTAATGCAACTGGGACTCATGCCACCTGACTATACAAATTTCTACCTGTCTTGTTTACTTCTTTATCATATTAGCTAGCTCATATGGTGCTTTGTGTGTCTGTGTGTATGTGTGTGTGAATTTGGAAATACACTCCTTCCTCAAGGAACTTTATTCCCACCTGCTTGAAAATTATAATAAATTTATAAATATATGATGCCTGTTATGGTAGTGGTGCCCTGTGGAGTTGTGCAGTGCACAGCATGCACAACTATATATGGTGGTCCACTATGTTAACAGTGTTTTTCCCACATCATTTCAGTAACCCAGAACCACTTTACCTCCCAAGGATTAAACTAATATCTTACTTCTAGACTGAAACATCCTTTCCCTATCATTCTTTATATTAGTCACGATACAACTGCTCCTTTGATATCTATCCTTCTCTACTGACTCGTATTAGTTTTTTGTTCCTATGTAGCAAATTGCCACAAATGTGGCAGCTTAAAGCAACACCATGTGTTAGCTCACTGTTCCGTAGGTCAGAATATCCATCTGGGTTCTTTGCTCTGGGCCTCACAAGGCTGCAATCAAGGTATTGGTTAGGCTGTGCTCTTATATGGAGATGATAGGAAAGAATCTGCTTTCAAGCTCATTTCAGGTTGTTAGTAGAATTCAATTACTTGCAGCTGTCAGACTAAGGTTCAGTTTTCTTGCTGGCTATCAGCCAGGCCTGCTCTGAACTTCTAAAGACTGCCTGTATTTCTTAGTAAGTGACCTGCTTCATCGTCAAAACCAACAACAAATGCCCTTGGTGCTTTGAATTTTGCTGAACGCAGCCACCCTCCTACCCACTTCCACCACCAACCTGACAAAACTCTACTTCGGAAGAGCTCATGTGATTAGATTAGTCCCATGCAGATCACCTCCTTTTTGCCTGGTTAAACAACCATGGGAGTAAAACCAGCAGCAGAGATAATGGGAAACAAAACCCTGCCTACCATATCTCTTATACCTCGTGTTGTTTAATTTTATTTCATAACCAGCCTGAAGCCCGTAGTTCATTACTTCAAACATATTTTGCCCTTGTCCTTAATTTTCTCACTCCTTTTTTTCTTCTACTGACCTTAGTAACTTAACCTTTCTCTATTCCTAACCCTAGGCTGTTGAGAAAAGTGAAAATTCATGGTAATATATAGTGATGGCCTTCGGTTCTTTACATTCTTACTGTATGGATTATTGCATTAGTTCTCCAACATCACACTTAATGCCCTCCAGTCCATCTCTCCTACTGTTGCTAGACTGATTTTTCTAAAATACAATTCTCATCATGTCCATCTGTGTTTAAAATTGTGTAATGGCTTTCCACAGCTTTCAGAACAGTCTTGACACCTCATTATGGAATATAAGGGCCTAGTGGAAATGACTTCTGCCCATCTCTCTAACCTTATCTTTCACTGCTGCACGTAGGAACCCCACTTCAAATTATACCGAATCAGCAAATCTGTTGTTCTTTGTTTGTGCCATGCTTGCCTATGTTTCCACGTCTCATGAACAGCTCATTTATTTTCCTGACATACCCACTCATTGCTTTTTCTTGTTTTGTACTCATCCTTTAAGGCAGTTTAAATATCACCTTGTGAAGACTTTTCTGTTCTATACACTCATTTGCTTCAGGCAGTTATTCATTCCTTCTACTGAAAACCCTTATCCTTCATCAAATCACATTGAATTTTTGACTTAGAGCACTCTGAGGAATAAGTCTTATACATTCTCTTCTTGGTTTCTTCTTCTGATATTGAAAGAGAGGTTAGCACACAATAGGTGCTCAATATATGTTTGAATAATTGGATTTACTCCTGATGAGAACATATAAGCAAACTCATTTTGGGCTATTAATCAGCTGAACTAAAACTTCAAGACTGATTTCACTTAATGTTCTGGTTATAATTAAGAGCTAAAGCTACAGTGATTTTTAACACTATGGAATATAAACGTTTCTCCAAAACTGTATGGATCCTTATTTTCTACATTTAGGGTAGGCCACATGTTTATAAGAGACAGAAACAAACTAAAAGGGACTATGATAAACTTCTGTCATATCCTTAGGTTGTTAGTCGTAATTAAACCTTTGAACTAGGTAATTAGTCTACCATTTGGTAATTCAAGTTGTATAGAGGAACACTGAGGTAGAATACCTTCTGTGGAAGAAGCAATAGAAATTTATTTTTAATTGTCCTTGGCTTTGTTGCTTATTATTTTTCTGCCTTCTGATATATTTGTTTCACTAAGTTTTTCAAATTTCCTTTATTGTGCCAGGATTATATCTTTGTGTTTATTTTATAAAATAATCGAATATAATTTATAGAGGAGCTGAATTTGAGTTATCCCTGTGCACTCTAGAAGTAACAGTAAATATTTGTCTTCAAATATAGAGTATAACATTGATAGAAACCATGAAGCAAACTGAAGGATACACGTGGGAAGTCACAGGGAATTTTACCACCATCAATTCAGTATATTAACTTTAGTTATTTGGGATCCTATATTTTTCTTAATGCAGTTTGGTAAAAAGTGTCATGTCCCCAAATCTAAGACATTTAACTTGTTTATTTTACTTACACAAAATGCTTATATACTCTGAATATAGTCCTTTAAACACAATCATATAGATGTGACTTCTGTTACACTTTAGAGTCATTTAAACATCTTTTTGATATAAAATGTAGTTTTATTACATAAAAATTAAATCTCAAGCATTAGGTTATATAGTTAACTCAATTATTCATTTCCTATTCTAGGAAAGAATTATAGGGTTTCTCTTGCTCTGTTAATTCCCATAGACATTCTTAATTTAGAATGCTTTCCTTCCTGTGGATTAATTCCTTCTTTGTATATATGCACAAGAAGCTTCTACAGTTAAATTCTCAGTGGTCTCTGATGAGTACAGGTGTTCCTGCAGTTTCTAACAGCTCACAGTCTGTCTTTATTGAATTACTCATTGCCTAATATTTCTAGAATAATTCACTCATAGCTAGGACATTATAGAGGAGTGATTATTAGATAGCCAGTGTTACGAATAACATTTCTTTGAAAATCAGTGATTGCTTACTAGTACTGTATATTAAGAATACTGATTAGAAAGTGAATTTATTTTATTTTTATAGAGATGTGATTTCACTATATTGCTCAGGCTGGTCTCAGACTCTTGGTCTCAAGTGATCCTCTTGCCTTGGCTTCTCAAAGTGCTGGGATTATAGACATGAGTCACCATGCCTGGCGGAAAATGAATTTAGATAAGACCACAGCAGCTGATTCGGCACTGTTTGTGGGTCTTTCAAAAAAATAAAAAAAAAAATAAAAAGAATAGCATGACATTTAAAAGTAGAGTCCTTTTTCCATTGTGTTACTTTATATTAAAACTTGAGTGATAGATTTGAGAGAAAACCTAGAAATTATGGGTCTAGCTCCTTTACTCCCAAAATAACTGAGACCAAGAAAGGGATAGGAACTTGCCTAATATCCTATAGCTAGTTAGTGGAAGAACCAGGACTACCTTGCTATTTTCCAATCCAGTGTACTTTTTACTGTACTATGCTGCTTTTCTGTATTTTTCTTTTTTATTTATTTATTTATTTATTTTTATTATACTTTAAGTTTTAGGGTACATGTGCACATTGTGCAGGTTAGTTACATAGGTATACATGTGCCATGCTGGTGCACTGCACCCACTAACTCGTCATCTCTACTCTAAGCATTTTAACAATAGTAAAATCATTTTAATTAAATCCAAAGTCACTTTCTTTTAAAAATCATTAATATATTTCCATCCTACTTCAGTGTACCCCATCTGTAACAGCTGAGGGGATTAGCTAGTAACATGCTTGGTTCTTAAGACAGTATTGCTACTTTTCAAAAGGAATGATTTGAGAAATGCTTTTTACATGCTTAGTAGAGTGTGCAACTCTGGTATGTGAGAGAAACCTCTTTTGTACTGTATGAGAGCTCCTTTGTTGCTTTATACTGTAGAGCTTTTTAATGGAAAGAAGGGGGGAAGGAGGCTATTATGCTATTTTGCATTTACAATTCAGAATTATGCCCTTGATGGTGCTGAAAGAAATTTCATGATGGGATATTAGGAAGTATTAGGCCTATCCAGGCAATTATTTATCAGTCTATTTCAAGGCTTTCCATGTTAAAAGAAAAGTGATCAAATAAAAAATGAAATAGCATACAATGAGTTTGATGGAATCTTGTACGTACTTTTGGTTGCTAGAGCAACGTCTTCCTTTGTCTTTGCTTAATATGACTTCCCTCTCTGTAACTTGACTTCTTGAAAGTAGATATTCATTTTTTTTTTTTTTTTTGAGACGGAGTCTCACTCTGTCGTCCAGGCTGGAGTGCAGTGGTGCCATCTCGGCTCACTGCAAGCTCTGCCTTCCGGGTTCACGCCATTCTCCTGCCTCAGCCTCCCGAGTAGCTGGGACTACAGGCGCCCGCCACCACGCCCGGCTAATTTTTTGTATTTTTAGTAGAGACGGGGGTTTCACCGTGTTAGCCAGGATGGTCTCGATCTCCTGACCTCGTGATCCGCCCACCTGAGCCTCCCAAAGTGCTGGGATTAAAGGCGTGAGCCACTGCGCCCGGCCGATATTCATTTTTAAAAAGAAAAAAATTTCAGGCTTATGGCAAAATAATAAGCCCACTCACTCCAACTTATTTCTCTTAAATAAAATTCAGATTATGAAGAAACATTGTGTTCATTTGCAGGCATAGCCCAAGGTAAAATAGTTAAGTGGTCAACCTTTGGCTTTTGAGGCCTTTGTCCTCTTTGGTTCTTAGCCTCACCTCTGTGTCCTTCAACTGCCTTTTGTATGCCCTTTATGATATCCTACCAAGTCCCATGATAATAACAAACCTAATACCACCCTCCTCATCTCAATCATAATTTAGTCATCCTGGGCTATTCTTTCAGATATTGCTTTTAATTTTTTCTTTGTTTTTAATTCTGTGCACTTGATACAGGCATGCAATGAGTAATAATCACATTAGGGTAAATGGGGGATCGATTGCCTCAAGAATTTATTCTTTGTGATATAAATATTCCAATTATATTCTTTTATTTATTTTACAATGTACAATTTAATTATTTTAGACTATAGCCACCCTGTTGTTCTAGCAAATACTGTCTTATTTTTTCTAACTATTATTTTTGCATGCAACAACCATCCCCACTTCACCTTTACCCCACCCCACTACTCTTCCCAGCCTCTGGTAACCATCCTTCTACTCTATCTTCATGAGTTCAATTGCTTTAATTTTTAGCTCCTGCAGATAAGTGAGAGCATATGATGTTTGTCTTTCTGTGCCTGGCTTACTTCACTTAACACAATGAACTCCAGTTCCATCCATGTTGCTTCAAATGACAGAATCTCATTCCTTTTCATGGCTGAATAGTACTCCATTGTGTATATGTACCACATTTTCTTTATCCATTCATCTGTTGATGGACACTTAGGTTGCTCACAAATCCTGGCTATTTTGAATAGTGTTGCAATAAACATGGAAGTGCAGATATCTCTTCAATATACTGATTTCCTTACTTTTGGGTACATAACCAACAGTGAGTTCTCTGGATCATATGGTAGCTCCAAAAGAGAGAAATAGGCCAAAAGAAAGGGGCTACAGGCTCAATGCAAGTCCAAAATCCAGCAGGGAAGTCACTAAACTTTAAATCTCCAGAATAATCTCCTTTTACTCCATGTCCCACATTCAGGGCATGCAGGTGGAAGTGGTGGGCTCCTAAAGCTTTGGGCAGGTTTCCCCTGTTACTTTGCAAGTTACAGCTCCCCCAGCTGCTTTCACTGTCTGGCATTGATTGCCTGAAGCTTTTCCAGGCACATAGTGCAGGCTGTCAGTAGAGCTACCATTCTGGAATCTGAAGGACAGTGGCTCTCTTCTTACAGCTCCACTAGGCAGTGCCTCAGTGGGGACTCTGTGTGGGGGCGCCAACTCCACATTTTTCCTCCACACTGCCCAAGTAGAGTTTCCTCATGATGGCTCCACCCGTGCAGCAGGCTTCTTCCTTGACATCCAGGAGTCTCCATACATCCTCTAAAATCAAGACAGAGGCTCCTGAGCCTCAATGGTTGTACTCGCTGCATCTGCAGGCTTAGCACCACGTGAAAATTGCCAAGGCTTTTGGTTTGCTCCCTCTGAGGCAGTGGCCCAAGCTGTTTCTGAGACCTTTTAAGCCATGGCTGAAGCTGGAGGAGCTGGGATTCAGGAAGCAGTGTCTCAATGCTGTTCAGGGCAGTGGAGCCCTGGGCCTGGCCCACTAAATCATTCTTCTCTTCTAGGCCTCTGGGCTTGTCAGGAGAGGGGCTGTCTTGGAGCTCTCTGAAATGCCTTTGAGGCCTCCCCATTGTCTTGGCTATTAACATTTGGCTTCTCTTTACTTATACAAATTTCTACAGCAGGCTTGAATTGTTCCCCAGAAAATGGGATTTTCTTTTCTACCACATGGCTAAGCTGCAAATTTTCCAGACTTTCACACTTTGCTTCCCTTTTAAATATAAGTTCCAGTTTCAGAGCATTTCTTTGCTCACACATGGGAGAATAGGTGGTTAGAAGCAGTCAGGTCACATCTTGAATGCCTTGCTGCTTAGAAATTTCTTCTGCCAGATACCCTAAATCATGTCTCTCAAGTTCAAAGTTCCATAGATTTTTAGAGCAGGGGCACAATCTAACCAACCTCTTTGTTAATGGACAACAAAAGTGACCTTTGCAGCAGTTCCCAATAAGTTCCTCATCTCTGTTTGAGACCTCTTTACCTGGCATTCACTATCCATATCCCTACCAGCATTTTGGTTACAACCATTCAACAAGTTTCTAGGAAGTTTCAAAATTTCCCTCATCTTTCTATCTTCTTCTGAGCCCTCGAAACTGTTCCAACCTCTGCCCATTACCCAGTTCCAAAGCTGCTTCCACATTTTCAGGTATCTTTATATCAAAACCCCACTTCTGGTACCAATTTTCCATTGGTACCAATTTTTCATTGGTACTAGAAGTACCCCAATAGTCCATTCTTGCATTACTATAAAGAAATACCTGAGATTGGGTAATTTACAAAGAAAATAGATTTAATTCACCCACAGTTCCACAGGCTGTACAGGAAGCATGATGCTGGCCATTTCCTTGGCTTCTGGAGAGACATGAGGAAACTTACAATCATGGCAGAAGGCAAAGGGGGAGCAAGCATCTCATATAGCTGGAGCAGAAAGAGAGAGAGGGGGGAGGTGGTACACACTTTTAAACAACCAGATCTTGTGAGAACTCTATCATGAGAGCAGTACTAGGGGAATGGTGATAAACCATTCATGAGAACTCTGCTCCCATGATCCAGTCACCTCCCACCAGGCCCCACCTCCAACATTGGGAATTATAATTCTACATGAGATTTGGGCAAGGACAAAGACCCAAACCATATCATGTGTCTTGGGGATAATCTTCTGTAGAATATTACAGGAGTTCTTTGTATTTCCTGAATTTGACTGTTGGACTCTCTCTAGTGAGGTAGGGAAAGTTTTCATGGGTGATATCCTGAAATATGTTTTCTAAGTTGTTTGCTTTCTCCACATCCCTTCAGGTATGCCAATGGCCTCTTTACATAATATATTTGGCCTCTTTACATAATCCTATATTTCTTGGAGGCTTTGGTCATTCCTTTTCATTTTTTAAACAACATTTTGTCTGACTGTCTTATTTCAGGGAGCCCAGCCTCAAGTTCTGAGATTATTTCCTCAGCTTGGTCTATTCTGCTGTTAGTACTTGTGATTGCATTGTGAAATTCTTGTAGTGTGTTTTCCAGCTCTATCAGATTGGTTAAGTTCTTTTTTTTTTATACTGACTATTTGGTCTGTCAGCTCCTGTATCATTTTATTGTGATTCTTAGTTTCCTTGGATTGGGATTTTCCATTCTCCTGAATCCTGATGATCTTTATTCCTATACATATTTTGAATTCTATTTCTGTCATTTCAGCTCCTTCAGCCTAGTTAAGAACCCTCATGGGAGAACTAGTGAGATCATTTGAAGGACATAATACACTCTGGCCATTTGAGTTGCCAGAGTTCTTGCATTGGTTCTTTCTCATCTCTGCATGTTGGTGTTTCTTTATATGTGGGGCTGCCTCTGATAGAAGAGTTCAGGCAGGTGCACAGTGGTTGTGTTGGAGTCACAGGTCGTACAGGCTTGCCCAGTGAAGAGAAGCAAGGACTGGGACCTGCATGGAGAACTTTTCAGCCACTTTTCTGATCAATGGGTGCTCATTGATGGGTATCCAGACCAGTCCCTGGTCCCATGGAATTTCCAGAGCCTGGAGTCAGTAAGGATGTGTGCTATGAGACAGTAAGGATGGCAAACCGCCCTTCCCATTGGGAGCTCTGTCTCAGGGAGTCACAGAGTTGCTACCAGTTTGATGTCCTTCACAGGGTGTGACTGAGTATCCAGGGCAGGAATAGACCCTCTCAATGACGAGATACAGGATTGGGTACCTACATAACAAATGGTCTGGACACTTTTCGGTAGGGCTGCTGCAGTACACTGGGGGTCTGCTTCATTCCCTAATCTCCTCAGATTTTTCAGCTCCTGAAGGTATCAACAATGAAGATGGCAAAACAGTAAAGATAATGGCCTGCCCCTTCCTCTGGGAGTTCCATCCAGGGAGGTGTAATGCTGCTACCAGTGGCTGGCTGGAATTCCAAACCAGTGCATCTTATCTTGCAAGGTGCTGTGGAAGCAGAGCCTGAGTTCCATCAATGCTCAGCCTCCGAATTAAGCCCCTTCCTTAGGAGTATGTAAGGGGGCCTAACCTCTTGCTTTGCCACAGTTGGAGCTGCTTTAGTTGGATACCCTGGATACCCAGCTGCTCTGCCCAAACTACATGTAATTGTGCATGTCAGACTGGAGGTGCTGATGGAGTGGGTTCATGAAAGGATCTCCTGACCCATGGGTTGTGAAGATCCATGGAAAAAGCATGGATTCCCAGGGTTATTCATTCACTCACCACTTCCCTGGGCAACGTATACTCCCCTGGTCTGTGTTGCTTCCAAGTGGGTAGTTGTCCTGCCTTGCTTTTCTCTGTTCTGTGTGGGTTAAGTTGTTTTCTTGATTAATCCCAATGTGTGTACCTAGATGTTTTAGTTGAAGATGGTGTATTTACTCACCCCTTCTATTTCTCTCCATGAGAGTGGTATACACTTGCTACTTCCAGCCTCCCCAGTTTCGTTCTTTTTGCTTAGGATAGCTTTGACTATTCTAAGTCTATTGTGGTTCCATATAAATTGTAGGATTTTTTTTTTTTTACTTCTGTGAAGAATGTCACTGGTACTTTGATAGGGATTACATTGAATCTCTGGATTGCTTTGAGTAGTATGGACATTTTAACAATATTTTTTTCCAATCCAAGAACATGAAATATCTTTCCTTTTTTTGTGTTTCCTTTAATTACTTGCATCAATATTTGATAGTTTCCATTGTAAATATCTTCCACTTGTTTGGTTAAGTTAATTTCAAGGTATTTTATTTCATTTATAGCTATTGTAAATGAGATTACTTTTTAATTTCTTTTTCAGATTGTTTACTATTGGCATATAGAAATGCTACTAATTTATGTATGTTGATTTTGTATCCTGCAGCACTACTGAGTTCACTTATCAGTTCTTATAGTTTTTTCATGGAGTTTTTAGGTTTTTCCAAATATAAGATCATATAATGTCCAAATAAGGATAATTTGACTTTTTCCTTTCCATTTTGGATGCCGATATGGTTTGGCTGTGTCCCCCCCCTCCCAAATCTCATCTTGACTGGTAACTCCCACAATTCCCACATGTCATGAGAGGAACCCAGTGGGAGGTGATTGAATTATGGAGGTAGGTCTTTCCTGCACTGTTCTTGTGGTAGTGAATAAGTCTCACGAGATCTGAGGGTTTTAAAAAGAGGAGTTCCCTTCTTTTACACTGTTGGTGGGAGTGTAAATTAATTCAACCATTGTGGAAGACAGTGTGGTGATTCCTCAGGGATCTAGAACTAAAAATGCCATTTGACCCAGCAATCCCATTACTGGGTATATACCCAAAGTATTATAAATCATTCTACTATAAAGACACATGCACACGTATGTTTATCGCAACACTATTACAATAGCAAAGACATAGAACCAACCAAAATGCCCATCAATGATAGACTGGATAAAGAAAATGTGACACATATACACCATGGAATACTATGCAGCCATAAAAAAGAATGAGATCTTCTTTTGCAGGGACATGTCTTTTGCAGGGACATGGATGAAGCTAGAAGCCATCATTCTCAGCAAATTAACACAGGAATGGAAAAGGAAACATGTGAGGTGCAGCAAACCACCATGGCATATGTATACCTATGTAAGAAACCTGGATATTCTGCACATGTATCCCAGAACCTAAAGTAAAATTTAAAAAAGGAAAAAAAAAGAGGAGTTCCCCTGCACAAACTTTCTCTTTTCCTGCTGCCATCCATGTAAGATGTGACTTGCTCCTCCTTGCCTTCTGCCATGATTGTGAGGCTTCCCTAGCCACGTGGAACTGTAAGTCCAATTAAACCTCTTTCTTTTGTACATTGTCCAGTCATGGGTATGTCTTTATCAGCAGCATGAATATGGAATAATACAGATGCCCTTTATTTCTTTCTCTTGTCTGGTGGCTCTAGCTAGAACTTCCAGTACTATTTTAATAACAGTGGTGAAAGTGGGCATCCATGTCTTGTTCCAGATCTTAGAAGAAAGGCTTTCTGTTTTTGCTTATTCCACATGGTACTAGCTGTGAGTCAGTCATATATGGCTTTTATTATGTTGAAGGATGTTGAATTTTATCAAATGCATTTTTAGCATCAATTGAAATGATATGTTTTCTTGTCCTCCATTCTGTTGACATGATGAATCACATTAATTGCTTTCTGCATGTTCAACCATATTTGCATCTCTGGGATTAATCCAACTTGGCAATGATGAATGATCTTTTTGATGGGTTACTGAACTCAGGTTGTTACTATTTTGTGGAGGATTTTAGCCATAAGTATTTATCAGCAAGTACTCCTTGTGGCTTGGGGTGCTGGCAGCTATGGGGTGAGCCTCCTCTGCCTTAGGAAAGGGGGGTAAGTGTGAAAAGAATTGTGTCTTGTGGTTTTAGTGCAATCTCAGTTGCAGTACAGTGGCACACTAGGTAGACTTCTAAGGTATTTTACTCTATTTAGTCCTTGACTCCTAGATGGCAACTCTGGACCAACCTGGGGCCCTGAGAGAACTCAGTGACCTGAAGAGAAGGACAAGGACCAGGGTGTCTTTGCCCCCTGCTGATTGTAGAGCCCCAGGGGCTTGAGATATCATAGACAGTAGGCAGAGAGTGGTTACAGCAGGCTTTGGGTGAGACCAAGTGCTGTGCTGGCTTCAGTTCTGACCCAGTGTAGTCATAGTGGTGGTGGCCACAGGGGTTTGTGTCACTCCGCACCAAGATTTAGGTAGCTCAGAACAGAGAGAGGGAGAGAGAGAAAAAAAGAGGGAGAGGGAGAGAGAGAGACTGACTCTGTTCGGGAGAATGTAAGGAAAGGGAACAAAAGTGTCTGACTGGTAAACAGAGAAGTCTCCCAGATTGTATCCAAGACCATCAAGGTGGTACCTCTATGAATCTGCAAGAACCACAGCATTACTGGGCTTGGGGAGCTCCCTAAAAAGATACAGCTTAGATTACAACACCCATGACCTTTCAAATATCTAGAAGGCCTTTCCAAGAAAGACAGGTATAAAGAAAACCAGACAGTACTACAATAAATAGCTAACCTTTCAATGCCCAGATGCTGGAAGAACATTTACTAGCATCAACATCATCCAGGAAAAATGACAACACCAAATGAACTAAATAAGCAACTAGGGACCAATCCCATAGAAACAGAAATAAGTGAACTTTCAGACAGAGAATTCAAAATAGTTATGTTGAGAAAATGCATTAGAAATTCAAGAAAAGACAGAGAAAGATTCAGAATTCTATCACATAAATTTAGGAAAGAGGTTGAAATAATTTAAAAGAATCAAGCAAAAATTCTGGAGCTTAAACATGCAATTGACATACTGAAGAATGCACCAGAGTCCCTTAATAGCAGAACTGATCAAGCAGAAGAAAGGATTACCGAGCTTGAATACAAGATGTTCGAAAATATGGTCAGACAAGACAATAAAAAAATAAAAATAAAAAAAATGTAGCATGCCTATAGGATCTAGAAAATAGCCTCAAAAGGTCAAATCTAAGAATTATTGGACTTAAAGGGGAGGTAGTGAAAGAGATAGGGGTAGGAAGTATATTCAAAGAGATAATAACGGAGAACTTCCCAAACCTGGAGAAAGATATCAAAATCCAAGAGCAAGAGGGATATAGAACACCAAGCAGATTTAGTCCAAAAAAGCCTACCTTACAGCACTTAATAATCAAACTCTCAAAGGTCAAAGATAAAGAAATTCAAAAAGCAGAAAGAGAAAAGAAATAAATACCATACAGTGGAGCTCCAATATGTCTGGTTGCAGACTTTTCATGGAAACCTTACAAGCCAGGAGAGAGAGGCATGTCATATTTAAAGTGCTGAACTAAAAAACATCGTTTATTCTAGAAAAGTATATCTGGTAAAAATATTATAAAAACATGATGGAGAAAGCAAGGCTTTTTCAGACAAACAAAAGCTCAAAGGTTTCATCAATGCCAAGCCTGTCCTACAAGAAATGGTAGAAGGACTACTTCAATCAGAAATAAAAGGATATAAAAAAAGAAATAAAAGGACATTAATGAGAAATAAATAATCACCTAAAGGTCCAAAACTCACTGGTAATAGTAAGTACCCACAAAATCACAGAATATTATGACACTGTAACTGGTGTGCAAATTACTCTTAAGTAGAAAGAATAAATAATGAACCAATAAAAATAATAACTACAAAAACTTTTAAACATAGTAAAATAAAATATAAGTAAAAACAAAAAGGTAAAAAGCAGGGGGATGAAATTAGGGTGTCAGGTTTTTCTTAGTTTTCATTTATTTTTGTAATTTATTTTATTTTAGGCTCTGGAATACATGTCCAGGACGTGCAGGTTTGTTACATAGGTAAACGTGTGCCATGGTGGTTTGCTGCACCTGTCAACCCATCACCTAGGTATTAAGCCCTACATGCATTAGCTATTTATCCTGACGCTCTCCCTCTCTCATCCCCCAACAGGGCCCAGTGTGTGTTGTTTCCCTCCCTGTGGCCATATTTTCTTATTGTTCAGCTCCCATTTATAAGTGAGAATATCTGGTGTTTGGTTTTCTGTTCTCGTGTTAGCTTGCTGAGAATAATGACTTCCAGCTCCATCCTTCTCCCTGCAAAGGACATGACCTCATTCCTTTTTTGAGGTGCATAGTATTCCATGGTGCATATGTGCCACATTTTCTTTATCCAGTCTATCACTGATGGGCATTTGGGCTGATTCCATGTCTTGCTATTGTGAATAATGCTGCAGTGAACATATGTGTGCATGTAACTTTATAATAGAATGATTTATATTCCTTTGGGTATATACCCAGTAATGAGATTTCTGGGTCAAATGGTATTTCTGATTCTAGGTCTTTGAGTAATCACCACACTGTCTTCCACAATGGTTGAACTAATTTACATTCCCACCAACAGTGTAAAAGTGTTACTATTTCTCCACAGCCCTGCCAGCATTTGTTGTTTCTCGATTTTAATAATCACCATTCTGACTTGCATAAGATAGTATCTCATTGTGGTTGTGACTTGCATTTTTCTTTTCTTTTTTTAATTATACTTTAAGTTTCAGGGTACATGTGAACAACGTGCAGGTTTGTTACATATGTATACATGTGCCATGTTGGTGTGCTGCACCCATTAACTCATCATTTAACATTAGGTATATCTCCTAATGCTATCCCTCCCCCCTTCCCCCACCTCACAACAGGCCCCTGTGTGTGATGTTCCCCTTCCTGTGTCCATGCGTTCTCATTGTTCAATTCCAGCCTATGAGTGAGAATATGTGGTGTTTGCGTTTTTGTCCTTGCGATAGTTTGCTGAGAATGATGATTTCCAGCTTCATCCATGTCCCTACAAAGGACATGAACTCATCATTTTTTATGGCTGCATAGTATTCCATGGTGTATATGTGCCACATTTTCTTAATCCAGTCTATCATTGTTAGACATTTGGGTTGGTTCCAAGTCTTTGCTATTGTGAATAGTGCCTCAATAAACATACGTGTGCCTGTGTCTTTATAGCAGCATGATTTATAATCCTTTGGGTATATACCCAGTAATGGGATGGCTGGGTCAAATGGTATTTCTAGTTCTAGATCCCTGAGGAATTGCCACACTGACTTCCACAATGGTGGGACTAGTTTACAGTCCCACCAACAGTGTAAAAGTGTTCCTATTTCTCCACATGCTCTCCAGCACCTGTTGTTTCCTGACTTTTGAATGACTGCCATTCTAACTGGTGTGAGATGGTATCTCATTGTGGTTGTGATTTGCATTTCTCTGATGGCCAGTGATGATGAGCATTTTTTCATGTGTCTTTTGGCTGCATAAATGTCTTCTTTTGAGAAGTGTCTGTTCATATCCTTCGCCCACTTTTTGATGGGATTGTTTGATTTTTCTTGTAAATTTGTTTGAGTTCATTGTAGATTCTGGATATTAGCCCTTTGCCAGATGAGTAGATTGCAAAAATTTTCTCCCATTCTGAAGTTGGAAAACACTCTGCAGGATATTATCCAGGAGAATTTCCCCAATCTAGTAAGAAATACAGAGAACGCTACAAAGATACTCCTCGAGAAGAGCAACTCCAAGACACATAATTGTCAGATTCACCAAAGTTGAAATGAAGGAAAAAATGTTAAGGGCAGCCAGAGAGAAAGGTCGGGTTACCCTCAAAGGGAAGCCCATCAGACTAACAGCGGATCTCTCGGTAGAAACTCTACAAGCCAGAAGACAGTGGGGGCCAGTATTCAACATTCTTAAAGAAAAGAATTTGCAACCCAGAATTTCATATCCAGCCAAACTATGCTTCATAAGTGAAGGAGAAATAAAATCCTTTACAGACAAGCAAATGCTGAGAGATTTTGTCACCACCAGGCCTGCCCTAAAAGAGCTCCTGAAGGAAGCACTAAACATGGAAAGGAACAACCAGTACCAGCCACTGCAAAAACTTGCCAAATTGTAAAGACCATGGAGGCTAGGAAGAAACTGCATCAACTAACGAGCAAAATAACCAGCTAACATCATAATGACAGGATCAAATTCACACATAACAATATTAACCTTAAATGTAAATGGGCTAAATGCTCCAATTAAAAGACACAGACTGGCAAATTGGATAAAGAGTCAGGACCCATCAGTGTGCTGTATTCAGGAAACCCATGTCACGTGCAGATACACATATAGGCTCAAAATAAAGGGATGGAGGAAGATCTACCAAGCAAATGGAAAACAAAAAAAGGCAGGCGTTGCAATCCTAGTCTCTGATAAAACAGACTTTAAACCAACAAAGATCAAAGAGACAAGGCCATTACATAATGGTAAAGGGATCAATTCAACAAGAAGAGCTAACTATCCTAAATATATATGCACCCAATACAGGAGCACCCAGATTCATAAAGCAAGTCCTTAGAGACCTACAAAGAGATTTAGACTCCCACACAATAATAATGGGAGACTTTAACACCCCACTGTCAACATTAGACAGATCAACGAGACAGAAAGTTGACAAGGATATCCAGGAATTGAACTCAGCTCTGCACCAAGCGGACCTAATAGACATCTACAGAACTCTCCACGCCAAATCAACAGAATGTACATTCTTTTCAGCACCACACCACACCTATTCCAAAATTGACCACATAGTTGGAAGTAAAGCACTCCTCAGCAAATGTGAAAGAACAGAAATTATAACAAACTGTGTCTCAGACCACAGTGCAATCAAACTAGAACTCAGGATTAAGAAACTCACTCAAAACCCCTCAACTACATGGAAACTGTGAACAACCTGCTCCTGAATGACTACTGGGTACATAACGAAATGAAGGCAGAAATAAAGATGTTCTTTGAAGCCAACGAGAACACAGACACAACATACCAGAATCTCTGGGACACATTCAAAGCAGTGTGTAGAGGGAAATTTATAGCACTAAATGCCCACAAGAGAAAGCAGGAAAGATCTAGAATTGACACCCTAACATCACAATTAAAAGAACTGGAGAAGCAAGAGCAAACATATTCAAAAGCTAGCAGAAGGCAAGACATAACTAAGATCAGTGCAGAACTGAAGGAAATAGAGACACAAAAAACCCTTCAAAAAATCAGTGAATCCAGGAGCTGGTTTTTTTGAAAAGATCAACAAAGTTGATAGACTGCTAGCAAGACTAATAAAGAAGAAAATAGAGAAGAATCAAATAAATGCCATAAAAATGATAAAGGGGATATCATCACTGATCTCACAGAAATACAAACTACCATCAGAGAATACTATAAACACCTCTATGCAAATAAACTAGAAAACCTAGAAGAAATGGATAAATTCCTTGACACATACACTCTCCCAAGACTAAACCAGGAAGAAGTTGAATCTCTGAATAGACCGATAACAGGCTCTGAAATTGAGGCAATAATTAATAGCTTACCAACCAAAAAAAAAAAAAAACAGCCGAATTCTACCAGAGATACAAGGAGGAGCTGGTACCATTCCTTCTGAAACTATTCCAGTCAATATAAAAAGAGGGAGTTCTCCCTAACTCATTTTATGAGGCCAGCATCATCCTGATACCAAAGCCTGACACACACACAACAAAAAAAGAGAATTTTAGACCAATATCCATGATGAACATTGCTGCAAAAATCTTCAATAAAATAGTGACTTGAATTTTCTAATGATGAGTGATGTTGAGCTTTTTTTTCATGTTTGTTGGCCATATAAATGTCTTCTTTTGAGAAATGTCTCTTCATTTCCTTTGCCCACTTTTTAATGGTTTTTTTTTCTTGTAAATTTGTTTAAGTTCCTTGTAGATTCTGGGTATTAGACCTTGGTCAGATGGATAGATTGTAAAAATTTTCTCTCATTTTTTAGGCTGTCTGTTCACTCTGATGATAGTTTCTTTTGGTGTGCAGAAGCTCTTTAGTTTAATTAGATCCCATTCATCAATTTTTGCTTTTGTTGCAATTGTTTTTGACATCTTTGTCATGAAATCTTTGCCTGTGCTTATGTTCTGAATGGTATTGGCTAGATTTTCTTCTAGGGTTTTTATAACTTTGGGCTTTCCATTTAAGTTTTTAATCCATCTTTAGGTAATTTTTGTATAAGGTGTAAGGAAGGCAACCAGTTTCAATTTTCTGCATATGGCTAGCCAGTTATCCCAGCACCATTTATTAAATAGGAGATTCTTTCCCCGTTGCTTCTTTTTGTCAGGTTTGTTGAAGATCAGATGCTTGTAGATATGCAGTCTTATTTCTGAGATCTCTATTCTGTTCAATTTGTCTATGTTTCGGTTTTGTACCAGTACCATGCTGTTATGGTTACTGTAGCCTTGTAGTGTAGTTTGAAGTCAGGTAGCATGATGCCTCCCTCTTTGTTCTTTTTCTCTAGGATTGTCTTGGCTATACAGGTTCCTTTTTGGTTCCATATGGATTTTAAAGTAGCTTTTCTTCTAATTCTGTGAAGAGTGTCACTGGTAGTTTAAAGGGAATAGAACTGAATCCATAAATTACTTTAGGCAGTATGGCCATTTTCATGATATTGATTCTTTCTATCCATAAGCATGGAATGTTTTTTTCATTTTTTGTGTGTCCTTTTTGATTTCTTTGAACAGTGGTTTGTAGTTCTCCTTGAAGAGGTCCTTAACTTCCCATTTTAGCTATATTCCTAGGTATTTCATTCTCTGTGTAACAGTTGTGAATGGGAGTTCATGCATGATTTGGTTCTCTGCTTGCCTGTTGTTGATGTATAGGATTGCTTGTGACTTTTGCACATTGATTTTGTATCCTGATACTGCTGATATTGTTTATCAGCTTAAGACACTTTTGGGCTGATATGATGGGGGTTTTCTAGGTATAGGATCATGTCATCTGCAAACAGAGACAGTTTGACTTCCTTTGTTCCTATTTGAACACCTTTATTTCTTTCTCTTGCCTGATTGCCCTGGCCAGAACTTTCAATGCTATGTTGATTAGGAGTGGTGAGAGGGAGCATCCTTGTCTTGGGTGGGTTTTCAAGGGGAATGCTTCCAGCTTTTGCCCATTCAGAATGATATTGGCTGTGGGTTTACCATAAATGGCTCTTATTATTTTGAGGTATGTTCCTTCAATATCTAGTTTCTTGACAGTTTTTAAAATGGAGGGAGTTGAATATTATCAAAGGCCTTTTCTGTGTCTATTGAGATAATTATGTTTTTTTTCTTTAGTTCTGTTTATGTGATGAATTTCATTTATTGATTTGTGTATGTTGAGCAAGTCTTTCATCCCAGGGATAAAGCCGACTTGGTAATGGTGGATAAGCTTTTGGATGTGCTGCTGGATTTGGTCTGCCAGTATTTTATTGAGGATTTTTGCATCAAATTTATCAGAGATATTGGCCTGACGTTTTCTTTTTTTGTTGTATCTCTGCCAGATTTTGGTGTCAGGATGATGCTGGCCTCCTAAAATGAGTTAGGAAGAAGTTTCTCCTTTTCAATTGTTTAGAATAATTTCAGAAGAAATGGAACTAGCTCCTCTTTGTACCTCTGATGGAATTCAGCTGTAAATCCATCTGGTCCTGGGCTTCTTTTGATTGGTAGGGTATTTATTACTTTTGCACAGAGGTGTTTGTAGTGTTCTCTGATGACGTTTTGTATTTCTGTGGGGTCAGTGGTGATATCCCCCTTATCATTTTTCACTGTGTCTATTTGATTCTTCTCTCATTTCTTCCTCATTAGTCTAGTTAGCAGTCTATTTTATTTTTTCAAAAAACCAGCTCCTAGATTCATTGATTTTTTTAAGGGGTTTCATGTCTCTATCTCCTTCAGTTCCACTCCTATCTTTGTTATTTATTATCTCCTGCTAGCTTTGGGGTTTGTTTGCTCTTGATTCTCTAGTTCTTTTAGTTTTGATGTTAGTGTGTCAATTTGAGATTTGTCTAGCTTTTAGATGTGAGCATTTAGTGCTATAAATTTCCCTCTTAACTCTGCTGTAGCTGCGTCCCAGAGATTCTGGTAAGTTGTCTCCTTGTTCTCATTGGTTTCAAAGAACATCTTGATTTCTGTCTTAATTTCATTATGTACCCAGTAGTCATTCAGAAGCAGGTTGTTCAATTTCCAGGTAGTTGTGTGGTTTTGACTGAGTTTCTTAATCTTCAGTTATAATTTGATTGCACTGTGGTCTGAGTGACTGTTTGTTATGATTTCTGTTCTTTTGCATTTGCTCAGGAGTGTTTTACTTTCAATCATGTGATTGATTTTACAGTAAGTGCCATGTGATGCTGAAAAGAACGTATATTCTGTTGTTTTGGGGTTGAGAGTTCTTTAGATACCTGTCAGGTCCACTTGAGCCAGAGCTGAGTTGAAGTCCTGAATATCCTTGTTAACTTCCTGTCTCAATGATCTAATATTGACTGTAGAATGTTAAAGTCTCCCACTATTATTGTGTGGTAGTCTTAGCCTCTTTGTATGTCTCTAAGAATTTGTTTTATGAACTTGGGTGCTCCTGTATTGGGTGCACATATATTTAGGATAGTTAGCTCTTCTTGTTGAATTGATCCCTTTACCGTTATGTAATGTGCTTATTTGTCTTTTTTGATTTTTGTTGGTTTAAAGTCTGTTTTGTCAGAAACTAGGATTGCAACCCCTGATTTTTCTCTGCTTTCCATTTGCTTGGTAAATTTTCTTCCATCCCTTTATTTTGAGCCTATGTGAGTCTTTGCACATGAGATGGCTCTCTCTTGAATACAGCACACCAATGGGTCTTGACTCTTTATCCAGTTTACCATTATATGCCTTTTAATTGGGGCATTTAGCCCATTTACATTTAAGGCTAATATTGTTATGTGTGAATTTGATCCTGTCATCATGATGCTAGCTGGTTATTTAGCAGACTTGTTGATGTAGTTGCTTCATAGTGTCATTGGACTTTGTACTTCCGTGTATTTTTGCAGTGGCTGGTAATGGTTTTTCCTTTCCATAGTTAGTGCTTCCTTCAGGAGCTCTTGCAAGGTAGGCCTGGTGGTGTCGAATTCCCTCAGCATTTGCTTGTCTGAATAGGATTTTATTTCTCCTTCACTTACGAAGCTTAGTTTAGCAAGATATGAAATTCTTGGTTGGAAATTTTTTTCTTTAAGAATGTTGACTATTGACCCCCATTCTCTTCTAGCTTGTAGGGTTTCTGCTGAGAGGTCCACTGTTAGTCTGATGGGCTTCCCTTTGTAGGTGACCTGGCCTTTCTCTCTGGCTGCCGTTAACATTTTTGCCTCCATTTCAACCTTGGAGAATCTGATGATTATGTGTCTTGGGGTTGATCTTCTCAAGGAAGATTTTACTGCGGTTGTATGGATTTCCTGAATTTGAATGTTGGTCTGTCTTGTTAGGTTTGGGATGTTCTCCTGGATGATTTTCTGAAGTATGTTTTCCAACTTGGTTCTGTTCACCTTTTCTCTTTCAGGTACCCTGATCAGTCATAGATTTGATGTTTTTACATAATCCCATAGTTGTCAGGGTTTTTGTTCATTCCTTTTCATTCTTTTTTCTCTAATCTTGTCTGCCTGTCTGATTTCTGAAAGTTATAGTCTTCAAGCTCTGAAATTCATTCCTTTGCTTGGTCTATTCAGTTATTGATACTTGGGTTTGCATTGTGAAGTTCTCGTGTTGGGAATTTCAGCTCTATCAGGTCATTTATGTTCCTCTGTAAAATGGTTATTCTGTTAACAGCTCCTGTAATGTTTTATCATGGTTCTTAGCTTCTTTGCATTGGGTTAGAACATGTTCCTTTAGCTCAGTGAAGTTTCTTATTACCCACCATCTGAAACCTACTTCTGTCCATTCATCCATCTCAGCCTCCTCCTAGTTCTGTGTCCTTGCTGGAGATGTGTTTTGATCATTTGGAGGAGAAGAAGCACTCTGGGTTTTTTAGTTTTCAGCGTTTTGTTGTTGTTGTTATTGATTCTTTCTCATATTCATGAGTTTATCTAGCTTTGATCTTTGAGGTTGCTGACCTTTGGATGGGGTTTTATAGGAACTTTTTTGTTGACACTGTTGTTGTTACTGCTTTCTGTTTGTTTTCATTGTAATAGTCAGGCCCCTGCTCTGTAGGGCTGTTGCTGTTTGCTGGGGGTCCACTCCAGACACTATTCACCTGGGTCCCTGCTATACCTGGAGGTGTCAATGATAGAGGCTGCAGAATAGCAAAGATGGCTACCTGCTCCTTCCTCTGGGATGTCTCTCCCAGGGAGGCATTGACCTGATGCCAGTGGAAATGCTACTGTATAAGGTGTCTGGTAACCCCTGTTGGAGGTCTCACCCAGTCAGGAGGCATGGGATCCAGGACAAACAAAGCAGTCTGGCTGCTGCTTGGTGGAGGGTGTGTGCTGACCCCTGGGTAATCCCACTCATCTCGACTACCTGGATCCCTCAGAGCTAGCAAGGGGAAAGACTAAGTCGGCTGGATCCATGGAGGCCATGGCCTCCCATCCTCCCAGGGGCTCAGTTCCAGGGAGATGATAGTTCTGTCCCTAAACCCCTGGTTGGAGGGGTTTGAGGAGGGATGGGTCAGGGTCCAGCTTAAAGAGGCAGTCTAGTTGTGATCTGCCACAGACACTGTGCTGTGCTGTGGAGAATTTCTCCTGGGTCCAAACCATCCAGTCTCCCCAGCACCAGCAGGAAAAAAAATGGCAGACTGCAGCAGCAGTGATGGCTGCCACCCTTCTCTCCAGGAGCTCATTTGTCTTAGGCAGCAGGCAGCTGCAGTGATGATGGCTGCCCCTCCTCCCAGGGACTCAGTAGTCTTAGGCAGTCTCAAGCCGAGTGACCACTGAGAATCTGCACATCTCTGTGCTTGGGACCCAAGACCCTGGTGGTGTGGGCTCATAAGGAGGTCTCCTGATCCATAGATCAATGGAAAAAGTATGGTTTCTCAGGCAGAGTAGCACAATCACTCACCGCCTCCCTTGGTTGGAAGTGGGAGTTCCCCTTGCCCCATGTGGCTCCCAGGTGGGCTGTCGCACCACCCTGCTTTTCCTCATTCTCTGTGGGCCACTCCAACCATCAGTCAGTCCCAATGAGAGAACCTGAATACCTTAGTTTCCAGTGCAGGATTTATTGGCCATTTTTGTTCTTCTCAGTTGGAGCCTCTGACCACAGCCATTTCTAGTCAGCCATCTTGGCCCCTCCCCGTAGTTTTATTTTCCCTTTTTTGTTTGCTTATACAAATAGTGTTAAGTTGTTATCAGTTTAAAATAATAGGTTATATAGTATTTGCATGTCAAAGAAAACATACAATGGATACACAAAAAATAAAAAGTAAGAAACTAGATCATATCACCAGATAAAATCACCTTCACTAGAGGAAGGCAAGAAGGAAAGAAAGAAGAAAAGGAAGACCACAAAACAACCAGGAAACAAGCAAAAAGTAGAAAGAGTAAGTTCTTACCAATACTAACAATGAATGCAAATGGATTAAACTCCCAAATCAAAAGACATAGACTGGCTAAAAGGATGAAAAACAAAAAAAGATGCATTGATCTGTTGCCTACAAGAAACACACTTTACCTATAAAGACACACATAGACTGAAAATAAATGGATAGAAAAAAGGTATTCCTTGCCAATGGAAAACAAGAAAGAGCAGTTGTCACTATACTTATATCAGGAAAATAGATTTTAACATAAAAGAATACAAAGAAACAAAGAAGGTCACTATATTATGATAAAGGGGTCAATTCAGCAAGAGGATGTAACAATTTTAAATATATAGGCACACAACATAGGAGCACCCAGATATATAAAGGAAATATTATTAGAGCTAAAGGGAGAGATAAGCCACAATATGGTTATAGCTGGAGACTCCCACACCCCACTTTGAGCATCAGAGAGATCTTCCAGATAGAAAATCAACAAGGAAACATGAGACTTACTTGGCACTGTAGACCAAATTGACCTAATTACAGAACATTTCATCCGATAGCTGTAGAATAAACATTCTTCTCCTCAACACGTGGATCATTCTCAAGTATAGATGATATGTTAGGTTACAAAACAAGCCTTAAAATATTCAAAAATTAGAAATAGTGTCAAGCATATTATCTGATCACGATGGAATAAAATGAGAAATTAATAATAGTAAGAATTTTGGAAACTATATAAACACATGAAAATTAAGCAATATGCTCCTGACTGACCAGTGGGTCAATAAAGAAATTAAGAAAAAATTTATTGAAGCAACTGATAATGGAAACATAACATACTAAAACCTATGGGATACAGCAAAAGCAGTACAAGTGCTTACATCAAAAAAGAGTAAAACTTCAAATGAACAATCTAACAATGAATCTTAAAGAACTTAGCAAAGTGAGAGCTAACCTAAATTAGAAGAGAAAAAGAAATAAGAAATATTGGAGCAGAAATCAATGAAATTTAAATGAAAAAAGCAATACAAAAGATCAATGAAGGAAAAAGTTGGTTTTTTGAAAAGTTAAACAAAATAGACAAACCTTTAGCCAGAATAAGAAAAAGAGAAGATACAAATCAATAAAATTAAGAATGAAAAAGGAAACATTACAACTGATATTGCAGAAAGTCAAGGTTTCGTTATTGGCTACTATGAGGACCTTTATGCCAATAAATTGGAAAATCTAGAAGAAATAGTCAAATTTGTAGATACATACAACCTACCAATATTGAACCAGGAAGAAATCTAGAACCTGAACAGACCAATAATAAGTAACAAGATTGAAGCTGTATTTGTTCTCACACTTCTATAAAGGACTACCTGAGACTGGGTCATTTGTGAATAAAAGATGTTTAGTTGACTCACAATTCTGCAGGATTAACAGGAAGCATGACTGGAAGGTGTCAGGAAACTTGCAATCATGGTGGAAGGTGAAGAAGAAGCAAGCACTTTCTTCATATGGTAGCAGGAGAGAGAGGGAGTGAAGGGGGAAGTGCTGCACACTTTTAAACAATGAGATCTTGTGAGAACTCACTCAATGTCATGAGAACAGCAAGAGGGAAATCCACCCCCATGATCCAATTACTTCCCACCAGGCTGCTGACATGTGGGGATTACAAGTGACATGAGATTTTGGTGGGTACACAGAGCCAAACCATATCAGAAACCATAATAAAAAGTCTCCCAGTAAAAAAAAAAAAAAAAGAAAAAAAAAAAGCAAGCCCAGGACCCAGTGACTTCACTGCTGAATTCTACCAAACATTTAAATAAGAACTAATACCAATCTTACTCAAACTAACTCAAAAAACAGGTGAGGAGGGAGTACTTTCAAACTCATTCTGTGAGGCCAGTATTATCCTGATACCAAAATCAGACAAAGACACTTCAAGAAAAGAAAATCAGACAAAGACACTTCAAAAAAACTACAGGCCAACCTCACTGATGAAAGTGATTTAAAAAATCCTCAACAAAATACTAGCAACCCAAATTCAATAATACATTAAATAGATCGTTCGTCATGACCAAGTGTGATTTATCCCTGGGATGCAAGTTTAGTTCAACATATGCAAATGAACCAATGTGATACATCATATCAACAGAAGGAAGAATGAAAACCACATTATAATTTCAATTGATGCTGAAAAAGCATTTGATAAAATTTAACAACCGTTCATGATAAAAATCCTCAAAAATCTGGGGATAGAAGAAACATACCTCAACATAGTAAAATTCATATATGACAAATCCACAGCTAGTATCATATTGAATGTGGAAAAACTGAAAGCCTTTTCTCTAAGATCTGGAACACAACGAGAATGCTGACTGTCACTACTGTTATTCAACATGGTACTAGAAGTCCTAGCTAGAGCAATCAGGCAAAAGAAAGATATAAAGGACATCCAAACTGAAAAGGAAGAAGTCAAATTATCCTTGTTTGCAGATAGATGATCTTGTAAAAACCTGAAGACTTCACAAGAAAACTATTAGAACTGATAAACAAATTCAGCAATGTTGCAGGATACAAGATCAACATACAAAAATTAGTAGCATTTTTATATGCCAATAGTGAACAGTATGAAAAATAAATTTAAAAAGTAATCCCATTTACAATAGCCACAAAAAAAATGAAATGCCTATAATTAACCAAAGACATGAAAGATCTCTACAATGAAAACTGTAAAACACTGATGAAAGAAATTGAAGAGGACACCCCAAAATGGAAAAATGTTCCATGTTCATGGATTGGAAGAATTAATATTATTAAAATGTCCATACACTCAAAGGAAAGTATCCACAGACACTTTGAACAAAGCAGCAGGATGTGATGTACTCCATGAGACAACTGAAAAACTGCAAGTTTCCTGTGTGTGATCAGTGAAGTGATTGCCTCCAGGATACACATCTACACTGTGGAATCTGAAAATCCAGGTCATGGGAGAAGACCTTAACCTTACCCATAGCTGAAACTGATTTAGGGAGTGGTGAGAAACATAAAAGTAGAAGCAGCAGAGGTAAGTGCCTTGTATGCATTCCCAGTCTCTAGCATTGACCAAAGGAAGCCATTCTTGATTATATCTCACAGAAGACCTCGGGGAAGTCAACCAACTAGCTCAGGGAGTGGTTTACAGGGTGAAAGAAGCTCTCAGCTAAATTTTGTGATAAAATTACAAGTGGAGCTGAACTCCCTTTACCAGAACCTGGGGTCAAGCTGAAAGTGTGCTGTAGACACCAGCACAGGATCTGTGTGCCCAGTCCTGTGGGAGAGCTTCTTTCGCCCTGCATCCCCTCCCTGTGTGGGAGTATGTGGGAGGGGCATGGCCTGAAAGTTGTGGTTGATATTTCTGTGGGGAAAGGTTATGCCCTGGAGCAGGTCTGTGTCCTGTACACATACTGTCTGGATCTTAACCTGGTGCTGTTAGTGGAGCACTGTGCAGTGAAATCTGCCTTGCCAACTGCATGGGAGCTGGGTGACACTGCCGTTGCTACTCCTCACTCCCACTGTGAACTCTTCTGTGCAGTAGAGGCAGTTATACACCCCATCTGGAGCATTACCCCAGCAGCCTGAGAGCCACCCCTTGACCCTCACAAGGGCCACAGCTTTCCCCTCTCATGAAGAGTCAGAGTGCAGACTCACCTAAACCTGTACCACCTGGTTGTGCCCCTCTACCTGCCCTGGTTGCTTAACACGAAGTAGATAAATATTTGAGAGATTTATAGCTCTACCTATTGCCTGAGAAACCAGAATACTTCTTCTGGGAAATTTAGGGCAAGCTCAAATCCCACTGCTACTACCACAGCTGGTGCTCTTTTGCAAGTGCCATCTCCTGGATGGAGACCAACCAACACAGTCCATTACAGCATGTCTAGGTAGAATAACACTGCACCCAGGAAGGAGAAACAGCGGTGTGACTTCAGCTATCACCACTGCCTGCAACACCCTGGCTAACCAGAGGCCCTGAATCTGTCTGTATGACAAGTTGACTACTTTTATAAACAACATTCGAGAAAACCAGCACACTAAGCCTATCTCCAATGAAGGAATCTCACAGAGTAGATGCCACTCCTTGTTATGTTATCCTCATCAGAGTTGGTGCTGGTACCCACTGCTGGGAGACTTGAAGACAGGTCACATCACCAAATCCCTTGCAGACATTCCCTAGCACCAGCCCAGAGTGTGGCAGCCCCACTGGGTGGCTAGATCTGGAAGAGCAATAGCAATCATTGTAGTCTGGCTCTCAGGAATTCCTACTGTTAGGGGAAGGGGGAGATCACCCCATCAAGAGAACACCCTGTGGGACAAAGGAATCTGCACAGCAGGTCTTCTGTCTTAGATCTTTCCACTGGTGGGAACTTTCTTTCAGCAAAGACACAATTGTGGTGCTGGGCACAGCAGAGAAATTCTGGGCCTCTACCCAAAGAATCAGGCAGCCTTTGTGCTCATGTAGGGTCTTGGAGAAGGGGTCCTTGTTCCCCCTTGTCCAGCACGGCAGACACAGCTGGGGCTTCTCCCACAGGAACTCAGCATGGATGCATCTATAGACAAGCTTCCTGGAACAATTCACGGTGATTGCATCACTACAGGAGGAGCACTTTCCAGGTTCAGGCTTGCGTGAGAGGCAGAATCACAATTCCTTATTACTTGGAACATCAACATTCCTACAAATGAAAAGAGTTGCCTGTTTGATCTGAATAGCTGGAACACTGGGACAGCAGTGAAGTTTGGAGGTGGATAGCTTTCCTCTTGGCCTGGCAGGGAAGCTGAGGCAGTTCCCAACCTTCAAGCTAATATAAACTCAGTGCATCTAATTTAGACCTCTGTCAGTCACCTTCATCAAGGCAGGAACCTCTGCCCACCATTGGGTATTGCATCTACCCACCTGCTTTAGCTACAACCAGTTTGTACCCAGGGATACCTGCCCTAATAGCCTGAAGCCTGAACCATCAACTCACTAAATAAAGAACTGGGGAAAAATCAAATAAAAAACACACACACACACACACCATGGGTGAATGAGATAAGCTTTGAGATCCTTTCCATTCCAACCCCATAGGAGACAATGAACTTGCCCACACACTGAATACATAACTACTACAATCAACATCTGAGACAGCCAGCACACAAAGACTCTCTAAAACCAAGAAACTCATACAGAGTCTTTTCCCTTAAAAGCACCAAGAACCAAATTAGACTATAATAAGCTATAAACATTAAAGACACATTTTTAAGAGGAAAAAAAAACACAGATCAAAAATAAATTCAATAACAATTTGAAGATATAGTCTACCCAAATGAGAAGGAACCAGAAAAATAATTCCGGTAATATGACAAAACAGGGTCCTATAACACCCCCAAGAGATCACATTAGCTCCTCAGCAATAGAGCCAAACCAAGATGAAACCTTTGAAATTCCAGATAAAGAACTTAGAAGGTTGATTCTTAAGCTGCTCAAGGAGAGATACCAGAGAAAGGTGAAAACCAAGATAAAGAAACTAAAAATATAATTCTGGATAAGATGAATAATTTTCCAGAGAGATAGCTATCATAAAGAAAAAACAATCAGAATTTCTAAAAATGAAAGACACACTTAGGGAAATACAAAATGTAGTGGAAATTTTCAATAATAGACTAAAAAGACTAGAAGAAAGAACATCAGAGCTTGAAGACATGGTTTTTTAATTAAGCCTGTCAGGCAAAGATAACAAAAAAAGAAGCAAAAGAAAGGTACAATGGCTCCAGGAAATATGGGATTATGTAAAACGACTGTATTAGTCTGTTCTTGCATTGCTATAAAGAAATACCTGAGACTGGGTAATTTATAAAGAAAAGAGGTTTAATTTGCTCACAGTTCTGCAGGCTGCACAGTAAGCATAACGGATTCTTCTGGGGGAGGACTCAGAAAATTACAATCATAGGAGAAAGCAAAAGAGGAGGCACATCTTACATGGCCAGAGCAGAAGGAGAGGGGAGGAGGTGCTGCATATTTTTAAGCAACCAAAGCTCATGATAACTCACTCACTATCATGAGAATAGCACCAAGGGGATGGTGCTAACCCATTTATGAGAACTCTGTCCCTATGATCCAGTCACCTCCCAATAGGCCCCACCTCCAACATTGGGGATTACAATTTGACATGATATTTTTTAGGGACACAGATTCAAACTGTATCTATAGCCAAACCTAAGAATAGCTGGTGTGCCTGAGGGAGAAGAGAAGGCTTAACATTTAGAAAATGTATTTGAGGAAATAATTGAGATAAACATCCCTGGCCTTACTAGAGATTTAGATGTCCAAATACAAGAGCTCAAAGAATTGCTGAGAAATTCATTGCAAAAAGATAATCATCAAGGCACATAGTCATCAGACTACCTAAAGTCAACACAAAGGAAAGAATTCTAAGAGTTGTGAGACAAAAGCATCAGGTAATCCATAAAGGAAAACCTATCAGACTAATAGCAGACTTCTAAGCAGAAACCTTACAAGCTAGAAGGGACTGAAGTCCTATCTTTAGCCTCTTTAAACAGAATAATTGTCAGCCAAGAATTTTATACCCAGCAAAACTAAGCTTCATAAATGAAGGAGAGAGAAACTATTTTTCAGACAAATGCAGAGGGAATTTGCCACTACCAAATCAGCACTAAATAAAATGCTATAAGAAATTCTAAAACTTGAAACAAAGCTCAAAGTGCAGCAAAATAGCACCTCCTAAAAGAATAAAACCCATAAGGCCCATAAAACAATAGCACAATGGAAAAAAGAAAGTATCTAGGTAACAACTACCATGATGAATAGAAATAGTACCTCACATCTCAATATTAACACTGAATATAAATTTCCTAAATGCTCTACTTAAAAGGTACAGAATGGTAGAATGGATAAAAGAAATCACAAACCAAATATCTGCTGTCTTCAAAAGACTCACCTAACACATAAAGATCCATATAAACTCAAGGTAAAGGGGTAGAAAAAGAATTCCACATAAATGGAAACAAAAAGCAAGTAGGAGTAGTTATTCTTATATCAGACAAAACGGACTTTAAAGCATCAACAGTAAAAAAAAACAAAGAAGAATATTATATAGTGATAAAAATGATCAATTCAGCCAGAAGATATTACTATCCTAAATTTATATGCACCTAACATTAAAGCTCTCGGATTTATAAAATCAATTACTACTGGACCTAAGAAGTGAGGTAGACAGCAGTACAATAAAAGTGGGGGAATTTCAGTACTCCACAGACAGCACCAGACAGATCATCAAGAAAGAAAGTCAACAAAGAAATAATACAGTTAAACTATACTGTACCCTAGAACATATAGACTTAACAGATATTTACAGAGCATTCTTCCCAACAAATGCAGAATACACATTCTTCTCATCAGCACATGGAACATTCTCCAAGATAGACCATATGATAGGTCACAAAACAAGTCTCAATAAATTCAAGAAAATAAAAATCATATCAAATGTCTTCTCAGACCACAGTGGAATAAAACTGGAAGTCAACTCCAAAAGGAACCCTCAAAACTATTAAATAATCTGTTCTTGAATGATTTTTGGATTAACAATGAAATTAAAATGGAAACTTAAAGCAATATTTGAAATGAGTGATAATAGTGACATAAGTTATGAAAACCTATGAGATACAGCAAACACAGTGCTAAGAGGAACTTTCATAGCATCAAATGCCTATATTGAACAGTCTGAAAGAACACAAACTGACCATCTAATGTCACACCTCAAAGAACTCGAGAAACAAGAACAAACCAAACCCAAATCAAGTGGAAGATAAGAAATAAGAAAGATAAGAACAGAACTAAATGAAATTGAAACAACCAAAAATACAAAAGATAAGTAAAAGAAAAAGTTGGTTTTTTGAAAAGATAAAAAGAACTGATAAACAATTAATGAGATTAATCAAGAATAGAAAATTGAAGATCAAAATAAGTTCAGTTAGAAATGAAACTGGAGACATTACAACCAATGCCACAGAAATCCAAAAGATTACTCAAGGCTACTGTGAACACCTTTACATGGACAAACTAGAAAATCTAGAGGTAATGGACAAATTCCTGGAAACATACAACCCTCTTAGATTAAGTTGGGAAGAAATAGAAACCCTGAACAGACCAATAAGAAGCAGCACAATTAGTAATAAAAAAATTGCCAACAAATACAGCTCAAGACAGATGGATTCACAGCTGAATTCTACCAGACATTCAAATAAGAACTGTTACCAATCCTACTGAAACTATTCCAAAATATAAAGAGGGAATTCTCCCTAACTCATTGTATGAAGGCAGTACCATCCTAATATCAAAATCAGGAAAGGACACCACAAAAAAAGAAAACTACAGACCAATATTCGTGATGAACATAGATGAAAAAATTCTCAACAGAATACGAGGTAACCAATTCTAACAGAGCAAGTGGATTTCATCCCAGAAATGCAGGAATGGTTTAACATACACAAGTCAGTAAATGTGATATGTAGCATAAACAGAATTAAAAAGAAAAACCTTATGACCATATTGATAGATGCAGAAAAAGCACTTGACAAAACCCAGCATCCCATTATGATAAAAACCTTCAACAAACTAAGTGTAGAATGGACTTACTTCAAATTAACAATAAGCTGTATAGGACAAACCCACAGCCAATATCATACTAAATGGGAAAAAGTTGAAAGCATTCCTTCTGAGAACTGGACTACTTTAACCACTTCTATTCAACATAGTACTGGAAGTCCTAGCCAGAGCAATTAGGCAAGAGAAAAAAATAAAGGACATCCAAATTGGAAAAGGAAGTCAAACTGGCACTGTTCATTGATGATGCGATCATATACCTAGAAAACCCTAAAGACTCACCCAAAAAGTTCCTAGGTCTGATAAGAAAATTCAGTGAAGTCTCAGGATAAAAAATCAATGTACATACTGCTACACACCAGGAACAACCAAGCTGAGAAACACATCGGGAACTCAATCCCTTTTACAACAGCTGCAAACAATAAAATACTTAGGCATATACTTGACCAAGAAGGTGAAAGATCTCTACCAGGAAAATGACAAATCACTGCTGAAAGAAATCATAGATGACACAAACAAATGGAAACAGATCCCATGCTCATGAATAGGAAGAATCAATATTGTGAAAATCAACATACTGCCCAAAGTAATCTACAGATTTGGTGCAATTCCCATCAAAATACCACCATCATTTTTCACAGAAATAGAAAAAACAATTCTAGAATTCATATGGAACCAATAAAGAGCCCTCATAGCCAAAGCAATACTAAACAGAAAAAAATCTGGAGGCATTACATTACAAGACTTCAAATTATACTACAAAGCTATAGTTAACAAAGCAGCATGGTACTTGTATAAAAATAGGCACTTAGAACAATGGAACACAATAGATAACCCAGAAATAAAGCCAAATACAACAAATCTTTGACAAAGCATACAAAAACATAAATTGGGGAAAGAACACCCTATTCAATACATGATGCTGGGAAAACTGAAAAGCCAGATGTAGAAGAATGAAACTAGATCCTCATCTGTTACCTTCTATAAAAATCTATTCAAGGTGGATTAAAAACTTAAATCTAAGATTGGAAACCATAAAAATTCTAGAAGATAACATCGGAAAATCTCTTCTGGACATTGGCCTAGGCAAAGAATTCATAACTGAGACCTCAAAAGCAAATACAAGAAGAACAAAAATAAATAAGGGAAGCTAATTAAACTGAAAAGGTTTCTGCATAGCAAAAGAAATAATCAGCAGAGTAACCAGACAACCCACAGAGTGAGAGAAAATATTTGCAAACTTTGCATCAGAGAAATTACTATTATCCAGAATCTACCAGGAACTCAAACAAATTAGCAAATAATAATAATAATCATCCCATCAAAAAGTGGGCAAAAGTCGTGACTAGACATTTACTAAAAGAAGATATACAAACAGTGAACAAACAAATGAAAATATGCTCAACATCACTAATCATCAGAGATATGCAAATTAAAATTACAGTGACATACCACCTTACTTCTGCAAGAATGGCCACAATTAAAAAGTCAAAGTACGATAGATGTTGGAGTGGATGTGGTGAAAAGGGAACACTTTTACACTGCTGGTGGGAATGTAAATTAGTACAATCACTATGGAAAACAGCATGGAGATTCCTTAAATAGCTGAAAGTAGATCTACCATTTGATCCAGCAATCCCATGGCTGGGTATCTACCCAAAGGGAAAAAACCTATTATATGAAAAACACACACACACATAAGCATGTTTATAGCAGCAAAATTTGCAATTGCAAAGACATGGAACCAACCTAACTGCCCACCAGCCAGTAAGAGTGGACAAAGAAAATGTGGAGTATATACACCATGGAATAATAGCCAAAAAAAGAAACAAAATAGTATCTTTGTTAGGAAATTGGATGGAGCTGTTCTCATATGAGAACATACAGTATTTGGTTTTCTATTTCTGAGTTACTTAGTTCCCACTTATAAGTAGAAGCTAAGCTATTAGTACACAAAGACATACAGAGTGATATAATGGAGCTTGGAGACTTGATGTGGGGGAGGTTGGGAACCGGGTGAAGAATAAAAAAATGCTATATATTGGGTACAGTGTACACTGCTTGGGTGACATGTGAACTAAAATCTCAGCATTCACCACTATGGAAGTCACTCATGTAACTAGAAATGACCAGTACCCCAAAGCTATTGAAATATTTTTTAAAATTTAAAAATAATAAATTATAATAAAAATACCAACAATATTCTTCACAGAAATAGAAAAAAAAATTCTAAAATTTATATGGAATCGCAAAGACCCAGAATAGCCAGAGTTATCCTAAGCAAAAGAAATGAAACTGGAGGAATCTGATTACCTGATTAAAAATTATACTAGAGAGCTGTAGTAACCAAAACAGCAAGGTACTGGCATAGCAATAGACACATAGACCAACAGAACAGAATGGATAATCCAGAAACAAATCCACATAACTACAGTGAATTCATTTTCAACAAAGCGTCCAAGAACATATACTGGGGAAAAGACAGTCTCTTCAATAAATGGTGCTTGGAAAACTGGATATCAATATGCAAAAGAATGAAAATAGACCCCTAACTCTCACCATATACAAAAATCAAATCAACATGGATTAAAAACTTAAATCTAAAACCTCAAACTATGAAACTAGTGCAAGAAAACATTAGGAAAAATTTCTAGGACATTGGTCTTGGCAAAGATTTCTTGAGGAATATCCCACAAACACAGGCAACTAAAGCAAACATGGACAAATGGGATCACATCAAGTTAAAAAGCTTCTGGATAGCAAAGGGTACAATCAGCAAAGTGAAGTGACAACCCACAGAATGTGAGAAGATATTTGCAAACTACCCATCTGACAAGGGATTAATAACTAGAATATAAAAGAAGCTCCAACAATTCTATAGGAAAAAAATAATAATCCAATTTAAAAATGGGTGAAATGTTTGAATAGAAATTTCTCAAAAGAAGACAAATGGCAAACAGGCATATGCCAAAGTGCTCAACATCATTGATCATCAGATAAATGCAATTCAAAACTACAAAGACATATCATCTCACCCCAGTTAAAATGGCTTATATCCAAAAGACAGGCAATAATATATGCTCGCAAGGATGTGGAGAAAAAGGAAACCTTGTACACTGTTGGTGGGAATGTATATTAATACAGCCACTATGGAGAACAGTTCAGAGGTTCCTCAAAAGACTAAAAATAGAGCTACCATATGATCCAGCTGCCCCACTGCTGGGCATATACCCAAAAGAAAATTAATCATTATATGGAAGGGATATCTGCACTCCTATGTTTTTTGCAGCACTGTTTACAATAGCTAAGATTTGAAGCAACCTAAGTGTCCCTCAACAGATGAATAGATAAAGAAAATGTGGTACATATACAAAATGGAGTAGTATTCAGCCATAACAAATAATAAGATTCATTCATTTGCAAAAACATGAATGGAACTGGAGATAATTATGTTAAGTGAAATAGGCCAGGCAAAGAAAGACAAACATCACATGTTCTCACTTATTTGTGGCATCTAAAAATGAAAACAACTAGATTCATGAACATAGAGAGTAGAAGGATGATTACCAGAGGCTGGAAAGGGAAGTGGGGGCCTCGGGTGGGTGGTAGGGGTGGTTAATGGGTACCAAAAATAGTTAGAAAGAATGAATAAGACCTACTATTTTACTATTTTAATAAGGTGAGTATAGTCAATAATAACTTAATTGTACATTTTAAAATAATGGAAAGAATGTAGTTGGATTATTTGTAACACAAAAGATAAATGCTTGAAGGGATATATATATACACACAAACAATATAAATTATATAATTATATATAGTTATATATTACAATATATAATACATAATTATATATAATATAGTTATATATAATTATGTATTATATACTATACAATATAATTATAACATGTAATGTATAACATATACAATTGTTTATTAAAGAATACAATTTTTTTATCCATTCATGTGTTGTTGGACACTTCAGTTATCTGTGATTTTTCACTATTGTAAATATACCTGCTATGAATATTCATGTAGAACTCTTTTCATGGTGTATATACTCATTATTTTTGCATATATACCTATTGGTAGTATTCTTGTGTCATATCATGTCTTTACAATATTTTACAGGATTAAATAATTACCTTGTAGTCCACAGAGGAAGTCAGTCTCAGTCATGAAATCTATCTGGATGACTAAAATGGAGACCTGAGAAATTAAATGAAAAAAGGAAATGTATAACAGTGGTTAAGAACATGGGCTTTGAGGTTAACAGACTTAAATGCAAGTCTTGACTTTGTTACTTAATAGCTATGTGGCCTTGGACAAGTTACTTAATGTCTGTTCCTCAGTTTCCTCAGCTATAAAATGGAAATAATAATAGTAGTAACCTCATAGAATTATTGTGAAAAGTATATTTGATAATGTGGGTAAAATACCTTGCATATAACTTAACATATAGAAAGCACTCAATAAATTTTAACTATTATTATTGTCGCTATTATTATTGAATTATAAATGTAATGTGCTTTTATTTTATGGGCAGTTTAATTAGAGATTGTGATTCAGAAATGTGGGACACTAAATGGAATGAGAAGTTGGGAAATCACGATATGGGAAGTTGGTAGACAAATGTCGAGTATAATAAATAGGACTGTTAAATGTCCTGGGCTGTAGAAGCAAAGGACGCAGCAAATTTAAGAAGAACCCTAGGGCCAGGCACAGTGGCTCATGAGGTGGGCAGATCACAAGGTCAGGAGTTCAAGACCATCCTGGCCAACATGGTGAAACCCCATCTCTACTAAAGATACAAAAAATTACCCAGGCATGGTGGTAGGCACCTGTAATCCCAGCTACTCCAGAGCCTGAGGCAGGAGAATTGCTTGAACCCAGAGGTTGGAGGTTGCGGTGAGCCGAGATTGCACCATTGCATTCCAGCCTGGGTGACAGGGCGAGACTCTGTCTCAAAAAGAAAAAAAAAAAAAGAACCCTAGATCTAGATATACTGATTCAGATGAGTTGGCCCGGGTTGTCAGTCTACTAGGGAGAGAGAAAAAACAGACAAACAAAAGCAAGAAGGGTTGAGGATGGTTGTTGGAGCTCACAAAACAAGACTGAGACTGAACTGTGTGTTCAGAACAAAAGAGGTGTAGGAAATTTCTCAGGATAGAGTTTAGGACTTGAGATTCTCAATCATTTTGGGGTACCAGATTCCTATGGAAATATATTGAAAGTGAAGATGCTTTCCCTAGAAAGATACACATGTATATCTGCCTGTAAAATTTTGTCTACAGTGTCAGAGGATTCAAAGACTCCCTAAAGCCCAGACAAGTACCTTTAAATGAGGAATCATGGGCTTTGTGGAACTGAAAACTGAAGAGTGAGTGAATCTGAGACACAGAGATTTTCTTAGTAACCAAAAGAGCTGAAAGAAATGGTTCCATATTGAAGGTATAGAAAGGTGAAAGGGAATTAGAAAGACAAGACAATGAATAACCTGAAGATTAGGTTATAGGATGAGCTGGCCTTTTCTCTGTCTTTCCTGAAGAGGGAAGCAGATGATGTGTAGAAAACACAGAGCCATGCTATGTGCGTGATAAACCAAGCTCATTGAGTACCATCAAACTTTTTCCCACGAATTTACCGGATATGGAAGTTAAAAACATGGGTTAGAATACCAAAGCTGAAACAATCTTTAGTTCATAAAGCCTAACTCCATCATTTTACACAAGAGGGAGTAGTGTTAGAAAGGAGTTTGTCTAAATGCTTATTGTTACCTAGCAGCTGAGAGAGATTAGAATCCTGGTCTTAAGACTCCTAGTCCAGGTGTTTTCTAACACACAGCATTGCCTTGTTTCCTTGTCATGTTTAAAAAGTAGCTGAGAAAATTTGGATATGTTTTAGAGTATCCCAGATTGTGGAGCTTGAAGCCTTTGAAAGATTTTAACTAGAGAGTAACTGATTAACCTTATAGTTTAGTAAGATGGCTGGTGATTGATGGTTTTACTGCCTGTTTTATCTGAGTGAGCCTTCATTGTGATGCTAGGGTTATAGAATAGGACTAACAATAATATTACTTTTTCTAATATAATACATGGAAATATGTGTTTTATAGTCTGAAGCATATTTTTTGACCTCATGTTATATCTAGGTACGTCTTAAGAGGAAGTCATTTTGACATATTGTTGAAGAAAGCAGGTTTCTTGCTCAACAAAAAACACTTAGATATGTATCTCTAAGCTTGTAAATTTTTAAGAACAAGGAGAAGGTGTTGAATTCACAATAGACTGTTCAACATTGGTTACCTCACGGGATTGGGAATGGTGGAGGAGGGGGAATACATGATATGAAAGGGTTTGCTTTATAAAGAAAGTATCACATTAAAATATAAATCTGTTGAGCACATTATCTATAGAAGATGATACTCTAAGATGCTCTTGGACATATAAAAAGGACTGACACATAGTTCTGTGCCTTTAGGTTTATAATCTAGTTACAGAGCTTAGATATATGCATAAAATTACCACATTAGAGAATTCTTTATTCTTACTAGAGACAGGGTCTCGCTGTGTTGCCCAGGCTGGTTTTGAACTCCTGAGTTCAAGCAGTCCTCCTGCCTCGGCATCCCAAAGTGCTGGGATTACAGGTGTGAGCCACCACGTCTGGCCCACATTACAGAATGTTTTAAGTGTTAAGTAAATGGTATAGACATAGGTTGAGCATCCCCAATGTGAAAATCTGAAATCCAAAATGCTTCAAAACCTGAAACTTTTTGAGTGCTAATGTGACCCTACAAGTGGAAAATTCCATACCTGACCTCATGTGATGAATTGCAGTCAAAACTTTGTTTCATATATAGCATTACTAAAAATATTCTGCAGAATTATCCTCAGGCTATGTGTATAAGGTATATATGAAACATAAATGATTTTTGTGTTTAGACTTGGGTCCAATCCCCAAGATATCTCATTAGGTATATGCAAACATTCCAAAATCCAAAAAACTTCACAATTTGAAATACTTCTGATCCCAAGCAGTTCTAATAAGGGATACTAAACCTGTATATGTTCCATTAGAATTCAAGGGGATGATGAGTTTACTTGCAGTTGAAGTGATTAGGAAAACATCGTGGAGGGTCTAGCTTTTGCTGAACCTTGAAGAAGAAACAAAGTTAACTTTTTTAGTTATAAAGTAAAAACACATGTTAAAAATGAATAGCACTTACATGCATACATACATTGCATACATACATTACACGCATACATTTTATATATGCATATATATTATATGCATATAGAATTTTCATAAAGATTGTCACATATATAATGCTGTGCAACTTCATTTAAAAACATTGTGGACACATTTTCATGTCTATATATATTTTTCTTTTTTTCTTCAAAAAATTGTCAGCTGAATCATGTAAATATATATATTTACATATATATAAAAATAAATCTTTTAAGCAACTTTATAGAATTTTTTGTATGGCTATATGATAAGTTATTGAACTAATCCCTTCATTGGTAGATATTTAGATATTTTTGGTGAGTTTATTACTATTATCAACAGTGCTGCTAAAACATGTTTGTATTTTTAGTTTTGTACTTTACTGTGGGTGATTTCTGTAGAAGAGAATCCTTTGAAGTGCAATTTCCAGGTCTACAAGTATGGGTGATTTTGATTTTGTTAGGTATTGTCATATTTACCTGTGCATAGGGTATAATCATATATATTCTCAGCAATTGTTTATGCAAGTTACTTTTTAGCCACACTTTTCCCAACACATGTATTCTAAGTTTTACTGTTTGCCAGTTTGATATGTGAAGTATACTATCTCATTGTTTTAATTTGTATTTATTTATGAACGAAGTAGCATCTTACATATTTATGTGCCATTTTTATTACTTTTTCAGCAAACTTGAGCATTTCTGTTGAGCATTCGTCTATTGAACTGATGGCTTTTGTGATCGCTTTGTACATTGCAGAACTTTAATTTTCTGTTGTATATGTTGAAAATACATTTTTCAATTTGTTTTTGTCTACTGATGATCTGATTTTTTTTTGACATATAGATGTTTTATACACTATGAATCTTTGAACTCTCTAATAAATATTCTTGCCTTTTGGGCAAGACTTGAATGGGGAGGTTTCATATCAATATGAGTTGAGATTGTAGGCTAGAACTTACGTATCTAGTTTAGGAGTTTGACTTTATCATGCTGTCAGTGAGAAGCTACTATTGGAGAAAGGGAATGCTAGGGTTTCAAGAAAACAAGTTTGACATTGGGAGGAGTGGCTACTAGAAGGAAAGAAAGAACAGGATCAGGAAGATTAGTTAGGAGGCTATTGCATTATTAGTCATGTTTGCTGGGACAAAAGTCTCATCTGGGAGAGTTGTGGTGGGTTTGGAAAGATTTTAAGAGACATTCAGGAATTATTGATAGAATGTGGTGACGTCTTGGTGACAGTAGAGTTACTGATTATTCTGAACTTAAAGGTATGTGATTACATTAAATGAAATGGGGGCTGTTTCTTGATTTGGAATATATGTGCATTTTTTTCCTGCTTAGTTGAATTTAACAAACATTTACTGTGAGCTGCTATATGGCGGTCCCCGTGCTTGGAGATGGAGATATAAAGATACACATGGACTCTGGCTTCAGGGAATTCGCAGTCTAATAGGGAAGACAGACAGACATGTAATCCAAATATTGCATTGCAGTGTGCCAAGTGCAGTAAGAGAAGTATGCACAAGATGCAAAGGCAGTGCAAAGGAGAAAGGGAAAGTTTGCCTGGGGTTGTCAGGTAGGGTATCACAGAGGATGGTATATGTGAGCACATTTGTAAAGGACACACAAGAGTTTGCCAAGTGAAAGAAAGGGAAATAATATTTCCAGAAGTGTGAATAGCATTACAAAGGCACAGAAGTCTGGAACACAGTGGTGTGTTTAAAGAGACTTGTGAGTGTTAATTGCTAAGTATGACAATTTAAACTATTAGGGGGAATAACAGGAGATGTGACTGAAATGGCAAACAAAGGGATGGGAAGGGAGGGCTTTGTATGCCTTGCCAAACATCTTGGAGCTTGAAACCATTGGAGGATTTTATTTTTATTTATTTAATTTTATTTTTTGAGACAGGGTCTCGCTCTGTTGCCCAGGCTGGAGTTCAGTGGTGTGAACATGGCTCACTGCAGCCTCGACCTCCTGGACTCAGGTGATCCTCCCATTTTAGACTTCTGAGTAGCTGGGACTACAGGCACGTACCACCATGCCTGGCTATTTTATTTTCTGTTTTTTGTAGAGATAGGGTCTCGCCATGTTGCCCAGGTTGGTCTTGAACTCCTGAGCTCATGTGATCCTCCCACCTTGGCCTTCCAAAGTGCTGGAATTACAGTCACAAGCCACCATGCCTGGCCCATTGAACGATTTTAAACAAAGTAGCTAATTAGCTTGAAGCTTGGCAAAATAAGCCACTTTGGAGGGGTGTTAGATTAGTCAGTGACACCAGTGAATAGGCAACAGGAAGAAGTAATGAGAGCCTGTGTTTGGGCAAGGAAAGAAAGTGAAGACAGTATGGGAAAAATTCAGAAAAATCTAAACTGTACATAATTTATAGAAGATGTGAATTTTGATTAATTGTTTTTCCTGAGGCAGTTTTTAATGGGTCTGATAATGCAATTTCCATTGTGATTTCTAATGGAGTGGATTTGTAAAACTGATGGGACAGGAGTGGGAAGCACTCAGTTATTAATCTTGAGCTTAATATAGTGGTTCTCAACTTGTTTTCTGCCTTCACATTGTGAAATTGATACCTATCAGTAATACCACTCATTACCTTGTGGCGATTTTAAACATGGAGGAGGAGGGGGTCAGTATGAGGGAAGTTATAGAATCTTCCAGGGAGTATGTATAGTTTGAAAAAGCCCCTCAGGGAATTCTGCTATGTATCATTTCTCCAACCACACATATTTGAGAATCACTGGTGTATTTTCAGCAATGGTGAGAGAACACACACACACACACAAACACACACAGCTGGCAAATGAATTCATATTCACACAGAGAGTGTACCTAGGCTTTGACTGAAACAGCCCCTAGTTACAGATTAATAGGAAGTGGCATCATTACACTCTAGTTTTCTTCTATGTGATGCTGTGATTTTAAATGCATTTTTGATAAATACAAATCAACTCATTGGGAGAAAGTTGACCCATGGGGAGAATTTTAAGGGAAAAAGCATGGAACAAATCCTCAATCTAGATAGAAGGAAATATAAGATGATGAATTACTTTCATGCAGATGCGAATTTTGAGCTGGCTGTTGTTAAAAAACTTCCATAGAGTGTAACAAATAAGATAACAAATGCAGTATCTGGTAATGGAGCGGGAAGAATGCTCACTTTAGGGAAAGATGGGGTTGTTCTGTGAGGTAATAGAGACTGTCAGGGAGGCAATATTTGAGGCACCTGAAGTAGTCTGTTGGTGCCAGACTTAACTTAGAAAAATGGCAGTTTTCTCCAGGTTCTTTGTGGCATCAGTTTTCTGCCTCACCTGCCTAGTACCAATATGTTACATCTTGCCCCCACGCAACCCCTGCTCCCGAATCATAACTTGCTTTTAATAGAAAGGTGTTCACATTGTGCTGTAAACAACTAACAGAAATTTGGGGTGGATTATCCCTTAAATGTGTAAATAACAAATACTAAGAGGAGTATTTGATTTTTAATAGTGACTTAATCCAATGAAGTTCACAGATCAGTATCATTTGGCACCCAAGCATGGTCTCCATTTTTATAGTGTTTACAATCTAGTAGGGGGGATGAACAATGAACAATTATAATCATGATAGCTTTTACAAGAGGGACAGTACAGGTAATTAGTCTTGAATTTTGAGATATTTAGGCAGCAGCAAAAAGTGGAGATATTTTGGATAGGGTTGTTGAAGCTTATTTTTTGATACCCCTTAGAACATACTCTAAAAATTTCAGGGCACTCACTCTCAGCCTGCTTATCAGGATCTCCATTTGGGGGCACCCTCACCATCACACTGCCAGGGAGCATAGCCTTCTGTTCCCTGCCTGGGTTTTCTCATTTAACTCTTCACTTGGCCAGTGTTTGAGACATCATACAATTGGGGAGAAAAACAATATGTATAAAATATAAATCATATTCTGTTATGTCAAGTTATATTTCAATGTAGAAATTCATCATATATTTTTAAAGATTATCCATTAAGAAGCTCACATTAATGACAAAAACCAAACATGGCTCAAACTGACTCCATTTATCCATGAATCCTCATTACACTTTGTCTGCAGGAAGTGGTTTCTTCCCCTCTATCCTGTCACTTGTTTGTTTGAGCCATTTTAATTCACACATGCCATATAGGCTTTATACCAAATGTCTCTTCCTGCCTCTCTCACCATCATCTTTGCTCATTTATGTAACTGCTTAAAAAACTCACATTCTCCAGAAACTATGATTTGGTGGATACCCAATAAGTTCAGGAGGTAATGTGCCTGAGTTTTGAGTTTCATTTCCCAGAAATCTTGTGGAAAAAGTGTGAGGTGCAGACTTTTGAAAGGTTAATTTTTTTCTCAGGTTGTAAATCTGACCTCAGATTTTCTTCTCCTCATAAACTGTCAGAGTCATGAAACTTGCTGGCACTCCCCATTTCCTCAATTTATTCATTAATCATAGTAAACAAACTCCTTATTGGAACATCCGGGTTTAGCCTGTGCTTACATTTGTGTTGATTTGCATATCTGAGACTAGAATTTCCAACTCTGAAAATCTTCTAGCATGACATTTAGTGTAAACTGTGTTTCTTTGGTGGAATTACTCACAACCTTGCCTTCTTACTGGTACAAAATGGATTGTTGAACATGGATGGCTCAAAAGTCACACATAGTTGGCAGGGCTGGTGCTGCCACGTGAGTTCTTTGCTCATGTGTTTGGCACCATTACTAGACTTGGCTACCACAATCAGAAACTGAAAGTGGTGATTCCAATTGCTGCTACCAACTGGCTTCTTTAGGGTGAACTGTATTCTATTGTCTTTCAGTATCATGACCCAGTGATATAAGACTGCCTAGGCCAGGCACAGTGGCTCACACGTGTAATCTCAGCACTTTGGGAGGCTGATGCAGGCAAATCACTAGGTCAAGGGATCGAGACCATCCTGGCCAACATGGTGAAACCCCATCTCTAGAAAAAATGCAAAATTAGCTGGGTGTGGTGGCATGTGCCTGTAGTTCCAGCTACTCAGAGGCTGAGACAGGAGAATTGCTTGAACCCAGGAGGCGGAGGTTGCAGTGAGCCGAGATCTCACCACTGCACTCCAGCCTGGCAACAGAAATCAACAAAATAGATAGACTGCTAGACAGACTAATAAAGAAGAAAAGAGAGAAGAATCAAATAGACACAATAAAAAATGATAAAGGAGATATCACCACTGATCCCACAGAAATAACTACCATCAGAGAATACTATAAACAACTCTATGCAAATAAACTAGAAAATCTAGAAGAAATGGATAAATTTATGGACACGTACACCCGCCAAAGACTAAACCAGGAAGAAGTTGAATCCCTGAATAGACCAATAACAAGATCTGAAATTGAAGCAGTAATTAATAGCTTACCAACCAAAAAAAGTCCAGGACAAGACGGATTCACAGCCAAATTCTACCAGGGGTATAAAGAGGAGCTGGTACTATTCCTTCTGAAACTATTCCAAACAATAGAAAAAGAGGGACTCCTCCCTAACTCATTTTATGAGGCCAGCATTATCCTGATACCAAAACCTGGCAGAGACACAACAAAAAAAGAAAATTTTAGGCCAATATCCTTGATGAACAAACATGCAAAAATGCTTAATAAAATACTGGCAAACCAAATCCAGCAGCACATCAAAAAGCTCACCCAACACGATCAAGATGACTTCATCCCTGGGTTGCAAGGCTGGTTTAACATACATAAATCAGTAAACGTAATCCATCACATAAACAGAACTAATGACAGAAACCACATGTTTATCTCAACAGATGCAGAAAAGGCATTTGACAAAATTCAACAGCCTTCATGCTAAAAACTCTCAATAAACTAGGTATTGATGGAACATATCTCAAAATAATAAGAGCTATTTATGAAAAACCCACAGCCAATATCATACAGAATGGGCAAGAACTGGAAGCATTCCCTTTGAAAACTGCTACGGTTTTACAGACAAGGATACCCTCTCTCACCACTCCTATTCAACATAGTATTGGAAGTTCTGGCCAGGGCAATCAGGCAAGAGAAAGAAATAAAGGATATTCAATTAGGAAAAGAGGAAGTCAAATTGTCTCTGTTTGCAGACGACATGATTGCATACTTAGAAAACCCCATCGTTTCAGCTCAAAATCTCCTAAAGCTGATAATCAACTTCAGCAAAGTCTCAGGATACAAAATCAATGTGTAAAAGTCAGAAGCATTCCTATATACCAATAACAGACAAACGGAGAGGCAAATCATTAGTGAACTTTCACTTACAATTGCTACAAAGAGAATAAAATACCTAGGAATCCAACTTACAAGGGATGTGGTGGACCTCTTCAAGGAGAACTACAAACCACTGCTCAAGGAAATAAGAGAGGACAAAAATAAATGTAAAAACATTCTATGCTCATGGATAGGAAGAATCAATATTGTGAAAATGGCCATACTGCCCAAAGTAATTTATAGATTCAGTGCTATCCCCATCAAGCTACGATTGACTTTCTTCACAGAATTGGAAGAAAACTACTTTATATTTCCTATGGAACCAAAAAAGAGCCTGCATAGACAAGACAATCCTAAGCAAAAAGAACAAAGCTGGAGACATCATGCTACCTGACTTCAAACTATACTACAAGGCTACAGTAACAAAAACAGCATGGTACTAGTACCAAAACAGACATATAGACCAATGGAACAGAACAGAGGCCTCAGAAATAACACCACACATCTAAAACTATCTGATCTTTGACAAACTTGACAAAAACAAGCAATGGGGGAAAAGATTCCCTATTTAATAAGTGGTGTTGGGAAAACTGGCTAGCCACATGCAGAAAGCTGAAACGGGATCCCTTCCTCACACCTTATACAAAAATTAACTCTAGATGCATTAAATACTTAAATGTAAAACCCCAAACTATAAAAACCCTAGAAGAAAACCTAGCCAATACCATTCAGGACATAGGCATGGGCAAAGACTCATGACAAAAATGCCAAAAGCAATTGCAACAAAAGCCAAAATTGACAAATGGGATCTAATTAAACTTAACCACTTCTGTACAGCAAAAGACACTATCATCAGATGTTGCAGGAAGTCAGGGACCCTGAATGGAGGGACTGGCTGGAGCTGTGGCAGAGGAACATAAATTGTGAAGCTTTCATAGACATTTATCAGTTCCCCAAATTAATACTTTTAAAATTTCTTATGCCTGTCTTTACTGCAATCTCTGAACATAAATTGTGAAGATTTCATTATAATATGGACATTTTTCACTTCTCTAATAACATTCTTATAATTTCTTAAGCCTGTCTTACTTTAATCTCTTAATCCTGTTATTTTTGTAAGCTGAGGATGTACATCACCTCAGGACGGCTACTGTACAAATTGATTGTAAAACGTGGGTGTTTGAACAATATGAAATCAGTGCACCTTGAAAATGAACAGAATAACAGCAATTTTAGGGAACAAGGGAAGACAACCATAAGGTCTGACTGCCTGTGGGGTCGGGCAGAATAGAGCCATATTTTTCTTCTTGCAGAGAGCCTATAAATGGACATGCAAGTAGGAGAGATATCGCTAAATTCTTTTCCCAGCAAGGAGTATTAATAATTAATACCCTGGGGAAGGAATGCATTCCTGGGGGAAGGTCTATAAACGGCCGCTCTGGGAGTGTCTGTCTTATGCGGTTGAGATAAGGACTGAAATACGCCCTGGTCTCCTGCAAGTACCCTCAGGATTATTAGGGTGGGGAAAAAATCCCGCCCTGGTGAATTTGAGGTCAGACCAGTTTTCTGCTCTCAAACCCTGTTTTCTGTTGTTTAAGATGTTTATCAAGACAATATGTGCACAGCCAAACATAGACCCTCATCAGTAATTCTAATTTTGCCCTTGCCTTGTGATCTTGCTTTGCCCTTTCAAGCATGTGATCTTTGTGACCTACTCCCTGTTCATACACCCCCTCCCCTTTTGAAATCCTTAATAAAAACTTGCTGGTTTTGCAGCTCAGGGGACATCATGGACCTACCAATATGTGATGTCACACCCGGAGGCGCAGCTGTAAAATTCCTCTCTTGGTACTCTTTCTCTTTATTTCTCAGACCGGCTGACACTTAGGGAAAATAGAAAAAACCTACATTGAAATATTGGGGGCTGGTTTCCCCGATAATCAGAGTGAAGACGCAACCTACAGAATGGGGGAAAATTTTGGCAATCTATCTATCTGACAAAGGGCTAATATTCAGAATCTACAAAGAACTTAAACACATTTACAAGAAAAAACCAAACAACCCCATCAGAAAGGGGGCAAAGGATATGAACAGACACTTCTCAAAAGAAGATATTTATGTGGCCAACAAACATATGATAAAATGCTCATCATCACTGGTCATTAGAGAAATGCAAATCAAAACCACAATGAGAACCATCTCACGTCAGTTAGAATGGTGATCAGTAAAAAGTCAGGAAACAACAGATGCTGGAGAGGATGTGGTGAAGTAGGAACAGTTTTACACTGTTGCTAGGAGTGCAAATTAGTTCAACCATTGTGGAAGACAGTGTGGTGATTCCTCAAGGATCTAGAACTAGAAATGCCATTTGAGCCAGCAATCCCATTACTGGGTATATACCCAAAGAATTATAAATCATTCTGTTATAAAGACACATGCACACATATGTTTGTGGCGGCACTATTCACAATAGCAAAGACTTGGAACCAACCCAAATGCCCATCAATGATAGACTGGATTAAAAAATGTGGCACATATACACCACGGAATACTATGCAGCCATAAAAAAGAATGATTTCATGCCCTTTGCAGGGACATGAATGAAGCTGGAAACCATCATTCTCAGCAAACTTAACACAAGACTAGAAAACCAACACCATATGTTCTCACTCATAAGTGGGAGTTGAACAATGAGAACACATGGACACAGGGAGGGGAACATCACACACCAGGGCCATTTGGGGGGTGAGGGTTTAAGGGAGGCATAGCATTAGGAGAAATACCTAATGTAGATGATGGGTTGATGGGTTCAGCAAACCACCACGGCACATGTATACCTATGTAACAAACCTCCATGTTCTGCACATGTACCCCAGAAATTAAAGTATAATAAAAAAGAAAAAGAAAAAAAGACTGCCTAGACATGAGATTATAATAGGAATTATCAGATTGACAACCCCAAATAAGAATTTCAATCTAGGTTGGAAATCAGAAGGTCTCCTATATTAGTGATTGCCAGAAGGTTAAAGTGGGCCAATATTTGGAAACCAAGGAACTGTGGCAAGGAGAAGGAGTCTAGAGTTATGCATGGTCAAAAGTAAGCTAAAGGTCTGATATCCAGGCATAGGGGCATGATGCAGAGAAGAAATAAATTCTCTGAGGTCCAGACAGTCAGAAATCCAGAAATTTAGGTAGTTTGTGAACAGGAACCAGCTACAGAAGCACAGAGGTAAGTCCTATTCTGAATCAGGGATTGTTTACCTTCTGGATTGAGCATAGAACTTCTGATTGAGTGGAGGTATCTCCAATCCATGAATATGGTTAAGTAGCTAAAAATATGTTTTCATCTGGCTAGGGAAGGACTAGGAGAAGTTGGAAGGATCCAGAGAGAATCTTAAGTCCAGTGAAAACTGGGGTAGAATGATGATCCTGACAATTATGATAATAATAATAATAATAGCAAATATTAAGTATTTAATAAGTGTAGACATGCTTCATTTCTTTTTGTTTTTTTAAGGTAATGGAAGTGTTTATTTTCTTGCTCATGCTACATATCCAGTTTGAGTCAGTGGAAGAGGGTTGTGAGCATCTCTACATATCATTGTCACAAAGGGAGCATGGCTGCCGGTTTTATTTCAACTCATTTTTTCTCAATCGCTGAAACAATGGGAAGATATACGTTGATATGCATATTGGTTATGATAAGCTTTGGCCCAGAGTTCTATATATTACTACTACTTCTGTTGCATTGGCCATAGTCAGTCACAAGAAGACCTCAGCTAACTTTCAAGGGTACCTGGAAGGAGGGAAGTGAAAAATATTTGTTGAAGAACACTGATGGCTACCAGAGTCCTCTATTCTAATCAACATATATGTGGCTCATTCTCCTTCCCGCAATTTATACTCTGCCACTTACCAAGACACACAAAACAAAATCCCACCCAGTCTCAGAATCAATTAGTCCAAGATCTCTCAGCGGTGCACAGTTGTCACTCTAAATGGGAATGATGTGTTGTACTACTTTCTGTGAATCACCTTGATGTAGAAATTAATGTACTGAAAAAAGCAAGTTAATTGAAACTCACACAAACAAAATATACTATGGAATAGATAATGCTTACCATTTATAAAGGAAAATAAAGGGCGTCATAGCATCCATTGGCCTGTAGTAACTTGTAAGTTCTAGGCAGACTTTCTAGGGCATCTTACTCTAGAGCAGAAAATAATCCTTTATTTGGCCCCATTTTCTCTGGAAGAGGCTTAGCCATTAATTCTCTGTGGCCTTTGGTTGTGACCTCACAGAACTTCTTTTTGTTTGTTTTTGTAAGCCATATGAAAAGTGAGCATTGGAAAAATGACCTATTTGAGGAAGGAGCAATTTTCATAGCTCACTTGTAGCATAAGTGTTTGGTGACCAAGCTGTCATTTTAATTCCTAGACGATCACATTATATTTTACTATAGCTTGACAGTACTTTACCAATATAAATTTGTCAAGAGATTTCTGTTATCCCCATGGAATTATAGTCATATCAACAGTTATTTTATAGACAAGTATTTTAGATTCTGTGTGTGTGTGTAATATGGAATATATATGTTTTACCTCTATTTGTCTTCTCTCTTTCAACTTAATTTTAGGTCTTTTGGCTTTTGTGGAAGAGACATTCTGAGTTTCTTTTTTACTGAATTATTTCATGCGGTTGAAACATTTTAATCTATTTAGTGGTTCTAAAAGAGGGTGTAAAGCCCATAGCCTAGATTGCATCTTTCTTTCCAGGTTGGATTTTTATCAGCTTTTTTCACTCAAAGTATTTCTCGATTTTGTCTTTTATTGTTTGGTATTAAGAAGAAGTTGCCTCTTCCACTCTGTGAAATTCCTCTTATTTGTGGACCTTTTCTCTTCTCTTTCATTTCTTCTTGCAAATTGGCCTATTATTTTCTCAGTACATTTCAGTCATTTACTACCTTATCTAATGCAGACAGCAGCATTCCCCACATGCTGTAAAAGTCCTCTTTTCCGTTCTCTTATCTTAGAGCTAAAGTTTCTAAGTACTGCCTCTGAAATTATTGTGAGTTATGGTTTTACTGTTTCACAATTAGATAACATGAATTCCATCCTTCCAGCTTCCAGTAACCATTTCTTTTTTTTTTTTTTATACTTTAAGTTTTAGGGTACATGTGCACAACGTGCAGGTTTGTTACATATATATACATGTGCCATGTTGGTGTGCTGCACCCATTAACTCGTCATTTAACATCAGGTATATCTCCTAATGCTATCCCGCCCCCATACCCCCACCCCACAACATGCCCTGGTGTGTGATGTTCCCCTTCCTGTGTCCATGTGTTCTCATTGTTCAATTCCCACCTGAGTGAGAACATGTGGTGTGTGGTTTTTTGTCCTTGTGATAGTTTGCTGAGAATGATGGTTTCAGCTTCATCCACGTCCCTACAAAGGACATGAACTCATCATTTTTTATGGCTGCATAGTATTCCATGGTGTATATGTGCCACATTTTCTTAATCCAGTCTATCATTGTTGGACATTAGGGTTGGTTCCAAGTCATTGCTATTGTGAATAGTGCCTCAATAAACATACGTGTGCATGTGTCTTTATAGCAGCATGATTTATAATCCTTTGAGTATATACCCAGTAATGGGATTGCTGGGTCAAATGGTATTTCTAGTTCTAGATCCCTGAGGAATCGCCACACGGACTTCCACAATGGTTGAACTAGTTTACAGTCCCACCAACAGTGTAAAAGTGTTCCTATTTCTCCACATCCTCTCCAGCACCTGTTGTTTCCTGACTTTTTAATGATTGCCATTCTAACTGGCGTGAGATGATATCTCATTGTGGTTTTGATTTGCATTTCTCTGATGGCCAGTGATGATGAGCATTTTTTCATGTGTCTTTTGGCTGCATAAATGTCTTCTTTTGAGAAGTGTCTGTTCATATCCTTTGCCCACATTTTGATGGGATTGTTTGTTTTTTTCTTGTAAATTTGTTTGAATTCTTTGTAGATTCTGGATATTAGCCCTTTGTCATATGAGTAGATTGCAAAAATTTTCTCCCATTCTGTAGGTTGCCTGTTCACTATGATGGTAGTTTCTTTTGCTGTGCAAAAGCTCTTTAGTTTCATTAGATCCCATTTGTCAATTTTGTCTTTTGTTGCCATTGCTTTTGGTGTTTTAGACGTGAAGTCCTTGCCCATGCCTATGTCCTGAATGTTATTGCCTAGGTTTTCTTCTAGGGTTTTTATGGTTTTAGGTCTAACATTTAAATCTTTAATCCATCTTGAATTAATTTTTGTATAAGGTGTAAGGAAGGGATCCAGTTTCAGCTTTTTACATATGGCTAGCCAGTTTTCCCAGCACCATTTATTAAATAGGGAATCATTTCCCCATTGCTTGTTTTTGTCAGGTTTGCCAAAGATCAGATGGTTGTAGACATGCGGCATTATTTCTGAGGGCTCTGTTCTGTTCCTTTGGTCTATATCTCTGTTTTGGTACCAATGCCATGCTGTTTTGGTTACTGTAGCCTTGTAGTATAGTTTGAAGTCAGGTAGCATGATGCCTCCAGCTTTATTCTTTTTGCTCAGGATTGACTTGGCAATGTGGGCTCTTTTTTGGTTCCATATGAACTTTAAAGTAGTTTTTTCCAATTCTGTGAAGAAAGTCATTGGTAGCTGGATGGAGATGGCATTGAATCTATAAATTACCTTGGGCAGTATGGCCATTTTCACGATATTGATTCTTCCTACCCATGAGCATGGAATGTTCTTCCATTTGTTTGTATCCTCTTTTATTTCATTGACCTCTCCTTGAAGAGGTCCTTCACGTACCTTGTAAGTTGGATTCCTAGGTATTTTATTCTCTTTGAAGCAATTGTGAATGGGGAGTTCACTGATGATTTGGCTCTCTGTTTGTCTGTTATCGGTGTATAAGAATACTTGTGATTTTTGCACATTGATTTTGTATCCTGAGACTTTGCTGAAGTTGCTTATCAGCTTAAGGAGATTTTGGGCTGAGACAATGGGGTTTTCTAGATATACAATCATGTCATCTGCAAACAGGGACAATTTGACTTCCTCTTTTCCTAATTGAATACCCTCTGTTTCCTTCTCCTGCCTGATTGCCCTGGCCAGAACTTCCAACACTATGTTGAATAGGAGTGGTGAGAGAGGGCATCCCTGTCTTGTGCCAGTTTTCAAAGGGAATGCTTCCAGTTTTTGCCCATTCAGTATGATATTGGCTGTGGGTTTGTCATAGTTAGCTCTTATTATTTTGTGATATGTCCCATCAATACCTAATTTATTGAGAGTTTTTAGCATGAAGGGTTGTTGAATTTTGTCAAAGGCCTTTTCTGCATCTATTGAGATAATCATGTGGTTTTTGTCTTTGGTTCTGTTTATATGCTGGATTACATTTATTGATTTGCGTATATTGAACCAGCCTTGCATTCCAGGGATGAAGCCCACTTGATCATGGTGCATAAGCTTTTTGATGTGCTGCTGGATTCGGTTTGCCAGTATTTTATTGAGGATTTTTGCATTGATGTTCAACAGGGATATTGGTCTAAAATTCTCTTTTTTTGTTGTGTCTCTGCCAGGCTTTGGTATCAGGATGATGCTGGCCTCATAAAATGAGTTAGGGAGGATTCCCTCTTTTTCTATTGATTGGAATAGTTTCAGACGGAATGGTACCAGCTCCTCCTTGTACCTCTGGTAGAATCCATCTGGTCCTGGACTTTTTTTGGTTGGTAAGCTATTAATTATTGCCTGAATTTCAGAGCCTGCTATTGGTCCATTCAGAGATTCAACTTCTTCCTGGTTTGGTCTTGGGAGGGTGTAGGTGTCGAGGAATTTATCCATTTCTTCTAGATTTTCTAGTTTATTTGCATAGAGGTGTTTATAGTATTCTCTGATGATAGTATGTATTTCTGTGGGATGGGTGGTGATATCCCCTTCATCATTTTTTATTGTGTCTATTTGATTCTTCTCTCTTTTCTTCTTTCTTAGTCTTGCTAGCGGTCTATCAATTTTGTTGATCCTTTCAGAAAACCAGCTCCTGGATTCATTAATTTTTTGAGCGGTTTTTGGTGTCTCTATTTCCTTCAGTTCTGCTCTGATCTTTGTTATTTCTCGCCTTCTGCTAGGTTTGAATGTGTTTGCTCTTGCTTCTCTAGTTCTTTTAATTGTGATGTTAGGGTGTCAGTTTTAGATCTTTCCTGCTTTCTCTTGTGGGCATTTAGCGCTATAAATTTCCCTCTACACACTGCTTTGAATGTGTCCCAGAGATTCTGGTATGTTGTGTCTTTGTTCTCATTGGTTTCAAAGAACATCTTTATTTCTGCCTTCATTTTGTTATGTACCCAGTAGTCATTCAGGAGCAGGTTGTTCAGCTTCCATGTAGTTGAATGGTTTCGAGTGAGTTTCTTAATCCTGAGTTCTAGTTTGATTGCACTGTGGTCTGAGAGAGAGAGTTGGTTATAATTTCTGTTCTTTTACATTTGCTGAGGAGTGCTTTTACTTCCAACTATGTGGTCAATTTTGGAATAGGTGTGGTGTGGTGCTGAAAAGAACGTACATTCTGTTGATTTGGGGTGGAGAGTTCTGTAGCTGTCTATTCGTTCTGCTTGGTACAGAGCTGAGTTCAATTCCTGGATATCCTTGTTAACTTTCTGTCTCGTTGATCTGTCTAATGTTGACAGTGGGGTGTTAAAGTCTCCCATTATTATTGTGTGGGAGTCTAAGTCTCTTTGTAGGTCTCCAAGGACTTGCTTTATGAATCTGGGTGCTCCTGTATTGGGTGCATATATATTTAGGATAGTTAGCTCTTCTTGTTGAATTGATCCCTTTACCATTATGTAATGGCCTTCTTTGTCTCTTTTGATCTTTGTTGGTTTAAAGTCTGCTTTATGAGAGACTAGGATTGCAACCCCTGCCTTTTTTTGTTTTCCATTTGCTCGGTAGATCTTCCTCCATCCTTTTATTTTGAGCCTATGTGTGTCTCTGCACATGAGATGGGTTTCCTGAATACAGCACACTGATGGGTCTTGACTCTTTATCCAATTTGCCAGTCTGTGTCTTTTAATTGGAGCATTTAGCCCATTTACATTTAAGGTTAATATTGTTATGTGTGAATTTGATCCTGTCATTATGATGTTAGCTGGTGATTTTGCTCGTTAGTTGGTGCAGTTTCTTCGTAGCCTCCATGGTCTTTACAATTTGGCATGTTTTTGTGGTGGCTGGTACTGCTTGTTCTTTTCCATGTTTAGTGCTTCCTTCAGGAGCTCTTTTAGGGCAGGCCTGGTGGTGACAAAATCTCTCAGCATTTGCTTGTCTGTAAAGGATTTTATTTCTCCTTCACTTATGAAGCTTAGTTTGCCTGGATATGAAATTCTGGGTTGAAAATTCTTTTCTTTAAGAATGTTGAATATTGGCCCCCACTCTCTTCTGGCTTGTAGAGTTTCTGCCGAGAGATCAGCTGTTAGTCTGATGGACTTCCCTTTGTGGGTAACCTGACCTTTCTCTCTGGCTGCCCTTAACATTTTTTCCTTCATTTCAACTTTGGTGAATCTGACAATTATGTGTCTTGGAGTTGCTCTTCTTGAGGAGTATCTTTGTGGCGTTCTCTGTATCTCCTGAATTTGAATGTTGGCCTGCCTTGCTAGATTGGGGAATTTCTCCTGCATATCTTGCAGAGTGTTTTCCAACTTGGTTCCATTTTCCCCGTCACTTTCAGGTCCACCAATCAGACGTAGATTTGCTCTTTTCACATAGTCACATATTTCTTGGAGGCTTTGTTCATTTCTTTTTATTCTTTTTTTCTCTAAACTTCCTTCTCGCTTCATTTCATTCATTTGATCTTCCTTCACTGGTACCCTTTCTTCCAGTTGATCGAATCAGCTACTGAGGCTTGTGCATTCGTCAGGTAGTTCTCATGCCTTGGTTTTCAGCTCCATCAGGTCCTTTAAGGACTTCTCTGCATTGGTTATTCTAGTTAGCCATTCGTCTAATTTTTTTTTCAAGGTTTTAACTTCTTTGCCATGGATTGGAACTTCCTTTTTTAGCTTGGAGTAGTTTGATTGTCTGAAGCCTTCTTCTCTCAACTCGTCAAAGTCACTCTCCTTCCATCTTTGTTCTCTTGCTGGTGAGGAGCTGTGTTCCTTTGGAGGAGGAGAGGTGCTCTGATTTTTAGAGTTTCCAGTTTTTCTGCTCTGTTTTTTCCCCATCTTTGTGGTTTTATCTACCTTTGGTCTTTGATGATGGTGACGTACAGATGGAGTTTTGGTGTGGATGTCCTTTCTCTTTGTTAGTTTTCCTTCTAACAGTCAGGACCCTCAGCTGCAGGTCTGTTGGAATTTGCTGGAGGTCCACTCCAGACCCTGTTTGCCTGGGTATCAGCAGCGGAGGCTGTAGAACAGCGGATATTGGTGAACAGCAAATGTTGCTGCCTGATCGTTCCTCTGGAAGTTTTGTCTCAGAGGAGTACTGGGCCGTGTGAGGTGTCAGTCTGCCCCTACTGGCGGGTGCCTCACAGTTAGGCTACTCGGGGGTCAGGGACCCACTTGAGGAGGCAGTTTGTTCTCAGATCTCCAGCTGCATGCTGGGAGAACCACTACTCTCTTTGAAGCTGTCAGACAGGGACATTTAAGTCTGCAGAGGATTCTGCTGCCTTTTGTTTGTCTGTGCCCTGCCCCCAGAGGTGGAATCTACAGAGGCAGGCAGGCCTCCTTGAGCTGCGGTGGGCTCCACCCAGTTCGAGCTTCCTGATCACTTTGTTTACCTACTCAAGCCTCGGCAATGGCGAGCGCCCCTCCCCCAGCCTCGCTGCTGCCTTGCCATTTGATCTCAGACTGCTGTGCTAGCAATGAGCGAGGCTCCATGGGCGTAGGACCCTCTGAGCCAGGCGCGGGATATAATCTCCTGGTGTGCCATTTGCTAAGACCATTAGAAAAGCGCAGTATTAGGGTGGGAGTGACCCGATTTTCCAGATGCCGTCTGTCACCCCTTTCTTTGACTAGGAAAGGGAATTCCCTGACCCCTTGCACTTCCTGGATGAGGCGATGCCTCGCCCTGCTTCAGCTCATGCTTGGTGCACTGCATCCACTGTCCAACACTCCCCAGTGAGATGAACCTGGTAACCTCAGTTGGAAATGCAGAAATCACCCCTCTTCTGTGTCACTCATGCTGGGAGCTGTAGACTGGAGCTGTTCCTATTCGGCCATCTTGGCTCCACCTCCCGATATGCTTCATTTCATTTCATCCTTACAGCAACTTTTTGTGTAAGTACTTTTTATATACCCATTTTTGCAAATGGGAAAATGGACGCTCAGCAAACTTCAATAATTTTCCCTGAGATCAATAAAGTAATAGTTGCGAAGATCAGATTCAAAGTGCCTACACTGCCTTTTTTGATTTGGATTATATAGGCTTATATTACCATCATGGTACCACTTACCCATATAAGAAATGAGAACACATGGACACAGGAAGGGGAACATCACACTTCGGGGACTGTTGTGGGGTGGGGTGAGTGGGGAGGGATAGCATTAGGAGATATACCTAATGCTAAATGACGAGTTAATGCGTGCAGCACACCAACATGGCACATGTATACATATGTAACAAACCTGCACATTGTGCACATGTACCCTAAAACTTAAAGTATAATAATAAAATTAAAAAGAAAAAGAAAAATGAAGATCCTCATGGACAGAAAGGACCATAGTAAACATGATAAAGTGGCTAATTTAACTAATGCTCTGACTCTCTTTTCTGGTATTTCTCTTGATACTTGCCTGAGAATCTTTCAGTTGACTCCACTGGTCAACTCAGCAGGCATCTTCTGGGGACCTACTCCCTGCCTAGTATTACACAGGGCTATCTGGGTTTATGTGTCACACATATTATCATGAAAATGAAAACAGACAAGAGTAGTAGTATTTAAGTTCAGTAGATTATACCTAACACAGTGGTGTGATTTCTGTTATATATATACTTTAAATTCTGGGATACATGTGCAAAACGTCCAGGTTTGTTACATAGGTATACACGTGGCATAGGTATACACATACCCATCAACCCACCAATCACATTAGGTATTTCTCCTAATGCTATCCCTCCCCTATCCCCCCACCCCTCGACAGACCCTAGTGTGTGATGTTCCCCTCCTTGTGTCCATGTGTTCTCATTGTTCAACTCCCACTTATGAGTGAGAACGTGTGCTGTTTGGTTTTCTGTTCCTGTGTTAGTTTGCTGAGAATGATGGTTTCCAGCTTCATTCATGTCCCTGCAAAGGACTTAAACTCATTCTTTTTTATGGCTGCATAGTATTCCATGGTGTATATGTGCCACATTTTCTTTATCCAGTCTATCATTGATGGGCATTTGGGTTGGTTCCAAGTCTTTGCTATTGTAAACAGTGCTGCAATAAATATTCGTGTGCATGTGTCTTTATAGTAGAATGATTTATAATCCTTTGGGTATATACCCAGTAATGGGATTACTGGGTCAAATGGCATTTTTAGTTCTAGATCCTTGAGGAATCACCACACTGTCTTCCACAATGGTTCAACTAATTTACACTCACACCAACAGTGTAAAAGCGTTCCTATTTCTCCCTGTGGTGTGATTTCTTAATGTATTTAATTATTCCATTATTGGACCATTATTTGTTAACTCTTCATCTTCAGCTGACTGCAGGCATGATTAAAAGTAGCACTCGAGTAATGTTGCCTTCCAGGTTTTATTACTTGTCTATTTGAGACAACATCATTGTTGCTTTTGTTTCAGATAAGCCCTCCTTGTCCAGTTCCTACTTTTTGGGTAGCCTGAGATATTTCTGCCATGTCCCTTAGGCCTACAGGTGCACTATACCTTATGAAGCTGGATTTCTAGAGCAACAATCTCTATTTCAGCTAAAGAGCCACTGCATATCTTTAATGTGGTACCTGGGCCTATATAGATGTCTTGTTTTGATATCATGGCATTTTATGGTAATAGTCTGGGTAGTACATACAGGATTCATGCCAGATTTTGATTAATAGTGTCTCCAAATTAGCTCCAGAGTCACAGATCTGTCAGGGTCATTAGTTTCCTGAAGTGTTTCTTCTACCCCAGTTTCAGTAAGTCTTACATGTCTGCCTCCACCATTCTGTGCAGCATATCATTCATGTCCTAGTTCCTCATTTTCTCAGACTGTAAAATGGGGATAATCATTCTTGTGCCTTCCTTGCCATAAGGGTAGCAGGAGGATGAATGTGTTCTGCTGTGGAGTCCTATGGGACCTTGGGGGAAAATGACACTCTATTAATTCAAGGCAGTGATATCAGGAAAGTATGACTCTGAGAAACACATATAAATTATTTAGACTTGGATAATCTCAACTGAAGCTTACGCAAAGTATTTTTTAAGTGTTTGTACAGGTTTCAGAAGCTGTTGTAGATCTCTTCAAAGCCATTAAGAGGGTTTTCAGGCATATGCTGATATTAATTTTAGTAAAATATGAGATCTCTCTGTAAGTAAGGTCATTAAAATAATTGATTATTGGAGCACATTACTTTACAATGTAATCCTGAGACAGTCACTGACTATATCTCAGGCTAAAAAATCATACAAACTATGATTGCAAGACACAAACGACTTTAGGAACATGTCACAGGGAAAATAGTCTTAAAAGTCTGACAAGAGAGGTATGCCTGTTTCTTTTCTTTCTTTTATTGTCTGTTGAATAGGGCGCAAAACTCCATCCATTTTATTTAAAAATAAGAAGCAAAAAGCTACTGACTAGGCCACATATCTAGACAAAACGGACAGTGGAGGGTGAAATGGAGGCTAAAGGGACTACATATTCTCAGGCAGTTTTCTGACACCTCAACAAAACAGGAAAGAGAAGATATCAAGCCAGGGTTGAAGAATTCTTCACAGACGGTAAGGCTCTTTCTGGCCCCTATGATAATATTTCACAAGAAGCTCATATTCCCTCTGATATTCCCTGTGGCAAAGTATGTGTGTTGGGCAGGGGGTGGGAGTAGAGGTGGTTGGGCACCTTGTGTGGCTCTGTTCCTATTATTGGGCCTGTTTGAGTAATGACACTTTGCCCTACCCTGCTCTCACCCTTAAATTGAGTACTTGGATGAGCTCTTAGAATCAGGCAAAATCTCCATAACTTGCACAGACCCTGCTGCCAATCATTGCAGCTAAAATCTCTTTGCCGTTTCCTCTTTTGACTTCCCCTTGAACTTTATGTGCCAGCCTTCATTCATTTTCACTGTGTGGATTTAAATTTCTTGTTCTCCTCATTTAGAGGTTTTTATTGAAATCAATGTCCCTTCAAAATGATGAAAGGAAGAGATGAATTTTAACTATACAAGTAAATAGCCAATCACTGATATATTAGACAACATCCCATCATCCACTCAGGAACCTCTAAATGGTAAGATTACTTCTGTTGCACATGATGGTTGACTTGATTAAAATATTTAGTGTTTTCTTATTCAAATACAGTACCATCATCAAATGTTATCATGAATATTTACATACTCATCAAGGTAAAAAAAAGTTTTGGATTTTTTTCTGTTGGATTTGGTTCGAGTCCTTTGATAACTGAAATTAAGCTGTGGACTGTTATGCTCTTTCCATCAAGTTCACATAATTGAACAGCAGGCAAATAGTTCAATTCTTTTTGCAGATTGTAAGGTATGAATACTATAGGTCCTATGGAATTTGTCACCCCCGAATAGTAAAGCTTGGCAGAACACATAGTTCAATTATCAGCCCCCACAGTGGGCATTTGTATAATTATTTAAAGGTAAATAGTGTGGCATAGTAGAAAGGATACAGAATCTGAGGCCAGAATATCTGTCTAGTAGGTATTAATTAATCACTGTGCTCAAAGCCACATAGCTAGTAAGTAGCAAAACTGATAATAATGATAGACCCAGACTCAAGTCTAGGTATCTAGGTATCTGTGTTTCTAAACTTTAGCTATATAGGCTATCAGAGGTATCATACCTTATCCTATAGTAATAACTGCCACAAGTTATTGAACATTTGCCATATGCCAGACACTGTGTTTTACATGCATTATCACAGTGAATATGTCACAGTTAAGGAAATGAAAACTTCAGTAGATCTCTGTGTAATCGTGAGCAAGTCACTTCATTTCTCTGGACCCCAGTGGTTTCTTCTTTCCCCAGGCATTTTAGAAAGTCTTAATTGCCCAAGGGCAGATAATCAGGGATTATATGTGATGATAATATTGAGTTCCTGCCATCAGAACCATAGCTCCACAAATCCCTTCTCCCTCACCTATTTCCTTTTTGCCTCTGAAATTCAGTGATATTTGGCATCGCTCCTGTTCTTGTATTTCTGTTTCCTCTATTGTCCACAGGCTGCCTTCCCAAGAACCTCCTCTCTATTGTTATCCTCTCTCTTGTCTATGTCTCCTACCTCTTCTCTTTCTTATCAGCATTTAAATATACTCACGCATTCCTTCTCTTAAAAACTGTAACAAGATTCATCCCTCAAACTTCTGTGCTCTTTGTGTTAGTGCTCTCTTTTCACTTAGAAATAAAATGTTGGAATGAGTTGGCTTCATTCATCTCCATTTTCTCACCTTCCAGTCACCATTCATTCCACTGTGATCAGGCTTTTGCCCTAACTACAATTCCCACCCCCTGTATCAATTTCCCGTGGCTTCTGTAACAAAGTAGCAAAAGTTTAATGGCTTAAAATAAACTCATTTATTATCTTACAGTTCCATAGGTTACAAGTCTGACATGGTCTCACTGGGCTAAAATTGAGGTGTGGACAGGACTGCATTCCCTTCTGGAAGCTCTATGGGATAAATCAGTTTTCTTCTTTTTTTCTAGCTTCCAGAAGCTTCCTGTATTCCTTGGTTCATATCTCTCACTTCCTCCATCTTTGAAGTCAACAATGTTTGTTGTAATCTTTCTGGTTCTCTCGCCTGTAGTTATCTCTCTGTCTGACTTACAGCCATGAAAGGTTTTTCACTTAGAACCCATGTGATTAGATTAGGCTCATCTGGCTAATCCGGGGCAAAATCCCTATCTCAAGTTAATTTAATCACACTTATAATGTCCCCTTTGTTATGTAGCCTAACATATTCACAGGTTCCAGGAATTAATATGTGGGCATATTTGGGAGACATTATTCTATCTACCACCCGTCTTCCAAACTGCTCTCGCTAAAATCACCAAAGACATCATTGCTGAGAAATCTAATGGTTTTTTTCAGTCCTTATCTCACTATACCTCTTGTCTACATATGACAATGTTGATATGCTCTTCTTTCTTGACACTCTCCCTTAATTTCTTTTCTTACTTTTATGACCATTTTCCTCCACCTTTCTGAGCTTTTTCTACTTTCTCCTTTAAACTCTGATGTTCTCCTGAATTCAATCTTCAACCCAATTCTCTTCTATTTGTGCAAACTTAAATTATCTCATCCATTTCCATGACTTAAACTGCTTCCTCTTGAATCCACACTGACATGATGACTGCTTACAGTCATATTTTTATATAGATGTCCCATAGGTACCTCAAATTTAGCACGTTCAAAAGGGAACTCATCAATCCTCTCCCTTATTACTTCAGATCAGTTACTTCTCTTGATTTCTTATTTTAGTCAATGGTATCACTATCTGTCAAATTGCTCTTACCATAAAATTTCACAACATTTTTGGTAGCATTCTCTCCCTGGCTAGCACCAACCACCTCTAATCAGCAACTATATATGCCACTTTCTCTCAGGATTTCTTTCTGTTCCATTTCTATTGCCATTGCCTCAGTTTTTGACCTCAATATTTGTCTCGTAAGATTCATGTAAAGACTTTCGTGGTACTCTCCTGTCCTCTCAATCTTTTCCCCATACCACAGCTAGAAAGACCTCTTTAAAACTTCCTAAAGTTCATTCCATGGTTTCCCAGTACCTTCAGAATAAAATCCAAGCTCTTTAGCTTGACATATAGATACCTTTACAGTCTGGCCTTATCATTCCATTTTCAATTCAATGTGTACTTATCCCATCACTCACTCCTGCACCCATCACCTTACATGCCCTATGATCTAGGACTATTCTATATTTTCCCAGGCTTCTATAACTTAGCACATGTTGCTCTTCTTCCTGAGAATGTTCATTCTTCCACATCCCCCATTCTTACCCACTTACAAAAAAAAAAAAAAGGATGCAAACAGTATTAAGAAGGAGAAATGAGGTACAATGATTAAAGTAATTTTAACTATGTATATATTTTAAAATGATTTTAACTACTCAAATAATACCATAGTATATATTCTTCTTATTGAAAAATTATTTAAAAATTTAAGTCCTTGTTAATAAAGCCAAAGTTCTCTATGATTATCCATTCCCACAATATGTATTGTTTAGCTCTATGTCTTGAAGAGCTATTCATGTCAGAAGATAAAAATGTATCTTATTCTTGGCCAGGCGTGGTGCTCATGCCTGTAATCCCAGCACTTTGGGAGGCTGAGGCAGGTGGATCACAAGATCAGGAGATCGAGACCATCCTGACTAACATGATGAAATCCCGTCTCTACTAAAAATACAAAAAATTAGCCAGGCGTGGTGGCAGTCGCCTGTAGTCCCAGCTACTCAGGAAACTGTGGCAGGAGAATGGTGTGAACCTGGGAGGAGGTGCTTGCAGTGAGCCGAGATCGTGCCACTGCACTCCAGCCTGGGCAACAGAGCAAGACTCTTTCTCTCTCTCTCAAAAAAAAAAATGTATCTTATTCTTTTTAATTGCTTCCCTTTGTTACATAGTATGACTATACTATAGGTTTCTGTAAACATTTAAATATTGAAAGACATTTAGGTTGTCTCCTGATTTTTTATGGGCACTGCTCTAGGGATTATTCTTGTAAAAATGCCATGTTGTGAACATGTGCAAGTGTTTCTTTATGGTAGACACCAGTACATAGTATTCCAATGACATTGACAATTGGTTTCCATAATGGACATTGTTCATTTACTTGTTTATCTCTCAAGTTCACCAGTTCCCCATGGGAATGAACTGTGTTCATATATTCTTAGACCTAGATAGAGCCTGGCATATATAATACTTAATAAATAGTGCTTAAAAATATTTGTGAAATAAATGAGTCTGACTGCTCGCATTGAAACAAGGGCTTCTTCTTCACTGCCTCAAATGCTTCCTTACCCCTCTTTTCCAATCTGGGCTTAATCTGATTATCGTAGTAGTCCTTCTGCAGTGGCCCTCTGAACCTTTAGCCTGGGGCAGTGTTTCTCCACATTTGTTGCTTGAGAAGAATTGTTACAGTCATTTGAGCATGCTTTTGAAGGTACCACCATCCTGAGATTATCACTTCTTCACCCTTATTCATAGACCAATGTACTTCCATCTCCTTTACCCAGCCTCTTTGTGAGCCTCTTTGATAGTCTTACTTTCCTAGTCTCCTTCCTGCATGTAAGATAATAGAAGATCCACATGATTGCTAGTATTCTAATTATTTTAAATAATTATTTGTTTCTTGTTTGTAAGGTGAAAATAATGTCTATCACTTTTCTCTCCCACTAGACATATAGTAAGAAATGACTCAGCAAACTATCGCAGGGACAAAAAACCAAACACCGCATGTTCTCACTCATAGGTGGGAATTAAACAATGAGAACACATGGACACAGGAAAGGGAACATCACACACCTGGGACTGTTGTGGGGTGGGGGGAGGGGGGAGGGATAGCATTAGGAGATATACCTAATGCTAAATGACGACTTAATGGGTGCAGCACACCAACATGGCACACGTATACCTATGTAACAAACCTGCACGTTGTGCACATGTATCCTAAAACTTAAAGTATAACAATAATAAAATTTTTAAAAAAGAAAAAAAAAGAAAGAAATGAACATGCTCTTAGACTTCCAGACAACAGTGCTATAGATATTGCATGAGGCAACTGTGGAAAGGGACATTTCTTCATTAGTCCACAGATGTGTGTGCACATGTGCCCTATCCAACCCATTATACTATACCACCATTCCCCTTTAGGTCAAAGACTATATCTCATTCTGCCTTTATCTCCTCTACCTAGCACCCACGTCTGGCTATATGTATGGTAAATCAAAGCACTAAATTTTATAATAGTAGTTAGATAGATATGGCCAATATTTATTTAGATGACTATGTTAAGTTCTACAATACTATTGCTTTCAATCAGTTACCCAGTGCATTTAATTAGTGCCTAGTTTCTGTGAGTCATTGTGCTAGATGCTGTTAATAGAACTGTGAATAAGACAGACATTGTCCCTACTATCATGGAAATTTCAGTCTAGCCATCTCACAGCAATGAGTTTTCCTATGTGCAGTGATGGTAAGGCTCTTCCTCCTCCTCCACTAGAACACAAGAACCTTTGAATCACTCTACCCAAGGACAGACTTTACTGTTAGGCCTTGCATAAAAACCTACCAGATGAAAGGCATTGGTGGACACCTTTCATGTGGGGCTCTGCAAAAAGAAAGAAAGTCATTCTCTTGAAGTATCTATCATAGTATGTAGAGATACAGAATATATTCGTTTAGGACTCCCACTCAATTTTTTCTCCCACAAAACCATATTGTTTATTGATGCCATTTTACCATCTTTATTCAGTGTCCTTTATTCATTTCATGTTTCACTCAGAAATTCAATACCCTTCTGTTGCCTATAAAAATTAACTCCTCATTGTCAAAATTGCATGCTACATTTATTACCATCACTTGTTCTTTCTTTGGTTGTGCTATGCCTTCAGTTGGTTATCTTTTGTTAATTCTTGCCAAACTGATTTTTCAAGGGTTAGCTCCAATCCTACCTCTTCAATGTTACTCTGATCCTCTCCCCTTGCATTCATCTTTGAACCCAATTTATGAGCAAATGCCGACAATCAGTTTCAGGATTACTGGTATTCTCTCCCCAATCAGACTGTAAGCCCTGGGAGGGATGATTCAATGTCTTTTATCCTCATAATTGTAGGCACAGAGCAGGACATCAATGGGGAACTTGACTAATTTATAGCAGCATCATTTCAATGCTGTTTGTGGACAGACAAATGCGTGGGAGATGCCTGAGTAAAACAAATTAGGCTGAGCATATGTTTTGTAAGATTTTATTTCATTCAACATTCAACCAACATTTATGAATCACCTCTATGGGACAGGTGCTGTGTGAAATTTTGGTGGTGTATAGATGAATAAAAATGGTGCCTTGTCTTCAATAATATGATCTGGTCAGACAACATAGAAGTTAGCAAATAAATGCACTAATGTGTGATAATTGTTATAGTTGAGGTATGCCATGGAGGTCTCATGAGAGTACAGGAAAGTTGGCCTCAAATGTATCTGAGTATGGTCAGGGAATGCTTCACAGAGGAAGTAAGGCTTGAGATGACTTTTGAAGGAAGCATATTATGGAAGCCATATTTGGCCTGTTGGATACATTGCATGCCAAATACTTGTGAGATTTCTGGCCAAACCAAATGTAGATAACATATAACTCCAATATGAAGGGAGAAATCTGCTTTCTTTATTGAGGTATTTAGGTACCTCTTAGGCCTTTTAGCACCTACAATGCAGGAAAGCACTGAGCAGCCAGAAAGAGTTTTTTCATTTTTAGAATCTGGGCAACCTGGCACTTCTTGGCAGAACAAGGCCCTTTTGATTAGGTCCCAGTTTAACATAGTAGCTGCTTGAAGTCTACAAAGTGGTAGGTTGACTACAATGTATTCAGCATCTAAAGTTCCTATTACTTGGCTAAACTTCGTTACCTGTATCAAACATCCATAATGTTAAATAATCATAATCACTCCTTCATCTATGAATGGGGCAATTATTGACTATACAAGGTAAGAGAAATGAAGTTGGGTTAGCAAACTTCCACATGCCACTTCCAAGCTGAAATAACACAAAACTCTGTTAAATTCCTAACTTATTTCTTGGTTGTATACCTTCCAATAATCTCTGTGTGTTAGTGTGTGGAGAAACTGTTCAATTTATAACAGATGGATTCTTAGAAGCAGTGCTAAGAAAGTGACATTTTGGGGTCTAGTTGCAGGGTCAGGAAACCTGAGCTTACACTTTCAAACCTTTGGAGACTAACACTCTACCTACTCTGGAGGCAGTCCATCTTCTGTTGATGTCAGAAATTGGCTATTGGGTTCCCAGAAACAGTAGGACAATCAAGAGAATCCACAGAGATTCTCCAGTTTTGGCCAGACTTGTGGGAGAGCAGGTGGTTGGGAGTAATTAAGGTCTGATTCCTGGTGGCCTCTCACCAATGTAATTAGGTGCCTTCAACCACTGATGAATCTCACACTCATGTTGGGCTATTTAAATCATCCAAGAAAGCCTTGGCCACAGAGATGTGTCTTGCATCACATTCAGTAATAACCTGCTGGACTTTCTGTCCCCAGAGCTCTCCAGCCTTCACAACTAAGGGCATTTTTAATTACCTGCAAGTTCAGCCTAGCCCTGGATTTTGGTGCCAGTCTTGTTTGAGATAGTAGGATTTTGAAGTGCCTCGGGACAGTAGTTTAGCATCCTAGGCATTATATTTGATTATGATTTGACCTTGCCTATCAGTCAAACAATTGAGGTGAATTGAGGTGGGTTTTTTGTTGTTGTTGTTGTTCTTGTAACAAAGATCTGTTTTGGGATACAATTCCTTATAACTGGGTTTCTGTGTTAGACATCCTGCCTTGAATCCTTTGGAACTGGGTTGCCAGCCTTATTCTTCCTCTGTCCTTCTTAGAAATTAGAGCTCTGTTCTTTAGTTCATTGAGTTATTCTCTGCTAATAGCTACCAGAAAAGCAGTTGCTGGATAGCTAATGCTGTGACCCTTTTATCTGCCAGACTAATGGTTGTCTTCCTAATTCTCAATGATCCTTAAGCTGACATTCTGCTTACTTCAACCAGCTGTTTCATTCTTCTGTCCCTGTGTCAGAAAACTTTCTCCCAAAGAAACTTTTCAAATATTAGGTCCCTATGTTTTCCCTCTTTTTCTATGCCTCTGTCCACTGGCACTTTATCTGTTTTCTTTGCCTCATAGTAGCTACCACCACGAGAGTTATCTTGTGGGATTCTTCTCTCTCTGAAAGACTGGCTAGGAAATGAGACAGTCTCACCTATTGACCTCAAAGACGAATCCACAGGCCCAGTTCTTTTAAAGGCTTTTATCTCCAATAGTGGGAAAACAAAAAGAGAAAATTATAGGGGAAAAAAAGTTATAATTCCTCTCTATAATTCTTAGAAACCTTGTTGGTATTGGTATGGTGAATTTATTTATGCCTCTTTCTTTTATTTGCCCCTACTTTTGTCACCATATTTCCAATTCCTTCTCCTGTTTTCTGTTCGAGAAAAAAATTTTGCTTCTGTGCAAATTCCTTATTCTAGAACAGAAGCGTGGTTTTCCTTGTTCAATGCTATATTCCCAGTGCCTGTAACAATTCCTAGCACATAACAAGCACTAAAAAAATAAGTAATGAAGGAATAAATAAATGAAGATACAAACTTTTTTTGATAAGGGAAAAATGATCCTAGAGCTTGAAGAAGACCGTGCGGGGCCTCATAGATGTGATAAAGAGTTTGGGAGTTTGGTTTTTATTTTAAATGCAATGGGAGGACATGAAAGACCATAGATATAACCTACAACCATTACATGGACTGTTTCAGATTAATGGGTGGATTCCAAATCATTAAAATAACCGCAAACTCATTTCCAGCCCAGGCATCTTTCCACATGGTTGTCTTACAAGGGATAAGCACACATACACAAAATCATTAAAACTGATTCCGATCATGTAGGCATGCTGTAGCAGGTGCACCAAGGTCTCTGCCCGTTTGTAAATCTGTACTTTCATGTTTAAAGAGTAATGCAAGCTTTTGCCTCTGGAATTGAGACATTACTCATTCATTATAAGTGGACAAACTAGATTGTTTTTATAAGGATGAATCCAAATGTTGGCTTAGTCCTGAAGGCTAATCACTATCACACTAGGCAATGTGATTCTCAGAGTTTGCAATTTTAAAGGCTACTTTAAAAATTGGTCATCATAGGAAACCACACAGCTTTCCTGGGAGAAAAATAAAAACTATCCAGATTACAGAGCAAGTCTATGGTCAGACTAAGTTTGGCATTTCTCTAGCGAGATGTTCAGGAGATCATTCAGCTGCAGTACGTGGTTTGTGTCAAGGATTATTACCAGTGAAGGCTGGCAAAGGAAGGTGGGGGCTAAATCATGGAAAGCTTTTTGGCCTTAATTAATGAGTTTAGATTTAATCCCAATTGCAACAGGGAGCCACTTGAGGGTTTTAAGCAGGGGATTTTGAACATGCCTTTCTTTCAATTTCCAGAGTATAGGATATTACTTTACTTATGGTGAGCACCAGGGAGACAAACTTCCTCAGTGGGCCTTTTATAGCTCAGCGCTGGTTGTTGCTTAACATGTGTTAAGCCTAATTTCTCTATTAAATTTGGTGTCACTGAGCTAGGCACTTGTTTGTTGTTTCATAGAGATATCAAGTCTGAATTCTTAGCCAGTAGGAATTCCAAAAAATAAAATTATCTTGAATAGGGAATCATACCTTTAAATGCCCAGATTTAGTTTTTTCCTCGGTGGATTATTTGTTTTGTGGTTCAGATGATTAACCCAGGCTGCTGGATCCTTTCCATGACTCTGCAGCCACCACTGCCATCAAGCAATGTCATTCCCTTTGCCAGTTCACTATTGCCTCAAGGATCAAGTCCGAATCCCTTAGCTTGGCTTACCAGGCTCTTCACAAATCTGGCTTTAACCAGGCTTTTAGTCTTGTTTATTCTATCCCTGAACTCTCCCCTACCCCATATATTCCACCTCTAACTTCCCTTGGTACACTATCCAGGCTACAAATCCATCTTGACTTTGTAATTTTAACTTTCTTTTAGTATGCCATGCTATTTCATGTCTCTGTGGTTTTGCATCACATTGCAACAGATGAGGGTGTTTCAAATCTCTTAAGTATGTTGGGACTGAAAACATTCTGTGTTGAACCAGATTGCAAACTCCTTTTGTTCAAAAATTATAAATTATTTCCTGGCAGGAACCATGTATGATATGTCTCTTTCTCTCTTCTTCCATCTAGGGCCTATCTAAGTGGCTGGCAGATAGGAGGTGGCCATTACAATTTAGGTTAATGGTGAATGAATTTGTGTACAGAGAATTCAAACTGATTTTTGCATAGTCCAAGCAAAACAGAATCAGGATAATGAGTCTGCTAGAGGCCAGGGGGGTGAAACGCAGTAGGCAGTGAAAGGGAAGATGGGGGGAGAGTCTGCAAGCCAATGGGCAGAATTTTTGATTATCTACTCGTTTAGATCATCTGTCTCACTGCTTCCCTCCATTGGTGTGTATAATTGAGAGCAAGAAATGGATCTTTTGGTTAATTGGCTTTTCTGATTAACTAGTAGTTGACTGGAAAGATTTCTTCTTCTGAAAAAGCCCTCTCTAAAATATATCAAATACTATTTTGGGGCAATATAATGCCAAATAAATCTCTTTAGACCACTCAATCATAATAACAGGAAAGACCACTCTCTTATAAAATTGGCAATTATTTAGCAAACATATATTAGTCTATACCTAGCACAAAGCCCTGTGGAAGATATAAGTGAATAAGACCTGCAGAATGGACAGGAGCCTGCAGAGTGGTCTGCGAAGAATTCATGAAGGAAATAGTTCAAATGCTAGAACTTGAAGAACTCTCGAGGCTTTGGTTTGGAGAATGGAAGAGACAGAGATATATATATTCTAAGTTGTGCAAAACATAAAGAGTGATGCAGCAAGGCATAAATAATACATTACACTCAGGGATTGAAGAGTATGAGATGTAGCTACAGAATGGAGATATAAGGGGTTGAATACATTTGAGGAGAGGTAGCGCAGTAGGAGACAAAGCTAGTCAGGGGTTTAATTTTGGATGGCCTCAAATGCTAGGCTAAGGAAAATGGGCTTTATATGGCAAGACACTGGGATCTGTGAAAGGACTCAATTTGATACTTGGTTTGAGAGGCTCATTCTGGCATAAGTATTAAGGATGTGTTTGGAAAGAGAGACTGGAGACAGAGGAGCCCAATAATAAGGCTATTTCAATAGCTCATTCATTCATTCACACATTCATTAATTCATTCAAGAAGTATTGAAAGAGGTTCCATTTAGGCAAGGCCCTATTCTGGTCTGGAGGAGAAATGGCAAGTTAAAGGAGGGCTAAGCTGAGAAGAGTCAGTGGGAAGATGGGAAAAACTGAAGAGAGAAATCAAGAACAAGGATGCAATTTCAATGTTATGAAGGTATAAACTGAGTCAATTCCAGATTTCCATCTTGTATCATTCTGAAAAATTGATTGGGGTACGGGAATAAGAGTGAGATTCTTTTTCTGGGATATTGATGACCTCTGTCAGAGCAAACCATGCAGCAGGGGCCAGGCAATGGTTTGGGGATAATGAGCAGAACTTCCTTTCACATCTTGTACCCTCAGAGAACACAGAAAGCCAACAGGATGTACTCTTAAAGTATAGGGCAAATGGGACTCATTTCAAATTCCACTGGGACTCTGGGAGTGGCTTGACTTACATTGGTGGCTACGTCCTTGTTGCCTTTGACTGGCTGCTGGAAAGGGCAGCATAACTTTTGCAGATCTGCATGACCTGTGGAACATCAGGGCTCAGGGTGAGGTGTGACAAGGTGGGCCTGAACTAAGGAGAAGGACAGTGTCAATTGGTTTTAGATTCATAGCTGCCAAATTGACAGAATTCGGCTCTTAGATTCAGGGGTGATGTAAAGGGAAGGGTATTTTTGAGGCCATTAATACCACTAACTAGTCAAGTCTTTCTACTGATTTGTATCTCTTTTGACTCATTTGCCAAATGAAATAGTTGAAATGGATCAACTCTGTGGAAGTCAGAATAATGATTCCCCAAACATGTCCACATCCTAATCCTCAGAACCTACATAGGAAGAGGGAATAAAGGTTGCAGGTGGGATTCGCATTGCTAACCAGATGACCTCAAAGAGATTTTCCTGGATTTTCTGGGTGGGCCCAGTGTCATCAAAAGGATCTTTAAATGAGGAAAAGGGAAGCAAAAGAAGCAGAATCGGAGAGATGGCTTCATAAAAAGACTTCACCACACATTGCTGGCTTTGAAGATAGAAGTGGACCAAAAGGAAAGGCATACAGGCAGCCTCTAGAAGCTGGAAAAAGGTAAGCAGTTATCCCCTAGAACCTCCAAAAAGGAATACAGCTCTGCTGAAACCTTGGTTTTAGCCCAACAAGACCCATTTTGGACTTCTGACCTCCAGAACTATTAGATAATGCTCTCGTGCTGTTGTTAAGTCACTAAGCTTGTGATAATTTGTTGCAGCAACAATAGGAAACTATTACAAACTTAATCACCTAATTTCTTCAAATATCCCTTATCTAAAAGTTCTTAATGGAGATGCACATCTTAATCATGTGTTGCTTGCAAAAAGAAACAAAAAAACAAAAAACAAAAAACAAAACAAAACAAAAAAACAAAAAACAATCTGAACCCCATTCTCAGAAATTTAGATGCTGTAGAACTGAGATAGGATCCTGCTATCTTATTTCTTAAAGCAGATTTTAATGTGCTCCTCCTTTTAAAAAATTATTGTAGTCACTCCCCAAATGTTCGTCCAGATGAGAAGAGCCAAACAAGGGAGTCCTTCAGTTACAGCTGTGGAAACCAAGATGAAGAAGAATGAGTGTGAGATATGGGCTCTGAAGTCTTGAACTTGTAACCTAATTGTTTTGTGTTCAGTCTTTAAAAACTAGCAAAAGAATCCCTTGAGTAGGAGCTGCTTGTCTGCTCCTACCAAACAATGCTGCAGACAGTTTTTAGTAGTATGTAATTATGATTTTTCCTCATTGTTTTGCATAAAGCAAATTATGTTGCCTTGCTTTATAGTATTTTTTAGGACAAGGTGTATTTTTTAAATTTATGGGTGAATCATTTACATGTATTCTCAGCGTTGGAACCCCACTAAAATAATTAGAATATTATTATTTGGGGAACAATTAACATAGCGTTCTTCAGAGTTCCTGTCTTGTACATCTTTTAGTCCATCCATCCAGTGGTTATTAATATTGAATTCTTCCCAGGACAATCCTCGAATACATTTTTTCTTTAACAATATTCAGTTTTTGGCTTGTTTTCTCTTTTCTTTCCTTCCTTCCTTCCTTCCTTCCTTTCTTTTTCTTTCTTTCTTTCTCTTTCTTTCTTTCTTCTCTTTCTCTCTTTCTCTCTCTTTCTTTCTCTCTTTCCCTCTTTCTTTCTTTTTCTTTCTTTCTTTCCCTCCCTCCCTCCCTCTCTCTCTCTCTTTCTTTCCTTCTTTTTTTTTTTTTTTTCAAAGTCTGGCTCTGTTGCCCAGTCTGGAGTGCAGTGGTGTGATTTCAGCCCACTGTAACCTCTGCCTTCTGTGGTCAAGTGATCCTCTCACCTCAGCCTTCAGAGTAGTTGGGAACACAGGGATGTGCCACCATTCCTAGCTAAATTTTGTATTTTTTGTAGAGATGGAGTTTCATCATATTGCCCAGGCTGGTCTTGAACTCCTGAGCTCAAGCAGTCTGTCCACTTTGACCTCTCAAGGTGATGGGATTACAGGCATAAGCTACCACTCCCAGCCAAGAACTTGTTTTCATCAATCATTTTCTACTTCCTCTTAAGAATTTTTTTCACAATATGACTTCTTTGGCAGCTGGACATTTTTATGATACTATAAGGATATTTAGATGTTTTGTTGCGTAATCATCCTTGTTTTGAGAGAAATAGAGATATGGGATAGGAAGGATGAAAAAAAAAAGGCAAGGATTTGGTTCTGAGGTAATCCTATCGGACTTCCTATTGGTTCAAGTCCAGGAGCACAGACTTGGGTGAGTCAGGTAGGAGCAGTTACCCATTAATGCAGAAATCAATCAGTCAGCCTGTGACCATCTCCAGAAACTCAATTAGACATCTGGCAGAGCCTTCAGGGCAGGACAATGAGGAATGGAACCTTTGGGTTCAGGGAATTAAACAGCATTCCTTGTGAAGACAGAAGACAAAGGCTGAGTACATAAGAGCTTTGCTGAAAATGAGGAATAACTGCAGTGATTAAACACTCATTTTAGCTCATTAGCACAGGAGAGTGACAGTTCCAGTGACAGCATATAAAGCAGGGAAAGTAGACCAAGTTAGAGCAACAGGAAAGCAGGCCTTCTGTATGCCAGCACCAAAGGAGCTTCTGTCATCACAATCTGCCTGTAACATGTAAGTGAGGTCACTTCACATGAATAATGCATGGTGGCTAAGAGGGAGGAAAACAAGCTTTCACATCCAGCTGGGGACTGAGATTTTGCATTATATTAAAATATATTAGGAGAGAATCGCTCCCTTATATTTGCAAGGCATTGCTGCTACAGTGGCTGTCCTAGTCTCTGCTTTGTTCAACTTCCTATTTAATAGGCAGACCCCTCTCTGACTTAGCCCAGATATACCAATCCTGTATTTACAGAGCATTAGTAAGGTATACGGTCTGAGGCCAGAGCCATGGACTGGGAATTGAGTGGCTTGAGTGCCAGTCATTTTTTTGACAGTAGCTAGTGATGTGATCAGGCAGATCATTTAATCTCTTTGTGAATGAGTATAAAGATATCTAATCTTCTTGTGCCTTACAGACACATTAAGAGTCAAATGAGATGTGAATGACTATGAAAGCCTTTAAAAATATATAAATCTATACACGTGCAGGGGGTGATAGTTATAATTGATAAGGCCTTCCCATCTGTATTAGGTCTGTCTCAGTCTCAAACAAAAGACCTTCCAAATTAGTGGATAATATCATGGATAAATGGCTTACATACAGAAGCAAAGAAAAGAACAATGCTGTCAGCACTTGTAAATTATTACCCTCTCAAGCAGCAGTGGCTACTCTCTTCTGTTGTTTTATGTATTTGCAGGCTTATTCTGATATCTAAAGTAGGTAGAATCAGATCTTAGGTTTTAATTGATGGCTGAGTAATTGCAGCTTTTCTCAGTACCACTTCCTCAAGAATATTGTGTTCTTAATTTTTTTTTAGAAAAGGGAGGGGGAAAGACTTCTGTCTCAGGAAAAGATGGGATAACAGGGACCAGATTGATACTTCCACTTGAAACAATAAAACAATTGACAAAATAAATAAAATAGTGGTTTGTATGAGACTGGATATCAGACAACAGAGTGGTCCCTGAGGCAACTAAGGTGACCCCTATGATTGTCCAAAATTACTGCCTAGAGAGAGCTCCAAGTCATGCTGCAGGGAGAAGCAACCTAGGCAGAGCCTAATGAACTAACTCTCTGTGTTGAGAAGATGGAGCTGGAATTCCAGGGAGACCAAGACAGCTAGAGTTCACAGCACAGAGTAATGAAAACTAAGGAGCTGTGTACAGAGAGAACTAGACATTTACAGAGGGCCCACACTGAGTATTCAGATGAATACTGATCCACACTCATGTATGAAAAAATTACCCAAGCTGAGGGAAAGAAACATCTGAAAACACTAGCTGGGAATAGTGCCAGTTCTACTAGGTAGGCTGTAAAACCTCAAGATTTATAAAGCCTTGGGTAGAATAAACATAAGGGTTTTGACTGCACAGTGGTAAGTAAGTATCCCTAGACTGACCACTGCTCTGATTCTACCTAACAAATCTTGAGAGAAAGACCCTCTCAAGCATCAGACTATTTTCAGGTAATGTAACTACATTCCAAAATAAACTTCAAGAAGATTTATAGAAATACAAATATATCAAGCAGTCAACAAGAAGAAATTACAATGCATGGCATCCACTAAAAAATTACCAGCCATACAAAAAATAGGACACCACCATTGAAAATGGTAAAATCAGTCAATCAAATCTGAACCAGAATTGACACAGATAGTACAATTCACAGGCAAAGGCATTGTGTTAATCTATTCTCTTGCTGCTATGAAGAAATACCCAAGACTGGGTAATTTATAAAGAAAAGAGGTTTAATTGACTCACAGTTCCGCATGGCTGGGAAAGACTCAGGAACCTTAAAATCATGGCAGAAGATGAAGGGGAAGAGAGGCATCTTCTTCAAAGGGCGGCAGGAAGGAAAAGTGCCGAGCAAATAGGGAAAAATCCCCTTATAAAACCATCAGATCTCACGAAAACTCACTCACTATCATGAAAACAGTATGGGGGTAACTGCCCCCATGATACAATTACCTCCCACCGGGTTCCTCCCATGACACATGGGGATTACGGGAACAACAGTTCAAGATGAGATTTGGCTGGAGGACACAGCCAAACCATATCAGGCATTAAAATAGTTGTTATAGCTATATTCCTATATAACCACATTTGAACTATGTTCAAAAACTTAGAGACATGGCAAGTAAAAAAAAATAGATCCAAATTGAACTTCTAGAAATGAAAACAGCTCTCTGGGCTTTAAAATGCACTAAGTGGGATTAATGACAGAAATTGCAGAAGCAAAAAAAAAAATTGTGAACTTGAAGACATAGCAATAGTAACTATCTAAAATAAAACACAGCAAGAAAAATAATAATATAATAAAGAACACCGTATCAGTGAGTTGTAAGACCACTTTAGGCAGCCTAACACACATATAATTAGAGTCTCTGAATGAGCATTTGAAGAAATAATAGCCAAAAACATTTGAAGAAATAATAGCCAAAAGTGTTTCAAATTTGATGAAAAGCATAAGCACTCAGGTCCAAGACGTTCAGCAAATCTCAAGCACAAGGAGCAGTTAGAAAACACTAACATGTATCATAATCAAATTGCTTAAAGTCAGTGATAAAGAGAGAATCTTGAAACTAGCCAAAGGGAAAAACATACATTATATACAGAGGAGCAAATGTAAGGATGGCAGCAGATTTCTAATCAAAAATCATAAAAGCAAGAAGACGGCAGGAAAACATATTTAAACTACAAAAAGAAAAAATATAACAACAACATGATGATCTAGATCTCTATGTCCAGTGAAAATAGCTTTCAAAAATTAAGGCAAGATGCTCTTTCAGATATACAAAAGTTCAAATAATTCATCCCCAGCAGATGCTCACTCTAAGAAATATTGAAGGAAGTACTGCAAGCAGAAAAACATATGATACTAGATGGAAATCTGTATCTCCACAAAGAATGAAGAGCAGCAGAAATGGCAACTACACAGGTAAATAGAAAATGTTTTTCAATTATTCAAATATCTTTTAAATATAACAATTTAAACAAAAATAATAACAAAATGTACTGTGGAGTTTATAACATATATAAAAGTAAAATGTATGACACTAACACAAAGATCAGGAGGTATGTAATTAAAAAGTTATTACGTTCTACACAAAGTGACATATTACCTGATAATAGACTGTGTTAAGTTCAAAGATGTATGATACAAAATGTAAATCAATCACTAAAATAATGAAAAGAATTGAATATGAAGCCAAAAAAGAAGGTAAAATAGAATCATTAAAAATATTCAGTGAATCCAAAGGAGGGCAGAAAAAGAGAAAGAAAACGAAGAATGGATGAACAAATGGAGAAGAAATAGCAAGATGACAGACTCAAACCTAAAGATATCACATTATCACATTGAATGGTGATATTTCAAGCACTACAATTTAAAGATGAATATTGTTAGACTGGATAAGAAGGCAAGACTCAACCACTGTATGCTGCCTATAAGAAATACATTTTAAATATAAGGACACAAATAGATTATAACGAAGTGATATGAAAGGAACACCTTGCTAACAATATAACATGCTAATCAATTGATAGCTCAGTGGATGTATTAATATCAGACAAAGTAGATTTCAGAGCAAAGAATTCCAGAGAAAGGGACAAGCATCCTCACCAGAGTGAACAACAGAGACTCTGTTTTCCCTTATCTCAGTGTCTCTCACCCTGTTTCCCACAATATCCTGCCTTTAGTTAACACTCAACAAAAGTTTGGTGGTACAAGGAGCCACAACAGGTCTCCTGGTTTCTTGTTTAGTACTTCCTCCTTTGCACAATTTTGTTTTTGTTTATTTCCTAAATAGTTCTTTCTTTGCTTGTATTGCAGTGCTGCTCTTTGGTCAGTTGTTCTTTTATAGGCCCCGGTGTATGATGTTCCCCACCCTGTGTCCAAGTGTTCTCATTGTGCAATTCCCACCTATGAGCGAGAACATGTGGTGTTTGGTTTTTTTGTCCTTGCAATAGTTTGCTGAGAATGATGGTTTCTAGCTTCATCCATGTCCCTACAAAGGACATGAACTCATTTTTTATGGCTGCATAGTATTCCATGGTGTATATGTGCCACATTTTCTTTTTTTTTCTTTTTTCTTTTTTTATTTATTTTTATTTTATTTTATTTTTTAATTATACTTTAAGTTTTAGGGTACATGTGCACAACGTGCAGGTTTGTTACATATGTATAAATGTGCCATGTTGATGTGCTGCACCCATTAACTCTTCATTTAACATTAGGTATATCTCCTAATGCTATCCCTTCCCCCTCCCCCCACCCCACAACAGGCCCCGGTGTATGATGTTCCCCTTCCTGTGTCCATGTGTTCTCATTGTTCAGTTCCCACCTATGACTGAGAACATGTGGTGTTTGGTTTTTTGTCCTTGTGATAGTTTGCTGAGAATGATGGTTTCCAGCTTCATCCATGTCCCTACAAAGGACATGAACTCATCATTTTTTATGGCTGCATAGTATTCCATGGTGTGTATGTGCCACATTTTCTTAATCCAGTCTATCATTGTTGGACATTAGGGTTGGTTCCAAGTCTTTGCTATTGTGAGTAGTGCCTTAATAAACATACGTGTGCATATGTCTTTATAGCAGCATGATTTATAGTCCTTTGAGTATATACCCAGTAATGGGACTGCTGGGTCAAATGATATTTCTAGTTCTAGATCCTTGAGGAATTGCCACACTGTCTTCCACCATGGTTGAACTAGTTTACAGTCCCACCAACAATGTAAAAGCGTTCCTATTTCTCCACATCCTCTCCAGCACCTGTTGTTTCCTGACTTTTTAATGGTCGCCATTCTAACTGGTGTGAGATGATATCTCATTGTAGTTTTGATTTGCATTTATGCAGCCAACAGACACATGAAAAAATGCTCATCATCACTGGTCAGTTGTTCTAAAGTAAGGTTTCTTTTTCACTTAGGTTCCTAAGCTTCCTACAAGTCTGTATGGGGGTGGTGTTTCTAGACTCCCTTCTATTTACTCTGTCTTTGTTGTCTCCTCCTATGAAGCTTCTGCCTCTATTAGTCATACAACCTCTTTCATCTGCTCTGCTATTAAAACTACAAGTTCTTCCTTTTCTGCCTCTAGCTATCTGGAAGTTTCTTTTGGTTTTTATTCTTTTCTGATCGTTTGTCTTTCTCTATTCATTGAATTTTATGTTTACTTTGTCAAAACCATCAGATCATTTCATCTGTTGCTGTCAACAGGAATAGAGATGAAATATGCTATCTAGTATAAACTATTGGCATTTAGGGGCCTTCCCCGCAACACACACATATAAATAAATGTGTTAAGGAATATGTTGGGTGCCTTTGCAGGACATTTTAAAAAAATCTCCATCTCACTTAACTTTTCTTTTTTTTTTTTTGGTTTTACTTCTAATTGTTTTTATTATTTGTATTTTTTTTATTATACTTTAAGTTTTAGGGTACATGTGCACAACATGCAGGTTAATTACATATGTATGCATGTGCCATGTTGGTGTGCTGCACCCATTAACTCGTCATTTAACATTAGGTATATCTCCTAATGCTATCCCTCCCCCCTCTCCCCACCCCACAACAGGCCCCTTTTTCAATACTGTATTTCTAATTCATTTAATGTTACCAACTCTACATGTCTTTACATAATCTAGTCTCATCCTGGCAGGCAAGGCATAAGTTAACAATTATTTTTAACCAAAACTTTATAATTTCCATTTCTTCTCATCCAACCCCATTAATAAATTAAGGTAACAGTACTGTATATCACTTTATTTCATATAGGATTTGCTCAGTGGTATAGACAGTCAAGTTCTTCCATCCTGGCCAGTGGGGTAACCAGTGACATTTGCCCAGGTTGTCAGGTAAATTTAATTCTTTCATTTTGCAAACAGCATTGCCATTTACACAGATTGGCTCTGATACACAGGACATAATAGTCAAGAGTGTGGTTACTTGTATTTAAATTTTTAAAATGCAAATATAAGGCTTTGCAAGCAGCATGAGATATGAAAAGCTTTCCAAGTGCTAAATGCAGAGTGGCACCCTCATTTGCTTATAATGGCCCTAAACACTCCTGTTTCAGTAAAAGAAAAGGGGAGAGTCCCAAAGTGTTCTACTTCCTCTAAAACTACAAATGGAAAATCTGAGTCTAATTAATGCCTTTTCACTCACAGTACAGTTCAGTTGGAGTAGAAAAATCTTATATAAGAAGATTTCATTGTAAATAAAATGAATCATTGACAATTTTTTTAAAGAAGCAGAACAAAAAGACCTTACTATAAGCAAAGACAAAAAAAAATGGCTGTGAAGATGACCTAGTTTTATTTGAAAGTGTTTGTAGTAATGGTATAGAACATATGTACTGTTCTCAGTGCAGATATAAAGAGCAAGAGCCATTGATTTGCTATTAACCTAGTGGCTCTTTAGGTGTGTAATTAATGATTTATAGTTAACTGTATCTCCCTGCACTTCAAAAAATTTTTTTTAAAAATGCCTGGGTTATTTAGGAACTAAAGTGGTTCATATGAAGTCTGCAAAAATTGTGGCAAAAACGATTTTGATTAGACTGATATTAATAATTGCTTCAGATCTCCATTTTACCATGTATAGAAAGCCTTACAGAGCTGTACAAAATACATTTCGGGAACTATCAGTGGACTTGGAATATACATTTGTATATTTTACATAGAAATGTCATCTGATTTGTTTTATTAGAGTGCTATCAAAAATTCTAACTCCAAAGAGTAAAAAATAAAATCACATAACTTACTCTTATTTTATTTATGTAAAATAATTACGGCAATTGAAATTCAGATCAATGTTTTCTTAGTTAGAGACAGCTTCCAGGCTGCTGCGTGAAACTAGATATTGTTTCAGAAATACAATAAAGATGGGACTCAGGATTTGTCTCTGGAAAAAGGGAAAATCTTGTGAGTTCTAGATTATGCAACAAGGTGTCTTAACCTCTCTGAATTTAAGAGTCTTCATTTGTATACATGAGGATGATGTCATGGGGAATGTGGAGAATTAAATGGGATAATATATGAAAACCTCTGGATCAGAGTAGTATTCAGTAAATGAGACTACTCTTATCTATCACTAAAGTAGGGAGGGAGAAAAAACATAGTACGCTTTAGAAACACTGTTATGTTTGGCCCTGAATACTTTTCTCCTCTGTGTGCCAAAATGGTACAAGTGTGATTACGTATAAAGGAGAGATGAACAACAATGAAGCTTTCCCCTAGAAACTCTGTCACTTTACTTTCTCTCTCAAAAGCAGAGCACGCATCTTAGAAGTTTATTTGGTTTTCTCTGTAAGAAATGCAGGTGTATTTCCTGGTCTGTCCAGGCTTTGTTAATCCTTTTTTGCTGTCATATCTAATTTGGTAGATTTTATTTGCTTTCTTCTCAAGACTGTGCACTTTTCAGTTCTCTTTTATTGGCTTTTTAATGTGAACTCTGTCAGATTATGGAAAGTAGAAATGTCTTTATATGCTGAAATAAACTGAGGAAAACCACTTTTTCAGTGCAGCACTCCCATAACACTTTATTTATGCTTCTGTTACAGCTCTGATGGCAGCATCTCTCAGGTCCTAATCATTTGTGTACATGTGTGAATTCTCCACTAGATTGTGGGATCATTGTAGGCAATGTTGATATCTTATTCAGTTTTGTGACCTTCAGAGCTTAGCGTAGTACCTAACACACAGTAACTATTCAACAAATGTTTTTTGATTCACTAATTTACAAAGACTCTCTAATTTAAGAGATAACATTATACATTTTTGCCTGTCTAATTAACAGATATTAAGAAGAATGATAATACCGAGTATCAATGAGACTACAGAAAAACTGGATGGCTCTAGTGTTATCGTCACTGTCATTATTTTTAATGGCAGCTGAATATAAATTGGGCAGTCTTTCTGGAATGCATTTTGAAAATATGTATGAAAACCCTTAAATATTTTCATGCCTTTTGATCATTTGCTTCTTGTATATTTTCTTTGAAAAATAAATGATTGTTTACAGCAGTTTAGCTGTGAGGATGTTCCTAGCTGGGTTAAATATAATAGAAAAATAATCTAAACAACTTCAATATAGAATAATAGAGAAGTAGTAAAATAAATTTTGAAATTTCCACACAATGAGATACATTATGCAGCTACTGAAAAACAATGATGTACAACCACATTTATTAAGGTAGAAAGATATTCCCTATAGACTTAAGTGAGAAAAAATAGTTTACAAAATAGTACAATTCCATTTTTATTATATACTTGCAATACCTGTATATCTTGATATATCTGCTTATACTTACCTATATATAAGTATTGAATGGCCATATACCAAAATATTAATTGTGTTTATTATTGGGTGGTATAATTATATATGTTTCTATTTTGTTTCTGCTTATTAGTGTCTAATTTTTCTGAAATGAACACAAAATACTTGTGTTAAATTTGTTTCTAAATGAATAGAGGGGAGACAGAGAAAAGTGTGAACAAATGAGTAATTACAAAATATTTATTAACAATTTCATGCTGATTTCTTCCCTGGGGGCTCAGCCCTAAGCCACTGAAGTGCAAATGAGGATATGAATTGTAAGGAGGGTGACAGAGGTGATCCCAGTTTTTCCATTTTAAACAGAATTGACATGGAAATAGGGCCTTGTTTTACATTTTGTATACATGAAATTTTATAAGAACATATAGGTCAGTATATGGCACAAATGATAATAAACATATTCTTAGGTTATTAAAAATATTATTTCTCTGTTATTTGAAAATAGTTATTTAAAAAAAAACCACCAGTAACCAGATTGTCTTTTCTGCAGTAAATGCCTCTTTTTTTCCTGAAGATATGAAAATTTGGTTTTAATATCAGAATATTTATGTAGCAACAATCAGCATGGCAACTTGACTATTGTCTACTCAAAACACATATATTCTTTGTTTGCTGAATAACTTAGTCTACTGATGCCTTTGTAAAGATTTGAGAACTGTAGCTAAGCCTATAATAACATTGCCACATTTCTTCGTTAAAAACTAGAACTACACTATTTCATTTTCCAGAAATACTGCAGAATAACAATATTTTAACAAAGTGCTATATTTTAGCACTTGGGCATCTGCTTTAAAGGTGGATTTGCATTAGTTCTTAAGAAGTGAGAATTTCAAAAACACATAATTGCTACTGCCTGACAGGAGATGGTTTATGATCAGGGAAAAAAATTGGAAGACACCTTTAGTGATAAGAAATGGAGGTAGAGAAGAATGATACAATTGGAATCTTGCTAGAATATTTATCTGTTGTATAGAAGCTAGTAAAACTAGGTCCATTTGGATTTAGGTACTAGAGTATCCAGTGGATTTTAATATAAGGGCAATTTGCCCATATAGTAGCCCCATGACAGAGATTGCAAGGGCTAATTAATACTTGGGAAAATGCAAACTTAGAGTACTCCAGGCATTTTCTTTACTTTACTTTCTTCCCTCTTTTTCTTTCTCATTGTCTGCCCACCTACCCTTGCCAGGCTTAATAATGCTGGCATTAGCAGCAATGATTATGTGGATTATATCAATCATTGATAATGCCAAAACATCAGTTTTTATTTTCTTACATACTCAACAACCTGCAGAATCAAAAGGCTTATAAAATCGACCTAAAGAAACACTTAAGCTGCCACATGGCCAAGACAAATGTGTTTTCTTCTTGAATTATCAACATTATCAGAATAATTATCTTGCTTTATTTTCCATGGTACTTACTACCTCCAGTCAGATTCTATATTTAAAATTTTTTTAATTTGTTATTGTTGTTGTCTTTCTCTTCCTTCTACAATGTAAGCTTCATGAGTACAGTACCAGGAATTTATCTCATTCTCTGTTGTATTCCCAGTGCTTGGAAAGTTCTGGCACATAATAGGAGCTCAATAAATATCTGTGGAAATACTTTGATTTTCTATGTTTTTTTATGGCTAGTAGTAAAGCTATATTTATGTTTATGATTACATCATAATTTTAAAGATTGGTCAATATGTCCACATTATCATCACTTTTACATTTTAAATCTATCTAAATTGTTAGTCTGTCCCATTTAATGGTAGCTCAGGTAGTCAAAAAATGGGGCTAAAGATATTAAGGCCTGTGTTCTACTTCATTTTGCCAAATATTTATTGAGCACTTTCTGTTTGTCTTCCTGTGCTAATTGCTGGGGTTACAAGAATGACTATAACATAGTCATTGATCTAAAGGAGCTCACAATATAAAAGATAGGCTTGTAAAGATATGATTTTGATCCAGTGCAGTACATGTGACAAAAGAGGTATGCCCAGAGGACTGAGGGAGTACATAGGAGAGTGTGACTAACTCTAATTCTGGGGATTGGGCATTAAGATAAATGAAACATGGTTCTTTGTCCTCAAGGCACTCACAGTTGAGTGAGAAAGATAGACACATAACTATAATGTAATGCACTATGTGTTGTGTTAGAGATATAAATCAACTGCTATGACCACATCAAGGAAATAGCAATTGTGCCTAAGGAGTTAGGAGAAGGCTTTATGGACCAGTTAATATTTGCACTGGGTCTTGGATTCACTAGGCACAATGGGAGTGGAGGGTGGTATAGGAATGGGGCATGAAACAATGCGTAGAAGTATGAGTAGCTAAATTGTGGTATAATGCAGGGGAGATGCAGAAGACTAAAGCTAGAAGGGCAGAAGTCAGATTATGAAGGATATAGAATGCTATGCTAAGGACTTTGTACATTATAACATAAGTAATGAAAATATTAAGGATTTAAGTCTTTCTATTTCTGCCTGGTTTCAGTTTTGTGGGCTGACCTTGGTGATGTTTGCACCAGGTTGATTTAGCTCTGGGAAATCAAATTTATACCACCAAGGCACAGAGCAATGTTTAAAAACCAATTCATTAATTTACAATGATAAATGTTTCTGCCAAAAGGATTGGAATACTTGTTCTTACCTCTCACTTGGGAAATCACAATAGGGGTACAATATTGCTTAGAGGAATGAAAAGGTAAAGGAAGTTTTTGTCATTAAGGAGACACATTTGTGATAACTAAGTGAAATAAATGTTCTTCTTCTTACAGGGATGCATCTGGCACACAGGTCCTGTCAGGCCTAGGCACAATTCTGAGGGAGGCTTGAATTGGCTTTCAACTGAGTTAAATTATCTGAGCCACAGTCTCCTGATATCCCTGTAGTACCTAATCCAAGAGTCTGCATTGCAAAGACTTTCAAACATTAGATGCTCTTACTTCTTTGTGTAGAAAATCCCAGCTAGGGCTGTGACAGGACCCAGGGCATTCATCCACCAATTATTTTAGTTTATTCTTAATAGAAAGTTGTGCTTTGAGGTAATAAAAATAAAATATCAAGCAAATAATGAATAATATACACCATAGCCAAAACATATAACTTTGATTTTGAAGTGGAAAACCTAAAATTTATTTGTAATAGCATGGAATTAAGCACCTAAAGCTAAAATCAATATATGTCAAAAATTGAAAATAGTACCAAAATCAATTCAATAATTCTCACTGAATCCAAATTACATAATGTGTATGAGATATTGGAAAGTAACAACCCCAGAGGTAACTAAGGTGGGGGGGTGGGTGAATGAGGGAGATAAAGAGAAGAGAGAAAATTGAGTTGGAGAGAAGAGGAACCATGTTCAAAAAGGGAGATATAAACTTTTCAATCCTGTCATAAACCAGATGATAGAAGTTAGCACAAAAATGGCCATTTGAAGCAATAACGTTGTGGCTATTACTGATAGATTTTTTTCTTCTTTCATCGTCTTTTTTTTTAAATAAAAAAGACAAGCTGAAGTGCAATGATATCACTAAAAGGAGGAAGGAGATATTTGTTAAAAAGCTGAAGGAGGAATGAGGAAAGAAATGCTCTCTATCCTCCCCAGAAAGTGTAACATTGCCTTAGGTCTATAAATGTTTGAAAACACATTTTTGTGGGAAGTTTTGAATAGCCTTTCTTAAGCTGTGACAGAAATGCTATCCTCTTAACCAGATATTTTTCAGCTCATCTGACATTTATTATTTAGTCTGACATTATTGCAAATACCCAGAAGGAAAGATGAATGTGGAATCCAATTCACAAAGAGCTCTTGGAAGAATGGAAAGGCATTGTGACCTTTTTCAAGACCATTCTGGTGTTGATTTTCTCTTCTTTCTTTTAACTCTGGCTCTGGTTATTGATTTCACTCTGCTCCCAGTAGAATGATTTATTTTGAGTTTCATTAAGAAAGTGATCAACAATTAATAACAAAATCTCCAGTGTTTGATGGCTTTACTATGGTAGAACTGCTGGAGAGGAAGTTTGAAACATGGAGAAACCACATTGAAAAGTTCAGCATGTGACTATGTAAAGCAAATTGTTTATAACTCAAATTTATGGCTCCAAGTGGTTTGATCTACTCCTGTTGTTCTTCTGTACTGTTTCCTATACAGTAGTTGGGTCATTTATTCAGCAAACAAATACAGTTATGCATTGCTTAATGATGGAGATACATTCTGAGAACAGTGTCATTGTCCAAACATTATAGAGTGTGCTGACACACACCTAGATGGCATAGCCTACTACCTACCTAGACTACAAGGCATAGCCTATTGATCCTATGCTACAGACCTGTACAGCATGTTACTATACTGAATACTGTAGTCAACTAACACAAGGGTAAGCACTTATATATCGAAGCATAAAAAAATTTTCAGCTATATTATAATCTTATGGGACCACTATTGTATATGCAGTCTGTCACTGACTGAAACTTCATATGTGACCATGACTATACTAATACATGGCTACTGTTTATTAGGTAACCGTAGATAAAGAAATGAACAAAATGCCATATCTTCTCTCAAGGAGCTGATATTATAAGAGGAAATATAGACAAGAAAATCGGCAATTACAATACAGTAACATAAGAGCTTTAGTGGCATATATACAGGCCTCTATGGAGACACATAGGAGGACACAACTCATTCTCAGTGGAGGTTTAGGGAATATGATGAAACCTGAGCTGAATCGGAAAGTTCAGTGTGAGGAGGGTACTCTAGGCAGAAAAAGCTATATATGTAAAAGTATGGACCGGTAAGACAGCATGCTGCACGCAGGGAACTGCCAATATATTATATAAACAGGGCATAGGGTGAGTGTTGAGAAGATGGCTGAAATGAGGTCAGAGACCTGGAAATGAGGTTTGTTACATCATGCAGCATCATATGTGATGTTCTTGGGAGTTTGAAATAAAATCACAGATCCATCCTTAAATGGGAAAGGGTTTTATCTTTTATTTTCAGCAGTATTCATTTGTAAGTTTACAGTGATAGCAGGCACTTTTTTCCAACCTAGTTTTCCCTATGGCTGTTGCCTTTTACACAGTACTTATTAAATCTTCATTGACTTTGACCTCCTGGCAGGTTGGCTAAAATTATGGCCCTGAAATAGAGCAAAGATAATGGGGTTAGTGAGTCTAGACTGGAATATGTCCTTCATGTCATTAATGCTGGGCCCCAAGAAACAGATAATCTGCTATACTGCAGTTTTGTTAAGGAATGGAATAGTGCTAATGAGATACTGGCCATTTCAGTATAGACAGCCTGGATGAATGCCCTTCTTGTTGAGGCCATTCCAGATTTGGCATAGGGATCTTAGTTTTTCAGAACAGAAACTCAGTTCGGTCAGTTTATGCATATTAATCAAAATCAGACAACTCTGATCTTCCAGAGGTCCATTGTCTTAATTTATTATACAATTGTATTTGGCTGCTATCAGTATTTTGCACACAGCACATCCTCCTAGTTGGAAGTTCACTCTGGAGATGAAATGATATATCAGTGTATTACTTTGAAAGCATAGATGTAGAATAAAGAGAATCTGATGTCCTCAGGGGACATTTCCATCAAGCTATGGTGGCATGACAGATTGTTCTAGAAATATTGGTCCAGAAATATTCATCTCTAGAGAACTGGTATTTGTTTTTAGAATCAGAGCACTGATTCTCCTGGACAGAGCACACAGACACATTCTCACTTTGGCTCTTCCTAGAATCCATGCAAACACTCTGCCGCCTCCAGTTGTTATGACATTACTTGTCACAGTCTAGCTTACGTTATTCATAGTTTGGTCTGGATGAAAATTGAATTGACACTGGAAACTCATCAGTAGCACATTTACAAACCATTTTAGGGTGGGAAGACTTCTGTAGGTGGCCTTCTTTATCTACTACTTTTTTTCATTTTCAGGAGGTAATTTCTAGTTTAATAGCAAATTTTGGGGAATAGTATCATTTTGAAACTGTTGTATCCCTAGATTCTTGCACACTAACAAACAATTAAGAATCACAGACTGTTAAGCAATAAATGACCATGAAGATGTCTAGTTCAATAATTGGTGAATATTTTTAAAGCACTAGAACTCTTTTTGACAAATGAAATCAAACCCAGAACACATATAAAAATATTAAAGAAAGGCTCTGAGGGAATACTCGTCTATTTCATCTGTTCATTTTATAGATGGGGAAATTGGTGCTTCTAGAAAAGGAGTAATTTACTCAGGGTAGCACAGCTGGTCAGTGACAGATCCAGGACTAGAAGCTAGATCTCCCGAATACTAGTCCAGTGCTGTTTTTACTCCACCAGTTACTATTCATAAAACATGTAAAAAGATGAGGATTGAAAAGCAAACTGATACTTCATTGAATGATCTCTGCAATTGACAATTCTGGCTAGAAAATCCCCATTTAAATCTTCAAATACTCTTTAAGATGGAAAAAAATTACCAATAAGAGGGATCTATTTTTTTGCTGTTGGAAGTTTTCCAGTATATACCAGTCGCCTTGTATATCAATATGCCAATACATATTGGTATACACATATGTACATATATACAGGTGCCCCTGTATGCCAATATGCTTTTTGACCATTTGTGTTGTTCAAACAGCTGACTCTAGTGCCATTTATTTGCAACCGTACTCATACTTCTTAAAAATGAAGTTAAATATTATCATAAGTACAGGGTATTTATACAATATTGCCAATATCAATACAAAATACCTTTGCTAGAGATACTGGGAAATCTAACATGGCATGAATACAATTGTTTGTGCAGGGGGTGGTTGACACTTGTTGAGATTAGTGTCAAAGCAGATTTTTATTGCATAGGAACAGTTTGAGCTGGGTGGTTTTGGAGGGGTTCTTTCCATCTCTGAGGGATTTTATTCTTCACACTACCGTAGGTTGCCTTAGTCTATGTAGGGCTGACCCTACAAGACAAGTAGAAGGTTAAAAGCAACATTTTGGAGTTCCCTTTGAGCACAATGTTTACCTTGGCTGGTTGTTTGTTAGTTCAAGAAGGGAGCTGTTGTGTAAGAGTAACTCTTAGATGTTTGCTTTGAGTGAATAACAAGTCCTAGCTCCTGTTTGGGGTTCAATTTCTGCCTCTGGAAAATGCCAGAGAAAGATAAGTTTATCTCTTATGTCCCTAGTAGTTCCAATATTATGTAATTATCTGCTTTTTAAATGTAGTCCACTAATATTGAGTACTTAATGGTCATGCAGAGTATGTGGGAGACTAAGCATCTAGGCCATGGTAGCCTGTGTGCTTACTGTGCTGCCATTTATAGTTCTTGTTCTTCAGCTCAGCTATGTGCCTTTCCCACAGCCCCCACCTCTCTGTCCTGTGAAGATAACCACCTGTGTGTTTTCCATTGCGCCTGTAGCTCCTAGTTTTTCATTCATTTAGTAGACTTTCTCTGACTGCCTACTGAGAATCAGGTACTGTCCTATACGCTGGGGCCAAGATAAAAGTCCCTGTCTTCAAGTGGATGAAATAAACAAGCAAACAAGTAACTAAGGAGTGAAAATGCATTATAAATGTTCTGGGAGTGGTATAAATGTGGGGCTTCTGGGGACAGAGAATAAGAGCATCTAGCCACATGGGGGATCAGAAGTGTTTGCCAGGGTTTGAGAAGGATGCGAAGTCTGAAGTAAACTTGGAAGGCAGAGAAGGTAAAAGCCAGGTGAGCTGGGGGAGACAGGGTATTCCAGGGAGAGGGTGCAGCTTAACGACTTGCTTTAAGAGGCCACATTGTATGTATGTATGTACAGGGACCTGCAAGTGACTGTTTTAGTTATCCACTTTCTGTAAGTAGTTAGCACTTTGGAGTGCCTAGCTCTATGCTTGATTGTGCATAAGATAGAAAAGAAGTAAAGAAAATGTGTAACTCATGTATGGCTTATGTCTCAAAATTGCTTGTGAATCACCTTCGAATGTGCAATACATTTTCCTACAGAAAACAATGGTCTCCATGGTAATTAGCTTCCCGAGCCAGCCCATAAAAGCCTTTGTAACCCATAATCTAAAAGATCATGCTGTACTAATAATACCATAGCTACTGATGATCATTTGAAGCTGTGCTTCTGTGGGAAAATACATTCCATATTTCAATCATGGGTTCCAGAAACACCCTCTTTCCTACTGAAGCTTTACCAGTGCGTGAAGAAAGCTTTGTTTTGCTACTCCTTCAGGTGGCAAATCAGTGCTTCCAGGAATTTTCTCAGCTCCAGGTTATTACCAGTGTCTCATTGAAATGGGGAGAATATATAGCAGGGAGAGGGATAGAGGTAGGCACTTTAGCAGAACAAAAGGGCATTGGGATTAAAATATAGACAAGGAAGTGACCAATGATGTTAGAGAGGAATAGGTTCCCCAGGGAAAATAGAGACAGGACTGAAAGCAGAGCCAGAAAAGTGCATCCTTGCCCAGAGTGGGAATGGAGAATTGCCTAGGTCTCTTTTATGCTGCTATAACAGTATACCTGAGACTGAGTAATTAATAAATAACAGAAATTTATTTCTTACAGTTTTGGAGGCTGGGAAGTCCAGGATCAAGATGCCGGTAGGTTTAGTGTCTGGGGAGGGCCCGGTGTCTGCTTCCAAGATGGTACCTTGAAAGAAGCATCCTCTAGAGGGCAGGAATGCCGTTCTTCACATCACAGAAGAGCAAAACAGCAAAGAGAGAGAGGACTCACTCCCTAAAACCCCTTTTAAATGGCATTAGAGCCACCTATGAGGGCAGAGCCCTTACGATCTCAACACTGAGGGCAGAGCCCTTACGATCTCAACACCTCTTAAAGGCCCCACCTCCTAATATTGTTATGTTAACAATTAAATTTCAAATGAATTTTGGAGGGGACAAACATTCAAACCATAAGAATAAAGGAAGGAATGAACACTTACTGAGTTTTTACTGAGTTGTAGCCTGGCTTTCCCAGTCTTTTTTTTTTTTTTTAATTTTTAAAATAAATTTTCCTGTTTTCAGGGGAAGAAACTGAGGTGCAAAGAAGTTAAGAGACTTGTCCAGGGTCACACGACTAGTAAGTGGCAGAGCTGGGATTCATAATCAGATCCCATAAAGTTCCTACAACATACATGTTTATTAGTAAAAAAAATTTGTAAGCTGAGGATGTTGTTTTATTGCTGAGAAAATTGAGCAAAAACTGTAAGAGTAATTCTTTGAAGGGACCACCACTACATAAAGACAGCACCACTAGAACTAAAACTATGGTACCCTGACTCTTACCCCAGTATGGTTTATTGCATGAAGCTCTTACTGTAAGCAAGGGGATACATGTCCCTCCAGGTCATGAGCTTGCAATTTAATGCTTTGGCATTAAAATATATTATTCAAGTAGAATGAGGGAACCTATACTAAAGGCCAGAATAGAGTCATAAACACAGCACATTGGAAGATAGAGACTATAATTCTGACTCAATAGATCTGAGAAAGCTTGTGGAGGATATGGTAGTCGTATCTGGAGTTGTGCCCTGAAGGACTGATAGCAGGTGATAGATAAGCAGACCTGGAGAGAAGACATTCTAGGAAAAGTAGTCAGCATGGGCATGTCATAAGCACAGTGACCATTTATTGAACACTTAACTCTGTGTTAGACATGAGACTATGTGTTTTATGTAAATTATCTCATTTATTCTTCATGGTAATACTATGAATTGAGTAACATTATTGTCTCCGTTTTATAGATAAGGAAACCAAAACTCACAATAGATTATTTGTCCAACTCTACACAGCTAAGAAGAGGTAGAATCTGGAGCCTATGCACTTAGTCTACATATCTATCCATTCAATTGGATGACTGTACATGGTATAGTGGGAGATTGCTATAGACTGAATTGTTTTTCCCCTACCTCAAATCCATATGTTGGAGTCTTAACTCTCAATATGATAATATTTGGAGATGAGACTTTTGAGAAGTAAATGGGTTTGGATGAGCTCATAATGGTGGAGTTTTCAAGATGAGATTAGTGCTCTCATAAGAAGAGGTACTTATAACAGGGAGCTTGTTCTCTCTTTACTCCTGCCATGGAACACTGTGAAAAGGCAACTATCTACAAGCCAGGAAGAGAGCCCTCAAAAGAAACTGACTATGCTGGCACCTTAATTTTGGACTTCTAGCCTCCAGAACCGTGAGAAAATAAATTTCTGTTGTTTATGCCCCCCATCTGTGGTGACTAAGATGACTAAGACAAAAATGAAACTGGTAAGGTTGGCTAGAGCCTCTTGTAGAGGGTTTCAAATGCTATGTTAAGGATTTTGAACTTTATTTATTGGCACTCTAACACCAACTAAGTAGTTTGGGGATAAGTGTGATTTGATCAGATAATACTATTCAGTTCATTCTCTAAATGGAAACAATAGAGAACAATGGAAAGGTATCCACATATAAATAATATCAAATATCAAAGTGAGTAAGTGATGATGAATTTAATGAGTAGGTGGAGACAATACTATAGTTGGCTAGATTTACCGGGGAGGGCTTAACAGAGGAAATAGAATTTGAGATGGGCCTAATAAGGATTTTTACAGCAAGGAGATGAGGAGCAAGGCATTCCAGGAGAAGGAAGTGACATGTAGAAAGGCACAAAAGAGAGAGGGAGTGGGGTGGAGTTTGTGGGACACAATGCGTCTTGGCTGGAGCAGAGTGAAGTCTGAGAAGGTAGGTTGTAAATGTTATGTAGTGAGTTGCCTTGAGGGCTGAGATGAGGATGCTGTTTGATGGCCACATGGTTATGTCACCCATGCATAAAGGTAAAGGACTTCAGGCAGTAGCAGTGCTTGAATACTGTGCATTTAAGTGCTAAACACTGATCACTATGTACTTAGTATTCTCTTGGTTGTGTGGGGTGTCCCTGCCCTTAAAGAGCTTGTAATCTAGTTAGGGAGATCAGATAGTCATGACTGAAAAGTTACTCATGACTGAAATAATACATAGAAACATGAGTGATGTATCTGAAGCCAAGTACAAGCTTTAACATTAGGGCCACACAGCAAAGGCACTAACTAATTTGAAACAGAGTGGGTTTGGTGTGGCTGATGGAAACTTTGCAAATGAAAAGCTTGTGTTGAGCTATGAGGAATGCATGGAAGTTGAAAAATGGAGTTAAAATGAGAAGCACAGACTGAGTAAATATGCAGAGGGAAGACTAATCGTGGCATTTTCAGGGGACAGTGATGAGATCCCAGTGGCTGTAGTGGATGATTCATCTAAAGTGGTAGTGAGAGATGACTTTAAAAAAGCTTATTGAAGCCAGCCTGTGGAGGGTCTTGGATGTCAGCCTAAGGAGATTGGACTTTATGCCTTAGACAGTGGGGAGCCATAATATGGTGGTTTAGCACCTTATCCCTCAGACAGATATTAGACTAAAGATTAATTCTATCTTTATATATGTAGCATATCACAGAGAACCAAGGGCTAGTATTTAACGTTTCAGTATAAGTTAAGTAAGATTTTGAATCAAAAAGTACAGGGGATGGTACTAGATGAGAAAAGGAATAAAAAATGCATCATTAATATTCATACCCTGTCACAGTCACAGTTGCACTTCATTTCTTTGTTCTATTCTTAATCTACTTTAAATATTTTTAGCATTAACTACACCATGCAAAGGATTCTAATGAAAAGTTAGGACTATTGTGCACTTTGGTGTCAAATTTTCTGACAAGATATGAATCCTTTTTAAATGGATTGGTTAAGAGGGAATGGTGCCTTTAAATCATCATGGCTGTATGACTAGTACCAAATTGAGGGCAAATTAGGTGAGTCACTATTATAAAAAGTCCAATCTATCCATACTGTAGCACACATTTCTTTTTAAGATCAGTGAGGTGTTAGAAGCTCAACCAGAAATGCCTGGTGTTTTGACTGGGAACCTGCTCAAAGATTTGGCCTGCCAATAGGTAGAGTAAGGCTATGTCTACACAATGCTGATTTCTCTGTTTTATACTGGGGAAAACTGAGAAATTTGGCCCACTATCCAGGTATTCCTAGATATTTCAATATGTTTAATGCTGAGTAGGCAACATTTTTACTGGATGTTTTTGTTTGTCTTAGCTAGATGGTTGGTATGGTGTAGACAAATTTCTGTTCGTGATAAGAGAATTTTCTATTCATAACTTTCTTGTGGAATTTTTTGGTGAACATTGAATCTTGGTAGAGATATGCCATTATTAAGAAACATATTAAGATTTGCTATGCAGCTGTCTATTAAACAGGCAATGACATATTATTCAGAAGGGAAAGGCACATGCATACCCATTCTGTGATCTACTCACCAGGGAATTCATACCATTCTAGGAAACAGCCTACTTTCTTTCTGTCTGACTTGTAAAGCACAGCATTTGAGGCTGTAATCCAGGAGCTTAGAGATTTTGCCATATTATAGTCACAAGAAATTTTTACCACATAAAAAAAAAAACATACACAGTGAAGCCCCAGCTGGGGGTTCTTAGAAATTCCTAACTCTGTGATGGTTATCACTCTGTCCCTTCTACTTTGAGTGCTCAGGCTTACCTCTTTGCCTGTGCAAATATCACCATTAATTTAAGGCCCAGCTTGGATGCCTCCTTCTTTGGGAAACTAAAATTATATATGCTGAAGGGAAGAGATCTTGTCTTCCTTGAAACTAGCACCTTGTTGACAACACTAATATGGTATGTATAACACATAGCCCTGTACCAGAGTAACTGGGTTTTGTTTTATCTGTCTTACAGGATAAATTCCTAGAGGACAGAGACTATACCTTACATATCGTTACATTCTACCACCCTCGACGTATGCACTTAAACCTATACAGGGCTGAGAACATAGCAGGCCCTCAAAAATATTAGTTGGAATCACATATGATATATATTTAACTATAGACTGGTAAGAAGGGAAATGACATCTTCAGGGTTTTAGTCAAAGGTAGCATTTACAAAGGCTATTCAATTAATCATCTCAGGGCTTCTGTGTTGAGTCCTTCCATGAATGAGTTTGAGGAAACTGCTGAAATGAAGGGTCAATCTTGCTCTGAAAGTGCAGAGGAAAGCTGATTTGGTGGTAGAGAAATACATATATTTCTGATTTGGTGGTAGAGAAATATATATATATACACACACCCTGAGACACACACACACACACACACACACACACACACATACTTGTACACCCAAAAGCCCTGAACCCAGTCACTGGCTGCTGTTGCTTGTTGCTTTCTCTCTTCCATGGGGTTTGGTGATAAGGTTAGTGTGTGAAGTTGAGTGCAACGACCCGCTTCGTGCTTCCCCTTTCAGTTGGCACCTTGCTCCTAAAAGATTTAGAAATATCACGTCTAGTGTGAGTTTCTTTTCATGGAAGACATTTTTTTGGTCATGGGGAAATGTTGAAAAGGAACACAAGGACAATGTAGATGTACCGACTCTGGTTTGTGAACATGCAGATCTATTCTTTTTATGCCCCATAAGGAATGAAGCCTTGGATCCTTGATTGTTTTAGGTTTTGAATTTTGCTTTATAGATTTGGCTGAATGGCAATGATTGCATATCAAACTCATAACCCGATATCTATACCTGGAGAGATCATTCTACATGACTATTAGGGGCAATTTTTCTAGGATGCAACTCTCTGGTAAAGATATCTTTAACTAACAATGAGAGTCACAAAACTCCTGTTACATGCCCAATATTGACTGTATGTGAGACTGGTAAAATTCACATATTTTATGAGGATCAATAATACAATTCAAATAATTCCTATATTTCGAACTAAATGGAACAATATTAATTCAGCCATAAACAGCATTAAGGAAAGTCAAATGTCAACGTTTTTGATGAGACATGAATCATACAGATTTTCCCCTCCTCCCATACCAAGCAGCACTTTAGCTATTTTTAATTAGGACTAGCTAAATATAGCTCTTATCTTCATAGACTGGGGATGTGGTTGACGTTTTGCTAAACCTTTGTAAAATTACAGGCTTATTAATAAGTTATGTTAATTTCTGGAAAAGAAAAACTTAAATGTTCAGACTGAGCTGACCTAATTCGGAGGTCCAAGTCAAAGAGAAGGTTGATGGAAAGCAATCAGGATTGGAAAAACACAGGGTTTGTTGCTGTCTTGGTAATAGCCTGAGATGAGAAGGAGAGAATGGAGACATCATCACGACAGGAGATTTTTGAGAAGTAATTATAGAACTAAAATAGCCATAAAAAGTCTTGGTAAAGAAAATCAACCATACTTATATGAAGATCACCAAATAGGTCACAATGGAAACACTGTGCTTTAGTTCATGGAAGCTGAGTTGTCATTGTTGGGTACCCACAACCGGCAGCTCACCTCATATGAGAGGTAAAAACTGAAATCAGTTGTGTAACCACATCTTTGATTGGCTTGTGTGCCTGGTCTCTGTGTTTGTCTGCTGTGAATTTCAAATGCTGGCCATGAACTCCCAGCTTGGCCTGATTATGGAGGAGATGAAGATTATGGTTGACCTGAGCAGTTAAGCCATAGGATGTTTACAGGTTTGACATTGAGTGAAATGCAAAGGCTGCTATCCGAGGTGTAATTTCAGGTGGCAGACAGGCTTAGTGAAAAGGAAGGATGATGATTTCCTGAACCAGTCTCCCTAACATTTTATGAAATACTGATCTCCATTTAAAAACTTAAGCCATGTATTTTGATTAGCTTTTTTTCCTCTTTGCATTTTTATTCTTCCTCAGAACAGTGATTAGGAAGAGTGTTTTGGATGAAATTTAATTTTTTACTTTGACTCTCTGAGGGCTAGGAAGCATGTATAGAGGATAAAATATTTCCATGCTATTGGGTATTTTAAAATGTATTGTTAGGGCATGTGCTATAACCCTCATGTCCTCTTCTTTCTTTCACTCATCACATACCTGCTAGAGATTAATGAAACATTTAAAGGAAATACGTTTGTTTAGTTTATAAACTTTATCCCATATATGATACTTGAATATTGTAGACAAATCAGATCATGCAAATAAGCTAAAACAAGAGGAAAATAATGCTCATCCTTAATGGGCACCCAGAGGTAACCATTGCATTATACTCTTTATTTTTATGCATATATGTATTGGTATATTTTGTGTATAAAATAGACTATAAAACTAATATATTAATATATACTACAAATAATGAAATAAAATGTAAACTGTAATGAACACAACCTGTGTGTGTGTGTATATGTGTGTGTGTGTGTGTGTATCTCATGATTGACTACTTTTTAAAAGAGAACTTTATCTTATAATCTGCTGTTTTGTGTTTTAATTTAGTAATTTGGTCCATAGTGCAAATAGTGCACATTTCTCTCAGTTGCAGGTTCTTGTTCTCCTTTCCATGTAGTCCAGCCAGATATTCAGCAGTTGTGAGTCAGTGCAGGTATACTAGTTGTTTACAGCCAGGGTCTGTTCTTTTGAGGCAGGTGTATATGCTGATTGGTTGATGGCCATGCATACTGATTGCTAAATATTTTAACACTACCCTTGAATGTCATAGAAAATCTTAAGATGCTGGAAAATACCACACTGCAGTTAGAATTAGGCTCAGACAACCAAGCAAAAACTTGCCATGTCAGAACTGTATGGTAGATGTGGATGTGTAGGTCTTCTCTGTCCTACAAAGAGCTTACAAGGTAGTTAAGTGGTCATGTCACACAGGCAAACAAAGAAAACTAACAGTGCTGCTGCTCAGTATTATGTGAATTACCAAATGATCAGTGTGGTCAAGGAGATACTAGAGTTCAGAAGCCTGGAATACTCAGAGAAGGCTTCACAGAGGAGAAAATATTAGAGATAAGAGGACAAAGGGAATGCAATTCAAGTGAAGGGAGTAAGAAAAGGATATGACGTGTTTGGGAAACTGCAAAAAGATTAGTTTTGCTTTTAGATTCATTCTTTATTCTTCCCTTGGTCTGCAAGCATTTGACCCTTGATACCGTTTTTTTTTCTGGGCTTCCTTGCTAAATGTCTTCTGGCTAGAATTGACCAATAGGAGACACTAGTCAGATTTTGAAGTCAAGGGAAGTGCAGGAGCTGTGATATTCTATCTCCCCATCCCCATGCTCTGCTTGTTTATGTCTTGGGCAGTTGGGAGTATTCTCTCTGTAGCTCTAGTTATTATTGAGAAGCTCTGGGGTCCCAGCTTCAGCTGAGTTGTTCTTCCAAAGTTCCAGTTCCTGCCTAATAGCCCTGGATCCTTGTTCCCAGGCTCTGGTATTACCTCCTGCCTTTGTCCCTCAGCCCCGTGAGTGGTAGCCACTTCTTGCAGTTAATAATCTCTATTTTGCCTCACCTCTCCCTCATTTGCTCTTTCCATTCTTCTAATACCTTTGTAATTTGTTTCCTATATTAAATTCCCTTCATTTAGCCACCTCGTGTGGGTTCTGATACACATATAAATGGATTATATGAGTGGTCATACTTTTCAGATGTGCTTATGTTAAGGATCTTGAGATTTGAAGAGGTTTCTGGATATTCTCCAGGTGGGTTTGATGCAATCACAAAGGTCTTTATCAACAAGGGAGGGAAGAGATTTGAAGATGCCATCTGCAAATTTCAAAAATGGATGAAGGGACCATGAGCCAAAGAATGCAGGCACTATTAAAAGCTGGGAAAGGCCAAGGAACAATTCTCTCTTAGTTTCCAAAAGGAATGCAACCACAACAACACCTTGATTTTAGCCCTGTGAGACCCATTTCAGACTTCTGAAATCCATAACTATAAGATAATAAATTGGTATTATTTTGAGGCACTAAGATTGTAGTAATCTGTTATAGCAGCAACAAGAAGCTCATATGCCTATTTTCAGGACTTAGTTCAGGTATCACTTTCTCCTAGATGTCTTTTGTATTGTCCAAGGTGGACCCAGGTGTCAATATTCCCATTGCTTGGTATATGTCTCTATCTCTATTATGGGTTTCATCACCAAGAATTTGAGTTCCGTTCCATTTTGATCTTTCTCTCTTCTCTTCTGGATGTGTATTGGCATGTGCAGTGAAGAGGAAGAGAAGTCTATCCACTATCATTAATAACAGCTGCTGGTGTTTAATGAGCACATGCTACATACCAGATGATACACCCAATAACACTCTGAGGAAAACATTCTTATAATATCTATTTTACAGGTTGGAAAACTAAGGCTTTGAAAGTTGAAGTGATTTACCCAAATTCATAAAGCTAGTAAGCTAACCAGTTAGAAATTAAACAATGTTCTTAATGACTACATCATGCTACTAATATTATACTGTATCCCAAACAAAACCCCTTTTTGTTGTTGTGGAAATAAATCTTAATCTTTTCTTCTTTTGTCTGCCCAATTCCTGTGTTCAGCTCTTCTCAGTCTAGGCTTTCCCTAAGTGGGTTCATTTTTTAAAAAATGTACCCTTCTCATTTCCACCCTGATTCTTTCTATCTCTGAGCCAAATATCATTACTCCCCTGGATCTTGCAGAAACAAAGTTTCTTTGAGTTCTTCAGGCAGTACAGGGACAATGGAAATGGGAGACACCCTGAAATTAGATTACTCTCAAACTGTGTGATCTTGGGCTAGAAACTTCTCTTTGTGTCATCCATAAACTGAAGATAATAGGACATAGTTCCTCATTTTGAGGATTATATAAAATATGTGCAAGTCCCAAGATTTTATTTTGGTAATAAATATGATCATCTCTAGCATTTTATAGTATTTATTAAAATTATTTTGTTTCCTTTCTCTGTCTCTCTACCCTACTATAGTCTCTCCATTCACAGGTGTCTTCATAAATCTGTCTCAAGATTTGTCAGACTAACCAAGTTTGAACTGAAGATCTGTTACTTACTAGCTGTAAGATGTTATGCAAGTTGCTTAGCAGCTCTGTGCCTCAGTTTCATAATCTGTAAAACTGAATAATGACAGTGTCTACAACATAGGTTTTTTTGCGAGATTGAAGAGATGTAAAGTATTTAATAGTGTCTGGCTCGTAGGAAGTTTTCAGTAAATGTTAGCTATTATTAATTTCCATAGACATCCAAGTTATGTTACATTCTTAAGTATCCCTTACTATCATTATTGTTCCTCACAGAAGACTGATGTATTAGCAATAATCACAAGTATTACCTTCCTGAGCAAAATGCATTTTTTTCCAATCTTAAGTTTCCTCAACTATAAAATGGGAATAACTATAGCACATCCTTCATAGTGATATTCCTGGTGATTATCACTATGTAAAAAACCATGTAAAGCACTTATCAATGCATATAATCATATATTTTCAAGATATATTAGCTCTTATGATTATTTACTCAGTGAACAAATATTTATTAAGCACTTTCTATGTACACGGTACAGTTGTAGGTGCTAGAGATACAGTGGGAAAAGGTAAGACCGATATAAGACTAAGTCTCTGCCACGATGGAGCTTACATTCTAGTAGGAAATACAGATATAGTGATGATTGCTATGAAGAAAAATGGAAGGAGATAGGGTGGTCATGCAAGTACCCTCCAAGGACTTTGAATGTGACATTGGAGTATGTTGATGAAGGGACAAAGAAAGGTTTGGCAGATTACAGCATTGATCATCTGTGCTGTGTGCTGCATTTGAAGCCTGAAAAGGCAGGTAATCAAAAAGGCTGGAGGGTGCTCACTACAACTTGGCCAACTGCAGCATTATTTGGCAGTAAGCCTCATTGACAATTAGCCAAAGAGAGCAGTGAGGCAAATGGAGATAATGTACTTTGTTTGTGAAGTCTGAGGATGTATTGTACTTCTTAATTTTGCCTGTTCTAGAAAAAACTGGTCAAAATATTTGTGATTTTTAAACCTCATAAAACTAGTTATTGCCTTTTATTAGCTTTTAGAATGAGTACTAGATTGTTTCCTAGAGGTTTCATGAAATATGTGGATTATTGTGGGACCTTATTTATTCCACATATGAAACATGATGGTGCTTTCAAAAATGTAAGTAATAGCTAGTAATAAATAGCTTTATTTTATAATGCTGCCTGATGAGTGTTAGATTTGAAGATAACTGGTTTCTAATTGTAGCTGTACTTTACTATTCATATTTACAAAAGCAGCCTTATTATTAAATATATTCTGCCTTGGATTCATGTTAGACTCACTGACTTCTGCTTTCTATTAGAGGGACTAAATCCTTGTAGACCTGCCCTTTGTGTCAAAGAGAGGTCCAGAAATAGTTACAGACACTAAAATTTAAAAGTAGATTTGCATTTGATAGCCTCTTTGGGATTTTACAGGAGGAAAGTCCTGACAATTAGGGAAGAGTTACAATAAGGATAAATGATTGTCTAAATCACATTCAGTAGAAACAACTCAGTTGGATCACTCTTACATCAAGCTTAAATACTATTCAGATAATGGACTTTGAGGGCTAAGATGTCACTAAAATGCCATTCAACTCACTCTGATCTCAGGTGTTTAAAAATTTCCACAGAAAATCTGAGCATTTTGCTAGAACAAAAAAGAATAGTGACATTGAGTTTGACATTTTAGAAAATAAAGTAACAGGGATGATGAACAGAGCAGCATAATGAGATTCCACTGGAGGGCGATGTTAAGACAGACTTGTAGGCAGTTAGACAATGAATCTTAAGATAACTGGGCCCGACTTACTACGAAGGATTAAGAATTAGGGTCCAAATTTCTGGAGAGGAAGTAGTAAAAATTCAATTTTAAATATCAAGATATGCCATGCTTATTGAATACCTATGCTGTGCCACACACTGGACTAGATGCTTGGGAAATAGTGGGAATACTAGCCATGTTCTGTATTAGCTCTCCACCCAGAGGGAGAAACAGATAAATTATTTAGTTTAAAAAATACTGTAATAAAAGAACAGAGTACTGTGGGAACACATAAGAGGAGAACTAAAGCAAAATTGGGGGAGGAATGGTTAACCTGATAGCTGACGAGCAGGAATTAGTGAAGAAAGGTAAAGATAAGGGAGATCCACAACGCTGGAGGACTTGGCTTAGTAACTATCAATAATTGGTTCCAGGGTGATAGCTACAAGTTGAAACAGTCTGAGCTAGTAGTCACCTGTATTTGTATTCAAAGCTTCCTCTGTACTCTGATGTTATGCCAACCATTTCTCTTTTTGTGAATGATCAAACTATTTTTTGCTTATATTGGAAACTTCATTGATGAATTTTCTTCCTATGCTTTTGATTAAAATCAAATCAATCTGTCTTTCTCCAGGGATGTGTGTGTGTGTGTGTGTGTGTGTGTGTGTGTGTGTGTGTGTGCCTGTATGTTTTTGGCTGAACTATTTGAAAGTAAGTTTCAGACATCATGACATGACACCACTGAACTTTTATGCATTTAAAAAAATAAGGACATTCTCCTATTCTCATAATTACCATACCACCATTACTTCTAAACAATATAATAATTCTCATAAGTCTATATTCAAAGTCTATATTCAAAGTCATATTCACAGTCTATATTCAAAGTTTCCTAATTACTCCAAAATATACTGTAGAGCTGTCTTTCCAACCAGGATTCTATCCGGAGCCATATATTACATTTGATTGTTGTTATGTCTATTAACTTTCTTTTAATCTAGAAGTCAGTCCTTTTCTTTATATTCTTTCAATGATTTTGACTATTGATGAAATCAAGAATATTGCCCTTTAACATAAATCACCTTTTGGATTTTCCTGATTTTTTTTTTTTTGGTTTCTTTGAAGCTGCTCCTTTTATGTTAACTTATATTTCTGAAAACTGAAAATTAGGGCTAATGCGTATTGGATTCAGGTTAAACATTTTTCATGGGACTACTTCCTAGGTGAGGCTGTGTGTTGCATATTGCATCATGTTAAGAAACACATAATATGTGATTGACTCTGAACCCAGTGAATGATAACTTGGTTAAGATGATGATTGTCGGCTTGCTCTATTGAAAAGTTAACCTTTCCTCTCTTTTCAGGTAGTCATCCAGGGAGGTGATACTGTGGCACTATGTGAATATTGATTTCCCTATCTACCTATCATCCCAAACTTTTTGTTTTCCTTAATGGTCCTTGCCCAAATCAGTGACCTCAGTGGGGTTTCCATCGCTGCCTACTCTTATGTATTTTGAAGGGAGGCGTGGTTTTGCTAAAATCTTTTCTTGGTTCAGAGGCTTATGAACTTGCTGTATCAGATTATACTTGCATACAGTGAAATAGTTCTTTTCATTTAATGAATCAGCCAGCTATAACTTCTTATCACTGTTGATTGCAGTAGTCCAGTGGTAATTGATAAAGGTATAGTCATTAAGTAATTGTAAATAGGATCTGAGTCAACACTTTGGGGTATAATTGTCAAACAGAAATATTGTTGGGATGGAGGTAGTAGCAGGAAGACAAAAGTCAGGACTTGCCAGTGCTAGAAGGATTACTGAGAAAAGAAATGCAGCAAGAGGCACAAGGAAGAAATTTATGTCAGAACTAAACCAGTGTGATATTTCATGCTGAGTCTAAAAGAGTGGCTAGGCTATGGGCCATAAACGCAAATGCCTGTAGAGACTGAGAGGTAAAGAGCGTGAAGCAAGACCAGTTTAAGGATCAAAAAGGATTGGTGAGGCCTATGAAAAAAATGGGGTTCCTATGTCTTATCTAGAGAGGGTGTGCATTATTTAGCAACAAGTAATTGCAATGTGGAAAATAGACCTAGTGTTGCAAGATCTTTTGATATTGCCAAGAAAAGTTGGAAATCTCAATTATAAAATAAAACAAATGAGCTTTAAAATGGGAACTAATTCAAAGAGTAAGTTAAACGTGTGCAGTGTGACAAATATAGTCTTGGGTCTCATTTAGCTTCTTGGTCATAATTTTTGCAAAATTTGGCCTGAAAATTCTTAAATTTATATATACTAAGGTCAGAAATAAAGTGGGTATGTCGGGGTGTCTACTTTGTGTAGAGAAGGAATGCAAAGTCCAGAAACCAAGTAGTGCCTGATGACCAAGAGTACTTGGCAACCAGCTCTAATCCTGATATAGTGCTTTCCTGTTTGTTTGTACAACCTGTCTCCTAACTTGATTTTAAGTTATTTGAACATAGGCACTTTGTCTTTATGTCCACAGCTGCTTAAACAGTGTCCTCAAGTTCCTGTTTACTCTAGGCCATCAATATTGGGATGATGATGATGACAACAATGACAATGAAGATGATGATGGCGTCCATCCAATAAAAATCAAGGTAAGTTATTTCATATGTTCCTCATTATAAATAAGAATGACAAATTTTTGACATAGAATAAAATACTGCAGTTTATCTGCGAACTAATATTGCCATTTAATGTTATTTTCAACAAAGCGTTTATAAAATTCATGGCTGCAGCTGTTCCATTTTATTATGTACTGACTTGAAAATATTCTTAACAAAAAGCCATTCCTCATTTTTATGTTGTAATGTTTGAGAAAGTAATGAATAATTAAGGTAATTGGAAATACATGAAATTGGGGAGAAGACATATACAGATATATTTTTAGTCATATTTGAAGAGTAGTACTTAAATGATAGTGCACTAACTCTATCATAACATCAGGAAAATTTATATTGTCCGCCTGGTCCAGCTTCATTTTCTGAAAAAATATGTTCTTACATTGTCACATTCATCACCCAACTTCCAAAGTCACAAATCTCGACAAGAAATGGGAGTTTTTATTAGTTCTATTTTCTCCCAAGCATTCTCTGATTTCTCTCTCTCTCTTTCTCTCTAACAAAATACCAATTTAAGAAAAAAGGGCATCAAATGGGAAGTCTAAATATAAGTGCTAAAGGGAAATTAAGTATTTTACAACTTTGGCTAGGAATGACTCTGTTTAAGTGAGTAGCTCATTAACCCAAAGGAGTGAATTTTTAATGGTGACACACTCAGCAGGAAGATTTTTTTATTAATAATTTCATTGACTAAATGTCTTTTATGTGCCAGGCATTCTAATAGATGATTTTAGTATCAAATATAAAATTATTGTCTCTATTTTCACTTCAACCTAGTCAGGAAAGTAGTATTAGCTCCACTTACAGATGAGGAAACTGAGGCTTATAAAGTTTAAGTAACTTGTCCCATGCCATGCATCTAGTAAGTTGTGGATCTGGGGTTAGTACCTGTGTCTGCTCCAAAGCCTGTATTCTTGCTTTATACCACATTGCCTCTGATGTTGCTATGTAATTGTTCTGAATAAATAGGGATAATGTATCCATATTACGTAGTAATACAGACCTTGACCTCTAATCAAAATATATATGAGTTTTGCCTTGAGAATGGCATAATATGTAACCATAATGCCCTCAGACCACAGTAGTTTGAAAAAGGAAAAGCCAAAATCTTGCTTCTCATTAACTTTGATAAGTTGACTTGATGGTTCTCTGTTTTTTGATCCACTTTCACAATATCTGTCTTTAAATTGGAGCATTAAGGCCAAAGAGATTCAAAATCATTACTGATACAGTTAGATTGATAGCTACCATATTTGTTACTGTTTTCTATTTGGTATCCTCATTTTTTGTTCCTAGTTTTATTTTCCACTGTTTTCCTGTCTTTTGTGGTTCTAATTGAGCATTTTATATGCTTTCATTTTCTCTCCTTTCTTAGCATATCAGTTATACTTGTTTTTTTTTAACTTCTTTTAAGTATTGCCATAGAGTTTGCAATTTACATTTACAACTAATCCAAGTCCACTTTCAAGTGACAGTATACCACTTCATGGGCAGCATATCTTATAATGACAGAATAATTCTAATTCTTCCCTTCTGTTCCTCATATCATTGCTGTGACTCATTTCACCTATATATAGGTAAATATAACATATATGCATAAGCATATAAAATAAAATACATTATTACTAATACTACTTTGATCAAACTTATGTTAGATCATTTTAAAATAAGAAAAATATAGTTTTCATTTTTTTAATTAAAAAAATTTTTTAATTATACTTTAAGTTCTAGGGTACATGTTCACAACGTGCAGGTTTGTTACGTATGTGTACATGTGCCATGTTGGTTTGCTGCACCCATTAACTCGTCATTTACATTAGGTAATCTCCTAATGCTATCCCTCCTCCCTTCCCCCACCCCACAACAGGCCCCAGTGTGTGATGTTCCCTACCCTGTGTCCATGTGTTCTCATTGTTCAATTCCCACCTATGAGTGAGAACATGCGGTGTTTGGTTTTCTGTCCTTGCGATAGTTTGCTCAGAATGATGGTTTCCAGCTTCATCCATATTCCTACAAAGGACATGAACTCATCCTTTTTTATGGCTGCATAGTATTCCATGATGTATATGTGCCACATTGTCTTTATCCAGTCTATCATTGATGGACATTTGGGTTGGTTCCAAGTCTTTGCTATTGTGAATAGTGCCATGATGAACATACGTGTGCATGTGTCTTTATAGCAGCATGAGTTATAATCCTTTGGGTATATACCCAGTAATGGGATGGCTGGGTCAAATGGTATTTCTAGTTCTACATCCTTGAGGAATCGCCACACTGTCTGCCACAATGGTTGAACTAGTTTACAGTCCCACCAACAGTGTAAAAGTGTTCCTATTTCTCCACATCACCTCCAGCACCTGTTGTTTCCTGACTTTTTAATGATCACCATTCTAACTGGTGTGAGTTTTTTTTAGTTCTATGTTCTCCGAAGCATTCTCTGATCTCTCTCTCTTTCTCTCTAACAAAATACCAATTTAAGAAAAGAAGGGTATCAAATGGGAAGTCTAAATACAAGTGCTAAAGGAAAATTAAGTATTTTACAACTTTGGCTAGGAATGACTCTGTTTAAGTGAGTAGCTCATTAACCCAAAGGAGTGAATTTTTAATGGTGACACACTCACTGCGGTTTTGATTTGCATTTCTCTGATGACCAGTGATGATGAGCATTTTTTCATGTGTCTTTTGGCTGCATAAATGTCTTCTTTTGAGAAGCGTCTGTTCATATCCTTCGCCCACTTTTTGATGGGGTTCTTTGATTTTTTCTTGTAAATTTGTTTAAGTTCTTTGTAGATTCTGGATATTAGCCCTTTGTCAGATGGGTAGATTACAAAAATCTTCTCCCATTCTGTAGGTTGCCTGTTCACTGTGATGGTAGTTTCTTTTGCTGTGCAGAAGCTCTTTAGTTTAATTAGATCCCATTTGTCAATTTTGGCTTTTGTTGCCATTGCTTTTGGTGTTTTAGTCATGAAGTCCTTGCCCATGCCTAGGTCCTGAATGGTATTGCCTAGGTTTTCTTCTAGGGTTTTTATGGTTTTAGGTCTAATATTTAAGTATTTAATCCATCTTGAATTAATTTTTGTATAAGGTGTAAGGAAGGGATCCAGTTTCAGCTTTCAACATATGGCTAGCCAGTTTTCCCAGCACCATTTATTAAATAGGAAATCCTTTCCCCATTTCTTGTTTTTATCAGGTTTTTCAAAGATCAGATGGTTGTAGATGTATGGTATTATTTCTGAGGGCTCTGTTCTGTTCCATTGGTCTATATCTCTGTTTTGGTACCAGTACCATGCTGTTTTGATTACTGTAGCCTTGTAGTATAGTTTGAAGTCAGGTAGCGTGATGCCTCCAGCTTTTTTCTTTTTGCTTAGGATTGTCTTGGCAATGCAGGCTCTTTTTTGGTTCCATATGAACTTTAAAGTAGTTTTTTCCAATTCTGTGAAGAAATTCATTGGTAGCTTGATGGGGATGGCATTGAATCTATAAATTAACTTGGGCAGTATTTTCACGATATTGATTTTTCCTATCCATGAGCATGGAATGTTCTTCCATTTGTTTGTGTCCTCTTTTATTTCGATGAGCAGTGGTTTGTAGTTCTCCTTGAAGAGGTCCTTCACATCCCTTGTAAGTTGGATTCCTAGGTATTTTATTCTCTTTGAAGCAATTTTGAATGGGAGTTCACTCATGATTTTGTTCTCTGTTTGTCTGTTATTGGTGTATAAGAATCCTTGTGATTTTTGCACATTGATTTTATATCCTGAGACTTTGCTGAAGTTGCTTATCAGCTTAAGGAGATTTTGGGCTGAGACAATGGAGTTTTCTGAATATACAATCATGTCATCTGCAAACAGGGACAATTTGACTTCCTCTTTTCCTAATTGAATACCCTTTATTTCTTTCTCCTGCCTGATTGCCCTGGCCAGAACTTCCAACACTATGTTGAATAGGAGTGGTGAGAGAGGGCATCCCTGTCTTGTGCCAGTTTTCAAAGGGAATGCTTCCAGTTTTTGCCCATTCAGTATGACATTGGCTGTGGGTTTGTCATAAATAGCTCTTATTATATTAATTTTATTTTTTAGAGAAAGGGTGTCACTGTATTTCCCAGGCTGGCCTCAAACTTCTGGGTTTAAGTGATCCTCCTATCTCCCACTGAGTAGCCGGGATTACAGGTACATGTCACCTTGCTAATCACAAAACATTTTAAACTTTATTTATTTATTCTTCGATGCTCTTTCTTTCTCCTTATGAAGATCTGAGTTTCCGCCCTATATTTTCGTTTTCTCTAAAGAACTTTTAACATTTATTTCAAGGCAGATCAATCAGTAACACATTCTCTCATTTGCTGTTTGTCTGAGAAAGTATATTTCTTCTTCATTTTTGAAGGATAATTTCATAGCGTACAGAATTCTAGGTTTGTAGGTATTTTTTTCTCTCAAGAATTTAAATATTTCACTTCATTCTCTTCTTGCTTGAGTGATTTCTGAGAAGTCAGATCTAATTTTTAGCTTTGTTCCTCTATAGGTATTTTTTACCCTCTGGCTTTTTCTTGGATTTTTTTCTTTATCTTTAGTTTTCTATAGTTTGAAACTGTTATGCTTAGGTATAGATTTGGGGGCATTTATTCTGATTGATGTCCTCTGGGCTTTCTAGATCTGTGGTTTGGTGTCTGACATTAATTTGGGAGAAATTCTGAGTCTTCATGGTTTCAAATATTTATTTGGTTTCTTTATTCTCCTTCTGGAATTCTGATTACACATGCAATACACCTGTTATAGTTATCCCATTTTCTAATTGTAACTTTATACCCATTGACCAACCACCTCCTTCTTTCCAGTCTCTGGTAACCACTGTCCGATTCACTACTTCCATGAGATCAATTTATTAAAAATGTGCATATGAGTGAGATCATATGGTATTCATCTTTCTGTGTCTGCCTTAGGTTGATTCCATATTTTGGCTAATGTGAATGGTGCTTCAGTAAACATGGGAATGCAGATATCTCTTTGACATACTGATTTAACATCCTTTGGATATACATCCAGAAGTAGGATTGCTGAATCATATGGCAGTTCTATTTTGAGTTTTTTGAGGAACCTCCATAATGTTTCTCATAATGGCTGTACTAATTTACATTTTCACCAACAGTGTGTAAAATATTCCTATTCTCAACATCCTTGCCAACACTTGTTATATTTTGTCTTTTTGATAATATCCATTCTAATTGGAGTGAGGTAATATTTCATTGTGGTTTGGTTTGTATTTCCCTGATGATAGTGATGTTGAATGTTTTTCAATATACTGTTTTCCTTTTCTACATTTTTTTGAAAAATGCCTATCAAGTGCTTTTTATTGCTATTTTTAATCAGATTGTTTGCTTTTTGCTTTTAAGTTGAGTTCCTTATATATTCTGGATACTGACTCCTTGTCTGATGTATAGCATGGAAATATTTTCTCCCATTTTGTAGGCTGTCTCTTCACTCTGTTGAGTGCAGAAGCATTTTGCTGTGCAGAAAATGCTGTGCAGAAGCATTTTGGTTTGATGTAATCCCATTTGTCTATTATTGTTTTTGTTTCCTGTGCTTTTGAGACTTTATCTAAAAAATTATTGCCTAGTCCAATGTCATGAAGCATTTCCCCTATGTTTTCTTCTAGTACTTTCACAGTTTTGGGTCTTACTTTTAAGTCAATCCATTTTGAGTTGATTTTCAAATATGGTGAATGATAGGGGTCCAGTTTCATTATTGTGCATATGGATATCCAGTTTTCCCAACAATATTTATTGAAGAGATTGTCATTTCCCAATTTTTGTTCCTGGTACCATTGTCAAAAAATTAGTTGGCTATAGATACATTGATTTATTTCTGTATTCCCTATTCTGTTTCATTGTTCTATGTGTCTATTTTTATGCCAATACCATGCTGTTTGGGTTGCTATAGATTTGCAGCATATTTTGAAGTCAGGTAGTGTGATGCCTCCGGCTTTGTTTTTTGTTTGCTTGTTTAATTTGGTTTGTTTTAGCTCAAGATTGCTATGGCTATTTGGTATCTTTTGTGGTTCTATACAAATTTTAGGATTATATTTTATATTTCTGTGAAGAATGTCTTTGGTATTTTGATAGGGATTGCATTAAATCTGTAGATCTCTTTGAGTAGTATGTTCATTTTGACAAAATTAATTTTTTCAACCCATGAACAGGGGATATATTTCTATTTATTTGTGTACTCATCAGTTTCTTCCATCAATGTTTCACAGTTTTCAATTTAGATATTTTTCACCAGTTTGGTTAGATTTATTCCTAGGTATCTTACTTTTTGATAACTATTATAAATGGGATTGTTTTCTTGATTTCTTTTTCATATAGTTCACTATTAATGTGTAGAAACACTACTTTTTTTCACATTAGAAACTGGAGATTTTATTCATTTCAACACTTTGCTTTCATGATAGATCACCAAAAATAATTAAGGCTATAAAAGACATTAAAAACATAATGAAGTAAATGTAACTAATATACATCAAACAACATACCTGAAAATAGATAATATTCCTTCTTTTCACACATCCTTGTCTATTCTCAAAAATTGAACAAATGTTAGGCGTAAAAATATTTTAAGTTCCAAAATCTAACAACAGAACACAAAATACAATCCACCACAACACATTTAAACTAGAAATTGATGACATAGCTAGAAAACAAAAACCCCTACTACCTATCAGAATACATACAAGAACTTTTTTCTTTTTCTATTTGTTTATTTTTAATCTTATTTTATTTTAAGTTCTGGGATACATGTGCAGGACATGCAGGTTTGTTACATAGGTAAATGTGTTCCATGGCAGTTTGCTGCACCTATCAACCTATCACTAGGTATTAAGCCTCACATGCATTAGCTATTTATACTGATGCTCTCCCTCCCCCAGCCCCCCAACAGGCCCCAGTGTGTGTTGTTCCCCTTCCTGTGTTCATGTGTTCTCATTGTTCAGCTCCCACTTGTAAGTGAGAATGTGCGGTGTTTGTTTCTTTGTTTTCCCTGTGTTACTTTGCTGAGGATAATTGTTTCCAGCTCCATCCATGTCCCGGCAAAGGACATGATCCCATTCCTTTTTATGGCTGCATAGTATTCTATGGTGTATATGTACCACATTTTCTTTATCCCTTCTATCATTGATGGACATTTGTGTTGATTCCATATCTTTGCTATTGTGAATAGTGCTGCAATGGACATATGCATGCATGTATCTTTGTAATAGAATGATTTCTATACCTTTAGGTATATACCCAGTAATGAGATTGCTGGGTCAAATGGTATTTCTGGTTCTAGGTCTTTGAAGAATCACCACACTGTCTTCCACAATGATTGAATTAATTTACATTCCCATCAACAGTGTAAAAGTGTTCCTGTTTCTCCACAGCCTCACCAGCATCTGTTGTTTCTTGACTTTTTAATAATTACCATTCTGAATGGCATGAGGTGGTATCTCATTGTGGATTTAATTTGCATTTCTCTAATGATCAGTGATGTTGAGCTTTGTTTCATATGTTTGTTGGCCACATAAATGTCTTCTTTTGAGAAGTGTCTGTTCATGTCCTTTGTCCACTTTTTAATGTTTTTTTCTTGTAAATTTGCTTAAGTTCCTTGTAGATTCTGGATATTAGACTTTTGTCAGATGGATAGATTGCAAAAGCTTTCTCCCATTCTGTAGGTTGTCTGTTCACTCTGATAATAGTTTCTTTTGCTGTGCAGAAGCTTTTTAGTTTTAGTAACATCTCATTTGTCAATTTTTGCTTTTGTTGCAATTGCCTTTGATGTTTTTGTGATGAAATCTTCTACAGTCCTCTGCTCTACCAACTGAGCTATTGAAGGATCTTGAAACACTATCAGTTTTTGTATGTTGATTTTGTATCTTGTTACTTTAATTTGTTTATTAGTTCAAATAGTTTTTTATGAAGCCTTTAGAGCTTTCTATATATAAGATTTTGTTATCTGCAAACAGAGACAATTTAACTTTCTCTTTTCTATTTCAAATGCCCTTTATTTTTTCTCTGCCTAATTGCTCTGGCTAGGACTTCTAGTACGAGGTTGAATAGAAGTGGTGGAAGTGAATATTCTTGTCATATTCCAGATCTTAGAGGAAAAGCTTTAAATTTTTCCCATTTAGAATAATGTTTGCTGTGGGTTTGCCATATATGGCCTCTATTATATTGAGGTATGTACCTTTTATACTTAATTTGTTGAGAGTTTTTATTATAAAGGGATGTTGCATTTCATCAGAAGCTTTTTCTGAACCTATTGAAATGTTCATATAGTTTTCGTCCCTCTTTCTGTTAATGTGTTATGTCACATTTATTGATTTGTGTATTTTAAAACATTCTTGCATCCCTAGGATAAATCCTACTTGATCATAGTGAATAATACTTTTAATGTGTTGTTGAATTTGGTTTGATACTATATTTTGTTCAGGACTTTTGCATCTATGTCCATCAGTGATCTTGGCCTATAGATTTCTTTTTTGTTGTGTTTTTGATTTTGATATCAGAGTCATGCTGGCCTCAAAATGAGTTTGGAAGTATTTCCTCTTCTTTAATTGTCTGGTGTAGTTTGAGAAGAATTGGTATTAGCTCTTCTTTAAATGTTTGGTAAAATTAATCAGTGAGGCCATCAGATTGTAGGCCTTTTTTTAATTGGTGGGAGAATTTTTATTACTGATTCAATTTTCTCACTCATTATTGGTCTGTTCAGATTTTTTATTTATCCTTAACTCAATCTTGGTAGTTTGTATGTGTGTGATAGCTTTTTAAATTCTTGTAGGTTATCCACTTCTTTGGCATATCATTGTTCATAATTGTCTCTCATGATTCTTTGTGTTTCTGTGATATCAGTTGTAATATCTCCTTTTTCATCTCTGATTTTATTTATTTGAATATTTTCTTTTTTTTAGTCCAGGTAAAGGTTTGTCAATTTTCTTTATGTTTTCAAAAGCTAACTGTTTGTTTTGTTGATCTTTTGTTATTTTTCTAGTCTCTATTTCTTTTTCAATGTTCTGATCTTTATTATTTCCTTCTTATACTAATTTTGGATTTAGATTGTTCTTGTTTTTCTAATTCCTTGAGGTGCAATATTAGGTTATTTGAGATTTTTTTTTTCTTTTTTGCTGTAGGCATTTATTGCTATAAACTTCCTTCTTATAACTGCTTTTTCTGTATCCCATAGGTTTTGTTATGCTGTGTTTCAACTTTTATTTGGCTCAATAAATTTTTAAAAATTGCCATTTAATTTCTTAATTGTCCTATTTATTATTTATAAGCCTGTTGTTTAATTTCTGTGTATTTGTAAAGTTTCCAAAATTCTTCATTTTATTAATATCTAGTTTTATACCATTGTGGTCAGAAAAGATAATTGATACAATCTCTATCTTCTTAAATTTGTTATGACTTGGTTTGTGGCCTAATATGCGATCTATTCTGGAGAACTTTCCATGTGCAGCTGAGAAGAATAAGTATTCTGCAGTCTACCATTGATGGGCATTTAGGTTGATTCTGTCTTTGCTATTGTGAGTAGTGCTGCAATGAACATGTGTGTTCATGTGTCTTTATGGTGGAACAATTTATATTCCTTTGGGTATATACCCAGTAATGGAATATCTGGGTCAAATGGTAGTTCTGGTTTTAGCTCTTTTAGGAATCACCATATTGTTTTCGAGAAAGGTTGAACTAATTTACACTCCCACCAACCATGTATAAGCATTCCCTTTCCTCTGCAACCTTGCCAGCATATGTTATTATTTGACTTTTTTTTTTTTTTTTTTTTTTTTTGAGACCGAGTATCACTTCATTGCCCAGGCTGGAATACAGTGGCGTGATCTCGGCTTGCTGCAACCTCTGCCTCCTGGGTTCAAATGATTCTCGTGCCTCAGCCTCCCGAGTTGCTGGGACTACAGGCATGAGACACCATGCCAGGCTAATTTTTGTATTTTTAGTAAAGACAGGGTTTCACCATGTTGGCCAGGCTGGTCTCGAACTCCTGACCTCAGTTGATCCACCTGACTCAGTCTCCCAAAGTGCTGGGATTACAGGCGTGAACCACTGCACTCAGCCTGTTTGACATTTTAATAATGGCCATTTTGACTGGTGTGAGATGGTATCTCACTGTGTTTTTGATTTGCATTTTTGTAATGATCAATAATATTAAGTTTTTCTTCATATGCTTGTTGGCTGCTTGTATGTTTCCTTTTGAAAAGTGTCTGTTCATGTCCTTTGCCCACTTTTTAATGGGGTTGTTTGTTTTTTCATGTAAATTTGTTTAAGTTCCTTATAGTTGCTGAATATTAGACCTTTGTCAGATGTATAGTTGGCAAATATTTTCTCCCATTCTGTAGGCTGTCTGTTTACTCTGTTGATAGTTTCTTTTGCTGTTTAGTTAAATTAGGTTCCACTTGTCAATTTTTGTTTTTGTTGCAATTGACATGTGGTGATGAGAAGAATGTATATTCTGTTGTTTGTGAGTGGAGAATTCTGTAGTTGTCTATCAGGTCCATTTGATCTGGTGCTGCATCCAGGTCCTGAACATCTTTGTTAATTTTCTGCCTTGATGATATAATATTGTCTGTGGGGTGCTAAAGTCTCTCTCTATTATTGTGTGGGAGTATAAGTCTCTTTGAAGGTCTCTAATAACTTGCTTTATGAATCTGGGTGCTCCTATGTTGGGTGCATATATATATAGGATAGTTAGGTCTTCTTGTTGAATTGAACCCTTTACCATTATGTAATGCTCTCCTTTGTCTTTTTGATATTTGTTGGTTTGAAATCTATTTTGTCTGAAATTAGGATTGCAACCCCTGCTTTTTTAAAAATTTCTATTTGCTTGGTAGATTTTCCTCTATCTCTTTATTTTGAGCCTATGTGTGTCATTGCCTGTAAGATGGGTCTTTTGAAGGCAGCATATAACTGAGTCTTGCTTTTTTTTAAATCCAGCTTGCCACTCTGTGCCTTTTTAATGGGGCATTCAGCCCATTTACATTCCAGCTTGCTATTGGTATGTGTGGATTTCATCCTGTCATTGTGTTCTTAGCTCGTTATTAGGCCAGCTTGTTTGTGTGGTTGCTTTATAGTGTCACTGGTCTGTGTACTTAAGTGTGTTTTTGCATTGGCTGCTAATGTAAAATTGGCTGGTTTTTCCTTTCCTTTCCATATCGTTTGTTTCCATATTGCTCCTTTCATAACGTTCCTTTCAAAATCTCTTGTAAGGCAGGTCTGGTTGTCATGAACTCCTTCAGTATTTGCTTGTTTGAAAAGGATCTTATTTCTCCTTTGCCAAGGGAGCTACATTTAGCTGGATATGAAATTCTTGGTTGAAGATATTTTTCTTCAAGAATGCTGAATATAGGTCTGCAATTTCTTCTGGTTTATAGGATTTGTGCTGAGAGGTCCATTGATGGTGTTACCTTTGTTGGTGACCTGCCCTTTCTCTCTAGCTGCCCTTGTGAAATAAAAGAAATAAATTCTTTCACTTCAACCTTGGAAAATCTGATGATTATATGTCTTGGGGATGATTTTCTTGTGTAGGATCTTTCAGGGGTTCTTTGTGTTTCCTGAATTTGACTGTTGGACTCTCTATCTAGGTTGGGGAAGGTTTCATGGATGATACCCTGAGTTAGGTTTTCCAAGTTATTTGATTTCTCTCCATCTCTTTCAGGGATGCCAATCATTCATTGATTTGGCTTCTTTATACAATCCTATATTTCTCAGAGGTTTTGTTCATTCATTTTCATTATTTTTCCTTTTTTTTCCTTTTTAAATTTAACTTTCATTTTAAGTTCAGGGGTACATGTGCAGATTTGTTATATAGGTAAACTTCTGTCATGAGGGTTTATTGCACAGATTTCATCACTCAGGTATTAAGCCTAGTACCCATTAGTTATTTTTCCTGATCTCCTCCCTCCTCCCACCCTCCATCTTCCAATAGGTCCCAGTGTGTGTCACTTTCTTCTATGTGTCCATGTGTTCTCATCATTTAGCTCCCACTTATAAGTGAGAACATGCAGCCTTTGATTTTCTCTTTCTGCATTAGTTTGCTAAGGATAATGGCCTCCAGCTCCATCCATGGTGCTGTAAGGACATGATCTCATCCTTTTTTAAGGCTGCATAGTATTCCATGCTGTATATGTACCACATTTTTTTTATTATTATACTTTAAGTTCTGGGATACATGTGCAGAATGTGCAGGTTTGTTACATAGGTATATACGTGCCATGGTGGTTTGCTGCAACCATCAACCTGTTATCTACATTAGGTATTTCTCCTAATGCTATCCCTCCCCTAGCCTTCCACCCACCAACAGGCCCCAGTGTGTGATGTTCCCCTCCCTGTGTCCATGTGTTCTCATTGTTCCACTACTACTTATGAGTGAGAACATGTGGTGCTTGGTTTTCTGTTTCTGTGTTAGTTTGCTGAGAATGATGGATTCCAGCTTCATCCGTGTCCCTGCAAAGGACATGAACTCATCCTTTTTCAACCATCTGATCTTCAACAAACCTGACAAAAGCAAGCAACAGGAAAAAGATTCCCTATTTAATAAATGGTGTTGGGAAAACTGGCTAGCCATATGAAGAAAACTGAAACTGGACACCTTACTTACACCTTATACAAAAATTAACTCGAGATAGATTAAAGACTTAAATGTAAGGCCTAAAACCATAAAAACCCTGGAAGAAAACCTAGGCAATACCATTTAGGACATAGGCATGGGCAAAGACTTCATGACTAAAACACCAAAAGCAATGGCAACAAAAGTCAAAATTGACAAATGGGATCTAATCAAACTAAAGAGTTTCTTCACAGCAAAATAAACTATCATTAGAGTGAACAGGCAACCTACAGAATCTCTCCATCTGACAAAGGGCTAATATCCAGAATCCATAAGGAACTTAAACAAATTTACAAGAAAAAAACAACCCCATCAAAAAGTGGGTGAAGGATATGAACAGACGCTTCTCAAAAGAAGACATTTATGTGGCCAACAAACATATGAAAAAAAGCTTATCATCACTGGTCATTAGAGAAATGCAAATCAAAACCACAATGAGATACCATCTCATGCCAGTTAAAATGGCGATCATTAAAAAGTCAGGAAACAACAGATGCTGGAGAGGACGTGGAGAAATAGGAACACTTTTACACTGTTGGTGGGAGTGTAAATTAGTTCAACCATTGTGTAAGACAGTGTGACGATTCCTCAAGGATCTAGAACCAGAAATAGCAGAAAAGCCAGGTGTGGTGGCTCATGCCTGTAATCCCAGCTACTCGGGAAGGAGGCTGAGGCACGAGAATCACTTGAACCCGAGAGGTGGAGGTTGCAGTGAGCAGAGATGGTGCCACTGCACTCCAAAGCCTGGGGAACACAGTGAGACCCTGTCTCAAAAAAAAAAAAAAAAAATAAAAAAAAAAAAATAAAATAAATAAAAAAACAAAAAAAAGAAAAGAAAAGAAAAGAAATATGCAGACCCAATGTGTAAAATGGCTTATGGTTTATAAAATAGCATGCAAATGTATGCTGTTAGTAATCTAGACTCTCTTAACACTAACATGATGTCTAAATGATGCAAACAATTTAACCATAAGGTTGATAAGGTATATTTGATCATTCTTATGATTAACTCTAATACATTTCATTTTATGCTTTCCAGTTTGTTTTGTGGGAACAGCTTTGGCCATAGAGGAAATGTACACAAACAGGTTCAATATTCAGAGAATGCCTATAGAAAAAAGTAAAAACAAAGGGTTATGTGAAAATTATGGAAATAACTAGTTTTTAAGCATTTTTAGGCATATTGTTTGAAATTATTTGTGGATAGAACCTTAAAAGAGCCAGATTATATCAAAAGCAAACAGACTTGAATGAGTACATTAGAAACACAATGAAGGTTGGGAGAGGGGAAGACAAAAGTGGAAGAAGGAAGGTCTTGCTTGACCCTTTAAAAGGTGTTTCAGAGCTGCTTGATAAATAAGCAAAAGGCAAGTCTTGGAAGTTTGGTGCCCTAAAGAGAAGAAAAAAAAGACTGTGTGGGTTTAGAAAATACTAGTCTCTTCAGGTCCTTTTTGCTAAAGGTAACTGAAAAGAATTTAAAATAGGTAATTAATACCTGTCCTGCTTTACCTCCTTTTAGAAACAATGTGGGAGTTTACATATATAAATGTAAAACTAATATCTGTACTCAAAATAGTAGCTGAGAAAAAATGGTGACATGGGACCAGAGAACTTTAAAAGGCTTGAGACAAGCTGTAGGTAGGAGAAAAATAAGCCAACATTTTAGGAGATGGGAATTACATTAAGTGGTAATAAGTACTTTACTTAAATTTTCCTTTCTTTTTCAACTTTTGCTTTAATGTGGATATTTTGCAATCTGTAAGTAGAAGTCAGTTAACCAATATATGTGCCATTGTCTGAATAAACAAGACCATGTTTTTATATAAAGGCTTGGGGGAGAGTCTGATCATATCGCCTCTGCTTGTCTCCAACCCAAATGTCCCCTGTAACTTTAATTTTCTCTGTGTTACCCCAGGGACCTTCACCCTGTAGCAGATTTCCAAGGTCCTACAAGATTTAGGACCATGTTAAAACTTGCCCTATAACTTCATGTTATTTGAATGATCAAACTACAGTCATGGGCTGCATAATGACATTTCGGGAGTGGTCCCATAAGATTATACTACTGTATTTTTACTGTACTTTTTCTATGTTTAGATATACCATTGTTTTACAGTTGCTTACAGTATTCAGTTCAGTAACCTGCTGTACAGGTTGGCAGCCTAGCAGAAATAAGCTATACCATATAGCCTAGGTGTGTAGTAGTCTATGCCATCTAGATTTGTATAAGTATACTCTATAATTTTTGCATAATACCTAAACTGCCTAAAGACTCATTTCTTAGAATGTGTGTATCCTCATCACTAAGCAATGCATCACTGTATCCTAATCATTTATTTCCCTAGGATATTTCATTAGGATGAAATATTAGCTGTTAAGAAGCTTTAAATTATTTATTGTTTCATTGTTGAATAGTTTCTTTCACACTAATGGTGGTGAGAGCATAAGCTGATAAGAACATGTGAATCTTAGCTCTAATAAGTTTCATTCTGAGAATTAGAATATGTTAAATATAATAGTACTATAGGCCAAAGTTGTATATTGAAAAGATAGTGTCACTATAATGATATACATTTTTTAAGGCCTTTAAGAATAGATGACTATTAAGCTAGCCAGTCCCCTGGGGAGTGCATTAACGCATTTAGGCCATGGGGTTGATTGGCAAATGACTGCTGTGATGTACTCACTCATCAATGGGGGTCTCAAAGAGTTACTGCATCTCTGAAAGCCCTGAGGAATAATTTATATAGTGAAAGAATTTGAATGAATAAATATAACCTGATGTGTTTTAATGGTCTTTGATAAGCATCAAAGACTAACATTTTAGAAGACCATTTGTGCTTTGTAGGGATGGGATTGAGGGCTACGCAATTTAGAATTTCCATCTCCTTTTGAAGTAGGACAAAAATTGTGTTACTTTGACCTTTTCAAGGAATAATTTGTCTTACAGGCTAATGCTATTTTTCTCTGTTAAATGGCTCCATAACAACTGAGGAAGAGGCAGAATAGGCAATCAGTCAATATGTAGTGTTGAAAATGGCAAATGTTCAGACTGATTATGTTAGGAGACACTCTTCATGCTAAAGTCTGCTAAATGGAGTTTTATAAACATATTACAGTACCCAAGTTATATTGTAATCCTATTATGCTACTCTTTTCCATAGAGGCAGCACTAATGGGAGATAGTCACAATGGTGCTTTACCTATGTTTTACCTTACTAAATACCTTTTAGATCTGTACTAGAATTCCATCCTGGGTTTACTGCGCTTAGTAGCCTTAGAAGCATCATGTATTTCGAAAGTGGTATTTTACCCTTCATTAAACCTTGTATTACAAAGAAAAAGCTGTCTTTGTGACATTTAAGTAGGAAGATGTTATGATAATATTTAATGTCTAGAGACAGACAGACAGGATTCACAATGAAATAATTTGGATGCCTTGTATAATGAATAAAATTAAATCAGCACTAAGGAAAGGGAAGTGCCTTGAGCAAAAATGTTTAGCGTGCTCAGAAAGGTTGCAATATTTTCATCACTAAATTAATATAAGGGATATAAATAATGCTAGTCTTATAAATGTTAATTAACTCTCATTACAGCAGCATTTCTCCTGATAGAGGGACTACCTTCACCAACATTACCTGGGGTGCTTATTTAATATGTAGATTCTTGGGCACAACCTCTAACTCATTGAATCATAATCTTTTCGAGTGTAGAGCAGGATCTTCATTTTAAACTAGTTCTTTGGATGATTCTTTTGAACACTAATGTTTGAGAACCTCTGTTCTAAAGAGAAGCAGGACATGTTGATAGAAAATCTAGTCAAAGCTTTTGGCTCAAAACAGCTGTGGGTTTTTATGGCTGCTGGGACAAACTACCACAAATTCAGTGACTTAAAACAACACAAGGTTATTATTTTATAGTTCTTTATATCAGAATTCTGACACAGGTCTCATTGTGTATTGGCATGGCTGTGTTTATTTCTGGAGGCTATAGGGAAGAACCTATTTTCTTGCTTTCTCCAGCTTCTAGAGGACACCCTCTTCCCTTGGCTCGTGACCTCTTGAAAGCCAGCAACATTGGACTGAGTCCTCATTCTGCAATCTCTCTGGTTTTCTCTTCTATAGTCACATCTCCTTCTGACTCTGACTCCTCTCTGCATCCCTCTTCCACTTGTAAGGACTCCTGGGATTGCATTGGGCCCATCAGGATTATCAGGCTAATCTTCTTATTTTAAGGCCAGCTGATTAGCAACCCAAATTCCAACTGCAACCTTAATTCTCCTTTTACCATGAAAGGTAACAAACTCATACATTCCATGGATTTGGACAAGGACATTATTGGAGAGTGAACACTGTTTTGCATACTACAAGTACAGATCATTTATTCCTTCATTCAATAGGTACCTATAAAGAACATACTTATGCTGATCACTGTGCTAAATGCTGGAGATAGTCAATAAGGCAGTCTTTGTCAATAACACATTTACAGTTCAGTGGGGAAGGGAGACACAGGCCATTAGATAATTATAGTGCAGTAAGTACTATAAAAGAGAAATACAAAAGGCAAAATGAGAGCCCAGAAAGGGAATGATTTATTCTCCCTGGGAAAGTTGAAGGTTTGACAGTACATACTGACTTTTGAACTGGATTTTAAAGGAAGACTAGAATTTCACTATGTGAATAAGAAATTTGGCGCATCATAATCAGAGAGAATAACTTGTGCAAATCCCTGGAGTTACAGAAGATTATGGTTTGTCCAAGGAGCAACTAGTAGTGGGTGTGGCCAAAATTGGGTGGGGTGACAGTGCATGAACTACATATTGGCAAAAGATAGGGCTGGAGAGGCAGGGAAAGGACAGGTTATGGTGGACTTTTTCATGTGTTAAAGAGTTTGGACTTTATGCATGCAATGGGAAACCACTGAGGGTTTTAAAAAGGGGATGTCATGACAAATCTGTGATGCTGGGTGGAAGATGAATGTGGAGGGAGAGGAAAGACTGAGGACAGAGAAAGCATGTAGAAATATAATATCAGTTGAAAGATGGTGAGGTCTGAATAAGAAAATGACAATGAGGATGGAGAACCAGGGGTTTATTTGAAAGACAAAGAGGAGGAAGAATTAACAGGAGTCTGACTAACTCAAGGAGGTGGCATGGGGTAGGGAAGGAATTGAAAGAGATTATAGAGTAGGAAAAAAAAAAAGATCTCAGCTTTCTAGACAGAAAACAAAGTAGCTGGTTTCCAGAGAAGTAGGTGGAACATAAAGTGAAATATCAAATGATATTACAATATAAGTACAGTAGATATTTGTTATGGAGAATATAATTACAAAAGCACAGACCTTGCAATCAGTCAGCTCTCTGTTAAATTTTCAGATATGTTACTTACTAGCTGAATAGCTAGTAAACAAAAACCATAAGTGGAGCTACATCAAACTAAAAAGTCCCGCACAGCATAGGAAATAATCAACAAAATGAAAGTCAGCCTACAGATTGAGAGAAAATATTTGTGAACTGTACATATGATAAGGAGTTAATATTAAAAATGTATAAAGAAACACACAACTCAAGAACAAGAAAATGAATAGCCCAAATAAAAAATAGCCAGGGGACTTGAATAGACTTTTCTCCAAAGAAGACATAAAAGTAGTCAACAAGTGTATAAAAAGTTGCTCAGCATCACTGGGGACATGCAAATCAAAACCACAATGACACATCGCCTCACATCTGTCATAATGGCTATTATAAAAAAGATGATAGGTAAGTGTTTGCAAGGACATAGAGAAGAAGGAGCCCTGTACACTACCGGTGGTAATGTAAATTAGTACAACCATTATGGAAAATAATATGAAGTTTTCTCAAATAATTCAAAATAGTACTACGATATGATCCAGGAATCCTTCTGAGCAAATCCCCAAAGGAAATGAAATCAGCACCTTTAGGAGATATATGTATTCCCATGTTCATTGAAACAGTATTCACAGTAGCCAAAATGTGGAAAAAACCTAAATGTCTGTCAATGGATCACTGGATAAAGAAATTGTGGTATATATTGATGAATAATATTCAGCTTTAAAATAAAGGAGATCTTATCATTTGAGATGACATGGATGGAACTGGGGGACATTAGGCTAAGTGAAGTAAGTCAGACACAGAAAGACAAATTCCACATAATGACTCTTACATGTAGAATCTAAAAAAAAAGGCTAATACAAAGAAACAATAAAATGGTGGTTACCAGAAGTGGGGGCAGGGGGAGATATAGATCAAAGAGTACAGAGTTGCAGTTATATAGGATGAATAAGTACAGACCTAAAGTGCAGCATGAAGACTATAGTTAATAACATTGTATACTGCAAATTTTCCAAGACAGTAGACTTTGGGTGCTCTTAACACACACACACACACACACACACACACACACACACACACACACACAAGTAACCATGTGAGATAATGGATAGGTTAAGTTACTTACCTGTAGTAATCATTTCACTATGTATGTATAAAGTATACCCAAACATTACACCGTAGACTTTAAATTTATACAACAAAAAAGAGAAAAAACGTTTAAAAAACAGAAAACAAAACCAACAAAGAAAACCACTAATCTTAATCTGCCTTAGCTCTATACTCTCACTTTCTATGCTTAGTTCAAATTTCTGAGATAGAAATTGTGATTGTCTATTTGTCATCTAGTGGATTGGTTACTTTTGAGTTGGGTACCCTATGGGTAGGTGGATAGTGCAGTTTATACAGACAAGGTGTATGGACTGAAAAGACAGTCCAAGAAGTGTAAATGACTATGTATTTTTTTACCATATCCAGGGCATGTAGTCCTTTATGTGTTATTTTCTCATGTCAGGTCCATAGCCTCACTCACCACTGGGCTACCTCTTCAAGGACTTCCTTTTCCTATTGTGATTTTTATAATGTTCAAGACTGGCCAAGTCTTACTATTGCCACATCTATGTTCCTCTTGATCTTGAAACTTTCCTGAACCTATTTCATGTTTTTGGTTTGTGTTTTCTTTAAAAACTAAATAATCTGATGAATAAATCCTGTACCCCACAAGGAATAAAATCCTCACCTAGTACCCCCTACTCACAGCCTGAGGAGATGAGATCTATAATGGCATGCTTAGAAAGCTGAAAACAATTTTCATCCATCCCTACCTTCCTGCTGTTTGAGAATACCATCTGGAGCCAGAAGTAGCAGGCAGTTGACAGGCACTCCCATGCTCCCTCCCCACTAAAAGAAAAGTAGCTAGCAGCAGAAGCAACATTCCTACTTCTTATCAGTATATATATATTTGGTATAAAACATTTAAAAGGTTACCAGCTTATGAAACAGAGCATGGCGTAGTAGAAAAAGCCTCAGAAAAGAGTTTAAGAGATTTGAGTTCTAATCCTAGACAGAACCATATTATGTATACGACTTTTGGCTTCTATGCAGAGAACCATTCTGGTGCCTTCCATAAGACTAGACCAGTGTTCCATTAATTTTCAGAACTAGCTGGGTTGCTATGGGAGCCTGTAAGTTCCCTATGCAACATAAATATTTATAAAAAGTACAATCCTCAGCCAGCATTTTCTAAAATATTAGAGAGACTGCTTGCAGCTGAGAAATACTAGGATTCCCAGTATGAATGCTAAAATGTTGAGGTTTATGCAGCAGTATTTGGACTAAAGGCATCCCAGAAGCTGACTTGGGGGTTGGGGTACACCCTCCCTTTCTTTAGATGTGCCTCTTGGCACTCTGTCTGCCTTGGAGAATGAAGTCTGGCATATTGCCTGCCTCTTTTATTCTGTTTATTCTGCAAATGCCAAGAGAGCAACGAGGAAGATAAAACACAAAATTAAATCCCAGAATATGTCCTTGGGTTGAGGGATGAAAAATCTGGGGCTGTGGTTTTCTGAGGAATCTGTATTCCTGCTTCTTTGCCCAGATTTTTGGTGAAGAGGTCCCCTAAATTCTGGAAGCCAGGTGGAAAGCTGTGGATGGCCCACATCTAGGGCCCTAGGCCAAAACTGAGCTTCTCATCAGAGGAAACAAAAGCCTGTGAGCCTCATGTTTCAGCTCTATCCCATTTATTATTAATGGTAGGGTATTCATATTTTACTATTACACTCCTACTACACCCCTTGTTTAACTTAATCTGCTTGATGATTTCTGCTTTGGAGTTTGGATTTCGTTGAAAGCATGATAGGTTGTAGCATAGTGAAGCTATTCGACACTGGGAATAGAGAGGCAGAATTACACATGTTCTATGTTTGGTTTGTATTTAACTTCATTATACTATAGTAGTTTCTAAGTTAATTTGGATGCTGTAATAGGTGCTGAAAGCCAGGCAGATTTCTGTCTAGTCACTCATTTTCTAATGTATATGCAAACCAAATTTCTAACTGGATTCTAAAGGATCCAGTTAATTTCCTCTGTCTTTCATCTCTATTATAGCAGCTAGTAAATACTAAAAGTGCTATGTATTGAGTATTTTCTTGGTAGTCATTTTTCTTGGTAGTATTAAACATGTAATATCTGATTAAATTCCCAAAACAATACTCTCATTAGAGTGTTATTATTTGTTTCATATTATAAATGAGAACACTGAGACTTTAAAAAGTCAAGTAGGCTTTTTTTAGAGATAGACAACTAGTAAGTTGCAGAACTTGAATTCAAATTCAGATCTTTCTAACTCCATATTCTTAATGACTGTACTACCTTCCATTACATTATAATGTATATAGTTTTAGAAATCATAATCACAAAGTTTTGGCTTTCTAAGATTAGAGGGATAGGCTCAGTAACTCAATGCATGTGATATAGAGAATTTTGGCCACATCTACAGAGAATCAAAGAGGTACATAAATGAATAACAGATACTGAAGACAGAAACTCCAAGTTCAGTCAAAAGCCAAGGTGTTCCTGGTCACAAACTGTTCCATATTAGTAACCATCCTCAAGATAGATCCACTGATGCCACAGACCCACAGAGTTCTTTAAGGATCTACTCAGTAGCATAAATATTGGACTTTTATAAAGCATTTGAAAGTCACCTTCAGAGGAAGCATAGTAAGATGGAGTAGAAAGCTCCAACAATTGTCCCCCACACAAGGACACAAAGTTAACAACTATCTACACAGAAAAATATCTTCATAAGAACCAAAAATCACAGGAGCACTCACAGTACCTGGTCTTAATTTCATATCCCTGAAAGAGGCACTGAAGAGATAGGAAAAAACAGTCCAGAATCACCAGTGCCACACCCCCAACCACACTGCAACTGCAGCATGGTGCAGAGAGCATCTCTGGGCGCTGGGGCGGCAGAACACAGAAATTGTGAGGCATTGAACTCAGTGATGTCCTGTTAACAGCATAAGGGAAAATCAGATCAAACTCAGCTGATACCTGCCCACGGAGGGAATGTTGAAACTAGCCCTAGCCATAGGGAAATCACCAATCCCAGGGGTCCAAACTTGAGTGCCTGCAAACCTCACCACTGAGAGCTACAGCACTCTGTGTCTCCAAGTAAACTTGAAAGACAGTCTAGGCCAAAAGAACTGCAAATTGTAGGCGAGTCCTAGTGTGAAGCCCCGTACCAGGGCCTAGCTCCCAGATGCCATTTCTAGACGTACTCTGGGCAAGAAGGGAACCTGTTGCCTTGAAGGAAAGAACCCAGTCCTGGCAGCATTCATCACCTGCTAACTAAAGAGCACTTGGGTCCTGAATAACAGCAGCAATAACTAGGTATTGCATCAAGGGCCTTGGTTGAGCCTCTGAGACTTGCTGGCTGAAGTTGATACTCAGCACATTACCAGCTATGCTGGCTATGGTGCAAAACTCCTGCTTGAGAAAAGCAAAGGGAAATGTAAAGGTACTTTGTCTTGCAAGTTAGGTACCAGCTCAGCCACGGGGGTGTAGAGCACTTAGTGGGCTCCTGGGTCCACAATTTTAGGACTTGACTCTTGGATGGCATTTCTGGACCTGCCCTGGGCCAGAGGGCAGCACACTGCTGTAAAGGGTGAGTACCAGGCCAGAAAGGATTCCCAAAAAGCTGACTTAAAAGACCTTGGGCCATAAGAAAACATTGGTGGTAGTCTGGCAGTACTCCTCATGGCTTGGGGTGGTGGTGGCTATGGGATGAGGTTCTTCTGCCTTTGGAAAGGGGAGGGAAGAGTAGGAATGACTGTGTCTTGAGGTTTGAGTTCCAGCTCAGTCCTAATACTATAGAACACCAACTAGACATTTAAGGTTTTTAACTCTAGACCTTTACTCCAGGACAGGACATCTGGCCCCACCTCAGATGTAGGGAACCTCGCTTCCCTGAAGGGAAGGACACAGGTCTGGCTGGCTTTGCCACCATCTGACAGTAGAATAACAGGGCCTTGAGTGAACATAGGCAGTAGGTAAGAAGTGGTTACAGCAGGCCTTAGGTAAGATCCAGTGTGCTAGCTTTAGGTCTAACCCAGTGCAGTCATAGTGGTGACAAGGGTTGCTTGTGTCATACTGCTGCCAGCTTTAAGTGGCTCAGAACAGAGAGAGACACCGTGTTTGGGAGAAAGTAAGGGAAAGGAACAAAACTCTCTCCCTTGTAATTCAAAGAATTCTCACAGGTCTTCTCAAAGACCATCAAGGCAGTACCAGTACGAGTCTGAAAGGACCATAGCATTATTGAGCTTGGGGTGGCCCCTAAAGCAGATACACATTAGATTACAACACCCAAGTCCTTTCAAATATCTGGAAAACCTTCCGAAGGACAGCTACAAATAAGCCCAAAGTGAAGCCAGCATAGTGCTGGGTCTCTCTCAAGGCCTTCTGTAATCACTCCCTGGCCACTGCCTATGTTCACTCAATGCCCTGGGGCTCTACAGTCAGATGGTGGCAAAGCCAGCCAGGCCTCAGGCCTGTGTTCTTCCCTTCAGGGTGGCAAGGCATCCTAGGCCCTGGTTAGGTCCAGAAGTACCTTCTGGGAGTCAGGAACTAGAGTCAAAAACCTTAGAAATCTACCTGATATTTTATTGTACTGCGATTAAGCTGGCAGTCAAATCACAAAACAAAGGTTTTCCCACTCTTCGCTTCTTTTTCCAAAGGCAGAGGAGCCTCATCCCGTAGCCACCAGTACCCTTGGTTATGAGGACTACTGCCAGACTACCACTGATATTCCCTTAAGGCCCAAGGTCTCTTAAGTCAGCTTGTCGTGAATGCTGCCCGGCCTGATACTTACCCTTTAGGGCAGTGTGCTGCCCTCTGGCCCTGGACAGGCCCAGAAATGCCATCCAAGTGCCAAGTCCTGGACTCAGGGACCCCAGAAGCTCCTTTGGTGCTCTACTCCCCTGTGGCCGAGCTGGTACCTAACTTGGAAGACAAAGTTCCCTTTACTTTTCTCTCTAGTTTTCTCAAGCAGAAGGAGTTTTGCCCTGTAGTCACCACAGCTGGTTATGTGCTAAGTCTCACCTTAAGCCAGCAAGTCTCAGAGGCTCACCAAGGCTCTTGATGTCTGGTTATTGCTGCTGGTTATTCAGGGCCCAGGAGTTCCTTAGTTAGCAGGTGATAAATAATGCCAGGACTGGGTTTCCTCTCTTTCAGCAGGTTCCCTTCTTGCCCAGGGTGTATCTCTAAATAAGGTCTGGAAGCTTGGGCCTGGAACGGCAGACTCATGACTCTGACTATTGCCCTATCCTGCTTTGGCTGAGCTGGTATCTAAGATGCAAGACAAAGTCCTCCCTACTCTTCCCTTTCCTCTCCTCAAGAGGAATGAAGGGGTTTTCTTTTGGAGCCATGAGCTGTGGAGCCTGGGGTTAGGGAAGGGATAATGCCAGCACTCCATTGGTAGCCCCAGCTAGTGTCTCAGAAGGTCATGTGTCCCCACCCACCACCATCCACTGTCTTTGGGCCTCCTTCAGCCCTAGGAGCCACCTAAGAGTTGCGGTTCTTATGACCTCAACTGCCTTTCAAATTTACTCAGAGACCAAAAACACTTTGGCTCTTGGTGGTAAGGTTTGCAGGCACTCTAATTTGGACCCGTGGGATTGGCAATTCTCCTATGGCTAGGGCTGGTTTAAATATTTCCTCTGTGTGTGGGTATCAGGTGAGTTTGTCTCGATTTATTTTTTCTTCTCTAACAGAACAGCATTGAGTTCAATGCCTCACAATTTCTGTGTTCTCCCTCCCTATCACCCAGAGAAGTTCCCCACACAGCACAGCTGCTGCCTACAGTGGGGGAAGGGTGGTGTTGGTAATTCAGGATAGTTTTTTCTAACTCTTAAGTACCTCTTTCAGTGATATGAAGTTAAAGCCAGGTATTATAGGTACTCACCTGATATTTGATCCCTATAAAGGTGTCCTTGTCAGGGGGACAATCACTGGAGCTTTCTATTCTGCCATCTTGCTCTACCTCTAATGATGCATCTTAAAGAACTAGCAAAGCAAACCCCCCAATTAGTAGAAGAAAAAAAAAACAGAAAGATCAGACCAGAAATAAATAAAATTGAAATGAAAGAGATAAAACATCAGCAAAACAAAAACTTGGTATTTTGAAAAGTTAAACAAAATTGACAAACCTTTAACCAGAATAACTAAGAAAAAAAGAATATCCAAATAAATAAAATTAGAAATGAAAAGGAGACATTACACCTAATACTGAAGAAATCCAAAAGATCATTAGTGGCTACTGTGAGCAACTATATGCCAATAAATTGGAAACTCTAGAGGAAATTGACAAATTCATAGATACATACAATCTACCAATATTGGACCAAGAAGAAATCCAAAACTTGAACAGACCAATAACAAGTAATGAGATTGAAGCAATAATAAAATGTCTCCCAGTAAAGAAAAGCCTGGGACCTGATGGCTATACTGCTGAATTTAAAGAACTAATATCAGTTCTCCTCAAAGTATTCTGAAACATAGAGGAGGAGGGGATATTTTCAAACACATTGAACTGATTTTCAACAAAGGTGTCAAGAACATACACTGGGGAAAAGACAGTCTCTTCCATAAATGTTGCTGGAAAAACTGGATATCCATATGCAAAAAAATAAAACTAGACCCCTGTCCCTTGTCATATACAAAAATCAAATCAAAATGAATTAAAGACTTAAATCTAAGACCTCCAACTATGAAATTGCTACAAGTAAACATTGAGGGGAGAGACACCCCAAATACTGTGAGTGCCCCAACTGTGGAAGTGGGAAAGGGAGACCCTCCTCTCCCATACACACACCCCCACTGGAGAAATTGAAGGTCTGTTTGTGGGAGAAGTTTCCAACCTTACCTGAAGCTGAGTCAATTTAGAGAGCTGAGCAAAATACAGAGGTAGAGGAAGCAGCAGAAAAGCCCTGGTATCTCGCTGGGTCCCCCAGTGGGCCATTCCTGATTGGCACCACAGGGATCCATTGGGAGGGTGGCCAGAGGAGCAGGGGGTAAAACTCCACAGGAAGAAGGAGTTTAATTAGAAGAAATCTCTAAATGAACTTTGTAACAATTTGAATGGGGTGAGAAGCCTCTTGGCTAGGACTCGGGGGAAGGTGCAAATTCGGTGTGCAGACTCAACAGGCCGGGGAAGAACCACACCCTTTTCTTTCACAGCTAGGAGGCAGGTAGCTTGGGGGCAAGTTCTCAAGCCCATCTCACTCATCACCAGGAAACAGACTTGGGGCTATTGAGCAGGGGCACAGTAGGAGTGAGACCAGTTGTGCAGTTTCCCCAGGAGCTGGGTGAGGCCTGTGACTGCTGGTTTTTCCCTATTTCCATCACAACCTGCATGACTCAGCAGAGGCAGCCATAATCCTCCTAGTCACCCAACTCCAGTGACCTGGGAATCTCATCCGCATCCCCCACAGCAGCCATAGCAAGATCCACCCAAGGAGAGTCTGCGCTTCTGAGCTCAGACACGCCTAGCCCTGCCCCCACCCGATGGTCCTTCCCTACCTACCCTGGTAGCAAGACAAAGGGCATATAATCTTGGGAGTTATAGGGCCCCACCTACCACTAGTCCCTCTCTATACTACTACAGCTGATGCTCTCTGGAAAGTGGCACCTCCCAGCAGGAGGCCAACCAGCACAAAGATAGAGCATTAAGCCCCCAAAGCTAAGAACCCTCAGGGAGTCCATTGCACCCCCTCTGCTATCTCCACAACATGTGCCGGTATCCACGGCTGAGAGACCCATAGATGGTTCATATCACAGGACTCTATGCAGATAACCCCCATCACCAGCCTTGAGCTGTGTAGACTCACTGAGTGGCTAGACCCAGAAGAGAGACAATAATCACTGCAGTTCAGCTCACAGGAAGCCACATCCATAGGAAAATGGGGAGAGTACTACATCAAGAGAATACCTCATGAGACAAAAGAATCTGAACAACAGCCTTTAGGCCTAGACCTTCCCTCTGACAGAGTCTACACAAAAGAGAAGGAACCCCAAAACCAACCCTGGTAATATGACAAAACAAGGCTCTTCAACACCCCCCAAAAATCACACTAGTTTAGCAGCAATAGATCCAAACCAAGAAGAAATCCCTGATTTACCTGAAAAAGAATTGAGGAGGTTAGTCATTAAGCTAATTAGGGAGGCACCAGAGAAAGGTGAAGCCCAATGCAAGGGAGTCCAAAAAATGATACAAGAAGAAGAAATATTCAAGGAAATCGATAGCTTAAAGAAAATCCAATAAAAAATTCAGGAAACTTTGGACACAGTTTTAGATATGCAAAGTGCTCTGGAAAGTCTCAGTAATAGAATTGAACAGCTAGAAGAAAGAAATTCAGAGCTCAAAGACAAGGTCTTTGAATTAACCCAATACAATAAAGGCAAGTAAAAAAGAATAAGAAAATATGAACAAAGCCTCCAAGAAGTCTGGGATTATGTTAAACTACCAAACCTAAGAACAATCAATGTTCTTGAGTAGGAAGAGAAATCTAAAAGCTTGGAAAATATGTTTGGGGAATTAATCAAGGAAAACTTTCCCAGCCTTGCTGAAGACCTAGACATCCAAATACAAGAAGCATGAACACCTGGAAAATTCATTAAAAAAAAATATGCCTAGGCATATTTTCATCAGGTTATCCAAAGTTAAGACAAAGGAAAGAATCTTCAGAGCTGTGAGATAGAAGCATCAGGTAACCTATAAAGGAAGACTTATCAGATTAACAGCTGATTTCTCAGCAGAAACTGTAAAAGCTAGAAGGGATTGGGACCCTATATTCAGCCTCCTCAAATAAAACAATTATCAGTCAATAATTTTGTATGCAGTGAAATTAAGCATCATATATGAAGGCAATATATGGTCTTTTTCAGACAAACAAATACTGAGAGAATCCACCATTACCAAGCCACCACTATAGAAACTGCTAAAAGGAGCTCTAAATCTTGAAACAAATCCTGGAAACTCATCAAAACAGAAACTCTTTCAAGCATAAATCGTACAGGACCTATAAAACAAAATGCAAGTTAAAAAGCAAAAACAAAAAACAAAAAGACCAAAGTACACAGGCAACAAAGAGCAAGATGAATCCAATGATACTGTACATTTCAATAGTAACATTGAATATAAATGGCGGAAATACTCCACTTAAAAGATACAGAATTGCAGAATGGATAAGAACTGACAAACCAACTATCTGCTTCCTTCAGGAGACTCACCTAACACATAAGGACTCACATAAACTTAAAGTAAAGGGATGGAAAAAAGCATTTCATGCAAAGGGACACCAAAAGAGAGCAGGGGTAGCTATTCTTATATCAGACAAAACAAATTTTAAAGCAATGGCAGTTAAAAGAGACAGAGAGGGACATGATATGATGGCAAAAGGCCTTGTCCAACAGGAAAGTATCACAATCCTAAACATATATGCACCTAGCACTGGAGCTGCCAAATTTATAAAACAATTACTAATAGACTTAAGAAATGAGATAGACAGCAACACAATAATACTGGGGGACTTCAATACTCCACTGACAGCACCAGACAGGTCATCAAGACAGAAAGTCAACAAAGAAACAATGAATTTAAACTATACCTGGGAACAAATGGACTTAACAGATATATACAGAACATTTCATCCAGCAACCACAGAATACATATTCTACTCAACAGTATGTGTAACTTTCTCCATGATAGATCATATGATAGGCCATAATATGAGCCTCAATAAATTTAAGAAAATTGAAATTATATCAAGCACTCTCTCAGACCAAAGCAGAATAAAACTGGAAAACAACTCCAAAAGGAACCTTCAAAACCATGCAAACATGAAAATTAAATAACCTGCTTCTGAATGAGCATTTGGTCAAAAACAAAATCAAGATGGAAATTTAAAAATTATTTGAATTGAATGACAATAATGACACAACCTACCAAAACCTGTGGGATACAGCAAACGTGGTGCTAAGAGGAAAGGATATAACCAAAAAAGAAAGCCAGGAAAAGTATACAACCAAAAAATAAAACTACAGACTGATATCTTTGATGACCATAGATGCTAAAATCTTTAACATAATACTAGCTATCCGAATCCAACAACATATCAAAAAGACAATCCACCATGAACAAGTGGGTTTCATACCAGGGATGCAGGGATGGTTTAACATACGTGAGTCAATAAATGTGATACACCACATAAACAGAATTAAAAACAAAAATCACATGATCATCTCAATAGATGCAGATAAAGCATTTGACAAAGTCCCGCATCCTTTTATGATTAAAACTCTCAGCAAAATCAGCATACAAGGTATATACCTTAAGGTAATAAAAGCCATCTATGACAAACCCACAGCCAACATAATACTGAATGGGGAAAAGTTGAAAACATTCCCTCTGAGAGCTGGAACAAGACAAGGATGCTCACTCTCACCACCTCTCCTCAACATAGTACTGGAAGTCCTAGTCAGAGCAATGAGACAAGAGAAAGAAATAAAGGGCATCTGAATTGGTAAAGAGGAAGTCAAACTGTCACTGTTTGCTGATGATATGATCGTTTACCCTGGAAACCCTAAAGACTCCTCCAGAAAGCCCCTAGAACTGATAAAGGAATTCAGCACAGTTTCTGAATACAAGATTAATGTACACAAAGCAGTAGCTTTTCTATACACCAATAGCGACCAAGTGGAGAATCAAATTAAGAACTCAACCCCTTTACAATAGCTGCAAACAACAACAACAACAACAACAACAACAACAAACCCCAAAACTTAAGAATATACCTAACCAAGGAGTCTGACGACCTCTACAAGGAAAACTACAAAACACTGCTGAAAGAAATCACAGACTACACAAACAAATGGAAACACATCCCATGCTCATAGATGGGTAGAATTAATATTGTAAAAATACCCATACTGCCAAAAGCAATCTACAAATTCAATGCAATCCCCATCAAAATACCACCATCATTCTTCACAGAGTTAGAAAATACAATTCTAAAATTCATATGGAACCAAAAAAGACCCTGCATAGCCAAAGCAAGACTAAGCAAAAAGAATAAGTCTGGAGGCATCACACTACCTGATTTCAAACTATACTATAAGGCCATAGTCACCAAAGCAGCGTGGTACTAGTGTAAAAGTAGGCACATAGACCAATGGAACAGAATAGAGAACCCAGAAATAAACCCAAACAATTACAGCCAACTGATCTTCAACAAAGCAAACAAAACATAAAGTGAGGAAAAGACACCCTTTTCAACAAATGGTGCTGGGATAATTGGCTAGCCACATGTAGGAGAATGAAACTGGATCCTCATCTCTCACTTTATACAAAAATCAACTCAAGATCGATTAAGGACTTAAACTTAAGACCTGAAACTGTAAAAATTCTGGAAGATAACATTGGAAAAACCCTTCTAGACATTGGCTTAGGCAAGGATTTCATGACCAAGAACCCAAAAGCAAATACAAGGAAAACAAAGATAAATACCTGGGACCTAATTAAACTAAAGAGCTTTTGCATAGCAAAAGGAACAATCAGCAGAGTAAACAGACAACCCACAGAGTGGAGAAAATCTTCACAATCTATACACCTGACAAAGGACTAATATCCGGAATCTACAATGAACTCAAACAAATCAATAAGAAAAAAAAATCCCATCAAAAAGTGAGATAAGGACATAAATAGACATTTCTCAAAAGAAGATATACAAATGGCCAACACACATATGAAAAAAATGCTCAACATCACTAATGATCAGGGAAATGGAGATCAAAACCACAATATGATACCACCTTACTCCTGCAAGAATGACCATAATAAAAAAAAATTAAAAAACAGTAGATGTTGGTGTGGATTCTGTGATCATGGAACACTTCTACGCTGCTGGTGGGAATGCAAACTACTACAGCCACTATGGAAAACAGTGTGGAGATTCCTTAAAGAACCAGAAGTAGAACTACCATTTGATCCAGCAATCCCACTACTAGGTATCTACCCAGAGGAAAATAAGTCATTATTCGAAAAAGATACTTGCACATGCATGTTTATAGCAGCACAATTCACAATTGCAAAATTGTGGAACTAACACAAATGCCCATCCATCAATGAGTGAATAAAGAAACTGTGATATATATATATATATATATATATATATATATATATATATATATATATATATATATATATATGCATATATATATGCATATATATATGATGGAATACTATTCAGCCATAAAAAGGAATGAATTAACAGCATTTGCAGTGACCTAGATGAGATTGGAGACTATTATTCTAAGTGAGGTAACTCAGGGACGGAAAACCAAACATTTTATGTTCTCACTAATATATGGGAGCTATGCTGTGAGGACGAAAAGGCACAAGAATGATAGAATGTACTTTGGGGACTTGGAGTGAAGAGTGGGAGCGGGGAGAGGGATAAAAGACTACAAATATGGTGCAGTGTATGCTGCTCGGGTGATGAGTGCACCAAAATCTGACAAATCACCACTAAGGAACTTACTCATGTAACCAGTTACCACCTGTGTCCCAATAACTTACGGAAAAAAAAAAAAAAAAACATTGGGGAAAATTTCCAGGATATTGGTCTGGACAAAATATTCTTGAGCAATACCCCACCACCACAGGAAACCAAAGCAAACATGGACAAATGGGATCACATCAAGTTAAAAAGCTTCTGCATAGCAAAGGATACAATCAACAAAGTGAAGAAACAACCCACAGAGTAAGAGAAAATATTTGCAAATTACCTCTCTTACAAGGGATTAATGACCAGAATATATAAGGAGTTCAGACAACTCTATAGAAAAAAATCTCGTAATACTATCAAGAAATGTGCAAAAGATTTGAATATACATTTACTCAAAAAAGACATATAAATGACAGCAGGCATTTTTAAAGGGGCTCAACATCATTGGTCATCAGAGAAATGCAAAACAACATTACAGTGAGATATCATCTCACCCCAGTTAGAATGGCTTGTATACAAAAGACACGCAATAGCAAATTCTGGTAAAAATGTGGAGAAAAGGGAACCCTTGTACACTGTTTTTGGGAATATAAATTAGTACAACCACTATGGAGAACAGTTTGGACATTCCTCATAAAACTAAAATTTGAGCTACCATATGATCCAGCAATCTCATTGCTGGGTATGTACCCAAAAGAAAGAAAATCACCATATCGAAAGATTATCTGTACTCCTATGTTTGTTGAAGCACTCTTCACAATAGCTAAGATTTGGAAACAACCTTTGTGTCTTTCCATCAACAGATTAGTGGATAAAGAAAATGTCATACATATATAAAATGAAGTACTATTAAAAAGGTACTATATATTGTACTCCATACATAATGGGAGTACTATAAAAAAGAATGAGATCCTGTCATTTGCAACAACATGGATGTACCTGGAGATTATTAAGTTAATCAAAGTAAGCCAAGCCCAAAAAGCAAAGCATTGCATGTTCTCGCTTATTTTGGGGACCTAAAAATTTAAAAAAAAAATTGGACTCATGGAGATAAAGAGTGGAAGGATGGTTACCAGAGGCTCTGAAGGGTAATAGGGGGCTTGGAGGGAGGTCAGGATTTATAATGGAGACAAAAAATAGAGAGAATGAATAAGATCTACTATTGATAGGACAATAGGGTGTCTATATTAAATAATAACTAAATTGTACATTTTAAAATAACTTAAAGAGTGTATTTGGATTGTTTGTAACTCAAAGGATAAATGCTTGAATGGGTGGATACCCCGTTCTCCATGATGTGTTTATTTCAATTTGCATGCCTGTATCAAAACATCTCATGTACCCCGCAAATATTTACACCTACTATTTCTCACAAAATTAAAAAATTAAAAAAATAAAAATAATCTCACTAAATTAACATCCCAGTATAATGTTGAGCAAAGAATAATTACCAAATGGGAAAATAAAAATTTTAAATAAAGATTTAAAAACTCAACCTCAAATAACAACAGCCGTTATACCTTTTTAAACCCATTCAGAATTATAATAATGAGAAATTGGTAATATAGTTATGCATCACTTCACGATGGGGATAACTTGTGAGAAATGCATCTTTAGGAGACTTCATTGCTATGGGAACATCATAGAGTGTATTACAGCAACCTAGATGGTATAGCCTACTATGCACACAGGCTATATAATATAGCTTTTGCTGCTACTCTACAAATATGTACATCATGTTACTGTACTGAATACTGTAGGTAATTATAATACAACTGTAAGTATTTGTGTACCTAAACATATGTAAACATAGAAAAGCCATCGCAAAAATATAGCACAAAGGATTAAAAAAATAGTACACCTGTGTAGTGTACTTAACATGAATGGAACTTGCAGGACTGGAGTTGCTCTGGATAAGCCAGTGAGTGAGTGGTGATGGACTGCAAAAGCGTAGACTACTACTGTGCACTACTGTCAACTTTATAAACACTGCACTTAGGCTACATTAAATATATAAAAACATTTTTCCATTAGTAATAAATTAACCTTAGCTTACTGTAACTTTCTTAACTTTATAAACTTTTTAACAGTCTAAACTTTTTGACTCTTTTGTAATAACACTTAGCTTAAAATACAAACACATTGTAAAACTGTACAATAGGTTTTCTTTCTTTTTATCTTTATAAGCTTTTTTCTGTTTTTGAAATTATTTATTTCTTTACTTTTTAAACTTTTTTCTTAAAAACTAAGACATAAACACACACATTACCCTAGGCCTACATAGGGTCAGAAGCATCAAAATCATTGACTTCCACTTTCACATCTTGTCCCTCTGAAAGGTGTCCAAGAGCAGTAACAACTACACTACAGTTTTATGGGATGACTGTTGTATCTGCTGTTTGTCATTGACAAAAACATCGTTATGCACCACACAACTATACTCAGTGTTGGAGAGAGTCTGGGGGAAATGGGCACTGTAATACACAGCTGACAGCAATGTAAATTGGTGATCTCTTTCTAAGAGGAAATTTATAAAATCAACCTCAATTGAAAAATGGATGTCCTTTCATTCAGCAATTCTACTTCTAGAAGTTTATTAGGCAAATGTGCAAATAAGTATCTATGAGGATGCTCATTTCAACGTTGTTCACATTTGATAAATCTTAGAAACAATCTAAAAGATTACTGATAAGAAATTTTATTAATTTATGTGATAGAGTAATATTCAGACCTTAAAACTATATATGACTATATTTATTGATATGAAGAGAGAGCCAGGCTATTAAATTTTACATAGAGTAATCATCTCATCCTTTTCTGTATATTTAGTATATAAGAACAAAATGTTAGCTAATTATACCTGGGCACTAGGTATTATTCTTCTATATATTTTTTTCTGTTTTTTTCTCAAAGTTTTACAATAAATAGGATGATTTTTATAATCAGAAAGATGTAAAACTTTTTTGCACTTACAAGTTCCGTGTTATCTTGTCAGTGGTAGGGTTGGTGAAATCTTCTCACTAATGTTGAATAGGAACCTGGTATCAGAGTAGGCTATGGATATGGGAGGAAATGAACCTAAATATTCGGAGCTTATTGTAATGACAACTGGAGTTCTGGCAAAGAAAAATGGAGCAGTTCACAGAGTTAGACAGATTGACAGTCAGTACCAGGGCAATTGTGGGAGAACTGGAATCATCATTAGAACATGGAGTCAGACTAATTAAAAGTTTTTGTGGTGCCAATTTTCCTGTGTTTTAATAATGTATAGTTACCACTAACGACTGGCATGAATTTACTGACTGAGTTTCTTTATAGCCCTTTGAAATAAGGCAGAGTCAAAAGGAAGTCAACTTTGTATTACCGGAGGAAGGATGGTCTGGTATGATCAGACTCTTGCTTGAAGCATGCCCCTATACCACAACTGTCATTGGCTGCCTTTTTATTTAAACAACAACAACTTTATTGAGGTATAATTTATGTACCATAAACTTATCCATTTTAAAAGTACAATTCAGTGAATTTTTTAGTACATTTACAAAGTTGTGCAACCAGGCCAGGTGTGGTGGCTCACACCTGTAATCCCAGCACTTTGGGAGGTCAAGGCCACTGGATCACTTGAGGCCAGGAGTTCAAGTCCAGCCTGGCCAACATGGAGAAACCCCATCTCTACTAGAAAAAAAAAACATACAAAAATTAGCCTGACATGGTGGTGTGTGCCTGTAATTCCAGTTACTCAGGAGACTGAGGCACAAGAATCGCTTGAACCTGGAAGATGGAGGTTGCAGCGAGCCAAGATTGCACCATTGTACTCCAGCCTGGGTGACAGAGCAAGACTCTGTCTCAAAAAAAATGCACCCCAAACCCCCCAAAACCAAAAACAACCAAACAACAACAACAAAAGTTTTGTAACCATTCCCACAATTATTTTACATTTTATTGCCCCAAAAAGAAACTCCATATACATTAGCAATCATTCCCCCCATTTTCCCAGCTCTAGGCAACTACTAATCTACTATTTTTTTTTTTTTTTTTTGAGATGGAGTCTTGCTCTCTTTCCCAGGTTGGAGTGCTATGGGGCAACCTTGGCTCACTGCAACCTCTGACTCCCGGGTTCAAGCGATTCTCCTGCCTCAGCCTTCTGAGCAGCTGGGATGACAGGCACCTGCCACTGCACCCAGCTAATTTTTGTATTTTTTAGTAGAGACAGGGTTTTGCCATGTTGACCAGGCGGGTCTCAAACTCCTGACCTCAGGTGATCCACCCGCCTTGGCGTACCAAAGTGCTGGGATTGCAGGCATGAGCCAATGCGCCCGGCCTAATATACTTTTTGTTTCCATGAAGTTGCCCATTCTGGACGTTTCATATAAATGAAATCATATAGCATGTGGTCTTTTGTGCATGCTTCTTTCACTTAGCATAAGGTTTTTAAAGTCCACCCATGTTTGTATCATATGTCATTACTTTGCTCCAGAGACTGTCTTCATAGCACTGAAAGAGAAAAGCAGTAAATGACTAATGAGAAGCATTCCCTCTGCTGGAAAGAAAAGAAAAACATTTTCAAAAATGAAAATGGGTGAGGCAGAGTGAATGCTAAGGACTGAGGATTGAAAAGGTTGTAAGAAATCAAAAGATGTGACTTGTGAAATTGGAACTGATGAACTCAATGAAGAGAAATACTTCATACACCCTTAGGAGGTTGCAGGAACTAGAGAACTGGGAAAAAACTATAAAGTTTTGCTCTATGTAATAAACAACTGCTTAAAATGAATGCAAAATTTCAGAGGAGATACCATATGTCTTCAAGAGAAGATTATGAAGAAAAAGATGTAACTCATCCTTCATCTTTGGAAGTGCCCCAGTGAAAACCTTTCTGAGTTAGTCAGATTATAGATGACATTGGATTAGAGAGGGTAATAGCAGGACTGCTGAATCTCTAGATAAATTCATCATGTTCCTTAGGATCCCCCTGCCCCACCCACCTATAAGTAAAATTTTATTGTGTATGTAGTTTCCATGTCGCCTAACTTAGCACTCCCATTTTTTAATTTTTATATTGTTAGCTGAGTGTGTCAGACATGTCATGTATTATATTTCTCCTATTACCCACTATGCACTAGCCACACCCTCTACCAAGCCATGCCAAGCCAAACCAAACCAACCAAACAAAGTAAAACAAAACAAAAACATTATACAAGGATGGGCAGATAATAGATGCTCAATAGGCACCAGTTGAATGATTATTGTCCGAAAGGAGAGGGATGGTAAATATTAGTGGTGAGGGTTGTACAACTCTGACTGTTCAAAAAACACTGAATTAAACACTTTTAAGAAGTTAGTTTTATATTTTATAAATTGTATTTTGAGGTTATAAAAATGAAATTAAAAGTTTTTTGAAAGACATTATGAAAATGTTGATTTAATTTATCTAGCAAACAACAAAAAATTAAGCATTGATGTGAGAAGAATATTATGTTCTGCTGTGGGAGTGTTTTGAGGACTGACAGTATGTGGTGCTTCTTATTAAGTGAAACTTGAGAACAGGAATGGTAAACTATGACCTAGTGCCTGTTTTTATAAGTACAATTTTATATATTGTCTATGGCCGACTGCCTTTCTATAAGGGCAGAGTTGAGCAGTAGCAACAGACTATATGCTCCACAAAGATTTAAGTACTTACTGTCTGGTCCCATATAGAAACAGTTTGCTGATACCTGCTTTAGAATGTATGTATTAATTTGTATCATTTTTGCTGCATACTCATGAAGAGCCATAATTCTTAATAAAGTCTTTCTGATGGTGACAATTCATCAGGTCCTATTTAAAAAAAGCACAAAAAAGGAAAAATATAGCATCAGAACTTGGGAGATAAAAACCCTGCTGTGAGAGCAGACTGCAGATAAACAAGAGAGTCAGGAGGAATATTGGCTTATAGAAGAAACCACCTTAGATAAAAGAGGGAATAAACTATGTATGTGAAGGGAAAATATGGAAAATTTGAGAATTTTTTGAGCTAATAAGAAATGAGTCACAAATGTCGGCAAATGTTATTGCTTTATTTGGTGGTGGGAAAAGAATTGTATATTACTCTGTTCCAATGCTGCTAATAAAGACATACCTGAGACTTGGTAATTTATAAAGGAATGAGATTTAATTGACTCACAGTTCCACATGGCTGGGGAGGCCTCACAATCATGGCAGAAGGTGAATGAAGAGCAAAGTCACATTTTACTTGGTGGCAGTCAAGAGATCTTCTGCAGGGAAACTCCCATTTATACAACCGTCAGATCTCGTGAGACTTATTCACTACCATGAGAACAGTATGGGGGAAACTGCCCTCATGATTCAATTATCTCCACCTGGCTCAGCCCCTGACATGTGGGGATTATTACAGTTCAAGATAAGATTTGGCTGGGGACACAGACTAATCATATCAAATGATAAATATGTATAATATGTAAATAATATTGCTAATTAAAATCCTACAAGGACCAAACATGATAATGGCTGGGAAAGTAGTTTGGAAAGCAGAGGCAGTATGCAAACATAGTTTCTGTTATTAAGTATTGTGTTTTAGACTCCAGATTATTCTCTCTGTATGAAGCTATTCAAGGATGTTGCCTTATTTCTTGCCTTCCCTGGCAAAAAATACACAAAATAAACTGTATTTTGTGGCCATTTCATTTTTGATTTTTTCTTTAGTCATTTTGTTCCCAGTTCTGACTTGTAGTCTATGTTGCTGATTTTAGTTGCTTATCCTACTTGTTTCAGCCTTGCATAGTCTCTTGTTTCCCCTCTGTAGGTGGTAATCCTAATATCAGATGCACTGGGCTCTGATTTTCACTCAATCTAAAGGTTGTGGCATATAATGGGGTAAGGAAAACACAGTGGGTCAAGTCTACCACACTATTCATGTTCTGTCTGGCTAAATCTTTGCCTTCCTTTCTCTACTCTTTGCCTTTGCTAGTAGCTCCATCATTGCCTTACTCTTCCATGCTTACAAACATTTGAAATCTTTCTCTCCTTCACTTAGAATATTCTGGAGCACCTACTCTGTTCAAAGACTAGCTATGCTAAATATTACAAGGATGTAGTTCTTAAAGTTTACCCTTTTAATCATACAATTCTATCACTTCCATAAAATCCCTCTTGCTCCTTTGTAGTCAAATCTTCCCCCTCCCCCAACCCCTGACAACGACTAATCTGTTAACTGTCCCTATAGTTTTGTCTTTTCCAGAATGTCATACAAATGAAGTATACACTGTGCAGTATTCTTACTCTTCTTTTATATAATGTAATGCATTTAAAACTTATCCATGTCATTGAGTGTATTAATAGTTCATTCCTTTTTATTGCTATGGTAGCCTATATATATAGCCAAGATGTATAGTAAGCTATACTATCTAGATTTGTGTAAGTATACTCTATGATGCTCACACAACACAATCACCTAGATCTATACAACCTACCAAGATTTAACCAGGAAGAAATCCAAAACTTGAACAGAGCAACAGTAAGTAACAAGATTGACGCAGTAATAAAATGTCTCCCAGTAAAGAAAAGCTTGGGATCTGATGGCTGTAATGCTGTATTATACAAACATTGAAAGAAAGACTAATATCAGTCCTAATCAAGGTATTCTGAAAAATAGAGAAGGAGAGAATACTTCCAAACTCATTATATGAGGCCAGTATTACCCTGATACAGAAATCAGACAATGACACATCAATAAAAGAAATCTATAGATCAATATCTCTAATGAATATTGATGTAAAAATCCCCAACAAAATACTATCAAACGAAATTCAATATATTAGAAAGATTGTTCATCATGAGGAAGTGGGATTTATCCCTGGGATACAAGGATGGTTCACATATGCAAATCAATCAATGTGATACATCGTATCAACAGAATGAAGAATAAACTCCATATGATCATTTTAATTGAAGCTCAAAAAGCATTTGATAAAATTTAACATCCAAAAATTGGGGATAGAAGGAACATACCTCAACATAATAAAAGCCATATATGAAAGACTCACATCTAGTATCATACTGAATGGGGAAAAACTGAAAGCCTTTCCTCTAAGATCTAGAACACAACAAGGATGCTCACTGACACCACTGTTATCAGACATAGTACTGGAAATCCTAGCTAGAGCAGTCAGACAAAAGAAAGAAATAAAGAGCATCCAAATTGGAAAGAAAGAAGTCAAATTATTCTTGTTTGCAGATCATTTAATCTTATATTTGGAAAACCTAAAGACTCCACAAGAAAACTATTAGAACTGGTATATTCAATAAAGTTGCAGGAAACAAATCAACATAGAAAAATCAGTAGCATTTCCATATGCCAACACAGAACAATGTGAAAAAGAAATCAAATACCTAGGAATTAACCAAAAAATGAAAGACCTCTATAATGAAAACTGTATGGCACAGATGAAAGAAATTGAAGAGGACACCAAAAATGGAAAAGTATTCCATGTTTATGCATTGGAAGAATCAATATGGTTAAAATGTCCATACTACCCAAAGTGATCTAGAGATTCAATGAAATCCCTATCAAAATACAAAGGACATCCTTCACAGAAATAGAGAAACAATTCTAAAATGTATATGGAACCACGAAAGGCCCAGAATATCCAAAGCTAACCTAAGCAAACAGAACAAAACTGGAAGAAGCATATTACCTGATTTCAAATTATACTACACACCTATGGTACCCAAAACAGCATGATGCTGGCATAAAAACAGACACATAGCTCAATGGAACAGAATAGAGAACCTAGAAACAAATCCACATACCTATACTGAACTGATTTTCAACAAGGTATCAAAAACATACAGTGGGAAGATGGCCGAATAGAAACAGCTCCGGTCTGCAGCTCCCAGTGAGACTGACGCAGAAGGTGGGTGATTTCTGCATTTCCAACTGAGCTTCCGCTGGTGATACCCAGGCAGACAGGGTTGGAAGTGGACCTCCAGCAAACCCCAGCAGACTGGCAGCAGAGAGGCCTGCCAGAAGGAAAACTAACAGAAAGGAATAGCACGTGCACCCAAAGACCCCATCTGAAGGTCACCAACATCAAAGACCAAAGGTCGATAAATCCACAAAGATGGGGCAGAACCAGCACAAAAAGGCTGAAAATTCCAAAAATCAGAACACCTCATCTCCTCCAAAGGATCACAACTCCTCACCAGCAAGGGAACAAAACAGGACAGAGAATGAGTTTGATGAACTGACAGAAGTAGGCTTCAGAAGGTGGGTAATAACAAACTCCTCCGAGCTAAAGGAGCGTGTTCTAACCCAATGCAAGGAAGCTAAGGACCTTGAAAAAAGGTTAGACGAATTGCTAACTGGAATAACCAGTGTAGAGAAGAACATAAATGACCTGATGGGCTGAAAAACACAGCACAAGTACTTCATGAAGCATACCCAAGTTTAAATAGATGAATCGATCAAGTGGAAGAAAGGATATCAGTGATTGAAGATCAACTTAATGAAATAAAGAAGACATGTTTAGAGAAAAAAGAATGAAAAGGAATGAACAAAGCCTCAAAGAAATATGGGACTATATGAAAAGACCAAATCTACACTTGATTGGTATACCTGAAAGTGACGAGGAGGATGGAACCAGGCTGGAAAACACTCTTCAGGATATTATCCAGGAGAACTTCCTCAACCTAGCAAGACAGGCCAACATCCAAATTCAGAAAATACAGAGAACACCACAAAGATAATCCTCAAGAAGAGCAAACCCCAAGACAAAAAATCATCAGATTCGCCAAGGCTGAAATGAAGGAAAAAATGTTAAGGGCAGCCAGAGAGAAAGATTAGGTTACCCACAAAGGGAAGCTCATCAGACTAACAGCGGATCTCTCTGCAGAAACCCTACAAGCTGGAAGAGAGTGGGGGCCAATATTCGACATTCTTAAAGAAAAGAATTTTCGACCCAGAATTTAATATCCAGCCAAACCAAGCTTCATAAGAGGAGAAATAAAATCCTTTACAGACAAGAAAATGCTGAGAGATTTCAAGCAAATGCTGAGAGATTTTGTCACCAACAGGCTTGCATTACAAGAGCTCCTGAAGGAAGCACTAAACATGGAAAGGAAAAACCGGTAGCAGCCACTGCAAAAACACACAAAATTGTAAAGATCATTGACACTATGAAGAAATTGCATCAACTAATGAGAAAAACAACCAGCTAGCATCATAACGACAGCATCAAATTCACACATAACAATATTAACCTTAAATGTAAATGGGCTAAATGCCCCAATTAAAAGATACAGACTGGCAAATTGGATAGAGTCAAGACCCATCAGTGTGCTGTATTCAGGAGACCCATCTCACATGCAGAGACACACATAGGCTCAAAATAAAGGGATAGAGGAATATTTACCAAGCAAATGGAAAGCAAAAAAAAAAGCAGGAGTTGCAATCCTAATCTCTGATAAAACAGACTTTAAACCAACAAAGATCAAAAGAGACAAAGAAGGGCATTACTTAATGGTAAAGGGATCAATGCAACAAGAAGAGCTAACTATTCTAAATATATATGTACCCAATACAGGAGCACCCAGATACATAAAGCAAGTCCTTGGAGACCTACAAAGAGACTTACATTCCCACTCAATAATACTGGGAGACTATAACACACCACTGTCAATATTAGATAGTTCAACGAGTCAGAAAATTAACAAGGATATTTGGGACTTCAGCTCAGCTCTGGACCAAGGGGACCTAATAGATATCTACAGAACCCTCCACCCCAAATCAACAGAATATACATTCTGTTCAGCATCTTATAGCTCTTATTCTAAAATTGACCATATAATTGGAAGTAAAATACTCTTCAGCAAATGCAAAAGAATGGAAATCATAACAAATAGTCTCCCAGAACACAGTGCAATCAAACTAGAACTCTGGATTAAGAAACTCACTCAAAACCACACAACTACAATGGAAACTGAACAACCTGCTCCTAAATGACTACTGGGTAAATAACAAAATGAAGGCAGAAATAAAGATGTTCTTTGAAAGAAAAGAGAATGAAGGCACAATGTACCAGAATCTCTGGGACACATTTAAAGCAATGTGTAGAGAGAAATTTATAGCAGTAAATGCTCACAAGAGAAAGCAGGAAAGATCGAAAATTGACATCCTAACATCAAAATTAAAAGAGATAGAGAAACAAGAGCAAAAAATTGCAAAACCTAGCAGAAGACAAGCAATAACTAAGATCATAGCAGAACTGAAGGAGATAGAGACACGAAAAACCCTTCAAAAAAATCAATGAATACAGGAGCTGGGTTTTTGAAAGGATCAACAAAGCAGGTAGACTGCTAGCCAGACTAATGAAGAAAAGAGAGAAGAATCAAATAGACACAATAAAAAATGGTATAGGGGATATCACCACTGATCACACAGAAATACAAACTACCATCACGTAATACTATAAACAGCTCTATGCAAATAAACTAGAAAATCTAGGGGAAATGGAAAAATTCCTGGATGCATACACCCTCCCAAGTCTAAACCAGGAAGAAATCGAATCCCTGAATAAACCAATAACAAGTTCTGAAATTGAGGCAGTAATTAATATCCTTCCAACCAAAAAAAGCCCAGTACCAGACAGATTCACAGTCGAATTCTAGCAGAGGTACAATGAGGAGCTGGTACCATTCCTTCTGAAACTATTCCAAACAATAGAAAAAGAGGGAATCCTCCTGAACTCATTTTATGAGGCCAGCATCATCCTGACACCAAAACCTGGCAGACACACAACAAAAAAAAGAAAATTTCAGGCCAGTATCCCTGATGAACATTGATGCAAAAATCCTCAATAAAATACTGGCAAACCGAATCCAGCAGCACATCAAAAAGCTTATCCACCACAATCAAGTCAGCTTCATACCTGGGATGTAAGGCTGCTTCAACATATGCAAATCAATAAACGTAATCCATCACATAAACAGAACCAATCATAAAACCACATGATTATCTCAATACATGCAGAAAAGGCCTTTCACAAAATTCAATAGCCCTTCATGCTAAAAACTCTCAATGAACTAGGTATTGATGGAACATATCTCAAAATAAATAAGAGCTATTTATGACAAACCCGCAGCCAATATCATACTGAATGGGCAAAACTGGAAGCATTCCCTTTGAAAACCGGCACAAGACAAGGATGCCCTCTCTCACCACTCCCATTCAACATAGTATTGGAAGTTCTGGCCAGGGCAATCAGGCAAGAGAAAGAAATAAAATCTATTCAAATAGAAAGCGAGGAAGTCAAATTGTCTCTGTTTGCAGATGATATAATTGTATATTTATAAAACCCCATTGTCTCAGCTCAAAATTTCCTTAAGCTGATAAGCAACATCAGCAGTCTCAGGACACAAAATCAATGTGCAAAAATCACAAGCATTCCTATACACCAATAACAGACAAATAGAGAGCCAAATCATGAGTGAACTCCCATTCACAATTGCTACTAGGAGAATAAAATATCTAGAAATACAACTTACAAGGGATATGAAGGACCTCTTCAAGGAGAACTACAAACCACTGCTCAAGAAAATAAGAGAGGACACAAACAAATGGAAAAACATTTCATCTTCACAGATAGGAAGAATCAATATCGTGAAAATGGCCATACTGACCAAAGTAATTTATAAATTCAATGCTATCCCCATCAAGCTACCACTGACTTTCTTCACAGAATTGGAAAACACTACTTTAAACTTCCAAAAAGAGCTTGCATAGCCAAGACAATCCTGGGCAAGAAGAACCAAGCTGGAGGCATCACGCTACCTGACTTCAAACTATACTATAAGGCTACAGTAACCAAAAGAGCATGGTACTGATAACAAAACAGATATATAGACCAATGGAATAGAACAGAGGCCTCAGAAATAACACCACGCATCTACAACCATCTGATATTTGACAAACCTTTCACAAACAAGCAATGGGGAAAAGAATCCCTATTTAATAAATGTTGTTGGGAAAATTGGCTAGCTACATGCAGAAAACTGAAACTGGACCCCTTCCTTACACTTTATACAAAAATCAACTCAAGATGGATCAAAGACTTAAATGTGAGACCTAGGACCATAAAAAATCCTGGAAGAAAACCTGGGCAATACCATTCAGGACATAGGCATGGGCAAAGACTTCATATGTAAAACACCAAAAGCAATGGCAGCAAAAGCCAAAATTGACAAATGGGATGTAATTAAACTGAAGAGCTTCTGCACAGCAAAATAAAGTATCCTCAGAGTGAACAGGCAACCTACAGAATGGGAGAAAATTTTTTGCAATCTAGCCATCTGTCAGAGGGCTAATATCCAGAATCTACAAAAACTTAAATAAATTTACAAGAAAAAAACAAACAACCCCATCAAGAAGTGGGCAAAGGATATGAACAGACACTTCTCAAAAGAAGACATTTATGCAGCCAACAGACACATGAAAAAATGCTCATCATCACTGGCCATCAGAGAAATGCAAATCAAAACCACAATGAGATATCATCTCACACCATTTAGAATGGCGATCATTAAAAAGTCAGGAAACAACAGGTGCTGGAGAGGATGTGGAGAAATAGGAACACTTTTACACTGTTGGTGGGAGTGTAAACTAGTTCAACCATTGTGGAAGACAGTGTGGTGATTCCTCAAGGATCTAGAACTAGAAATACCATTTGATCCAGCCATCCCATTACTGGGAATACACCCAAAAGATTATAAATCATGCTGCTATAAAGACACATGCACACATATGTTTATTGCAGCACTATTCACAATAGTAAAGACTTGGAACCAACCCAAATGTCCATCAATGATAAACTGGATTAAGAAAAATGCAGCACATATACACCATGGAATACCATGCAGCCATGAAAAAGGATAAGTTCATGTCCTTTGTAGGGACATGGATGAAGCTGGAAACCATCATTCTGAGCAAACTATCACAAGGACAGAAAATCAAACACTGCATGTTCTCACTCGTAGGTGGGAATTGCACAATGAGAACACTTGGACACAGGGTGTGGAACATTACACACCGGGGCCTGTCGTGGGGTGGGGGGAGGGAGGAGGGATAGCATTAGGAGATATACCTAATGTAAATGACGAGTTAATGGGTGCAGCATGCCAACATGGCACATGTGTACATATGTAACAAACCTGCACATTGTGCACATGTACCCTAGAACTTAAAGTATAATTAATAATAATAATAATAATAATAAGAAAATAAGTTCACCGTAGATGTATGGATTTGTTTCTGGGTTCTCTATTTTGTTCCATTGGTCTATGTGCCTGTCTTTATGCCAGTACCATACTGTTTTGGTTACTGTAGCTCTGTAGTATAATTTGAAGTCAGATAATATGATTTTTTAAGTTTTGTACTTTTTGCTTAGGATATTTTTGGCTGTTCTGGATCTTTTGAGGTTTTATATAAATTTTAGGATACTTTTTTCAAATTTTGTGGAGTGTCAATGGTATTTTGATAGGCATTGCCTTGAATGGGTGGGTTGCTTTGGGTAGTGTGGACATTTAACACTATTGGTTCTTCCAATCCGTGAACATGGATTATCTTCCCATTTTTTTTTTGGTGTTCTCTTCAATTTATTTCATCAGTATTGTATACTTTTTTATTATAAAGATTTTTAACATCTTTGGTTAAGTCAACACAGAAAGACAAATTACATACTGGCTCTTATTTGTGGGATCTAGAAATCAAAATAATTGAACCCACAGAGATGGACTGTAGAAGTATGGTGAATAGAGGCTGAGAAGGGTGGTGTGGGGCTTATGGGGATTTGGGTAGGTTCCTGGATACAAAAACAATTAGAGAAAATGAATAAGTCTTAGCATATTATAGTACAAAAGAGCATGACTGTAGTCAATAGTAATTTAATGTACATTTTACAAGAACTAAAAGAGTGTAATTGGATTGTTTATAACACAAAGACAAACGCTTGAGGATATGGACACCCCATTTTCCATGATGTGATTATGTTACACGGCATGCCTGTATCAAAATATCTCATATAGCCCATAAATATATATAACTACTATGTGCTGACAAAAAAATTCAGAATACATTAATAAAGTAATGGTGGTACACAAAACACTTTTGGCTCTACTATAAATGTCAAATTACTAAAAATAATTACTAAAAATAACTATAGCCACAACAATTTATTAATGGACACACAATATAAGAGATGTAAACTGTTACCTCAATAACAGAATGTATGAGAGGAGGAAAGTCTTTGTATGCAGAGAAATTTAATTTGGCTGAGCTGGCACTCAAACCACAAGACATAGTCCTTCTCACTTTTGTCTCTGCTTTCCAAAGACAGAAGAGTTTCACTCAATGACCACTGCCAAGTCATGTCCACAGAGAATATTGCCAGACTTCCACTGATGTTCCCTCAAGGCCCAAGGGTTATTCAGTCAGGTTGTGGTGAATACTGCCTCACCTGCGATTCACCCTCCAGGAGAATGGGCCCTCCTCTCGCACAGGGCAAGTCAAGAAATGTTATCCAAGGGCCAACTCCTGGAATTGGGGACCCCAAGAGCCTGTTTGGTGCACTAACTCCTGTGGCTGAACTCATACCTGAGGTGCAGGAAATAGTCGCCTTTACTTTTCCATCCACTTTCTCAAGCAGGAGTCTTGCTTCATCATCACCACAACTGGGAATGTGCTGAGAATCACTAGAAGCCAGCAAGTCTGAGTCTCACCCAAGGCCCAGTGTAGTACTGTGGTATTACTGCTGGTTACTTAAGGCCCAAGGGTTCTTCAGTTAATAGGTGACGCATCCTGCCAAGACTGAGTTCTTACCCTCACGGCCACATGTTCTCTTCTGGTCCAGTATGTTTCTAGAAATGTCCAGGAGCTAGGGCCTGGAAAGGGGGCCTCACAACCGTGACCAGTGCCCTATCCTGCTCTCGCTGAGCTGGTATCCAAGATGCAAGACAAAGTCTTCTCCACTTTTCCATCTGCTTTCCTTAAGTAGGTTAGGGGAAGGGTGATGCCAGCACTCCCTTTGCCACTTCTGCTGGTGTCTCAGTAGGTCATGTGCCCCTCCAGTTCACTGTCTCTGGGCCTAATTCAGCTCTAGGACTCACCTAAGTGTTGCAGTCTTTGTGGCCTAAACTGCCTTTCAAGTTTATTTGGTGCCCCAGAACACTTTAGCCTGAGGTGGCAAGGCTTGTAGGAACTCAAGTTGTCTGCTGAGATCAATGATTCCCCTCTGGCTAGAGCTAGTTTAAATGCTCCCTGCATGGGCAGGCATCAGCTGAGTTTGGTCTAGTTTTGCTTTCTGCTATAACAAGGTCAGCACTGAGTTTAATGTCTCACAGTTGCTGTTTTCCTTTCTTCCCAGGGCACAAAAATGCTCTCCACACGGCACCCGCACTACCTGTCATTCCAGATGCTTACCGCTTTAGTGCCTCTTTCAGCAATATGAAGTTAAATCCAGGTACTGTGAGTGCTGACTTGACTTTTGGTTCTTATGAAGGTGGTGTGTGTGTGTGTGTGTGTGAAAATAGTTTTTTGTGAAGGGTGGGGGTATGACCAGTGGAGCCTTCTACTCTGCCATCTTTCTACACCCACCCAGTATTTTCATTTCAGCACTTTGAATATGTCATTCCACTCTCTCCTGGCCTGCAAGGTTTGTTCTGAGAAATCAGCTGATTGTTTTATGAGAGTTTCTATATATGTGATGAGACGAGTCACTTTTTTTTTCTTTAGCTGCTTTCAAAATTCTCTTTTTAATCACTGAATTTTGAGAATTTGATTATATTGTGTATCAGTGATGAGATCTTTATGTTTAATCTGTTTGGAGTCTTTAGGCTTCATGGATCTGGGTGTTCATTTTCTTCTCCATATTTTGAAAGTTTTTTTTTTTTCATTATCTCTTTACTTTTTTTGTCCCTTTTTTTTCTCTTTATCTTCTCCTTCTTGGATTTCCATAATGTTTACATTGATTCACTTGATGATATTCTATAAGTCTCATAGGCTTTTGTCATTATTTTTAATTATTTTTTTTCTGTTTTGTTCCTCACTAAGTAATTTCAAATAACCTGTCTTCAAGGTTGCTGATTCTTTCTTTTGCTTCATCAAGTCTGTTGCTGAATGTCTGTATGACATTCTTCAGTGCAGTCATTTTGTTCTTCAGTTTCAGAATTTCTGTTTGGCTTTTTTAATATTTTCTATATCCCTGTTGAACTTTTTTATTTTGCTCATATGTTCATTTTCTGATTTAGTCTGGTTGGCTATCTGTGCTCTCTTGTGGCTCACTGAGCTATTTAAGATGATTATTTTGAATTCTTTGTCAAGTAGGTTGTAGATCTCCATTTCATTCGAATCTGTGACTGATGCATTATTTTGTTCCTTTGATAATGTCATGTTTCCCTCATTATTTGTAATTCTTGGGGTCTTGTGTTGGTTGGTGTCTGCACATTTGAAAGAGTAGGCACCTCTTACAGTCTTTACAGACTGGCTTAACACATAAAGCCCTTTAAAGTCAGCCTATCCAAAGATTCTGGGTAGGCCAACTGGTGTGGTCCATGGGCAAGCTTGCTGCTGGTGTCCTAAGGCTAGCTGACCTAGTTCCCTGGTTAGCAGGTGGCCAGGTCTGGTGCCTGCATCCACAGGGGTGGACCTGGAGCCTGTGTCCACTGGAGCAGGTCTAGATCTTGGGTTCATGGTGGCCAGCCTGACAGTAAGGCTCACTGAAGTTGTCCTAATGGTTGGGTCCACAGGGATAGTCCTGATCATAAGTCCATAGGGTACATCCTGGTGCCAGGGTCCACTGAAATGGGCCGGGCACCAGATTCCAGAGAGGAGGCCTAAAACTTGGGTCCACAGGTCTGGCCTGGTGCTGTAGCAGGCCTAGAGTCTGAGTCTATAGGGGAAGGCCTGAGTCCTGGGTCCATGGAGACCAGCCTGAAGCCTGGGTTCATGGGAACAAACCTGGTACTGTGGCAGTCCTGGAACTTGGGCCTGCCAGCCTGGAGCCTGTGGCCATGAGGCTAGCCTGCCACTGTGGGCCTGAAGCCTGGTGCTATGAGGGCCAGCCTGGCACTGAGGAAGTATTGGAGCCTGAAGCTCTGGGGGCTCACTATAGCAAAGTCAGGTGCTCACCTCACTCTTCTCCTACATGAAGGGTAACTCTCCCTGCACAGCATTGCTCAAGCTTAGGCAATGAATGACATAGGTAATGTAAAACTATCCTTCCTACCCTCTTCAATGTATCTTTTCTTATTTCTGTGTTCCACCCATCTGCTGTATTCTCTCACATAAATTTCTTACATTTATTGAGGGTATCTTGTAATGGATTTTTATGCTTGGATGGTTGTTCAAATTGATGTTTTTGTCAGGGGATGAGTGATAGAATTTCCTATTCCACCATCTTGCTAATGTCACTTTCCTCTAAAGGGATTTTTAATTTAATGTGATCCTCAGATATGTTCTCGAGATGTGTCAAACCTCATAAGATGAATAAGTTTTTAACGTATTGTATTTTCCTCAGGGTACATCTGTAATGTGGTAATGGTCTAGCCTAAGAATGCCCATATAACTTTCTGTTTTCCTTTTCCACACTCCTAAATATTCCTCTAGAGCTTTTGGCCATAAGAATCAGTCAAGAGAACTTCTCAACAGGTCTATCTCTGTCAGTCTTCTCCATTGTAATTTCTGGAGACCTCCAACTAAAATCCAGTTTCGTTTCTTGTAATGCCATTTAAAACATGTTCAAAGTTCAGTCGTCTGCTCATGAAAATTACTTTTTTAGTGTTTCAACTGTCACCCACACATGATGCACTTTGAACACAACCAGTTTTTATTTTCTAATTGACTTTATTTTCTAATTTGTTAGCATTTTTCTCTCTCATATTCAAACTTAATGAGATAAATAGCAAATTTAGTAGACAATTTCAAATGATTTATTCATAAGGTTTCAAAATCTGAGCAAACTATTTCATACAACTCTTCCAGAAAGTTAAAAATAAAATTTCTACCTATGCCAAAATAAACAAAGAAGCAAAACTTTTTGGATGCAAAAATGTCTACTTTTATAAATATACAGGACCATGTTCAAAATGTAATATTTTAATTTCCTAGTCCATGCTATAGATATGATATTCACAATAATCAGGAGACATATTATAAATCAGTTATAGTTCAGTATATATATATATATATATATATATATATATATATATATATATATATGCAAGTCCTGTTCAGTTTCTCCTAATTAATTCTCCAATCTGACTACTTATTTCCATTTCCATTGCTACCCAATCTAAGTTACCATCATCTCACACTTAGATTATCGCAATACCTTTGTAACTGGCTTTTTACTTTCATTCTTGACTACTGCGGTAGACAGAATAATGCCCCTCCGTACACATACCAGGATGTTCAGGAATCCGTGTGTATGTCACCTTGCATGGTAACAAGGATTTTACAGGTGTGATTAAATTAAAAATCTTGAGATGGGGAGATTTCTCTTGGACCATTCAATTTGCTCCAATGTAATCACAAGGGTCCATATGAGAGGTAGACTGGAGGACGAGAATCAGAAAGTGAGGATGTAATGACTGGAGCTGAGGTCAGAGAGGAGAGAAGATGCCCTACTGCTGGCTTTGAAAATGGGGGAAGGAGCCATGAATAAAGAAATGTAGGTGGTGTCTAGAAGCTGGAAAAGACAAAGAAATGCATTCTCTCTTAGAGTATCTAGAATGAAGACTTCTGCCTTGATTTTAGCCCATTGAAACTAGATATTATAGACTTCTGAATTCTAGGACTATAAGATAACTAGGTGGTTTTTAAGCCATTAAATTTATGTTAATTTGTCATAGCATCAATTGGAAACTGATAAAAATCCCTACAATAGATTCTCCACACAGCAGAGCAATCATTTATAAAAATAAAATCTGTCTATGACAGCCCTAGGCACCCAGGAAAGGATAAAAAATGCGTAGCATGTCTGTCAAAGCTCTGTGTTGAGTTGAATTGTGTTCCTCTCAAAATCCATATATTGAAGTGTTAAGTCCCACTACCTCAGAATGTAACCTTATTTGGACATAGGGATTTTATGGAGGTAATCAAGTTAAAGTGAGGTCGTTGGGATAGGCACTGATGCAATATGACTGATATCCTTATTAAAAAAAAAAGAAATGTAGACACAGAAACACACGGAAAGAAGAAAGACAATGTGAAAAGACAGGTAGAATATAAGGAGACAGGCCTAGAAGAGAGCCTTCCCTCACCGCCCTCCAAAGGAACAAACTCTGTTGATACCTTGATTTTAATTTTTTTAGCCTCCAGAACTATGAGATCGTTGATTTATATTGCTTAAGCCATTCAGTTTGTTGCACTTTGTTACAGCATCCCTGGCCTCTGCCTGCCTCTCCAGGTTTATCTTGAGCTATTCTCCCTGGTCTCTCTGCCCTTGAGCTACATGAGCCTCTGTATTCCAAGCCTTTTTACATACTGCCTGGGACATATCTCGCCCTACCACTTATTACCTGGTTAACATCTACTCATCCTTTGGGTCTTAGCTTAAATGTCACCCTCTCAGATACTTTTCCTGGTTACCAATTTAAACATTCTACAACTCTTCATTATTCATTCATAACACCCTGACCCTTTCTGAAATAGCTCATGTAAAATTACAAATATATTTTAAGAGTAATCTATTAATATCTGTCAGTGAGCATGTCTATAGTGTTAACTACTGTATACACTGCACTTAGCACAATGCCTAGCATTTAATAGATATGTATTTGTGGAATTAATGGATAAATTCATTCCTTGAGATAATATCTCTGAAGAAATCTGCTTCAAATTTATATTTTTTTGTCTAGGCCTCACATTCCAAGAACAGGAATCTGACAAACTACCCCCTGCAGTCTTGGTAAAAGGCTCCTAAAACAGGGTTGCTCCTCTTCTCAGATAAAGAGACAAGAGATGCAGTCCTGTTTCAAACCCAGGAAAACATCTGGAATATGCTGTCTTTGGATGGTAACACTTCTTATATGGACAAGGAAGGGAAATCCTCAGTGAATGTAATGAAACTATCAAACATTCACTATTATAGGGGAAAAAGGAAATGTAAAAGGAGAGGAAGTTTTAGAGAAATTTGATTCTCGTAAAGTTTGAGGATATCATGAGCCCCAACATTTTTCTCATTAAGAGATACTGTAACAAGAGACATCTTAATATTTGCTCCAACCCTAACCCTTGATTTCACAATCTATGTCCAGACATTACCATGACAGTAATAATTGAGCCAAAAGTCATAGAACTAGATGAATACTTAAGCCTTAATACATACAAATTTTTTGCTTTGTAATATTGCCTTTTCTTTTGTAGCTGTTAATGTTTTTCATTTTTATAAAGTTTCCTAATACTTTGTAAAATCGCACTTTAGGATATAAAAGAACAAATATCACAGGTATCAATCTGCAAGGATACCTTTTTTAAATTGCTCTGATGTGAGAATCTTATGAGTCACAATGTTTGTGCTATAAATTCATTATAGATTCTCATATCATGGCCCATCATCATTTTAGCTTGGCATGCTTTCAAAGCTTCTCAATAGACTAATAATTTGTTGTTTCTCTTTCTGGCTCCTTTAATATCCTACCCTTTAGAATGCCGATTTGCATTATGAAAAACTTAAAAATACCCCCAATTAAAGTTGTCCACTGCAATACTAATTCTGAGCTGGCCATCAAGACTCACAATGCTAGTTAAATCTGATAAATCAGGCTTTGAAGTTTCTACATTAGCTATCTCTTTGTGAAGTTGGATGTTGTTAACACATCATCATTAATCCAACTGTTTTCCTGGTTGAATTGGTTGTTTCAGTAATCATTCCAATCAAGCCATCTGGTTCTTTTGGCCATTAAGAAAACCAGATCAAATCAACTATTCAATTGCTTGGCAACAGACTCAAAAAATGGTCAACATAATGAATCCTATAAAGCCAGCCTCAATTCTGCAGAGGAAAGTTGCTAAATCACAACACTTTTGGAGAATGCAGATTGTTTTGTTTTCTCTGTCAGCAAGTGCAGAGTGGTATTTTGCTTCTTGTTTGGTAAAGGCATCTTTAATAAACAATTACAGCTCAGCACTTGTGTTAGTTGAGTTCCAGGTTTTTAAATATTAAAGTTCACAAAACACCTATGCAAATGATAAGTGTTATCTATCTATCCATCTATCGATCTATCTATCTGTATATATACACACATGGGGGGATAGAGGGAGGGAGGGAGAGATAGAGAGAGGGAAAGAGAGAGAGAGAGAGATTGGTTTTCATGAGTTATCCATAAAATTCTGTATGCCTTTATTTATGTGATCAGAATCTTAAAAATTAAATCAGCTGAGAAATAAATGAGGAGATAGGAATCACACTAAATTATATAAAGGCCATTATTGGGCTACTGAACACAAAAGAAAAACAATAACAATACACTTTCACTGTGCTGAAAATTAATTATTTGGGTATAGTATATTTGGAAGCATCAAGAAACAAAGACATTTGAGAAAGTATGTGAATTTTTTAAGGTACAAATATATTGTAAATGTTGACTGAAACATTCCTAAGAATTAAATTGAACTGTGTGTTCAAGCTGGAAACTATAATTCTTTGTAACTTTTGTTAGAATGCAGTTTTAGTAAACAACATTTGTAATATTTGCAAATGAAATAAGGAAGCTATAATCATGATGTTTCCACCCTGTGATTTTATATATTAGGAACTGTATAAAGTCTTAATATTTGTTATTCCTTGCATCAGGCTACCTACATCATTTCCTTATAAATTTGGAATATTTTATATGTTAAAATTAGGTCATTTCAGCCAGAAAATTCATACCAAATTGCAGTTCCTGGACACACAGGCCAAGTTGTCAAAATATCCTCATCAACTGAGTAAATTTTTGCTGAGAGCAAAAACAACAGACTGAAAAACACAAGGACCCTGTTAGCTATCAATTAGCCCACATATGAGAATAAATATACCAAATATAAATTATGTCTGTGGTATAACACACACACATGTACACATACACGAACACACAGGCATACAGAGTTACACACTTAATGATCTTTTTTTGAAATAAATAGTTGTTTAGAGAAAGTCTCCTTGGCAGCAATCCTTGCCATCTAGTTAGAAAACAAGAGGTGTCATCATCATCATTTAAAATCAGCTACAGCAACAAATTTCAGTGTGTCAAATGCCAAAGTCACAACAGAATTAAGAGTTACATGGTGTCTTCTGATAATGGAAACTGCAAAGGAATCTAGACTTAAAGGGAGTAGTAACAACCCAAATCCTTATCCATACTGAAAAGTTAAGATGCCAAGCTAAAATCAGAGATCAGAAAGAAGGGGCCATATATGGGATTGTTTCTAGAAAAGATTTTGGAAGAGAGCTCCACTAGCCAACACGCAGGGACAATTTTGATTGGACAAGATTGTAGAGAAGGAACGTAATTACAAGGCCATCACAGTCTCTCAGATATAAAGCAATGAGATCCTAGATTAGGGTTTGCTCTAGTGATAGCCATTGCTGAATAGTTTTGTGATGAAGAAAGATTCTATGTGACTGAATGCAAAATGAGTTAAAATATTTTGATGTTCCCCCCTTATGATGAAGCCAGCCACTTATGTTCATTATCTTCCACAGAAAAAATCTGTGCTCTATTAGTTATTCTTTTTCTCTCCTATATCTCCAATTACTTCCTATTCATTGGGTCTTTGTTCTCTGCCTACAATTAACCAAAGCCCATATGCCTTCAAAATAAAAACAAAACAAAAATCTTCCCTCAGCCCTGAATCTTCCTCACTTATCAGACTATCCATTGTCCTTCCCTCTGCTACTAAACCCTTTGAGAAAATAGTCTATAATTTTCTCCTTCCCTTCAGCTCATTAAAAAAACAAACAAACAAACAAACAAAAACCTTTATTTTAGGTTCGGGGTAGATGTGCAGGTTTGTTATATAGGTAAACTCATGTCACAGGGGTTTGTTGTACAGATTATTTTGGCACCCAGGTACTAAGCCTATAGTACTAAGCCTATAGTACCCAGGTACTAAGCCTATAGTCCCAATAGTTATTTGTTCTGATCCTCTCCCTCTTCCGACCTTATTTCGAACAGGTGAGAGATGATGATCCAGTTTCATTCTTCTACATGTGGCTTGCCAATTCTCCTTCATAAGAGGGTTGACAAGTAGAAAGGGCATGCTTACTGGAAGCCAGCCTGGCTGACTCCATTACAAGTGTGTGATTGATGATATCCTGAGGTATGAGGAAAGACCACATCATATGGTGGATAAAAATATGGGTTTTGGAGACCTATATGTAAGGCCTAACTCTACCTATTTTTATCAGTGTGACCTGTGCAATTTATTTGATTTTTATTAGCCTCAGTTTCCTCATAGGTTAAATAGGAATAATAATTCCATTGCCTATCAGGGTAGGTGTTCAACAATAATTATTTATTATGCTAGAGCAATGTTCTCTGAAAGATATCCAAAGGTTAAATAGAGGGAGCAGGATGCTTACACACTTTCCTGAGTTTTATCTTTTGTAGTACTAAGGATCCTCTCTTGTAAGCCATTGCTGCCACCAGTCTCTTTAATTCTTGTCCTTAGCCTAGAGCTGTCAGTTTTAGGACTGTGAGATATTTGTAGCTTTCAACCTTCTGAAATATGCCCCTTTGTAGTTTAGACAAGCAATATAATAAATCTCCCCTTGCCCCGCAGCTTACTGTGGCTTGCCTACACAGTAAAATTGTGAATATTTGACTATGAGATGTATAGTATCTAAATTAATATTAATAAAATTAATTATAATTATGATAATGGCAGCTAAAAGTTATTGAGCCTTTACTATGTTCCAGGCTCTGTTCTCAGTGCTTGACCTGCATAATCACTGAATCATCACAACAGTCTCATGAGACAGGTATTATTATCCTCAAGTTTAAGTCAAACTCATTAAGGCTCAGAGAGAGAGGTTAAATAGCTTGCCAAAAGTCATGCAACTAGCAAATATAAAAATAATGATTTGAGCCCAGATCCATTTGACTCTATAACCTGAGTCTTAATCACTAAGCTATTTTAAATGATAGCCAATTGCTGTGAGACTCAAATGAGACTGTAAATGTAGCGGTGCTTTAAAAACCTAGAACTATCAAAATGGAAGGGTTTATTATTACCAAATGATTAACTGAGGCTGTCACTGTTTATCCAGATGCTTGGCAGCATGTAGACAAAGCCCAAGGCTATAGTGGACCTTTTCCAAGTGGCAAAAGCTTAAATGTAATATAAGCTAATTGGCAACGTGTCTTTATTTTCAAAGCAGTAGGCAAAGCTTATATGTGCAGCTTCCTAATGGCATGTCCATTGAAGTAACTGCACCTGTTCTACAATTCAGAGAGATTATATAACTCAGGACACTGGAAGCTGTTCTCTAGCATTCAGTTATTTTAACAAACATTAATTGAAAACTTTTACTCTGTGACACGCATGTTTATGGAGCATTTCCTGTGTTCAGATTATTCTGAATGTCTCTTGGGTTTCAAAGATTGGCAACCAATTTGAGGTTTTTAAAAATACACTCTATGGTCCAAAGAAAATACGTCCTTGTGCTAACCACTCAATTATATCTATCCTACAAGTGTTAAACAGTTTTGAAATATACTTCATACATTAGTGACATTCTCTATTGCACCTCTCAATATCCTGAGTAAATAATTAAACATAAAGTTTAGAATACTAGAACAGGTAATTTAGATATAAGAGCCTCAGCCTAAGTATTCTATTAGTTTTAGTAATAAAAAACCTAGGAAGGATTGTAAATTTAACCAGTGTCACAAGTTTAAAGCCCGTCACCCAGATTTCCAGAGGGGTTCCCTTTCTAGCTATTAATAATAAATTAAATAGCTCTCCAGTAAAACCCTCTTGATATTTCAACCTCTTCTGCATATCTGGGGGAGTGGGGAAGGCATGTAATGCTTAGATTGTAGTATTTAGAGCTCTCAGCTTAGTAGAGTCATGACTTAGCACTTTATGTACATTTCAGAAATTGTGTGTTGTGTGTGTTTGAGATTTAGACTGTGCTCATCAAATGATGGTTTTTGAAAGCTATTGTAGAACTCAGGAATGTTAGATTGCTAAATATAACCTAGAATATCACAATCCCAGGTTTTCCAGGACTTAGAAAGTTTATGAGGAGGGGAACTTCCAGGTTCAAAACCAAGACAGTATCTAGAAAAGCCAGGACAAATTGGTCACCCTAAATTTTTATATAAAACTTTTATTTTAGATTTGTAGGCCTAAGGTCAATAACATAGTTGAAGTAAAATAATATAATCAGGTTGGATGTTAGGGGGACATATGTTACATGTCATGATGGATTCATTTACAGTTTATTTTGTCACCCAGGTAAAAAGCATAGTACGTGATAGGTAGTTTTTCAGTCCTCACTCTCTTCCCACTCTCTACCATCAAGTAGGTCCTGGAGTCTGTTGTTCCCTTCTTTGTGGTCATAATCTTTAGCTCCCACTTATGAGTCACAACATGCAGTATTTGGTTTTTCCATTCCTGTGTTAGTTTGCTTAGGATAATAGCCTCCCGCTCCATCCATGTTGCTGCAAAGGACATAATCTTCTTCTTTATGGCTGCATAGTATTTAATGGTGGGCATGTATCATGTTTTCTTTATCCAGACTACTATTGATGGGCATATAGGTTAATTTCATGTCTTGGCTATTGTGCGTAGTTCTGCAACGAACGTATGGATGCCTGTGTCTTTTTAAAAATCTTTTATACTGTATTTTTTTATTATTATACTTTAAATTCTGGGGGAAATGTGCAGAATATGCAGTTTTGTTACATAGGTATACATGTGCCATGGTGGTTTGCTGCACCCATCAACCCATCACCTACATTAGGTATTTCTCCTAATGCTATCCCTCCCCTAGCTCCCCACACTCCAACAGGTCCAGGTGTGTGATGTTCCCCTCCCTGTGTCCATGTGTTCTCATTGTTCAACACCCACTTATGAGTGAGAACATGTAGTGTTTGGTTTTCTGTTCTTGTGTTAGTTTGCTGAGAATGATGGTTTCCAGCTTCATTCATGTCCCTGCAAAGGACATGAACTTATCCTTTTTTATGGCTGCATAGTATTCCATGCTGTATATGTGCCACATTTTCTTAATCCAGTCTATCATTGATGGACATTTGGGTTGGTTCCAAGTCTTTGCTATTGCAAATAGTGCCACAATGAACATATGTGTGTGTGTGTCTTTATAGTAGCATGATTTATAATCCTTTGGGTATATACCCAGTAATGGGATTGCTGAATCAAATGGTATTTCTAGTTCTAGATCCTTGAGGAATCACCACACTGTCTTCCACAATGGTTGAAATAATTTACACTCCCACCAACAGTGTAAAAGCTTTCCTATTTGTCCACATCCTCACCAGCATCTGTTGTTTCCTGACTTTTTAATGATCACTATTCTAACTGGTGTGAGATGGTATCTCATTGTGGTTTTGATTTGCATTTCTCTAATGAACAGTGATGATGACTATTTTTCATATGTTTGTTGGCTGCATAAGTGTCTTCCTTTGAGAAGTGTCTGTTCATATCCTTCACCCACTTTTTGATGGGGTTGTTTTTCTCTTGTAAATTTGTTTAAGTTCTTTGTAGATTCTAGATATTAGCCCTTTGTTAATGGACAGATTGCAAAAGTTTTCACACATTCTGTGTGTTGCCTGTTGACTCCGATGATAGTTTCTTTGCTGTGCAGAAGCTCTTTAGTTTAGTTAGATCCCATTTCTCAATTTTGGCTTTTGCTGCCATTGCTTTTGGTGTTTTAGACATGAAGTCTTTGCCCATGCCTATGTCCTGAATGGTATTGCCCAGGTTTTCTTCTAGGGTTTTTATGGTTTTGGGTCTTACATTCAAGTCTTTACTCCATCTTGAGTTAACTTTTACATAAGGTGTAAGGAAGGGGTCCAGTTTCAGTTGTCTGCATATGGCTAGCCAGTGTTCCCAACACCATTTATTAAATAGGGAATCATTTCCCTATTGCTTATTTGTGCCAGGTTTGTCAAAGATCAGATGGTTGTAGATGTGTGGTGTTATTTCTGAGGCCTCTGTTCTGTTCCCCTGGTCTGTATATCTGTTTTGGTACCAGTACCATGCTGTTTTGGTTACTGTAGCCTTGTAGTATAGTTTGAAGTCAGGTAGTCAGGATGCCTCCAGCTTTGTTCTTTTTGCTTATGATTGTTTTGGTTATATGGGCTCTTTTTTTGTTCCATATGAAGTTTAAAGTAGTTTTTTTCCAATTCTGTAAAGAAAGTCAGTGGTAGCTTGATGGGGATAACATTGAATCTATAAATTACTTTGGGAAGTATGGCCATTTTCATGATATTGATTCTTCCTATGCGTGAGCACAAAATGTTTTTCATTTGTTTGTTTCCTGTCTTATTTTCTTGAGCAGTGGTTTGTAGTTCTCCTTGAAGAGGTCCTTCATATCCCTTGTAAGTTGTATTCCTAGGTATTTTATTCTCCTAGTAGCAATTGTGAATGGGAGTTCACTCATGATTTGGCTCTCTGTCTGTTATTAGTGTACAGGAATGCCTGTGATTTTTGCACATTGATTTTGTATCCTGAGACTTTGCTGAAGTTGCTTATCAGCTTAAGGATATTTTGGGCTGAGACGATGGGGTTTTCTAAATATACAATCATGTCATCTGCAAACAGAGACAATTTGACTTCCTCTCTTCCTATTTGAATAGCCTTTATTTCTTTCCCCTGCCTGATTGCCCTGGCCAGAACTTCCAATACTATGTTGAATGGGAGTGGTGAGAGAGGGCATCCTTGTCTTGTGCTGGTTTTCAAAGGGAATGCTTCCAGTTTTTGCCCATTCAGTATGATATTGGCTCTGCGTTTGTCATAAATAGTTCTTATTATTTTGAGATACGTTCCATCCATCCCTAGTTTATTGAGAGTTTTTAGCATGAAAGGCTGTTGTATTTGTCAAATGCCTTTTCTGAATGTATTGAGATAATTATGTGGTTTTTGTCATTGGTTCTGTTTATGTGATGGATTACGTTTATTGATTTGCATATGTTGAACCAGCCTTGTATCCCACGGATGAAGCCGAGTTGATCGTGGTGGATAAGCTTTTTGATGTGGTGCTGGATTCAGTTTGCCAGTATTTTATTGAGGATTTTTGCATCAATCTTCATCAGGGATATTGGCCTGAAATTTTCTTTTTTTGTTGTGTCTCTGCCAGGTTTTCATATCAGATGATGCTGGCCTCATAAAATGAGTTCAGGAGGATTCCCTCTTTTTCTATTGTTTGGAATAGTTTCAGAAGGAATGGTACCATCTCCTCTTTGTACATCTGGTATAATTTGGCTGTGACTCTGTCTGGTCCTGGACTTTTTTTGTCTGGTAGGCTATTAGTTACTGCCTTAATTTCAGAATTTGTCATTGGTCTATTCAGGATTTTACTTCTTTGTGGTGTAGACTTGGGAGGGTGTATGCATCCAGGAATTTATCCATGTCTTCTAGATTTTCTAGTTTATTTACATAGAGGTGTTTATAGTGTTCTTAGATGGTAATTTATATTTCTGTGTGATCGGTGGTGATATCCCCTATATCATTTTTATTGTGTCTATTTGATTCTTCTCTCATTTCTTCTTTATTAGTCTGGCTAGCGGTCTGTTTTGTTGATCCTTTCAAAAACTCACCTCCTGGATTCTTTGATTTTTTGAAGGGTGTTTTGTGTCTCTATCTCCTTCAGTTCTGCTCTGATCTTAGTTATTGCTAGTCTCCTGCTAGCTTTTGCATTTGTTTGTTCTTGCTTCTCTAGTTCTTTTAATTTTGATGTTAGGATGTCAATTTTCGATCTTTCCTGCTTTCTCTTGTGAGCATTTACTGCTCTAAATTTCCCTCTACACACTGCTTTAAATGTTTCCCAGAGATTCTGGTACATTGTGCCTTCATTCTCTTTGGCTTCAAAGAACATCTTTATTTCTGCCTTCATTTTGTTATTTACCTGGTAGTCATTTAGGAACAGGTTGTTCAGTTTCCACGTAGTTGTGTGGTTTTGAGTGAGTTTCTTAATCCAGAGTTCTAGTTTGATTGCACTGTGGTCTGAGAGACTGTTTGTTATGATTTCCATTCTTTTGCATTTGCTGAGGGGTGTTTTACTTCCAATTATGTGGTCAATTATTTTTTGATATGGATAAGTGTGACGAGGTGCTGAGAAGAATGTATAATGATTTGGGGTGGAGACTTCTGTAGATATCTATTAGGTCTGCTTGGTCCAGAGCTGAGTTCAAGTCCTGAATATCCTTGTTAATTTTCTGAATCATTGATTTGTCTAATATTGACAGTGGGGTGTTAAAGACTCCCCACTATTATTATGTGGGAGTCTAAGTCTCTTTTTAGGTCTCTAAGAACTTGCTTTATGAATCTGGGTTCTCCTGTATTGGGTGTGTATACATTTAGGATAGTTACCTCTTCTTGTTGCATTGATCCCTTTACCATTATGTAATGCCCTTCTTTGTCTCTTTTGATCTTTATTGGCTTAAAGTCTGTTTTATCAGAGATTAGGATTGCAACACCTGCTTTTTTTTGCTTTCCATTTGCTTGGTAATTATTCCTCCATCCCTTTATTTTGAGCCTATGTGTGTCTTTGCATGTGAGATGCATCTCCTGAATGCAGCACACTGATGGGTCTTGACTCTTTATCCAGTTTGACAGTCTGTATCTTTTAATTGGGGCATTTGGCCCATTTACATTTAAGGTTAATATTGTTATGTGTGAATTTAATCCTGTCATTATTTTGCTAGCTGGTTATTTTGCCCTTTAGTTGATGCAGTTTCTTTATAGTATCGGTGGACTTTACAATTTGATATGTTTTTGCAGTGGCTGGTACCGGTTTTTCCTTTCCATATTTAGTGCTTCCTTCAGGAGCTTTTGTAAGGCAGCCCAGGTGGTGACAAAATCTCTCAGCATTTGCTTGTCTGTAAAGGATTTTATTTCTCCTTCACTTATAAAGCTTGATTTGGCTGGATATGCAATTCTGTGTTGAAAATTCTTTTCTTTAAGAAAGTTGAATATTGCCCCCCACTCTCTTCTGGCTTGTAGGGTTTTTCCAGAGAGATCTGCTGTTAGTCTGATTGGCTTCCTTTTGTGGGTATCATGACCTTTCTCTCTGGCTCCCCTTAACATTTTTTCCTTCATTTCAACCTTGGTGAATCTGACAGTTATGTGTCTTGGGGTTGCTCTTCTCAGGAGTATCTTTGTGGTGTTCTCTGTATTTCCTAAATTTGAATGTAGGCCTGTCTTGCTAGGTTGGGGAAGTTTTTCTGCATAATATCCTGAAGAGTGTTTTTCAACTTGGTTCCATTCTCCCCATCACTTTTAGGTACATCAATGAAACATAGATTTGGTCTTTTCATATAGTTCCATATTTCTGGGTGGCTTTGTTTGTTCCTTTTTATTCTTTTTTTCTTTAACCTTGTTTTCTTGCTTTATTTCATTAAGTTGATCTTCAATCTCTGATATCCTTTCTTCCACTTGATTGGTTCAGCTATTGATACCTGGGTATGCTTCATGAAGTTCTCATGCTGTGTTTTTCAGCACCTTCAGGTCATTTATGTTCTTCTCTAAACTGGTTATGCTGGTTAGCAATTCCTCTAACCTTTTTTCAAGGTTCTTCGCTTCCTTGCATTGGGTTAGAACATGCTCCTTTAGCTTGGAGGAGTTTGTTATTACCCACCTTCTGAAGCCTACTCCTGTCAGTTTGTCAAACTTGTTCTCTGTCCAGTTTTGTTCCCTTGCTGGCAAGGAGTTGTGATCCATTGGAGAAGAGGCATTATGTTTTTTGGAATTTTCAGTCTTTTTGCACTGGTTTCTCCCCATCTTTGTGGATTTATCTACCTTTGGTCTTTGATATTGGTGACCTTTGGATGGAGTCTCTGAGTGGACGTGCTATTCCTTTCTGTTTGTCAGTTTTCCTTCTAACAGTCAGGACCCTCTGCTGCAGGTCTGCTGGAATTTGCTGGAGGTCCACTCCAGACCCTGTTTGCCTGGGTATCACCACCAGAGGCTGGAGAACAGCAAAGATTGCTGCCTGCTCTTTCCTCTGGAAGATTCTTCCTGGAGGAACACCTGCTAGATGCCAGCCAGAGCTCTCCTGAATGAATTGTCTGTTGGCCTCTACTGGGAGGTGTCTGCCAGTCAGGATACACAGGGGTCAGGGACCCACTTGTGGAGGCAGTCTGACCCTTAGCAGAGCTCGAATTCTCTACTGGGAGGTCCACTGCTCTCTTCAGATCTGTCAGGCAGGGATGTTTATGTCTGCTGAAGTTGCACCCACAGCTGTCCCTTCCCCCAGGTGCTCTGTCCCAGGAGGATGCGGGTTTTATCTATAAGTCCCTGACTGGGGCTGCTGCCTTTTTTTCAGAGATACCCTGCCCAGAGAGGAGAAATCTGGCAGCCTGGCCACAGTGGCTATGCCAAGCTTTGGTGGGCTCTACCCAGTTTGAACTTCCAGGTGGCTTTGTTTACACTGAGGGTAAAACCTCCTACTCAAGCCTCAGTAATGGCAGACGCCCTTCCCCCACCAAGTTCAATATCCCAGGTTGATCTCAGTCTGCTGCTGTTCTGGCAGCGAGAATTTCAAGCCAGTGGATCTAGTTTGCTGGGCTCCATGGGGGTGGGACCCGCTGAGCCAGACCACTTGGGTTCCTGGCTTCAGCCCCCTTTGCAGGGGAGTGTACAGTTCTGTCTTGCTGGTGTTCCAGGTGTCACTGCAGTATGGAAGAAAACTCCTGCAGCTAGTTCCATGTCTGCCCAAATAGCTGTCCAGTTTTGTGCTTGAAACCCAGGGCCGTGGTGGGGTTGGCACCAGACAGAATCACCTGGTTTATGGGTTGCGAATATCGTGGGAAAAGTGCAGTGTCTGTGCCAGAGTGCGTGGCTCCTCAGGCTCAGTCCCTCATAGCTTCCCTTGGTTAGGGGAGAAAATTCCTTGACCCCTTGCACTTCCCATGTGAGGAAATGCCCCACCCTGCTTTGGCTCACCCTCCGTGGGCTGCACCCACTGTTCAACCAGTCCCAATGAGATGAACAGGGCACCTCAGTTGGAAATGCAGAAATCACCAGCCTTCTGCATCAATCACGCTGGGAGCTGCAGACCAGAGCTGTTCCTATTCGGCCATCTTGCCAGCAATCCCATGTGTCTTTATGGTAAAACAATTTATATTGCTTTGAGTACATACCCAATAATTTGATTGCTGAATCAAATTGTAGTTCTGTTTTAAGTTCTTTTAAAAATTGCCAAACTGCTTTCCACAATGGTTGAACTAATTTATATTGCCAGCATCTGTTATTTCTTGACGTTTTAATAATAGCCATTCTGACTACTGTGATATGATATCCCATGGTTTTGATTTACATTTCTCTAATGGTTAGTGATGAGCATTTTTTCATATGCTTGTTGTCCATATGTATGTCTTCTTTCAAAATGTGTCTGTTAATGTCCTCTACCCACTTTTTAATGGGGTTCTTTTTTGCTTTTTGTTTTAAGTTGCTTATAAATTTTGAATATTAGACATTTATCAGATTCATAGTTTGCAAATATTTTCTCCCATTCTGTAGGTTGTCTGTTTAGTCATAGTTTCTTTTGCTGTGCAGAAGCTCTTTAGTTTAACTACATTTCATTTGTCAATTTTTTTTTGTTGCAATAACTTTTAGTATCTGTCATGAAGTCTTTGCCAGGGCCTATGTCCAGAATGGTATTTTTTTTTATATCTCAAATTCATTCAGTTCAACTCTGATTTTGGATATTTATTTTCTTCTGCTAGCTTAGGGGTTGATTTGCCTTTGTTTTTCTAGTTTCTCTAGATGTAATGTTAGGTTGTTAATTTGAGATCTTTCAAATTTTTGATGTGGCATTTAGCACTATAAACATTCCTGTTAACACTGTTTTGACCCTGTCCCATAGATTCTGGTATGTTGTATCTTTGTTTTCATTAGTTACAAAGAATTTCTTGATGTCTTCCTTAATTTCATTGTTTAACCAAAAGTCATTCAGGAGCAGGTTGTTTAATTTCCATGTAACTGTATGGATTTGAGCACTCTTCTTGTATTGATCTCTATTTTTATTGCACTATGATCTGAGAGTGTGGTATGAGTTTGGTACTTTTGGATTTGCTGATAATTGTTTTATGGCTGATTGTGTGGTCAAATTTAGAGTATTTGCATTTGTAGATAAGAAGAATATATATTATTTTGCGATTGGGTGGAGAGTTCTCTAGATGTCTGTTAGATTTATTTGGTCAAGTGTTCAGTTCAGGTCCCAAATAGTCATTTTTAGTTTTCTGTCTTGATAATATTTTTGATACTGTCAGCGGGGTATAGATGTCTCCCACTATTATTGTGTGGTTACCTAAGTCTCTTTGTAGGTCTCTAAGAACTTGTTTTATGAGTCTTGCCACTCCTGTGTTGGGTGCATATATATTTAGGATAGTTAGATCTTTTTGTTGAATTGAACCCTTTACCATTATATAATGCCCATCTTTGTCTTTTTTCATCGTTGTTGCTTTAAAATGTTTTGTCTGAAATTAGGATAGCAACCCCTGCTTTTCTGTTTTCTATTTGCTTGGTAGATTTTTCTCCATCCCTCTACTTTGAGCCTATGTTTGTCATTGTATGTGAGATGAGTCTCTTGAAGACAGCATATAGTTGGCTCGTACTTCTTTATCCATCTTGCCACCCTGTGCCTTCTAATTGAGGCATTTATCCCACTGATGTTACAGGTTAATATTGATATGTGCATATTTGATCCAGTCATTATGTTTTTAGCTGATTATTGTGCAGGCTTCATTGTGTATTTGCTTTATAGTGTCAATGGTCTGTGTACTTAAATGTGTTTTTGTGGGTGCCATTAACAGTCTTTTCTTTCCATATTTAGCATTCCCTTAATGACCTCTTTTAAAACAGGTCTTGTGGTAACAGATTCCCTTAGTATTTGCTTGTCTGAAAAGGTTCTTCTTTCTCCTTGCTTATGAAGCTTAGTTTGGATGGTTATGATATTTTTGGTTGAAATATCTTTTCTTTAAAAATGCCGAGTTTAGTACCCTAATCCCTTTGGGCTTGTAGGGTTTCTGCTGAGATTTCCTCTGTTAGCCTAATGGAGTTCTCTTTGTAGTTGACTTGGTCCTTCTCTGTAGTTGCCTTTAACATTTTTGCTTTTATTTCAACCTTGAAAAACCTGTTTACCATGTGTTTTGGGTATGGTTGTCTTATACAGTATTGTGCACAGGTTCTCTGCATTTCCTGAATTTGAATGTTGGCCTCTCCAACAAGGTTGGGGAAATTTTCATGGACAATAACCTCAAATATGTTTTCTAAGTTGCTTGCTTTCTCTCCCTCTGTTTTAGGGATGCCAGTGCTTCATAGGTTTGGTCTCTTTACATAATCCCATATTTCTTAGAAGTTTTGTTTATTCTTCTTTCTTCTTGTTTCTTTATTTTTGTCTGACTAAGTTATTTTGGTGAACTGCTCTTCAAGCTCTGACATTCTTTCCTCATGTTGGTTGATTCTGCTGTTAATATTTGTAATTGCATTATGAAATGCTTGAAGTAAGTTTTTTCAGCTCTATAAGATTAGTTTGGTTCTTTCTTAAAATGGCTATTTCATCTTTCAGCTCCTGTACTGTTTATTGTATTCCTTAGATACCTTGGATTGGGCTTTGAATTTCTCCTGAGTCTTGATGATCTTCATTTCTATATATATTTGGAATTATATTTCTGTCATTTCAGTCTGTTTAAGAACAATTGCTGGCAATATAGTGTGGTTGGTTGGAGGTCAGAAGACAGTCTCACTTTTTGAATTGCTAGAGTTCTTGCACTGGTTCTTTTTCATCTGCATGGGCTGATGTTCCTTTAATGTTTGAAGTTGCTGAGGGTTTTTTTGTTTGTTTGTTTTTACCTTCTTTGATGCCCTTGGGGGTTTGATTGTGGTTTAATGTGGGTTCAACTGACTGACTTTATTTCGGGAAGATTTTAGGGGACCAAGGATCAGCTCAGCACTCCTAGGCTGCATGCTGTAACACTGGCGGTCTGGTAGGGGGCACCTGGCTTTTTTCCCTGACCCTTCAAGGTTAGGAACCTGCTGCACTAGAGGGACCAAGGTGTTCCTGGGCTGCTTGCCACAACACTTTGATGAATCTCACTGGCCAAAACACTTCATAGGTGTGATAGCAGCATCAAACCCTCTGGGCTCCACACAGGCTGGAGTCCTGCCCCTGCCACCTCTTTAAGCAGCAATCCCTGCCAGCTCAAGTGTCCTTGGGGGTCATGGTGTTTCCTGCTACCAGGATTCCAGATGTTCATGGCAAGAGCATGACACTCTTTGCCTGTTCAACTTACCCCTTCCCCAGGAGTCACTGAGGGCCAGGAATGAGCCCTGGTGCTTGGTTAGTCATCCTACATTTTAATGCTAATGTTTCTCTTGCACTGTTTTGCTTTGGATGTGAAACAGAGTAAAGGTCATAATTGCAAATATTTACATTTTATTGTTAAAAGCAATTTTTTAACTGGCTAAAATCCAAAGGCAAATGTTGTAGGAAGGCAAGTTTTAGCTATAAATAAGAAAAGACTTTCAAATTGAGGTGTCACTTTCAAGTGCCTGATTGGAGATACAAGATACAATGGTCTGAAAGCCATGCAGGATCCAACAAAGTATTGACCCCCGAGAGTTTAAAACATAGTCAAACACGGCCGCAAAGGGTTGAAGTTATTGATGCATCTTTTCTGAAGTGCAAATGGAGGCCAGTGAATTACAAGGCAATTAGGTTGGGATGATCAATTATGGGGCAGTGCAAGTAATCCAGTGTAACATGGATCAGTGAGTAGTCCAAAATAGAGCTAATAAGCAACAAGAAGGCATTTGTAGTCTTTTTTGTTGTGGTGCTAGATCACACTGTGGTACAGGAGAGGGTCTTACAGATTAAAGCCATAGGACAATGAGGCACTTGCTAAAACATCTACAGTTGATGGAAAGTTAAGTTAAACTTAAATTATATTACATCATATTCCCATTAAATGTTAATAATCATTATTTCTAAATTCGGGATAATAATCCAACTTCATGGGATTAGCATGGGGATTAAATGAAAAAATATGTAGCATCATGAAGCATTTAGCACAGTTTCTGACATATAATTGCTAGGTATGTGGTAGCTATTGTTAAAATTATTAAAATATTTTCCTAAATCTAATCTTTCTTGATGTGAAATATTGTTTTTTTGTAAAGTGTAGAGCTAAGTTTTTACATGTGTGCCATTCCTTATAATAAACACATTGCCAAATTATTGATGCTTGGTGCAAATATTTCAATTCTCATTATAATCGTTTTTTTGACACAACTTCAATAGCAAAAACTTTTTCTCTTGTTCATAATTTGGATTTTTACTAAATAAAGTTCGCATTGCATTTCTAATTGTTTTGCATGCCATTTTCCCTTATACTCAGATTTATTAGAGCAAATTTCCTTGAGTCATTTGGGATATAACACTAAATCATACTAATGAAATAAAATCAACCAATTGCACTTATATCAGATGCTATACAACCATAAATTATGACATATAATTACCTATTGAGATTATTATTTACAATTTATAGTAACTCTGATTTGGAATTTATTTTGCTAATTTAAAAGAATATATTTAATATGGAAGTAGAATGTGATAGAAGGTGATGGGATAGAATGCCAGTTAAGTGCATGGATTTTTAAAGTAAGGTCTATTGGTTTAAATATTTGTTACAATATTGTGGAACCATTGGGCAAATTATATTTTGTAACTTATCTCAGCCTCAGTTTTCTCATCTATGTGACAGAAAAAAAAGTCTACCTTATAGTATTCTCAGTGAAGATTAAATCAATGAAATAAGTCATATAGAACATTTAGCTCATGGCTAAATTGCCAAACTATCAAAGGTAAATAAACATAACTGGTGCTCAATAAATGTAAGTTATTTCTGCTGCCACTACTACTGTTTTTAGTCATTTGAACATCATAAAACAATCTTTAAAAATCATCATTTGGATAAAAAATCAAGTATATTCTTTCTATTTGAATCTGACCTTTTATTGGATTATGACTTATATGTCTATTTAGCATATTAATGTTTACACTTTGTCCACTCTAGTACGTTGGTCATTTAGGAAATGGTGCTAGTAAAAATATTTGTGCATAACACTGCATGAGAATCAACAATTCAGAATATACAGCTGGACAATCAAAATGAGCAGTGGCCCTAACAATTCACAAGGCCTTAATATCTGACTGAATATTAGCTTACTTTTGACACATAATAAAGGTGTGGCAAAAATTTAGGTATTTCAAAAGCCAAAATTATATAGCATGATCAGGCAGGTCTGAGTATGGACAGATTCACAAAGATAAATGTCTAATGTGTGCTGTGGCATATTATTCTTTACTACAATCCTTGGAAATAGTATGAATTTATGTTCTAGTTTTCCATACATTAAACTCTTGGGGATGAGTATAGTCTGGGATAGAATGACTATGTGGCTAAGTTGGAAACAGGTGTGATTTCTGCTTTCTTCAGTTATTTAGGTAGTAATAAAGGCAGTAGGTTGGCTCAAGATTGAAGTGGAAAATCTGTGTCTTTACACTACCAAATCATCAATTAATTTTACTTCCAAAGCATTTTGAACCTGGCCTATAAATGCCCCTTAAGTTAACAATAGTGATATTCAAGCCTTGTTTGACATCCCAGAGTAACTCTACATATTTAGAGACATTGGCCAGATTCTTAGATCAAATATATTTTAACTATAAAAAGTATCTATAACATATAGTACATTTTCTTAGGGAAGGAAAAAAGTATTATAAATCAAATTTAAAAGGGAATTATAACTCCAAAATAATTAGGAATCCCTGGCAGTGTTTTTGAGTGGTAGAGGAATAACAGCTAATTTGATTGAGGCAAAGGGGTAAGGGAGCCTCATTTGATGAATTCAATTGAGGATGTCAAGCTGCATTTAAATATTGCCAAATATCCAAAAAGAAATGAAAATATAAAACTAATTCTTCAGCTATATTAAAATAACTACCTATTGGATCTTTTTTTGCACAAATGTTAGGCATTCAGATCATTAAAAGCTACTAGAGTCCTTAGCAGGTCAACATGGTTTCTTGTAGACCATAATAAGGAATTTGGATTTTATTCCAAAGGTGACATTTATTCCACTGGAGTTTTGGGCCAATGAGTGTTATATGATCATATTTAAGTATTTAAAAAATAATTTGGATGTTTAATGGGCAATTCAGTTTAGAAGGGCAAAAGAGGAATGAGTCTTGTGATAATCGAGCTATGAAGTTATAGTGGCTATGACTAGAGTGCTATTGGTAGAGGAGGTGATAAATGTTAAAATTCACTATTTATTTTGAAGATTAAGCTGTTAGAATTTCCTGGTAGATGTGATGTGGGTGGTAGGATGATAGAAAGAACAAAATCGAGGATGACTTTCAAATGTTTAAGCATCTAGGTGAATGATGGTGTCATTTATTAAGTTGAAGAAGATGTGAGATGAAGTGCATTTATTCAGCTTCTACTAACAAACTCCGGCCCTATGTTAACCCCGTCATCTATTTTCTGTACTGTCTATTCCTTGGATGGTAAATACTACTGGAGAATCCTTTACTTCTGCTGATAGAATTCACCATAGTAGATTCATCCTCTTTTGACTCAACTACATTCTCACTGTTGTCTATTAATACATTTACTCAATTTGCTATTAAATTTTTCACTGGAGATATTACAAATTCTTCCACTTATCTCAAACCACCCTCCACTCTTTGCTTCTCCTAATCTCAATAAGTGACTGTATACTTTACTTCATATAGAAGTTTGAGGTCATCTGATACAAGCTTTTATGAAGTTTTAGGACATCTTCTACTTTTCTTCTGTTGTAGAAGAGGGGTTCCCTCTTCCTTTTTAAGTTTATTATTCGCTTATGTTCTTGGTTGGTTAATGGTACAGATGGTAGGAAATTGAATTATCTTTTCTTTTCTACCCTGTATCTTCAGTAATCTCATTTTCTATATAGATTGTTGGCATTGCTAGTTATGGTAATAGTGTTAGCTTGAATCTGTCAGGGGCTGCCACATGAAGAAGAATATCCTGAAAAAGAAGCCAGCACAAATGAATGCAGGGGTAGAGGAGAGAAGGGGGAGGGGAGGGAGGAGAAAGGGGAGAAAGCGAGAGAGGAGAGAGAGGCCCAATGATCCAATGATACTGTTTATGCCCCTTGGATGTTGGATGTTGCCCCTCCTAAAAGTATATATATCCCTAGTCTTTAAATGATATAGGCTTAAAAATTACAATTTTTAGATTTTTACTTAAGCTAGGTTGAATAGGGTGTCACTTGCAACCTATTGAGTTTTGAATAATAGGGTTCTTATGGTGACTCCTGCTACATCCCTGTGACTCTAGGAACCACATTGAAAGTTACCATTCTTGAGTAAAGTCTTAAGAAACTCATTTCTAGGAAATGAGGAAAGATTGAACACATTTTCAGAAACAGAAAAAAAAAAGCCATTGAAGGAGAGTGTTGATTGATGGAAAAGGTGAGTGAAAATGTGCTCAAAAGCATAGATGGGCAGATAACCTTAGAAAGGAAGAGAGAAATTTGAGTCAGGGAGGAAGATAAAAACACTTTCTGTACCTATGGAGTTTTATTGAACCAACTTGGTTTATATACCAGTCCCAGAAACCACCATTGTGTCTAGAGACATAAAATGTTCTAGTTGGCCCAGGCCACCCCTGCTAGGGGTGGGGACAACTGAGATCACATGAAGTGGGGTAGGAGTGACTTCCAATAGGAAAAAAAGAGGTTCCATGACAAAAGAAAAAAGAACAAATAAAAATAAGTGTTGGGTGGGTAAAATCAACAGATATTAATCCTGGTGGTAAAATTATACATGTGGTGAGAGGGGTGGCAAGTAAAAAAAACTCTGGCACCATCACTCAGCCTCCCACTGCTTCAACTGAAGCAGCTCTGTTTTTCTTGGATGCTTATTACATATATATATATATATACACACACACGTATATATACTGATATACTGTATATATATGTATATATATATCAGTATATGTCAGTAATCTCTGAGTGCTGAAATATATATGTATATATTATAGCTCAGTACACATGCACACATGCACACGCACACACACACACACACACACACACACACACACACACACACACACATATATCCTCATAAGATTTCATTTGGAAAAAAAACAATGCCATATAACATAGAGGTCTTAGTCCATTCAGGCTGTTATACCCACAAAAACTTCTTATTCTATCTTCAGTATATCCCTATCAACCAAGAAGATTTGTGGACCAATATTCCCCTAGATTTGATATGTTTATCACTGTGATTTCATGAGATGATATTAGGTGGCATACAGATGAACATTTCTTAAATTTTAGTAGTCATACTAAGTTTCAAAATTCACATCTTAACAGATATTATTGCTACTTATGGTATTAAGTAAAAATATGTGGTTGATTTAAAGAAAATAGTATAAATGAAGCATAAGTGATAGAAATTGAGGAAGCTGTTACATGATATTACTCCCAGTTGTTTGGACTGTAATTATACATGCCTTCTTAGTCCTTCCTCCATGCTCCACCCATTCCACAACTAGGAGATTTATTTAAAAAAAGAGATACAGTGCTTTATGTTCAAACTTAAAAAGTTTTAGCTCATATCTTAATATGGTTATTTCTGGATTTTTTAGATAATTTAAAGTAGAAGCAGAGTATTCAATGGTCTATAATGGTCCTAGTAGTCACTGGAAGTTTATTTTAACTAATTTTTTTAAATTATACTTTAAGTTATGGGATACAAGTGCAGAATGTGCAGGATTGTTACATAGGTATACATGTGCCATTGTGGTTTGCTGCACCCATCAACTCGTCATCTACATTAGGTATTACTCCCAATGTTATCCCTCCCAGTACCCCCCACCACCCGACAGGCCCCGGTGTGTGATGTTCCCCTCCCTGTATCCATATATTCTCATTGGTCGATTCCCACTTATGAGTGAGAACATGTGGTGTTTGGTTTTCTGTTCCTGTGTTAGTTTGCTGAGAATGTTGTTTTCTAGCTTCATCCATGTTCCTGCAAAGGACACGAACTCGTCCTTTTTTATGGCTGCATAGTATTCCATGGTGTATATGTACCACATTTTCTTTATCCAGTCTGTCATTGATGGGCATTTGGGTTGGTTCCAAGTCTTTGCTCTTGTGAATAGTGCTGCAATAAACATATGTGTGTGTGTCTGTCTTTATAGTAGAATAATTTATAATCTTTTGGGTATATACACAGTAATGGGATTGCTGGGTCAAATGATATTTCTAGTTCTAGATCCTTGAGGAATTGTCACACTGTCTTCCACAATGGTTGAAATAATTTACACTCCCACCAACAATGTAAAAGCATTCCTATTTCTCCACATCTGCTCCAGCATCTGTTGTTTCCTGACTTTTTAATGATCGCCATTGTAACTGGCATGAGATGGTATCTCATTGTGGTTTTGATTTGCATTTCTCTAATGACCAGTGATGATGAGCTTTTTTTCATGTTTGTTGGTGCATAAAATGTCTTCTTTTGAAAAGTGTCTGTTCATATCCTTCACCCACTATTGAACCAAAAAAGAGCCTGTATAGACAAGACAATCCTAAGCAAAAAGAACAAAGCTGGAGGCATCACGCTACCTGACTTGAAACTATACTACAAGGCTACAGTAACCAAAACTGCATGGTACTGGTACCAAAACAGGTATATAGACAAATGCAACAGAACAGAGGCCTCAGAAATAACACCACACAACTACAAGTTTGTGATCTTTGACAAATCTGACAAAAACAAGCAATGGGGAAAGGATTCCCTATTTAATAAACAGTGTTGGGAAAACTGGCTAGCCATATGCAGAAAACTGAAACTGGACCTCTTCCTTACACCTTATCCAAAAATTAACTCAAGATGGATTAAACACTTAAACATAAGACCTAAAACCATAAAAACCCTAGAAGAAAACCTAGGCAATACCATTCAGGACATAGGCATGGCCAAAGACTTCATGACTAAAACTCCAAAAGCAATGGCAATAAAAGCCAAAATTGACAAATGAGATCTAGTTAAACTAAAGAGCTTTTGCACAGCAAAAGAAACTATTATCAGAGTGAACAGGCAACCTAAGAATGGGAAAAAATTTTTGCAATCTCTCCATCTGACACAGGGCTAATATCCAGAATCTACAAGAAACACAAATTTACAAGGAAAAAACAACCACATCAAATAGTGGGTGAAGGATGTAAATTTTTTTAATTATATAGAAATAATGGCTAGTAGCTGCTGATCAGAAGATTTCAATATATCTCTCCAGCAGGCAGGCTTCTTTATTCTCTCCATTTTGAGAATCAGCTATGCTAAAGAAATCTAATTCTTCTGGATATTTTCTTCTTCTGGTCTTTTCTATTTTTAATGGATTAAGTACACCTGACTGGCTCTTGGACCCCAAATCTTCAAGATGTCACATGATAGTTGACCCTACCACTGTCTTATATCTATGTGGCCAACCTAAGGCCAATAGCTCACTCTGTAGACAGTTCTTTGTATTTGTTATGTTTCTGCTAATGGTACTACTGACCTATTAGTCACTAAGATTGAAAACTGTGGTTATATCTTTAACTCTATTTCTCCCTGGACCATTTTAAGTAATTATTCTGGGCGTTTCTATCATCCAATGAGTCTTGATTCTATTCTCTGTGATAAAACATTTATTCAGTAACTGGGGAAGACATCAGGAGGAAGTGCCTGTTATTGATTTCCTATCCTCTGTTCTCTTCTTCCTCTAAACAATCTTATACACTTGTTCTAAATTAATCTTCATAAAGCACAAATACATGTCATGGCCATGCTTATGCACATCCAAAGGGCCTGCATTGGCTACTAAATAGTGTCTAAATTTGTTAATATAGCGTTCAAGATCCTCCCACTTATCTGTCGTTATATTCTTTCACTTCTTTTTATATTCACTGTGTACACAATTACCCCCACAATTTCATTATACTTTGTCCTCTGTGCTTTTTCATCTTCTTCTCCTGTCAAGAAGCTCTTCTACCTCTACTTGTCAGAATACTATCAGTTTTGAATATTAAGTAAATGATGCAGTATCCATATAATGAAATATTTTATGATTAAAACTATGATTTACAAAGGATTTTAATTGTATTTATTAATTAGCATAATAAATGTAGAACATCTCCTTCATGTCAGGCATTCTGTCAGGTGTGGAGGATACAGAAGTTCATAAGATAGACTTAGTTGATATCATAATGAAGCTTATGGTGGACATTTAGACATTGAAGAACTCACTGGAGGCATGCTGAGTGCTTGAACAATAAGTATTAGGTGATGTGGACATTTAACCTAGTTTAAAGTTAAAAGGAAGCTTCTTGAAGGCAGCCATGTTTAAGGCATGCATTGAAACATATGAAAAGATGGTGGTTCTCACACTTCTTTGTTTCAGGACTCTTTTATGCTCTTAAAAATAATTGAGGACCTCAAAGAGCTTTGGTTTATGTGAGTTATATTTATCAATGCTTAATGTTAGAAATTTAAAAATATTTATTAATTTAAAATAATAAACATGTTTACATGCATATTTAATGACAAATAACTATATTTCCACCAATACAAAAGTCTAGTGAGAAGACCATTTTACATTTTTACTGATCTCTTTAATGTCTTGCTTAACAGAAGGCAACTGGATTTTCATATCTGCTTCTGCTTTTGTAATATGCTGTTTTGTGATATGCCGTTTTGGTTGAAGAATATGAAGAGAATCTAATCTCACACAGATATATAGTTGGACAATGGAGGAATATTTTAATAGTCTTGTAAGATGATTGTGGATATTTTTCTTTGATACTATTATGCATCAAAAGTCAACAAGTGTCATTTTTCTCAAAGGTTAGTTACAATATGGAATCGAAAACTTATCAATGAACTTTTGCACTCTGTTACATTAAAATCCTCTGGCCTACTTTTCACATTGAATGGATCCTTTAACCACACATGATTTTGACCTTGTTAATCCCTTGAAAGGGGATCTCTGATCCATAGGGATCCTCTAACTGCACTTTGAGGGTTACTGGAATGAGAATTACTTTGGTATTTAGGGGAGGACAAAGATAAAAAAAAAAACAGTCTGGTAGTCAGAAAAGTATGGGGAAAAATTGGGTTATGATGTTACTGAAGAAGCACAATACAATGTACACAGTAGGATCTCAACTCTTTAAAGGAAAAAAATTGGCAAGGAATAAAGTCTGTAAGGGTTTACAAAATGTTAACAGCAGCTCTTTATGTCATTGCTCTTTTTACATTTCCCTAAATTATTATATTTCAACAATGAGCTGTTTTTTTACTTTGAAAATTAATGAAAAATAAAATGGCAAATAAATCTAAGTATCCTTTGAAATTCCGCTTATATATTATGACCTTTATAAAGCCTTTTCTTATTCCCTCCCCTATCTAGAAGTAATGTCTCCTCTTTAGTGTTTTCCTATATAAAATGTTTGCACTTTCCTATCAGGATTTAGATTATTCTGTAGTATATTATAGGGGTGCTTGTGCAAATTGTACCAGTTGTACTCCTCTGAGTGTAGGATCTAGAGTTTGTTTCCCCAGTATAATGCATAGTTTCTTATATTCTAGAAATAACTCAACAAAATTTTTGGAATTAAATTGAATTGAAATCCTAAGTAAGTGTTTCATGTATTATAAATGATATTTAAATGATATTACCAGATAATACACAGCTACTGTAGAAGATTTGGGAAAACAGAGAAAAGTATAAATAAGATAGTGGATCATGGTTAACAGCAAAGACTTTGAAATTCTAGTGACCTAGCTTCAAATCCTGGATCTGCTTCATGCTTACTATCTCTGTGTGATCATGGACAAGTCTTCTAATCACTCTAATTCCCAGTTTCCCCTCCTATGAAACAGAGGTTATAATTATATCTCCCAGGGTTGTTGTGAGGAATTGACGACATAATGTATGTAAAAATTCTGGTATATAATAATACTTGATGAATAGTAGCTATTTGTTATTACATTATTATCACATCTAAACCATTCATCCAGAATTTCATAAATTTATTGTAATTAATGCATTCTCTAATATATTCAGAGTCACTGGCTACTTAATATTCCTGTTACCGCTAATCACTTTTGCAAGTATGCATTGTTGGTTGAGTTTGTTTGAGGTTATCTGGCCATTTACAAATAAAATCATGCCTATAAATGTCATAATCCTATAATGATGGATTATATACAACACACATTACAACCTGTGGGTTGTAATATTATAAGCAATCTGGAGTGGTGGCAAGAGATTCAGATAAACAAGTGAAGAGTCTAATTACCAGAAATATTTTCATTAAATGGCTGCAGCTTGTATTATGATTGCTGTTACATTTGTTAAAGACAGTGCTGAATGACACTCTGTACTTTAGCTTGGAGGAGCATGTCCTGGGGCTGCTACGACAGCTGTCTGTGTCAGTCAGGGGAATTGAATATCTGGCTAACTAAAAGCCAAATAAACACATTTGTTCCCTGCCTCTTGCCATGCTACAATGAAAGAAATATGTGCAAAATTTAAAAATAATACCATTGACCCTCTAAATACTTGAAAAGACACGGTTTCTCAGCAGTAGTTATGGGCTGTTCAATGTGCCATACACCATCTCCTTAGTATGCACTGGGAGGAAGATTCCTGTAGGAGAATTAAGTTGTTCACCATCATCATTGCCATACTTTGCCTTTTTGGATGCTCACACCAGCACTGGTACTTCTAGACCTAGTCTGGCCATTCTGTAACAAGAAAATAATGGAAGGGAGAGAGTTTTTACCATCCTATCTTATGGGGTACTGTGTCTGGGTCTGCTCCACAGACTGCTTGCCTGGCTTTAATACCTCGAATCTGTGTGTTCTTTGTGGCTAAATTGGTCCTTGGAAACATTCATATCCAGAGTCACCAGGCCTTGATTGTTTCCCCTGGTTTCAGTTGGTGCCTTCCATTGTGGCACCATGCCTAAATTTTACCTACCTAAGACCCCAAATATCTCATGTCTTCAAATTGCCTACTTACAAATCCCCATCCCAATAAAAATTCCCACTTCCTTGACACAACTTATTTACTTGTACATCAAGAGAAAGGCATAATTTTGAACTTATTAACTCCGATATGTCTGACTGGCTGAGAGTTCCTTATCCTTCACAACTTTGCTGGCACCGAATAACCTCATCTATCCGGTAAGTGTCTGCTATGTCCTTTGTCGTGAGCTTTCAGTATTAAGACCAAATTCTTGAGGAGCCAGCAGTCTTGAGGGTGGAAAGACATATAAAAAAGAAGTTATTATGATGATACAATGTAGTACTTGCAATGATGGAGATATAGTGTGTTATAGAGTAAGCACATCTTACTTGGTCTTCAGGTATCAAGGAAGGTAGCTTGGAAGAAGAGATGTGAACTCAGTTTGAGGATCAGGATTTAGCCAAGTGAAGTGAAGGTAAAGTTTATATTAAGCAGAATGGATAGCAGCAGGCAACAGTACTGAGGAGCATCATGTATGAAGAAAACTGTGAAGCAATTCAGAGATGCAGAGAGTGGTAAAGAATTAAATGCAAGACAAGAAGACAGAAGCCAGGTCGTGTGAGGCTTTTTTTGTGTCATAGAACTTGAGCTTGGTTCCAAGGGTGATGGGGAGTTACTGAAGTATGTTTATAAGACTGAGGAAAAGAGCCAGCAGAAGAGAGAGATTGAAGATATGGGAGGAGTGAACGATAGAATGTGGGGATGAAGAGAGAAAGGAATGTGAATCAAAAGCATAGAAAAAAGGTTTGCCCATGCAGGAGAGTCTTCTGGGCTTTGTGCTTCTTCAAAAGTCTATTAAAAATCCAGCATTTGTATACTGTGAGGAAAAAACACGTTTTTCTCTTTCTCATTTTTCCCTTTGTCCTTTGGCCCAATCTCCAAACTGCACCCCTACCTAAGGTTCAGCGTGATAGACCCTGTGAAAACGGACTAGAATTGGCCTCTGTGAGAGGGATTTGATGTGTACTGGTGGCATTTGAGTGGCATTTGACAGTTTACAAAGCCTTTTCACATCCACTATCTCACAATAGCCCTGTAAGGCAGGCAGAAAAGCTATGGCCATCCCCATGTTATGAAGTTCAGAAAGTTTAAGTTGCTTGTTTGGTGTCAGGTCACTTAAAATGAATAAATGTCAGTGTTTCAACTGGCATCCAAGTCGTTTACTTCTAGATCCCATTCCCTTTTCACTACACTCAGATGCTTATTCGAGGTTTTATGTATGAATGAGTGGGTTGTATAGGTGAATAAGTAATCAAACCATGATTTCAGCCTTTTGAGCACAATTCTGTAGCCAATGAATCTCATCTACTGGTCAGCACCATGTCATCATAAATAAACTAACTCAGTGTGGTCACCTCTATGAAATGGGAACTAGAACTTCATTTCATGCCTGGGCTTCTTTGAGGACAACGCATACAGAAACTAACTTTTTATTAATCATGTATTAATTGATTTTATAGATCACCAAGATGGTCTGATTCTTCTCTCTGTCCATTCTCCTTATTTACCTTTGCTCTTTTTCCTTTTCCTTATGCACCTTGGGCTATCTCAGATGGAGTCAAAGTTGAAAAATACAGCATTAAGTGAGTGATGTTAGATATCAATAGTTTTTGTGTATGCTTAGCATTTGAAAGAGTTGATGTTTAATACCCAAGTCCACTTTTGGTTTATCAAATTCTTCTAGCTTATAGTTTTTCCTCATTAGGATAGTTAAGACTTTACTGTATTTATTAGGCCTGTTGCTCTAATAAAATAAACAAAGTACGTGAATAAAGAGCAAAATGAGCCATCTGGGTTATATACTGCAAGTGTTCTAACGTTTATTTAACTGTCTGCCCCTGTAAGCACCTCAAATGAGATGGCATTGAAGATAAAATTAGAGTATATTAAGTTACTCAAATATCTCCTCAATGTATCATGCTCTTCTATCTTTCTTTAACCCCTATGCAGTTATAGTTCACAAACTTAAACTATTTGTGTGCTTGCTGATTGTTATTATTCTGGGCAAGTAGATGCTTCATTTGAATGTTCATCTTCAGTCTCCAACACTGATGTTTTTAGACTAGCATGGACCTACTGCCCACTTACAGTTGACACTTCCCTTGTCTTTTTGCATCTCACCAACATTTTTCACTTTCTTCAGTAACTTGTTGCACAACATTCTGAGTTTTTCATTCTCTCTTTTTGCCATTTGTATTAAAAGGTAGAGCCACTATTTTTATTCCCTGGACCATAGTACTGTTTGCATTTTGGCTGGCTAGCTCACACTGGCTGTCAGGTGAAGTAGAGACTAAGGATTGCAGAAAGATATGTCAGGTGGGAGGCTGTCATTGCATTTTCTTGAGGATGAGGACTGGTAACCTGTTTGCCAGAAATAACTGACCCCAATTATGGTATGACTACTAAAATGCCGCTTTTAAAAAATATGCTGACTGAACTAGTGTTATTAATGCTTATTCTCACAGGGTCTGAAAGAGATGATCAATCTATCTTTCCTTCTTATATCTGCATTTGGAAAAAAAGTACTCCAATTTATGAGAAAAAATATACATATGAATGTGTGTGATTAACAGGATCTTGAGCCCAGAAAATATTTTCACCCATCCCTCTGCCCACTACTTTGCTTGTCCTTGCTCTTCACATATACTGTTTCCTGGGCAATACACATATACACTGTAGGGAGCCTTACATTATGAGGTATTCTACTTTCCTCAGAATATCCCTTCAGATATGTGAAGAAGTGCTCATACTTCATTTATTCATAGTTATATCTTCATTCAACAATTATTTGTTATCTCCTCTGTGCTAGGTGTTGTACCACATGCTGAGGATTCTATAGTGAGCAAGGTAGACATAGCATTTGCCCTCCTGGAGTTAAAAAAAAAGTGACAGACTAAAAGGAGAGGACTACCTGAGATATGATCATCAGGAAAGACCTTTATGAAAAGGTTACCTAGCTAACACCTGAAGCATGAAAGCAAGCCAGATATAAAATCAATCAATCAGTTAAACAAACCACCTGACTATGGTGAAGAGTGTCCCAGGCAGAGAGAGGAAAATATTTGGCAATTCTGAAGAATGGAAAGAAAGCCATTTCAGCTGCAGTATAGTGTGAGATAGAGGGTATGGTGCAAGATAAGAGCAAAGAGGTAGACAAGAGGCAAAGTTTTAGGGCCTTGTAGGTCATGACAAGAAATTTGAATTTTATTCTAAGTACACGGTCCTAAAAATCCCCTGGAGGGTTTTTATTCATCAGGGTTCTCTAGAGGGACAAAACAATGGAATATATGTGTGTGTGTATATATATATATATATATATGGAATATATATATGGAATATATACATATGGAATATATATATGGAATATATACATATGGAATATATATATGGAATATATACATATGGAATATATATATGGAATATATACATATGGAATATATATATGGAATATATACATATGGAATATATATATGGAATATATACATATGGAATATATATATGGAATATATACATATGGAATATATACATATGGAATATACACATGGAATATATACATATGGAATATACACATGGAATATATACATATGGAATATACACATATGGAATATATACATATGGAATATACACATATGGAATATATACATAGGGAATATACACATATGGAATATATACATAGGGAATATACACATACGGAATATATACATAGGGAATATACACATACGGAATATATGCATGGAATATACACATACGGAATATATACGTATGGAATATACACATACGGAATATATACATGGAATATATATATGGAATATATACATGGAATATATATATGGAATATATACATGGAATATATATATACGGAATATATACATGGAATATATATATACGGAATATATACATGGAATATATATATATACGGAATATATACATGGAATATATATATACGGAATATATATATACGGAATATATAAACGGAATATATATATACGGAATATATATACATGGAATATATATACATGGAATATATACATGGAATATATATACATGGAATATATATACATGGAATATATACATGGAATATATATGGAATATATACATGGAATATATATGGAATATATACATGGAATATATACATGGAATATATATACATGGAATATATATATGGAATACATATGGTATACATATGGAATATATATATGGTATACATATAGAATACATATGGTATACATATATATGGAATACATATGGAATACATGTGGAATACATATATATGGAATACATATGGAATATATATGGAATACATATGGAATACATATGGAATACATATATATGGAATACATATGGAATACATATGGAATATATATATATGGAATTTATATGGAATATATATGGAATACATATATACGGAATACATATATACGGGATACATATATACGGAATACATATATATGGGATACATATATATGGAATACATATGGAATACATATATATGGAATACATATGGAATACATATATATGGAATACATATATATGGAATACATATGGAATACATATATATGGAATACATATATGGAATACATATGGAATACATATATATGGAATACATATGGAATACATATATATGGAATACATATATGGAATACATATGGAATACATATGGAATACATATATGGAATACATATATATGGAATACATATATATGGAATACATATATGGAATACATATATATGGAATATATATATAATATATGTGGAATATATATATGGAATATATATATATGGAACATATATATAATATATATGGAATATATATATAATATATATAGGAATATATATATGGAATATATATATTTGGAATATATATATATGGAATATATATATTTGGAATATATATATATGGAATATATATATTTGGAATATATATATATGGAATATATATATTTGGAATATATATATATGGAATATATATATTTGGAATATATATATATGGAATATATATATTTGGAATATATATATATGGAATATATATATTTGGAATATATATATGGAAGATTATTACATATTAACTAAAACAATCACAAAGTCCTACAATAGGCCATCTTCAGGCTGAGGAGCAAGGAGAGCCAGTCCAAGTTCCAAAACTGAAGACCTTGGAGTCTGATGTTTGAAGGCAGGAATTATCCAGCATCAGGAAAGATGTAGGCTGGGAGGCTAGGCCAGTCTCTCTTTTCACATTTTTCTGCCTGCTTATATTCTAACCAAGCAGGCAGTTGATTAGATTGTGCCCACCAAGATTAAGAGTGGATCTGCCTTTCCTATCCCACCGACTGAAATATTAATGTCCTTTGGCAGCATGCTCACAGACACATCCAGGATCAATACTTTGTATCCATCAATCCAATCAAGTTGATACTCAGTATTAACTATCACAAGTCCACCCCTTGCCAACTTGAACCCATACACATCTCCTGAGCTCATACATGATCTTCAAATAAAGACAATAATAAAGTCATAATTATGCCTAACGTAATACAACTATTCTTTGTACAACTGTAAATGCACCAATCCCCAACCCAAATACTATTACATAAAGTTAACAATACTTAAATGCTGATGTGAAGTAAATAAATCTTATGTTACATGATAAAGGAGAAAGAAAATAAAATGAAGATATTTTCTTACTATGAATGTGTACATGCACAAACATCTTTTTAACAAAAACCAGAGGAAATACTCATGATAGTTACAGTCCTCGTTTCTGCAGCTGGTCACGTGGTTGTAGCTGGTATTGATGACTACCTTCTTCTACTACTCATTCTGTATTCCCTTTGCCTTAAGCAAGCACCTCAGCACGTTGTGGTTTTTTTTTCCTGGGGGAGTCACCCAAACCTGAAGGGTCTGGGCCATCTGTGGTCCTGCCTGGATTGGGCTGTTGTAGTTTCCCATTGACCTTAATCACAGGGCATTGTAATAATAAGAGATGCCCAAATGGATCCCTTATATTCCATGCATACTCTTCATTACCTCTGTTATGGAGTACTAGACTGAATTCATCTTGATAGTCTTGGACAATCACCGCAGCCAACACTGTAACTCCCTTCTTAGACTGTTGACTTAAAGGTAGGAGGAGACCAAAGTGTCCAGGTAGCAATCTTAACTCTTGGTTTAATGGAGTCATTGTTGTGTCTCCTGGTGGCAGTGTTCCTCCCTCTGGAACTAAGACCTCTAGGCCAGCAGAATGTAATGTCATGGGAACAGGAAGCACCCAAGATTAAACCAGGAAGAAGGCTAATCCCTGAATAGACCAATAACAAGTTCTGAAACTGAGGCAGTAATTAATAGCCTACCATCCAAAAAAAGCCCAATACCAGAGGGATTCACAGCCGAATTCTACCAGAGGTACAAAGAGGAGTTGGTACCATTCCTTCTGAAACTATTCCAAACAATAGAAAAACAGGGACTCCTCCTGAACTCATTTTATGAGGCCAACATCATCCTGATACAAAAACCTGGCAGACATACAACAAAAAAAGAAAATTTCAGGCCAATATCCCTGATGAACATCAATGTGAAAATCCTCAATAAAATACTGGCAAACTGAATCCAGCAGCACTTCAAAAAGCTTATCCACCACGATCAAGTCCACTTCATCCCTGGGATGCAAGACTGGTTCAACATGTGCAAATCAACAAATGTAATCCATCATATAAGCAGCACCAATGACAAAAACCACGTGATTATCTCAATACATGCAGAAAAGGCCTTCTAAACTCTCAATAAACTAGGTATTGATGGAACGTATCTCAAAATAACAAGAGCTATTTATGACAAACCCAAAGCGAATATCATACTGAATGTGCAAAAGCTGGAAGCATTCCCTTTGAAAACTGGCATAAGATAAGGATGCCCTCTCTCACCACTCCTATTCAACATAGTATTGGAAGTTGTGGCCAGGGCAATCAGGCAAGAGAAAGAAATAAAGGGTATTCAAGTAGGAAGAGAGGAAGTCAAATTGTCTCTGTTTGCAGATGACATTCTTGTATATATAGAAAACCCCTGTCTCACATGTCCATGTGAAGAGACCACCAAACAGGCTTTGTGTGAGCAACAAGGCTGTTTATTTCACCTGGATGCAGGTGAGGGCTCGAGTTAAGGCAATGAGTTCAGCTTGCTGAGAGGTAGTGGAGGGAGGCAGAGTGGTAGCCTCAGTGATAGATGTGGAAGATACTACAGCATAGCCTGCCTTTGCTAGTAAGTGGCAATTAGGCCTGGTGGAACTGCCATCAATAAAGCAAATGTGATCAGGGTGAGGAACAGGAAAGAAGGAAATATGGGGAAATGAGGTGAATGTCAGGTGGATCAGAGAGATACAGTCATGGGGATCAGGTGTGGTATCCGGAATAATGTGGGAGGTCGGATTGAAGTCTGGGCCAGGAACAATGGTAACTGTGGGAGACTCAACAAAGAGTGAGTACAGCTGAAGGAGCCAGGGAGCAGAAAGTACATGTGTCAGGTGTGAGGAAGACAATAGATTTTGGAAGTTATGAGAACTGTAGAGAGTGAGTTGAGCATAGTTTGTGATTTTGGGGGCCTCTAAAAATATTAGGGCAGTGACAGCTGCCGCATGAAGACATGAAGGCTAGGCTAAAACAGTAAGGTCAGGTTGTTTGGAAAAAAGGCTACAGGGCACAGTCTCAGCTCTTGTGTAAGAATTCTGACCACACAGCCCTGCTCTTTGGCTGTGTGCAATGAAAAAGGATTGGGATGAGTTAGGGAGAACTAGTGTGGGGGCAGCTTCTAGGGCTGTTGTTAAGGAACAGAAAGGAGTGGTGAAAGGATTTAGGATCTGTGGGGTCAGCTAGGTTTGCTTTTGTGAGTTGTTATAATGGTTTAGTCAGGATGGTAAAACTAGGTATCCAAAGGCAGAAGTACCTAACCATGCCTAGGACGGAAAGGAGTTGTTGTTTTGTAGAATGGATTGGGGTTTGTGAGATTAGCCGGACATGATCAGCAGGGAGAGCACGTGTGTTTTCATGAGAATTATGCTGAGATAGGTAACAGATGAGGAAGAAATTTGGGCTTGACTGAATAATGGGGGCTGTCTGTGAAGCCTTGCGGCAGTACAGCCCAGGTAATTTGCTGAGACTGATGGGTGTCAGGCTCAGTCCAGGTAAAAGCAAAGAGAGGCTGGGATGAGGGGTGCAGGGGAATAGTGAAAAAAGCATCTTTAAGATCAAGAACGGAAAAGTGAGTTGTGGAGGAAGGTATTGAGTACAAAAGAGTGTACGGGTTGGGCACTTCAGGATGGATAGGCAAAACAATTTGGTTGATAAGGTGCAGATCCTGAACAAACCTGTAAGACTTGTCCAGTTTTAGGACAGGTAAAATGAGGGAATTGTAAGGAGAGTTTATAGGCTTTAAAAGGCCATGCTGTAACAGGCGAGTGATAACAGGCTTTAATCCTTTTAAAGCATGCTGTGGGATGGGATATTGGCGTTGAGTGGGGTAAGGGTGATTAGGTTTTAATGGGATGGTAAGGGGTGCATGATTGGTCACCAATGAGGGAGTAGAGGCATCCTATACTTGTGGTTTAAGGTGGAGAGATACAAGAGGAGGATGTGAAGGAGGCTTTGAACTGGAGCAAAAGGCGGCAATGAGGTGTGGCTCTAGCCCAGGAATAGTCAGGGAAGCAGATAAATTAGTTAAAATGTCTCGACCTAATAAGGGAGCTGGGAAGGTGCGGATAACTAAAAAGGAGTGCATAAAAGAATGTTGTCCAAGTTGGCACCAGAGCTGGGGAGTTTTAAGAGGTTTAGAAGCCTGGCCGTCAATACCCACAACAGTTATGGAGGCAAGGGAAACACACCCTTGAAAAGAAGGTAATGTGGAGTGGGTAGCCTCTGTATTGATTAGGAAGGGGACGGACTTACCCTCCACTGTAAGAGTTACCCAAAGCATCTGTGATGGTCTTGTAGGTTTCCGAGGCGATCGGGCAGTGTCAGTCTTCAGCCGCTAAGCTGAGAAGATCTGGGAAGGAGTCAGTCAGAGCCTTGGGCCAGTTGGACAGTCCAATTTCCAGTGGGGTCCCACACAGATGGGACACTGCTTAGGAGGAATCCCAGGCTGCAGGCATTCCTTGGCCCAGTGGCCAGATTTCCGGCACTTATACCAAGCTCCTGGACGAGGAGGTTCTGGAGGAACCCCTGGCAGCTGCAGTTCAGGCATTTGGAGTTCTTGTGTACTGAAGATGTGGCTGGGGTTTGTCTCACAGTGGAGGCAAGGAACTGAAACTCAGAAATACATTGCTACTTGGCTACCTCTACTCTATTATTGTACACCTTGAAGGCAAAGTTAATTAAGTCCTGTTGTGGGGTTTGAGGGCCAGAATCTAATTTCTGGAGCTTTTTTTAATGTTGGGAGTGGGTTGGGTAATAAAATGTATATTGAGAATAAGACAGCCTTCTGGCACCTATGGGTCTAGGGTGGTAAAATATCTAAGGGTTGTTGCCAAAGGGGCCATGGACTGGACTGGGTTTTTATATTTGATGAAAAAGAGCCCAAATGCTAACTGATTTGGGAGAGGTCAGATAAAGAAAAAAGGGGCATTAACCTTGACTATGCCTTTAGCTCCAGCCACCTCTTTAAGAGGACATTGTTGGGCAGGTGGGGGAGGGCTAGCCATGGAACAAAACTGTAAGCCAGACCAGGTGTAAGGAGGGAAGGTGATAGAAGGATTATAGGATGGGGGAGCAGAGGCTGAGGATGAATTGAGACCTGGCTTGGCCTGGCAAGGGGCAGCCTGGGGAGAAGGGGATGTCAGATGAGTCCATAGAAAAGAAGGATTCAAAGGACTCAGAGCCTGGGGTGGAGACTGAAGGAACAGACAGGAGAGAAAGAAGAAAGATTTGGGATGAGTCTCACTGGGAGCAGAGACTAGGGAGGGACCAATGTGTAAAAGAATGCCTGGACATCAGGTACCTCAGACCATTTGCCCATTTTTTGACAAAAATTATCTAGGTCTTGTAGGATGGAGAAATTAAAAGTGCCATTTTCTGGCCATTTAGAACCATTGTCAAGTTTGTATTGGGGCCAAGCAGTGTTGCAGAAGAAAATAAGACGCTTAGATTTTAGGTCAGGTGAGAGTTGAAGAGGTTTTAAGTTCTTGAGAACACAGGCTAAGGGAGAAGAAGGAGGAATGGAAGGTGGAAGGTTGCCCATAGTGAAGGAGGCAAGTTTAAAGAGAAGGGTAGAGACATGGGGAAGGGGGGTGGGGAGCAGCCCTGGGCTGCAACGTGGGTGAGCAGCCAAAGCAGGCATCCCCGCAATTGACTTGCCACCAAGGGAATGTGGGTGAATGACCAAGGCAGGCATCCCCGCAGAGATCAGACACCAATGGAACATGGGTGATTAATCAGAGAGGCATCCCCGCAATGATTAAACACCAAAGGAAGGCTGCCTTCCCAAGTCCGTGACTGGCACCGGAGTTTTGGGTCCATGGATAAAATGTGTCTCCTTTGTCTCTACCAGAAAATGAAAGGAATTGAAATTAAGAGAAGGGAGAGATTGAAGGGTGGCACCAAGATTGAAGGGAGAAAGAGGTTGAGGGATAGTGAGAGAGGTTGGAGAAGAGAGTAAAAAGAGGCCGCTTACCCAATTTAAAATCGGTGAGATGTTCCTTAGGCTGGTTGGTCTGAAGACCGGAGGTCGTAGGTGGATCTCTTCACAGAGTGGGGGTGAGGACAGGGGACTGGTGTCCTGAAGGAGTCCCACTGACCCAGGTCTTTGGCAACAAATGCCTCACATGTCCGTATGAAGAGACCACCAAACACACTTTGTGTGAGCAACAAGGCTGTTTATTTCACCTGGGTGCATGTGGGCTGAGTCCAAAAAGAGAGTCAGCAAAGGGTGATGGGATTATCATTAGTTCTTATAAGTTTTGGGATAGATGGTGGAGTTAAGAGCAATGTTTTGGGGGCAGGGGGTGGATCTCACAAAGTACATTCTCAAGGGTGGGGAGAATTACAAAGAACCTTCTTAAGGGTGGGGGAGATTATAAAGAACCTTCTTAAGGGTGGGGGAGATTACAAAGTACATTGGTCAGTTAGAGTGGGGCAGAAACAAATACAATGGTGGAATGTCATCAGTTAAGGCTATTTTCACTTCTTTTGTGGATCTTCAGTTGCTTCAGGCCATCTGGATGTATACCTGCAGGTCACTGGGGATATGATGGCTTAGCTTGGGCTCAGAGGCCTGACAACCCAATTGTCTCAGCCAAAAATCTCCTTAAGCTGATAAGCAACTTCAGCAAAGTCTCATGATAAAAAAAATCAATGTGCAAAAATCACAGAAATCCTATACACCAATAACAGACAGAGAGCCAAATCATGAGTTAACTCCCATTCACAATTGTTACAAAGAGAATAAAATACCTAGGAAAAAACATACAAGGGATGTGAAGGACCTCTTCAAGGAGAACTACAAACCACTGCTCAAGGGAATAAGAGAGGACACAAACAAATGGAAAAACATTCCATGCTCATGGATAGGAAGAATCAATATCATGAAAATGGCCATACTGCCCAAAGTAATTTATAGATTCAATGATATACCCATCAAGCTATTATTGACATTTTTCACAGAATTAGAAAAAAGCTACTTTAAATTTTGTATGGAACCATAAAAGAGCCCGTATAGCCAAGACAATCCTAAGCAAAAGAACGAAGCTGGAGGCATCACGCTACCTGACTTCAAACTATACTACAAGGCTACAGTTACCAAAACAGTATGGCACTGGTAACAAAACAGATATATAGACCAATGGAACAGAGTAGAGGCCTCAGAAATAGCACCACACATCTACAACCATCTGATCTTTGACAAACCTGACAAAAGCAAGCAATGGGAAAAATATTCCCTATTTAATAAATGATGTTGGGAAAATTGTATAGCTATATGGAGAAAACTGAAACTGGACCCCTTCCTTACACCTTATACAAAAATTAACTCAAGATGGAGTAAAGACTTAAATGTAGGACCTAAAACCATAAAAAGCATAGAAAAAACCCTAGACAATACCATTTAAGACATAGGCATGGGCAAAGACTTCATGACTAAAACACGAAAAGCAATGGCAACAAAAGCCAAAATTGGCCAATGGGATCTAATTAAACTAAAGAGCTTCTGCACAGCAAAAGAAACTATCATCAGAGTGAACAGGCAACCTACAGAATGGGAGAAAATTTTTGCAATCTATCCATCTGACAAAGGGCTAATATCCAGAATCTACAAAGAACTTAAATAAATTTACAAGAAAAAACAACCCCATCAAAAAGTGGGCAAAGGAGATGAACAGACACTACTCAAAAGAAGACATTTATGCAACCAACAAACATATGAAAAAAAGCTCATCATCACTTGTCATTAGATAAATGCAAATCAAAACCACAATGAGATACCATTTCACGCCAGTTAGAGTGGCAATTATTAAAAGTCAGGAAACAACAGATGCTGGAAAGGATGTGGAGAAATAGGAACGCTTTTACACGGTTGGTGTGAGTGTAAATTAGTTCAACCATTGTGGAAAACAGTGTGGCAATTCCTCAAGGATCTAGAACCAGAAATACCGTTTCACACTGCAATCCCATTACTGTGTATATACCCAAAGGATTATAAATCATGCTACTATAAAGACACATGCACACATATGTTTATTGCAGCATTGTTCACAATAGTAAAGACTTGGAACCAACCCAAATGCCCATCAATGATAGACCAGATAAAGAAAATGTGGCACATATACACCATGGAATACTATCAAAAAGATGAGTTTCTGTTATTTGCAGGGACATGGGTGAATTTGGAAACCATCATTCTAAGCAAACTAACACAGGAACAGAAAACCAAACACCACATGTTCTCACTCATAAGTGGGGGTTGTGCAGTGAGAACACATGGACACAGGGATGGGACATCACACGCTGAGGCCTCTTTGGGGGTTTGTGGCTAGGGGAGGGATAGCATAAGGAGAAATACCTAATGTAGATGACGGATTAATGGGTGCAGCAAACCAACATGGAAAGTGTATACTTATGTAATAAACCTGCACGTTCTGCACATGTATCCCAGAACTTAATGTGTAATAAAAAAAATAGATTGCATGACTATTATGATCTGTTTTATTCACTTAATACTAAATATCCCAAGAAACAATTAGAAGAACATAATGTGGATGTAAAAGTCAAGGAACAAAAAAAACTTCGTTTGCAAAGATGTTACTGCTAATAAAAACCTACTTTTGTATGATTCTTTACAGCTTACAATAATCTTTCACATTCATTTAAAAATCACATAATTTAAATATGCAAATGGTTTAAAATTAACTAAGAAATTGAAAGTGAATTTATTGTGAACTATATTGAAGGGATAGATCCAATATTCAAATATGTCACATAAATCAAGTTATATCTCTAGGATTAATTCATTTAAGCAACTGTCAATTATTAATTTTTTACTCCTGAGTACAATGTTTTCTCTTTTCATATATTGGTTCTCCTGGGAAAAATGTGGCTCATAAGTTTTTTCTTACCCGTTTCTCTCATTTTATTCATAACAAAAACATAAGTATGTTGTATTCTAAGTAAATGTGATGATTTAAAACTGTGACACAATGAGGTATATAACCTTGAGCAAGGCAGTTATCCTTTCTGGGTCTTAGTTTCCTCATTGCTAATGGAAATGTTTGAATTAGATGTTGTCTGAGACTGTTTATAAATTTGACATCTTACCATTCTATGAAATATTGGACATATTCTTTGAACCATAAGTGCACCCAGATATTTTCATCACTTAATTATATTTCTTCTAATATACTACCTATTACTGTCCAGGAGGCCTGGACATAGGCCTCACATGCTCAGTGAGTACACTGTTTTTTAACTTTTAAATTCAGGGGTACATGTTTAGGTTTGTTAAACTCATGGTAAACTCATGTTACAGGGGTTTGTTGTACAGATTATTTCATCCCCCAGGTATTAAGCCTAGTAGCCATTAGTTATTTTTTCTGATCCTCTCCCTCCTCCCACCCTCCACCCTCAGGTAGGCCCCAGTGTATGTTATTCCCCTCTATGTGTCCATGTGTTCTCATCATTTAGCTCCCACGTGTGAGAATATTTGGTATTTGGTTTTCTGTTTCTATGTTAGTTTGTTAAGAATAATGGCCTCTAGCTCCAACCATGTTTCTGCAAAGTACATAATCTTGTATATTTTTATGGCTGCATAGTATGTCATGACATATATGTATTACATTTTCTTTATCTAGTCTACAATTGATGGGCATTTAGGTTGATTCCATGTCTTTGCTATTGTGAATAGTGTTGCAATGAACATATGTGTGTATGTGTGTTTATGATAGAATGATTTATATTCCCTTGGGCATATACCCAGTAATGAGATTGCTGCATCAAATGGTAGTTCCATTTTGAGTTCTTTGAGGAATTGCCACACTTTCCTAAATGGTTCAAACTAATTTACACTCCCATCAACAGTGTATAAGCATTTCCTTTTCTCTGCAATCTCAACAGCATCTGTTATTTTTTTTGGCTTTTTACTAATAACCATTATGACTGCTGTGAGATGGCATCTCATAGTGGTTTTGATTTGCATTTCTCTAATTATCAGTGATGTTGAGCTTTTATTCATATGCTTTTTGGCCACATGTATGTCTTCTTTTGAAAAGTGTTCATGTCCTTTGCCCACTTTTTAATGAGGCTGTTTGTTTTTTTCTTGTAAATTTGTTTATGTACCTTACAGATGGTGGATATTAGACCTTTGTCAGACGCATAGTTTGCGAAAATTTTCTCCCATTATATAGGTTGCTTGTTTACTCTGTTGACAGTTTCTTTTGCTTTGCAGAATCTCTTTAGTTTAATTCAATCCCATTTGTCAATTTTTAATTTGGTGCAATTGCTTTTGATATCTTCCACATGAAATGTTTGTCCATTCCTATGTCTAGGAGGATATTGCCTAGGTTATCTTCCAGGGTTTTTATAGTTTTGGGTTTTTTTAATTTAAGTCTTTAATCCATTTTGAGTTCATTTTTGTATAAGGTGTAAGGAAGGGGTGCAACTTCAGTCTTCTGCATTTGTTGAGCCAGTTATCCCAGAACCATTTATTGAATTGAGATCTCTTCCCCATTGCTTTTTTTGTTAGTTTTGTGGAAGATCAGATGGCTATAGGTGTGTGGCCTTATTGCTGGGCTGTCTATTCTGTTCCATTGGTCTATGCACCTGATTGTGTACTATTACCATGCTGTTTTGGTTACTGTAGCTTTGTAGTATAAAGTCAGGTGGTGTGATGCTTCCAGATTTGTTCTTTTTGCTTAGGATTTCCTTGGCTACTCAGGCTCTTTTTTGTTTCATGTGAATTTTAAAATAGTTTTGTCTAGTTCTGTGAAGAATGTCATTGGTAGTTTGATAAGAATAACATTGAATCTATAAATTGCTTTGGGAAGTATGGCCCTTTAACAATATTGATTATTCCTGTTCGTGAACATGGAATGTTTATTCCTTTGTTTGTGTTATTTCTGATTTCTTTGAGCAGTGTTTTGTAGTTCTCTTTGTAGAGATCGTTCACCTCCCTAGTTAGCTGTATTCCTAGGTATTTTATTCTTTTTGTGGTGATTGTGAATGGAATTGCATTCCTGATTTGGCTCGTGGCTTGATTGTTGGTGTATAGGAATGCTAGTTATTGTTGTAAATTGATTTTGTATCCTGAGACTTTGCTGAAGTTGTTAATCAGGTGAAGGAGCTTTTGTCCTGAGACTATGTGGTTTTCTAGATATAGGATTATGTTGTCTGCAAACAGGGATACTTTGATTTCATCTCTTCCTATTTGGATGCCCTTTATTTGTTTCTCTTGCCTGATTGCTCTGGCAAGGACTTCCGATATTATGTTGAGTAGAAGTGGTGAGAGAGGGCATCCTTGTCTTGTTGTGGTAGTCAAAGTGAATGCTTTCAGCTTTTGCCCATTCAGCTTAATGCTGGCTGTGGATTTGTCATAGATGGCTCTTATTCTTTTGAGGTATGTTCCTTCAATACCTAGTTTGTTGAGAGTATTTAACATAAAGTGGTGTTGAATTTTATTGAAAGCTTTTGCTGCATCTATTAAGATAATCATGTGGTTGTTGTCTTTAGTTTTGTTTATATGATGAATCACATTTATTGATTTGCATATGTTGAACCAATCTTGCATCCCAGGGATAATGCCTATGTGATCGTGATGTATTAACTTTTTTATGTGCTGCTCGGTTTGGTTTGCAAGTATTTTGTTGAGGATTTTTGCATTGATATTCATCAAGGATATTGGCCTGAGGTTTTCTTTTTATTGTGTCTCTGTCAGGTTTTGATATCAGGATAATGCTGGCCTCATAGAATGAGTTAGGGAAGAGTCCCTCCTCCTCAATTTTTTGGAATAGTTTCTGTAGGAAGAGTTTCTGTTCAGCTCTTCTTTGTACATCTGGTAGAATTTGGTTGTGAATCCATCTGGTCCTGATTGATTTTTGGTTGTTAGGCAATTTATTACTGATTCAATTTCAGAACTTGTTATTGTTCTGTTCACAGATTCAATTTCCTCCCAGTTTAGTCTTGGGAGTGTTTTTGTCTCCAAGAGTTTATCCATTGCCTCTAATTTTCTAATTTGTGTGCATAGAAGTTTTCATAATATTCTCTGATGGTTCTTTATATTTCTGTGATGTCAGTGGTAATATCCCCTTTGTCATTTCTAATTGTGTTTATTTGGATCTTCTCTTTTCTTCTTTATTATTAGTATAGCTAGTGATCTAGTCTATTATTATTATTATTATTTTTAAACCAACTCCTGGATTCATCGATCTTTTGAATGCTTTTTTTGTGTGTGTCTCAATCTCATTCTTTTCAGCTCTGATTTTGGTTATATTTTGTCTTCTGCTAGCTTTGGGGTTGGTTTAATCTTGTTTCACTAGTCCTTTTAGTTGTGAAGTTAAGTTGTTAAATTGTGATCTTTTGAACTTTTTGACATGGGTCTTAAGTGCTATAAATTTCCTTCTTAACACTGTCTTAGCTGTGTTCCAGGGATTCTGGTATGTAGTATCTTTGTTTTCATTAGTTTCAAAGAATTTGATTTCTGCTTTAATTTCATTATTTACCCAAAAGTTATTCAGGAGAAAGTTGTTTAATTTCCATGTAATTGTATGGTTTTGAAAGATTTTCTTAGTTTTGATTTCCAATTTTATTGCACTGTGGTCTGAGAGAGTAGTTGGTATTATTTCAGTTATTATGCATTTGCTGAGGATTATTTTACATCCAATTGTGTGGTCAACTTTAGAGTATGAGCCATATGGAGATGAGAAGAATGTCTTGTTTCGGGGCTGAGAGTTCTATAGATGTCTATCAGGTTTATTTGATTCAGTGCTGAATTCAGGTCCTGAATAACTTTGTTAATTTTCTGTCTCTGATCTATCTAATACTGTCAGTGAAGTGTTGAAGTCTGTCACTATTATTGTGTGGGAGTCTAAGTCTCTTTGAAGGTCTTTAAGAACTTACTTTATGAATCTGGGTACTCCAGTGTTGAGTGCATCTGTATTTAGGATAGTTAAGTCTTCCTGTTGAATTGAATTATTTACCCTTATTTAATGCCCTTTTTTGTCTTTTTTGATTATTGTTGATTTAAAATCTGTTTTGTTTGAAATTGGAATTGCAATCCCTGCTTTTTTTCTCTTTTCCATTTGCTTGATAGATTTTTCTCCATCCCTTTACTTTGAGCCTATGGATGTCATTGCATGTGAGAGGGGCCTCTTGGAGACAGCATACCATTGGGTCTTGCTTTTTTATCCAGCTTGCCACTCTGACTTTTAAATGGGGCCTTTAGGTCATCTGTGTGGTTGCTTTACAAGTGTTACTAGTCTATGTACCTAAGGATTTTTTTATAGTGGCTGGCAATGGTCTTTCCTTTCCATATTTAATGATTCCTTCAGGAGCTCTTATAAGGCAGATGCAGTGGTAATGAATTCCCTCAGCATTTGCTTGTCTGAAGAGGTTATTATCTCTCCTTTTCTTAAGAAGCTTAGTTTGGTTGGATATGAAATGCTAGGTTGGAATTTCTTTTCTTTAAGAATGTTGACAATTGGCCCCAAACCTCTTCTGGTTTGTAGGGCTTCTGCTTAGAGGTCTGCTGTTACTCTGATGGGCTTTCTCTCTAGCTGCCATTAACATTTTTTTTCTTCATTTTAACCTTGGAGAACGTGATAATTACTGGTCTTGGAGATGAACTTCTTGTGAAGTATCTTGCTTATGTTCCCTGCCTGAATTTGAATATTGGCCTCTCTAGCTAAGTTGGGGAAGTTACCATGGATGATATCCTGAAAAATGTTTTCCAAGTTGTTTTCTTTGTCCCCATCTCTTTCAGGAACACCAATGAGTGATAGATTTGTTCTCTTTACATAATCCCATATTTCTCAGAGGTTTTATTTGTTCCTTTTCATTCTTCTTACTCTATTTTTGTCTGACTGACTTATTTCAGAAAGCCAGTCTTCAAATTCTGAGATTTCTTTCCTCAACTTGGTCTATTCTGCTATTAATACTTATGATTGCACTATGAAATTCTTGTAGTGTGTTTTTCAGCTCTATGTGGTCAGTTACACTTTTTTCTATACTGGCTATTTTTTTTGTCAGCTCTTACATTGTTTTATTTTGATTTTTAGCTTCCTTGGATTGAGTTTCAATGTATTCCTGCATCTTGATGATCTTCATTCCTATCCATATTCTGAACTCTATTTCTGTCATTTCAGCCATCTCAGCCCTTGTTAGAGGGCTAGTGCAGTCATTTGGGGGAAAGAAGGTACTCTGGATTTTTGAGTTGCCAGAATTCTTGCACTGCTTCTTTTTCATCTATGTGGGCTGATGTTCCTTCAATCTTTGAAATTACTGTCCTTTAAGTGGTGTTTTTTCTTTTATCCTTTTTGATGAACTTAAGGGTTTGATTGCAGTATATGGTGGGTTCAGCTGATTGCCTTTCTTTCTGGAAGATTTTAGGGGTCTGGAGCTCAGCTCACAACTTCTGAACTGCATGTTCTAATTCTGAAGGACTGGTATCAGGTCCAGACTTTGTTCTCTGGATCCTTGAGATTAGGAGTTCATCGTGCTGAGGTGATCAAGTTGCTCCTGGACTGTTGGTCACAGCACTCCAATGGGTGGTTCATGCCAAAGCATTTTGTAGGGAGGTGGCAGCAGGATCCATCCTCATTCACACATGTCAGCAGCAGTGGCAGCCATAGCACAGTAGGGTGCTCACTCCATGGCTGTGGCAGGGTACTAGTGGATGCCAGGGTGCTGGCCTCTATATGGGAGTTTGTAGCTGCAGCAGGGGCAGCACAGCTCACAGTAGGTGGGAGGCCCCCTGCTGTTGACTATGCCTGTGGTTTCACTGGTGGTGATGTTAGCATGGGGGCAGAATGCTGGTGAGCATAGGGCTGTGTGCACCCTCTGTGTATGTTCACGCAGGCGAAGGTGGCTGCTCAGGGCAGGGGAGGGCATGCTATTCTTCATTCCTTGTTTCACTCTGGGGGTAGTGTTGGCACAGAGACAGGGCATTGGCAGGGTTAGGGCTGGTGGGCTCTATGCCAACCAAGGCTCCAACTGCAATGGCAGTACAGTAGGAAAAAAGGAGGTGAAGTGTACTCATGCCAACAGCAGTGGCGAGGCAGGGTACATACACATAGATCTGCTGTTAGGTCAGGGAAGGCAAGATCTACCCATGCACACACATTCAAAGCAATGTGGGGGGTGGTCATGGCCCTGTGGGAAGCTGCAGTGAGTACGGGGTGCTGTCAGGCTGCAGTGAGTACAGGAAGCTGTCAGTGAGTACGGGGTACATGTCTTTGGAGGCCACTCTGCTGGAGCTCTCTGCTGGTAAGGTGGGTCTGCCAGCATAGGAGGTATAATGCAGGTCCCCAGGGCAACTGAGGGTGCACTGCAAGCAGGCGTGGGAAGGCTGGGGCCCTGGGAGAAGCCAGCAGACCAAGGGGTGCTCAGGTTGAACTGGTGACAAGATTGCCCTTCAGAGTTCAGTTCCTACAGTTCTTTTAGGGCTAAAAAGTGTCCTATGGGAGCAAATCGAGCCTAGGGAGATGGGTGTCCCTGGCTGTGCTCCACTACAGAAGAAGATCACACACCAAATCCTCTGGGCTCTTCACTAGCTGGAGTTCTGCCCCTACGCCTTCTCTTAGTAGCTCTCCCTGCCAACTCAAATGTCCATGGTGGTCAAGGGGTCTCCTTCTGTTGGGATTCCAGAGGCCCATGGTGAGAGTGGTTTTCTAATTGCCAGTTCAACTCGCACATTCCCCCAGAGTTGTTGGGGGCCAGGAGCCAGTCTTGGTGCACAGTAGCCCCGTGCAGGGTTCCCAGCTCCTCCCCTCTTCATCCCAGCCTTTGTGTCTTCCCTCTGTCCACTTTCAGTGCATTCCTTCTGAAGATAAGCTAAGAGTGCATCAGTGTCTCTGTTCCTTGGTGGCAGTTATTCCACATGGCTATGTCTAGTCGGCCATCATCAGCGAGTACACTTTCAACCAAATGGAAAATAAAATAACAAGAATGGCTGGAAGTACTCTATAATTCTATTTAGTTATCATTCATGTTCTAGATATAATTTTATCCAAGTGTCACCATACACCAAAGACCATTTTGTCCTTCAACCAGAAACCAAAATGGTTATGCTGTAGAAATTGCAGAAGACATGATTGGTGGAGTGAATTTACAAAGAAGCACCTGGTATACTATTTTGACTTCTTCAACTGGGTCATTAAAAGAAATGGGTTGGTTCTTCTATCCTCTGGTTTTCCCATTTATACAAGATTTTATCTCTGGACTTTCAGATGGCTTGCTTATGTCCATTCCTGTGTGAGCTTTTTTTAAGTATTTATTTCTTGTTATTTCTTTTCTTGGTGTAAGATTTAAGATGGCTCCTAAGCAGCAGACTGGTTGCTATCTTCTGAGCTGTGATGAATGGACACAGTAGACTTATCTGGCCACCTCAGATGCCGCAACCCCATTGGCTTACCCGATAGGATGGCAGTGGCTTACAGGAACTACTAGAACAACATTGTGTGATGTAGGGGTAAAGAAAAATTAAAGCTGGTTAGACTAGATTTACATAGCTGCTAAGGCATGTTCTTCCTTGAGTCATAGCTGGCACTGTTGCTAACAACAACAAGAGAAGTATTTATAATGTTTGGAATGCTTGTTGTTTCAGGAACTTTATATACATTATAATATTTGGTTTTCAGAATCTTAATAAGTAGATACTAATATCATCCTTGTTTTACAGATAAGAAAACTAAGCTATGTAAAGTAACTTGTTTGCAGACATAAAGTTAAGAATTTGTGGCCCACACATATATACCAAGATGTGTCAGACTCCAAAGCCTGACCTCTTTACTACTGAGCAAACAGCCTCATGAGGCAAAAATGTTACAAAGGCTTTAGACTTTGGAGGAATTTACGGTGAGCTGTGTTTGTATTTTGGAAAGTATAGCATTCAATTTTAAAACTAAGCTGATTTTACAAAGGTTATTGAATACCGTAAGAAAGCAGTGCTAATCTAAGGCAACTTTATGCTTTGTGGAAATTTCCATCTTTCTGAACTTTACAAATTAAGTAGCTGTCAACTTTAATCTGAAATGGCTGTAAGTAAATACTCTGACAGAGGATATAAAAATATCAGTGGCTGCATAAGACTATTATTACTAATACAATTATCTAATAGGGTTTTCTTACAAGGAAAAAGTTGAGTGGCTTATTTAGATTTGAGTTTTTATGTATAGTTTTAGAACTTAAAAATGAAATAAAAAGCTAATGCCATAATTTCCTTTCTGATATATTATCCAATTATTGTTTTGCATTAAAAAATACACAATAGGAGGAATGATAAAGACCAGCAGTTCCAACACATACATTTTCCTATTAGAAAGTAACCACCAGGGGTTACATGGCTTGCTCGAGGTCACATAGGGATTAGTGTCAGAGCCGAGACTAAAATCTTGTCCCATTAATTATTTCACCATTCCCCTTTATATTCTGTACAAAACGTTCGTTGTAAGATAGAAACTTTTGAAGTATGATAATTATGTGGTACTTAAAATCACCTTTTTATTAGTCTGAAGGCTTATAATTTTAGCTCATTTGTTTTAAAATAGAGATATTTGGTTGGCTTGACACAATAATAAAATGCTATTGAAACTATCCCATGTCTTTAACTGAGAAACCAGTCCATTTTTAAAGGAAACTATAATTCTGAAAAAGTTCTCTTTAGCCACATCATTATTACCACTTATGAATGAGTCAAAGTTTGAACCATTGTTTATGAATCAAATTTCTACTCAAGTATTTGAGAATGAAGAAATAGAGAAAGAAATCAGCTTTGGAAAAACAAGCAATTGATGGGGCTAAATATAACCATAAGTTCTGATTGCTCATGTTCCAGTATTTATCTGCTAGTCATAGGCTATTATCATATTTCTTTGATTCCATTTGTTTTCACTGGCTTTATTTTTTAATTGAATTTAACATGAACATATGACTAAACAAGTCTTGTTGCCAATATAAGTGTCATGATTTCTGCAAGAAATCACACATTGCTGAAGGAAATAAGGTAGTTGCTATAGCTATGGCCACAGGAGTTTGAAACACCTACATGAAAAAAATAAAATAAAATATAAGCAATTTATTATGTCAGCTAAAACTTATATATTGTTATACAGAAACTTTCAGTTGTAAGACATCATAGAAGCTTTCTGCTCCAATATCCCAGTGAGTATAAATCTCCTTTCGGTAGCATTTCTGACGCCTATTAGGTACTTATACAATTTGAATACTTTTAATAATGGGGATCTGATTGCTTACTAAGTTAGTCCATTTAGGTGTTGGACAGATTTTATTGTGAGAAAGATCTTTCTTATTTTAAGCTAAAATATAATTTCTTATTATTCCAATTCATTAATTCAAATTTAATCCTCTCAAGCAATATTTAATGCAGATGTTCAGCCAGATACACATAAGTAGAGCCATACCAGATGTTTATGGCAGGCATCCATTTTGTTTGGTCAGGCATATGTTTCAATTGGCTACGTGTCCCTTTTCACCCGTGCCTGTTTCTTGCTAGTTGTTAATTATTTTGAACATCATCACTGGATGCATACATTGGTAGTGGTTTCCTAGTAAGGTAAGAGGAGCACTATACTGAGACTGAGGGGTTTAATTTTGATTCCCTTGATTTAGTTGCCAATTTTCTCATTTGTCAAGTGAGGATATTCCATTAGATTAATGATTGCTAAACTTGGTTATATGCCAGAATCACCTGGAAAGATTGCTAGTATATATTTTCCTGGATTCTATCCTAGATGTATTGGATCAGAATCTTGGCAGGAAAGAGGGGTTGAAAACCTATGGCCAGAGTATAGGATCCAGAAAGGGTGGCAAGGGGAGGGAAAGTTTAAGTATGGGGCTTAGCCCAGACTTCAAGAGCAAAATACTTCCAAACTGTCATTTGGCCCAAATGCATTTGGTGTTTTCTATGCAGTCCTCAAAGTGTTTAATGTAAGGGAAGCCAGAGAGGTTATTGTAAGTTTCATGTACAGATAGTTACGGCTTTTTTTTTTTTTTTGAGAAAAATCCTCTCAATACTGCTAAGCTGGCATTTTGGGCAGGTAAAGCTAGATTTGCAGCTTCAAAGTCAGCCCAAACCTCACAGAGAAGTTTATTTTACATTAAGGGAAAATGTGTTGAATGGCAATTATAAGTGGTGTAATTTTAGAGCAGCAGAAACATTGACATCCCCCAGATCTTTCCCTTTTCTACCAGTTACTTTCTGGAATTCCATTTTTAAAGCATAATGGATTTAGTTAAGGCCTTGGTTTCTATTAGATTGATTGACAAATCTGAGCATACATTTTAATGGATGGAATGAAGGAAGTAAGAAAATTTTTAAAAAAAAATTGTTGTTGTACAAGGTGCTATGTAAAGTTAATCCAGGAATTTTAATTAGGGATAACAGGTACATAATATAGTTCGGCTCCATGTCCCCACCCAAATCTAATCTCAAATTGTAATCCCCATGTGTCAAGGTAAGGAACTGGTAGGAGGTGATCGGATAATGGGGATGGTTTTCCCCATGCTATTCTCGTGATAGTGAGTGAGTTCTCATGAGATCTGATGGTTTTCTCTTCTCTCTCCTGCTGCCTTGTGAAGAAGGTGCTTGCTTCCCTTTCACCTTCTGCCATAATTGTACATTTCCTGGGGTCTCCCCAGCCATGTGTAACTGTGAGCCAATTAAACTTCTTTCCTTTATATATTACCTAGTCTTGGATATTTCTTTATAGCAGTGTAAAAACAGACTAATACAGTACATAAGCAATCAATTGTACTTACTAGAGTCAAGGAGGTGAAGACAGCAATGATCTTTTCCTAAATTAGGGTTTAAATAAAGTATCAGCAAACTCATTTTTATTTATTTGAGGATTGATTGACTGAGTCAGGCTAGAGAAGAAACTTGGGTAATGTTCACAATGCAGGGGAGCTAATTTAAGGCAATGGCTGATTATCGGCTCACAATTCCTGCTCTCTCTCTCTTAGCTGAGCAAGTAGGCACATAAAACTAGGGGCAGGGGAAATGAGATAAAGGAAATTGCTTAATAACCCCAGAAATTGATAAACAGCTTTATATTTAATGAATTCTAATAGATGGTAGGAAGTAAAGCGCCATGAGAAAAGAATTTTTAAAAATAAGCTGCGACGGGAATTTGAAGGAATTAGTTTCTTCTATCTGAGAGAGTTAAAAAATATCTCAGGGCGTATTTCAAGTAATCTTTCCATTATAACTAGAGATTGAGGTTGTGAATAAAAGAGAAGGTTACAGGAGACATAGTCTGTAGTAATAGTTTAAGTCTAGACTGTAGGGAGTTATTGAGGGATGATTTAGAAATTGAGCTAGCTCCTGAAGTCAGTGGAGCGCTAGTAAGAGTATTTCAGCAGGACAATGACATGACTTCATGAACAGTAGTTTGTAGGATGGAAGCAGATTGGAGGGAGAGATGACAGAAACAGAACAACTAGAAATATGGAGTCACGGTTGCCTGGTGGAGGTAGAGAGGGGAACACAAAATATGCTGTTCTGCCCTTAGTGCCCTGAATGTAAAAGTCTTCTTTCTTCTCTGAAGATTTTACTTTTTAAAAAAAAACTGGACCTTAATTTCCCTGATGGTACTCATACTGGGAGGGATTATCGGAGAAATGACTGATTCTGAGACTGGGAAGTAAAATATACTTCTACTAGTGCTGGAGTATCTTCTAGTTCCAGAAAGTAAAGCAGTTCTTAAACAAAACAAAATAAAGCAAAACAATAAGAAAACACAATAATGGGGTTATGTCAAAGGGGTAGAAAAGCCAACTGAAAGAACTCTCAGTAGTCAAAGGTGGAACAATGTAAACAACAAAATAAAGAAATATTGGATTATAACACACATTATAAAATCAAGTAATTTTGAGTCCATACTGATATAAATAAGTGGTTGACTAAACAAATACAAGGGGGAGAATACACAAATCTCCCTCGCAAAGAAATTCCAAGTTATTTATGAAGATACCCTACCTCCAAGTAGGTGGACCATAGCAGAGGCTGTACATAATGACCTGCTTTCTAAGAGTAGAATACAGAGAGGGGGAAAAATAGTAACTAACAAATACTACCTCAGTGGTGAAACCTGACAAATACTACCTCAGCAATGTGACCAAGGTCAACATTATCAATAATAAGCCATGTCAATAGCCTGTATCTTGGGATATGATGTAATGAGGATGGCACTCTTTTTCTGTGGTCTTGTTACCAAAAACCAATAATCTCAGTCTAATTATGGAAAAAAATAAGAAAAATCCCAATTGATGGACATTCTAGAAAATACCTGACCTGTACTCTTCAAAATTATCAAGGTCTTCAAAATCAAGGAAAGGAAAATCTAAGAAACTGTCACAGCCAAGAGAGCCTAAGCAGGTATGACAACTAAATGTAATATGATACGTTGATGGGATTATAGAAAAGAAAAATAACACTAAGGAAAAAGTGAGGAAATCTGAATAAAGTATGACATTTAGTTAATAATAATGTATCAATATTGATTCATTCATTGTTGCATATATATGGTACTAACATATTAAGATGTCAATAAGTCTTAATATAGTAAGATGTTAAAATAGGGGAATCTGAGTATGGGGTACACAAGAACTCTGTAATATCTCTAAGAATTCTGCAAACTTAAAAGTGTTCTAAAATAAAGTTTGTTTAAGTAGAGACACTGTAGCATAGTTTGAGGTTATTAAAATCAATCTATTCTCAATCATGAATAAGGTATTCAATGAAGCCTCAGCATTTGTTGACTAAGCTCTCTGCCTTTACTTTCCCTCTTCTTTTTAGAGACTCTTCATTGCAGATATTCTCTTAGTGTCTTCCTAGGCTATTTAAGGAGAGTGGGCTATAGCTGAAAATAAAAATGGCTCAGTTGTGAATATAAGCCCCACTGCTGCAAGAAACCCACTTTTAGGGCCTGATTGTAACTTCTATTAGGTGTTTGGATTTAACCTAAAAATTAAACCAGTACAAACTCAAAATGGAGAAGGAAGATGGCAAAGGAAGCCTGAGGTTTTTGTTTTCCTTGAATATTAGTCATTCTAAGGCCAACACCACATCTTAGCCCTTTGCTGAGCACTATAGTCCATCATTTCAGTGAGCTATTTGAATGACAAAATGGTAAACTTATAAATTCTGAAATCTTGGGAAAATGATTTCTGGCTCACTTTAAAGGATGACAGGAAAAAGTTCTGTACATTTTGGATTCATCTGCTGTCTAAAGTCTTATCTTTAAAAATACACCCAAAGTCCTAGCTTCTGTAAGGATACTAATCTCACTCCTACACAGGTGCCATAAGAGCACAGAATGCTGCTGACCTTGTCAAGAAGAGAAATTTGTAACTCAGCTAAAGAGTAGGTCAAACCTCATTAAAGAAAATGTCCCTAAACCTATGTATTGATTAAATCAACAGAAGGAACAACATTACAGGGCTATTTGAACTAATATCAAAGTGGATGACAGAGAGAAAAATGTGATAGTGGGAGAGGTGACCATTAAAGAATATTTAGGCATCTCCCTCCCTTGATTTATGAAAAAAACAAGATTTATGAAGAGAAGACTAAAGGGTCATTGCATTTAGCAAATGAGAAACCTAGTATTTTCAAGGGTAAAAAGTATCTTGCTAAATGGAACTTTGATAACAAAGAGATCTCTTGTAAGGCAGGTCTGGTGGTAAAAACCTCCCTCAACATTTGCTTATCTGAAAGGATCTTATATCTCCTCCACTTAGGAAACTTAGTTTGGCTGGATAAGAAATTCTTGGTTGAAGATTTTTTTTCTTTAGGAATGTTGAATATGGGCTCCAAATCTCTTCTGCCTTGCAGGATTTCAGCTGAGACATCTGCTGTTAAACTGATGGTGTTTCCTTTGTAGGTGACTTGACCTTTCTCTCTAGCTACATTTACCATTCTTCCTTTCATTTTAATCTTGGAAAATCTGGTGATTAAGTGTCTTGGGGATGATTTTCTTGTGTGTAATCTTGCAGTTCTCTGTTGTCTCTCTAGCAAGGTTGGGGAAGTTTTCCTGGATGATATCCTGAAATGTGTTTTCCAAGTTGTTTGTTTTTCCCTCTACCCTTTCAGGAGTGTCAATGATTCATAGATTTGGTCTTTTTTTTTTTTTTTTTGCTACAAAGCTTCTGTACTTAAATTTTTTAAATATAAAATTATCAATTTATTATGGTTCAAATACATAAACTGACATTCAAACATCTTAAACTTTAGGAACTAAAGTTTAACGTTCAAACAGAAGTACAGTTTTCAGGAAACATCCAGAAAGTAATTTGTTTTCTAATCCAGAGTACTGACAAAGATTGCTTCATGATGAATAAAGTGTGTTTCATCAGCAAGTTTTGTTTTGTTTTTTCATTCCTCCATAAAAATCACTGGCAGTTGGATTCAGACCAACTTCATAATGACCATGGCTCCATACCCGAGAAGAAACTGCTAAATAAATCCCTTATGTTAACCAACAAGATTGGCCTATAATTTAGAGGGGATAAGTAAAGCATGTAAGTGAACAAATTAAATTGTTCTTTAGAGATGAAGGTAAAAGCATGTCCATTAAAGTAATTTTTGCCTCTGACAGATTATTAAATTGTCAGTGTTTTCCTTTTTTTTTTGGTGGGGTGAAGGAGGGACTTGCTCTGTTCCCAGGCTGAAGTGCAGTGGCATGTTCATGGCTCAGTGCAGCCTCAACCTCCTGGGATAAATGCAATCTTCCCATCTCAGCCTCCTGAGTAGCTGGAATTACAGGCACATGTCACCTTGCGCAGCTAATTTTTTAATGTTTTGTAGAGGCAGGGTCCCACTATATTGCCCAGGCTGTTCTCAAACTCCTGGGCTCAAGCAATCCTCCCACCTCAGCATAAGCCACTGCACCTGGCCTTACCTGCTAAAAAACAAAACAAAACAAACAAACAAAGAACCAAAAAAGCAACTTAGGTTTTCTTGGAGTCTGCTATTTGCATCTTGCAAATGCAAACCACATATGCTCTTTGATGAAAACCTTTCTATGCACACCACTGTTAGGAAGAGCATTATTAAATCACTGACTTCTATACCCATAAAAGGATGATTTTAGTTTCAAGATTTTAGATTTACTAGAGATAGCCTGTATTTGAGTGTATCAATCATGTCATACAAAGAAAAATATTTCCAAAGTGTTCTCTGTTCAGAAACGTCACAAATGCTTCTCCTGTTTGTCAGATCATTTTGCAATAGGTCAGCTAATACTTATCTACATAAAAACCTGAAAATTGGCTCAGGGAAGCATGTTAAATTAGTAGATTACCCCAATGGAACAGTATTGAGAATTATTTTGTCTTGTGGGCTCCGAGGCTCTGGGAGGTAGAGGTGGACCCTGACAGTCCAGGTCATCAACATCCACATTCAGTTTATGCCTTTCCTCAGGCACAGTTCAGTACTGGATACTATTTATCATTCTGCAAAATGTTGTCTACATCTTTCAGGTGTTGGTCAGATTCTTAGATTAGCTTCTTAGCTCTGTTCTGTTGATGAACAGAAGACTTCAATTTTCAGGACTGATGATTCCAGCATCTTCCACAAGCTTTCACTTTCACATCTTTAACTAAACTATTTGTTATATATTTGGTCTCCTTCAAAAGTGCCCTGAAGTCAACTTTGGTTGTAATATATTTGTCTCTGACATATTCTTCAAATTATCTTTGTTTTTTCCTGTCATTGGAGGAGAACTCCACCCAGAATCTTATTTTTTTTTTACTTCTTCCACGTGGATGTTAAGGTACTCACAGAGGTTTCATCCAGAAGTCTTCCCTCTTCTTTCTGGTAAGTGCTTCAATGTGCTCATTAAGCTTCTCTTTCTCTTCCCTCTCCAACAAAGATCTAGATTCCCAGTGGTGATCTTTTTGATGAGTCCTCTATCAAACCATGACACATGTGAAGAATGTACCCGAACAACCCTCAGGGAAAATGCAGGATTTTTCGAGAAAGTTCCAGGGTATCTACTGGTGTCAGTATACTTTCAGTCCTACACCTCAGAGTTTTTTTTAAATAACAGCTTTATTGAGATACAATTCACATCTTTCACTTAAAATGTACAATTCAATGGATTTGAGTATATTCAGAGTTGTGCAACCTACACCACAAGCTAACTGTAGGATATTTTCATCACCCTGAAAAGAAACCCCACACCCATTAGCAGTTCCTCCATTCTACCTATAGCCAGCCTAGGTAACCACTAATCTTTCTGCCTATTCTGGACATTTCATATGAATGGAATCATCATGTGATATTTCGTGGCTGGCTTCTTTCACTTAACGTTTTCAAAGTTTATCCACGTTTAGCATATATCAGTCCTTCGTTTATTTTTACTGCCAAATAATGGTTATGGGCCTAGGGGTAGAATTGCTAAATCATACTGCAGCTCTGTTTCATCTTTTGATGAACTGATGGTGTGTTTCCTGAAGTGGCTGCACCGTTTTACATTCCCACCAGTAATGTATGAGGGTTCCAATTTCTGCACATCTTCACCAACACTTGCTATTATTTCTCTTTTTAATTACAGCCATTCTAGTGAATGTGAAGTGATATCTCATAGTTTTTGTTTGTTTGTTTGTTTGGTTTTTTTTTTTTTTTGAGACGGAGTCTTGCTCTGTTGCCCAGGCTGGAGTTCAGTGGCATGATCTCAGCTCACTGCAACCTCTGCTTCCTGGGTTCAAGTGATTCTGCCTCAGCCTCCCAAGTAGCTGGGACTACAGGCATGCACCACCACCCCTGGCTAATTTTTGTATTTTTAGTAGAGATGAGGTTTCACCACGTTGGCCAGGCTGGTCTCAAACTCCTGACCTCAAGTGATCCACCTACTTCAGCCTCCTAAAGTACTGGGATTACAAGCATGAGCCACTGCACCCCGGCCTCATAGTAGTTTTGATTTACACTTCCCTAATGCATCTTTTCAGGTGCTAACTGGCCATTTGTTAGTGGTTTTTCCTTCTTTTAAAAACTGCTGAGACATCCATAAACATTTTCAAAATGCAGGGTATGATTTTCATTGTTAAGGCAACTGTTTTGATGTGTGTTCCTTTGCTCTCTATCACCAAATACTGTACATACAAATAGCAACACTGGGCTTTTTGTTGTCCATTGTTAATCCTAAATGCAACAAAACATATGGAGACTTTGAAAATCCTTCAGAATAATGCTATAGTTAAGATTTTGCTAAAGCAAATGTTTTTTTCTAACTCCTTGAGCTGCATATTGCCTTGAGTAATCAATCATCATCTGGATCGTATCCTCTTTGGGGGCACTTTTGTTTCCTTTCAGTTCTTGCCTTGCCCAATACTTCAGGTATTTGTGAGCTGAATCATTGTGAAGGTGCCAAGTTGTTTGCAAAATCCTTCTGTAGCAGAGAATAACTTGTTGCCTTCTTATAAACTGCTTTAATGTTAGCGTTGCTGGGGGTAAGCAGGAAGTGGCCATGTCTGCCAGCAGTCTGTGGCCTCTTTATATAATCACTTACTTCTCAGAGATTTTACTCTTTCCTTTTATTCTTTTTTTTCTTTTTTTCTGATTGTCTTATTTCAGAGAACCAGTCTTTATGTTCTGATGTTCTTTCCTCTGCTTTGTTAATACTTGTGATTGCATTGTGAAATTCTTGTATTATGTTATTCATCTGTGTCAGATCCAGTAGCGTCTTTGTTATATTGACTGTTTTGTCCTTCAGCTCCTGTATCACTTTATTGTGATTCTTACATTCCTTGGATTAGGTTTTGCCATCTTCCTGAATCTTGATGATCTTCATTCCTATCTATATTCTTAATTCTATTTCTATAATTCCAGCCAGTTCACCCTGGTTAAGAACTCTTACTGGTGAGCTGGTGCAGTCATCTAGAGGACATATGGCACTCTGGCCATTTGAGTTACTAGAGTTCCTGTGTTTGTATATTGCTAAAACTGCAATGTAGACTGAGTACAGTCAATAGCCTTCTATTCTCAATGTTTTCACGAGGCCAAGGGTTTGTGTAGGGTCTTTATTTGAAGTTGATGTCTTATCTCTGGTTTCAGAGGGGGGTATGCTAGTGAGGTATTTTTGGTGTTCAAGCATTGAAGTGTGATCCAGTAGGTGGCACTTAGGCTTATTGCTTAGTTGGTAGACTCTTGCTTGGTTGTATGGCTCCCCTATGTCTCCTCACAGTTGCAGTGGGGTTTCCTCTCAATGCCCTGGAGGTATGGGCTTCTCTCCCCCTTGAGTGCTGCCTCTAGATCACAGCTTAGCACTCCTGGGCTGCTCACTGCAGCTCTTGGGTGATCTCAGTATTTATTTTTCTTCCCCAACTTGGAGACAGCAGAGAAAGGGACCTTGGTAGTGGTTGTGGCCATTTGCTTGTCTCCTGTGGGCTCCACCCCAGACAGATGCAGGTCAGCAATTACTCTGTGCCATCAGCCCAGGATGGAGGGTCTGTGCTGTGGGCCCATCTACGGGTTCCCTGTCTGGTGATGAGCAGTGGGGTGTATGTAGGTGACATAGTTTGGCTCTGGGTCCCCACCCAAATCTCATCTCAAATTGTAATCCCTACATGTTGGGGGAGGTACCTGGCGGGAGGTGATTGAATCATGGGGGTGGACTACCCCCTGCTGTTCTCATGTTAATGAGTTCTCACTAGATCTGGTTGTTTAAAAGTGTGTGGCACTTCACACATCTCTCACTCTCTCTCTCCTGCCACCTTGTGAAGAAGGTCCTTGCTTTCCCTTCACCTTCTGCCATCATTGTAAATGTCCTGAGGCCTCCAGATCATACTTTCTGTTAAGCCTGCAGAACTGTGAGTGAATTAAACATCTTTTCTTCATAAATTACCCAGTCTCAGGTAGTTATTTACAGCACTGTGAGAATAAACTAAAACAGAATATTGGTACCAGCAGTGAGGTACTGCCATAAAGATAACCTGAAAATGTGGAAGCAACTTTGGTAGTGGGTAATGAGCAGAGGTTGTAATAGTTTGGATGACTCAGAAGACAGGAAGATGTGGAAAGTTTGGAACTTCCTAGAGACCTGTTGAATGGTTTTGACCAAAATGCTGATAGTGATATAGACACTGAAGTCCAGGCTGAGGTAGTCTCAGATGGAGATGGGGAACTTGTTGGGAACTGGAGCAAAGGTGACTCTTGCTATTCTTCAGCAAAGAGACTGGTGGCATTGTGCCCCTGCTCTAGGGATCTGTGGAACATTGAGCTTAAGACAGATGATTTAGGTTATGTGCTGGAAGAAATTTCTAAGCAGCAAAGCATTCAAGATTTAACCTTGCTGCTCCTAACAGCATACAGTCATTTTGTGTCCGGAATTGGTGGGTTCTTGGTCTCACTGACTTCAAGAATGAAGCTGCGGACCCTCGCGGTGAGTGTTACAGCTCTTAAGGTGGCGCGTCTGGAGTCTGTCCCTTCTGATGTTCAGATGTGTTCGGAGTTTCTTCCTTCTGGTGAGTTCGTGGTCTCGCTGGCTCAGGAGTGAAGCTGCAGACCTTCCCGGTGAGTGTTACAGCTCTTAAGGCAGAGCGTCTGGAGTTGTTCTTTCCTCCCGGTGGGCTCGTGGTCTCGCTGGCTTCAGGAGTGAAGCTGCAGACCTTCGCGGTGAGTGTTACAGCTCATAAAAGCAGTGTGGACCCAAAAAGTGAGCAGTAGCGAGATTTATTGCAAAGAGCAAAAGAACAAAGCTTCCACAGTGTGGAAGGGGACCCGAGTGGGTTGCCACTGCTGGCTCCAGCAGCCTGCTTTTATTCTCTTATCTGGCCCCCACCATCCTGCTGATTGGTAGAGCCGAGTGGTCTGTTTTGACAGGGCGCTGATTGGTGCGTTTACAATCCCTGAGCTAGACATAAAGGTTCTCCATGTCCCCATCAGATCAGTTAGTTAGATACAGAGTATCCACACAAAGGTTCTCCAAGGCCCCACCAGAGCAGCTAGATACAGAGTGTGGATTGGTGCATTCACAAACCCTGAGCTAGACACAGGGTGCTGATTGGTGTGTTTAAAAACCTTGAGCTAGATACAGAGTGCCCATTGGTGTATTTACAATCCCTGAGCTAGACATAAACATTCTCCAAGGCCCCACCAGAGCAGCTAGATACAGAGTGTCGATTGGTACACTCACAAACCCTGAGCTAGACACAGGGTGCTGATTGGTGTGTTTACAAACCTTGAGCTAGATACAGAGTGCCGATTGGTGTATTTACAATCCCTGAGCTAGACATAAAGTTTCTCCAAGGCCCCACCAGACTCAGGAGACCAGCTGGCTTCACCCAATGGATCCCGCACTGGGGCTGCAGTTGGAGCTGCCTGCCAGTCCCGCACCATGCGCTCGCACTCCTCAGCCCTTGGGTGATCGATGGGACTGGGCGCCGTGGAGCAGGGGGCAGTGCTTGTCAGAGAGGCTCGGGCTGCACAGGAGCCCACGGAGGCGGGGGAAGGCTCAGGCATGGCGGGCTGCAGTCCCGAGGCCTGCCCCACGGGAAGGCAGCTAAGGCTCGGTGAGAAATCCAGCGCAGCGCCGGTGGGCTGGCACTGCTGGGGGACCCAGTACACCCTCCGCAGCTGCTGGCCCGGGTGCTAAGTCCCTCATTGCCCAGGGCCGACAGGGCCGGCCGGCTGCTCGGAGTGTGGGGCCCGCCAAGCCCACGCCCACTCGGAACTCCAGCTGGCCTGCAAGCGCCGCACGCAGCCCCGGTTCCTGCTCGCGCCTCTCCCTCCACACCTCTCTGCAAGCTGAGGGAGTGGGCTCTGGCCTTGGCCAGCCCAGAAAGGGTTTCCCACAGTGCAGCAGTGGGCTGAAGGGCTCCTCAAGTGCTGCCAAAGTGGGAGCCCAGGCAGAGGAGGTGCCGAGAGTGAGCGAGGGCTGTGAGGACTGCCAGCACGCTGTCACTTCTCAATATGTATTCACAAAGAGATGGTTTGAGACGGGAACTTACACTTAAAACAGAAGCAGAGCATAAAAAATTGGAAAATTTGCAGCCCAGCCATGTGGTAGAAAAGAAAAACCCATTTTTCTGGGGAGAACTTCAAGCTGGCTGCAGAAATTTGCATAAGTGACAAGGAGCCGAATGTTAATAGCCACAACAATGGGGAAAATGTCTCCAGAGCATGTCAGAGATCTTTGCAGCAGCCCCTCCCATCACAGGCTCAGAGGCCTACGAGGGAAAAATGGATTAATGGGCTGGGCCCAGGGCCCTGCTGCTCTGTGCAGCCTCAGGACCTGGCGCACCGTGTCCCAAATACTCCAGCTCCTGCTGTGGTGAGAAGAGGCAAAGGTACAGCTCAGGTCAGTGCTTCAGAGGGTGCAAGCCCCAAGACATGGCTTCCACGTGGTGTTGGGCCTGCAGGTGCACAAAAGGCAAGAGTTAAGATTTGGGAACCTCCACCTGGATTTCAAAGGATGTATGGAAATGCCTGCATGTCCAGGCAGAAGTCTGCTGCAGGGACAGAGACCTCATGGAGGACCTCTACTAGGGCAATGCAGAGGGGAAATGTGGGGTTGGAGCCCCTGCAGAGTCCCCACTGGGGCACTTCCTAGTGGAGCTGTGAAAAGAGGGCCACCATCATCCAGAACCCAGAATGGTAGACCCACTGACAGCTTGCACTGTGTGTCTGGAGAAGCCACAGGCACTCAATGCCAGCCAGTAAAACAGCCACATGGACTGTACCCTGCAGAGCCACAGACACGGTGCTGTCTAAGGCCTTGGGAGCCCACCCCTTGTATCAGTGTGCCTTGGATGTGAAACATGGAGTCAAAGGAGATTATTTTATAATTTTAAGATGAAACGAGTGCCCTGATGGGTTTTGGAATTGCATGGGGCCTGTATCCCCTTTGTTTTGGCCAATATCTTCTATTGGAATGGGAGCATTTACCCAATTCCTGTAGCTCCATTTATCTTGGAAGTAACTTATTTTTTTTATTTTTATAGGCTTATAGGCAAAAGGGACTTGCCTTGTTTCAGATGAGACTTTGGACTTGTAGCTGAGTTAATGCTGGAATGAGTTAAGACTTCTGAGAACTGTTGGGAAGGAATGACTGTATTTTAAAATGTAAGAAGGACATTAGGTTTGGGAGGGGCCAGAGTGGAAAGATATGGTTTGGCTCTGTATCCCCACTGAAATCTCATCTTGAAATGTAATCCCCACATGTTGTAGGAGGGGCCTGGTGGGAGGTGATTGAAGCATGGGGGTGGCCTTTCCCCTTGCTGTTCTTAGGATAGTGAGTGAGTTCTCATGAGATCTGGTTGTTTAAAAGTGTGTGGCATTTCACCCCTCATGCTCTCTATCTTTCTCCTACCATCATGTGAAGGTTCTTGCTTCCCCTTTGCCTTCTGCCATGATTATGAGATTCCTAAGTGATCCCAGTCATACTTCCTGTTAAACCTGTGGAACTGTGAGTCAATTAACCTCTTTTCTTCATAAATTACCCAGTCTCAGGTAGTTCTTTATAGCAGTGTGAAAATGGACTAATACAGTGGGACACGTGGGAAATGAACTAGCCTCCTCTCCTTGGGTCGACTGCAGCTTCTTGGAGGCGTGGATAAGGAAGTTAAGGTCTTCGCTCCTTTGCTAGTCTGAGGGCAGTAAGGGGAGTTCCACTGCAGAGGCAGTGGCAGAGACACTTTCAGTTGCCTCTAGATGCTCTTTCCAGGGAGTTGTCAGGTTGCTACTGGCTCGATAGCTCTGGTTGGATGGGGGGGTGTTTGGAGGCCCAGGCCCGGAGTATCTGCCTAGTGAGGAGATATGGGAACAGCCACGCATGTAATAGTCTGGCTGCTTTTCCACAGGGTTGCTGCAGTATGCTGGGGGCCCGCTCCTGTCTGCATTCACCTCAGATTTTCCAGTACCTGGAGGTATCACCAGTGAAGGAGGCCCAGGCCCGGAGTATCTGCCTAGTGAGGAGATATGGGAATAGCCATGCATGTAATAGTCTGGCTGCTTTTCCACAGGGTTGCTGCAGTATGCTGGGGGCCTGCTCCTGTCTGCATTCACCTCAGATTTTCCAGTACCTGGAGGTATCACCAGTGAAGGCTGTGAAACAGCAAAGATGGCAGCCTGCCTCTCCCTTTGGGACCTCTGTTCCAGGGAGGTACAGACCTGTTGCTTGCCTGAACACACCTATAGGTGGTGGCTGGATACCCCGGTTGGGATGTCCCACCCAGTGAGGAGGAATATGATTGGTGCCCCACTCAGAAAACCATTCTGGACATGTTTTCATAGAGCAGCTATGTTGTGCTGGGGGTCCACTTCAGTCCCCAGTTTGCTCAGATACTCCAAAGCCTGAAGGCTGGAATAGCTAATCAGCCAAACAGCAAAGATGGCAGACTGCCCCTCCCTCTGGAAGCTTCATCCCAGGGTGATTTGAAACCTATGTTAGCTGGAGAGCACTGGTGGGGGTAGCTGGAGATCCTAGTTGGGAGGCCACACCCGATGATGAGGATCAGGATCAGGGACCTGCTTAAAAATGTTGTCTGGGGTGGGAGCGGTAGCTCACGCCTGTAATCCCAACACTTTGGGAGGCCGAGGCAGGTGGATCACCTGAGGTCAGGAGTTCGAGACCAGCCTGGCCAACATGGTGAAACCCTGTCTCTACTAAAAATACAAAAATTAGCCAGGCGTGGTGGTGGGCACCTGTAATCCCAGCTACTTGGGAGGCTGAGGCAGGAGAATTGCTTGAACCTGGGAGGCAGAGGTTGCAGTGAGCTGAGACCACGCCACTGCACTCCAGCCTGGGCAACAGAGTGAGGCTCCATCTAAAAAAAAAAAAAATATTGATCTGGACACATTTGTGTAGGGCTACTATGCTGTGCTGGCAGCCTACAACAGCCCCTGGTCACCTTTGACTCTCCAAAATCTAAAGGCTGGAATAGCTAAGTCACCCAAATAACAAAGATGGCGGCCCACCCCTCCTTCTGGGAGCTCTGTCTCAGGGAGATTTCAAATCTATGTTGGCTGGAGAGCACTGATGGGGGTGGCTGGAGACCTCAGTTGGGAGGTCCCATTCAGTGAGGAGAGATGGGATTAGGGACCTGCTTTAAAAAGCAGCCTGGCCACGTTTTCACAGAGCAGCTGTGCTGTATTGGGGGACTGCCTCCTCCTCTGGTTGGCTCAGACCCTCCAAAGCCCCAAGGCTGGAATATCTAAGTCACTCCAACAGCAAAAATGGTGGCCCACCCCTCTCTTTGGGAGCTCCATCCCAGGGAGGCTTCAAATCTCTGCTGGCTGGAGAACACCAGCAAGGGTGGCTGGAGGCCCTGGTTGAAAGATCCCACTCGGAGAGGGGGAATGAGATTAGGGACCTGCTTAATACAATAGCCTGGCCATCTTTTTGTGGAAACAGCTGTGCTGTGCTGGGGGATCCCTTTTGCCCGGTTGGCTTGGACACTCCAAATCCTGAAGGCTGGAACAGCTAAGTTGCTCAAACAGCATAGATAGAGGCCCATCCCTCCCTCTGGGAGCTCCACCCCAGAGAGTCTTCAAATCTCTGTCGGGTGGAGAACACCAGCAGGGTGGCTAGAGGCCCCGGTTGGGAGATACTACCCAATAAGCAGGAACAGGATTGGGGACCTGCTTAAGAAAGCAGTCTGGCCACGTTTTTCAGTAACAGCTATGCTGTACTGCGGGATCCCTTCCACCTCAGGTGGGCCTGTCCTTTCCAAAGCCGGAAGGCTGGAAGGACTGACAAGGTCACCCAAACAGCAAAGATTGCAGATCGCCTGCCCTGCCCCCACGGAGCTCATCCCAGGGAGATGCAATGCTGCTACTGGCAGCTGGCTGGAATTCCAAGACAGTGGGTCTATCCTGTGAGGTGTGGTGGAAGTGGGGCCTGCAGACTGTCACTGCTCAGCCTCCTTGATTTAGCCTCTTTCCTAGGGGTATGTATGGGGGTCTTACCTCCCGCATGCCAGAGCTGCAGTTACTTCTGCTGGAAAGCCGAAGTATCTAAGGCTCCTGGGTCTCCATGTGTGCCTGAGAAGCTGCTCTGCCAAGACTCCATGTAGCTCTATGTGACAGACTGAAGGCTCTGGTGGAGTGGGTTCATGAGGGGACCTCCTGACAACCTGAGGGTTGCTAATATATCTAGGAGTAGTGTGGATTCCCAGGGTCACACATACACTCACCATTTTCCTGAGTGAGGGAGGTTCCCTTGGCTCCAAGTTGCTCCTGGTGGGGGCTGTTGTCCTGCCTTGCTTTTCTCTGTTCTCCGTGGGTCAGTTTGTTTCCTTGATTAGTCCCAATGTGAGTTCCTGGATGTTTCATTCGAAGGTTCTTCATTTACTCACGCCTTCCATTCCTATCTGTGAGAGCCATGAACACTAACTGCTTCTAGTTAGCCATCTTGGCCACCTCCTTAGAATTTTTTCTTTATTTTATAAGTTTCTTTAAATCTCCAGCATCACTCCTGTGCCTCCTGCCATTACTTACTTAACACTTGTGTGTTATAAGAATTATTGTTTTCTTTTTATCAACTGTCTATTCTTCTGATTCCTTGGCTCTTTCATGTTCATCTGTTCTCATCTCCATTCTCTCCCATGTTTGTATTTAGAAATAAGCTGGTGGCATCCACAAAAGTGGCCAGGAAACATGACTTCAAAAGCCATATGCATTCAACTCTAGGAACTTGAGATGGAAGAGTTGGTTGGTGTGAGTTGAGCGTATTTTTTCCTAGTGAATTTAATGAAGCTATGAGGTCTTTGTCTTATTCTTCTAGGAATTCTAAAGTTTTTGTGGGCTATGAATAAATTTAAGCACCATAGTTTAATAGTATTAACATTTTCTTCTTAAATACATGGTTTTAAGTCATATAATGTGGTTCTTTATTCCCCTCTGTAGCCCTTCTATTTTATTCGGTTTTATTTATTTTTTCCCCAAGGAGTATATCTCATGTGTTATAATGAAAGCCAAGGCAAAAAGTAATTCAAAATGTATACATTCAATACAAGAACTATAAGGAACATCTCTTGTCCCTGACATAAATTAACCCTGTTCTGCAATACTATGGAAGAACTAGCAAAGTTTATTATACCAATATATTGACTCTATGCTCTAAAAGCTTTATAGTTCATGACTGAGATCTATAAATTTAGAGAAGAAACACCATGACTATACTTACATGGCAGAAATAGAGAGCATAATTGAGTCAGTGCTTTGGATATCTAGTTGTTTATTTGGATAAGTATTGTTAATATAATTAAAACCATAACACTGACAATCAATTAGATGATGTGATTGCTATGAAATCTTGGAGATTATTGAATCATGTCTTTTAGGTAGCAGTAGTGGTTAGTGAGAAATAATTCTGTGGTTCTATTGTTACATGTCATTCAATTCCCTGATTCTGGAAAGATGCTAGACTTACTCCCTTCCTTTTTTATCTGTTTTCCTTTCTTCTTTCCTTCCATTGTATATATGTATTTAAACACAGCCCTCGCATTCTTCCCTTAGGAGATATGTCTATATCTATCTCTATCTATTTATCTATCTATCTACCTATTTATTTATAATTTAGTATGCTAAATAAATTTACTTATATTAATAATATATAAATATATCACACTCCTTTCTTGAGATATGAATATTTATATATCTACATTGTATATGTATATATAAATATATATTTATATATCTACATTGTATATGTATATATAAATATATATTTATATATCTACATTGTATATGTATATATAAATATATATTTATAAGTAGATACATATTTATACACATGTGCATATAATATATATGTATACAGAGACACAAATAAATAAAGAAGTAAATAAGTAAGTATAGATACATTCCAAGAAAGAAGTATGCATGGGGTTGAGGGGAAAGAGGGATGCAGTTATCATCTTTAGGCCATTTATAAATGAAGGGGAGAATTGATAAGCTTTCTTGATCAAAGCCTTAATCAATTTTATATATTTTCCTGTATTGCAAGAACTATAGATCAAAGGTATTTTATTTGCATGTTCATAGCTTTTTGTGGGGTAAGAGGTGGCAAATATAATAAATTACTACATGCTATTAGTTGTGCAAAAATGATTTTTACAAGGAAACAACTTGGTTTCTTTCTCTCTATGACACTTAACAAACATATTTAGCGTGATAGTGCACTAACCTGCATAAATGTTGTACCTCTCCTCCTTTGTTTTAAGCTTCTGGATGGTAAGGACAGTGTTTGATTCCTTTTTTATCCCTCATGGTATCTAACAGTGTATCTAACATACCTGGAACAAAGCAAGTACTCTGCAAATGTTTCTTGAATAAATGAACCCTAGGAAGTTGAGAGCTGTAAGACAACATTTTAACTTTGAAGAAAACAGTAGTCCTTGAGGTGTATTACCTGGATTCTGTGTACATTTCAACATAATTCAAAAAGGTGAAAAGTTACCCTCATTAATTATAAAGGTTTATGTTGTCAACCACTTACTTCCTATGGTTACATCTCTGAGAAATTATAAAATAGGTACTTCAAGAGTTTGGTAACAGGAACAAATTGGCTGTTATAGAATTCACGAATGCTAATAACTCATTTACTTATAATGGTTATAATTAATTAGTTTAGAATCATCTACTGCGGTCTTAAAATGAATAGGATATTTAAAGGTCACCATTGCTCTAAGCTCTCATTTAAAACTCTAATTGAACAAAAATACATTGAAGATATCAATTAAAACATTTCAAATTAGTCTCTAGCTAAAATAGTCCTAAAATAGTAAATGATAGATTTATTTGCTTTCTCTTAAATGTTGTGATCTGTATACTATGCTATTAAGTTATTATAAAACATTAATTTCCAAGGTTTTGGATCACAGGGGATATGCCTATCATTTATGACATAGAATGAAGTAGATAAATCATGTACACACTAAGGTAATTTCTTACTAGATGTTTAGCAATGAATTTTCACTTTTTCCCCCTTCACTGGAAATGCAAATTGATATCATGCGCTAAATCATGTTTAATACTAAAGATATGAAATTTAATTAGAAAGTCCATTTATCAATGACAGATAACATCCAACAATAAATTTCAACATAACAAAGCAACCTATCTACACGTAATTGGAACACAGAAGAAATAGCATTTCTCATTGTAATTTTTGACTAGAAGTATGTTAGCAGATATGTTGATAATATTAAAATGGGGCATTTGTAATTGGAAAATAGTAAATCTTTGAAGAAAGTTGTTGCTGTTGGATCATGACAGAATCTTTCAAACTATATCTCACATAATACTGTTTCAGAAAATGTTGCTATCAGTGCCATGTAAAAAAGTCTCCACAATCAAAGAGGTTTGGAAAATTGTTTATAGTGGTTCTTTAGCCATGCCTTCCTGGTGTCAGTAGGTTTTTCTATAGTTCTGAGTGGATGTAGGAAAGCATGTCTACCCACTCAATTATGTCTTTTGTGTGAAAGCAAACAACTTATCAAAACATCAAAAACCAGCTTGTTTAAATATGATACATAAATAAAAAATATATAAAGTATAAATGCCAAGTGTGACAGATTGTATTTTCTAAAGATGATTGCAACAGTATCTCCCATCCCACACATTCTTCTTACAAAGTAATGTGGACACTTTTCCCATGGAGAAGTGGGCTCTTTGTTGCCTTCCCTTAAATTTGGATGGGCTTGTGACTATAGCAGGCATGATGCAATGTAACTTCTGAGACTAGTTCATAAAAAGTGATATAATGTCTGGTTCTTTTGGATACCTGCTTGTAGCCCTGAGCTACCACATAAACAAGTGTCTCAAGGCCACCATGCAGTGCCATGAGGATGCCCAGATTATACCATGTGGAGACTACATGTAGTGGAAAAAATACCTGGCTTGCACCCTACTGCTTCAGCCAGAACCCCTGCAATTCCAGCTCTAATCACCATCTGACCACAATCACATCTGAGACTCTGAACCAGTCAGAACTATTCAGCTGAGCCCTTTCAGAAACCCCTGACCCGCAGAAACCACAGGAGGAATAAATGTTTTTTTAAAACCATTACATTTTGGGGTGATTTGTTATGCAGCAATAATAATAATAACTTTGGGTACCATATTTAACATAATATTTAGTAATAATACATACCTTTGTATTCATAGTATAATACAGACATATAATAATACATACCTTAGTATTCAAACCAATCATGACCTCATTGACCTTCAGCTTTTGACACTGTGAAGTGAGGCTATTATTTTGAATTTAACAAAGGAATAAGAAAAGCATATTAAATATTTTACATGTTCCAAATCTTGAGATATATTGTAGATAAGCCACATGTTCACTGTCTAGAGTATTTCCAGGAACATAATTTAGGGTTACTGAGCTACTAGGAACATATTATTTTACTGTTCTTCTTGAATTATTTAAATAACAGAGAGTATTAGAAATGTTGACACCTGTTTCTTTACCATTTACAACCCACAAAAACCTTAGTGTGATTCAGTGATTTAAAATGAGGTGAGCACTTGAGTGTTATCAGCTGGAGTCCTATTTCTGGACTTAAGAAGGCCCCAGGAATATTTAAGAGCACCCAGAGATCTCCCTGAGAACAGTGATTCAAAAACTTCTTACAGGATGATGTTCCCTCACATGGGAAAAACTGAGAAGACACCACAAGTAGATTTTCTGAAGTTAGGAGTCCAATATGCGTCCTTAGTCATAAAGAGCCATTGAATCGGTGTGGTTGCCAATATCTTCCTGAACAGTGGAGGGCAGACTGCATAGTCATTAAGTTAGCAAATTTGAAAAAGGCCATTTAAAAGGAGGTTCTGATGATATACATTTGAAAGAGGAAGCAGTATATGTCTGGGGAAATATTTTAAGACCTAGAAAAATGTCCAGTGTTTGTCTAGGAGTATGGAAACATCAACTCTCATTTTCCAGTCAAGATTTGAACTTTCTTTCTCCAAATACAGACATGTAATGTTGTCTTAATCTGGCGAGGTTAATTTTCTCTTTGTCATCTAACCAGTGAATGATTAGATACCATCATGCTCATTGAAATTCACTTAATACAACTTACCATTTCTCCCTTACCATGCACCTGGCATGTGTATTAAGTCTTTTAATCATCACAAGAACTCAATGAGACATAGGCACTGTTATAATCCACATTTTACAGATGAGGGCCCTGAAGCCCAGAAAGGTTAACTTGCCCAAGATTACGCAGTCAGTAATTGATAGTCTGGAATTAAACACAGGCAGTCTGGCTCTAGAACCAGTGCTGTTCAACTCCATGCTATATTACCTGTCTTGGATATTTGTTGGTATATAGTGCTAGCCAAAGATGGTGCTAAGTTAAAATTTTGCTTTTTTTTCAAGAGCTCTGATCTTAGATAAGTTGCTTAATTGTTCTGACTCTTTGTCTCTGCAACTATGTGATGATAATAATAATATAGTTCCTATGCTTATACTGCAGTTGTGAAGATTATAGGTAGTATATGTAAAGTACCTAGTATGATACTCAGTACATACTCCCGGTGCTGATAGTGATGGTAGTATCTTCTTTCTCTAGTATGTCCTACTCAAAGCTTAATATGATAGTACATGGAGACACAGGGACAGATGTGTAACTCAGCAGACATTGGAAAATATATCTAGGAGGTTAAGACTAAGGTAAAAACGTTATATTAGCAAGGCAAGATTTAGGCAGAAATGATTCACTATCTTCTCTATGGCATCAAGAAGAGGCAGATAGGCTAGGGAAAAGGATTAAAACAGTTCATTAATCCAAGATTCCCCAGTGCTACTGAGAGCTCTGTCTTTCCAAGGTTTATGCTAAGGTGAGAAAAAGAAAGGCAGGAGGATCTTTCGATGTAACTTTAAACATATAAAAATGAAGTTATGATGATATGAGTAAGAATTTTCTTTGAAAAACTCATTTGTACTGGAAAATGTGCTGAAAATTCATATTAACATATTAGAAACAGTTTAAAAGACGGTAATTATAAACAATAACAGAAAATAATTATATTTCCAAAGTCTTCAGATAATCTCTTGCTTTAGAAATGGTTTTGAAGTATTTATAATAGTCTGTGGAAATATAGATTTTTTAAAGTGCTGTAGTTAAATAACTAGGCAATTATAGCAATCTTGCATTTTAACACTTTGTGATGACTAGGCTAATACGTTGATAAAACATCTGTGTTAAGGTAGATAAGAATGGAAGCAGAGAGACCAGTTATAATCAAGGAATGGGGAATTGGTGGTCGAGATTGAAAGAAGTGGTAGGAAATGAGGCCAGAGAGGTAGTCTGGGGCCAAATTTTATAGGACCTTGAAGGCCATTATATAGGATCTGGTTTATATCTTGAATTCAAGTGGAAGCCCTTGGAAGGGTTAAGCAGGTAACAGATGCAATCTGATTAATCTTTTAAAAAGGATCAATTTGAAAGCTTTGAGGAGAATCAATGGAGCATATAGGGAATAAAAGTGGGAAGAATAGTTAGGAGGCGAATGTAGTAGTCTAGTCAAGATATGAATGGTAATTGTGTGGATGGAGGCATGGGGATATATAGAAGGGATAATAAGTCATGGAATTGATAGGACTTTGCAGTGGAGGTTTCTGAAATGAGCTATAGGGTACATTGACTGAAATAAGGATGGTGGGGAAAATGGCAAGTGAAGGTACTTTGAGGTGGCAAACCTGTGTGTGTGTGTGTGTGTGTGTGTGTGAGTAGGGGCATTCAGGTGAAAAATTCAAATATAAGTCTCACAACAGCAGAATGACATATTATCCCTATTTAGAAATGAGGGTCAGAGGATCTTAGAAACCAATGAAATAGCTTGATCAGTCTCACACAGCTAGTAACTAATAGAGACGGATTCAAATCCATGTCTGTTTGATTCCACCTGCCATGTTATTTTAACTTAACCACCCAGCATAAAGGGGCATTTTCATGGTAGTGAGTCTTTACTAGAATATGTGTGCAAGGCAAGAAAAGATATGATATGGCAGAAAGGAAGTACAGAGGTCTCTTTAACTGGGCTTCTCCAGACCTAAATGATAATGTGGAGGTACCAGGAAAGAACCTAGGTTTAGGAAAGGGAAGCCACAGTGAAGAACTAAGAATGTTCAGAAAAATGAGCAATGATAAGTCATAGAGTGCAGGAATTTGGTGCAGAGCCTAAAAGTTCACTCACAATCAAGAGTATTATTTGCATTTGACATGCTGTAGGGGTGGTATACTATAGGTTTGAGAATAGCGGAGTTACATAATCTGAACATCCCATAGGGAACATATTTTCTTACTACCATGGAGAAGAAGGCTTGGTGGTAATTAAGGAGACAAGCAGTTATCCAGCTGGTTACAATTTGGGTTAAGCCTATAATTTTGGAAATGGAGAGTAAGGGGCACATCTGAGACCTCTAAAATTTAGTAGATCCTCAACATTCTTGAGGGTTATGTCTTGAGATCTTTGCAGATTCCCAAATTCATGAATACAATTATAACATATAATTTCATTATAAAATGTAGTGAAGTATGACTGAAAAATGTATGGGAACCCTTTGGGTCATTAACAATCCAATAAATGCATCTAAATAATTCGTAAAGCTCTTAAGATAAATTCTACCAATAATACCACATCCTTAGACCATTCCACTTACATTACCATTACTTGCAAATTGGCATTCTTTGTACAGCCTTTTTACAAGGAAATTATCTCTTCCACCCGTACCCCAATTCCTAAAAATTACTATGTTACACATTTCCAACAGAGAACAACAAAGCCATGTTAAGATGCAGGCACTTAAAGGAAATGATATCTGTGGTGGGTGATCAGCTGGGTTCATGCACTAGCTAAGTAACTCACCTCGACACACCAGCTAAAAAGAGTACATGGTACAATTTCATGCTTCAGTACACTGACAAATTGACTATGTGCCATGAATCTTCAGAACTACTTGAGAATAATTAGAACTGAATTTCAAACCTGTGAATGCTTAGTAAAGGTTGACTATACATTAAACTTCGTGTCACCTAGTTAAGACTATTGGTCTAAGCCCCTATCTACCCAGTAAGCATAATTACACAATTGGAACACTTTTGCTTGTAAGGTCTAAATCATGTGTCAATAGGGGAGTGCATGTGAGCATGAAAATCTTGTGTCATTTACGTGAAACTGCTCTATTACATCCATGAAAACCCTGTGTCAGTGATTTTGCCTCCCAGGCAATATTTGGCAAAGTTTGTATACAGTTTTAGTTGCCACAACTTGGGGAGTTGTGTTACTGCCATCAAGTGGGTAAAGGCCATGAATGCTGCTAAATAACCTACAAATGCAAAAGACAGTCCTTTACAACAAATAATTATTCAACCCAAAGTGTCAGTACTGTTGAGGTTGAGAAACCCTGCCTTATGTCAAGAGAATAATCTTATCAGAGACAGGCCACTTTAAATTTTTCCCACTGTGATTAATTTAATGCATCAACAAGACTGGACCATGGGATGCCCAAATAGCTCGTTAAAAATTGTTTCTGGGTATGTCTTCGAGGGTGTTTCTGAAAGAGATATGCATTTGAATTGGTGGAATGACTGAAACAGATTGGGTGGGCATCATCCAATCTGTTGAGGGCCTGAAGAGGGCAAAAAGACAGAGGAAGATTAAATTAACTGCCTGACTGTTGAGCTGGGTCATTGATCTTCTCCTGCCCTCAGTGTTTCTGGTTCTCAGGGCTTCAGACCCAAACTGGGATCTACCCCATTGGCTCTTTGGCCTTTGAGCTATGCCAGTGGCTGTTTGGGGTGTCCAGCTTTCAGACAGCAGATCATGGGGACTTCTAAGTCTCCATAACTTTACAGTAAATCTCTCTCTCTCTCGCTCTATATATATATATACACACACACACACACACACACACACACACACAGAGATATATATACACATATATGTATATGTATATATAGATTATATATGTATGTATATATGTATATGTATATATGTATATATATATCTATGTATGTATATATGTACATATATAGATATGTATATATATCTATATATAGATATATATATATACACACACATATATATACTGGTTTTGTTTCTCTAAAGAATCCTGACTAATACAATATACCCATTAAAAACTGTGTTTGGTCCCCAGTTCTTGGTTCCTCTTGGTTTTCAGTCCAATAATTAGGAGAATCTACAGTCCCCAGTGTCAAGGATGTAACATTTTCATATCTATAAGATCACTTATTTTGAGTAAGCCACTGACCTTTGTAACTTATACATGTAGCCCATGCATAAATATTTAGTATCTACTCTGCTAGTTCTGAGTTAAAGTGAAGAATAAGTTGGACAAGCAGTTTTCCCTTAGGGTTCTATAGCATTTAGATTTTGTTGAGGGATACAGACAAGCAAGCAGACAATTACGATGTCGAATGGTAGCTGCTGTGCTAGCAGAAGTCCAGGTTCTCTGGGAGCATACTATGCATCTTTTAAAATCAGGTGTTTGTGGGAAACTCACCTTAAAAGTGTATCTCTTCTGTGATAGTTTCTTAAACTTGTCATTTTTCCTTTTCATTGGGCATTTAACTGGGCCAACCAATGACCTACTTTTCCTGATCCTTGATGTAGCCCTGCCTTGCAGTCAGAATTGGTGGAGAAATGGAGAAATACAGAACATGGGAGCATTTTTCTGGAGGAAGTGACATCTAAGCACAAACAGCAAGACAGAAATTAACCACATGAAAATGGAAAAAAAGAGGAGAAAGAGGGTATCCTAGGCTAAAAGACAAACGTGTGTGAGAACCTAGAGGAGCATGGACTCTTTAGGAAATTGAATTGGCTATCTGCAGCCTGAGCTACTTTTTATTTTATTTTATTATTATTTTTTATTTTTTTATATTTTTTAATTATACTTTAAGTTCTAGAGTACATGTGCACAACGCGCAGGTTTGTTACATATGTATACATGTGCCATGTTGGTGTGCTGCACCCATTAACTCGTCATTTACATTAGGTATATTTCCTAATGCTATCCCTGCCCCCTTCCCCCACCCCACAACAGGCCCCGGTGTTTAATGTTCCCCTTCCTGTGTCCAAGTGTTCTCATTGTTCAATTCCGACCTATGAGTGAGAACATGCAGTGTTTGGTTTTTTGTCCTTGCGATAGTTTGCTGAGAATGATGGTTTCCAGCTTCCTCCATGTCCCTACAAAGGACATGAACTCATCATATTTTATGGCTGCATTTAATTTGTGTTGTTGTGTGAGAAGAATGGTGAATTGGAGGGCAAGGCTTATCAAGATCACACTGGTATCATCTCCAGGCCTGAAATCACCATCTTCCTTTTTCTTCTTGTGTATGTTACAAAAATAATCCTCACTCACTATTAAAATTTTCTAAAGTATACAAAATGAGACATAAAAATTCCACTCAACATCCATCAATTTCCTTTTTCAAAGCAGTGCTGTGGTTTGAATGTGTCCTCTAAAAGTTCATGTGTTGGAAACTCAATCCCCCTGCCCCCATGAATAAATTAATGGATTAATTATGTATCTGCCCTCATGAATGGACTAGTGCCACTATTGTAGGAGTGGGTTTCTTATCACAGGAGTGGCTTTGTCATAAAAGTAAGCTTTCTCTATCTCTCTTGCCCTCTCACTACGTGATGCCCTCCTACATGTGATGATGTGGAAAGAAGGCCCTCAACCAATGCTGGCACCATGCTCTTGGGCTTCCCATCTTTCAAAACCATGAGCTAAATAAGATTATTTTCTTTATAAATTAGTCAGTCTGTGGTATTATGTTATAGCAACAAAAAAATGGTTTAATAAAGTGGTGTCAATAGTGTGTTTTCTGCAAGCCTTGTCTTCACTTCCTTTTTAATGCCGTTACATTCACAAACTGTATATAGTCTTGGAGTTTTTAAAGCACAAATTATATCTATCTATCGATCTATAGATGTAGACCTCTTCCCTTTTTCTGTTTGAAATATTTTCTGAAAATCTTTTTACATCAACATACATAAATCTACATTATTATTTTGCTATTTGCTTAGCTGGATGAGCCATAATTTTGGGTGGCTGTTACTTCACCAGTTATCCCAGTTACAGATTACTTTTCTTCTAAGGGGGTGGGGCACTGGAGTGCCTCTTGAGAAATCAGTGGTCTGCAGGATGATGGGGAAAATAATTAGAACTCCTTAGTCAAGGCTTATATAGAGACTATCTGCACCTGAAACCTTCACCCTAAAACACCACCCCCTGCTCAAAGCATTTTCCTTTCCTACTTTTATAAAAGCCCTTTAGGCTGCAAGTTTTTGTCTGCCATGCCTCTCAATAATGCCTTTGATATTTGCCTTAATGTGATTTCATTTGGATAAATGTATCTGAGGGGGAGAAAGGCAGGGAAGCACCCAATGGGATTTGCCCCAGAACCTGCCCACTCTCTTTTTCCATCTGTGCTTCAGATGAAACACAGTCAGTTGCTTTTGGATGTAATTTAAATGATAATAAGGCTGTTAGAAATATAAATAAGGTGGGGAAAGGAACTTGGGAAATTCACAAAAACAGGCAGAATGCAGTTGACAGGAAGCAGAGAGTGGAGGCACCTGGCTGTGCAAGCCGATAGTAAGATAACATATGTTTGAAGGGCCCCGGGCTCAGAGAAATTTATTTGACTTTGTTAACTGTATTATTTTTTATTCCTGTCTTTGCCAGCTTTATTGGTATATGTTTTCAGGATCAAGAAAACAGGCAGTCTGACTTACTGTTTAAAAAAAGTATCTGCACTTCACCTTTTACTTTACAGTTTTTATAAAAGATGGAATCACAAAGAAGAATTGGATATCAGTTTTTTGTTACTGTTTTCAACCAAAAATGGTGTTGACTGAGGCAGATGTGATCATTGGAGAGTAGATTGTTCAAGGCACCCTAGGAAGGCTGGAGTTGATAAGCAAGAGATAAGAACATGAGGACCTGGGCTAGGGCCAATGTTGAGAGAGCCCAGGAGATGAAAAAAAGGAAGATAGACTGAAGAGGGCAGGAGCCAGAGCAGAAAACAGGGCAGAAATTGAGAGACAGATCAATCAAGCTGGTCAGGGACAGGAATAAAGAAGCCTAAGGACCATTCAAATAGACTGCCAGTGGACCAGGTTAAGTGCCCAGGGAACAGGATTGGCAAAAAGAATGCCTCTGTTGAGAAGTTACACTACTGAAATGAGTTACACCAAAATTGCCTGATCTTAGAGTGAGGTGAGAAGAGTTTGATTTTAGTGGGGTAGATTAAAGGACTCTGAGGAAAGCAGAGCGATCGGTCAATTCTCAGATATAAAGCATTTCGGTCCGCATTCTTTCCAGTCTACTGAGTATTTAACCACCCTTTTGTAGAACTGAAAGTTCACGCAATCTGTACCTTATATTCTTTTGAGCCATTTACTGTTTTAAAGGACAGTGTCTATAGATATGGTAAGAGGAGAATAGAGTCAATTTCAATTGCAGCGGGCAGAGAGAGGAGTGTCATGGTTCCTGAATATGGATAATACCTGTAACAAGAGTGCTGTGAGGCTTAAGAGCCTTAACAATGGTGTAGAGCTTTATGAACATGTCTTCTAGTTTCTTGAAGAGATGGATCAATATAGCAATATAGGTGCACATCCTTTCCAGGCATCTCTTTTGAACAGGCTAGTCATTGGGATGCCAAGTGTTTACTTATTTATTGTAATTGACTTTGCCCCATTATACTTTGTGAGTAGCTCATAATTTACTTAGGACAGTAGTTTCTAAATTTTATTTTTAACAGTAGGTTTTTTTTTTTTAAGTCAAATGGAATCTCACATAGAGCTGTAATATTTAAACATATGTTAGAATCTTTTAAGTTCAAATCCACCCTGTTTAAGCACATGAATAAAGTTTTGATGAATGCAATCCTTTAAAATACGGGCTTCTATGTGACAGTTGTATTCTTATGTTCAGCTTTCACATCTAACTTATTCTTCTGTAAGATTTTGGTTGCACAGTGTAGAGATATTCCTAATTCACATAGATGAATTGGAAATAAAAACGGCATTTCTGATAGCTCAGCTTGCAGTCTCAGGGGACTCGAGATAAATAAAATGGTAGGAGTAGCTACCAATCAAGGTCTGCACCAAAAACTAAATCATCTGGCAGCAAAAATTAGCACCGTATGTGCTAATCTGGTGTATATTCCATTTCGGTGTGTTATTTTACTACGTTTGAAAGATATTTAAAAATATAGGCTGGGCGCAGTGGCTCACGCCTGTAATCCCAGCACTTTTGGAGGCTGAGGCAGGTGGATCACCTGAGGTCAGGAATTCGAAACCAGCCTGGCCAACATGGCGAAACCCTGTCTCTACTAAAAATGCAAAAATTGGCAGGGCATGGTGGTGGGTGCCTGTAATCCCAGGTACTCGAGAGGCTGAGTCAGGGGAATCACTTGAACCTGGGAAGCAGAAGTTGCAGTGAGCCGAGATCATGCCACTGCACTCCAGCCTAGGTGACAGAGTGAGACTCCATCTCAAAATAAATAAATAAATAAATACATATAAATACATAAATAAAAATTATTGTAATTCAAACTGAATGCTTTTGGAATCACCATAACATCTTTGAAGAACCTTAGATGTTTTTGAAATACAGTTGTAAAGCCTTTGGCCCAATAAGGTGTCTGCTCTAGGAACAGCATAGTAAGAGATGAGTCAGGGAACTGAATCAAAGGAAAAAACTTGTAAGAAAATGGTTTTGTCAATCAAGCCAGATGATCATGTAAGCAAGTTCCATGATTCATAAAAGGGTTACTCAATTGTTTTCTTGGATGATGCAACAATGTAAACACTGGCTACCTGACTACAAGTGTTTGGGACAGGGTTGTGGTAGGGCAAAGTAGGCTCCTGACTGGAAAGCAAAGATTAAGCTGCTTCAAAAGTATTTTTGTTTCCTTTCTTTCTGTTTGTATATTTAGTTTTTACTACAGTAGGTTTTCAATAAACATTAATTAACTTAATTAAGAGGAATATGAATGGCGATCTTGGTGAAGAATTAACAGAGGTAAGATAGCCTCTGTGAGTATATTGCTGCCCTCAGATACCATAAGGATACTTTGTCCATTCTGGCTGATATAAAAAAATACTATAAATTGAGTAGCTATAAATAACAGGAATTTATTGTTCACAATTTGCAAGCTTTGGAAGTCCAAGATCAGGGTGCTGGCAGATAAAATGTCTGATGAGGGCCCACTTCCTGGTTCCTAGATGGTGCCTTCTTGCTGTGTCCTCACATGGTAGAATCGGGCCAGTAGTCTCTCTGGGGCCTCTTTTATAAGGCCAGTAATTCCATTCATGAATGCTCTGCTCCTGTGACCTAACCACCTCCCAAAGGCTCCACCTCTTAATACCACTACCTTGGGGGTTAGGATGTCAACATATGTATTTTGGTGGGACATCAACACTCAGAACATAGCAGATGCCTTACACATAATTGATGTACCATGTATGTTTATTGAATGAATGCAGAACTTTAATCTTGGAATCCAGGGCCTGTATATGTTTTTGTAGAGCTTCGAGCACTAATTTTTGTCTTCTTCAGCTGGCTTTACCCCATTACATTGGGCTTTCTTTTAAAGAATATGACTCAACCTATGACTGGCTAATACAGTGCTAATTAACAGATTCCTTCCCTGTCAGTTCTAGGCCTCCCAGAACAAATGTCCCAACAAACTTTCTTTTGTGCTCATCTACTTGTAATCAATTCCAACCTTAGTTGCTTCTGATATTGCCTTTTGTTTTTCCTGGGTATACCTGGTTTTAGCAAATTGTACATCCTCTTAACATATGCCCCTCAATGACATTGAGCCCATCCCACCCCTGCCACAACAACTCATGTAATGCCTTTTTTTCATTAATCGTTTTTTATCATCATCCACTGTTTCCCTTGATATCCCCAAATGTGGAATAGTGAGGCTAAATTGTAATAATAGGTCACATTTTTTTCTTTAGCATTTACTATGTGCCAAGTGTGGAGCTAAATGCTTCACATGCTTTATCTCCATCCTTACAACAACCCAATGCAGTAGATACTGTATTTTCCCCCATTTTACAGCTGAGACAAATGAGGTCCATAAACAATAACTAACTTGAACAAAGTCACACAACTTGTTAGTGAGAGCCAGAATCTGATTCCAAACACTATTTCCTAATTAATTCTTATAGTCACTCCCTACAAAACAGCTTGTTGGAAGGAAGCATATTATTAGCAAAAACGTCACTTTTTGTGATTCTGGCTGGAGTCCAACTTTTCCACAGGCCTCTGGAATGAAGATCAGGACATCGCCTTTTCTATCTCTACTGCTACTCAAAAAGGCAAATACCAATTCAATGTACTGTGTTTTATCAAATTTGAGGGTTAAGAGTGATTGTCTTAGTATATTCAGGCTGCTATAATGAAATACCTTATGCTGGGTAACTTATAAACAGCATAAATTTATTGCTCACAATTCTGGAGGCTGAGAAGTCCAAGATCAAGGCACTAGCAGATTCACTAGTACCTGGTGAGGGCTTGCTCTCTACTTTGAAGGTGATGCATTCTAGCTGTGTCCTCATGTGGCAGAAGAGGGGAATGAGCTCTTTTGGGCATATTTTGTATGGGAATTAATATTATTTATGAGGACAGAGCCCTCATGACTTAATTGCCTTCCAAGAGGCCCCTACTATTGTGGATTAGATTTTAATAAATGAATTGTGGACAGGTAGATTGGGGGGAGGGCAAACATACATACCATAGCAATGGTTCTTCCTATATCAGGAACTATAATTATAAGGGCCACTGAGAGGGTAAGAGGCTGTCCCAAAGTCACATATCAAAGGTGTGGCAGAAACAGGAAACAAACCTGTGGGTTGTCAATCCTGGTCCACCTATACTCACAGGCTATGCCTAGATAAGGGACATGGAGAATTTCCGGATGTATTTGAGACTTCCATATTGCTCTGAAAAAATATCTTGAGTGAGTCCTCTTCCTTTCCTTCTAATGTCCCCTCAACTAAATTTTTCATCAGCAAAACTGATTTGTGAAATCACGTCCTATTTATTCCCACTTTCCATGAAATTTTGTAGTGAGTTCCAACCTCTTCTACAGACTTACTATTTCCTGTTTGTCTCTATCTCTTCTTCCCTAGTCTGGAAAGTTTTATGCTAATACTCCTAACACTTAGTGAGCACCTTGAGGTGCTCCTGCCTTCTCCACACATAGGCATAAGAATGACAAGGTTTGTGGCCTGTGTTGACTGCGTGAACACAGTGCCTGCTTAGGACCCTTTGAGGTGATAGGGTTATGTTTCCTAAGGCAGCCTATACAAGGTCTATATTATTACTTTGAGGGTAGTAACTAAATATAGGGACAGGCTGGAAGCTATGGTTGAGGAAGCAAAGAATATGCAAAAGTCTAGGTCAGCAACTGAGTGGGTGATTCTTCTTTGCGTTTATGAGAGTTTTATCCAAACCACCTGAGGAGGTGGAATTCAACGTATGCTTGCTCCCTTTCTGGATTGTTAGACATTGTCTTCCCCCAAACCTGTTAACAACCACTATTATTTACAGGATTGTGACATATCCCTTTTTTACAGGAGGAAAAAAATAATAATTAACATCAATTAAATACACCTTAATCATATGTGTCTGGTATATTATGTGCCAAGCATATAGTGTTAAGGTGTATTAATTCATATAATCCATGCATATACTCTAGAAAGTAAGTACAATTGTTATTATCTCAATTTTTCATTTGGGGAAACTGAGGCAGAAAAAGAGCAGCTTGCCCAAGATCACATAGCTACTAAATGGTAGAAGTGGGGCTAGAATTAAAGCAGCATGACTCCAGAATCCACTTCTTTACTTAGTCTGCTATACTGCATCTCAGAAGCATTATCACTCAGATTCCAACGAACATGGTATCTTAGTACATTAGGGCTGCTATAACAAAACTACTATAGACTGAGAGCTTATAAAGATATCTCCCTATGATAGATAGACAGATTTCTATCTATCTATCTATCTATCTATCTATCTATCTATCTATCTATCTATATCCTACAATTCTGGAGGCTGGAATGTCCAAGTTAAAGGTGCTGGCACATATAGTGTCTGGTGAGGGCCTGCTTCTTGGTTCATTGACAGCCATCTTCTTGCTGTGTTCTTATATGGAAGAAAGAGTGAGAGAGTTCTACAGGGTCTCTTTTATAAGGTCACTGATCCCATTCATAACGATAACACAGGGTAAAGAAAAATATATGTGTTGGGCTTCTATCTGTGTTTTACAATAAACCAATTTAATTTTTTTCTTGGAAGGGTTCAGGAAACAGATAATACAAAAGTAATCCTGCGACCCTGGTAGTGACTGAGACATCTGTAAGGAACTGAAAGGACACAGTCTGTAAGGAGTTGAAGTTGAAGGAGTAATGTAGCAATCCAAAGAGATCTCTGTAATTAATTGCTGCTCTAACATTTCCTAGAGTTCCTCTGATGCCTTCAAAGAAAGTGATATGTTCTTGGCCTTTTACATACTTCATTTATTCCTCACAATAACCTAATTATGTAGGTATTCCTTTTGCCCTCCACCTATCAGAAGAAGGGACTCAAGTCCTGAGAAGACAAATATTTTATCCAAGGTCTCAGAACTGGTAAATGGCAGAGCAGCCTGGATTTAAACTCAGGCAGTTTGTTTTTAGAGCCCACATATTTAAATGTTGCAAATTATATAGAAAATCTAGAGTTCAAAAACTCATGCAAATAAAGCATCAGAGCAATGAGTCAGCAATCTGGGGAAAGTAATACACTGAAGGACCAAACTACTGAAAAGCAAACCCAACAGCTGGTCAAAAGGTCAATGTCAGAAGAGCCTCAAGCAATGACAAGGCAAAATGAATTAGAAAACACTCTTGAGGAATAGTAAAAGGCAATTTGAATTTTACCTGTCCCAGCTAGCAAACACCGTGTATGTTTCCTATTAGCGCAAAGACCAGTCCAGTGGTATAGCTAGCCTAAGAGCTATAGGGAGAAGTAGGTTCAGTAGAAATGACTGAATGGACTGGCAGTAGCAGAGAAGAACATATTCAGATAAAGTTACTTGCTAGAGACCATTTAGAAAATAATAGAATCATGGACTATTAGAAGTCAGAAAAAATACTAGATTCCTCTATACCACATTTATTCTTAAGTCATTTTTTATGACATTCCTGTGAAAAGGTCACCTGGTGCCTGCTCAAACACTATCTCCTGGGGAAGCCTGTGTGGTTTTTAGGAAACTTTCATGTTTCAAAATTTACTTACGTTGAGCTGAAATCTACCTCCGTGTACTTTCCTTCTTTGGGCCTCAGTTATTTGCTCCTGGAGCACACTTGAATAAGTCAGACCTCTGTCCACATGGCAACACCCTTTTGGGGCACATTTTGGAGAGAAATGGGGGAGGATAAGTTGTGCTATTAGCTTAACCTGATTGGAAGAGTAAGCATAGGCTGACTTTTCTCATGAAAAGTCTGTTTTCTTTGATCATGGAAAGTATAGTTCATTAATCCATGACTTCTCCACAAGGGGATTTTATTTTGGAATTGCTATTGTCTGAACTCATTCTTATGGATCTTCTAGAACACCCTCAAAGCAGTTCATTCCCATGGTAGGCTCAGTTGTAGTTTGACTTTGTTTATTTACTTCTGGCCCTGAGTTCTTGGCTCTATTCAGTGAAGAGTATGAGGAAGCAATTCCTGTTCCAAATGAAGGTAAATCCTAGCAAACTCTCTCTTTCTCTCACTATTCCTGCAATTATTACATACATCTCCAAATATATTCTTTCTTTATAGCTAACCTAGTAACTTAGAACAAACATTCAGTATTTACACAGATACAGTATAAGTGAAATAAGAACAGAAAGAACAGGCTTTGTCTTATTTTGTTGATGACATTAAGAGCTAAATAAGTAAGATAAAATAATACAGGTTAAATTGGATTCTGTGCCTGAGTCTAAAAAAAATAATAATATAAGCTAAGGGTCACACAAAAAGTTATGCATTCTTTGTTGTGTGTGTGATAGAGAGAGAGTTAGTACCAGACAGAAAGAGGAAAATGTCATACAGACTTGTCTGGAAAGACCATCCAAGATATACAGCTTCTTGCCTTCTGTATGATGAGAAAGGAAGGAAAAATGGAAACAATGGCAAGTATAGATGAAAACTAGAGCTTGTGAATCAAAATTAAGAAGGATGTATGAAGCACATAAAGAGAGGAATTCCATACCAGATACTTGTGAATTTTTCCAACCAGAAGTCCTGAAAATTAGGAAAAAAAATGAATTAAGAAGTTGAGACAGTGTGAATTTAAGAATTAAAAAAAAGAATGATTGGTCCTAAACTGGAACTCAAAGAAGCAGAAAAAATGATTTTCACAGAAGCTTGGAATAGTGTTTCAAGGGGTTCCTTTTCTTCCCCTTTGGTGTGTGTATGGGGGCAGGGGATCTGGCTTGGCAAAGGTCCAGCTGTCTAAAGGTACTAGTGTAGTTTTTGTTATGGGGCACCTTGGAATGGTAGAGTGGGCAGGGGTGGGTAGGTGGCCAAACCTAGTTAAGGAAAAAAGGGAACGAGGAACACAGAAGGCTATAAAGAACAGAGGAAAGATCTTCCAGTTAGGCCACAAACTCTATTGGATCTTATAAGAACTCTTTCTCAGTTCTGCTGCTGTCAAAGTCAGATAAAGTGCAAAGAAGGGCTATGAGGCAGTTTTGGTAAATGAATAGACATTAAGGGTACTGGGGAAGTAGATGGAAACACTCACACATGCACAGATATTCACACATATTCATACATCTATACAACACACACACACATGCATACACACACACTCACTCATGAATGGCATTACTAGAGAATGGCTTATAACTTTAGCCAAAGAGTAATTTAGACCAAGGATGCAGTCCTATATGCTCTTCAAACATCAGTGGTGATCTGGATACTGAAAAACTGCCTTTAGCCCCAACCCACAGAGGATGAATCCAGGATTCACAGACAGGCTGCATTCTTGTAAGTGGATCTCATAAGAATTTAGATGTCTTGGAAGAGAGATATTCTAGGGTATTTTCAGAGTCAGGGAGAAAGAAAAGTTACACCGAGTGCACAAGGCAAAGGGAGCTAGGCAGAATCTCTCTTCTCCTGTCCCTGCTGCTGTCAAGTACACACTCAAGAAGTCTTGAGTGTATATTGTGTGAGACATGAGGCAAACTTTTCTGACCCAATAATTTTGCTGAAGATGGTGAAAAGGATGAGTGGGTCCTTTCTGTTTCCAGTAGCAACAGTTGAATAACAGGAATGAAAACTCTCCTGCCTATGAGATATAAGATGGGAGAACAAAAGGTCAAGGGATAGAATCCACAATCAATGACTAATTGACTTTTCTACACTGAGGAGCTCTTGCTGGATTTTAAGATGTGATTATTTAATCCCTCATAGTGCCACATTGTTTATAATTTACACCAGATAAGAAGTGCATTTTCTTGCTGATGCTTAAAATACAAAGATATTCAACCCTGAACAAATTAAAGGCAACATAAAGTAAATGACTTTTATTCATTATGGTGCTCTCAGATCTAGCTGAATAAAGAACATCTTTTTTCACCTAAATTTTAAATGACAGGGTCCCCTAGATCAAAATCATAATGATATTTATCTTGTTATCTGATGCCTGTAAGAAGCTGAAGGGATTCCTAAATATAGTTGTCTCTATGTTTCAGACACATTTTTTCACTTTATTTGACAATTATTAAGTACATTAATTTGCTGATGGTAATTTCAACATAACAACCATATAAAAAATGTAAGTCTTGTTTTCCCATCAAAGAAGAAGAAACTGGCAAGTATCTTGAGAGCCATAAATCAAAGTATTAAAGACTCTTCAAATACCATTTAGGGAGTGAGGTGGAATTCTGGGTATCAAAGTTCAGTTGGATAAGAAATATAATGTGGTTACAGTTAAAGGAATTTTTCTATGTGGTATTTCCCTAACCCAGATAGAGAGATATGGTAGTTTTACCAGAATAATTGGTAAGCAACAAATATATAGGTACAAGACAAGGTCTTGAATTCTTGGTTGATTCTACCAAAACAAACTCATAAATAATGTGGGTGAAAAAGCTTATTGAAGCAGATAACTTGAAAATCAAATAACTTGAGAGTAAACATTGACTTTCTTAGTAGAATGTTTTGTGAAGGCCCTGAATTTATTTCCCTGAGGTGAAGCTAGTCAGTTTTGCTGTGTTCCATGGCTCTAGGCTGTACCCCCCAGCTTTAGCTAGGTCTCCTGCAAATGCATATAGTTGGCCCCAAGGGAACTGAACCAAAGATCAGGAAAATGGCCTAAATCCACACACACCAATGTAAAAACAACTCAAAGTGTATTTCTTCTCCATAAATGAAGGGTAGCATATTATTAGTAATAAAAATACCACTTTTCTTCAAAACTTTGATTTTAGGATATACATGGTTCTTACTGTGATTGTTAAAAGTCCCAAATGAGCCCCAGAGTATGCTGGGGATCAAGCATGACAGAACATTTTATTTATCCTGGCTGGTAGTATTATCCCTATCCATTGTGTTGAAGCAAAACAGGTGGATTTCTTGTTCATTATAAGACTTTCCTTTTAGACACACCCATATAACATTCACATCCTGGTCCTATACAATTCATGTAATTTCACTTTATTACTTTCCTTTTTCTTTTTTTAAAAATAGTATTACCAAAATAATTTATGTATATAGTTTAAAATATAATTTATATTGAAAAATCAGTCCCTTTATTCATATCTCTCCACAGCTCAGTCCCATTTGAAACTTTTTGTTATTTCTTCATTTACCTTCATATTTCTAAATGACATACTATGTTGCATTTTCTTGACTTATTGACATTACACATTGCCTATTAACTTCTTATAATAAAATATAAGAATTTAAGCTCTCTAACTTCTCTCTCACACACATTCACTTTATTATTTAAAATAGTATGCCTATGTAAGTAGTGTTCACTGTTGAACTAAGTGTTCTACCATGATTCTATTTTTCTCTTGCAATTTTTAAAATCATAAATTGCTGTTTTTTATTTTCAATTTCCCATGTTTTCTTTGTACTTAACTTAATTTCTCCTCAAATGTCCTTCTAGAATTCTCAGTGACAATCATTATTTTTTAAAAGTACTCAAATACTTGGAAAAAGTTGAAAATCCCCCACCAGTTCCATTCTTCCCTATAAGCTTCTTTCCCATAGTCCTGTATCCTCTTTTTTCTTTTTTTTTTTTTTTTGTTTTGTTCTGTTCCAACTTTTATTTTAGGATCTGGGGGTAAATGTGCAGGTTTTTTACAAGGATAATATTGCATGACACTGAGTTTTGGGATATTACTGAACTTGTCACCCAGGTAGTGAGCATAGTACCCAATAGGTAGTTTTTCGGCCCTTTCCCCTCTCCTCCTCTCCCCTACGTTGTAGTCACAAGTGTCTATTGTTCTCATATTTTATATCTTCATGTACCCAATGTTGAACTCCCACTTATAAGTGAGAACATGCAATATTTGGTTTTCTGCTTCTGCTTTTTTTTTTTTTTTTTTTTTTTTTTGCTTAGGGCAATGGCCTCCAGCTACATTCATGTTTCAATCTAGAATGGGTGTTGTCTGTTCTCTAGGCATGGGCCACAATTGTCCCATAACCTCCTTTCATCATTCTGTGTTGGATCACCTGTTCAATAGATTCCATTGTCTCTCTAGGTTTATTCTCTCACTTTGATAAAGCATATGCCACCTAAGAAAAGACACATGGAAAACAAAATTTCGAGTTCTTATAATCAGCCCTTTAAAAATCCTATTTTCAATGCTGGTGGGAATGTAGATTAGTTCAGCCATTGTGGAAAGCAATTTGGAAATTCCTCAAAAAGCTAAAACCAGAACTACCATTCAACCCAGCAATGCCATTATTGGATATATACTCAAAGGAATATAAATCATTCTACCATAAAGACACATGCATACTTATGTTCAACACAGCTCTATTCACAGTAGCAAAGACATGAATTCAACCTAAATGCCCATGGATGGTAAACTAGATAAAGAAAATGTGGTATATATACACGATGAAATACTACGCAGCCATAAAATAGAACAAGATCATGTCGTTTGCATGGACATGGATGGAGCTACAGGCCATTATTCTTAGCAAACTAATGAAGGAACAGAGAGCCAGATACCACATATTCTCCATTATAAGTGGGAGATAAACATCAAGTACATAGGGACATAAGAAGGGAAAAAGAGACACCAGGGCCTACTTGAAAGTGGAGGATGGGAGGAGGGTGAGGATTGAAGAACTATCTATTAGATACTCTACTTATCCCCTAAGTGACAGAATAATCTGTACACCAAACTCCCTGTGACGTGAAATTTACTTATACAACAAACCTGCACATGCACCCCTGAACCTAAGACAAAAGTTAAACAAATAAATAAAATAAATGAAAGGATAAAAGACAGAGAAAAATCCTTTTAAAAAAGAATTTCTCTCAATTTGGAAAATTGCTTGGGCACTTCTTGGCTACATGGGTGATACATTATAAACTTGATTAACAGTTTTATGTGTACATGAGATAAGAGGTTGAATGCTGCTGCTTGATGGGTTTTCTTGAATGGTGATCAGGCAAGAGCTGACCTCTTCATAGCCACCCTCCAAATGTCAGAGGCCTTTTTCTCTAAGGACCTTAGTTTCTCTGAGAATCTTTATCTACTACATCGTCCTGAGTAGAGTAGCAGTGATACATACCTAGCTGTTTCTAGGAACAGGGCAGGGGAAAGGAGTGAGGGTCCTAGTGCTCAATATGGGATTTTTACTTAATCTTCTTGTTCTCATACCCATGACTTATCCTTGTCCTACACTACAGTCCTTGAGTCTGGAGCCTCCCAGTTCAATTTTTCCAGAGATTAAATCTCTCTTCTCTTGGGGGAAGAAGGGGTAGACACCACCTGCATGGATCAGAAGAGGGGAACTGGTGAGTTCAACCACTCTGTATATTATCTTTCAACCTGAAAATATCTCTTCATCTGAAAACAACTTTTTCAGTTGCAAGCCATTTCCTTACCTTCTGCAGTACCTAGTGCCTCCAGGCATTGAGCCTCAGATTCTGCAGAGATACTGGAGTTACTTCTCATTGTTTTTCCCCCTCTGCAGGCACTTAAGTTATAAATTCCGTTTCTCTGCTAAATCAGTTAATACTTTTCTTTCCACTTTTCATTTTGTTAAAAAAAAAGTCTTTTAAAATCTTTTGTCTCCTGTTCTCTCCTCTTCTATTTTCTTAGTTCCTGTCAGTTAATATCATCCATTACTCCTATCCATGGCTCTTAATAAAGGCTTAGGGAGAAAACAAGATAAACTCGTGGTCAATTTGCCATATTTAACTAGAAGTCTGTTTATCCATTACTTTCCTATAAGCATGGTGGCTTGCACATTCTTCTCTCCTTATCTATAATTACAGTTGATTTAGTGTGGCTTTGACCGAATGAACGAGAAAGCTGAATTAAAGTAGCCTTTATATAAAGATTAGTTCTTGATTCCAACTCAGCAATACTTCTTAGGGTCCTATAGTAAGTGGTTTTATTTTTCTAGACTTTAGGGGACATTATCAATATCATCTTGGGCCTATTACTAATTAGCAAATATCAGTGTACCCTTAATAAGTTGTCTTTCAAACACGTTGTGTCCTAAATGTTCTGGCAAGAGAATTATAAGGAGACATTAGCTTGAAATTCCACAAAAGTAAATCCAGTCATTTGTGTGATAAATTTTTAACTAACTTGCATTTATTAAATAAATTTAAACATAAGATAATCATGTATAGCTTCAAGTTCCACTCAAAAGTTTCCTGCAATTCTGCATACACTAATTCCTTAGTTATTTATTTAGAAATATCCCTGCTAGTGAGCAGTTATGTAGCTTTCATTGTTTCCCACTTATTTAGGTAAGAATGATCTACAGCAGGAGGTTGGACTTCTTTTTTGAAATGTGAAAGAGATGATTTGGAGATGGATTCAATAGAAACACAAAACCCAGCATTGCACAATATACTTATGTAACAAACCTGCACATGTACCCCCTGAATCTAAAATAATAAAAAAGAACTTGTAAAAAAAAGAGTGAAAGAGGAACACTGTATAACTCCCTTTAAAGCATTTATTATTTTGTTAAATGTCTTAAAGAATCGTAAAAGAAATAGTCTTTTTTAAAATAGTCTTTTTAAAAAAGCTATGATAGGCAAAAGTATAAGCACCAAATATATATCTCCTGGAGCCTCTGAATATGTATTGTTACTTGGCAAGGACAAATTAAGGTTGTGGATAGAATTAGGGCTGCCAATCAGCTGACGTTGGAATGAGGAGAGTAGCTTAAATTATCCAGGTGGGCCCAATGTAATCACAAGGGTACTTACAATTGGAAGAGGGAGGCAAAAGAGAGTGTCAGAATGATGCAGAAAGACTTTACAAACCACGGCTAGCTTTGAAGATGGAAGAACGGGGACCGGGAGCCAAGGAATGTGGGAAGTCTCTAGAAGCTGGAAAAGGCAAGAAAATGAATTATTCCCTGGAAACTCCAGAAAGGAATGCAGCCCTGCTGATACCTTGATGTTAGTCTAGTGAGACCTGTGTCATACTCCTGACATGCAGAATCATAAGATAATAAATTCTTGTTGTCTTAAGTCACTAAATTAGTGGTAACTTGTTACAGTAGCCATAGGAAACTAATACAGAAGTCATGTACTGAAACTTCACTTTCTGCATTCAATATACGTATTGAACAGGAATTAGTACCAATAACCATGCAGATAATATGGCAGCTACAAGGATGAAACATGAGGACCATGATCTTAAGGAACTTATAGACCAGTATATAAGATTTTGTGTTGTTTCAAGTGTGCTATGGATTGGTGGAAAGAGTCTCTCTCTCCCTCCTTCCCTCCCTCCCTCCCTCCCTCCCTTCCTTCCTTCCTTCCTTCCTTCCTTCCTTCCTTTTCTCTCTCTCTCTCTTTCTCTCTCTCTCTCTCTCTCTCTCACACACACACACACACACACATATACACACAGTAAGGTCTTGATTCATTTAGCTAAGCATATACAAATTTAGCACAAGTGAGGTGCTTATTAGAGTAGGAGCAGCAGCAGCATTATTCCTTTGACCCTTTTAGTCCCTAATGTGGGGCACAAACAGTAGCAGGTAACACTGCTTGAACAAGGCATGATCTTGCCAAGTGCAAGAAATCTGATTTTGTGCTGTACCATATCCCTTCTCTATGTGTGGGTTATATCACTGCCCAGGAAGAATTAAGTAACACATGCACTTACATTTAAGGGAGTATTTATACACATGTGGTTCTCCTGCTTCTTGTTCTCAGAGTCTTGTTTCTTACGTTCTCAGTATCATGAGGCTGCATCTCACTCAGGATGTAAAAGCTGAGTCAGGGAGTGCCCAGGTGTCCCTGAGGTGTATTTCTTCATCTAGAAAGACCATTTCCCCATGTGTATTTAAGTATGTGAATTTAATTGCTTTACATATAAGGTAGAAATTGGTAAGAGAAATATGTATGCATACACAGCAACAGACATGTAGACATGTTGCTTTGGACACTTCTAAACAAATATTGTTAAGGTGATTAATGTATTCCGTTTTTTTTGATGCTTCAGGTTTTAGATTTAATATAGATAAATGGTATATGTTTCTTATCTAGGAACATTGTTTCTTCCTTTTTGGTTTTTCTTTTTTAATTTGCAGCTTTTATTTTAAGTTCAGGGGTACTTGTGCAGAATATGCAGGTTTGTTACATAGGGAAACGTGTGCCATGGTGGTTTGCTGCACAGATGATCATATCACCCAGGTATTTTTTTTTTAATTTTTGAAATTCCCTTTTTTTTGGTTTTGTTTTTTGTTCTTCAAAGGGCACTTTTAAAAATTTTATTTCAATATATTTTTTGGGAACAGGTGGTGTTTGGTTGCATAGATAAGTTCTTTAGTGGTGATTTCCCAGATTTTAATGCCAGCACCCACTAGCTATTCTTCCTGATGCTCTCCCTTCTCCCACCCCCCGCCCTCCAACAGGCCTCAGTGTGTGTTGCTCCCCCCATGTGTCCATGTGTTCTCATAATTTATCTCACACTTATAAGTGAGAACATGCAGTGTTTGGTTTTCTATTCCTGCATTAGTTTGCTAAGGACAATGGCCTCCAACTCCATCCACGTCCTTGCAGAGGACAAGATCTTGTTCCTTTTAATGGCTGCATAGTATTTTGTGGTGTATATGTACCACGTTTTCTTTATCTAGTCTATCATTGATGGGCATTTGGGTTGATTCCATGTCTTTGCTATTGTGCAATGGACATACACATGTATGTGTCTTTATAATAGAATAATTTATATTCCTTTGTGTATATGCCCAGTAATGGGATTGCTGGGTTGAATGGTATTTCTGCCTCTAGGTCTCTGAGAAATCACCACACTCTCTTTCACAATGGTTGAACTAATTTACATTACCACCAACAGTGTAAAAGTGTTCCTTTTTCTCCACAACCTTGTCAGCATGTTGTTTTGATTTGCCTTTGTTGTTTTTGTTTTGACTTTTTATTAATAGCCATTCTGACTGGTGTGAGATGGTATCTCATTGTGGTTTTGATTTGCATTTCTCTAATAATCAGTGATGGTGAGCTTTTTTTCACATGCTTGTTGGCTGCATGTGTGTCTTCTTTTGAGAAGTATTGGTTCATGTCTGTATTAGTCCATTTTCAAGCTGCTGATAAAGACATACCCAAGACTGGACAGTTTACAAAAGAAAGAGGTTTAATTGGACTTACCATTCCACATGGCTGGAAAGGCCTCACAATCATGGTGGAAGGCAAGGAGGAGCAAGTCACATCTTATGTGGATGGCAACAGGCAAAAGAGAGCTTGTGTAGGGAGACTCCCATTTTTAAAACCATCAGCTCTCATAAGACCCATTCACTATCACAAGAACAGCAAGGGAAAACCCACCCCCATGATTCAATCGTCTCCAAATGGGTCCTTCCCAAAACAAGTGGGAATTATAGGAGCTACAGGATGAAACTTGGGTGGGGACACAGAGCCAAACTATATAATTCTGCCCCTGGTCCCTCCCAAATCTCATATCTTCACATTTCAAAACCAGTCATGCCTTCCCAACAGTCCCCCAAAGTCTAAACTCATTTCAGCATTAACTCAAATGTCCACAGTCCAAAGTCTTATCTGAAATAAGGCAAGTCCCTTTTGCCTATGAGCCTGTAAAATCAAAAGCAAGTTAATTACTTCCTAGATACAATGCGGGTATAGGCATTGGATGAATACAGCCATTCCAAATGGGAGAAATTGGCCAAAACAGAGGGGCTACAGGCCCCATGCAAGTCCGAAATCCAGGAGGGCAATCAAATAGACTCCTTTGACTACATGTCTCACATCCAGGTCAGGCTGATGCAAGAGGTGGGTTCCCATGGTCTTGAGCAGCTCTGTCCCTGTGGCTTTGCAGGGTACAGCCTCCCTCCTTGCTGCTTTCACACGCTGGCATTGAATGTCTGCAGCTTTTCCAGGTGAATGGTGCAAGCTGTTAGTGGATCTACCATTCTGGGGTATGGAGCATGGTTGTCCTCTTCTCACAGCTCCACTAGACAGTGCGTCAGTAGGGACTCTGTGTGGGGGCTCTGACCCCACATTTCTTTTCTGCAGTGCCCTAGCAGAGGTTCTCCATGAAGGCCCTGCCCCTGCAGCAAACTTCTGCTTAGGCATTCAGGCATTTCCATACATCTTCTAAAATCTAGGCAAAGGTTCCCAAACCCCAATTCATGATTTCCGTGCACTGGCAGGCTCAACATCACATGGAATCTGCCAAGGGTTGGGGCTTTCACCCTCTGAAGCCACGAACCAAGCCCATTCAGCCATGGCTGGAGTGGTTGGGATGGAGGTACCAAGTCTCTAGGCCGCAAACAGCAAGGGGACCTTGGGCCCAGCCCCTGCAATCACTTTTTCCTCCTAGGCCTCAGGGCCTGTGATAGGAGGAGCTGCTGTGAAGACCTCTGACATGCCCTAGAGACATTTTTCCCTTTGTCTTGGGGATTAACATTTGGCTCCTCATTACTTATGCAAATTTCTGCAGCTGGCTTGGATTTCTCCTTAGAAAATGGAATTTTCTTTTCTATCACATTGTCAGGCTACAAGTTTTCCAAACTTTTATGCTCTGCTTCCCTTATAAAACTGAATGTGTTTAATGGCACCTAAGTCACCTCTTGAATGCTTTGCTTCTTAGAAATTCCTTTTGCCAGATACCATAAATCATCTCTCTCAAGTTCAAAGTTCCCCAAATCTCTAGAGCAGAGGCAAAATGCTGCCAGTCTCTTTGCTAAAACATAGCAAGAGTCACCTTTACTCCAGTTCCCATCAAGTTCCTTATCTCCATCTGACACTACCTCAGCCTGGATTTCATTGTCCATGTCATTACCAGCATTTTGGTCAAAGCCATTCAACAAGTCTCTAGGGAGTTAGAAACTTTCCCACATTTTCCTTTCTTCTTCTGAGCCCTCAAAACTTCCAACCTCTGCCTGTTACCCAGTTCCAAAGTTGCTTCCCCATTTTCAGGTATCTTTTCAGCAGTGCCCCAGTCTACTGGTACTAATTTACTGTATTAGTCCGTTTTCATGCTGCTAATAAAGACATACCCAAGACTGGGCAATTTACAAAAGAAAGAGGTTTAATTGGACTTACAGTTCTACATGGCTGGGGAGGCCTCACAATCATGGTGGAAGGCAAGGAGGAACAAGTCACATCTTATATGGATGGCAGCAGGCAAAAAGAGAGCTTGTGCTGGGAGACTCCCCTTTCTAAAACCATTAGATCTCGTGAGACCCGTTCTGTATCACAAGTACAGCACAGAAAAGACCTGCCCCCATGATTCAATCACCTCTACTGGGTCCCTCCCACAACACGTGGGAGCTACAAGATAAGATTTGGGTGGAGACACAGAGCCACACCATATCAATGTTCTTTGCCCACTTTTTAATGTTTTTTTTCTTGTAAATTTGCTTATGTTTCTTATAGATGCTGGATATTACACCTTTGTCAGACGCATAGATTGCAAAAATGTTCTCCCATTTTGTAGGTTGTCTGTTTACTCTGTTGATAGTTTATTTTGCTGTGCAGAAGCTCTTTAGTTTAATTAGATTACATTTGTCAGTTTTGACTTTTGTTGTGATTGCTTTCAGTGTCTTTTTCATGAAATCTTTTCCATGCCTATGTCCTGAATGATATTGCCTAGGTTGTTTTCCAGAGTTTTTATAGTTGTGGGTTTTACATTTAACTCTTTAATCCATTTTGAGTTGATTTTTGTATATGGTATAAGAAAGGGGTCTAGTTTCAATTTTCTGCAGATGGCTAGTCAGTTCTCCCAGCACCATTTATTAAATAGGGAGTCCTTTCACCATTGCTTATTTTTGTCAGGGTTGCCAAAGGTCAGATGGCTGTAGGTGTGCTGCCTTATTTCTGGGTTCTCTATTTTATTTCATTGGTCTATGTGGATTAATGTATTCTCTTAATCAAAAAGATACAAGGCAACTTTTAGCACAGTTGGGCTTCAAAGGGTCAGGAGGCAAAATTAAACCTGTAGACAAGAAAATCTCTTGATTAGAAAAAGAAAGATAATGATGCAAACTACAAATGTTGGATCATGTTTATAATTTTTCTTTTTCTGTCTTCTTAGCTTACAATAAGAGATACATACAGTGGCAGCGAAAAATTAGAGAACTATAAAAGTCTGGCAAATCTAAAATATGAGAAGTTGAGGTTAAATAGTAGCTAATGGTTGAGTTTATTGTTGCATCCATAATCATCCAATTAAACAATGATCTTTTTGTCATCTGTTTCGTACTCAATAGGTTCTGTGGAATACAAAGATGATTAAGACCTATTTCTTTTCATCAAGTATTTTTTAATCTAACATTTTGGTATAAATACTCATATAAGTCTAATGCAAGGCCTGCTAAAGAGGTTAATAGATAGAAGCATAGGGACATACTATTCAGAGAGAGAGAGAGATTAAACTCATTTGTGGTGAGAGATCACATTCATATTGCAGGGAGGGGTGGATTCTGGGATTTGACTCTTGGATGGCATTTTGGGACATTCCCTGGGGCAGGGAGTGGGGATCACACTGTCCTGAATGATGAGACCCAGGCCAAGCAGCATCTACCATAAACTGACTTAAGAGGACTTAAGCCTTAAGAGAAAATCTAGGGTAGTCTGGCGGTGCTCCTCATGGCCTGTGGTGGCAGTGGCTACAGGGCAAGGCTTTTCTGCCTTTGGAAAGGGGAGGGCAGAGTGGGAAGGACTGCATCTTGTGGTTTGAGTGCCAGCTCAGCTGCAATACAATAGAACACTAGGTAGACTTCTAAGGTTTTTTAATCTAGGCCATGACTCCCAGATGAGAGCTTGTCATCTGGGACAGCTCTTCTGGATCCACCTGAGACCTGGGGGACCTCACCACCCTGAAGGGAAGAATACAGGCCTGGCTGGCTTTGAACCAACTGATTGTAGAGCCCCAGGGCCTAGAGAGAACATAGGCAGTAGTCATGGAGAGGTTATAGCAGGCCTTGGGTGAGACCCAGTGCTGTGCTGACTTCAGGTCTGATCCAGCACAGTCATAGTAGTAGGGGCCACTGGGGTGCTTGTGTTACTCCACACCCAGCTTTAGGTGGCTCAGAACAGAGAGAGAGAGAGAGAGAGAGAGAGAGAGAGAGAGAGAGAGAGACTGTTTGGCAGAAAGTAATGGAAGACAAAAATAGTCACTGCCTGGTAACCCAGAGAATTCTCATTGATTTTATCTAAGACCATCAAGGCAGTTACTTCTACAATTCCACAAGAACCACAGTGTTACTGGAGTGCCCTCTAAAGCAGATACAGATTAAGTCACAACACCCAGGTCCTTTCAAATATGTGGAAAGCCTTCCCAAAAATGATAGCTACAAATAAGCTCAGACAGTGAAGACTACAATAAATACCCAGCTCTTCAATGCCCAGACAATAGCATCAACATCATGCAAGAAAACATAACCTCACCAAATGAACTAAATACAGCATAAGAGACCAATCCTGGAGAAATAGAAATATGTGACCTTTCAGATAGAGAATTCAAAATAGCTGTATTGAGGAAACACAAAGAAATGGAAGATAGGCCGGGCGCGGTGGCTCACGCCTGTAGTCCCAGCACTTTGGGAGGCCGAGGCGGGCGGATCACGAGGTCAGGAGATCGAGACCATCCCGGCTAAAACGGTGAAACCCCGTCTCTACTAAAAATACAAAAAATTAGCCGGGCGTAGTGGCGGGCGCCTGTAGTCCCAGCTACTTGGGAGGCTGAGGCAGGAGAATGGCGTTAACCCGGGAGGCGGAGCTTGCAGTGAGCCGAGATCCCGCCACTGCACTCCAGCCTGGGCGACAGAGCGAGACTCCGTCTCAAAAAAAAAAAAAAAAAAAAAAAAAAAAAAGAAATGGAAGATAACACAAAGAAGGAATTCAGAATTCTATCAGATAAATTTAACAAAGAGATTTAAATAACTAAAATGAATCAAACAGATATTGTGCAGCAGAAAACAGCAACTGGCATATGAAAAACTGCATCAGAGTACTTTTATGTCAGAATTGATGAAGCAGAAGAAAAATATAGTGAGCTTGAAGACAGGCTATTTGTGAAAACACAGAGGAGACAAAAGCAGAAAGAATAAAAAACCATGAAGCATGCCTACAGGATTTACAAAATAGCCTCAAAGGAACAAATCTAAAAGATATTTTCCTTAAACAGGAGGTAGAGGAAGAAATAGGGGTAGAAAGTTTATTCAAAGGGATAATAGCAAAGAACTTTCCAAACATAGAGAAAGATTCCAATATCCAAGTACAAAAGGTTATAGAACACCAAGCAGATTTAACCCAAAGAAGACTACCTCAAAGTAGTTAATAATAAAATTCCCAAAGATCAAGATTAAAGAAAGGATCCTAAAAGCAGCAAAAGAAAAGAAAAAAGTAACATACAATAGAGCTCCACTAGGTCTGGCAGCCAACTTTTCAGTGGAAATCTTAAAAGCCAGGAGAGAGTGGCATGATATATTTAAAGTGCTAAATGGAAAAACCTTTAACCCTAGAATAGTATTTCTGACAAAATTACACTTCAAGCAGGAAGGAGAAATAAAGACTTCCCCAGACAAAAGCTGATGGATTTCATCGACATCAGACCTATCCACAAGAAATGCTACAGGGAGCACTTCAATCAGAAAGAAAGTGACATTAATGAATGATAAATAATCACCTGAAGGTACCAAACTCACTGGTACTAGTAAGTACACAGAAAAACACAGAATGTTATAACCCTGTAACTGTGATGTGCAAACTACTCTTATTCTAAATAGAAAGAACAAATGATGAACCAGTCAAAAATAATAACTACAACCACTTTTCAAAACATAGTACAATAAGATATAAATAGAAACAACAAAAAGTTAAAAAGCAGGGGTAAGACTTTAAGGCATAGCATTTCTTTCAGTTTTTTTGTTTGTTTATGTAATTAGCATTACATTGTAATAAGGTTAAAATATTGGATGATAAGATAGTATTTGTGAACCTCATGGTGAACTCAAACCAAAAAACATACAAAGGAGATGCAAAAAATAGAAAGCAAAAAACTAAATCATATCTACAGAGAAAATCACCTTCAGTAAAGGAAGACAGGAAGGAAAGAAAAATGAAGAGAAAACCAGAAATTAAATAACAAAATGGCAGGAGTAAGTTCTTATCAATAATAACATTAAATGTAAATGGACTAAACTCTCCAATTAAATGACACAGATGAGTTGAATGGATGAAAAAACAAGACCCATTGATCTCTTGCCTACAAGAAACACACTTCACCTACAAAGACACACTTAGACTGAAAATAAAGGGTTGGAAAAAGATATTCCATGCTAATGGAATCCAAGAAAGAGCAGGAGTCACTATACTTATATCAGACAGAATAGATTTCAAGATTAAAAAATATAAGAAGAGACAAAGAATGTCACTATAAAATGATAAAAGGATTGATTTGGCAAGAGGATACAACAATTTTAAATATATATGCACCCAACACTGGAGCAGCTAGATATATAAAGAAATGTTATTAGAGATAAAGAGAGAGATAGGGCTGAATACAATAATAGCTGGAAATTTCTGCATAACACTTTCAACATTGGACAGATCTTCCAGATGGAAAAAAAAGAAACATCAGATTTAATCTGCAATGTAGACAAAATGGATCTAATAGATTATTACAGAACATATCATCCATAGGCTGCAGAATACACATTCTTTTTCTTAACACATGGATTGTTCTCCAGGATGCACTGTACGTTAGATCACAAAACAAGTCTTAAAACATTCAAAACATTTGAAATAATATGACACATCTTCTCTGACTAAAAGGACATAAATCTAGAAATTGATAATGAGAAATTTTTGAAATGATGCAAATACATGGAAATTAAACAATATGCTCCTGAATGACTGGTGGGCCAATGAAGAAATTAAGAAGAAAATAGAAAAAATTTCTTGAAAATATGATAATAGAAGCATAAAATGCTGAAACCTGTAGGATACAGCAAAAACAGTACTCAAAAGGAAGTTTATAGCTATAAGTGCCTACATCAAAAAAGAGGATAAACTTCAAATAAACAACCTTATGATTCTTCTTAAAGAAGCAGAAAAGCAATAGCAAACCAAACAAAAAATCAGTACAAGAAAAGAAATAATAAAGATCAGAGATGAAATAAACAAAATTGAAATGAAGCAAACAATACAACAGATCAATAAAACAAAAAGCTGGGTTTCTTTTTGAACTTAAACAAAATTGACAAACCTTTAGCAAAGTAACTAGGAGAAAAAGAGAGAAGATCTAAATAAATAAAATCAGAAATTAAAAAGGAGACATTACAACTGATACTACAGAAACTCAGAGCATCATTAGTGGTTAGTCTGAGCAACTCTAAGCCAATAAATTGGAAAATCTTGTAGTAATGGACAGATTTCTAGACACACTTAACCTGCCAACATTGAACCAGAAAGAAATTCAAATCCTGAACAGTCCAATATCAAGTAATGAGATGGAAGCTGTAATAAAAATCTCCCAGAAAAAAAAAAAGAAAAGCCCAGGACCTCATGGCTTCACTGATGAATTCCACAAAACATTTAAGGACGTTCTAATACAAATCCTACTCAAACTGTTCCAAAAAATAGAGGAGGAAGAAATACTCCAAATTCATTCTATAGGGCCAGTATTACCCTGATACCAAAACCAGACAAAGACATATCAAAAAAAGAAAACTACAGGCCAATATCTCTGATGAATATTGATGGAAAATTCCTCAACAAAATATTAGCAAACAGATTTGAACAATACATTAGAAAGATAATTCATCATGACCAAGTGGGATCTATTCCTGGGATGCAAGGGTGGTTCTACATATGCAAATCAATGTGATACATCATATCAACAGAATGAAGGAAAAATCCTATATGATCACTTCAATTGATGCCAAAAAAGCATTTGATAAAATTCAACATCCCCTCATCCTAAAAACTCTCAAAAAACTGAGGATAGAAGGAACATACCTCAACATAATAAAAGCCATATATGACAGACCCACAGCTAGTATCATACTGAATGTGGAAAAACTGAAAGCCTTTCCTCTAAGATCTGGAACACGACAAGGATGCCCACTGACACCACTGATATTCAACATAGTACTGGCAGTCCACAATAGAGCAGTCAGACAAGAGAAAGAAATAAAGGGCATCCAAATTGAAAAGGAAAAGTATTAGAACCGATAAACAAATTCAGTAAAGCTGCAGGATACAGCATCAGCATATAAAAATCAGTAGCATTTCTACATGCCAACAGTGAACAATGTGAAAAGAAAGAAAAAGGTAATCCTGTTTACAGTAACCACACATAAAATTAAATACCTAGGAATTAACTTAACAAAAGAAGTGAAAAATCTCTATAAGGAGAACTATAAAACACTGATGAAAGAATTTTGAGAGGACACCAAAAAGTGGAGAAATATTTCATTTTCATGGATTGGAAAAATCAATATTGTTAAAATGTTCATAGTACCCGAAGCATCAACAGATTCAATGCCATCCCTATCAAAATACAAATGACATTCTCTACAGAAATAGAAAAAATTTTCCTAAAATTTATATGGAATCACAAAAGACCTAGAATAGCCAAAGCTATCCTAAGAAAAAAGAAAAAACTGGAACAATCACATTGCCTGACTTCAAATTATGCTACAGATGGAGCTATAGTAACCAAAACAGCATGGTATTGGCATAAAACAGGTACACAGATAAATGGAACAGAATAGAGAACCCAGAAACAAATTCACACACCTCCAGTGAGCTCATTTTTGACAGAAGTTGCAAGAACATACACTGGGGACATTAGTCTGTTCAATAAATAGTGATGGGAAAACTGGATATCCATATGTAGAAGGATGAAAGTAGACCCCTATCTCCTACCATATACAAAAATCAAATCAAAATGAATGAAATACTTAAATCTATGACATCCAACCTTGAAACTACTACAAGAAAACATTGGGAAAAATCTCCAGGACATTGGTCTGGGCAAAAATTTCTTGAGGAATAGACCACAAGCATAGGCAGCTAAGGCGAAATTGTACAAATGGGATCACAGCAGGTTAATAAGCTTCTGTACAGCAAATGATACAATCACAAAGTGAAGAGACAACCCACAGAATGGGAGAAAATATTTGCAAACTATCCATTTGACAAAAGATTAATCACCAGAATATATAAGGAGCTCAAACAACTCTATAGGGAAAAATCTAAGTTGATCAAAAAAAATGGGCAAAAGATCTGAATAGACATTTCTTACAGAAGACATAGAAATGCAAAACAGGCATACGAAAAAGTACTCAGCATCACTGATCATCAGAGAAATGCAAATCAAGACTACAATGAGATATCATCTCACCCCAGTTAAAATGGCTTTTATCCAAAAGACAGGCAGTAACAAATGCTGGCAGGGATGTGGTGAAAAGGGAACTTTGCACACTGTTGGTGGGCATGTACATCAGTACAACCACTATGAAAAACAGTTTGAAGATTCCTCAAAAAACTAAAAATTGAGTTACCACGTGATCTGGCAATTCTACTGCTGGGTATTTACCCCAAATAAAGGAAATCAGTATACTGAAGATATATCTGCACCCTATATATTGGTTGCAGCAATCCTTACAATAGCTAAGATTTGGCAGCAACCTAAGTGTGCATCAACAGATGAATGTATAAAGAAAATGTGGTAGTTATCTACAATGGACTACTATTCAGCCATAAAAAATGAGATCCTGTCATTTGTAATAACATGGATGGAACTGGAGATAATTATGTTAAGTGAAGTTACAGAAAGACTGTAACTGGCTGACTTCACTTTCTCACTTATTTGTAGTATCTAAAAAATCAAAGCAATTGAACTCAGACATAGAGAGTGAAGGATGGTTACCAGAAGCTGGGAAGGGTAGTAGGGTGCTTAATGAAGGTGTGGATGGTTAGTGAGTACTGAAAAAAAAAAAAAACAGTTAGAATGAATAAGTCCTTTTATTTGATAGCACACCAGGTGACTACAGTACATAATAATTGAACTGGACATTTTACAATAACTAATAGAGTGTAATTGGATTGTTTGTAACTCAAAGAATTAATGCTTGAGGGGTTAGAATACCCCATTCTCCATGATGTGCTTATTTCACATTGCATACCTTTAACAAAACATCTCATCCGCCCCATAAGTATACAAACCTAATTTGTGCCTGCAAAAATTAAAAATAAAAAAAAATTAAAAAACTGAATCTCTGCTCTCAAAGAGCTCACAGTGTTTTGTGGACTATGATAACGTTTATATACAAAGTGCAGGTCAACTTTAGAACATAACTTTCCTCATCTCTGAAAATGGAGCTTGGAATGGATGGACTTGTGGTGAGACAAATTACTGAACGTGAAAGAATATGTGAGACAAATTGCTGAATTTGTAGGTGTGTAGATTAGTTTTGGGTTCTCTATTCTGCTCCATACAGTTAAAAGTATGAAGACTGATATATGTTCCATAATATATTCTTGTGAATCTGGCGATTATTCCTCACTTGTATTTTCCCTTCTGCATGGCTTCAAGAAGTCTCTCCGGCCAGAATGAGCTATGGTAAGTGCCTGTCCTGTCATCTGCTGTAGTGATGAGTCAAATGAATGTCCTGACTCTAACACATTGGACTGGCTCTCTGACTCTTGGCTATAAGTACTATTTGTAGAATAAGCGTATTTCTACTCCATTCACCCACTGGGAAAATGGATTTTTAGCTGGTAATACTCAGGGACCTGAACATCCAGTCTGAGCTCTTTCTGCTGGGGCCTCTGAGCAGTCTGTGTTTCACCAGACTGCAACTGTTCTCCAAAGTGACATTTGTTAGGCTTGTTAGCGGATGTATTTCCTTCAAAGTGCAATGTGAAGCAGCAAACTTAAGGATTTCAGAAATCTAGATAGGGATAACTTTTACTGAAAATATTGCTGTTAATGCAAAGGCTTTCACCTAAGAATAATGGAACAAATGCCAGTTTACAGCTTAACTGCTTTTAGAAGAAGAGGGAGTGGGCTTTTGTTTGATTTCTTGGGTGAACACAATTTGTGCAAAATCTGCCTCTCAACTGGACTTGTGACAGCTTTTAGCTATGTTTGAAACACCAGAGAAATTTCTCTTTTGTTACTTGAAGGGAAAGTGGCTACATTGATTTGGGTTATTTGTCTGGATACCTGTCTTGCTCTCTGGAAAACTGTCCCTCTGGATACATAAAACAGCCTTTTTAAAAAACATGGAGCTCTGGGCCATAGCTACCTTATATAATTATGACATGCACAACATTTATCAGCAATAGTTTCTCTTTGGAAATATTCTGGCTGAATTGCAGTGGTTTATCCTTATTTCTAAATAAAAAGCTCTGAGTGGGTTGTGACAACTGCCAGACAGGTGTTATTTAAACAAACAGACAAACAAACCAAATAATGAAATAATTCTGATTACATTTTCAAAGAAGTCAGCTCAGGTAGCTAGAATAATAATCCTGAACATTGACCTTCCCCCCAACAACCTGCACCTGAGGAAGTTGAGTGACAGCTCTCCAGGGGAGGGGATAGACTACTTAAAGTATTGCTCCTCTAAAATTATATAGGAGATGAAAAGAACACAAAGGTTAAATTCCCCACCCCCACCCTCCATAACTTGCCTATTTCCATCTAGTAAGTAATGAGTGAATTGGATGAAACTTAATGTGCCTCTTTATGTGAGAAGAGAGTAGTATCTTGAGAAGTGATACCTAATTCAATTATACGGAGAGCTGCTTTTTGCTCATCTTGGGTTCTTTAATTTTTTTAACTGGATTCTGGATTTCTCATAAAGATATTTTGGCCTGAATATCATTGTTTTATTGGTGTTTCTGTGGAGGAACAAGGACAAGGACTTCTTACCCTGCCACCTTGCTCCTCCATAGTTTCTTTACATGGGTTATGTTAATCAACAAGTATGTTCTAAAGATTTAGTACAATGTCTGCCTGGTACAGAGTAGGGACTTTATAAAAGAGTTCAAGCCTGGCCAACATGGTGAAACCCTGTCTCTACTAAAAATACAAATTCGCTGGGCATTGTGGCAGGCACCTGTAATCCCAGCTACTGAGAAGGCTGAGGCATGAGAATCGCTTGAACTTGGGAGGCAGAGGTTGCGGTGAGCCAAGATCACACCATTGCACTCCAGCCTGGGTGACAGAGTGAGACTCCGTCTTATAAAATAAAATAAAATAAAATAAATAAAATAAAATAAAATAAAATAAAATAAAATGAAACAGAGTCTGCTCCTCGCTGAGCCTCTAAGTGTCTTAAATGAAAATCAGTGAAGAGTCTATATGGAGGAGAAAGTTCTATACAAGAATTAAACAGATGGCTAAATGAGTCATGTGCACTGGTTCTGTCAGGGAAGGAAATACAAAGATTCTTCTTTAGAAGGTGATTTCTCACCCTCTAAATTCCTAAAATTTATTTGGCAATTGAGTATATATACTGCTCTCTTCTCTGATTATTTTACTACTATTTAAAATTTTAAACTTAAGGTAAATTTAAATTTACCTTAAAAATGAACAATATGGGTAAAAAATGAGGAATTTTAATATTGAAAGTTGCCAGATTATTCTCATTTTTTCCAATTCTTCTAATGCCAATAAATCTTTAAATCATATCTAAAAAATTACTCATTATATTTGAACATATCTTGGCATGCTTTTATAATTCTATTGCTCATTTTTATTAATTAATAGTAAATTATTAATAGTTCCAATATATTGAGTGCTTATTATGTGATAGGCAGTTGGAGAAGCACCTTTACATGCCTTAACCTCCTTTAATACTTATTACCTTTTAAGGTGTAGGCATTAGCTTACCCATTTTAAAGATGAAGAAACTGAGGTCAATAAAGTTAAATAATTTTTGCAAGATCATATGGCCAGAAGAATGTTAATACATTTCAGAAGAATGTTCAGATTTATTAAATATTTCAAAATAGCATAGTGAAGGAAAGGAAACTTTCAAACGGAATAGCTTCAAATGGAATTGCTTTGCCAGGCTGCACGAAGTCTAAGGAGCAAATTTCTTATCCTCTTCAGGTTTATGAAAGAAGGTTGTAAGAGAGATACAGCCTAAGTGGTTCTTGATTTCTTTAAGGATACTAGCAAGAAGAAATGGACTACTGTTCAAAGAAAAGACCTAAATAAAGTATCATATCCTGCCGTCAAACCTATGGAATAAATGAGCCATGAATGGTGGCCGATTTCACAGCCATGGGGCTTGGTTGATTTGTTCAAATTCTTGCTCAGTTACAAAAGTCAAAAGAATTAAACTTTTCAAATGCAAGGTAAAGGCTCAAGATGTAGTAACATGTTTCTGATTCCAGATTTATTTTGCTTTCCATCCATTGCTCTAGAGAGATACATTTCATTACATTATTTTCATGTTTTAAATGCACCAACTTGGTAATGTGACTTATATTTTAATATGATGTGGAAAACATTCTTTTTTTATTTGTAATAAGGTATTCTCATCTAAAATCCCAAGTCAGTATTGACTCTGAAGTCGCAGTTAGTATCATTCCTGAGAGCAATCTTTTAATCCCAGGGATAGGTATATGGGGTATATATTTTTTGAGTATATGCCTAAGATGATCTTTAGCTTTTGGGAAAAATAAAGCAAAAATCTGATAAAATATGGCTAGAAAAGATAAAGGAATTTGGTGTGTAAAATCAGAATAGGTTATGCTTATTTGGCAGTATATGTATTAAATATCCAGATCCAAAATCTCTTTAACATGCATGAGTTGAAAATTGCATATTGAAGTAGAATGCAGAGCACCTTCCTCAGGTACAGTGATACTACATATCAAACAAGCTAAAAGGAAATCAAATGCTTTTTTTCAGCTTAATTATCATAACCATAATGTGCAAAGTTATTTATCAATATTTCATGAATTTCTAAAATGCTTATAACTGTATTACCTGGGCACTTAATAATCACTTAAACAATGAAATCAATCTACCTTTCCATTAGCAACCAGAGATCACTTGCAGGACCATGTCTACATTAGTTTTCTAGAATACTTAGAACAAGGTGAACATTTAATAAATGATTAGTGGCAATACAGATAAGTTTATGCATTAAAAAGGACTATCATAACTTTGGATTGATTTTTTTGAAATGTTTTTGCTTGAAACAGATCTGAAATTGATCCAAGGGAAGAGCTACAAACTGCAAATATGAATAACAGATTTTTCTTTTAAGTGAAATTTGAGAAAATACTTATTTAGTCATTACTACTGCCTTGTTATGCTCATGGTATCTAGGCCTCTCCAATTTTTTATCTACATACTTTCCTGAAGTCCCTACCTTTGGACCTGCAGCAGATAAAGTCCTAATAGTTTCTCCACCCAGAAATAGGGCAAGCCTAAATACCAGAACTGAAGTCTTCTCTACCTAAACTTGTTGTTGACTCCTGTCTCTTAACTCATAGAGTAAATCTTGATGTTTCTGGTACTTAAATCTGACCTGAGCAGATTTTGCTTTGACCACTGAATACTCTAGGTGGGGTACTATAGATCAGTATTTTTCATCTTATTAGGTTCACAGATTCCTTAAAAAATCTTATGAAACCTATAGACCTCTGTCCTAGAAAAATATTTCATTACAATTTTATGTGATGATCCCTAGAACCTCATCTATGACCCTCAGGTTAGGAGCTATTTCTTTAAGCTGTCACAGGAACTTGATTATACTTTGGTATACTTGATTAAACTTTTTTTTAAAATATTTTCTTTATTATTATTATTATTATACTTTAAGTTTTAGGGTACATGTGCACAACGTGCAGGTTTGTTACATATGTATACATACAGAAAGTTTGTAAGTCCAAGTTTGTTTGGGAAAGGGTGATTTCCACTAAAGGCAAATATGTATAATTTATTACCTAGTTTGACATTATCCAGAGACTCAAGTAGCATTGAAACCGGCATAAGGTAAAATTTTAATACAAAAATACATGTGGAAAATAACATTACAGTTTATTTATGTTGTTAGGATGAATGTCTGAATATTTTTCTTTGGAATTGTGGCTCCTTTGGGTTGGCAGAAATAGGAAAGTTCATTTTGTTCAACAGGTCTTTTGATGCTTTAATCTCTTCTATGTTTATCAGTTTTCTTTGTTGCTTCAGAGTTGGCTATCATATTTTTAACACGTGAGAAAGAAATTATTAAATTTCAGTTTGAAAATTTAAACCTGCTTCCTCTTTACATAAGAAAAATTTAGCCTACTGTGACCTCTGGTGTTTTTCTCCGAATTGTGAGGAATAAATAAATGGATTCCTTTATGTAAAAGAATGTAACATACTCCTTTATTTTCTGAATTGATTCTCTCTAGAGTGTAAGATCTGGCTTCTGCAGTTGTTGACATGGTATCATTCTTTTTTTATGCTGAGAGATGTTATCAGTTTTTGAATGAGAAATAGAATATCATTGTTGGAGCAGATAAAAATTGAGTCACTTATTTGCAAAATACTTTTCTCTCTGTGACGACCAGCATTCGCTACCTAAATTAATAGCATATTTTAGAAATCAGCCTTTTTAATACCATGGGTATTCTAACTTAAGAAACTAAATGGAAATATAGTAAAGACAATAGAGTATTTCTGAATGTCAATTCCAGGAATTCTTGTTATGTGTCCCATTTGTTTTCATCAAACTTCTGGATTCCAAATGTCTTTATCCTTTCACAAGCTTTACCCCTCTTGTAATGAAGTGTTTGAAAACCCTTACTTTATGTATGAGAAAGGAATAAAAGTAATGTGACCAATTTCATTAAAAATGCACATGCTAATAAACATTGGTCTTTAAAGTTTGTCAACTTGGGATTCCAGAAAATTCTCCAAGTGTTGTCTTTGTCAAAAAATAGCTCAAAAATTTGTTTCAGAACCAGTTTATGAGCCACATATGTTGTTATACTGATTAATGGGGCTAGATTTCTGATTCTCAACCTTGTTTCATATTAACATTACACAGGGAGCTTTAAAAATATGATTTCCAGGCCCAACCCTAAAGATTCTGAGTAATTGGTGTGGGGTGTGGTCTAGACATAGGGCTTTAAAAATTTTCCCAGTTGGTTCTAATGTGTGCCCAAGGTTGAGAAACATTGGGCAGAAGGTTTAACAGGGTTCTGAGGACACCTAATAGCTTATTTGCGGCCTAAGAGTGCTTTAAAACCAAATTTTACAGCTTAAAGCTATTCGGAATAAAGTAATAGAATAGTTTGTGAAGTAATTTTCCATGGCTCTTGAATTCACCATGATTTCTCCAGTATAATGGCTAATTCAGCACTGTGCCAAATAAACACATTACCCGGAGAGCACTGAACTATCTTTAATAAAGGAAACCCAAAAAAAGAAGCATATTCACAAGGAGGGCAGTCTTATTAATTTGACTTTGTATTGACCAGGTTTAGATTTACATTACATATAGTTTGTTGAGGAAGATTATTTTCGTTCTGCATCGTTTTGAATAAGTGTGTACTGAATTAATGTGTTTTTTCCATACAATGGCAGTGAAGGGGTTTTGGTTTGTTTATTTTTTTGACAGAGAGACAGAAGAGCAGCTACAAATAATCTTTTTATCCCATGGTCTTAGCTTATGTGTATTTGAGATTTTGTTCCAGTTTCATGGTACGTGCTCTTCCTATTAACAATTTATCCATAATGTCGATTTCTTATTAAATATGTCTTACAAGATGAAGTACTATCTAACACTCCGGAAGTTCTGAATGATTTCATAGAAATGCTAGATATGGTAGAAACATTTTTAGCTCTCTCCCAAATTAATAGGTTTTACTTGTATTCCATGGATAAAAATATTTATTTGATCAACATTTAATTAAGTTAGATTCAGGAGCAGAACTCATTTACTCAGTGATGATAAAATGCAGAAAAGGCACAATAACTTACAGATATGGTAGCTGATAAAAATGTAGTTATAGAAAGAATTAGTGAAAAGTTGACATTATGGTCTGTGCATTTCTTATGTAAAGATAAACTTCTAAGTAACAAAGTAACAAAACCCATAACTGTGGAAACACCTTCATACCTATGAAGGGTGAACCAAAAAGACTCCTCAAGTCTACTCAATAGGCTGTGCATTTATACTCTTGATGGAGCTTCTGACCTTGTCCTCTGTTAGTCCAAATTGGAATATCAAAGGGGTATCAAAGAATTTCATCGTAGCTGTTAATAACTACCTATGGGAAACTATACAATCCCACTTGATAAGAAGGTTAGGAGGTCTGAAAGAAAACGCTGAAATACAGTAATCTCCCAATTCCCACAAAACTTAATCATTCAAATATTTCATGTAATGCCAATGTGCATGTCAAATTTTAACAATGATTCTCACATGAGATGAGGAACATTTCTTATACTCTAGAGCGGTTAGGAACTTTTTAAAAATTAGGTGCGTTTCATGCATGTACTTTACAGACCAACATTCTTTAATACTCCCTGTCATTTTTTAAAAAATATCATAATAATCACTCTTTATTGACTTTATGCAGATGCTAGACACTGTTCTTTATATATTAGATTGAAGACATTAAATTGCCATATTTGACCATTGTTGATCTGCATAAACAGCATATAGTTCAACCTAATATATTATCTCAATTTATCCTGAGAACTCCACTGAGATAGTTACTATTGTCCTCATTTTACAGATGTGGAAGCTGAGGTTCAGAGGCTTACTTTATCTTCAGTCCAGAACAAGATACTGGCAGAAGGATGATTTTTTGAAAAATAAATTGTATTTTGTATATTTGAGATTTACAAGATGTTATGGGATACATAAAGATAGTGAAGTTGTTACTATAGTGGAGCAAATTAATATGTCTGTTATCTCACACAGTTATTTTTCCTGTGAGAAAGGTGATGAAAATGTGCTTATTTAACAGAAATCCCTAATACAATGAAATTTTAACTATAGTCCTCATGTTGTACATTAGATCTTTAAACCTGTTCATTCTATAGATCTACTACTTTGTATCCTTTGAAATACATTTCCTCTTGCTCCCCACCCGACCCCTGGTAATCACTGTTTTATTCTCTATCTCCGTATATTTGACCTTTATTTTTTAAAAATATTATACGTACAAGTGAGATAATACAATATTTTTCATTCTGTGTCTGGCTTATTTCACTTAGCATAACATCCATTTTGTCCATCCATGTTGTGGATAATGGTAGAATCTCCTATTTTTACAGCTGAATAATATTTCATTGCATATATTTACCACATTTTCTTTATTCATTCATCCATCAATGGACACTTAAGTTGTTGTCATATCTTGGCTATTGTGAACAATGCTGCAATGAACATAGAAGTACAGAGTAATGATTTTACCTTAAGTACATAGGCCTACCTCATTTTATCACACTTCAATTTATTGTACTTTGCAGATAATTGCATTTTTTTTTTACAAATTGAAGGTTTGTGACAACCCTGTGTCAAGCAAGTCTGTTGGCACCATTTTTTCCAACAGTATGTGCTCACTTCATGTCTCTGTGTCACATTTTTGTAATTCTCTCAATATTTCCAGCTTTTTCCTCATTATTATATCTGTCATGATGATCTATGGTCAGTGGTCTTTGATGTTACTATTAAAATTATTCTGGAGGGCCACGAACCACACCCAGATAAGATGGCAAACTTAATAAATGTTGTGTGTGTTGTGAGTGCTCCACCAACTGGTTGCTCCCTCATTTCTCTCCCTCTCCTCAGGCCTTCCTATTCCCTGAGACACAACACTATTGAAATTAGGCCAATTAATAACCCTACAATGGCCTGTAAGTGTTCAAGTGAAAGGAAGAGTCACACTTGAAATCAAACGCTAGAAACGATTAAGTTTAGTAAGGAAGTCATGTCCAAAACCAAGACAGGCTGAAAGTTAGGCCTCCTGTGCCAAATAATTAGCCAAGATGTGAATGTAGGGAAAAAGTTATTAAAGAAAACTAAAAGTGCTACTCCAATGAACGCATGAATAATAAGAATGTGAAACAGTTTTATTGCTGATATAGAGATAGTTTTAATGGTCTGGATAGAAGGTCAAGTCACAACATTCCCTTCAGCCAAAGGCTAATTAGAGCAAGGTCCTAACACTCTTCAATTGTATGAAGGATAAGAGAGGTGAAGAAGCTGCAGAAGAAAAGCTGGAAGCTAGCAGAGGCTTAAGGAAAGAAGCTGTCTCCATAACATAAAAGTGCAAGGTGAAACAGCAAGAGATGATAGAGAAGCTGCAGCAAGTTATCCAGAAGAGCTAGGATCATTGATGAAGGTGACTACACTAAACAACAGATTTTCAGTGGAGACAAAACAACATTATTTTGGAAGATGATACCATGTAAGACTTTCACAGCTAGATAAGAGAAGTCAATGCCTAGCTTCAAAGAGTCAAAGGAGAGGCTAACAAGCTTGCTAGGGGCTAATGTAGCTGGGGACATTAATTTGAAGCCAATGTTAATTCATCATTTGGAAAATCACAGTGCCCTTAAGAATTATTCTCAATCTACTCTTCCTGTACTCTATTAATGGAACAATAAAGTCTGGATGACAGCTCATCTGTATACAGCATGGTTTACTATATATTTGAAGCCCACTCTTGAGACCTACTGCTCAGAACAAAAAATTTATTTCAAAATATTAGTGCTCATTGACAATGCACCTCATCACCGGAGAGCTCTGATGGAGATATACAAGGAGATTAATATTGTTTTCATAACTGCTAACACAACATCCATTCTGCAGCTCATGGATTAAGCAATTTCAAACAATATTGCTTAAGAAATTTGTTTTGTAAGGCCATAGCTGCCAATGATAGTGCTTCTTTGAATGGATCTGGGCAAAGTAATTTGAAAACCTTCTGAAAAGGATTTACCATTATAGATTCCATTAAGAACATTTATGGTTTATGAGAAGTGATCAAAATATCAACTTAACAGGAGTTTTGAAGAAGTTGATTCCAGTCCTCGTGGATGACTTTGAGGATTCAAGATATCAGTGGAGGAAGTATTTGAACATGTGGTGAAGTTAACAAGATAATCAGAATTAGAAGTGGAGCCTGAAGATGTGACAAAATTGCCACAATCTCATGACATAAATTTAACAAATGAATGGGTCGCTTTTAATGGATGAGAAAAAGAGGTGAGCTATTTTTTTGAGATGGAATTTACTCCTGGCAAAAATGCTGTGAAATTATTGAAATGACAGCAAATAATTTAGAAGATTCCATAAACATAGTTGGTAAGGCAGCAGATTTTGGGAAGATTTACTCCAATTTTGAAAGATGTAATTCTGTGGGTAAAATACTATCAGATAGCATCTCATACTACAGAGGAACCTTTCATGAAAGAGTCAAACAATGTGGCATGCTTCCCTATTGTCTTATTTTAAGAAATTGCCACAGCCACCCAATATCAGCAACCACCACCCTAATCAGTAAGCAGTCATCAACATAGAGGCAAGACTCTCCACTAGCAAAAAGATGACTCACAGAAGGCTCAGACTATTGTTGGCTTTTTTAGCCACAAATTATTGTTAATTAAGGTATGTACATTTTTTCATATACAATGCTATTGAACACTTAATAGAATACATTTTAGTGTAAGCATAAGTTTTATATGCACTGGCAAACCAAAACATTTGTGTGACCCACCTTATTGCAATATCCAATTTATTGTGGTAGTCTGAAATTGAACCTGCATTATTCTCAATGTATGCCTGTACACCCAGAGAAGGAATTCCTGGATCATATGGTAGTTCTATCTGTATTATTCTATCAGGATTATTCAATCAGTATTACTCAATCAATTTCCTTGTAAAAATATTTGTATTGATACATAATATTTGTACATATTTATGGGGTACATGTGACATATTGTTGCATGCATACAATGTGTAATGATCAAGTCAGAATATTTAGGATATTCATCAGCTCAAATATTTGTCATTTCTATGAGTTAGGAATATTTCAAGTACTCTCTTCTAGCTATTTTGAAATATACATTATATTGTTGTAAACTTTAGTCACCATACTCAGCTGTGAAATATTATAACTTATTCCTTTTATCTAACTATGTTTGTACCCATTAACTAACTTCTCCTCATCTCCACTCCTATACACATACCCTTCTCAGCCTCTGGTAACAATCATTCTACTATCTACCTCCATTAGATTAACTTTTATAGCTCCTACATATGAGTGAGCACATGTGATTTTTTTCTGTGCCTGGCTTATTTCAATTAACATAATGATGTTCAGCTCCATCCATGTTGCTGCAAAGGATATGATTTCCATTTTTATGGCTGAATGGTATTCCATTGTGTATATATACAATATTTTATTTATCAATTTTTCTGTTGATAGACTCTTAAGCTGATTCCATATCTTTGCTATTGTGAATAGTGCTGCAATAAACATAAAGGTGTAGGTATCTCTTTGATATACAGATTCCTTTTTTTAAAATAAATAGCTAATAGTGGGATTGCTGGATTGTATGGTAGTTCTATATTTATTTATTTTTTATTTATACACATTTTGTGTATACATGTATAATTGAATCACATGTATATAATGAATATATACATGTAATGATCAAGTCAGAGTATTTAGTGTATGGTAGTTCTATTTTTAGTTTTTTAAGAAAGTTTCATAATGTTTACCATAGTGGCTGCACTAATGTATATTCCTACCAACAGTGTATATGAGTTCCCTTTTCTCCATATCCTCACCAGTATCTGTTATTTTTTGTCTTTTTAATAATAGCCATTCTATTTGGGGTAAGACAATATCTCATTGTGGTTTTGATTTGAATTTCCATGATGATTAGTGATGTTGAACATTTTTTAATATAGGTGTTGCCCATTTGTATGTCCTCTATTGAGAAATGTCTATTGATGTCCTTTGCCCATTTTGTAATGGAATTATTATTATTATTATTATTATTATTATTATTATTATTTTAACTGTTGAGTTGATTTCCTTGTATATTCTGGACATTAGTCCCTTATTGGATATATAGTTTGCAAATATTTTCTCCCATTCAACCGGTCGTCTCTTCACTCTGTTGATTGTTTTCCCTTGTTGTGCAGAAACTTTTTAGTTTAATATAGTCCCGTTAGTCCATTGTTTCTTTTGTTGGTTGTGCTTTGGGGGATTAGTTATAAAATCTTTGCCTAGATCAATGTCCTAGATTGTTTCCTCTGTTTTCCTCTATAGGATTTTTAGTTTTGGGTCTTATATTTAAGTATTTAATCCATCTTGAGTTACTTTTGTATATGGTGAGAGAAAGAGGTCTAGTTTTATTCTTCTGCATATAGATATCTAATGTTTGCAGAATCATTTATTGAGAAGGGCATCTTTTCTCCAATGTATGTTCTTCGTACCTTTTAAAAAAAAGTCATCTTTAAAAATTATGTTAATTTTTAAATAAAATTTTCTAACAAATGATTAATACTTAACAGCTTTGCAGCGTGTTTAATGAAGAAATAATAATTTTCCTGAAATAAAAATTTAGATAAGTGACCAAAAGTGCAATCTAATTTACATTAAACATTTTTAACTTTCATCTAATTTAAAGCTGCTCTCAGTTCCAGCATGAGCCTGGCCACAAAATTTTATAAATAAGCTATGAGAAAGGAAGACATAGTCTATTTCTTTTTCATTCTTTCGCAATGCTTTTCTATGTTTCTTCCTCCAATCACTATGTTGCCTCCCTCTGACTTCTCTAGGATAGGTATGGGATAGTGGTAGGGTAAGAGTAAAGAAAAAAGGTGAGAGAGCCAATAGTCTTACTTGGCTGGTGCATTATACTCTTACTGTGATAGATGTTCAAATACTGGCTACCATGATACTACAGTAAACGGGATATTTTTAAGAATTGTATTGCTACCTGACATGTCCCTCTGCTAAGGTCTCCCCAACACTGTAGGCGATACATTCCTTAATTGACTTATCATTACCCTCTCAGCTCCTGCACTGTAATGTTACCCCACTTCCTTCCAAACAGTCTCTTTCTGCTGGGCCTATCTTTCCCTAGAAGGCAATCTTCCTATAAGGATCCTTTAGGACAGTTCTGCTATGGCTTTTTTCATGTACTCTTGGTCAAAATAAAAACACTGAAAATTTGCCCCATCACTGGTGAAAGTGCAGCTTGTACCCATTGTGACCCTCCAGACCCTGTTTCCTCTAAATTCCAGGGGCTGCCTAGCAAGCACTTCATTAAGTATTTTCTCCATACTCCACTGTAGTACCATGGTAGTACTGGGCACTAGAGTAAGGCCCAATGAAACCCCTTATATGGCTTGAGGTGGAAAGTGGAAGGAGGAACCCCTTTTCTCCCCTAATAACAACACTTCAGTTCCCCAACCCTAGTAGACTAACAGTTCTCTTCTTAAAAATCCCCTCTCAACAACCTCCTTCCAATCTCTACCTCTCTTACAGATAAGTTTGGGTTGAGTGATGAAACAAGAGGTGTAGGACCTGTTTGGAGGCATCTCTTGGTGAGCCTAATATATATAGCCTTCTGTTTAAAATGTGGAGGAATATGCCACCTGTTATTATCTGTCTTGTGGACTCAGATAATGGACAATTGGATCAGGAAGAAAGAGAAAACCTGAACAGACTAATACTGATTAATGAAATTGAATCTGTAACTAAAAACTCTCCCAACAAAGAAAAGCCCAAGACTGGATGTCTTCACTGCTGATTTCTACCAAACTTACAAGAAAAACTAACACCAATTCTCCTCAAACTATCCCAAAAAACTAAGGAGGAAGGAGTTATCCCTAACTTATTCAATGAGGCCCGCATTAGCCTGATACAAAAACCAGAAAAAGATGCAACAGGAAAAGAGAACTATAGGCCAATAACCCTGAGGAACATAGATACAAAAATCCTCAAGAAAATACTAGCAAAGTAAATCCAACAGCACAGGAAGAGGATAACACACCATGATCAAGTGGGATTTATCCTGGGGAAGCAAGGATGGTTCAACATATGCAAATCAATAAATGTGATACCTCATATCAACAGAATGGAGGGCAAAATCCATATGACCGTCTCAATAAATGTAGAAAAAAGCTTTTGATAAAAAGCTTTTGATATCCCTTCATGATAAAAACTCTCAACAAATTAGGCACACAAGGAACATAATATGCCATAATATGACAGATCCACAGCTGACATCATACTGAATGGGGAAAACCTAAAAGCCTTTTGCTTAATAACTCAAACAAGACAATGATGCCCACTTTCACCACTTCTATTCAACATAGTACTGAAAATCCTTTCCAGAGCTATCAGGCAAGATAAATAAAGGCATCCGAATTGAGAAAGAAAGTCACATTGTTCCTCTTTGCAGATGACATAATCTTATATCTAGAAAAACCCAGACACCACCAAAAGTCCTGTAGGTCTGAAAAATAAATTCAGTAAAAATGCAGGATACAACATCATCATACAAAAATCAGTAGCATTTATATACACAAAAAATGAACTAGCTGAGAAAGAAATTGAGAAGGTAATCCCCTTTACAATAACTATAAAACATACCTAGAAAAAATTAATCAAGGAGATATTATAAAGAACATCTACAAGGAAAACTATGAAACACTAATAAGGACATTCAACAGGACACAAACAAATGGAAAGACATGACATGTTCATGGATTGGAAGAATTAATATTGTTAAAATAACCATACTGTCAAAAGCAGTCTACAGATTCAGTGCAATTCCCATCAAAATACCAATGATGTATTTTACATAAATGGAAAAAAACAATTCTAAAAATTCTGTGGAACCAAAAAGAGTCCAAATGACCAAAGTAATTCTGACCAAAAAAGAACAAAGCGGGAGTCATCACACTACCTGACTTTCAAATATATTACAGGCTATCATAACAAACACAGGCACATAAACCAATATCACAAATTACAGAACCCAAGAATAGATTCACATATTTACAGCCAACCGAATTTTGAAAAAAGCACCAAGAACATATATTGAAGAATGAACACACTCTTTAATAAATGGTGCTGAGAAAACTGGATATCCATATGCAGAAGAATGAAACTAGACCCCTATCTCTCACCATATACGAAAGCAACTCAAAATGGATTAAAGACTTAAACATAAGACGCCAAAACTAAAAATCCTATAGAAGAAAACAAGGGAAACAATCCAGGATATTGATCTAGGCATAGATTTTATAAGTAAGAACTCAAACTAACAGGCAACACAAATAGACAAATGGGACTATATTAAACTAAAAATCTTCTGCACAGCAAAGGAAACAACAGAGTAAAGAGACAACATGTTGAGTCAGGGAAAATATTTACAAACTATTCATCCAATAAGGGACTAATATCCAGGATATACAAGGAACCAAGGAACTCAAACAGTTAAAAAAAATCCCACTTAAAAAGTGGGCAAATGACATAAATAGACATTTCTCAAAAGAAGACATACACATGGCCAACATGTATGTGAAAAAATGCTTACAACACTAATTATCTGGGAAATTAAAATCAAAACCACAATGAAATGTTATCTTAGCCAGGTAGAATGGCTACTGTTAAAAAGACAAAATATAAGAGATGCTGTTGGGGATGTGGAGAAAAGGGAACTCATATAGACTGTTGGTAGGAATGTAAATTAGTGCAGCCACTATGGTAAACAGTAGGGAGCTTTTCTTGAAACTAAAAGTAGAACTACCCTATCATTCTCAAATTCACTTTAGGGTATTCATCCAAAGGGAAAGAAATCAGTATATCAAAGGGATACTTGCACTCCCATGTTTATTGCAGCACCATTCACAATAGCAAAGACATAGAATTAACCTATGTGTCCATCAATGGATAAATGAACAAGAAAATGTCATGTTATATATACATAATGTAATACTATTTGGCCATAAAAATAATGGAATTATGTCATAAAAATAATGGAATTATGTCATAATTGGAATTATGTCATGGATGGAACTGGAGGCCATTATATTAGTTGAAATAAGCCAGGCACAGGAAGACAAATATTGCATATTCTCACCCATATGTAAGAACTTAAGCTGATTTCACAGAGTGGAGAATAGAAGGATAGATGCCAAAGGCTGGGAAGAATCTGTGGGAGGTTGATTAATGGGCACAAACATACAGTCAGATAAAAGGAATAAGTTATAATACTCAATAGCAGAGTACGATGACTAAAGTTAACAACAATGTATTGTATATTTCAAAATACTAGAAGAGAGAACTTGAAATGTTCCCAGCACATATAAATGATAAATACTTGAGATGATGGATACCCCAAATACTCTAACTTGATTATTACATAGTCTGTTCCTGTAACAAAATATCACCTGTATCTGATAAATATGTACAAGTATTTATATCAATTTAAAATACTGACAGATTCAAAATTGTACATTTTAATCCCATGCAACATGATGTTTTGAAATATGTATACATTGTGGAATGGCTCAGTTGAGCTAATAAACAATAGTTAAAGATATCTGTTGTATAACGTGGTGACTGTAGTTAATAACAATGCATTATATTTTGAAACAGATTGGCCTTTTAATTCCTCTAACTGAAATTATTTGTCACCCCTGACAACCTGAATAGCTAAGGTTGCTGTTTGAAATATCATCCAGGGGTCTGAAAAAGAGATTTAACAGAGTAGTTTTGATGACAGAAATAGGAGAAAAATCAAATTATTTCCTAAGTGCAATATACGGGCGTCCACTTATTCAATAATCTAGTCAATTCCATTTTTAAAATGAGGAGATGTGAACAGACATTTTAATGTATCTTCCATATCAACTATTTTCTGTACAATGGAAATAGTGAACATTCTGAGCTGTGAGAGAAAGGAGAAAAATCCAAATACACTAGAGTAGTTATGGAAGGAAGGGCTTTGTGGAGATCATGGAGTATAAGTAAGTGGTGGGATTTGGATTGTTTGTGGAGGAAGAAATAGTAAAGTAGAAGTACTTGTGATGTGTATTGAGATTGTGGTGGGAAAAAAAATGTCACTGTTACCCATGCTTTTTTGGGAGGCTTTTAATATAATTTGCATATTTGCTTCACAATTTCAATGGTATAAAATTGACAACAGTTAAGATTGCTTGGCTTTTTCTCAACTCCAGAACCAGTTATAACTGCACTGCAGTGATAGGGAGTGGGGCAAAAATCACGTAATGTTTGAAGTCTTTTGGACTTTGGATATGATTGAGCCTTGATCTTATCTCACAACCAAACAGATGACTTCTAAAAAAGAAGCCTGTTAACCTAGCTTTTCTAGTAGATGTCCACATTATTGGAGGATTTAGTCACTATCTAGATCAGCAGGTTAAGTTTATTTCTGGAACAGTTTCCTGATTCTTAGGCTAACTGCATAATTGGGGCAAGAGATATTGCAGAGGGAGGAGGGAGAAGGGGGAGATTTATGCTCAGCTTCAGATGTTTAGAAGGAATAAAAAAGGCACGAATGCAGGAAACAAGTACCTTCCCAACTGCCAGTGACCCTACAAAGAGAATACCATCTGACAGGCTTTGTGAGTACTTGGGGAATATACTGTGGACTAAGCTGTAATGACCCACATTAGTGGAAGAATTATTTTGTAACTTCAAGGCCTGTTATGGGCTGAATTATATTCCTCCCAAATTCATATGTTGAAGTCCTAACCCCTATTACCTCCTAATATCACTGCATTTGAGGATAGAATCTTTAAAGAGGTAATTATGGTTAAATGTGGTTATTAGGGTTGGCCCTAATTCAAAATGACTGATGTCTTATAAGAAGAAGAAAGCATGACAGAGATTTACACATAGAGAAGATCAGACATACACATAGAGAAGATCAAGACACAGGGAAAAGACAGCCATTTACCAGCTGAGGAGGAGAGAGGCCTTAGAAGAAATTAACTTTGCCGACATCTCGATCTCAGACTTGTGGCTTCCAGAGCTGTGAGAAAATAAATTTCTATTCTTTAAGCCACCCAATGTGTGATATTTTGTTATGGCAGCCCTAGAAAACTAATACAAGGTCTCAGAATAAATGCATTTTGATTATTATCAATGCTTAAATCAAATGATAGAACCATTTTTTTGTTTGTTTGTTTGAATGTTTCTTTTTTCCTGTCAGAGCTCTTTGGTCACTTATTCACCCAGTAAATCTTTATCTGGCATGTACTTTGTGTACCACACAAGGAGGTAGATTCCTGGGAATATGAAGAACAGATATACATCTTACTCTCAAGCAGCTCACAGTCTATTGGAGGAGGCATAAAATTAGGGAATCATAATAGAGTGTGAAAAATGCTGCAATATGTACACATAGGGTATTGTGGGAACGCAAAGGAGGTGCACTAAACCCAGCCTCAGTGGCTGGCATAACTGAACTTCTGAGGGGAGGTACTACTTCCTCTCAGAAATGTTTAAAGAATAGGTAGGAAGTAGCCAGGGAAAGTAGGAGCTGAAGGGTATTACATTCAGAGGAATTAACATGGACAGATGAGCAAGCAGAGTGCATTTAAATAAATAGAAATAGTAGTGAAGGATGAGGCTTAAAATGTCAGCAAGACCAAACGACTGAGGGTTTTCAGTGTCATGCTAAGTGTTCAAGAAAACTAAATATGGCCTGAGGAGGACTCCACACTTCTATATTTGAGTCCTTGTGGAGAACTATTACCTAGCTTAATAGTCAGACAAAATTGAAAATCTAACTTAGGAGTTAGATTTTGCCTGTAGTAATAACTGAGTCTTGGCCAATCCCAGCAGCCATACTTCAACCACTCATAGACTGCTAAGTGTTCAAACTGTGTTCAAATAAGGCAAACAGCAACCTGTAACCAACCCAGCTGTTTCTGTACCTCACTGCTGATTTCTATACATCATTTACTTTTTTTTTTTTTTGTCTATATAAATCTTCTTCCACCACGTGGCTGCACTGGAGTTTCTATGAATCTGCTGTGATTCTGGGGGTTGCCCGATTCGCAAATCATTCATTGCTCAATTAAACTGTTTAAATATTAAATTCGGCTGATGTTTTTCTTTTATAAGAAAGTTGTATTTTATCTTAAATTCAATGAGGGAGACAATGAAGAGATTTTATCATCAGAAGAATGAAAAAAATCAAGTACTCATATTATAATATAAAGATTGGGGAATGGCATGGCCATGCCCTGAGACAGGGAACATTGAAGGAGAGGTTGAGTTGAGGCAAAGATGAGGAGTTTAGTGTTGGATAGGGTGGGTTTATTTTACTGATTGTCTTGGTGTATTTTGCTCCTATAACAAAAAAATCTTAGATTGAGTAATTTGTAAGGAGTAGAAATTTATTGCTGATAGTTTTAGATACTGGGAAGTCCAAGATCAAGGTACAAGCAGATTCAATGTCTGATGAGGGACTGTTTCTCATAGACAGTTTCTTTTAGCTGTGTCTTCACATGGTAAAAGGGACAAACAAGATTCCTTGAGCCTCTTTTATAAAAGCACTAATCCCATTCATGAGGGTGAGGTCCTCATGACCTAATCATCCCCCAAAGACCCTACCTCTTAATACCATTTCATTGGGGATTAGATTTTAATCTATGAAATTTGGGGGAGACAAACATGTAGACCATAGCACTGCTTGTGAGACAGTTAAGATACAGATGTCTTATTTGACTTTTGGGACTGGAGTTCAAGAGCGAGAAATTGGATAGAGATCCATACTTTAGAATTTTATTATTATAAGTAATTCTTCTTACATTCTTTGTTATGTGTGCAATTTGGGCACAGATCAGGAGCCATTTGTGTAAGAGAGATACAATGCATATATTGAGAAGCAATGTTGGGAGCAGGAAGGATTTCAAAAGATGCTGAGAACCCAGTAAGGACACACCAGAGCTGTAATGTGGAAAGAAAGCTGAGATTGGAAGCTGGGATGCACAGTTATGAAATAGGTCATAGGACTATGAATTGAGTTTCAGCGAAATTCTGCAAGGTCTTCCAAATCCCTTCTTCCTCATGTGATGTGGTTTTTATTTTGCAGCCTGTTCATGTATAAAAGCCTTTTCCCCTTAAAGTCACTGCTTAGCCTGAGACATCACTATAGCAGCTGACATAAAGAGAACTTAATGATTGAGATTTTTAAAAATGACAGGTCAACCTTCAGAATATCAAGAAAGTGGTAATGAGGGACACTGATGGCATAGTTCGAAGGAGAGTAATATATTATCACTGTTAATAACAAGTAAACTTTTAATATTTTCTTTTGGATAATAGAATGAGAAATAACAATTGAGGAAAACAAAATTCTGTAAGCCCCTTTTAAAATCTTTTTTACTTTCAATCCTGTTGGTCTTGAGGCTGCATTCAAGTATCTATGTGGGTCATTCTTTGCGGAAATTTTATTGTCTCCTAACACCATTCCACAGTTAGAAATGAAGAGTCTAACTTCATTTATATATTGAAGAGTCAAGGTAGAGGTTTCACCACAGTAGAAAGGCCATAAATGGTAAGCATAATGATGATGCCCAGTATTTGTTTTATAATGTTCATTATTAAGATGATAGTAGAGAATTTTTGTCAAGTTATTTGTCATGGACAGACACTAAGGAGCTAGAAGTATATTAACCAAACCGCTTGTTTCCCTCCAAGTGTTTTATTTTGTTGTCTATGATTATTACTTTGGAATATTTAATTAGAAATTTCTTACTCTGTCCTTTGTCACAGAAGGTGATAAAGACATATCCATATATTTAGACATGATTTTGAAGTTCTGACTTTTCCATTAGACATAATCTTAAATATTTCTCCTGAAAATGCATCAAATACATGAGGTTAATAAATCCCAGGCAGTAAATGTTATCCTTAATTTACAGAACAGAAACAAAAATAATGCAAAACAAGGTGATACTTAATAGAAAATTTAATTTTCAGGGACAGTGTCAGAACAACCTGAGCCATGTATGAGCTTTAATAAGAGTATTGAACAAAAAGATAAGTAAATACCTTGTCTTTGTCAATATTCTGAGAAAAATCAAGCCAAAAATTTTACACTATGGCAGGGCAAAAACTATTTGGCATCTATGCTGTCATAGCTTAAGGCTTTTCCTAGGCCTTGGTTGGGAGAAAATGGAAATGTTGATGCAAAGAGATGACGAAGACATTACGAAAAACCCAGAGGCAAAAGTAGCTTATGAAGTAGTCAGAGAAGAGAGGCACCAAAGTGAAAGAAATTTTGTTTCCCTTGATTAACTATTACAAAGATTGTAGGGAGAATACAAATAAACATTATTTTATTTTAAAATATTATGTCCTTTTCGTCTCCATCCCTTCTGTTAAAATTGTGTTTTACCTGTGCTTCATGTCTTTCAGAAACAATTTGACAATTCCTTTTATTTACATATTTTGTTATGCAAATTCAATAACCTTGAAGTATTCATGTATTTCAATTGTCATTGTGATTATGAGTTTTTTTTTTGTTGTTTGTCTTTCCCAGGTAATGAATAAAAATAAAAATTTCTTTGGAAACATGTAAATGGATTTGGCTAAAACAACATTCTGGTGTTTAGATAAGAATTAGCCCCCCTTGTTTTTTATTATACTCTAAGTTCTAGGCCTATATCCTTACAAGGTTGCATGTACCCATTCATTCATTCATTCATTCATTCATAAAGAATCATTTATTGGGTTCCTTCTATTTTCTAGGCTCTCTCTGGGTACTGAGAGCTCAATGCAATACAAACCCTGCCCTCAAAATAATAACCATCTCTCCAGAATAATTTTGCTTCTAAGAGTCCATAGTTACCATAAAACAATCTTGGTCTCTCATGCTGTTCCTGTTTTCATTGCAGTTGACTTACTTCTTAAAATGAAAGTGCACTGAAGTACACTTAAGGAGAGTTCACCTTGAAATTATAAGTGATCTATATCAAATTAACTCTAAAAGCTGATAGTAGACAGTATCGATATTCAGAGATTAGTAGGGGCGGTGGCTTACCCCCCTCTCATTTTACAATAATGTGAGATTACATCTTACAAAAAAATTCTAGATCCCAGGCTTGAAAGCCCTCAGAGTTATATTCTCTGCCTGACCTAATTATGAAGGTAGTTCTGTTCCCACATTAGGAGTAAAAACCATAAAATATGTACAACAAGATTTCTTTTTTTATATAACTTCAACTTTCATTTTAGATTCAGGAAGTACACGTGCAGGTTTCTTACATGGGTATATTCCTTGGCACTGAGGTTTGGGGGTGCCCAATAGGTAGTTTTTCAGCTTTTGATCCCTCCTTTTCTACCCCCTTTAGTAGACAGTAGTCCCCAGTGTCTATTATTCTCATCTTTATGTCTGTGTGTATGCAATGCTTAGCTCTCACTTATAAGAAAGAGCAAATGGTGTTTGGTTTTCTGTTCCTGCATTAATTTGCTTAAGAAAATGGTCTCCAGCTGCATCCATGTTGCTGCAAATGACATGATTTTATTCTTTTATATGGCTGCATAGTATTCCATGGTGTATATATACTGTATTTTCTTTATCCAATCCACTGTGGATGGGCACCTAGGTTGATTCCATATCTTTGCTATTGTGATTAGTGCTATGATGAACATATGAGTGCATGTGTCTTTTTGGTAAAATAATATACATTTTCCTTTGGGTATATGCCCAGTAATGGGATTGCAGGGTCAAACAGTAGTTCTCTTTTAAGTTATTTGAGAAATATCCAAACTGCTTTCCACAGTGGCTGAACTAATTTACATTCCCACCAACAGTTGCTTAAGCATTCTCTTTTTTTGTGCAGCCTCACCAACATCTGTAGTTTTTTGACTTTGTAATAATAAGCCATTCTGACTGGTGTGAGATAGTATCTCATTGTGGTTTTTATTTACATTTCTCTGATGATTTGTGATGTTGAACATTTTTTCATGTATTTGTTGTCTGCTTGTATGTCTTCTTTTGAGAAGTGTCTGTTCATGTCTTTTGCCCATTTTTTAATGGTTTTTTTTTTTACCTACTAAGTTCCTTATTGATTTTAAATATTAGACATTTGTCAGATACACAGTTTACTAATATTTTCTCCTATTACATAGGTTGTCTGTTTATTCTGTTGATTGTTTTGCTGAGCAGAAGCTCTTTAGTTTAATTAGGTCCCACTTGTCAATTATTTTGTTGTTACAATTGCTTTTGAGGACTTAGTCATAAATTCTTTCCCAAGGCTGATGTCTACAATGGTATTTCCTAAATTTTCTTCTAGAATTCTTACAGTTTGAGGCATTACATTTAAATCTTTAATCCATCTTGAGTTAATTTTTGTATATGGTGAAATGTAAGGGTCCAGTTTTATTCTTCTACATGTGGCTAGCCAGCTATGATAACATCATTTATCAAATAGGGAGTCCTTTCTCCATTGCTTATTTTTGTGAACTTCGTTGAGGATCAGATGGCTGTAGGTGTGCAGCTTCATCTCTGAGTTTTCTATTCTGTTCTATTGGTCTATGTGTCTGCTTTTGTACCAATGCCATGCTGTTTTGGTTATTGTAGCTTTATAGATAGTTTGATGTCAGGTAATGTGATGCCTCTGGCTTTGTTCTTTTTGCTTAAGATTGCTTTGGCTATTTGGGCTCTTCTTTTGGTTCCACATGAATTTTAGAATAGTTTTTCTTTCTAGTTCTGTGAAAGACGACATTGGTGGTTTGATAGGAAAAGCACTGAATTTGTAGATTGCTTCAGGCAGTATGGCCATTTACACCTCTGTGCACACAAATAAGAAGATAATTTTAGAAAAAAAAAATCTTAATTACATTTTGAACTACAATAGCCACCAGAACTTGCCCTGTGGTTAATTCAAATTCATAAGATATTGTATCAGTCATCATTTAGAGACCAGAGCCTTTGACTAGGAATTGCACATAGGGAATCTCAGTGTTCATGACTATCTGGTGACCCTTAAGTATTGCAGTGATTTGTGTCCAAGCCACTTTTATCAGCAGTCTCCTGTCATAAGCCCAGAACTGGGCATCTGACCAGAGAAACCTGAAGTCACATTAACTGTTTTTGGATAGCTGGCAGCAGACAGGGAGAGGTGTGGCTTTTACTGTTCTTTTATATAGATAGATATAGTTAATTGTAATTACCCTCATCCAAAACCAACAAACTCTCTCCATTACAAAATACTAACTTTTTGTGCTTTTACGTGCTTGTTTTTCTCCTCTCCCTGGCACATCTTGAACTTCATCACCTATAAATTTGGTTGGGAAGACGCATCATTAGTTGTCATTTTGACTCTAAGCCAGGACCTGGGTGCACAAGCAGGAGGAGTCAATGATCAGAATATATTCTCTCTGTAGAAAGTCATTTACATCTTTGTGGGGTTGTTCCCTATTAAAGGCTAACTGCTCATTGATACTTCATTGAGGCTGTTTGGGTTAAGTCCTGTATCTCACTTCCATCTAAGCCCCTGAGACTATTTTGATGCTGCATTAAGGAACTCAGTCAATCAATTTATCAATACACTACTCACACAAAGTACTGGAGCCAGGACCTTGAAGTAAAAATTAGTACTTTTTGCTTTTGTGCTTTTCTTTTTTCCTTGCTGTGATAACAAAAGGGACAAATAACTCTTAATTGGCTAAAGGATTTTCATACCATGGTCCTTGCCAAAAGATGTAAACCAGCAGGTTTTTACAAATCTCATCCATGCCATGTCTTATCCATTATGTTGCTTAACATGAAGGAGCTTTACTGGACAGCTTAATATTTAGTGAGGTGCAATTCATTTCCATTAACTCTGCTAGCCTGAGAGACAAGTCACCCCTTCTAATGAGCAAACATCTTTCTCTTAATAAACCTTGCAGTGACCTTGGCATGACTTCACTCTATTTGGATGTAATGATATCCCGCTTCCATTAATCTTTCCAGTGATGTTTGGCCTCATGTAATGGTTACCAACCCTTGAGTTGCTCTAAGGAAATGAAGCATTATGCAAATTTGCACCCATTCCACTGAGGTCAACCTTTTCAGAACTTTCCCAGAAAGAATAATGCTGCATTCATGCTTACCCTTGCTTTATGAATGGAGCCTCTCAGGAGTTCTGCTGCCCTTACTTATTTTGCATTGCAGCCTGTATGACCCTGCCTAAGAGAAGGGCTCCTTTGCAGTGTAATTATAATGACAAACCCAGTATTGTAAGTTAATGTTGTGCATCAGCATAGGCATTTAGGGTACTGATGGGATTAAGGGAAGAAAAAAAAAAAGTACTTTCTCCCCCTGAGATGTTTAGGTTATTTATCTGTCTTCTAGCTCTCTGAAACGCAAACCCTCACTCAGCCACATTAACCCTTTAAAAGAGAAAAACAATTTTCCTCATACTTCTCACTTGCAGAATGACTAAATGCTCGTAAACTGCTAAAGGATGAGTGTAAGCTTCATTTCTGAAAGGCTTTTTATATAGTTCTGTTGTGCCGGGATGTGAGCAAAATTAATCTATTCTAGTATTTTTTTTGACCTTTTATAATTTTTCAAAAGATATTATAAAGCAATGCTCAGCTTTATGAACAACAGATATTTGACAAGTAAGAGGTCGTTATTTGCATTTTAGTCTTATTCACTTGACTGAGGAATTATAAAATGTCTCTCGAACTCCATAGTGTATCTCTACATTTATTTACAGATTATTAAATGTTAGAAAAGATGATGGGCAGAAATATTGAAAGTGGCAAGAGTTTGGGACCACTATGAACTGAAGAGTAGAAATATAACCTGTAAGAGAGTTATAATAAAGTCAACAGAATATTAAGAATGCTGATTTATATACAGCCTTTGAGAAACTCAACTCCTGTGTTGAGTAACCCTATATCCAGATTAAATGCTTTGGCACTACCAGGCCCTGAAGACAGATGCTGATTTGGAATTAGAATTGAACATTTTTAGGAATTTCATAGACAAACAACATGATATATATTATATTGGTTAGAAGACTGTTCTTTAGAGGCATACTTGGTTTGGAGTTGTGATTTCTATGAACTAGCTATCTGAACTTGGACAAATGACTTCACCCCTAAGTTTCTTCATCTTTAATGAGGGACAGTAATAATTAATAATAATAATAAATACTCATTGTGGCTACTGTGATGATTAAATAACCTAATTTATTTAGAGTGATTAGCATGGTGCCTGGACCATAGTAAGTATTTAAGAAGTATTTGATATTATTATCACCATCATCTTTAAGTGTATTGCTTTATCTTCACAGTACAGCAATTTCTAAGGTGGTAAGCCTTAAACTTTAGCCTAAATCAAAATCACTCTAGCTCCTGTATGACATTTCTAGACACAACTTGGACCAGAAGGGAACTTGGTGCCTTGAATAAAAGGACCCAGTCCTTGCAGGATTCATCACCTGCTGACTAAAGAGCCCTTCGGCCCTAAATAACCATCAGCCATACTCAAATAGTATGCCATGGGCCTTGAGTGAGACTCTGAGATGTGCTGGCTTCAGGTGAGACTCAGCATGTTCCAAATAGTGGTAGCTATGGAGAAAGACTCCTTCTGCTTGAAAAAAGAAGGAGGGAAAGTAAGAGGACTTTGTCTTACACCTTAGGTGCCAGCTCAGCCACAGTGGGATAGAGCAGCAAGCAGGATCTTGGGGTCCTGGAGCCAGGCCTAGGCTCTTGGAGAGCAATTCTGGACCTGCCCTCGGCCAGAGCGGAGACCATTGCCCTGAAGAGTGGGCCCCAGGCCTGGCAGCATTCATCAGAGTCTGACTGAACAGTCCTGGGGCTTTAAGTGAACATTGGTACTGGCCTGGCAGTACTCACTTTGGGCTGGTAGTTGTGGCAGCTGGGAGAGGTTCCTCTGCCCATGGAAAGGGAAGGAAGAGGGAGAGCGACTTTGTCTTGTGGTTTGAGGGCCAGTTAAGATGTGGTAGAATAGAAACCAGGTAGATTTCTAAGGTTTTTGACTCCAATCCTTGGCTCTCAAACAGCATCTCAGGACACGCCTGGGCCTGGGGACCTTGCCAGCCTGAAGGAAAGGACATTAACCTAGCTGGCTTCCCTATCCACTGATTATAGAACCTTAGGGCCTTGAACAAACATAGGTGGTAGACAGGTAATGGTTACAGTGGGCCTTGGGTGAGATCCACTGCTGGCTTCAGAAATAACCCAGCACAGTCCAAATGGTGGTGGCCACAGGGGTGCTTGCATCATGACACCCCCTAATACAGGCAGCTCAGCAGAAAGAGAGACTCCATTTGTTTGGGAGAAAGTAAGGGAAGAAAATGAGTTCCTGCCTAGTAATCCTGGGAATTCTTTTGGATGTTATCCAAGACCACCAAGATGGTACAGCTCAAGTCTTTTATTTTATTATTTTTTTGAGATGGAGTTTTGCTCTTATCACCCAGTCTGGAGTGCAGTGGCATGATCTTGGCTCACTTCAACCTCCGCCTCCCGGGTTCAAGTGATTATCCTGCCTCAGCCTCCCGAGTAGCTGGGATTACAGGCACCCACCACCACACCCAGCTAATTTTTGTATTTTTAGTAGAGACAGGGTTTCACCATGTTGGCCAGGCTGGTCTTGAACTCCTGACCTTAGCTGATCCACCCATTTCCGCCTCTCAAAGTGCTGGGATTACAGGCGTGAGTCACCACGCCCAGCCTACATCTACAAGTCTTAAAGAACCACAGTGGTATTAGGGTTGGAGCCTATAGCCCTTTGAATACCTGGAAAGCCTTCTCAAGACAGGCACAAACAAGCCCAGACTGTGATGACTACAATAAATACCTATCTCTTCAATGCCCAGACACTAACAAACATCCATAAGCATCAAGACCATCCAGGAAAATATGACCTTACCAAATGAAATAAATAATGTACCAGGGATCAATCCTGGAGAAACAGAGATATGTGACCATCCAGGGAGAGAATTCAAAATAGCTGTTTGGAAGTAACTCAAAGAAATTCAAGATAACACAGAGAAGGAATTCAGAGTTCTATCAGATACATTTAACAAGGAGATTGAAATACTTAAAAAGAATCAAGAAGATACTCTAGAGCTAAAAATTCAATTGAAATACTGAAGAATGGATTAGAGTCTCTTAATAACAGGACTGACCAAGCACAAGAAAGAATTAGCGAGCTTAAAGACAGGCTATTTGAAAATATAGTCAGAAAGGCAAAAGAAAAAAATAAAAAATAATGAAGCACATTGACCAGATCTAGAAAATAGCTTCAAAAGGGCAAATGTAAGAGTTATTGGCCTTAAACCGGAGGTAGAGAAAGAAATAGGGGTAGAAAGGGTATTCAAAAGGATAATAATGAGAACTCCCCAAACCTAGAGAAAGATATCAATATCTATGTATGAGAAAGTGATAGAACACCAAGAAGGTTTAACCAAAAGAAGGCTACCTCAAGGCATTTAATAATCAAACTCCCAAAAGACAAGGATAAAGAAAGGATCCTAAAAGCAGCAAGACAGAAGACACAAATAACATACAATGGAGTTCCACTAGGTCTGGCAGCCGACTTTTCAGTGGAAACCTTACAAGCCAGTAGAGAGTGGCATGATATGTTTAAAGTTCTGAAGGAAAGAATACTTTTACACTAGAATAGTATATCTATGAAAAATACTCTTCAAGCATGAAGGAGAAATAAAGACTTTCCAAGACAACCAAAAGCTGAGGGATATATTTTGGATGCACCAAAATCTCAGAGATATATATATATATGTGTGTGTGTGTGTGTGTGTGTGTGTGTATATATCTGTGTGTATATATATATATCTGTGTGTGTATATATATGTGTGTGTATATATATATATCTGTGTGTATATATATATCTGTACATATATATGTGTATGTGTATATATATATATATATATATATATATATACAGGCAACCAAAGCCAAAGTGGACAAATGGGATCACATCAAATTAAAAATATTCATCACAGTAAAGGAAACAATCTACAAAGTGAAGAGGCAACTCACAGGATGGGAGAAAATATTTGCAAACTATTCATCTGTATTAGTCCATTCTAAAGCTGCTAATAAAGACATATCCAACACTGGGTAATTTATAAAAGTAAGAGGTTCAATTGACTCACAGTTCCACATGGCTTGGGAGGCCTCAGGAAACATATAATCATGGCAGAAGGGGAAGCAATCATGTCCTTCTTCACATGTGGGCAGCAAGGAGAAGTGCTGAGTGAAGCAGGGAAATGTCTCTTATAAAAGCATCAGATCTCGTGAGAGCTCACTCACTATCATGAGAACAGCATGGAAATAACTGCCCCCGTGATTCAATTACCGCCCACTGGGTCCCTCCCATGACATGTGGGGATTATGGGAACTACAATTCAATATGAGATTTGGGTGGCGACACAGTCAAACCATATGATTCCACCCCTGGCCTCTCCCAAATCTCATGTCTTCACATTTTGGAACACAATCATGCCTTTCCAACAGTCCCCCAAAATCTTAATTTATTTCAGCATTAACTCTAAAGTCCAAGTCCAAAGTCTCATTTGAGACAAGACAAATCCCTTCTGCCTATGAGCCTGTAAAATCTAAAGTAAGTTAGTTACTTCCTAGATACAATGGGGGTACAGGCATTGGGTAAATATACCCCTTCCAAATGGAAGAAATTGGCCAAAACAAAGGGGCTACAGTCCCCATGCAAGTCTGAAATCCAGCGAGGCGGTCAACTCTTTAAGCTTCCAAAATGACCTCCGTTGACTCCATGTCTCACATCTAGATCACACTGATGCAAGAGGTGGGCTCCCATGGCCTAGGGCACCTCTGCCCCTGTGGCTTTGCAGGGTACAGCCCCCCTCCTGGTTGCTTTCACAGGTTGGCGGTGAATGTCTGCAGCTTTTCCAGGAGCATGGTGCAGGCTTTTATGCTCTGTCACCTCTTTAATGCTTTGCTGCTTAGAAATTCCTTCTGCCAGATACCATAAATCATCTCTCTCAATTTCAAAGTTCCACAGATCTCTAGGGCAGGGGCAAAATTCCAACAGTCTCTTTGCTAAAGCATAACAAGAGTGATCTTTGCTCCAGTTCCCAACAATTTCCTCATCTCCATCTGAGACCACCTCAGCCTGAACTTTATTGTCCATATCACTATCAGCATTTTGGTCAAAGCCATTCAGCAAGTCTCTAGGAAGTTTCAAACTTTCATAAATTTTCCTCTCTTCTTCTGAGACTAGAAAACTCCAAATTGTTCCAACCTCTGCCTGTTACCAAGTCCCAAAGTTACTTCACATTTTTGAGTATCTTTACAGTAGTGATCCACTACCTGGTACCAATTTACTGTCCATTCTTACATTGCTAATAAAGACATACCTGAGAATGAGTAATTTATAAAGGTGAGAGGTTTAATGGACTCACAGTTCAGCATGGCTGGCGAGTCCTCAGAAAAATTACAATCATGGTGGAAGAGGAAGCAAACACATCCTTCTTTACACGAGGGCAGCAAGGAGAAGGGCAGAGCAAAGGTGGAGGAAAGCCCCTTATAAAACCATCATATCTTGTGAAAACGCACCATCATGAGTACAGCATGGAGATAACTGCCCTTATAATTCAATTACCTTCCACCAGTTCCCTCCCATGACACGTGGGGATTATGGGAACTACAATTCAAGATGAGATTTGGGTGGAGACACAGCCAAACCATATCACCATCTGACAAGAGATTAATAACCAGAATATATAAGGAACTCAACTCTATAGGAAAAAATCTAATAATCTGATCAAAAAATGAGCAAAAAATCTGAATAGACATTTCATAAAAGAAGACATACAAATGGCATTAGGCATATGAAAAGGTGCTCAACATCATTGGTCATCAGAAAAATGCAAATCAAAGCCACAATGAAATATCATCTCATCCTATTCAAAATGGCTTTTATCAAAAGACGGGCAATAACAAATGCTGGCAAAATATGGAGAAAACAGAACCCTCATACAATGTTGGTGGAAAAGTAAATTAGTCAAACAGCTGTGAACAACAGTTTGGAGTTTTCTCAAAACACTAAAAATAGAGCTACCATATGATTCAGCCATCCCACTGCCAGGTATGTGCCCAAAATAAAGGAAATCAGTATATCAAAGAGATATCTGTTCTCCCATGTTTGTTGCAGCACTATTGACACTAGCCAAGATTTGAAAGCAACCTAAGTATCAACTGACGAATTGATAAACTGTGGTATTAATACATATACACAATGGCATGCAATTCAGCCGTAAAGAAGAATGATATCCAGTCATTTACATCAACATGGATGGAACTGGAGGTCATTAGGTTAAGAGAAATAAGGCAGGCACAGAAAGAGAAACTTTGCATGTTCTCACTTATTTGTGGGAGCTAAAAATTAAAACAATTGAACTCATGGAGATAGAGAGTAGGAGTCTGGTTATCAGCGGCTTGGTGGGGTAGTTGGGTTGTCAGAATAAGTGGGGATGGTTAATGTGTATGAAAAGTAGAAAGAATGAGTAAGACCTAGTATTTGATAGTACAACAGGGTGACCTGGTCAGTAATAATTTAATTGTACATTTTAAACTATAACAGTATAACTGGATTGTTTGTAACACAAAGTATAAATGCTTGAGATAATGGATACCCCATTTACCTTGATGTGATTATTAAATACTGCATGCCTGTATCAAAGTATCTCATGTACTCTGTACATATATGCACCTACTATGTACCCACAAAAATTAATGGTAAAAAATTTTTTAAAAAGAAATGGGCTAGTTTCAACAGTTATGATGGTGAACACCTTGGAGAGTCCCTGTGTTCATAGAGGGTGGAGTAAAGCAGCTGAAAAAAATCACCTGGAGTGTTTAGTAAAGCACAACTTGCTGGGCCCCACCTGCAGGGCTTCTGATTCAGAAAGTCTGAGGTGGGGTTTCAGAATTTGCATTTCTTTTCTTTTTTTTTTTTTTTTTTGAGACGGAGTCTCACTCTTTCGCCCAAGCTGGACTGCAGTGGCGCTATCCCGGCTCACTGCAAGCTCCGCCTCTTGGGTTCATGCCATTCTCCTGCCTCAGCCTCCCGAGTAGCTGGGACTACAGGCGCCCACCACCACGCCCGGCTAATTTTTTGTATTTTTAGTAGAGACGGGGTTTCACCGTGTTAGCCAGGATGGTCTCGATCTCCTGACCTCGTGATCCGCCCGCCTCGGCCTCCCAAAGTGCTGGGATTACAGGCGTGAGCCACCGCGCCCGGCCCAGAATTTGCATTTCTACAAGTTCCCAGGATTAGCTGCTGCTGGTGGTCCAGAGATCACGTTTTGAGAATTACTGTTGTAAAGTACTCAGGGAATGTTTTAATGCACCTCTTTTATGAATAGGTAAAATCAACAAGTGGTGCATTGAACAATCAGAACTGATGACTTATAACCTGAAAGCCCATATATTATTTTGCCTCTCAGTTTTGCTTCAATGTTTATTTAGTAATGAAGATATTTTCCTTCTCACAGATGAAAACCTCAGCAGATGTAGACTTTTGAAAGTCTCTCACCAGGCAATTTTTCAATTACTAAGGCATCACAATTCTGTGCTTTGGCACTGTTAAGAGAATTGCCTGTATAGAATAATTTTAAGTGGGTCTCGTCATCCATTCCAGGTGCAAACCCAAATAACAAAACCTTTGATGGTTCTATGAAAAAAAGAAGATACAGTGGCTGAAGAAACTTTAGTTTTTAGGTAGTGTAGGCTTGGTGACTTTCTTTCTTTTCCTTCTGCCTTGGAGAAAGAAGAAAAAAGTATCTCTGAAAGAAGAGAATTGAAATCTATGAGGGATGACTTCAGAAACCTCTATCAACAAAAGCAGTTACATAAATGATTTCTGAGTCTGAAGCACTTATGCCTGGTGGCGAGAAGAACTTCAACGCCTTTTGCAGTCAAACTAGTATGAAATGTTAGAGTGATGTATCCACTCTAGTCAGTGTTTTGCTATATGATATTAACCTAGGGCAATTAGAAAAGAAATTTCTACCCGAAGGCTGGAGATAAAACCATGGTTAGATAAAGCTATGTTTGATAATGCTTAAGAGGTAACGAGAAAAGGGCCTGATCTGACCTAGAGTTAGTTAAAATTCCTCTGGAGTCCAGGTAAAAAAACAGGTCCCTATCTTCCCAAGTGTTCCCCACATTTTAGGAAATAAAATGTATATTAAATAGGAAACATGAAAATTTATGCACTGGAAATCTAAATTTATAAAAGTAAAATAAAATAATTTAGAAATAGACATCACCAGTTATTTCCATATGAAAAAGTGAAAAATAAAAGAAGCAGGAGAAAAAATTAGGGGATGTTAAAACTTCATTGTCCGTGCTCAATAAACACACACACTTTGAATTAACTTTTGTTTCCTGTGGGTATACATTTTATGTCAGATTATACTTAAATTGCCTCAACAGATGTTAAGCCCTTACTATGTGTCAGGTACTGTGGTAGTTGCTTTACCTATAATAGTTATTGAATAATAAAATATGTATTAATCAGGGCAATTAATATGAGCTAATGTAATAATTCTACAATTTTCATGGCATAATACAGTATCTTTTTCTCTCATATCTCAGTCTATTCAGATATTGATGACTGCCTTTCCACAGAGTTTTCCAAAGAGTGACTCAGGGACACAGGCTCTGTGTATTTAGTAATCGCCCCTTATATAAGACTTTCTCAGAATGCTATGCTAGATCCTCTGCCTTTTGCTAGCCAACAAGCCAAGAATGAACATGGAGGATCATGTGGGTTGTTTTATGTCCAGGCCTGCATGTGGTACACATCATTTCTGTCCATATTGCATTGGCCAGAACTCAATCAAATTCTACAACTTAATTTCAAAAGAGGCTAGGAAATATAGTCTTCCTCTGTGGTCATGTAGATGAAATGGGACTGGTTAGCATCTAGCCAGTCTCTCCCATGATAGGAGGAAGATATTTTACAGATAGGAAACTGAAGCTTAATGAATTTCAGGGAGCTAGGAGAAGGTATTTAATCCAAGATTTGAACACAAGTGTATATGATTCAAAAAGGACGTATTTTTCAACACTGCTTTATGAATTAACAACGAAAAATATTCTTGCAATGTTCTAGGTTTTCCTGAAAGTATATATAGAGGGAGAGGATAGGATATGACATTTGACGATGAGAATAGAAACTATTTATTTGGGGTTCATTGAAGTTTCTGTTACTCTCTTGAAATTTGTAAAGGAAAGTCTAAGATGGGGAAGACATGGGGAGATTAGATTCATAGGATCCTGTCCTCAATATTTATTGCCACCTTAATCCACCCAGAAACCTGGTTACTGTCAGGAATAACAATTAGGGGATGTGTCTCTGGCTGTTTTTTTGTACTTGCTATCTTCCTTCCAAAAGTTGTTTGACAGTATTGTTTATTGCTTTTCATTATTCCTCTGTTATTGTTCTGCCACTGGATGAGTCTAGCAATACTTTAGCAAATGCCAAAGCATCTCTGTTTGATGCAAATCAAAGGTGCCAGGGCAGCCAAAGTACCATAGAAAGATATATAGCTTAACATCTACTACTCACTACCATGCCATATGTTTTTCCAGAAGCCAGGTATTTATCCTCAGCTCTCTTTAACTGGGCTGGTATCACAGAGATGGAGAGTTTAGGAGTTGCCATACTGTGAGAGCCACATGATCAAATTTCTGCCTTAGTCAAAACAGGAAAGAGGCAGCATTTTTCTCTGCCTTTCTGTGCCCTTTTCTTCATCTTTCCCAGCCATGTCATTTTTCAACCAAAACCCTATCAATTTATATTGCTGTCTGCTATCCCTGCCAAAGTGGCCACTAATTAGTAATATCTTAGTGTAAATTAATTTAGTATTTCTATACCACCTGGAAGCATTTTTTAAAAGTTAATCAAGCTTGTTTTTTTTTTTTTTATGTTTGTGGGTTAGCAATTCTGAAACTACTTTATGTATATAATGGGGTTGGACAAATCTCTCTCTCTATATATATATATGCATTTGTGTGTATGTGGAAAGATAGATACAGAGATAAATATAGAGCTGTGTTATACATGGGTTAGTGTGTATATATGTATATGTATATACATACATATATACATACATATACATGTACATATACATATACGTATACATATACATATACATAGATATTTCTAGAGGTTCCAGAAAGAGGGATAACTCAATAGCAATAGTACAACAAGCACAGAGGTCATGGTTTCTAAATACCACTCACCAGTAAAGGGAAACAGTGATCTTTGGAGAAATGGTTAATTCTAGAGCTGGGGTAGGAAAAATACAGAATTATCTTGGTACCATGCAGTAAGAAAGCGTTTAAAACAACAGATGGTAGTATGTCATAAGGACATAGTAGTTACCCCAAAAGAGTGTCCAATAGACAAAACTGGATAATGATAATATTATATCCCAAAGGCCAAAATAAATATCTCTTGAGTCCATAGCAATATGAATTAATAATTTGTTTGTATTCTAATTATGATGGTGATTACACAAATTTTTGCTTAAGATAAAATTTCATAGACGTACACACATACATATATGCAAACATGCAAAAGATCTCATGTAAAGCCACTAGGAAAATCCATGGAACCAGGCACAGTGGCATGTTCCTCTAGTCCTAGCTACTTGGAGGATGAGGTAGTATGATCATTTGAGCCCAGGACTTTGGGGCTGTAGTGAACCTGGACAACAAAGTGAGACCCAGTCAAAAACAAAACAAAAACACAAACAAAAAGCACAATTCTTCCCCCAAAAATCTACAAGTGAATTCCAAATCCAAATTAGGTATAGTTACTAAGTATAGTAATGTGGTACAAAAATCATCAATTTCTTGGTTTTGATGATGCACTATGTTTATGTAAGATATACTCTTTGGGGAAATCTGAGGAAGGGTATTTGGAAACTCACTGTACTAGTTTTGCTACTTATAATTCTAAAATTATTTCAAATAAAAGTCATCAAAATAGGAAGAAAGAGAGGAAATCAAACAATCTCTCTTTGCAGATGGTATGATTCTCTACTTTTAAAAACTCCATAGTTTCTGTGTGAAAGCTCCTAGAACTGATAAACAACTTAAATAAAGTTTCAGGGTATAATATTAATGTATATAAATCAGTACCATTTCTATACACCAACAATGTCCAAGCGGAGAGCCAAATCAAGAATGCAATCTCATTTACAATATCCACAAAAATAATAAAATACCTAGGAATACAGCTAACCAGGGAGGTGAAAGAAATCTACAATGGGAATTACAAAACCCAGCTGAAAGAAATCAGAGACAACACGAACAAATAGAAAAACATTACATGCTCATGGACAGGAAGAATCAATATTGTGAAAATGGCCATCCTGCCCAAAGCAATTTACAGATTCAATGCTATTTCTACAACACTTCCAGTGTCATTTTTCACAGAATTAGAAAAAAAAACTATGTTAAATTTCATATGGAAGCAGAAAAGAGACCGAATAACCAAGGCAATCCTAAGCAAAAAGAACAAAGCCAGAGGCATCACGGTATCTGACTTCAAAAAGCTTTGTTAGTCTACAGTAATCAAAACAGCATGATACTGGTAAAACAAACAAACAAACAAACAAACAAAAAACAACAAGAAAAAGCAGACACATAGACCAATGGAACAAGTTAGAGAACACAAAAATAAAGCTGTACATCTACAACCTTCTGATCTTTGACAAAGTTGACAAGAAAAAGTAATGGGAAAAGGACTCCCTATTCAATAAATTGTGCTGGGATAACTGGCTAGCAATATGCAGATCATTAAAACTGGACCACTTCCTCTCATCACATACAAAAATAAACTCAAAATGGACTTAAGACTTAAGACCTAAAACTATGGAAACCCTAGAAGAAAACCTAGGAAATACCATTCTAGACATCAGCCTTGGGGAAAAAAAAATTATGACTAAGTCCTCAAAAGCAATTGTAACAACAAAAAATTTGACAAGTGAGACCTAATTAAACTAAAGAGCTTCTGCTCAGCAAAACAAACTATCGACAGAGTAAACAGACAACCTACATAATGGAAGAAAATATTAGTAAACTATGTATTTGATAAATGTCTAATATTCAAAATCTATACGGAACTTGACAGGCAAAAAACAAAAAACAACCCCATTAAAAAGTGGGCAAAAGACATGAACAGACACTTCACAAAAGAAGACATACACACAGCCAACAAGCATAAGAAAAAATGCTCAACACCATCATTAGAGAAATACAAATCAAAACCACAATGAGATACTATCTTACACCAGTCAGAATGACCATTATTAAAAATAAAAAAGCAACGGACACTGGCAAGGCTGTGGAAAAGGGAATGCTTATACACTGTTGGTGGCAATGTAAATTAGTTCAGCAATTGTGGAAAGTAGTTTGTAGATTTCTCAAAGAACTTAGAACTAGCTTTCAGCTCAGCAATCACATTACTAGGTATATATCCTCCCCAAAACAAATTGTCCTGCCAAAAAGAAAATGCACACATATGTTCATTACAGCACTATTCACAATAGCAAAGGCATGGAATTAACCCAGTTGTCTATCAAAAGTGGACTGAATAAAGAAAATTGGTACATATACACCATGGAATAATATGCAGCCATTAAAAAGGGCATGATTACTTCCTTTGCAGCAATATGAATGCAGCTGGAGGCCATTATCCTAAGTGAATTAATGCAGGAACAGAAAACCAAATACCACATGTTCTCACTTATGTGGAAGCTAAGCATTGCGTACACATGGACAATAGACACTGGGACTACTTGAGGGGGGAGGGTGGGAGGTGGGTGAGGGTTGAAAAACTACCTGTTGGGTACTATGCTCACTACTTGGGTATCAGAATCATTTGTACACCAAACCCCTGCAACATGCAATTTACCCACGTAACAAACCTGCACATGTACTCCCGAACCTAAAATTAATGTTGAGAAAAGAAAAATAAAATAATTTCAAAATAAAAAGGTTTTGTTTAAAACATACTTGAGTAAAATAAATAAATAGGGTATAAGCAACAAATCTCCCATACAGAAGAACTCTATATAATAAATGTAGAAGGAATAAAGGAAATTAAAATATCACCATTAAAGTACTGTAGTAATATTTGCTACAGTCGAAATGCACTAGTGAATGCTGAAGTTAACAGGCAAAATTTAAGGAGAAACAGAATATCTATGCAGCCTCAAATTCTTTCCTTCCAAATATATATTGATTACAATGAAAAAATAATAAACTTACAGCAGGGAAACCTCGTAGATACCATCTTAACCAGGTAATCAAGGTTAAAATTATTTACCTATTGATATACTGAGCAGGGTACAACACCTCTATGGCATTCTTTTCAAAAGTTTATAACCTCTGTCTGACTATGAGAAAACATCAGACAAAGCCAAATTGAGGGTTTGTATGAACAGTACTCCACAAAAATACCTGACCTGTACTCTCCAAAAGTGTCAAGGTCATAAAAGACCAAGTAACTTTCACAGATTGTGGGAGGCTTTTTATCCATTCTGGAAAATTCTCAGCCATGTCTTCATATTATGCATCCCCCACCCTATCCCTTAATATACATGACAATCTTTATTTTTCTTCTTTTTAGTTATATGTATGTTGAACCTTCTCAGGTTATCACTAATGTCTCTTGACCTCTATTTCATATTATATTTTTCATATCTTTGTGTTGCTCTGCTGTATTTTGTGATCCTCTCTTCAGCTGACTACAGTTTGCTGTTTAATCCTTGTATTTTACTCATAATGGTTATTTTTCTCATTTCCCAAAGATATGTTTGGTTCCTATTCAAATTTCCTGGTCTTTTTAATGAGTCTGTTAACATTGCTTACATTTTTTATTCTGTCTTTCATTTCTTTAAAATGTAAGACATTTATTTTACATCCCATATTTTATAATTCAAATAGTTCAGCGTCTGAAGTAGTCTTAAGCCACATAACAATAATTTCAGTCAACAATGGGCCACATATACAATGGTGGTCCAATAAGATTGTAATGAAGCGCATATAGAAACTTGATATATGGTGTTTGATATTGGCATTGCAGATTAAGTAGGGGAAATTACTGATATTAAGTAATGGGGCTAATATATATGGTTTTCCATATGAAATAATCTATATAAATAAACATATGTATACCATCTAGGTTTGTGTAAGTACACTCTACAATGTTTGCACAATGACAAAATCGTCTAAGGACGCATTTTTCAGATCTCCCTGTCATTAAGTGACACGTGACTGTATTTGAAGGCCTAATTGTGCTTTTTTTGTTGTTCAGTTTATTATTTTTATGATATCCTGCTTACTGCATGTTTAATTTATTTTTAATTTTATTTTTTAAATTTTATTTTTCCATAAGTTATTGGGGTACAGGTGGTATTTGGTTACATGAGTAAGTTCTTTAGTGGTGATTTGTGAGATTTAGGTGCACCCATCACCTGAGCAGTATAAACTGCACCATGTTTGTATTCTTTTATCCCTTGCCCCCTCCCACTCTTCCCACCAAGTCCCCAAGATCCACTGTATCATTCTTATGACTTTGCGTCCTCATAGCTTAGCTCCCACGTATCAGCAAGAACATACGATGTTTGGTTTTCCATTCCTGAGTTACTTCACTTAAAAGAAATCCTTCCTAATTCATTCTATGAAGCCAGCATCACCCTAATACCAAAACCAGGAAAGGACATAACCAAAAAAGAAAACTACAGACCAATATCCTTGATGAACATAGATGCTAAAATCCTTAACAAAATACTTGCTAACCGAATCTAACAACATATCAAAAAGATAATCTACCATGATCAAGTGGGTTTCATACCAGGGATGCAGGGATGGTTTAACACACGCAAGTCAATAAATGTGATACACGACATAAACATAATTAAAAACAAAAATCACGCGATCATCTCAATAGACGCAGAAAAAGTATTCAACAAAATCCAGCATCACTTTATGATAAAAACTCTCAGCAAAATCAGCAAACAAGAGACATACCTCAATGTAATAAAAGCCATCTATGATAAACCAACATCCAATATAATACTGAGTGGGGAAAAGTTGAAAGCATTCCCTCTGAGAACGGGAACAACACAAGGATGGTTGCTGTCACCGCGTCTCTTCAACATAGTAGTGCAAGCCCTAGCCGGAGTAATCAGAAATAAAGGGCATCCAAATCGGTAAAGAGGAAATCAAACTGTTATTGTTTGCTGATGATGTGATCATTTACCTTAAAAACCCTAAGGACTGCTCCAGAAAGTTCCCAGAACTGATAAAAGAATTCAGCAAAGTTTCCAGATACAAGATTAGTGTACACAAATCAGCATTTAAATTTTTTTAATTTAGATCGCGTGCTGTATTTTTATAGCGGGCATACTCTGATGGGTGATTGGAAGATGTGTCCCTGTATTCATTATTCGTGCTCGCTTTTTTCTCTAGTGCTACAAACCTAAGAACAATTGGTATCAATTTTCTGGTTTGTGGTTTCTTAGCCCTGTAATTCTCTAATCTAAGAATTCTCAGGAGGAAGTATTTGTTTGTTTGTTTGTTTGTTCCTCCCCAAAATAAGATAAATAAAATTTTCATGGTGTCCCTTTGCAAGCAGATGGACTATTTTCTAAAATAGCCTTTCACTGAGGATTTAGTCCTTCATGGGTCCCAGCTTAATGCTGGGATTTTTGTTCCAACTTCCATTTTGCTAAGGGCCAAATCCTTGTCTGCTGATCTTTCACAGTGTTTGCAACTCAAGCTTTTTAGGTACAGACATCTTCAGATATTTCCAGGGCATCCATAGGGCTTTTGTCAGCTAACCATAAGGTTTTCAGTTCTCTTTTTGCTTTTGATTTGGAGATTCTTCATATTTTCTCGTGAGATTAGTCTTACATATAAAAAGAATGTAATGTTTTATAAAACATTTCTTAATCTCTTATATACAGAAGTTTTTAAGATATCATGTCTGTCACATCATTGAAAATATACATTTCTAATAGTTCTTTAAATTTGTTAGTGAATGCTGTACCTACTTAGTATAATTTAACTGTATATATTTGCAATGTTTGTCTGTTCTAATTATATGTGAGTCATTATGGCCACAAGTATAGAACTTCTGTACCTGCCATGACCCATTTCTCATTTTCAATGAAGATTCAGATTCAGCTGAAAAAATATGCCTAGTGTCCCATGTATAGCAAGTAAAATTATTTAACATATTATTTTGCTCCATGCATTCTTATTCAGTTATGAAAGTATAACAATACTTGAAAGTGGAAAACACTTTGGGATAGCTTTGTTTTAATTACATTGACATTGACTAACACTATCCCTTTTCTCTCTTCAATGAGTATAAATTTTTAAAGAATTAATGTCTTATTATGAATGGAAATATTAAATAACTGTAAGGAAATATGTCTAACAGATAGCCAAAATTAACAAAGAAATCCCCACATTTCCCATAAGGATAACATAGCCGTGCATTTGGATATGCTTAAACCTCCTAATATATACTTTATGTTTTACAACTGCAAAAAGGACATACTAAATCTAAGCTTTTAAGACATATTTTGTCCCCTAAATCTTTTAAAAATTAAATATTTTATTGAAATTATTTCAATTAGAATGAAGATTTTTATCTGGCTGATTTTTCAGGGTTGTTAACTTTATTCTAGCTAAGACTCATATTTAAATGATTTAGGACATTTGTAACTGCCAGGTTCTTTGGTGTTCTGTGCCCCTTGGAGTTTTGGGTGTGTTTAGTTGTCCATGCAGTCCTTCAATATAAGAAGTAATTTAACAACCTTCTTTTTTTAAGCTAGCGCTACACTGCTGTTGTTTTTTAAATATAATAAACTGTAAATATATTTCTAATTACTTCATCAGTATTTTTGAGGAATGTATGTTGATATATAAATCATCTGCTTTCAGAATTTAATGGAACATAAGAATTGTGTTTGTGTATTTTTATATCTGTAGACATATAGATATTTCAGGACCCCTTTTTGACAGCCAAATAATCTGAAGTCTACCCATCCTGTATCTTTTTAAAAAATCATGACTCTTTGAGAAAAGACTGTTGTGAGTGGTTTTATGGACTGCCTGCAGTAACTCTGTGACCTCTGAGGGTTATGCTGCTCACACTTTGGGCTCATTACTATACCTGAGTTGATACATGTTTTATCTACTGCATCTGAGCGTGCTTCTTAGTGCTGCCAATAGAAGACTATAAAACCATTTGGTAGTGAGTCAAGGTCATAATTTGTTAAACAAAAAGAAAAAATAATAGCTAACATTTATTTAGTGCCTGTTATGTTCCAGGTACTTTAAATGTATTTCCTCATTTAATCCTCACAACAACACTAAAGTACTATTTTCATCTCCACTTTTTTTTCAGAGACAGGAACCGAAGCACAGATAAATTATCTAACTATGTCATCTAGTAAGTACAAAAAGGTTAGGATTAGAACTCTACCTGGTTTATCCCTTTCACCATCATGTAATAATGCCTCTCAGAAGCAAGGGTACTCAGATGACAAATAACAGAAAAAAGATAAAGACATGTTGCTGTTCCATTTTATTAAAACACCTCAAATCAACTTTGGACAGAGGCAATATGTAAATGTCCAGGAGCACCAGGTAGTGTCCGAAACATCTGCAAAGCAGTGTTAGAAGCTAAAGTTGAAGAAGGAATACAGGAGAACATATAGGAGCCTGTGATTGCAGCAATTCAGAAAGATTGTTAATTGTAGCAAATTCTAAGAGCTTGTTAACGATGGTTAATTGTTGTTCCAACATTTACTACAGTGCTTCTGAGGCCTTCAAAAATTAAGTGCTAAATATGTGCATGGCTCTTTACATTACTTGAGCCTCACAACTACCTATGAGGCTAACACAGTGTTGACCTATTTTACAGACAACAAAACTGTGACCATAAGAAATAATTAATTTACCCAAGATTACACAGCTGAGTAAATTCCACAACTGTTTTTTTTAACTGATGTATAATATTTGTTCTTTGTACATATTTATGAGGTAAATATATTTTGTTACATGTATAGAATGTGTAATGATTAAGTCAGGGAATTCAGAGTATCCATTACCTCGAGTTTTTATCATTTCCATGTGTTTGGACTATTTCAAGTGATCTCGTCTAGGTATTTTGAAATATACAGTAAATTTTAATTAACTTTAGTCACCCTACTCTGCTATGAAACATGAGAACTTATTTCTCCTATCTAACTGTAGGTTTTTACCCCTTAACCAACCTCTCTTCATCCCCTCTACCCCCTCACACACACACCCTTTCCAACCTCTATATCTATCACTCTGCTCTTTACGTAATCAGCTTTTTTAAGATCCCACATATGAGAGAGAACATGTGATATTTGTATTTCTATGCCTGGATCATTTTACTGATTATAATGACCTCCAGTGCTATCCATGTTGTTGAAAATAAAATGATTTCAAAGGGAATGCTTCCAGTTTTTGCCCATTTAGTATGATATTGGTTGTGGGTTTGTCATAAATAGCTCTTATTATTTTGAGATATGTTCCATCAATACCTAGTTTATTGAGAGTTTTTAGTAGGAAGCGCTGTTGAATTTTGTCGAAGGCCTTTTCTGCATCTATTGAGATAATCATGTAGTTTTTGTCATTGGTTCTGTTTATGTGATGGGGTACGTATATTGATTTGTATATGTTGAACCAGCCTTGCATCCCAGTGATGAAGCCAACTTAATCCTGGTGGATAAGATTTTGATGTGCTGCTGAATTCGGTTTGCCAGTATTTTACTGAGGATTTTCTCATTGATGTTCATCAAAAAAATTCATCCAAAAATTCATCAAAATTCATCAAAAAACTTATTTTTTGTTGTGTCACTGCCAGGTTTTGGTATCAGGATGATGCTGGCCTCAAAAAATGAGTTAGAAAGGATTCGCTCTTATTCTATTGTTTGGAATAGTTTCAGAAGGAATGGTACCAGCTCCTCTTTGTACCTCTGGTAGAATTCAGCTGTGAATCTGTCTGGCCGTGGACCTTTTTTGGTTCATAGGCTATATTACTGTCTCGATTTCACAAGTTTTATTGGTCTATTCACGGGTTTGACTTCTTCTTGGTTTAGTCTTGGGAGGGTGTATGTGTCAAGGAATTTATCCATTTCTTCTAGATTTTTGAGTTTATTTGCATAGAGGTGTTTATAGTATTCTCTGCTGGTAGTTTGTATTTCTGTGAGATTGGTGGTGATATCCCCTTTATCATTTTTTATTGCATCTATTTGATTCTTCTCTCTTTTCTTCTTTATTAGTCTGGGTATAGGTCTATCTATTTTGTTGATCTTTTCAAAAACCAGTTCCCGGATTCATTGATTTTTTTGAAGGGTTCTTCGTGTCTTTGTCTCCTTTAGTTCTCCTCTGATCTTAGTTATTTCTTGTATTCTGCTAGCTTTTGAATTTGTTTGCTCTTGCTTCTCCAGTTCTTTTAATTGTGGTTTTAGGGTATTGAATTTAGGTCTTTCCTGCTTTCTTTTGTGGGCATTTAGTGCTATAAATTTCCCTCTACACACTGCTTTAAAGGTGTCCCAGAGATTCTGGTACATTGTGTCTTTGTTCTCATTGGTTTCAAAAAACATCTTTATTGCTGCCTTCATTTTGTTATTTACCCAGTAGTCATTCAGAAGCAGGTTGCTCAGTTTCCATATAGTTGTGTGGTTTTGACTGATTTTCTTAATCCTGAGTTCTAATTTGATTGCACTGTGGTCTGAGAGACTGTTATGATTTCCATTATTTTGCGTTTGCTGAGGAGTGTTTTACTTCCAATTATGTGGTCAATTTTAGAATAAGTACGATTTGGTGCTGAGAAGAATGTATATTCTGTTGAATTGGGGTGGAGAATTCTGTAGATGTCTATTAGGTCCACTTGGTCCAGGGGCGAGTTCAAGTCCTGAATATCCTTGTTAATTTTCTGTCTCGTTGATCTGTCTAATATTGACAGTGGGGTGTTAAAGTCTCCCACTATTATTTTGTGGGAGTCTAAGTCTCTTTGTAGGTCTCTAAGAACTTGCTTTATGAATCTGAGTGCTCCTGTATTAGGTGTATGTATATTTAGGATAGTTAGCTCTTCTTGTTACATTGATCCCTTTACCAGTATGTAATGCCCTTCTTTGTCTCTTTTGATCTTTGTTGGTTTAAAGTCTGTTTTATCAGAGACTAGGATTGCAATTGGCACAAGACAAGGATGCCCTCTCTCACCACTCCTATTCAACATAGTATTGGAAGTTCTGGCCAGGGCAATCAGGCAAGAGAAAGAAATAAAGGGTATTCAAATCTATCCATCTGACAAAGGGCTAATATCCAGAATCTACAAAGAAATTAAACAAATTTACAAGAAAGAAACAAACAACCCCATCAAAAAACATATGAAAAAAAGCCCATCATCACTGGGAACTAGACAATTGCAAATCAAAACCACAGTGAGATACCATCTTATTCCAGTTAGAATGGCAATCATTAAAAAGTCAGGAAACAACAGATGTTGGAGAGGATGTGAAGAAATAGGAACGCTTTTACACCACTGGCGGGAATGTAAATTAGTTCAACCATTGTGGAAAACAGTGTGGTGATTCTTCAATGATCTAGATCTAGAAATAGCATTTGACCCAGCAATCTCATTACTGGGTATATACCCAAAAGATTTTAAATCATTCTACTGTAAAGACACATGCACATATATGTTTATTGCGGCACTGTTCACAATAGCAAAGACTTGGAACCAACCCAAATGCCCATCAATGATAGACTGGATAAAGCAAATGTGTCACATACACACCATGGAATACTATGCAGCCATAAAAAAGGGTGGGTTCATGTCCTTTGCAGGGACGTGTATGAAGCTGGAAACCATCATTCTCAGCAATCTAACACAAGAACAGAAACCCAAACACTGCATGTTCTCATTCGTAAGTGAGAGTTGAACAATGAGAACACATGGACAGGGGAGGGCATCACACACCAGGGCCTGTCGGGGGGTGGGGGACTGGGGGATGGATAGCATTAGGAGAAATAACTAATGTAGATGATGGGTTGATGGGTGCAGCAAACCACCATGGCATGTAACAAACCTGCACATTCTGCACATGTACCCCAGAACTTAAAGTACAATAAAAAAAATAAAATGATTTCATTTTTTATGGTCAAAATGTATTCTATTGTGTATATATACCGCATTTTTTCTATATGTTCATCTGTTGATGGAAACTTAGTTTGATTCAATGTCTTTGCTATTGTTAATAGTGCTGTAATAAACATGTCAATGCAGGTAACCCTTTGATATACTGATTTATTTTACTCTGGGTTAATACCCAGTAGTGGAATTGCTGGATTGCATGGTAGTTCTATGTTTAGTTTTTTTGAGAAATCTCCATATTGTTTTCCACAGTGACTGTCCTAATTTACATTTCCGCCAACGGTATATAAGAGTTCCTTTTTTTTCCACATCCTCACCAGTATCTGTTTTTTTTTTTTTTTTTTTTTTTTTTTTTTTTTGTCATTTTAGTACTAGCCATTCTACCTGGGGTAAGGTGATATCTCATTGTGGTTTTGATTTGAAAGCCCATGATTAGTGATATTGAGAATTTTTTCATATACATGTTGGTCATTTACATGTCTTTTTTGAAAAATGTCTATTCATGTTCTTTGCTCGCTTTTAAAAGGCATTATTTGGAGTTCTTTAACTGTTAATTTTCTTGAGTTCCTTGTCTATCCTGGATAGTGGTCTCTTGGTGGGCCAATCCTTGTGCCTCATTGGTAGCAGTGGCAGGTGGAAAATGCCTGTCCTTGGGCCCCAGGGTAGCATAAACTGGCACTAGTGTTAGTGGGTCCAGGTGGACCAATTCTTGGGCATCCTTGTTTGGGTACCTGCAGTGGCAGTCATTGGGTGGGTGGGAGATTCCTTGGGCCCCGGGGCAGTGAGTGTGGGGCATGGGTGATGGCAGTAGGAGTGGTGATACAATTTTCTGGCTCCCAAGCAGTTCACGCTGGTGTGGACAGTGGCTGTGATGGGCTTGACAAGCCAGTCCCCAGACTGGCAGGTGGTGCATGCAAGTGGGAGCCAGCTGTGATGGCAGCAACAGGTTTGGTGGGTCTGTCTTCACTCCCCTGGGAAGAGTGTTCAGGTGCCAACAGCGGTGGATGGAACAGGGTCATTCCCAGGCCCCTGGATAATGTGCTTGGGTACTGTAGGATGGAGCAGAGCTGGACGAGGCTGCCCTCAGGCTCCCCAGTGGTGTGTGTGAGCTCTGGCTGTGGTGAGCAGGGGCAAGGTGATTCCCAGGGCCCCAGCAGAATGCTACAGTGGGTTTGGCAACAGCTATGGTGAGACCTTGCTCCAGGGGCAAGTGGGGTTGCTTTCAGTGACAGCAGCAATAAACAGTCAGCTGGAGAGTATCCACTTCAGGCCAATGTGGTGACTATAAGCAGGGTAGCCTTTCCTTAGCACTCTTAATTGTGCAGTTGCCCTCCTATTGGATGTGGTTGGATTGTTGCTAATGGCTCCTGCATTGGTCCTGGTAGGCAGCAGCCAGTGGTGGCTCCTGGATGCATACAGGGTATGTCAGTGAGGCATCAGGTATATGGAGATGCAGGGGCTGTTGGCCCCAGGGCAGGATGCAATCTGAGGGGCTGTGCTTTCAAAATGGTGCCATGCCATGGCTGCTTATGACTTAGGTGGGTATGGGTCCCTGTGAGATTTCTCTCTGGAGCAATGCCATTGCATGCTTTCCAGGCAGCTCCCTATGTTAGTCTCAGGGTATGTGTGAGTCAGGGGGCTCTCCTGTGGCTAGGATTGCAGAACTTCATGGTGGGAATACAGACCACTGGAAATCTCTCATTTACTCTTTCCCTGAATTGGGGAGCCTCTTCAGGCTCCAGCCAATCTCAGCTGAGCAGGTTGCCTCACTTCCCTCTCCTTTCTTGCCTTAGGTGTTTCCTGTCATTTGTCTGTGAAATTCCAGCATTCACTCTTACATGATCAATTTGAAATATGATTATCTATTAGCTATTTTTGATACTTTTTGGAGGGGGCAGTTACAACATGCATCTAGTCAGCCATCTTGAAGCCATAACTGGGTTTTAAGACTAATTTTGCTAGGCTTCAAAACCTATGTACCACTGTATCATACTGCTTTTTGGGTGGAAGCATTTCAGATTTATCTCCTTTGTGCTTCTGTATTTGAAGGGACTTCACTAGTTTTTGACCAGCTTCAACCACTTTCACTAGCCCTCTTATTGAGACACATTTTTTGAATACTGTGGGGAAATAAATTCCAAGGGAATGTTAACTGTGTAGAGAGTTGAGCAACAAGGTTCCAGGCTTAAACATTGTTATTCTATGGAGAAGTATCTTGTTCATAGGAGTATCTTGTATTAAGTGTCTTGTAGAACCCTTATGCTTTTAGCATCTGGTCGTTTATTGTGTGAGAGTAGATCATTTGAGGTAACAATCTCAGACAAAAATGTTCCCAAATCATCCTGATTTTTAAAAATATCTCATTAACTAAATCACATTATCAACCCACATGCATGTCTATTTTCTGCCTGTACTACTTTTATAAGCCTTTATTTTCAAAAGTTTACCCCCTGTTGCATGATAACAGTAGTAACTCATTGATCTGGCAATATTAGGGGAAACTCTGTCCTTGTTCTGCTGAAAACAAGCCCTTTGCAATCTCTGCTCATTTTAGAGGGGTTGGGGTTTATTTTTGTATTTCAAACTCAAAATTTTATAAAACTATAACATCTAATTGCAAAAAAGTCAAGTAAAAGTCCACTAGTATTTTAAAATGCAGAGAACCTTTGTATAGAACCATTATTCTTCATCTTGATCTGACTATAATCAGGCTTTTAATCAAAAGGTTTGGCATTTTTAAACATCTATGCTCCATCTGCTCATAATATGGGCAGTAAAATAGACTTTTGATGCTTGTTACTATAGCTTGCCTTGTGCTCCAGTAAATATGAGCTTAATAAAATATATAACCAAATTTTTGAATTAAATCCAAACTATTAATAATTTGCCAGACTAGCATTATGCCCATTAAAAAAATTAGAAGATTAAAGCTCCACTTTAACTCAGAAATAAACATTGCATAACCATTCTCCAATTTCCTATTATTTTCTTTTAACTATTCTGCAGTTGGAGTATGAGACCAGATGGCCTTCTACTTAGTGAGGTGAAAGACTAGGTTAAATAAAAGACACTTGATGGAAAAATCCATTACCCTCCTCTATTCTCTTCTGTTCAGTGACATTTAGGGAACTTACACTCTTGAATTTGTGCACTATTTCCACAGGATGATGAAAGAGAACATCCTTCCTCAAGTTGATAACAATCAGACATTTCTATAATCCATTTAAACTTTTTCAGGCAGAGGCAATAAAGGTGAATGCAGTGGTGTAACCAGAGAAGGGTATGAATCTCTTTTGTGCCTCTCCTCGCTGTGTACTGCTAGTAAGACTGAGCCTGGGCACACATCCCAGGGAGAGAAAACATTCTACTGGTGAAGAGTGTGGACTGTAGCTTTCAATAATGGAATTTGAATTACAGCTCTACCGCCTCCCAGCTTTGATATCTGTGGCAACTTATGTAACCACTTTCAAACCCTAGTTTCATAATCTGTAAAATAGTAAAATAGCCTATATTATCATGATACTGTTTTGAAGATTAAATAAGATAACCCAGAAGGAGCCGTGATAGCCAACTAGACACAGCCAGGAGGAACATCTCCTACCAAGAGACTGGTACTTTGGGAAGACTGGCACACTCTGAACAGACCTTCAGAGGGAAGGCATTGAGAGTGGATGGAGGGAGGATGCAGGTGCTAGGCTGAAGGGGGAGGAAACTGAGAACAGTGCGCAGTGCTGCTGAGTACCAGGCCTCCTTCCTGTTCCTGGCCTCCAGAGACTCCTAAAGAAGGGGTGAGTTGAACAGGTGAGGAGTGCCCTGCTCTCACCATGAATTTCTAGAATTCCAGTGGCAGAAGACCCCAAGACCGTTACAGACAGTTGAGATGGCAGAAGGAGCTGCTTAGAGAAGTGGCAGGAGCAGGCCTCCAGTCTGTGTGAAGCCCAGAGGGTTTGGGTACTTATGAGAAAGTCTGCAGTGGAGCACAGCCAGCAATACTCAACTCCCAAGGCCAACCATATTCCTTTAGAAGACTTTAGCTTTTAGGTGACTGTTGGATCTGGACAGAGCAGGGAGATCTTGCCAGTGGGACAGGGCCAGACCGGTCTGAGTGTCCCCCTGTCTGCTGGCCTCTCCTGGGGTCCCAGCCTGGCTGTACCCACTCACTGTGCAGCCTCATATGCCCAACCATAGCACTCCCTGGAAGCCCTCATCATAGCTCCTTTGCTGGAAGACCATGCCTGACCATTACAGGGGTCCAGGATACTCACTCACCAACATGCAGCACCCCACGAGCACCTTCCTTACATCACAGCCTCTCCTGCTGTTTTGCCATCATGCACTTGTCCACAGCTCCCCACCCCACCACTTTTCCAGTGGGCACTCACAAACAGACCTCCTCTCTTCTCCCCCACTAATGTGTGTATGCACACACATCCCTCCACACCACTGCTGCCAGTATGAGCCCACCCTGATGAACCCCCTGTGGCTGATGCTCAGGCACACAGCTGTGCCACCACCACTGGTGCAAACATGCACACAGATTCTGGCAACCTTGCCCCCATTAGTGCCCTATCCCTGCTGCTGCTTTCACTGGTAAAAGTGTGCACAGGAATGCCACTGCCCTTCTTCAACTGGTGCCCAACCCCAGTCAGTGTTCATGCACCTTGCCATGGTACTGTGGCTGCTGGAATGTACCAGTGAGCATGTACCACTCCCACCAGCCTGATGAAGTGCTTTGGCCAGCACCACACATGACTGTTGTGGCTAGCAGGTTGGGAACACCTAGGCCCCTCCAGTGCAGCAGGATGAGCTAAATAACAAAGCTGGGGGCCTGGTATCAGACCCCCAGAGTTAGAGCACGCATCCCAAGAGTGCTAAGCCAAGCCTAGACCCCCTTAATTTACCCAGAAACAAAGCCAGTTTACTGAACCCACCTTAAACCACAATCAAACACTCAAGGGCATCAAAGAAGATAAAGGCAAAAAACTCCATCTGAAGGACAGAAACTTATAAGAACTTAAAAGATTGAAGGAACACCAGCCTACAGATTAGAGAGAACCAGTACAAGAACTCTGGTAACTCAAAAGACCAGTTTTCTTACCTTCAAATGACCATACTAGTTCTCCAGCAATGGTTCTTAACCAGGCTGAAATGGCTGAAATGACACACATATAATTCACGATATGGATAGCAATGAAAATCATTGAGATTCAGGAGGAAGTCAAAATCCAATCCAAGGAATTTAAATAATAAAATAAAATTATACAGGAGTGGAAAGACAAAATAGCCATTTTAAGAAAGAACCAAACTGATCTGACAGAGCTGAAAAACTCATTCAATAATTTCCTAATATATTAACAGTAAAATAGACCAAGCTTAGGAAAGAATCTCAGAGATCAAAGACTCGTTCTCCAAAATAACTCGATCAAACAAAAACAAAGAATAAAGAATAAAGAAGAATGTACAAAACTTCCAAGAAATATGGGATTATGAAAAGAGATGAAATTTATGACACATTGGTGTCTCTGACAGCGAGGGATTGAAAGCAAGCAACTCAAAAAACATATTTGAGGATATCATCCATGAAATTTCCCCAACCTCACTAGAGAAGCCAATAATAAAATTAAGGAAATAAAGAGGACCCCTGCAAAATACTGTAAAATATAAGCATTCCCAAGACATATAGTCACCAGATTTTCCAAAGTCAAAATTAAAGAAAAAATGTTAAAGGCAGCTAGAGAGAAGGGGCTGGACAACTACAAAGGGAATCCCAACAGGCCAAGAGTGGATCTTTCAACAGAAACCCTACAAGCCAGAAGAGATGGGGAGCCTATATTCAGCATTCTTTAAGATAAGAAAATCTAACAGGGAAATTTATATCTAGCCAAGCTAAGCTTTATAAGCAAAGGAGAAAGAAGAACCTTTTCAGACAAGCAAATACTAAGAAAATTTGTTACCACAAGATCTGCCTTAAAAGTGGTCCTTAAAGGAGTGCTAAATACAGAAAGGAAAGACTGTTAATGGCCACCATGGAAATACACGTAAGTAAGTACATAGACCATTGGCACCATAAAGCAACTACACAATCAAGTCTGCTTAATAACCAGCTAACAACATGATGACAGGCTCAAATATGCATATATCAATATTAAACTTTAATGTAAATGGTCTAAATGCCCACAGAATGGCAAGTTGGATAAAGAAGCAAGAGCCAACTATATGCTTTCTTCAGGAGACCCATCTCAAATGGAATGACCTATAGTCTCAAAGAAAGGGATGGAGAAAAATCTATCAAGCAAATGGAAAACAGAGAAAAGCAGGGGATACTATCTTAATTTCAGGAAAAACAGACTTTAAACCAACAATGATCATAAAAGACATGACATAATGGTAAAGGATTTAATTCAACAAGAAGACCTAACTATCCTAAATATACATGCACCCAACGCAGGAGCACACAGACTCATAAAGCAAGTTCTTAGAGACTATGAAGAGACTTAGATAGTCACGCAGTAATAGTAGGAGACTTCATCACCACCCCCCCAACAGTAACATAGTCCCATTCTGTAACAGTGACACAGTCTCATTCACAATAGCCACAAAAAGAATGAAATACCTAGGAACACACCTAACCAGGGAGGTGAATGATCTCTACAATGAGAATTGTAAAACACTGTTCAAAGAAATCAGAGATGACACAAACAAATGAAAAAACATTTCATGATCATGGATAGGAAGAATCAACATTGTTTAGATGGACATCCTGCAGAAAGCAATGTACGGAGTCAATGCTGTTCCTATTAAACTACCAATGACATTCTTGACAGAATTAGAAAAAAATCAACTTTAAAATTTAAACGGAACCAAAAAAGAGCCCGAATAGCCAAGACAATCCTAAGAAAAAAAAAAAAAAAAAAGCTGAAGGTATCACATTACCCAAATTCAAACCATACCACAAGGCTACAGTAACCAAAACAGCACGATACTGGTATAAAAACAGACATGACCAGGCACGGTGGCTCACACCTGTAATCCTCGCACTTTGGGAGGGTGAGGCAGGCGGATCACCTGAGGTCAGGAGTTAAAAACCAGCCTGGCCAACACGGTGAAACCCAGTCTCTACTAAAAATACAAAAAAATTAGCCAGGTGTGCTGGCTCATGTCTGTAATCCCAGCTACTTGGGAGGCTGAGGCAGGAGAATTGCTTGTACCTGGGAGGTGGAGACTGCAGTGGGCCGAGATCGCACCACTGCGCTCCAGCCTGGGTGACAGAGTGAGACTCCTTCTCAAAAAAAAAAAAAAAAAAAAAAGACACATGGACCGATGGAACAGAGTAGAGAGCACAGAAATAAAGCCATACACCTCAATCATTTGATCTTTGACAAAGCTAACAAAAACAAGCAATGGGGAAATGACTTTCTATTCAGTAAATAGTGGTAGGATAACTGGCTAACCATATGCAGAAGATTGAAAATGTATCATTTCCTTTCACCATATACAGAAACCAATTCAAGGTGCATTATAGACAAATGTGAAACCCAAAGCTATAAAGACTCTAGAAGTAAACTAGGAAGTACATTCTGGACATAGGCCCTGGCAAAGATTTCATGATAAGGACTCAAATGCAATTGTAACAACAACAAAAATTGACAAGTAGGACCTAATTTTACTAAGAGCTTCTGCACAGCTAAAGAAACTATCAACAGAGTAAACATATGACTTACAGAATGGGCGAAAATATTTGCAAACTATGCATTTGACAAAGATCTAATATCCAGCATCTATAAGCAACTTAAATCAACAAGCAAGAAACAAACAACCCCATTGAAAAATGGGCAAAGAACATGAACATACACTTTTGAAAAGAAGACATACATGTGGCCAACAAGCATATGAAAAAACGATCAACATTACTGATCATTAGAGCAATGCAAATGAAAACCACAATGTGATAACATTTCACACCAGTCAGAATGGCTATTTATTAAAAAGTCAAATAAATAAGAGATGCTGGTGAGGTTGTGGAGAAAGGAGAATGCTTATAAACTACTGGTGGGAATATAAATTAGTTCAGCCATTATGAAAAGTAGTTTGATTCTCTCAAAACTTAAAATGAAACTACCATTTGACCCAGCAATGACATTACTGAGTACATACCTGAAGGAATATACATCATTCTACCATAAAGACAGCCACACGTGCATGTTCATCGCAGCACTATTCACAATAGCAAACATATAGAATCAACCTAAATGCTCATCAGTGAGTGGACAGGCATATGAAAAGGCGTTCAACATCATTGATTATCAGAGAAATGCAAATCAAAAGTACAATGAGATGCCATCTCACCCCAATTAAAAAACCTTTTATCGAAAAGACAGGCAATAACAGATGCTGGTGAGGATGTCGAGAAAAAGGAACCCTTGTACACTATTGGTGGGCAGGTAAATTAGTACATCCACTATGGAGAACAGTTTGGCAGTTTCTCAAGAAGCTAAAAATTGAGCTACCATATGATCCAGCAACTCACTGCTGGGTATATACCCAGAAGAAAGAAAATCAGTATATTCAAGATATATCTGCACCCCATATATTGGTTGCAGCACATTTTACAATAGCTAAGATTTGGAAGCAACCTAAGTGCTAATCAACAGATGAATGGATTTTAAAAATGTGGTTCATATGCACAGTAAAGTACTATTCAGCTATTAAAAAAGAATGAGATTCAAACATTTGCAACAAATGCAGATGTTTGGAACTGGAGATCATTCTGTTAAGTGAAATAAGCCAGGCATAGAAAAACAAACATCATATGTTCTCACTCATTTGTGGGAGGCAAAAATCAAAACCACTGAACTCATGGATATTGAGAGTAGAGGGATGGCTACTGGAGCCTGGGAAGGGGAGTGGGGGTGTTGTGGGAAGTTGGGGATGGTTATTTGGTACCAAAAATTAGAAAGAATGAATAAGACCTACTATTTGATAGCACAGCAAGGTGACTATAGTCAATAATAGTTTGATTGTACATTTTACAATAACTCAAAGAGTATAATTGGATTGTTTGTAACTCAAATGATAAATTCTTGAGGGAATGGATGTCCCATTTTCCATGATGTGCTTATTTCACATTGCCTATGGGTATCAAAATATCTCTTGTACCCCGTAAATATATACAACTACTATGTACCCACAACAATTAAAAAATATCTAAATGCTCATCAATGGTAGACTGGATAAAGGAAATGTGGTACATATACACCATGGAATACTACACAGCTAGAGCAAAAAATAAGATTATATGTCTTTTGCAGCAACATGGGTGGAGCTGGAGGCCATTATCCTAAGCAAACGACTACAGAAACACATAACCAAATATTGCGTGTTCTCACTTATAAGTGCGAGCTGAACACCAAGTACACATGAACAGAAAGAAGAGAACAACAGACACCAGTGCCTAGTTGAGAATGAAGAGTGGGAGGAGGGTGAGGATCAAAACTATCTATTGAGTATTATCTTATTACTTGGGTGATGATATATTCTGTACAGCAAATCCCTGTGACACACAATTTACCTACATAACAAACCTGCACATATACTGCTGAACCTAAAACGAAAGTTAAAAAATAAGATAACTCATTTCAAATAGTTACCAGTGTCTTACGTATAGTATATGATCAATAACTATTAATTACTATTATGAATTATAAATACTATTGTTATTGAAGGAGGAGAAGGGGAATGCAAATATTAAGCTGGGGCACCATCTCTGTGCCCTTTCATTCCACATTTTCCTTCATGAAAGAGTGTGACAAAGGTACACAATCTCACATAGCAGCTATCAGAAACACAGCTGAAAGTTGAATGTGGGCCTTCTTAATAGTGTGTGGCCGTGAGGCAAGGTACTCTAGGACTATGTGTAAAATAAGAGTATGCAGGCACAGCCACACAGATGCACACTCAGCCACTGTAGTCAGAGTCCTCTCTCTAAAGAGTAAATATGACCCTTATTTAAAATCATAAAGTGTTTTCCCATTTGCCTTAGGGTAGACTTCAAATCCTTTCATGAGGCTCGTAAGGTGATTTTTACCTGGCTATTCAGCCTAGTCATTCTTATCTTCTGTATTAGTCCATTCCCACATTGCTATAAAGACATACCTGAGACTAGGTAATTTATAAAGAAAAGAGGTTTAATTGACTCACAGCTTTCTGAAGGCTCTACAGGAAGCACAGTTGGGTAGGCCTCAGGAAATTTGCAATCATGGCGGAAGGTGAAGGGGAAGCCAGCACATCTTACACGGTGGGAACAGGAAGAGAGAGAGAACTAATGGGGAGGTGCTACACACTTTTCAAAGAACTCACGAGTTCTCAGATCTCGTGAGAACTCTATCATGAGACAGCACTAGGTGAAAATGCTAAACCATTAGAAAACACCCACATGATCCAGTCATCTCCCACTAGGACGCACCTCCAACATTGTGAATTGTAATTCAACATGAGATTTGGTTGCAGACACAGAGCCAAACCATGTCATCTTTCCTTTCTCTGTTCCAGCTGCTTTGAGGTTATTTCATTTATTTGAATGTGCCATATTTTGCAATTTTTGTATGTTGTTGCTGCTCCTTTAGTTTCCCCCTATCCTTTTCCAAACTATTTACTTGTGCTTCAAGCTAAGCTTAAATGACCTCTTCATGGAAGGCTTCCATGACACCCAGACTAGTGTATCACACTTATAGGTATGCTGTGAGAGCATAATGTACCCCTCTTTTCTGTAACATCTTTGAAAACTTGTTATGGACTGAATTGTGTCCCCTCCAGATTTATTTGTTGAACCAATGTAACTGTTTTTTGAGATAGGGCTTGTAGGATGTAATTAAGGTTAAATGGGGGTAACAATGGTGGGGCTTTAATCCAACAGGACTGGTATCTTTATAGATAGAGGAGGGGATAACAGAGATATCCTTTTTCTGTGCAAACACAGAGAAAAGGCCATGTGAGGACACAGCAAGAATGTGGTCATCTGCAAGCCAAGGAGAGAGGACTTACCAGAAACCAACTCTGCTGGCGTCTTGATTTTAAACTTCTAGCTTTGAAAAATGTGGAAAAAAAATAAGTGTTTGTTGTTTAACCCATACGTTCTATGGTATTCTGCTAGGCAACTTGAGCAAACTACAAGTCCATAGTATTTTAATTGTTTAATTATTTAATGTCTGTTTTTTTCTGATTTTTTAAAGTACCTTATGAGCCAAGAACAGTGTCTGCCTCATTTATTTTTTATTCCTCCAGGGCCTATAAGAGTACTTGACACATTGTAGATTTTGAATAAATATTTATTCAATAAATAAGCTGCTACTTTTTTTCCTTTATAAACTATGGGATCATTAGAATACACGTCTCGCTTGTTACTACTGTGTGTTAAGCATACCTAATGAAGGACAATTCATTCATTCATTCATTCATACATTTATCAAATACATTGATCAGAGCAAAGTGAAAACCTATGATAAACAGGGAAGAAAACTAGAGATTCAGTTTGGGCTGAAAACCTTTTGCTATGCTTCTTTTCTGACAAAACATAAAGGAGACAAAAACTAACATTTTCATTGTTCTTTAACATGATGATCACATAGGTTCTCAGAGGTTATATACCATAAAAATATATTCCTCAATTGCCAGCATTAATTTTAATCTTGAAAGGCTTTTAACATGAGTGAATGAGATTTCCTTATAGACATCTTTAACAGGCCAAGGTTAGATTTAAATTTAGATTGTTTGGCTAGAGAATCAGCTTATTATTGATGCCTTCTCGTGTATTACTCCTAATATACACAAATAATAAAATGTTTTCCTTGGAAATAGTTTATGGGTAGTTGGCAATGATGTCTTTCCTTCTTTGTCCTTCTTATGCTGGCTTTTGTCACAATCAAGAAGAAAATAAATCAACAATCTTATTAAGACTAATGATTTCTTCAACAGCTTTCTGAGTGTATTAGTAATGAGGTGATGCTTTCTGTAGCAGAAAATAAAATGCAACCCATGAATTTATGACTACTTATTGAATTTTATATGATTTAGTGATACATTTCATGAGCATTTTCACTATGGTATCTTCCAGAAGACCCTGTGTAATTTTTTTAGACTTAAAAACAAACCTCTGTTTGTGTGATTTCAATTTCAGCATGCTCAGTTTTTTTATACCAACTATAAGAAAAGATAAAACATTTGCACCTTCACTTTTGCTAGGTAATTTGGTACCCCCTTTTGTCTCTTTTATGTAATGCAGACTGGAAGATAAGGAGTCTCCAAAGGCCAAGTATATACTTAAAGTAGCTAGACCTCTATTAATGAAGAGGATGCATTGCAATGATAGATTTTGTTTTCAGAAACTTTCTTAGCAGAGGTAACTATTTAAGATACCTAGGACATGGCATTTTAGCCCCATGTTGACATGGTAGTATTGCTTCCCAACTCTTGGAGATCACTGTTCACCCCCATGAACTCCTGACTCTCTCCTTGAATAACTTGCCAATCTCTATTGACATGTGATCCCTATTCTTCTATTTCTGGGAGCCAGGTACATAGTCTTCTGTTCTGCTGGGTTCAGGTCATGTACTTCAGAGAGAGCTTACTGATTCCTCTTTAAGTTACTATCACCTCTTACAAACGGAAAAACATTCCATGCTCATGGATAGGAAGAATCAATATCATGAAAATGGCCATACTGCTGAAAGTAAGTATTCCACTGGGCTATGTGTCTGTTTTTATGCCAGCACCATGCTGTATTGATTACTGTAGCTCTGTCATATAATTTAAAGTCAGGTACTGTGATTCCTCCAGTTTTGTTCTTTTGGCTTAGGATATCTTTTGCTATCCTAGTTGTAGTTTCATGTAAATTTTAGGATTGTTTTTGTCTATTTCTGTGAAGAATGCCATCGGTATTTTGATAAGGATTGCATCAAATCTGTAGATTGCTTGGGGTAGTATGGGCATTTTAACAATATTGATTCTTTCCATCTATGAACATGGAATATTTTCCCAATTTTTGGTGTCCTCTTCAATTTCTTTCATCACTGTTTTATAGTTTTCATTGTAGAAATCTTTCAATCCTTTGATTAAGTTAATTCCTAGTTATTTAATTTTGTGTGTGGCTATGGGATTACTTTTTAACTTCTTTTTCAAATTGTTCACTGTTGGCATATAGAACTGCTACTAATTTTTGTATGTTAATTTTGTATCCTGCAACTTTACTGAATTTGTTTATAAGTTCTAATAGTTTTATTTTGGAATCTTTAGGTTTCTCCAAATATAAGATGATATAATCTGCAAACGAGGATAATTTGACTTCTTCCTTTTCAATTTGGATGCACTTTATATCTTTCTCTTGTCTGATTGCTTTAGCATGGACTTCCAGTGCTATGTTGAATAACAGTGGTGACAATGGACATTCCTGCCGTATTCCATGTCTTAGAGGAAAGGCTTTCTGTTTTTGCCCATTCACTATGATATTTGCTGTGGGTCTGTCATATATGGCTTTTATTATGCTGAGGTAAGTTCTTTTTATCCTCAGTTTTTTCAGGGTTTTTATCATGAAAGAATGTTAAAGTTTTTGAAATTTTTTTTCAGCATCAATTGAAATGATCATATGGTTCTTATCCTTCGTTCTGTTGATATGATGTATTACATCGATTGATTTCTGTATGTTGAGCCATCCTTGCAACCATGGGACAAATCCCACTTGATCATGATGAATGATCTTTCTAATGTAGTGTTGAATTCTGTTTGCTAGTATTTTGCTGAGGATTTTTGCCTCAATATTCATCAGAGATATTGGCCTTTAGTTTTCTTTTCTTTTTTCTTTTCTTTTCTTTTTTCTTTTCCTTTCCTTTCCTTTCCTTTCCTTTCCTTTCCTTTCCTTTCCTTTCCTTTCCTTCTTTCTTTTTCTTTCTTTCTTTCTTTTTTTTTGGAGTTTCACTCTTGTCACCCAGGCTGGAGTGCAGTGGTGTGATCTCTGCTCACTGCAACCTCTGCTTCCCGGGTTCAAGTGATTCTCCTGCCTCAGCCAACCAAGTAGCTGGAATTACAGGCATGTGCCACCACACCTGGCTAATTTTTGTATTTTTAGTAGAGACAGGGTTTCAACTTGTTGGCCAGGCTGGTCTCGAACTCCTGACCTCAGGTGATCCACCCACCTCGGCCTCCCAAAGTGCTAGGATTACAGGCGTGAGCCACTGCACCCAGCCAGTTTTCCTTTTTTTGATGTGTCTTTGTCTGGTTTTGGTATCAGAGTAATACTGGCCTCATAGAATAAGTTTAGCAGTATTCCCTCCTCCTCCATTTTTTGGAATAGAGGAGTAGGGTTGCTATTAATTCTTTTCTAAATGTTTGGTAGAATTTGGCAGTGAAGTCATCAGGTTCCAGGCCATTACTTTCAATGGCAAAAACCGTAATTATTTTTGCACCAACCTACTATTTTAGTTTTGATCTCATTATTTGTTATTCTTCTGTTCAGGTTTTGGAATTCTTCCTAGTTCAATCTTAGCAGGTTTTATGTATCTAGGAATTTGTCAATTTCTTCTAGCCTTTCCAATTTATAGGCATATAGTTGCTCATAGTAGCCACTAATGATCTCTTGAATTTCTACAGTGTCAGTTGTAATGTCTCCTTTTTCATTTCTAAGTTTATTTGGATATTTTTTTTCTTAGTCTGGCTGTTTGTCAATTTTATCTAATCTTTCAAAAATGACTTTTTATTTTATTGATCTTTTGAACCTTCTTTCATTAATTTCTGCTCTAATCTTTATTATTTCTTTTCTTCTACTTATTTGGGTTTTGTTTGATTTTGCTTTTCCAAGATGCATCATTAGATTGTTCAGTTGAAGTCTTTCCTCTTTTTCATGTAAGCACTTATAGCTATAAACTGCCCACTTAGTACTGCCTTTGCTGTGTCCTATAGGTTTTGGTATGTTGTGTTTCTATTATCATTTGTTTTGAGGAATTTTTCAATTTCCTTCTTGATTTATTCATTGACCCACTGGTCACTCAGGTGCATATTGTTTAGTTTCCATGTATTTGTATAGCTTCCAAAATTCTTCTTATTATTAATTTCTAGTTTTATTTCATTGTGGTCAGAGGAGATACTTGATAGTATTTCAATTTTTTGGAATGTTTTAAGACTTGTTTTGTGACCTAATGTGGTCTATCCTTGAGAATGATCATATGCTGAGGAAAAGTGTGTATTCTGTAGCTGTTGGATGAAATATTGTGTAAATAACTATTAAATTCATTTGGTCTATATTGCAGATAAATTCTGATGTTTCTTTGTTGATTTTCTGTCTGGAAGATCTGTCCTATGCTGAAAGTGGTTTGTTAAGTCTCCAGCTATTATTGTATTAGGGCCTACCTCTCTCTTTATCTCTAATAACATTTCTTTATATATCTGGGTGCTCCAGTATTGGGTGCGTATATATTTAAAATTATTATCTACTCTTGCTGAATTAGCCCTTTTATGATTATATAGTGATCTTGTCTCTTCTCATAGTTTTTGTATTGAAATCGATTTCATCTGATATAAGTATAGTGACTCCTGCTTTTTCTTGGTTTCCACTGGCATGGAATATCTTTTTCTAACTCTTTACTTTTAGTCTATGTGTATCTTTATAGGTGAAGTGTGTTTTTTGTAGGCAACAGATCAAGGGGTTTTGTTTTTTCATCCATTTAGCCAGTCTATGTCTTTTTATTAGAGTTTAGTCCATTTACATTGAATGTAATTATTGATAAGTAAGGACTTACTCTTGTCAATTAGTTATGTGTTTCTGGTTGTTTTGTTGTCTTCTCATCCTTCTTCCTTTCCTTCCTGTCTTCCTTTAGCAAAGGTGATTTTCTCTTGTGATATGATTTAGTTTATTGCTGATATGTTTTGGCTGTATCCCTACCCAAAATCTCCTGTTAAATTATAATCCCCATAATACCCATGTGTCAAGAGAGAGACCAGGTGGAGGTAATTGATTCATGGTGGTGGTTTCCCCCATGCTGTTCTCCTAATAGTGAGTGAGTTCTCACAACATATGATGACTTTATAAGTGTTTAGTAGTTCCTCCTGCATTCATTCTCCCTCCTGTCACCTTGTGAAGAAGGTGCCTTGCTTCCCCTTCTTCCATGATTACGAGCTTCCTGAGGTCTCCCCAGCCATGTGGAACTGTGAGTCAATTAAACCTCTTTCCTTTATAAATTACTTAGTCTCAAGTAGTTCTTTATAGCAGTGTGTAAATGGACAAATACACTTGCTTTTCATGGTTTGTGTATCCATTGTATGTTTTTTGATTTGAGGTTACCATTAGGCTTGCAAATACTATTTTATCACCCATTTTTAATCTGAATACAGCATAACACTATTTGCTTAAACAAGCAAGCAAAAATCAAACTAATAATAACTCTATGCCTTAACTTTGTCCCCCTGCTTTTTAACTTTTTGTTTCTATTTATATCTTTTTGTATTGACTATGTCTTGAAAAGTTGTTGTAATTATTATTTTTGATTGCTTCATAGTTTATTCTTTCTACTTAGGATAAGAATAGTTTACATACCACAGTTATAGCGTTACAATAGTCTGTGTTTTTCTGTGTACTTACTATTACCAATAAGTTTTGTACCTTCAGGTGATTACTTATTGCTTATTAATGCCTTTTTCTTTCTAATTTGGTGTCTTAGCATTGAATAGTTGGGTATTTATTGCAGGCTTCACTGTCTGAGCTTATCTGTAGCTGTCCTTGTTGCGAAAGCTTTGCAGATATTTGTAAAGGCTTGGGTGCTGTGATCTAAGCTTTTTCTGCTTCAGGGGGCCTGCCAAGCCTAGTAATACTATAGTTCTTGTTGACTTGTAGAGGTACCTCCTTGATGTTAGTAGAGAAAATCTTGAATTCTCTGGATTACCCGACAGAGACTCTTGTTCTCTTCCCTTACTTTCACCCAAACATTCAGCATGTCTCTCTCTATTCTGAGCCATATAAAGTTGTGGGTGGAGTGACACAAGCACCCCTGTGGCCACCACTATTCTGAATGTACTGGATGAGACCTGAAGTCAGCAGAATGGTGGGTCTCACCCAAGATTTGCTAGAACTAGTCCCTGGCTTATGCCTATGTTTGCTCAAGGCCCTGGGCTCTACAAAGAGCAGGTGGCAAAGCCAGCCAGGCTTGTGTCCTTTCCTTCAGGATAGCAAGTTTCCCCAGGCCCCGGATGGGTCTAGAGTTGCCAACCAGGAGTCTGAGTGTAGAGTGAAAAAACTTAGAGGCCTACCTGGTGTTCTATTGTATTGTGGCTAAGATGGCACTCAAACCATAAGATGCAGTCCTTCCCACTCTTCCCTCCTGTTTCCAAAGGTACAGGAGCCTCACCCTAAAGCCACCACCACCCAAGGTCATGAGGAGTAGTGTTAGAGTACCACTGATGTTCCCTTAAGGCACTAGGATTCACCTAAGATTTTCAGTCCTTACAGCCTAGACTGCCTTTCAAGTTTACCTGGAGACACAGAACACTGTAGCTTTCGCTAGCAAGGTTTGCAGACACTCCAAGTTCCTATTGCTGGCATTAGTTATTCCCCTCTGACTAGGGCTATTTTAAATGCTCCCTCTGTGGGCTGGCATCAGCTGCATTTGGTCTGGTTTTCCTTTCTGCTCTAACAGGACAGCACCGAGTTCAATGCCTCATAATTTCATAATTGCTTTGTTCTCCCTTTGCCAGTGCCCAGAAATGCTCTCTGCACCATGATGCTTTGCTGGGGTTGGGGAAGGGTGACATCAACTCAGGACTGTTTTTTCTATCTCTTCAGTGCCTCTTCCATTGATATAAAGTTAAAACCAGATAAGTGCTCACCTCACTTGGGTTCTTATGAAGGGTTTTTTTTTTTTTTTTCTGTATAGATAGTTGTTAATTTGGTGTCCTTGTCAGCGGGATGATCAGTTGGGCGTAACATTCTGCCATCACACTCGGTCTCCCAATGAGCACTTATGTCTGAGATAAAGTCTACCACTCTTCTGAATCAGTGGATCTACAATGGTAAATATCATGAGAACAAATCTGGGCAATGGTGAACATACATATTTATAGTCTGGGGTTTTTGATAACCTCAGTGTTGACCTATCATCTTTCTTACCACATAGGACACTATAATTATCAAAAAGTCATACTGTGAGATTTGTGCCTTTCAGTTTTCCACTTGATCCTGGCGTAACTTTCCTGCTGCCTTAGCTGACTCCAGCCTCAGGACCTTTAATTGTGTATGGAAAAACCTCAGAGAATCCTCACTTTGCTCAACTAAACTAATTATCAACTAAAAATAACCAACTCACTACTTTCTATGGTTATCAGTATCATTGGGCAAAATGTACCCAGTGTTCAGTGAGATGATGCTAAAGATTTCACAGACAATACAAAGTGACAATGAAAGATGGTAAACCTAAAATTTAAAGCTCTATTTTTTGAAAACTGCTCTCCTGCCATTTACTTCTCATCAGACAGCAGCACAGAGCTATCCTTGTGTTCTTAAATACATAATTGAGGGAACATAGCTGGTTACTTATCTTTAGTTTGTTTTTCTTAAATTGGAAAACAGAAGTGTTTTTCTTTCCAAATTGATTATTTGTGGTACAAACGAATCTAAATCTGTAAACATTAATATCCACTATTCATTACAAATCACACTGCCTCACTAAATGGGAGAAGACTGTGTTAACACTGTATTCTTTGTTCATTATGGCTTACTACCAGAAACAGTGGACTGTTGAGGTACAGAAGTTGTTAAAATTTTCTGCATGTCAGAAACAAAATACCTAAATATTTAAACATTTCCAGACTGACAGATCTTTAGACATGGATAAAAATTCAATCCTCATGAAGCCAAGTCAAGCCACAAGGTAGGTTAGCCTTATTTCTAGAGAGGAGCAGTAAGAAAAAAAATTTAAAATATATTAAACGTCATGCTTATTACTTGTGTGCAATCATTACATCCTGTCTTTAGCAGAGAGCAAAGGGATTGGATCCTATCTCAATGACCCTCACACTGACATACAGTTTTATATTGATAGGTTATTTCTACATCCAGGCAGATAGCCCAGAGCAATAGTGCTTTTCTGAGTTAGAAACAAAGAATTCTATTTGAACAAGAAATTCTGTGTAAAAGATGTACTCATAAGCCTCTGCTTTTAGACAGAAATTTATACTTAACAGACTTATAGAATCTTTATATATATATATATATATATATAATACTTTAAGTTCTAGGGTACATGTGCACAACGTGCAGGTTTGTTACATATGTATACATGTGCCATGTTGGTGTGCTGCACCCATTAACTCATCATATCTCCTAATGCTATCCCTCCTCCCTTCCCCCACCCCACAACAGGCCCCGGTGTGTGATGTTCCCCTTCCTGTGTCCATGTGTTCTCATTGTTCAATTCCCACCTATGAGTGAGAACATGCGGTGTTTGGTTTTTTGTCCTTGCGATAGTTTGCTGAGAATGATGGTTTCCAGCTTCACCCATGTCCCTACAAAGGACATGAACTCATCATTTTTCAATGGCTGCATAGTATTCCATGGTGTATATGTGCCACATTTTCTTAATCCAGTCTATCATTGTTGGACATTTGGGTTGGTTCCAAGTCTTTGCTATTGTGAGAATCTTAAAACTAAAAGGGATTTAAAAAAACATCTAGTCTACTCTGCTTATTTTTCTAGATTAGGAAATTTAGGCCTGAGTAAGGGAAGGGTTTTGCCTAAGTTCCTATGGCTAGTCAGTGCCAGAAACTGGGATTAAAATCCAGGTCTTTTCATTTATAGTCCAGGAGTCTTTTTATCAAATGTATGTTTCTTCTCTTCCCTTCAGAAAGGAAATAAACTGTGGTTGTTAGAAACACAGTCTTGAGGACTAACTTGTATGAGTTAGGCTCCTTATTCTGTCCCCTTGTTAATGTGTGATATATGGCAAATCAAACTTTGGTTCTCATTTTCTCACTGTAAGATGAGGATAGTAATACCGTTTATTTCATAGGATTGCTGTAGGGATTAAATGCCTCAAATAGTGTAAAACACTTAGGACAGTGCCTGCCACATGGTAAGCTGTCAAAAGTGGTATTATTTTATTATTATACTATTAAAGTAATTGGTTTAATGAAGATAGCATTTTTTGACAAAATATTTAACAACCATCTGATATTTGGAAATAGTGAATAAAGAAACAGTAAATGGAAATGCCAACAGACAGCTTTAAAAACACCAACCTATTGGCAGAACTCCATTATTTAAAGGCTCTGTCTGGTCCCTCAAGACATACCTGATGTCAAAAAGGGAGCATTGCTGCTTCTGCACAGATTTCAAGTTAATTTCACCTGTTCTTCCCAATAACTCATAGCACTCCCCCAAAGCATCTACTTATCATTGGTTTATACTTTTTCTTTTTGTTAGGAATATTTACTGTTACTCTTAAAACCAGTGCCAGAAGAAGGACCGAGCAGCATCAACCTTTTGGGAGCAAAGACTCTGGAACCTGCAAAGAAACAAAAAAACAAAAAACAAACAAACAAAATGAAAATGCATGTGGTAGTCATTAATGTTATTTGCTAAATATTCCAATTCTGTCCTCCTTCTGACTCATGATAGGGTTGTACTATCTGGACCCTTATTGTTGTGCAAGTTTGTGTGACCAGTTCTGGCCAATAGCTTGCAAGCAGTAGTGACATGTGTTACTTCTGGCTGAGTACTTAACCAATATATTAATTAGAGCTCTCCTTCCCTCTGCCATGATAATAAACAATGTTCCAGCAAGTGGCTATTTCATCATCCTGGGTCCTAAGAAAAGACAACGTGAAGCAGATACCCCTGCTTACCCTTGATGAATACACAGCATGGGCAAGAATTAATCTTTAGTTTTTTTGAAGCCACTGAGATTTGGGAGTGTGTTACTAAAGCACAGCTTAACCTATCCTGATGGAAACATCTTTCTTTATGTAGCCTTTCTAAAGACAACCCCATTAGTTATCTTTGCTTGCAAATTTAAGTTGAATTAAATGCCATTTTTCTATAAACAATATGGCATGGATATAGAAGGGCCAAAGGGAAAATGGTAGTCCTGGAGTTTTGATTTTTTATTTTGGGAGATATAGATTTGATGCAGAAATTTCACTATGCTTGGCAAATTATCAAATGGCATTCTATCTACATAGGTTTTGCTTAATATGTATTTAATAAGATAAAGCTTCACATTGTAAGCTCTGGAGCAATTGACACAAAACATAATAAAAATAATGGTAAACTTAAAGCCAAACATATCAATAGTCAATTTAAATATAAATGAACTAAACACCACATAAAGGGCAGAGATTTACTGGACTGGATAAAAAAATAAAAAGACCTAAATAAATGCTATCTACAAGAAATGTATTTTAAATTTAAAGATATAGATAATCTGAAGACAAAAGGATAGAAAAGGATATACTATGTAAACTCTAAGTTTCACAAATGTGTCTGAGAAAGGCCCAGAAATGTACCTTTCATGCGTGTCCATGTGAAGAGACCACCAAACAGACTTTGTGTGAGCAACATGGCTGTTTATTTCACCTGGGTGCAGGTGGGCTGAGTCTGAAAAGAGAGTCAGCGAAGGGAGATAGGGGTGGGGCCGTTTTATAGGATTTGGGAAGGTAATGGAAAATTACAGTCAAAGGGGGTTGTTCTCTGGTGGGCAGGGGTGGATCTCACAAAGTACATTTTCAAGGGTGGGGAGAATTACAAACAACCTTCTTAAGGGTGAGGGAGATTACAAAGTACATTGATCAGTTAGGGTGGGGCAGGAACAAATCACAATGGTGGAATGTCATCAGTTAAGGCTGTTTTTACTTCTTTTGTGGATCTTCAGTTACTTTAGGCCATCTGGATGTATACGTGCAAGTCACAGGGGATGCGATGGCCTGGCCTGGGCTCAGAGGCCTGACATTCCTGCCTTCTTATATTAATAAGACAAAACAAAATAGTGTTGAAGTGTTGGGGCGGCAAAAATTTTTGGGGGGTGGTATGGAGAGAGAATGGGCGATGTCTCTCAGGGCTGCTTCAAGCGGGATTAGGGGCGGCGTGGGAACCTAGAGTGGGAGAGATTAAGCTGAAGGGAGGTCTTGTGGTAAGGGGTGATATTGTGGGGATGTTAGAAGAAACATTTGTCGTATAGAATGATTGATGATGGCCTGGATACGGTTTTGGATGAATTGAGAAACTAAATGGAATAAGAGAAGGAGAAAAACAGGTATAAAAGGTCTAAGAATTGGGAGGACATAGGACATCTGATTAGAGAGTGCCTAAGGAGATTCAGCATAGTCCTGCCAGCAAAGATTATTTATTTACTTCAAGAGTTTAGAGTGGCAGTTTGGGGATAGCACCAGGAGATATCAGCTGTGATGGCTTGGAAAAACAGTGTAAACCGGCAGTGTAAACAAGAGCAGGGCATGTATGAGTAGTTGAGAATGGTGAATAGGAGTATGACTAGACAAAAGATAGTAGGGATGACAAGTTTTTTTGGGGCACAGTCTAAGTTGGTCTGGTGTCAAATGAGACTGGGGCCTAATAAAAAGGAGCATCTATACAGGAGCTTAAATGGGCTGTACCTTGTAGCATTCTGAGGACAGGCCTGAATTCTGAGAAGCAAAAGTGGTAAAAGTATTCTCCAGTCCTTTTTAAGTTGGTGGCTGAGCTTGGTGAGGTGTGTTTTTAAAAGACCTTTAGTCTGTTCTACTTTTCTTGAAGACGGAGGACCGTAAGGGATATAGAGGTTTCACTGAAACCTACTAAGAACCTGAAAAACTGCTTGGCTGATTTGACTAATAAAGGCTGGTCTGTTATCAGACTATATAGAGGTGGGAAGGCTAAACTGAGGAATTATGTCTGACAGAAGGAAAGAAATGACTGTGGTGGCCTTCTCAGACCCTGTAGGAAAGGCCTTTACTTATTCAGTGAAAGTGTCTATTTGGACTAAGAGGTATTTTAGTTTCCTGACTTGGGCATGTTGAATAAAGCTAATTTGCCAGTCCTGGGTGGGGGCAAATCCTCGAGCTTGATGTATAGGGAAGGGAGGGGGCCTGAATAATCCCTGAGGAGTAGTAGAATAGCAGATGGAACACTGAAAAGTTATTTCCTTGAGGACAGATTTCCACGATGGAAAGGAAATGAGAGGTTCTAAGAGGCGGACTAGTGGCTTGTACTATATAGCATAGCCTGCCTTTGCTGGTATGTGGCGATTAGGCCTGGTGGAACTGCCATCAATAAATCAAGCATGATCAGGGTGAGGAACAGGAAAGAAGGAAATATGGGGAAATGGGGTGAATATCAGGTGGATCAGAGAGATACAGTCATGGGGGTCAGGTGTGGTATCAGGAATAATGTGGGAGGCCAGATTGAAGTCTGGGCCAGGAACAATGGTAATTGTGGGACTTAAAGAGTGAGTACAGCTGAAGGAGCCGGGGAGCAGAAAGTATATGCATCAGGTGTGAGGAAGAAAATAGATTTTGGAAGTTATGAGAAATGTAGAGAGTGAGTTGAGCATAGTTTGTGATTTTTAGGGCCTCTAAAAGTATTAAAGCAGTGGCAGCCGCTGCACGCAGACATGAGGGCTAGGCTAAAGGTCAAGTTGTTTGGACAGAAAGGCTACAGGGTGCGGTCCTGGCTCTTGTGTAAGAATTCTGACTGCACTAACCATGCCTAGGAAGGAAAGGAGTTGTTGTTTTGTAAGGGATTGAGGTTTGGGAGATTAATCAGACATGATCAGCAGGGAAAGCACGTGTGTTTTTATGAGAATTACGCCGAGATAGGTAACAGATGAGGATTAAATTTGGGCTTGACTGAAGTAATGGGGGCTGTCTGTGAAGCCTTGCAGCAGTACAGCCCAGGTAATTTGCTGAGCCTAATGGGTGTCAGGGTCAGTCTAAGTTAAAGCAAAGAGAGGCTGGGATGAAGGGTGCAAAGGAATAGTAAAGAAAGCATGTTTGAGATCTAGAACAGAATAATGGGTAGTAGAGGGAGGTATTGAGGATAGGAGAGTATATGGGTTTGGCACCACGGGGTGGATAGGCAAAACAATTTGGTTGATAAGGCGCAGATTCTGAACTAACTTGTAAGGCTTGTCTGGTTTTACGACAGGTAAAATGGGGGAATTGTAAGGAGAGTTTATAGGCTTTAAAAGGCCATGCTGTAGCAGGCGAGTGATAACAGGCTTTAATCCTTTTAAAGCGTGCTGTGGGATGGGATCTTGACATTGAGTGGGGTAAGGGTGATTAGGTTTTAATGAGATGGTAAGGGGTGCATGATCGGTCGCCAAGGAGGGAGTAGAGGTATCTTATACTTGTGGGTTAAGGTGAGGGAATACAAGAGGAGGACGCAAAGGAGGCTTTGGATTGGGAAGAAGGGCGGCAATGAGATGCAGCTGTAGTCCAGGAATAGTCAGGGAAGCAGATAATTTAGTTAAAGTGTCTCAGCCTAATAAGGGAACTGGGCAGGTGGGGATAACTAAAAAGGAGTGCTTAAAAGAGTATTATCTAAGTTAGCACCAGAGTTGGGGAGTTTTAAGAGGTTTAGAAGCCTGGCTGTCAATACCCACAACAGTTATGGAGGCAAGGGAAACAGGCCCTTGAAAAGAAAGTAATGTGGAGTGGGTAGCCTCCATATTGATTAAGAAGGGGACGGGTTTACCTTCCACTGTGAGAGTTACCCGAAGCTGGGCGTCCGTGATGGCCTAGGGGGCTTCCGAGGCGATCGGGCTGCATCAGTCTTCAGCCACTAAGCCAAGAAGGAGTCAGTCAGAGAGCCTTGGGCCAGAGTTCCAGGGGCTCTGGGAGTGGCTGCCAGGTGAGTTGAACAGTCCAATTTCCAGTGGGGTCCCGCACAGATGGGACATGGCTTAGGAGGAATCCTGGGCTGTAGGCATTCCTTGGCCTGGTGGTCAGATTTCTGGCACTTGTAGCAAGCTCCTGGGGAAGGAGGTTCTGGAGGAATGCCTGGCTACTGCAGTTCAGGCGTTTGGAAGTTCTTGTGTGCTGGAGATGTGGCTGGGGTTTGTCTCACAGTGGAGGCAAGGAATTGCAACTTTTTTCTATTATTGTACACCTTGAAGGTGAGGTTAATTAAATCCTGTTGTGGGGTTTGAGGGCCAGAATTTAATTTTTGGAGTTTTATTTAATGTCAGGAGCAGATTGGGTAATACAATGTATATTGAGAATAAGATGGCCTTTTGACCTTTTAGGGTCTAGGGCTGTAAAGCGTCTCAGGGTTGCTGCTGAACGAGCCATGAACTGGGCTGGGTTTTTATATTTGATGAAAAAGCCTAAACGCCATCTGATTTGGGATAAAGAAAAAGGAGCATTAACCTTGACTATGCCTTTAGCTCCAGCTACCTTTTTAAGAATAAATTGCTGGGCAGGTGGGGGACGGCTAGTCACAGAACAAAACTGTAAGCCAGACCAGGTGTGAGGAGGGGAGGCGATAAAAAGATTACAGGGTGGAGGAGTGGAGGCTGAGGAAGAATTAGGACCTAGCTTGGGCTGGCAAGGAGGGGAGAGGTCAGATGGATCTGTAGAAAAGGAAGATTAGAAAGACTCAGCGACGCTTGGGGTTGGGACTGAGGGGACAGGCGGGAGGGAAAGAAGGAAGATTTGGGAGGAGTTGCACTGGGCACAGAGACTAGGAAGGGTCTGATGTGTAAAAGAATGCCTGGACGTCAGGCACCTCAGACCATTTGCCCATTTTACGACAAGAATTATTTAGATCTTGTAGGATGGAAAAATTGAAAGTGCCATTTTCCAGCTATTTGGAACTACTGTCGAGTTTGTATTGGGGTCAAGAGGCATTGTAGAAGAAAATATGGCATTTAGGTTTTAGGTCAGGTGTGAGTTGAAGAGGTTTTAAGTTTTTGAGAACACAGGCTAAGGGAGAAGAAGGAGGAATGGAAGGTGGAAGCTTACCCATAGTGAAGGAGGCAAGCCCAGAGAAAAGAGTAGAGACACGGAGAAGGGGTTTGGGGTTTCTTGCCCCCTAGAAAAGCGGGACTTGCTGCTAAGGGTGAAGGAGAGGGGGTTGAGGGATACTTGGCCCTGCCCCAGGAAAGTGGGACTTGCCGCTAAGGGTGAAGGAGAAGGGGTTGAGGGGTACTTGCCCCTGCCCCAGGAAAGCAGAGAAGGGGTAGAGACAAGGAGAGAAGGGGTTGGGGTACTTGCCCCTGCCCCAGGAAAGCAGAGAAGGGGTAGAGACAAGGAGAGAAGGGGTTGGGGTACTTGTCCCTTCCCCAGAAAAGCAGAGAAGGGGTAGAGACAAGGAGAGAAAGGGTTGGGTACTTTCCCCTTCCCCAGAAAAGCGGGACTTGCTGCAAAGGGTGAAGGACCAAGGCAGGCATCCCTGCGTGGTCTGACACCCTTGAAACGTGGGTGTATAATCAGAGAGGCGTCCCTGCAATGATTAAACACCAAGGGAAGGCTGCCTTCCCAGTCCGTGACTGGTGCCGGAGTTTTGGGTCCACGGATAAAACGTGTCTCTTTTGTCTCTACCAGAAAATAAAAGGAATTGAAATTAAGAGAAGGGAAAGATTGAAGTGTAGTGCCAAGATTGAAAGGAGAAAGAGGTTGAGGGATAGTGAGGGAAGTTGGAGAAGAGAGTAAAAAGAGGCCGCTTACTGGATTTGAAATTGGTGAGATGTTTCTTGGGCTGGTCGGACTGAGGACCTGAGGTTGTAGGTGGATCTTTCTCACGGAGCAAAGAGCAGGAGGACAGGGGATTGATCTCCCAAGGGATGTCCCCCGATCCAAGTCACCGCACCAAATTAGCGGGCAGGGGTGGATCTCACAAAGTACATTCTCAAGGGTGGGGAGAATTACAAAGAACCTTCTTAAGGGTGGGGGAGATTACAAAGTACTTTGATCAGTTAGAGTGGGTCAGGAACAAATCACAATGGTGGAATGTCATCATTTAAGGCTGTTTTTACTTCTTTTGTGGATCTTCAGTTACTTTAGGCCATCTGGATGTATACGTGCAAGTCACAGGGGATGCGATGGCCTGGCCTGGGCTCAGAGGCCTGACAGTACCCTGGAAAGTATTACAGTCGGGTAAATGAGAAAGAGAAGAAAGATATTCAAACAAAGTACAGGTTTTAATTGTTTTCAAATACTAAGCATTATTTTATATATTTTTTGAGATAAAGCAGTCATACAAAAAACCTCATAAAATATTAATATTTAGAATGCAGAGGACTTGAAAGTCATTTAATCCAGCATTTCCAAATGACATAGAAATGCCACTTATGGTACGTTGAAAGGTGGCATTAAAAAACATTTTAAAAGCTATGAATTTAATGATTCACCAGGAAACACTATAACTAGCATATTACAATCATGATTTCACCAATATTATTTACTACTAAACACAAAACGTGTTTTAATTTAAAGAAAATTATTAGGTAATAATACTTATTACCTAATAATATTATTATATTTATTATTACCTAATATTATAATACTTATTATTACCTAATATAATACTTATTATTGCCTAATATAATACTTATTATTACCTAATAATATTATAATACTTATTATTACCTAATAATATTATAATACTTATTATTACCTAATAATACTTATTATTACCTAATAATTATTAGGTAAATGATAACAGATATGGTATTCAAATACGGTAAAAATAATGACAGTGGTAAGAAAACAACTAAATGACTAAATTCTTTGATTGAACCCAGTTCTCTCATGGGAAAAACTGAGGCCCAGAGAGAAGAAATAACTCACTTGCCTAAGGTCACATGGTAATTGAATGGCAAGCCTAAGTCTAGAAACCAATTCTAATATTCATTAGAGTGCTTTTCCCCAGCTATACTATTTAAGAAGCAGTATTAATTAGCTGGATATTTTAGAACATTTTCTAGTAAGAGACAACTAAATGATCTGATGTTATGTATTTACTAAACATTGTAACCTGCCAGGACAGAATGAGTTCAATACAGATTCAGCCAAATTTCTTTGTCCATCTTCACCATCTTTCTTACTTACTGGTGGTTGATGTTAACTCTGAAGTGCTAAAGTCCTGACCCATCAAAGAACAATGATTTTACTGGTAATCATTACAAGTGGTAATGTTTTCCACTTGTAAACATTTTTATATGTTTATTATCTCTCATCCCCATTAGAATGTAAACTACATGAGACAGGGACTATTTTGCTCACTGCTTATATAATCAGAATCTAGAATGGTGCCTTACCTATAGTGAGTGCTAATTCATTATTTGTTGGTTAAATAAATGTGAAAGATCAAGATGATAATGTAACCCCCAAAACAGAGGTTATATATCTTGGCACATGTTCATGTGTCATTAATTCAATAGAAGTAGCTATTTATTCATTTAACAAACATCGGTGCAGTATCTGCCACGTGACAGGCACTGTCCTGGCATGAATAATACAATAATGAATGAGACAATCATGACATCTCTTTTCACAGAACTCATTTTCTATGAGAAAAACCCCAGACTAGCAAATATGATCAAATATGTTAAGTTTTACATTAGGTATATGTTTAAAGGTGCTATAGGAGGCATATAGGGGGTACACTTCACTCAGACATGAAAGTAAGGAAAATTTAAGCTGAACCTGAAAGATAAGTGCAATTATTTAGTGAAAAACAGCTTATGATTACTTACCACTGCAGTAATACCCCAGAGCCTGCCTAGAAAAAAATACCATATATGTAAAATGTCTTGTCTGCCCCTGCCTTTTTCCCATGAGTGTCTCTGACAGATTTCTACCTTGTATTCTCTTTCCGAAGGGCCTTGCCCTCAACTGTGCTTCACTATGGTAATAGCTGAAAAAAGTTCAAGGCATTTTTCCTTCCAGAGATATTCTAAGGAAACAGAATTACCCAATCTTTGTATCCTTTTCTCAACTATAAAGAGAAATTTAACATGCTTTAATGGCAACTTATATTTGTAGCATTGTTCAGAGAAGAGGTCCTGGAGCTAAACAGTCCACTGTTCAGCCACTTCTTTTTAAAATAGCAGTTTATCGGAACACTGCCATGCTCATTTACACATTGCTTATGGCTGCTTTTGCCCTACAATGACAGTATGTAGTTGCAGCAGAAACTGTATGGCATCTCTGAGCTAAGATAATTGCTATCTGGATATTTACTGAAAAAGTTTGCCAACCCTTAGTTTAAAATTGTGATTCTACTCTTAAAATACTTAATAATTTTTACAATGGAAAATTAAATTTACTGGCATATTTGGTCAATTTCTCTACTTATTACAGTTTTCAGAAATACACCTTTCTTCTGTGTTTACTTTTCTTCTTTTTTAGATGTATCTCTTAAAAATGCTTTTAGTAAGAACTTGTAATAAACTTTCTTACTCAATCCATGTTTGAAAATGCCTGTATATTGGCCTTGTTCATAAATGATCATTTAATTGAGTACGAAATTCCAAATTCACAGTCTTTTCTCACCCCTAGTACTTTGAAGTTATCATTTTATTGTCTATGGACTCTTTTTTTTTAGTTGAGAAATCAGCTCAGTCTTTTGTTTATTATCTGTCTTTTCTGTGTAATATTTTTAAAGATTGTCTCGTTAACTTGTTGCTCTGCAGTTTTATAAGGTTTTCCTAGGCATAGATGTATTTTTATTTAGCCTATTTGGTGCTTGGAATGCACTTTCAGTCTAAGAAGCTGCTTTTAGTTCCACAAAATTTTCAGCTATTACATCTTCAAAAAGTTCTTTCCTATTTAAAGTTTTATTTCATTTGTAATTTTATATATATACATATATATATATAATTGCATATATTTATGGGGTACAATGTCATGTTTCAATATAGGTATACATTATGGAATGACCAAATCAGGCTAATTGACATATCCATCATCTGACATACTTATCATTTTGTTTTGGTGAGAACATTTAAAATTTCCCCTTTTAGCTATTTTTAAATATACATTATTATTAACTACTGTTACCATGCTGTGCAATAGGTCACCAGAATTTATACCTCCCATCTAATTGAAACTCTCTACCCTTTGATCAACATCTTCTCTTTTACCATCCACCCTCCTCTCCTCCTCTGGTAATCACCATTCTACTCTCTACATCTATGAATTCAGCTTTCTTATATTCCACATATAAGTGAGAGCATACAGTATTTGTCTCTCTGTGCCTGGCTTATTTCACTTAGCATAATGTCATTTGGGTTCATGTTGTTGCAAGTGACAGAATTTCTTGCTTTTTTTTTCTCTTATCATTAGTGTTTAATAATTTTTTAAATAAATACATTTATGAATGAATAATTATTGATCCTGGTTATCTTGGGATCTAGGATAAAGTAATAGATCTAAAACTATTTTCATTGAAACACAGCACAATGTTCAAAGAAATTGAAACTCATTATTCTGATTCATGGGCTAATGCTCTGATGATTACTGTTGCTTCATCCACAGTGTTCTTCATCTTGAAAATGTGAAAACACTAGTCTGGGTTTTGTTTTTAATACATGAAAGAGTATTTCAAAGAGTAATTGAGTGAGGGTTTCTAAGTAAAATATTTCATTTACTACTCCTATAATTTTATTCATGTACATCTAATAAAGCTTTGTCAAAGTGACAGCCTTACATGCCCACTTAAAATAACAGGTATTCCTTGAAAAAACCAACTCTACAGAATTCTATGTAGCATAATGGTGGCCCTCACTTTTTTTTCCACTTCTTAATTATGCACTAGCATCAAGCTTCTTGATCAGGGCAGACCTGTGAGATGCCAGCACGGCGTACAACTCTAGAGTCTCCTCTGATTCTGCAGTCCAAATGGATGGTAATCCCCAGGAGTGATATAGTGCACAGCCATGCAACTGTGGCACTGGAAAATAAAGTGAAGAAAGACACTGGTGAGGGGCCAGGACAGAACAGAAAGACAGCATATAAATGAAGAAATAAAGCTGTCTATTCAAATTCTATGTCTCTATGTGGTTGGTATGGACATGCTCCAGACACAGATTAGAGAAGAGACAGAGGATACAGAGACGTGCTTTCAACTGGTCCGAAAAGTCCAGGAGGATTTTTTCACTGTGAGCAGGAGTTATCAAAAACAGACAGCTCCTTAGAATTAACAGCATCAATTACTAGTGACTTTAGAACCTATGTAATCTGAGAACTGAAAAGATAATAGATAAGGTTCACAATCTGAGAGCCTATGTTGAAAGATGGGAATGCTGCCAACTTCAGACAGGGCAGAGAGTACAAATAGCAGTAAGCAGTTGGAAAAGGATTGTGCTCCTAAGAAAGTCAGGTGGGAGGTTCTTGTTTCTTTTTTGTTTTTAATTTTATGTTTTTGTGGCAGGGTCTCTCTCTGTCACCCAGGCTGGAGTACAGTGGCACGATCACGGCTCACTGCAGCTTCAACCTCCCATACTCAAGTGATCCTGCCACCTCAGCCTCCCAAGTAGGTGGGACCACAGGTGAGCACCACAATGCCTAGCTAATTTTAGTTTTTCTAGAGACAGGGTCTTGTTATGTTGCCCCAGCTGGTCTCAAGCTTCTGGGCTCATGCAATCCTCCTGCCTCAGCCTGGCAAAGTGCTGGGATTACAGGTGTAAGTTACCATGCCCAGCCAGGCTCTTGTTTCTAATGGCCCTTGACTCTCATAATTTTCATTCTTCTTTTCCAGGAATCTTCCACAAGATGTTTCTGTACACTAAAACATGGAATGTGAAAGACTTAATATGTACATTTAAATTAATTTAAAAATTACTCCCACTGTTTTAATTCCTGCATTTACAGGGCTGGAGCCACAATGTCATAGGTAATTTATAGACAAGTATTACTTTTTTTTGGAGAGGCAAATCTTTTGTTGGTACCTAGCATATTTTTTTAAATATTATTATATTTTAAGTTCTGGGATACATGTGCAGAATGTGCAGGTTTGTTATATATATATATATACACATGCCGTGGTGGTTTGCTGCACCCATCAACCTGTCATCTACATGAGGTATTTCTCCTAATTCTATCCCTCCCCTAGCACCCTACCAGGCCCTGGTGTGTGATGTTCCCCTCCCTGTGTCCATGTGATCTCATTGTCCAATTCCCACTTATGAGTGAGAACACGTGGTGTTTGGGTTTCTGTTTCTGTGTTAGTTTGCTGAGAATGATGGTTTCCAGCTTCATCCATGTCACTGCAAAGGACATGAGCTCATACTGCATAGTATTCCATGGTGTATATGTGCCACATTTTCTTTATCCAGTCTATCATTGATGGACATTTGGGTTGGTTCTAAGTCTTTGCTAATGTGAACAGTGCTGCAGTAAGCATATATGTGCATGAGTCTTTATAGTAGAATAATTTATAATCCTTTGTGTGTATACCCAGTAATCGGATTGCTGGGTCAAATGGTATTTCTGGTTCTAGATCCTTGAAGAATTGTCACACTGTTTTCCACAATGGTTGAACTAATTTACACACCCACCAACAGTGTAAGAGTATTCCTATTTGTCCACATCCTTTCCAGCATCTGCTGTTTCCTGACTTTTTAATGATCACCATTCTAACTGGAGTGAGACAGTATCTCATTTTGGTTTTGATTTGCATTTCTCTAATGACCAGCGATGATAAGCTTTTTTTTCATATGTTCATTGAACACATAAATGTCTTCTTTTGAGAAGTGTATGTTCATATCCTTTGCCTACTTTTTGATGAGGTTGTTTGTTTTTTTCTTGTAAATTTGTTTAAGTTCTTTGTAGATTCTGGATATTAGCCCTTTGTCAGATGGATAGATTGAAAAATTTTCTCCCATTCTGTAGGTTGCGTGTTCACTCTGAGGATAGTTTCTTTTGCTGTGCAGAAGCACTTTAGTTTAGTTAGATCCCATTTGTCTATTTTGGTTTTTGTTACCATTGCTTTTGGTGTTTTTGTCATGAAGCCTTTGCCCATGCCTATGTCCTGAATGGTATTGCCTAGGTTTTTCTCTAGGGTTTTGATGGTATTCGGTCTTATGTTTAAGTCTTTAATCCATCTTGAGTTAATTTTTGTATAAAGTGTAAGGAAGGGATCCAGTTTCTGTTTTCTGCATATGGTTAGCGAGTTTTCCTAACACTATTTATTAAATAGAGAATTTTTTCCCCATTGATTGCTTTTGTCAGGTTAGTCAAAGATCAGATGGTTGTAGATGTGTGGCGTTATTTCTGAGGCCTCTATTCTGTTCCATTGGTCTATATATCTGTTTTGATACCAGTACCATGCTGTTTTGGTTACCATAGCCTTGTAGTGTAGTTTGAAGTCAGGTAGCATGATGCCTCCAGCTTTGTTCTTTTTGCTTAGGAGTGCCTTGGCTATACGGGCTCTTTTTTGGTTCCCTGTAAAATTTAAAGTAGTTTTTTATAATTCTGTGAAGAAAGTCAATGGTAGGTTGATGGAGATAGCATTGAATCTATAAATTACTTTGGGTATTATGGTCATTTTCATGATATTGATTCTTCCTCTCCATGAGCATGGAATGTTTTTCCATTTGTTTGTGTCCTCTCTTACTTCCTTGAGCAGTGGTTTGTAGTTCTCCTTGAAGAGGTCCTTCACATCACTTGTAAGTTGTATTCCTAGGTATTTTATTGTCCTTGTAGCAATTGTGAATGAGAGTTCATTGATGATTTGGCTCTCTGTTTGTCTGTCATTTGTGTATAGGAATGCTTGTGATTTTTGCACATCGATTTTGTAACCTGAGGCAATGCTGAAGTTGCTTATCAGCTTAAAGAGATTTTGGACAGAGATGGTGGAATTTTCTAAATATACAATCATGTCATCTGCAAACAGAGACAATTTGACTTCCTCTCTTTCTGTTTGAATACGCTTTATTTCTTTCTCTTGCCTTATTGCCCTGGCCAGAACTTCCAATACTATGTTGCATAGGAGTGGTGAGAGAGGGCACCCTTGTCTTGTGCCAGTTTTCAAAGGGAATGCTTCCAGCTTTTGTAGATTCAGTATGATATTGGCTATGAATTTGTCATAAATAGCTCTTATTATTTTGAGATATGTTCCATCAGCGCCTAGTTTTTTGAGAGATTTTAGCATAAAGTGGTGTTATATTTTTTCAAAGGCCTTTTCTGCATCTATTGAGAAAATCGCGTGGTTTTTGTCATTGGTTCTGTTTATGTGATGGATTATGTTTATTGATTTGCATATGTTGAACCAACCTTTCATCCTAGGGATGAAGCCGACTTGATCTTGGTGGATAAGCTTTTCGATGTGCTGCTGGATTCAGTTTACCAGTATTTTATTGAGGATTTTCGCATCAATGTTCATCAAGGATATTGGCCTGAAATTTTCTTTTTTTGCTGTGTCTCCACCAGGTTTTGGTATCAGGATGATGCTGGCCTCATAAAATGAATTGGGGAGGAGCCCCTCTTTTTCTATCACTTGGAATAATTTCAGAAGGAATGGTACCAGCTCCTCTTTGTACCTCTGGTAGAATTCCGCTATGTATCCATCTGATCCTTGGCTTTTTTTAGTTTGTAAGCTATCAATTACTGCCCCAATTTCAGAACTTATTATTGGTCTATTCAGGCATTCAACTTCTTCCTGGTTTAGTCTTGGGAGGGTGTATGTGTCTGGGAATTTATCCATTTCTTCTAGATTTTCTAGTTTATTTGCATAGAGGCATTTATAGTATTCTCTTATGGTAGTTTGTATATCTGTGAGATCAGTGGTGATATCACCTTTATCTTTTTTTATTATTCTATTTGATTCTTTTCTGTTTTCTTCTTTATTAGTCTGGCTAGGGGTCTATCTATTTTGTTAATCTTTTCAACCAACCAGCTCCTGGATTTATTGATTTTTTGAAGGGTTTTTTGTGTCTTTATCTCCTTCATTTCTGCTCTGATTTTAGTTATTTCTTGTCTTCTGCTAGCTTTTGAATTTGTTTGTTCTTGCATCTCTAGTTCGTTTAATTGTGATGTTAGGGTGTCACTTTTAGATCTTTCCCACTATCTCCTGTGGGCATTTAGTGCTATAAATTTCCCTCTAAACACTGCTTTAGTTGTGTCCCAGAGATTCTGGTATGTTGTGTCTTTGTTCTCATTGATTTCAAAGAACTTGTTTATTTCTGCCTTCATTTCGTTATTTACCCAGTAGTCATTCAGGAGCAGGTTGTTCAGTTTCCACGTAGTTGTGCAGTTTTGAGTGAGTTTCTTAATCCTGAGTTCTAATTTCATTGCTTGTGGTCTGAGAGACTGTTTGTTATGATTTCTGTTATTTTGCATTTTGTGATGAGTGTTTTACTTCTAATCATGTGGTTAATTTTAGAAAAAGTGTGATGTCGTGCTGAGAAGAATGTATATTCTGTTGATTGGAGGTGGAGAGTTCTGTAGATGTCTATTAGGTCCACTTGGTCCAGAGCTGAGTTCAAGTCCTGAATATCCTTGTTGATTTTCTCTCTTGTTGATCTGTCTAATATTGACAGTGGGGTGTTAAAGTCTCCCATTATTATTGTATGGGAGTCTAAGTCTCCATGTATGTCTCTAAGAACTTGCTTTATGAATCTGGGTGCTCCTGTATTGGGTGCATATATATTTAGGATAGTTAGCTCTTCTTGTTGCATTGATCCCTTTACCATTATATAATGCTCTTCTTTGTCTTTTTCAGAGACTAGAATTGCAACCCATGCTTTCTTTTTGTTTTCCATTTGCTTGGTAAATCTTCCTTCGTCCCTTTATTTTGAGCACATGTGTGTCTTTGCACATGAGATTGGTCTCCTGAATGCAGCACACCAATGGGTCATGACTCTTTATCCAATTTGCCAGTCTGTGTCTTTTAATTGGGGCATTTAGCCTGTTTACATTTAAGGTTAATATTTTTATGTGTGAATTTGATCCAGTCATTCTGATGCTAGTTGGTTTATTTTGTCCATTAGTTGATGCAGTTTCTTCATAGTGTCGATGGACTTTATAATTTGGTATCTTTTGCAGTGGCTGATACCAGTTTTCCCTTTGCATTTGTAGTGCTTCCTTCAGGAGGTCTTGTAAGGCAGGCCTTGTAGTAACAAAATCTCTCAGCATTTGCTTATCTGTAAAGGATTTTATTTCTGCTTCGCTCATGAAACTTAGTTTGGCTGGATATGAAATTCTGGGTAGAAAAATTCTTTTCTTTAAGAATGTTGAATATTGGCCCCCACTCTCTTCTGGCTTGTAGGGCTTCTGCAGAGAGATCCACTGTTAGTCTGATGAGCTTCCATTTGTCGGTAACCTGACTTTTCTCTTTTGCTGCCCTTAACATTTTTTCCTTCATCTCAACCTTGGTGAAGCTGACAATTATATGTCTTGAGGTTGCTCTTCTCGAGCGGTATCTTTGTGGTGTTCTCTGTATTTCCTGAATTTGAATGTTGGCCTATCTTGCTAGGTTGGGGAAGTTTTTCTGCATAATATCCTGAAGAGTGTTTTTCCACTTGGTTCCATTATCCCTGTCATTTTCAAGTACTCCAATCAAACGTAGGTTTGGTCTTTTCACATAGTCCCATATTTCTTGGAGGCTTTGTTCTTTCCTTTTCATTTCTTTTTCTCCAAACTTGTCTTCACACTTTATTTTATTAAGTTGATCTTCAATCTCTGATATCCTTTCTTCTGCTTGATCAATTGGGCTATTGATACTCGTGTATGCTTCATGAAGTTCCTGTGCTGTGTTTTTCAGCTCTATCAGGTCATTTGTGTTCTTCTCTAAACTGGTTATTCTAGTTAGCAATTCCTCTAACCCTTTTTCAAGGTTCTTAGCTTCCTTGCATTGGGTTAGAACATGCTCCTGTAGCTCAGAGGGTTTGTTATTACCCAACTTCTGAAGCCTTCTTCTGTCCCTTTGTCAAACTCATTCTCCATCCAGGTTTGTTCCCTTGCTGGAGAGAAGTCATGATCCTTTGAAGGAGAAGAGCCGTTCTGTTTTTTGGAATTTTCAGTCTTTTGGGGCTGGTTTTTCCTCATCTTCATGGATTTATCTACCTTTGGTTTTTGATGATGGTGCCCTTTGGATGGGGTTTCTGTGTGGACGTCCTTTTTGTTGATGTTGATGCTATTCCTTTCTGTTTGTTAGTTTTCCTTCTAACACTCAGTCCCCTCTGCTGCAGGTCTGCTGGACTTTGCTGGAGGTCCATTCCAGACCCTGTTTGCCTGGGTATCACCAGCAGAGTCTGCAGAACAGCAAAGACTGCTGCCTGTTCCTTCCTCTGGAAGCTTCTTCCCAGAGGGGCACCCACAAGATGCCAGCCAGAGCTCTCCCGTATCAGATGTCTGTTGACCCCTGCTGTGAGGTGTCTCCTAGTCGGGAGGTATGGGGATCAGGGACCCACTTGAGGAGGCAGTCTGTCCCTTACCAGAACCCAAGTACTCTGCTCTGAGATCTGCTGTTTTCTTCAGAGCTAGCAGGAAGGAAGGTTCTCTTCAGAGCCAGCAGGAAGTCTGCTGAAGCTGCACCCACAGCTGCCCCTTCCCCCAGGTGCTCTGTCCCAGGGAGATGGGAGTTTTATCTATAAGCCCCTGACGGGAGCTGCTGCTTTTCTCTCAGAGTTGCCCTGCCCAGTGAGGAGGAATCTAGAGAGGCCGTCTAGCTACATTGGTTTGCCAAGCTGCAGTGGGCTCTGCCCAGTTCAAACTTCGTGGTGGCTTTGTTTACACTGTGAGGGAAAAATCTCCTACTCAAGCCTCAGTAATGGCGGACGCCCCTCCCCCCACCAAGCTTGAGCATCCCTGGTCAACTTCAGACTGCTGTGCTGAGTGGAACTTAGCTTGCTGGTCTCCGTGGGGGTGGGATTTGCTGAGCTAGACCACTTGGCTCCCTGGCTTCAGCCCCTTTTCCAGGGGAGTGAACAGTTCTGTCTTACTGGCATTCCAGGCACCATTAGGGTATGAATAAAATCTCCTACAGCTAGCTTGGTGTCTGTCCAAATTGCCACCCAGTTTTGTGCTTGAAACCCAGGGCCCTAGTGGTGTAGGCACCCGAGGGAATCTGCTGGTCTGCAGGTTGTGAAGACTGTGGGAAAAGCGTAGTATCTGGGATGGAGTGCACCTTTTCTCATGGCACAGTCCTTCACGGCTTCCCTTGGCTAAAGGAGGGAGTTCCCTGACTCCTTGCACTTCTTGGGTGAGGCAATGCCTCACCCTGCTTTGGCTCACCCTCTGTGGGCTGTACCCACTGTGGAACCAGTCCCAGTGAAGTGAGCAGTGTACCTCAGTTGGAAATGCAGAAATCACCTGACTTCTGCATTGGTCTCACTGGGATTTGCAGACTGGAGCTGTTCCTATTTGGCCATGTTGCCAGCCACATCGAATTTCTTTCTTTTTAAAGATTGAATAGTATTGTGTGTGTCTGTGTGTTGTGTGTGTGCCACATTTAAAAAATGTGTTCATCCATTGATGGGTGCTTTGGTTGTTTTCATATCTTGGCTACTGTGAATAATGCTACAACGAACATGGGATTGAAGATATCTCTTCAACACATTGATTTCAGTTCTTTTGGCTATATACCCAGAAGTGAGATTGCTAGATCATATGGCAATTTTACTTTTAGTATTTTGAAGAAAGCCCATACTGTTTTTCACAACTATACTAATTTACATTCCCTCTAAAGGTGTACAAGAGTTTCTTTTGCGTTACATTCTTACCAACACTTGTTATCTTTCATTTTTTTGATAGTCTAATAGATGTGAGGTGATATCTCATTATGTTTTTTAAAGTTTTATTTTATGTTTAACTGACAAATAATTTTACATATATATGGGGTACAATGTGATGTTTCCACACATGTATACATTATGGAATGATTGAATCAAGTTAATTAACATGTCCTTCTTCAAATATTATCATTGCTTTGTAGGGAAAACTTCTATTTTTTTTTTTTTTTTTTGAGATGGAGTCTCGCTCTGTCGCCCAGGCTGGAGTGCAGTGGCATGAAATGGGCTCACTGCAAGCTCCGCCTCCCGGGTTCACGCCATTCTCCTGCCTCAGCCTCCCAAGTAGCTGGGACTACAGGCGCCTGCCACCTTGCCCAGCTAATTTTGTTTTTGTATTTTCAGTAGAGACAGGGTTTCACCGTGTTAGTCAGGATGGTCTCGATCTCCTGACCTTGTGATCCACCCACCTCAGCCCCCCAAAGTGCTGGGATTACAGGTGTGAGCCACCGCACCCGTCCTGTCTTTGTAGGGAAAACTTTTAAAATCTCAGAGTCCATTTCTGCCATTCCATTTATTCCCTTCTGGAATGAGATAAATATTAGAAATTATTGATCTACCCTTCATGTCTCTTAATGTATCCTTCATATATTTTTAAGTTATTGTCTCTTAGTGCCATATCCTGGGTTAATTTTCTCAGAAATTTCTTCTAATTCATTAAGGATTTATTCAACTCTGTTGAGTCTAGAGCATTTTCTTATTTCAATGACTGAAGAAAGTGATGAGATGTATTCATGCCCTTAAGGTTAATCCTGGATCAGACCATACATCTTGTTAAAAGCACTTTTAATTTCTTTATTCCACAGCAGCTAGGCCTCTAGCTGCTTCTGCCTGATTCTTTTTTTTTTTTTTTATTATACTTTAAGTTTTAGGGTACATGTGCACAATGTGAAGGTTAGTTACATATGTATACATGTGACATGCTGGTGAGCTGCACCCACTAACTCGTCATCTAGCATTAGGTATATCTCCCAAAGCTATCCCTCCCCCATCCCCCCACCCCACAACAGTCCCCAGAGTGTGATGTTCCCCTTCCTGTGTCCATGTGTTCTCATTGTTCAATTCCCACCTATGAGTGAGAATATGCGGTGTTTGGTTTTTTGTTCTTGTGATAGTTTACTGAGAATGATGATTTCCAATTTCATCCATGTCCCTACAAAGGACATGAACTCATCATTTTTTATGGCTGCATAGTATTCCATGGTGTATATGTGCCACATTTTCTTAATCCAGTCTATCATTGTTGGACATTTGGGTTGGTTCCAAGTCTTTGCTATTGTGAATAGTGCCGCAATAAACATACATGTGCATGTGTCTTTATAGCAGCATGGTTTATAGTCCTTTGGGTAAATACCCAGTAATGGGATGGCTGGGTCAAATGGTATTTCTAGTTCTAGATCCCTGAGGAATGGCCACACTGACTTCCACAATGGTTGAACTAGTTTACAGTCCCACCAACAGTGTAAAAGTGTTCCTATTTCTCCACATGCTCTCCAGCACCTGTTGTTTCCTGACTTTTTAATGATTGCCGTTCTAACTGGTGTGAGATGATACCTTGTTGTGGTTTTGATTTGCATTTCTCTGATGGCCAGTGATGGTGAGCATTTTTTCATGTGTTTTTTGGCTGCATAAATGTCTTCTTTTGAGAAGTGTCTGTTCATGTCCTTTGCCCACTTTTTGATGGGGTTGTTTTTTTCTTGTAAATTTGTTGGAGTTCATTGTAGATTCTGGATATCAGCCCTTTGTCAGATGAGTAGGTTGCGAAAATTTTCTCCCATTTTGTAGGTTGCCCGTTCACTCTGATGGTAGTTTCTTTTGCTGTGCAGAAGCTCTTTAGTTTCATTAGATCCCATTTGTCAATTTTGGCTTTTGTTGCCATTGCTTTTGGTGTTTTAGACATGAAGTCCTTGCCCATGCCTATGTCCTGAATGGTAACGCCTAGGTTTTCTTCTAGGGTTTTTATGGTTTTAGGTCTAACGTTTAAGTCTTTAATCCATCTTGAATTGATTTTTGTATAAGGTGTAAGGAAGGGATCCAGTTTCAGCTTTCTACATATGGCTAGCCAGTTTTCCCAGCACCATTTATTAAATAGGGAATCCTTTCCCCATTGCTTGTTTTTCTCAGGTTTGTCAAAGATCAGATAGTTGTAGATATGCGGCATTATTTCTGAGGGCTCTGTTCTGTGCCATTGATCTATATCTCTGTTTTGGTACCAGTACCATGCTGTTTTGGTTACTGTAGCCTTGTAGTATAGTTTGAAGTCAGGTAGCGTGATGCCTCCGGCTTTGTTCTTCTGGCTTAGGATTGACTTGGCGATGCGGGCTCTTTTTGGTTCCATATGAACTTTAAAGTAGTTTTTTCCAATTCTGTGAAGAAAGTCATTGATAGCTCGATGGGAATGGCATTGAATCCATAAGTTACCTTGGGCAGTATAGCCATTTTCTTGATATTGATTCTTCCTACCCATGAGCATGGAATGTTCTTCCATTTGTTTGTATCCTCTTTAATTTCATAGAGCGGTGGTTTGTAGTTCTCCTTGAAGAGGTCCTTCACGTCCCTTGTAAGTTGGATTCCTAGGTATTTTATTCTCTTTGAAGCAATTGTGAATGGGAGTTCACTCATGATTTGGCTCTCTGTTTGTCTGTTATTGGGGTATAAGAATGCTTGTGATTTTTGTACATTGATTTTGTATCCTGAGACTTTGCTGAAGTTGCTTATCAGCTTAAGGAGATTTTGGGCTGAGACAATGGGGTTTTCTAGATATACAATCATGTCATCTGCAAACAGGGACAATTTGACTTCCTCTTTTCCGAATTGAATACCCTTTATTTCCTTTTCCTGCCGAATTGACCTGGCCAGAACTTCCAACACTATGTTGAATAGGAGTGGTGAGAGAGGGCATCCCTGTCTTGTGCCAGTTTTCAAAGGGAATGCTTCCAGTTTTTGCCCATTCAGTATGACATTGGCTGTGGGTTTGTCATAGATAGCTCTTATTATTTTGAGATATGTCTCATCAATACCTAATTTATTGAGAGTTTTTAGCATGAAGGGTTGTTGAATTTTGCCAAAGGTCTTTTCTGCATCTATTGAGATAGTCATGTGGTTTTTGTCTTTGGTTCTGTTTATATGCTGGATTACATTTATTGATTTGCGTATATTGAACCAGCCTTGCATCCCAGGGATGAAGCCCACTTGATCATGGTGGATAAGCTTTTCGATGTGCTGCTGGATTCTGTTTGCCAGTATTTTATTGAGGATTTTTGCATCAATGTTCATCAAGGATATTGGTCTAAAATTCTCTTTTTTGGTTGTGTCTCTGCCCGGCTTTGGTATCAGGATGATGCTGGCTTCATAAAATGAGTTAGGGAGGATTCCCTCTTTTTCTATTGATTAGAATAGTTTCAGAAGGAATGGTACCAGTTCCTCCTTGTACCTCTGGTAGAATTCGGCTGTGAATCCATCTGGTCCTGGACTCTTTTTGGTTGGTAAGCTATTGATTATTGCCTCAATTTCAGAGCCTGTTATTGGTCTATTCAGAGATTCAATGTCTTCCTGGTTTAGTCTTGGGAGAGTGTATGTGTTGAGGAATTTATCCATTTCTTCTAGATTTTCTAGTTTATTTGCATAGAGGTGTTTGTAGTATTCTCTGATGGTAGTTTGCATTTCTGTGGGATCGGTGGTGATATCCCCTTTGTCATTTTTTATTGCATCTATTTGATTCTTCTCTCTTTTTTTCCTTATTAGTCTTGCTAGTGGTCTATCAATTTTGTTGATCCTTTCAAAAAACCAACTCCTGGATTCATTAATTTTTTGAAGGGTTTTTTGTGTCTCTATTTCCTTCAGTTCTGCTCTGATCTTTGTTTTTTCTTGCCTTCTGCTAGCTTTTGAATGTGTTTGCTCTTGCTTTGCTAGTTCTTTTAATTGTGACGTTAGGGTGTCAATTTTAGATCTTTCCTGCTTTCTCTTGTGGGCATTTAGTGCTATAAATTTCCCTCTACACACTGCTTTGAATGTGTCCCAGAGATTCTGCTATGTTGTGTCTTTGTTCTCATTGGTTTCAAAGAACATCTTTATTTCTGCCTTCATTTTGTTATGTACCCAGTAGTCATTGAGCAGCAGGTTGTTCAGTTTCCATGTAGTTGAGTGGTTTTGAGTGAGTTTCTTAATCCTGAGTTCTAGTTTGATTGCACTGTGGTCTGAGAGATAGTTTGTTATAATTTCTGTTCTTTTACATTTGCTGAGGAGAGCTTTACTTCCAAGTATGTGGTCAATTTTGGAATAGGTGTGGTGTGGTGCTGAAAAAAATGTATATTTTGTTGATTTGGGGTGGAGAGTACTGTAGATGTCTATTAGGTCCGCTTGGTGCAGAGCTGAGTTCAATTCCTGGGTATCCTTTTTGACTTTCTGTCTCGTTGATCTGTCTAATGTTGACAGTGGGGTGTTAAAGTCTCCAATTATTAATGTGTGGGAGTCTAAGTCTCTTTGTAGGTCACTCAGGACTTGCTTTATGAATCTGGGTGCTCCTGTATTGGGTGCATATATATTTAGGATAGTTAGCTCTTCTTGTTGAATTGATCCCTTTATCATTATGTAATGGCCTTCTTTGTCTCTTTTGATCTTTGTTGGTTTAAAGTCTGTTTTATCAGAGACTAGGATTGCAACCCCTGCCTTTTTTTGTTTTCCATTTGCTTGGTAGATCTTCCTCCATCCTTTTATTTTGAGCCTATGTGTGTCTCTGCATGTGAGATGGGTTTCCTGAATACAACACACTGATGGATCTTGACTCTTTATCCAATTTGCCAGTCTGTGTCTTTTAATTGGAGCATTTAGTCCATTTACATTTAAGGTTAATATTGTTATGTGTGAATTTGAACTTGTCATTATGATGTTAGCTGGTTATTTTGCTCGTTAGTTGATGCAGTTTCTTCTTAGTCTCAATGGTGTTTACATTTTGGCATGATTTTGCAGCGGCTGGTACCGGTTGTTCCTTTCCATGTTTAGCGCTTCCTTCAGGAGCTCTTTTAGGGCAGGCCTGGTGGTGACAAAATCTCTCAGCATTTGCTTGTCTGTAAAGTATTTTATTTCTCCTTCCCTTATGAAGCTTAGTTTGGCTGGATATGAAATTCTGGGTTGAAAATTCTTTTCTTTAAGAATGTTGAATATTGGTCCCCACTCTCTTCTGGCTAGGAGAGTTTCTGCTGAGAGATCCACTGTTAGTCTGATGGGCTTCCATTTGAGGGTAACCTGACCTTTCTCTCTGGCTGCCCTTAACATTTTTTCCTTCATTTCAACTTTGGTGAATCTGACAATTATGTGTCTTGGAGTTGCTCTTCTCGAGGAGTATCTTTGTAGCGTTCTCTGTATTTCCTGAATCTGAATGTTGGCCTGCCTTGCCAGATTGGGGAAGTTCTCCTGGATAATATCCTGCAGAGTGTTTTCCAACTTGGTTCCATTCTCCCCGTCACTTTCGGGTACACCAATCAGATGCAGATTTGGTCTTTTCACATAGTCCCATATTTCTTGGAGGCTTTGTTTATTTCTTTTTATTCTTTTTTCTCTAAACTTCCCTTCTCACTTCATTTCATTCATTTCATCTTCCATTGCTGATACCCTTTCTCCCAGTTGATTGCATTGGCTCCTGAGGCTTCTGCATTCTTCACGTAGTTCTCCTGCCTTGGCTTTCAGCTCCATCAGCTCCTTTAAGCACTTCTCTGTATTGGTTATTCTAGTTATACATTCGTCTAAATTTTTTTCAAAGTTTTTAACTTCTTTGCCTTTGGTTTGAATTTCCTCCTGTAGCTCATAGTTTGATCGTCTGAAGCCTTCTTCTCTCAGCTCGTCAAAGTCATTCTCCGTCCAGCTTTGTTCCATTGCTGGTGAGGAACTGCGGTCCTTTGGAGGAGAAGAGGTGCTCTGCTTTTTAGAGTTTCCAGTTTTTCTGCTGTTTTTTCCCCATCTTTGTGGTTTTATCTACTTTTGGTCTTTGATGATGGTGATGTACAGATGGGTTTTTGGTGTGGATGTCCTTTCTGTTTGTTAGTTTTCCTTCTAACAGACAGGACCCTCAGCTGCAGGTCTGTTGGAGTTTTCTAGAGGTCCACTCCAGACCCTGTTTGCCTGGGTATCAGCAGCAGTGTCTGCAGAACAGTGGTTTTTCATGAACCGTGAATGCTGCTGTCTGATCGTTCCTCTGGAAGTTTTGTCTCAGAGGAGTACCCAGCCGTGTGAGGTGTCAGTCTGCCCCTACTGGGGGGTGCCTCCCAGTTAGGCTGCTCCAGGGTCAGGGGTCAGAGACCCACTTGAGGAGGCAGTCTGCCCATTCACAGATCTGCAGCTGCATGCTGGGAGAACCACTGCTCTCTTCAAAGCTGTCAGATAGGGACATTTAAGACTGCAGAGGTTACTGCTGTCTTTTTGTTTGTGCCCTGCCCCCAGAGGTGGAGCCTACAGAGGCAGGCAGGCCTCCTTGAGCTGTGGTGGGCTCCACCCAGTTCGAGTTTCCCAGCTGCTTTGTTTACCTAAGCAAGCCTGGGCAATGGCGGGCGCCCCTCCCCCAGCCTTGCTGCTGCCTTGCAGTTTGATCTCAGACTGCTGTGCTAGCAATCAGTGAGACTCCGTGGGCGTAGGACCCTCCGAGCCAGGTGCGGGATATAATCTGGTGGTGCGCCGTTTTTTAAGCTGGTCGGAAAAGCACAGTATTCGGGTGGGAGTGACCCGATTTTCCAGGTGCCATCTGTCACCCCTTTCTTTGACTAGGAAAGGGAACTCCCTGACCCCTTGTGCTTCCCGAGTGAGGCAATGCCTCACCCTGCTTCAGCTTGCGCACGGTGCGCTGCACCCACTGTCCTGCGCCCACTGTCTGGCACTCCCTAGTGAGATGAACCCGGTACCTCAGATGGAAATGCAGAAATCACCCGTCTTCTGCGTCGGTCACGCTGGGAGCTGTAGACCAGAGCTGTTCCTTTCTGCCTGATTCTAAAAAAAGAACCTAGAAGTGGCTTCAGGCTCACTTACTGTTTTATGCTTTTCTTTTGTCCTATTTCTGGTTCTTAGAGATAACCATATTATTTTTGATCACAGTACATCCTTTTGGTTTTTCTCGTCTTATATTTATACATCATAACTTTGTGTTTGGAATAGAGAGGTAATCAAAGAATGAATTCATTACACCTTCTCAAACAGATGTCTCTTTCTAGAAGTATTTGTACTTAATAGAGACCATTTAAGAATAAATGCCTCCAATAATATAAAATAATCATAACAGTGTGTCTTGAGGCAGCATGGCTTGTTGTTAAAGATTTAGGAAAAGGGTCCTTATGGAAGTCCTCAAACTGTATGAAATAAACAACTGCATATTTTCAGGATGGACACAGCAATGACATATGCAATCCCCTATCATATGGGTTTTCTCCCTTATATTAAGATTCTCTTGAACTCAATTCCATAATATTTGGAAGTTTAAGTAATTCCTAAATACTTTTATGGATTTCAAGGGACATAGGTTCCCATGATTCCCTTTAGTTCTGGACTCTTACTTTTAAGTGTGCTGTCTTCTATAATGTCCTAGTTCAAGCTCTTCCATCCAAACAAATCTTTTTTGCTTTACATCTACAAATAATCAAACAGAACAAAAGCCCTTTGATATGCAAAATCTGCGAAGCCTGGGAAAGAAGATTTACAATAAAGAAATAAAACTATTTCCAAATGGAATGTTAAAATGTTAAAACCCCGTTTCTAAGTCTTTCCCATGCACCCAAATGAATACAAGTAAAACTGAAGGATTCTTTATGAGATTAATGCCAATGTTTTGGTTGTGATAATCAATTTTGTGCTTCTTACTTGCAGCTGAATGGTAGTATTAGGGTTTCTGCCTTTGTGGTATCTTCAGGGCTAGGAAGACAGGTGGTGGCATGTAGGAAATTTCAAATCATTCCTTGATGTCGTATCTGATTACAGGTACTTAGATACAGCTGGAGTTTGGTAGAAAGAATAAAACAAGGGCTGGGAAATAAAGGGGGAGAAATGTTCTTTAAACTCAGAGGCAAGAGTGATATGCAGTTTATGTGAAGATGGTAAGTGATGATTGCTTTGACTGTAGTACATAGTCCAAGCAGTGCTAGAATGTACAGTTATAAAAGCTAATGCTCTGGGATATTTATTTGGGAGGCATTGATTCTGGATAATAATGGATAACACCTCCATGATTCTTACCATGTGTCAGACAGATAATCTAAGTCTTTTGCATGTATTGACGAACTTAATTCTCGTGACCTTTCCATGGAGTGAGTACAACCATTGTTCCAATATTTATATTAGGAAACAGAGGCCTAGCTTGGTTAGGCTACTGGGACTATGGTCACACAGTAAATTTTAGGTAATTTTCCTCTAGAATATGTATCTTTTAACACTCCATTCTCCTTCTGTATTTGGGTCCTGGATCTGCTACTTAATAGATATGTGACTGTAGGTAAGCTGCTTAATTTCTTTGAATCAAAGTTTCCTCAATAGCAAAATATATTGTTATGAAGATTAAATAAGGTACTACGTGTAAAGAACTTAGAGTAATGCTAGACTCAAAGCAAGAACTCAGTGCATACTAGCTGCTATTTTTAGTAATAGTGGTATTGTTGGTTTTTAAAATATTTTTATTCTTTTTTTCTCTCCCATTCCTGTCCTTTCCATCACTGACAACTGAAGAGAGAGTATTAGAGGTGATCCAAAACTCACATCTGACAGAGAAGTAGCCAGAGGCCCTTTAAAAATGAAGCCTGCCTGAAAATTGAGAGAAAGGACTCCAACCCCAAACTAGGACATGCCAAGGTGAGTCACAGAAATGTTCTCATCAAACTAATCAGTGGCTGCATATTAGATTAGGTTTAGAATAAAATGAGATAAATACTAAGAATTTTATGTTAGATTTATTTAAAACTTGTTTTACAAAATCCTTTAAAATCTTTTAAATGATGTATTTTTCAGAACCAATAGAAATATGAAAAGCATAAATTTAACTCAGTGTAGAAATCCAACATAAAGTAACAGCCAGCTCCTACTTCCTCCTATTAGATTGAAGCATATTAGAACACTAACAATTCACCATGGTGATCACACTCATACAATGTACACCTCTTTGATGAACAATTTATTAATATCTATCAATATTTTTAAGGCACATCCCCTTTAACCAAGCAATTTCATTCCTAGAAATGTATCTTACAGCAGTGCTCACCCAACTGAGGAAAGATGCATGCACAAGGCTGTGTGCAGCTCTTTTTGTATTTGCAAAAAACTGGAAACAGCTTAAATGTCCATCAAGCCCTTTATACTGCTATGAATATGTGCAGTGCTTTCCTAACAGGCATCCCTCCAGCTAAATTTTTCTGCTTTAATAACTAAAAAAATGCTTTCCATTCAATGAACTTGTCTATTGCTTTATGAATAAATCGCTGAATAATTTCAGTGGTTCTATTATTGTTTTCATAAACCAGAGAAGACTTACCAGAGGTATTATGATACCATATAAATGTCAAGAGGTGATTGAAAGAAACCATTTTTAGTGTTTAATCATTGCTTACTTTCATTTCTAGGCTATTTTCATTGCTCTAAGGGTTCAGCAAAATCTTGCCTTCTTTTCCAAACTGATCTTTCTCTCTAAAGTTTCTTGTGTTTTTCTCAAGCTCTTACTGTCCTTCATCTAATACCTGAAGGACTTAGTTATTGTCAAACTCCTAAGGAATTAAAAAAAAGAAGAAGAAAAAATAAATAATCCTGGAGGCTTTGGAATGGGAGAATTACCTATCTCTGTGAAAATGGTGATACTTTACCAAATATCAACTAGGCAATTTCTATGTAAGAAGAAAGAGAGATGGCCAATGAAAGATTGGATAATATTTTGAAATAAGAACCCAGCATGATCCTCTAGGGAAAAAATTAAAAGAAATGTTTTATAGAGACCTTTAAATGTTCAATTAAGTTTATTTAGCAACTTTTTTCTAATTATGGCATAACTATTCTGAGTAGAGATATCATTGCTTTATTCTGGATATTTACAATTGTGTCTGAAAGCCCATTTGTCCTTGGGAGACTAGCAATCAGTAAAGCAGATGATGAAGCTATAAATCTATGGAATTGCTTTGCCAAATATCAGCATCTCATCATTATGGTGGTGAAATGAGTTCTTGTACAGAATGCTATTGAATACATCTCACAATCACTATTTTTCAGTGGCTTAATCTACACTGCAAGTTGACTTAAAAATTTTCCCTGAAGCTTTGGCTATAAATAACAAATTACAGAAGGACAAAGCTGAAGAATAAAAAAAAAGTTGGAACAGATTTATTTTAAATATTTCAATTTGTGAATTTCTAAAGCAAGATTATGTATTTGCAGTCATTTCTAGCCACTATTTATGCATCTGTGCTCAAGAGAGGGAGATAAAGAGTATGATCATATTTAACTCAGAAAAGCAATAAAAATCACCTCTTTGTTCCAACATCACTTCTTTTTATTTTAGTTATTCAAAACATACATAAATATATCCTAGATTGCTACCATACCTGAGAATAAGATCTCAACAACTTACAGAAGAGTTTCAATGAATATTGTACCTTTTCATACATAAGAACATACTAGAGACATGAGGGTGCAAATTGAAAATACTTTTATAATTAGGTTCCTTCCTTCTATCAATTCAAAATAAAGCCGTTCTCTCCCCCGTCACCAAATACACACACATATTTTGATTTAATCATTAACATTGTAGACCCTTTTCGTTAAATTAAACCCATGCTAAGGTTGTCAAATATCCCAAATTGCTTGGAACTACACCACCATTCATCTTTTTACTCAAGTAGTCAACTGTCCTGCATGTTGCTGGATGCCAAATAAGTTTGAAGTAGCAATTTTTGGGTCTCACTCTGTTGTCCAGGCTGGAGCATAGTGGTACAATCATGGCTCACTGCAGTCTCACTGCCCCGGGGTCAGTGGGGTTTCCCTCAGCCACCCAAGTAGCTAGGACCACATGCATACGCCACCAGGCCAAGCTAAGTTTTGTATTTTTTGTAGAGATGGGAAGTAAAATTGTACTTTTCTGTTGCTACCAGGTGAAATATTTTCAATTCTATCACTAGAATTGATTTTCTTATTTGTCTATCATTGCTTATTGCAAGTTTTGGTCTATTGATTTGAAAAATAAACTCAGCCTGCCTTACAAGAGCTCCTGAAGGAAGCACTAAACATGGAAAGGAAAAACTGGTATCAGCCACTGCAAAAACATAGCAAATTGTAAAGACCATCAACACTATGAAGAAACTGCATCAACTAACGGGCGAAATAACCAGCTAGCATCATAATGACAGGATCAAATTCACACATAACAATATTAACCTTAAATGTAAATGGGCTAAATGCTCCAATTAAAACACACAGACTGGCAAATTGGATAAAGAGTCAATACCCATCCATGTGCTGTATTCAGGAGACCCACCTCACGTGCTAAGACACACATAGGCTCAAAATAAAGAGATGGAGGAATATTTACCAAGCAAATGGAAAGCAAAAAAAAGCAGGGGTTGCAATGCTAGTCTCAAAACAGCCTTTAAACCAACAAAGACCAAAAAGACAAAGAAGGGCATTATGTTATGGTAAAGGGATTAATGCAACAAGAAGAGCTATCTATCCTAAATACATATGCACCCAATACAGAAGCACCCAGACTCATAAAGCAAATTCTTAGAGATGTACAAAGAGACTTAGACCCCCACACAATAATAGTGGGAGACTTTAACACCCCACTGTCAATATTAGAAAAATCAGTGAAACAGAAAATTAACAAGGATATTCAGGACTTGAACTCAGCTCTGGACCAAGTAGACCTAATAGATATCTACAGAACTCTCCACCCCAAATCAACAGAATATACATTCATCTCAGCACCACATCACACTTATTCTAAAATTGGCCACATAATTGGAAGTAAAACACTCTTCAACAAATGCAACAGAACATAAATCATAACAAACAGTCTCTCAGACCACAAGCAATGAAATTAGAACTCAGGATTAAGAAATTCACTCAAAACTGCACAACTACATGGAAACTGAATAACCTGCTCCTGAATGACTACTGGGTAAATAACGAAATTAAGGGAGAAACAAAGATGTTCTTTGATACCAGTGAGAACAAAGACACAAGGTAACAGAATCTCTTGGACACAGCTAAAGCAGTGTTTAAAGGGAAATTTATAGCATTAAATGCCCACAGGAGATAGTGGGAAAGATCTAAAATTGACACCCTAACATCACAATTTAAAAGAACTGGAGAAGCAAAAGTAAAAAAATTCAAAAGCTAGCAGAAGACAAGAAATAACTAAAATCAGAGCAGAACTGAAGGAGATAGATATAGGAAAAACCCATCAAAAAATCAGTGAATCCAGGAACTGGTTTTTTTGAAAAGATTAACAAAATAGACCACTAGCCAGACTAATAGATAAGAATCAAATAGACACAATAAAAAATGGTAAAGAGGGTATCACCACTGGTCCCACAGAAATACAAACTACCATCAGAGAATACTATAAATACTTCTATGCAAATAAACTAGGAAATCTAGAAGAAATGGATAAATTCCTGGACACATACACCCTCCAAATACTAAACCAGGAAGAAGCTAAATTCCTGAATAGACCAATAACAGTTCTCAAATTGAGGCAGTAATTAGTAGCCTACCAACCAAAAATGCCCAGGACCAGATGGATACAGAGACGAATTCTACCAGAGGTACAATGAGGAGCTAGTACCATTCCTTCTGAAACTATTCCAAACAACAGAAAAACAGGGACTCCTCCCTAACTCATTTTATGAGGCCAGCATCATCCTGATACCAAAACCTGGCAGAGACACAACAACAACAACAACAGCAACAACAACTTCAGGCCAGTATCCCCGATGAACATCAATGTGAAAATCCTCAATAAAATAGTGGCAAACCAAATCCAGCAGCACATCAAAAAGCTTATCCACCATGATCAAGTCGGCTTCATCCCTGGGATGCAAGGCTAGTTCAACATATGCAAATCAATAAATTTAATTCATCACATAAACAAAACCAATGACAAAAACAACATGATTATCTCAATAGATGCACAAAAGGCCTTTGATAAAATTCAACACCCCTTTATGCTAAAAACTCTCAGTAAACTAGGTATTGATGGAACATATCTCAAAACAATAAGAGCTATTTATGACAAACCCACTGCCAATATCATACTGAATGTGCAAAAGCTGTAAGCATTCCCTTTGAAAACTGGCACAAGACAAGGGTGCCCTCTCTCACCACTCCTATTCAACATAGTATTGGAAGTTCTAGCGAGGGCAATAAGGCAAGAGAAAGAAATAAAGCATATTCAAATAGAAAGAGAGGAAGTCAAATTATCTCTGTTTGCTGATGACATGATTATATATTTAAAAAACCCAATTGTCTCAGCCAAAAATCCCCTTAGGTGGATAAGCAACTTCAGCAGAGTCTTAGGATACAAAATTAATGTACAAAAATCACAAGCATTCCTACACACCAATAACAGATAAACAGAGATCCAAATCATGAGTGAACTCCCATTCACAATTGCTACAAAAAGAATAAAATACCTAGGAGTACAATTTACAAGTGATGTAAAAGGACCTCTTCAAGGAGAATTACAAACCACTGCTCAAGGAAGTAAGAGAGAACACAAACAAATGGAAAAACTTTCCATGCTCATGGATAGGAAGAATCAATATCGTGAAAATGGCCAAAATGCCCAAAGTAATTTATAGATTCAACACTATCCCCATCAATCTACCAGTGACTTTCTTCACAAAATTAGAACAAATCTACTTTAAATTTCATATGGCACCAAAAAAGACCACATATAGCCAAGACAATCTGAAGCAAAAAGAAATAAGCCACAGGCATCACGCTACCTGACTTCAAACTATACTACAAGGATACAGTAACCCAAACTGCATGGTATTTGTACCAAAACAGGTATACAGACCAATGGAATAGAACAGAGGCCTCAGAAATAACGCCACACATTTACAACCATCTGATCTTTGACAAGCCTGACAAAAACAAGCAATGGGGAAAGGATTCCCTATTTAACAAATGGTGTTAGGAAAACTGGCTAACCATATGCAGAAAACAAAAACTGGATCCCTTCTTTACACTTTATACAAAAATTAACTCAAGATTCATTAAAGACTTAAACATAAGACCTAATACCATCAAAACCCTAGAAAAAAACCGAGGTAATACCATTCAGAACATAGGTATGGGCAAAGGCTTCATGACAAAAACACCAAAAGCAACGGCAACAAAAGCCAAAATAGACAAATGGGATCTAATTAAACTAAAGAACTTCTGCAAAGCAAAAGAAACTATCATCAAAGTGAATAGGAAATCTACAGATTGGGAGAAAATTTTTGCAATCTATCTATCTGACAAAGGGCTACTATCCAGAATCTACAAAATTAAACAAATTTACAAGAAAAAAAAACCATCAAAAAGTGGGCTAAGGATATGAACAGACACTTCTCAAAAGAAGACATTTATGGGACCAATAAATATATGAATAAATGCTCATCATCACTGGTCATTAGAGAAAGGCAAATCAAAACCACAATGAGATACCATCTCACTCCAGTTAGAATGGCAATCATTAAATAGCCAGGAAACAACACATGCTGGAGAGGATGTGGAGAAATAGGAATGCCTTTACACTTTTGGTGGGAGTGTAAATTAGTCCAACCTTGTGGAAGACAGTGTGGCGATTTCTCAAGCATCTAGAACCAGAAATACCATTTGACCCAGTAATCCCATTACTGGGTATATATTCAAAGGATTATAAATCATTCTACTACAAAGGCACATGCACACGTATGTTTATTGCAGCGCTATTCACAATAGCAAAAACTTGGAACCAACCCAAATGCCCATCAATGTCAGACTGGATAAAGAAAATGTGGCACATATACACCATGGAATACTATGCAGCCATAAAAAAGGATGCATTCATGTCCTTTGCAGGGACATGGATGAAGCTGGAAACCATCATTCTTAGCAAAGTAACACAGGAACAGAGACCCAAACACTGCATATTCTCACTCATAAGTGGGATTTGAACAATAAGAACACATGGACGCAAGGAGGGGAACATCACACACCAGGGCCTGTCAGGGGGTTGGGGGCTAGGGGAGGAATAGCATTAGGAAAAATACCTAATGTAGATGATAAGTTGATGGGTGCAGCAAACCTACCATGGAACGTGTATACTTATGTAACAAACCTGCACTTTCTGCATATGTATCTCAAAACTTAAAGTATAATAAAAAAATAAAAAGCTTAATACTTGTAGACATAAATCCACAGTGTTGTTAAAAAGATTAATGAATAAACAATTGAAGGTAGTGTAGGATCATGATGAGAGTAAATAAATGCAATTATATCTGGATACTTCAATCACTTTTTAAAAATGCAGTATTATTTAATCAGCGGCACATTAGAAAGGATGGCCAAAGTATTTTATTCTTTATTGTCATCTTATTGCCCATTTAAATCAGTCATTTGCAGTACAAGAGTGCCAGTAAAGTTCTGTTTAAAACAGTAATTTTCAAAAACCTAAAAATCACAGATAAAAACGAATTGGTTCCTTTAAGATCAGAACAAGGAAAGGATGCCCACTCTTACCATTTCTATCCAGTATAGTACTGGAAGTTTCAGCAATAGCAATTATGCAAGGAAAATAAATAATAAGCTTTCAAAATAGAAAGAAAAGTTTCTATTGTGCCTGTTTGCAGATGATATATTCATATATATATATAAGAACCATAACTATTCTACCAAAAAATTATTAGAATTAATAATCCAGTTTAGTAAATGTGCAGGATACAAAATCATCATTAAAAATAATCCAGTAGCATTTTTATACACTAACAAGAAACTATCCCCCCAAAATTAAGAACACAATTCCATTAACAATAGCCATAAAAATATAAAACAGCAATAAATTTAACCAAGGATGTGACAGACCTATACAAAGATACTATAAATATTGATAAATGAAATTGAAGACAAAATAATAGAAATATATCCTGTGTTCATGGTTTCGAAGAACTAATAGTATGAAAATGTTCATACTACCAAAGTGATGTGCAGACTCAATGCAATTCCAATCAAAATACCAATGACATTCTTCACAGAAATAGAAAAAAAAACTATCCTAAAATTTATATGGAACTACAGAAGACCCTGCATAACCAAAGCAACCTTGAGCCAAAAGAACCAAGTGAGAGGCATCAGGCTACCACACTTTAAAATATACTCTAAACCTATAGTAATTTAAACCACATGATACTGTCATAAAAGCAGACACATAGACAAATGGAACGGAATAGAGAGCTGAGAACTAAATTCATGCATTTACAGTCAACTGATTTTTGACAAAATTGCCCAGAACACACAGTGGGGAAAGGACAGTCTCTTCAATAAATGTAGTTGGGAAAACTGGATATCTACATGCAGAAGATTGAATTAGACTCTTATTTCACATCACATAGAAAAATCAGCTCAAAATGAATTAAAGAGTTAAATATAATATCTAAAATTATAAATGTAAAAGTACTAAAAGAAAACAAGAAAGCTCCATGGCATTGGTCTAGGCAATGATTTTGCGGATATGACCCCAAAAGCATGGGCAACAGAAGCAAAACTAGAGAAATTTAAGCCTTCTTTACAGTAAAGTATATTTAGGGTTTGGTACTATCCAGGGTTTCAGGCATCCATTGAGGGTCTTGGAATATATCTCCTGTGGATGGAGAAGGACTATTGTATATCAAATAAATAAATATTGTTTTCATAGCAAACAAATTTGAATTGCTTATTTTTTAATCCACCTGAAAACTTGAATGCCTAATATTATCACTTTTAAAAATGTTCCTTTGACCAGAGGTGGTGGTTCACGCCGGTCATCCTAGCACTTTGGGAGGCCAAGGCAGGTGGATCACTTGAGCTCAGCAGTTCAAGACCAGCCTGGGCAACATGGTGAAACTCTGTCTCTACAAAAAATACAAAAATTAGCTGGGCATGGTGGCACACACCTGCAGTTCCAGCTACTTGAGGGGCTGAGGTGGGAGAGTTGTTTGAACCTGGGAAGCAGAGGTTGCAATGAGCTGAGATCATGCCACAGCACTCCAGCCTGGGCAACAGAGTGAGACCCTGCCTCAAAAAAAAAAAAAAAAAAAAAAAAAGTTCCTTTGGCAATAAGAACCCAATAAGAACGATGACAGTTTAGCTATGTTTTATATTAACAGTCTTTGTGTGTGGATGTGTATGGAGTCAGGGGTGACTTTAAGGGCAGATAGATAGTTTGCAGATACTTTGTTATTAGCACAGAAATATCAATACCATAAAGTAATCAGATCATTGTGCAATGTTAAGTGGAGACAGGAATTGGGGCAATAGAACCAGATTAATAGAACAAGGAAATGAATCTGGAATAATGTGGAGATTTAGGACTATTCTAGTCAAAATAACAAAACCCTTCATTAATGCCCTATTAAGGAGAGATTATAAACTCTAGTTACTCCTTAATGCGGGAATAAAACAATCCTTCCCACAAAAGACCCCTTCATACCAACATAGAAGAGAGAGCTGACACAATTTAATAATACCTTCAGATATACATGCATGTAAGCACCATGATAGTCTGAACAGATTTATCTGGGCAGAATTTCACATAAATGCATGCCAAAAAGTATAGGAAAGAACAATTAAAACTTCTCTTATTTCCTTGAGAGACAAATGTACCTTGTATTTCTTTTCTGTATACCACCTGAGAGTTTTAATTTCAGAGGTGTGTGTTTATAGTGCCAAGGGTCAGAGGATTATAGAATCAAAATGCCTGGCCTCTTCTTGAGCTAATCATACTTTCAAGAAATATCCTAAGAAGGGAAATGCCCTCAATGAAAATTTCATCATTTTATCTTTATAATCTATGTGTGTAAGTTTGTAATTTTAGTTATTGCTTGAGCTAGTATACTCATATGTATTTATGATTTTTATAATTTGACTGTTAAAATATGTTTAGTTCTGGTGAGCGTTCACAGCATATATCAAGGGAATGAGACTGGATGCAGGACAACCTAGGCAAATGTTTGTTTGGTTGAAAGGAAACACCTTTTTCCAAGCATTAACACAGTCCACCATGGCTGATGGATTTCAAGCCATATTTGCTCAATAAGGTAATACAATAAAAGCTAAAGGCAGCATATTCTTGCTAAGATATCTCAAAACAAAATCCAAAAGTTTACAAATCCCTATACAAATGTACAGTGTTGATTGTGAAAGTAACATTCCAGCCATTAGAATGAGTCAGCCCCGAACCATGAGAGAATAAAAGGCTAAACTATTGGATTTTCCTGAATGGCAAAGGGTTATCCCAGGGAGTTTGTAAATGGCCCACATCAGTAAGTTTGTTTTGGCCTACACAACATCAAATCTCATCTCCTTTTTCTTTGAAAGAGAGAGAGGGGAAGGGCAAGGGCAAGGGAAATAGGAGGTGGAGGGGGAGAGAGAACAAACCATTCAATACAGAAGATTGTGAATCCCTTTAAAGAATTGTTCCTTGACCAAACTGAGGGTCAGGGTGTTATTTCTCATGGCCCAATAACGAGATGCAGATGAACTGGGGAAAAAGAGAGTTGTTATTTCTGTAACTGGTTACAAGGAGAAGGCCTGGAAATTATTGCCAGACCAACTCCAAATTACAAAGTTTTAGAGAGCTTATATACTTCTAAGCTATAAGTCTACTTGTAAATGTGCATTCATCTACATACATTAGTGATTAACCTATTTTAATCTATAACTAAGGTCTGAGTCCTGAAGTCCTTCCTCTGGAGCCTCAGTAAATTTACTTACTCTAATTGGGTCCAGGTACTGGTGTGTCTGGAATTGGTGGGTTCTTGGTCTCACTGACTTCAAGAATGAAGCTGCGGACCCTCGTGGTGAGGGTTACAGTTCTTAAAGATGGTGTGTCCAGAGTTTTTCCTTCTGATGTTCAGACGTTTTCGGAGTTTCTTCCTTTTGGTGGGTTTGTGGTTTCGCTGGCTTCAGGAGTGAAGCTGCAGACCTTCATGCTGAATGTTACAGCTCTTAAGGCAGTGCTTCTGGAGTTGATCATTCCTCCTGTCCAGAGTGTTCATTCCTCCCGGTGGGTTCGTGGGCTCGCTGGCCTCAGGAGTGAAGCTGCAGACCTTCACGGTGAGTGTTACAGCTCATAAAGGCAGTGCGGACCCAAAGAGTGAGCAGCAGCAAGATTTATTGCAAAGAGCAAAAGAACAAAGCTTCCACAGTGTGGAAGGGGACCAGAGTGTGTTGCTGCTGCTGGCTTGGGCAGCCTGCTTTTATTCCCTTATCTGGCCCCACCCACATCCTGCTGATTGGTCCATTTTACAGAGAGCTGATTGGTCCATTTTGTCAGGGTGCTGATTGGTGCGTTTACAATCCCTGAGCTAGACACAGAATGCTGATTGGTGTATTTACAATCCTCTAGCTAGACGTAAAAGTTCTCCAAGTCCCCACTAGATTAACTAGACACAGAGCACTGATTGGTGCGTTTACAAACCTTTAGCTAGACACAGAGTGCTGATTGGTGCGTTTACAATCCCTGAGCTAGACACAGAGTGCTGATTGGTGCATTTACAATCCTCCACCTAGACATAAAAGTTCTCCAAGTCCCCACCGGATTAGCTAGATACAGAGTGCTGATTGGTGCATCCACGAACCCCGAGCTAGACACAGAGTGCTGATTGGTGCATTTACAATCCTCCAGCTACACATAAAAGTTCTCCAAGTCTCCACTCAACTCAGGAGCCCAGCTGGCTTCGCCTAGTGGATCCTGCGCTGGGACCGCAGACAGAGCTGCCCACCAGTCCCACGCCATGTGCCCACACAGGATGTAATTGAGTAGAAATATACATAATGTCAAATGAAAGCAAATCTGGACTTAATAAAGAGAGACTTTATTCAAAAGGATTATTTTGCAAGATGGGAGGAGCAGAACTATTGTAACAGGGAGATAGGGACTATTATAATAGGGGGAAATTTGTGACCATAATATCTACAAAGTATCTCAAGAGTAAGGTGAAAAGAGTTTTCTTTTATAGAGAGGAGTATACATAGCTAGAAAGAACCAGGTGTAGGGAAGCAGGTTGAAATTGTGGCGCGATGGAATAGTAAATCAGAGAAGGTTTTACCCTGAGGCTGGTTTATTTTCCATGAGGGCCCTTAGAGAGAGTTTGTATGCTGTCTAGGCTGAGGTTGGGCCAATGTTCTGCAGCCTGGGAGAAAAAGTTTTAGACAAAGTTTGGTTAAGAGGCATTACATTCCAAAAGATCGGTAGGCATAACCAGTTCAATTAATCATTTATGAAAAGAATGGGAATTTGTAGGGTCTGTGTCTGGCCTTGCCATATGAAAACAAAGGGGCATCTGTGAGTATTATCTAAGTCGCATGGGGAAGGGTAGTTTTTTGCAGTAAATCATTTTCCATAATACAAGAGTGGGGAGTTTCTTTAACCTAATTTGTTTTGTAGGAGCACAGGGCTCAGGTATAATTCAATGTTGTCTATAATGTGTTTCATTAAAGCTCAAGAAATTAAGGTATCAAAGATAAGATAAGAGCTTCTTGGCTTAATAGCAAGATTATATATAAAACAGATTTTACTTGGTATGCAACATTAGTGTGATATGATGGGAATAAAAGGACAACTTTAGGCGCTATATTAATAGAAGTCTATCAGGAAGAGGGCTTAGTAGTCTATATTGTGGATTGTGCTGGTCAGAATATATCTGGAACAGCATGTTCAGTTCTGTATATGTGTGTTGCAGTTTTAGATTGACTTTAAACTTACATTTCTTATATTGTCTCTCTGCAAGGTAACTAGGCCTGTCTTTAAATATTTGAAGAACTGCCAGATCAAAGTGGGGTTATGTGTGTATCTTTTATAACTTCTGTGGTTAGAAACAGTCAGTGAATGGAAGTTGTGAATGGAAGTTATGAATGGCAGATTCTTGTTCAACCAAAGGAAGAATATTTTTACATTCTCCTTCTTCAGAGGAGTTCTAGTCACTGGAAGTAATCAAGCAGAAACTGAATGCACACCAATTGGAGGTGTTGTAGGGAGGGTTCTGCATTGGATGGGAGGTTTGGTCTAATTTCTTAATTCCTTCCCACCTCTATGATCCTGTGATTCTCCCAGCTGACCAGTTCAATCTACTTCTGATTCATCTTTCTTAGAGGTACTTTTTCCCTTCGAGTTTGTAGAGGATTCAGAGTCATCCTCAGCAGTACCAAGTGCTTATGACAGCACAGTGTTAGCTTTGGAAAAATGCATTTTACCTTATGTAAATGATCAAATGTCAGAGATGTTAGAGACCATATCTCTTAGCCAGCAGTCCCTGTCTTTCTACATTTTAGGTCCTCTGCTCTTCCACAACTTATAAAAACTGAGCTATTCTTCTGTATCCTTTGGTTTCCTTCTTCTCAGACTGATAGAAACATTTGTTTTTATTTCCATAGTGAGTGTCCTTGTTGTTGGTCATGAAGGATAGCAGAATATACCACCTCAAAATATGCCATTCTGGAATAAGGATTATTTTGAGCTCAAGGTAATAGAGAAAAAGCTGATACAAGAATAGGACTCTTTCCTCCCCCTATATGCTCCAAAGCAGGACATAAATTTGTAAAGGTGGCCCCTCTCCTCTCTCTACGAGGAAGGACAGAAATTAATCACCAGAGACAACTCTAGACCCTTATCAGCCCACAAAGGGCAACAGAGGAACCTATATAATGAACCTTTACTAACTTGCCCTTATCTTACATTAGCTCCCGAAAATGTTTACTTTCCCTCAATTTGCTGACTCCAAGAAGCTTAAAGTCTTTTTCCTTTGTCTTGTCAGTTTCTCTACAAAATGTATTCTTTTTAAGGTAGTATATAAACCCAAGTTCTAACCACTGTTGAGACTTCTGTTTTTCTCTTGTTAATTTATCTTTTGTCAGTCTAATTTACAGGGCGCCAGCCAATGAACCTAAGATGCATAAAGAAATAGGAACATTTTTCCGTCCCTATTGTCATAAGCACATACGTATTATTATATAGGCTATAACTGAGCTTAAAGTACTTTTTTCTTGTTAAAATGTTTTATCTGCTATGTAGGGTGGAAGATTCTTAACTGAGCCTCATAACAAAATGCAATAATCTTTTTGAGGGTCATACTTGCCCGTGGAAATCTTGGAGAAGCATGGAGACAATTAATCCCCAATCACACCTCAGTGTATATAAATACTCATAACCATCCTTAAGTGATTTTTTTACATGTGAGGAAGTTAGACTCAGTAATAATTAAAAGAGTTGGAAAAAAAGGAAAGTGGTGGAATCACCTTCATTGCTAGATTTAATTACTGGGAAACATTTCAAAAACTAATCTCTGCTGCTTAGAATTCTGGGTTTGGGTTAATTGACCCCTGAAACTGTTCCAGTGCTAGTTCTTTGGTATTATATTGCATATACCAAGGGAATAAATCATTTTATATGGATGTGGATGGATCATAAAGCAATAAAAATCCTAATGCTCTGGAGACAAATCCAGAGCTTTCTAGTGGTCAGCTTGCTTTTGAACCTCAGTGGGAGCTGCTCACCTGTGGTGCATGAATTGACCATTTCTAACTGCCAGATATCTCATTCCACAGTGAAGCTGGGTTCTGGAGAATATTTCATTTGCTTATTTTCAGTGGAATGGATTATATTCTTGGCCAGGAGGGACCACCAAATAAGACTCTTTCTTGTGCCTTTACCTACAACCCTTTTACACATAGGGAGATTTCCTGTTTAAAAAATATCCAAGGAAGATTGTCAATGCTTCTCCTAGTATAGCTGCAATACTTTGGACATTTTTTGTCTCATATCAAGTCCTAACTCCTTATGCTGCAGTTTAAACCATACTTATTTATTTATTCTTTCTCAGTAGAAGTTGGAGGATAAATAATGGAATCCAACACTTTAGTTATACAAATGAGGAAACTGAGGCCAAGAAAGATTAACTAAGAGGATTACCCCAGATAGCCCAAGTAAAAGTATGAAAAAGGTTCACATTAGAAGCTTTGGCTGTTTGTTTTTTCTCCTGCTTCAAGCTGCCACTGCAAAATCCTGTTAGGCCTTTTGGCTTTGCTCTTAATTCACCATATCCACGTTGGCATAAAAATCTACACAGATCTGGTTTTTCATCTAAGATTTTACCTTTAACATTGTGATCTGAGAGACCAAAAGAGATGGCCCTTTATCAACTAACAGGGACCCTAAGGTTAAAAAATATTACCTGTTGGTTGAGGGTTCAGGGCCTGACTGGCATGGCAAATTTTTAAATACTCCCCAAACTCCCTAACAATAGGAACTACCAGGCTGGTTTACAACCCAGACCACTACACCTCTGATTGGATGGAAGACTGGCCTTACAAGTATTCTTCTCTGATAAGAAATCATAGACCTTAAGCCATTTTCAGCCAGTTTATAGAGGGTGCACACAAACTGTCTTTGTATCCTATAGTTCATCTTTTGACATAAAGAACCAAATTCCATCTCACTTTAATGTATGTTACATGTATGTTTACCCATTGCATATGTGCTTGGCTCCACTCATAAATGTAATTTAGCTTTTCTTCCTACCCTGATGAAAATGTATGACTCTATTGTGTGATATGGAACCTGTGAAGCTTGAAACCCAGTTTGGCTTTCCCTCTTCAAAGAGAGCATCCTCAGTGCATGCTGGAGACTTTCTCCTCCTGGCTTGCAAACCAATATCACCAATAAGGCTCTCCTTTCTACTATTTAGCCATCCTGGTCATCTTTTGGATGACAACATTTTCAATTAATTAATTTAAATACATGAAAATACAATAATTTCATGGAGTACTTAAAACAGGATGATTAAAGTGACCTTGGATATGGGGCACCTGGCGTTTGATGAAAACCTGGAGGGGCAATAGGGATAGACAACAAACCTTTTTGAGTTGCATTTAACTTATTTTATTTATATTTTTCAGGAAAAATTCTATTTGATCTCTCACATTTATAAAACAAATCTTAGATAAAAATAGAAAGATCTCTGTCAAACAACTTGGCTTTGACACACCCCATAGAGTTCCCCACTGTCAATTACAAGACCCTGGATACTTTGGAAATGAAAAGCCTCTGATAGTGACTGCAGCATATTTTGATGATATGAATGTGAGCAAATAAATTGTTGGCATAGTCTTTTATAATTTTCCTCATCCAATGGTGATGATTAGAGAAATACTGCTGCTAATTGCATCCCCTGAAACATGTCGCCACTGGACTGTGACTGTCGTAAGTAAGCTCCAGTCCCTGGAGATGATGCTAATGGAAGAACATTGTAGATTCCATAGGATGAAGACAGGCAATCACCCTTTCTCCATAAGGTCATATTTCTGCATCTTCACTCCCTCATTTCAGGAAAGCAGTTTCCCTTCTCCTGGCCTGAACTTAGCACTTTACTTAGAATTTTGAAGTCACCACTTCTCTCCTGCTCTGGAACCTTGTGCCATCAATACCTCTATTCTCTTGCACATTCAATGCCCGCTTCTCCCATAGTCTTTTACCCTCAGCATGCAAACCTTTTTACATTTTTCCATGTAAGTTTGGAAAAGAAAATCTCCTTAATTCTGATATCTCCTGAAATTACACATACAAATTTAAAATAAGAGGCTTAATTCTCTCTGTTGAAAATAAGAAAAGACACTCCTCTCCTCTCTCTAATGTTTGAGAACTTCTTTCTACGTTCTCTTTGAATGTATGTAAATCTTTACAATCACTGAATAACACTCTCATCAGTCTCTCAACTCAGTAACATTTCAAGGACCTGGAAGGCATCTTTCTGAAACACAAACATCAAGAGAGATAACGTCCTTACCTCCTGTGGGAGGGAAAGAGCCTACCTTCAATGGGAGCCTCCCTCCAATTTGCAAAACTACCTCTTGTTATTAAGTTATAGGAAGTGTCAAACTAAAGAAACTAAAGTGTCCACATAAAGGCATTCAACTAATAAAGGGAATTTCCCCAATTTTCATAGTAAAGTTATGATGAATTATGTGTGACAAAAGGTGTTGTGGAATATTCTTATGTGAAGACTACTTATTGTTTATCTGAAAAACATATACATAATGGATTGTAGCTGCTTGGCTATATAAAAGTGTAAATTTTCTTTTCTCTTTGTAATGTCTTAACAGATTGCCTGTGATTTGCATGACATTCTGGTTTAATACTTATTCAATAATAAAACTTGTTTTTATCTCTCCTACCTTTGTAGAAAGATTTTCTGGGTTAGGAAAATATTTATTTTGTTTCTCTTAATTATATTTCCCCATCACTCCTAACTTGCCTAGCTTATTTCCCTTCATTTAATTTTAATTTACTTCAATTTTTTTTAGAGACAGGTTCTCACTCTGTTGCCTAGGTTAGAGTGCAGTGGCATGAAACTTGCTCACCGAAACCTTGAACTCTCAGGTTCAAGCAATCCTCCTTCCTCAGCCTCCCAAGTAGCTGTGACTACAGGTGCATGCCGCCACACCCAACTAATTTAATTCCCCTCTTTTTAGCAGCAAATTGCTTGAAGGCATATTATATACTGCTCTTTTCTCTCTTTGGCCTACTTACTCATTAGCCCAGTGGTTCTCAGACTTTGCTGCATGTTGAAATTATTTGATGAACTTTAAAAAATTCTGAAAGATACATTCTGATTTAATTAGCATGGGCATTGTGACTTGGGCATTGAGCTTTTAAAATGACTATCAGGTGTTTTTTACAATCTGTAGCAATGTTTGGGAACAACTGCATTAGCTCCCTTCTAATATGACTTCTGCTTACACTGATTGAAACTTTATTCTGAGGTTAAGAAGTAGATGAATCTAGGAGAAAACAGAGATGAGATTATACTCCTGCTCTACTATTTTCCTTCAACAAAGTTAAACATTTAGCCGAAAAAATACTCTCTCCTTGACCAAACTTTAGAGGGAATCCTTTGAGACCTGTTTTTGACTAAGTCTCAGCTTGGGCCTTGGCTTCACCCTGCCTAGTTCAGTTGGAACAAGAATCCTGCTAAGTCAATGTACGGGAAGAAACATAACTTTTTCTCCACCATTCATAGCTGTTAGTTGAAACAGACTCTTATAACGAAAGACAGAATAACAAGAAAAAATCAAATGAAAGTTCAATAACATGTAAACCTCGTGTATATGTGAGAGACACCCAGAGAAATGACTCAATATCAAAAAGGTGGTTTTGAATTCAGGCTTAAATACCATTGTCTGCTGAAACAGGGAAGGAAAGATACTGGAGAGACCAATAATAAGGATATGACCAGAAAAAGCAAAATAATTAAGTGTATAGTTTGTTATGCAGGTTTAACTTGCTATCTTCTCTACTGATAAGAGTCTTTAGTGATTTAAAGTCATCCTTCTTGTCCTGGTACAATAATGGATAGATGGAGATTTTCTTTATAGATGTAAATTTATCTTAAAAAATAGTAACTTCTATGTTGTTTTCAGAGATTCTTCTGTGTTTGCAGTTACTGAAAAAAATCAGCTCAAACTAATCCTTATGCCAAAAGGAGCATATTTGGGGGTGGCACATTCAGGTACTCCACAAATATATTTTGAGATTGCATATTTTGGTCTCCTATATCAGTTTGGAGAGAGTTTCCCACCCTTAGTATTTAATCACGTTCAATATTTGATCAAATTTCTTTTCCCTTACCCTTGATATTGGATAACCCTGTCTTACCTTCAGCAAGATTCCTAAGTCATTCTAACTAAGATTTCCCTACCATTGATGTTTCTTAGTAGTAATTCTCCATTCAATAACCCTACCACAAACTCTGTTCTTTGGCTATAAGTCCTCACTTATCCTGCTAAATTCACAATTGAGCTCAGCTCTATACTGAGATCTCTTTTTTCCTATTACAGTAGATCCTGAGTAAATATGTTTTTACTACTTTAACTACTTTCTGGCTCTGGTTTTCTTTAAGAAACCTCAGTTTTCTCAATATGTAAAATGGTTACAATAATGTCTTCTCTTATAGAATTGCAGTGAAGATTAAATGACAAATACATGTGAAATATTTAGTGTTCAATAAATATTATTAGCATGAGTTATCTCCTACACACACATCCAAGTTCTCTTTTTCCTCAGTACCTTCAAACTCTCTATGAATTCTTTTGCTGTTTACCATCCCTCCTTTAAAATCCTCTCCTCTTTTAGCTTCTGTTTTATTGCATTCTCCTGGTTCTTTGGTTACCTTTTTTACTTTTCCATCTCCCCCTTCCCTTTTCCCATATCCCAAGTGTAAATGACATAAGCATGTGGTTGGGCTCTTCTCTCCTTATACTCATCCTGTATAGTCGCATTCAGTGTCAGGAACTGCCAGTCTACCTTTTGTGTAAATGCATTCCAGAGCAGAGCACAGCACCTGATACCTGATCAATAAACTTTCAATAAACTTGTTGAAGGTATAATTTCTATGATTCTGATCATCACTGCTTCCTAATATTGCAAAGACCTGCTGAGTTGAATATCTCTACCTGGATGTTATGGTCTATCTTTATTTGTTTAGCTTTTTTCTGTGTTTCCTATTTCTTTTAATAGTGCAAACACCTCTCAGTCACAGAGACTTAAAAATGAAATAATCTTTGACTTCTCCCACCCCCTTGCCTACATAGCCAATTATTTGCCAAGTTGGGTCAATTGTAACTCAATGTAATTTGTTGAATATAGCCTTTTAATTAGCCTTGCAGCTTTTAGTTTCCTGGAAGCCAGCTATTAAAACAATTACTACATCTCCCACCCTGTCTTTTAAAGCAATAATTGTGAGAGTTTTTTAAAAAACCAGTAAAATGGTTTTTATCAAGCACAATTCTCAATTTGCACTCTAAGAGCAGATGCAGGCAAGAGAAATGTTTAGCAAACCTAATATAGGTATATGAATTATATTTTATATTATGAAACACTGGAAGTTTCAGAAAACATTCATAAGAAATGTTAAAGGGCAAAATTTAGTTTATTTAGCTATTAACAAAAATTTGAATGGTAGATATGGTGATGTCTGCCAGGAACAAAAAATGTAATATTTTTTACTGAAATATTTTTAAAGACACCATAGTAACTCCTGATATGAATAGATTTATTCATTTTCAAGGAAAAAAGATAATTGAATCATTGTTAGGTTACTGATATACAATTGTTATCGAACATATTTGCTGGTATTTAGTTGCTGGTATTTAGTTTTCCTATATTACTGAGAATAGGGCCACTGCATAGCAAATCTCTACTGTGCACTTTTCCCATTGAACACTTCGATGCTCCTCAGAGTTGTGCAACGTGGTGGCAATTGTGGCTGAATTATATAGGCTTCAATTTGATAACCTAATTTCCTCCCTCAAGAATCTAGATAAAGGAGAGCAAAGTAAACCCAATGCAAACAGATGGAAGGAAATGATAAATACAAGATTGTAAACCAGTGGAATTGAAAACAAGAAAACCATGGAGAAACTTAGTTAAAAAAATAAGTTCTTTGATTTGAAAACTTAGTAAGATTGGTAAATCTCTAGCAATACTGACAAGAAAAAGAAAAAAAGAAAAAACATGAATCACCAATGTTAAGAATAAAACAGATTTAAGTACAGACCCTGAAGACATCAAAAATATAATAAGCAAATGTTACAAACACTTTACACCTAAAAATTTGATTATTTAAATGAAATGGACCAATCATTTGAAAAACATAAACTACCACAACTCACTGAATATCAAATAATTTGAACTGCACTATAACTATTCAAGGAATTGGTTTTGTAATTTAAAAGCTGCCAAAAAAGATATTTCTAGGTATAGATGGTTTGACTTGAGAACTCTACCAAAAATTTCTTCCAGAAAGTAGAAGAGGAAAAACTACTTGCCAGCTCATTTTAGGAGGTCAGTATTCACTTGATACCAACCTGAAAAAGACTGCACGAAGCAAAACTACAGGGCCGGGCGCGGTGGCTCATGCCTGTAATCCCAGCACTTTGGGAGGCCGAGGCGGGTGGATCATCTGAGGCTAGGAGTTCGAGACCAGCCTGACCAATATGGTGAAACCCCGTCTCTACCAAAAATACAAAAATTAGCTGGGCGTGGTGGCGTGCACCTATAGTCTCAGCTACTTGGGAGAATTGCTTGAACCTGGGAGGCAGAGGTTGCAGTGAGGCAAGATTGTGCCACTGCTCTCCAGCCTGAGCCACAGAGTGACACTCCATGTCAAAAGAAAAAAAAAAAAACTACAGACTTAAAATCTTTATGAATACCCATACAAATATCCTTAATAAATAGAATTTAGCACTATATAAGGAGAATTATACAGCATGACTAAATGTTGTTTATTCCAAGGATGAAAGGCTATATCAACTTTTTTTTTAAAATTTGCTGTAACATATCATATCAATAGATTGAAGAAGAAACATCACGTGATATCAATTGATGAAGAAAAAGTATTGAAAAAAATGATGTATTTTGATGATAAAATTCTCAGAGAGGAATACAAGGAAACTTCCTTAATTTGATAAAGAGCATTCTTAAAAATCTGCCTTTAACATTATACCTAAGATGGGACACAAGGCAAGGATATCTGTTTTCACTGCCTTTATTCAAAATACTGCTGGAAGCCAGTGTGGTGAAGCAAGAAAAGAAAGAAAAGGTATACAGTTTAGAGAGGAAAAAATAAAACTGTCCCCATTTTCAGATGACATGATTGTCTATGTAAAGCATCCCAAGGAATCTACCCCCAAACCCCACAAAACCTTCTAGAAGTAATAAGCAAGTTTAGCAAGGTTGCAGTATACAATAAACCATATAAAACCAACTGTATTTCTATATACTAGTAATAAATACATAGACAACAAAATTGAAAATACACCATTTTCAGTCACCAAAAAAAGTGAATCATGGAACATACACCAAGGTTGACCACATGCTTGGCCATAAAGCAAGTCTCAATAAATTAAAAAAAAATCAAAACCATACCAACCATACTATTGGACCACAGTGGAATAAAAATAAAAATAAATACCAAGAAGATCTCTCAAAACCACCCAATTGCATGAAAATTAAACAACTTGCTTTACTTTTGGGTAAACAAAGAAATTAGGGGTGAAATAAAAAAAAACTTTGAAATAAATGAAATGAGAGACACAATATATCAGAATCTCTGGGAAGCAACAAAAGCAGTGTTAAGAGGAAAGTTTATAGCATTAAAAACTTACCTCAAAAAGTTAGAAAGATCTCAAATTAACAATCTAATATTACATCTAGAGGAACTAGAAAAACAAGAACAAACTGACTCCAAAGCTAGGAGAAGAAAAGAAATAACTAAAATCAGAGTGGAACTGAACAAAATTGAGAACGAAAAATCCATACAATCAACAGAACCAAAAGTTTGTTATTTGAAAGGATAAACAAGATTGATAGACCACTAGCTAGATTAACAAAGAAAAATGTATATTTGCAAGCCACAAAAAATAGTTTTAGATGTGACAACTAAGTATAATGTAGTATCCTAGGTGGGATTCAGAACAGAAAAAGAGATTATGTAAAAACAATGGAAACCCAAAGTATGGAGTTTAGTTATAATAACGTATCACTATTGGTTCATTAATTATGATAGTGATACCCAACTGATGTCAGATGTTAATAAAAGAAACTGAGTGTAAAGTACATCAAAACTCACTGTATCATCTTCACAACTTTTCTGTAAATCTAAAGTTATTCTAAAATTAAAAGTTCATTTAAAAATGTTGGATAAATTTAGAGTTAAATTGTAAACATTGTCACTATTTTTAGGGCTTAATTGCATGGTTTTCAGAGAATGGAAGATTTCTAAACATGATGTTTTTGATTAGAAGTGTGCTAATTAATGTTTCAATTAAAAAATGGCTGTTTTTTTTCCCCCAAAGTCTGATTGTTCAGAGCCACAGAGACTAAAATAGACAAAGGGATAAAAGGGGAGCCTAAAGACAGCTTTGATTCAGCTTAGGCATTTAGAATGCCCAACATGCAGTGCAGAATGTTATTTTCTCTGTTTATTTTAGAAAAGTGTAGAAATAAATTGTTCCCTTGAGGGACACTATGTATGTTGTATCAAAAACATAATTCTGAGTATTGTTTCAGTACATGTAGTCAACAGTTTTTAGGACTCTAAGTGATATTCTAGGAGGCAAAGGGGTATGTTTGGTGGAAATTACCCTGGAACTCAAGAAATAACAGTAATATGGACTCATTTTCTCTTCTCAAGGTGTGTGGCAACCATTTGAAAAGGTACAAATTCCATTTAGAAAAACATCTTTCTCAACTTTCAGGGGTGGGCATTTCACGCATGATGTACTGCCTTTTGACAAATGTGAGGACTTCTCAAGGGAAGTGATGCAAATATTTTGAGTCATGTGATCAGGGTAGCCATTTAATTTCAACTTCATTCGATTTAGATTACTTAGGCAGTCTCTAATAGCACAGAATGAGAGAAGAAGCAAAGCAAAATGGGCTTCCCTCACTGGCTGCTAAAATGTCCTTCAATGGGACTTCTCTGGCAAAGGCTTAATTTAAGTTCATAGTTACAATGATTTAGAGATAAGGTTGAGGAAAGAAAATCAAAGTGCACAGAAATCTCTTGAATCTGTTCAGTGTTCACATAGGCTGGGAATAACCCATTTGACCCAAAATTCTAGGCTATTCTTAATGTAAATCTGCTTTCATGTTATCTAGCTTAGGGTCTGGCTGCTTACTTAACGTTGATAAGGGATTCCTTGAGCTACATAGCAATCAAAAGGTGGTATTTGGTCGGGCACAGTGGCTCACGCCTGTAATCCCCGCACTTTGGGAGGCCAAGGAGGGTGGATCACGAGGTCAAGAGTTTGAGACCAGCCTGGCCAATATGGTGAAAACCTGTCTCTACTAAAAATACAAAAGTTAGCTGGACGTGGTGGCGGGCGTCTGTAATCCCAGCTACTCAGGAGGCTGGGGCAGGAGAATGGTTTGAACCCAGGAGGTGGAGGTTGCAGTGAGCCCAGATCACGCCATTGTACTCCAGCCTGGGCGACAGGGCAAGACTCCATCTCAAAAAAAAAAAAAAAAAAAAAAAAATGTGGTATTTGTTGCCTGCTTTCTTCACATAGTTCACATAGTAGTGGTGATAAGAGTGTGTTGGAAGAGAAGAGAGACTGCAAAGAAATATTTTTCTGAAATGTTCATCTCAAGAACTCTTTGTCCTCCTGGAGGAATCAGGTCTAGTACTAAGAAACTATAGTTCACATCCAAGAGAGTTTTTAAAAGATTGCTACACTAAACTGCAGAGATGGTTCGTATAGCATATTTAATGCTGCTATTGAATTTTACAGATCTTTAAAGACTACAAGTTGTTTTGGATTTTCTGTATTTCTGTAACTTCCGTAAATGCGTTAGCAAATTCCTGTTTATTTCTAAAAGGTGTGAGTGGGAGTGGGGAAAGAGGAAGGTCTTTATCTCCAACAGTTTCCGTTAGTGTATACCAAGTAATTTAATTTTTTCCACTGTTCTGCTTGCAATCTCTTCATTCCTACATTCGTTCTACATAATTAAAAATTATTCCTTACAAATCTGTCTAATGAGTAATGACTTTACCATCAAATCCCCAGACTCCTGCTGAGTTGAATTATAGAGAGGCAGTTAAATTTGCCTGAAAGGCAGTCGTTATAACTTTTGGAACCAGAGAAGTGAGACTGAGAAATGTAGTCCAGTATGATCTTTTAGACCCATAGGAATTTCATGTGTGTATGCAGAAGCACACGCATATCATGCAAGACAGGGCTAAGTCTGTCTAAATTAAGTGACTATGAGATATGCTAAGGGATTGTATTATTGTTAATTAAGAAATGATCATTTTTATTCTGAAAATCCCATTTCTCCTGGTCAGATTATTATATAGGTATCCTATTTTTATGCTATATTTTTCTAAAAGCATTTATAAGCACTTTTGTAAAAAAAAAAAAAAAAAAAAAAAAAAGGAAAGACAATACCATTTGAAATATACTAAGGGCACTTGGTATACCGTACCACTATTTTTCATTTCTGAAAGTAATTAGAGAAGATTTACAGTAGAGCCACCCTTACTAATTAGTACTAATAAATACACTTACAGTATTTGGAACCCAACACATTGCATAATATTAGATTAATAGGCACTTTATTTAGTTTCTTAAAGGCAAAAGTTAAGACATTATTTATATATGTGTATATATGTTTGTGTGTATTGTGTATACATACAGTTTACATAAAATAAAATGAACATATATAAGTATACAGTTCACAGAGTTTTGAAAAATATGTACAATCATGTACTACATAACAATATTTCAGTCAACGATGGACTGGATAATATGAAGGTGATCCCATAATATTATAATGAGCTTAATCATTCCTATCACATAGTGACGTTGTAGCCATTGTAACGTCGTAGCATAATGCATTACTCATGTGATTGTGGTGATGCTGGTATAAATAAACCCATAGCTCTGCCAGCTGTACAAAAGTATAGCACGTACAATTAGGTACCCTACATAACACTTGATAATGAGGATAAACAACTGTGTTACTGGTTAATGTATTTAGTCTACTTTTTATTATTATTTAAGAGTGCACTTCTTCTATTTAGAAAAAAAGGTAACTGTAAAACAACCTCAGGAAGGTCTTTCAGGAGGTATTCCAAACGAAGGCATTGTTATCATAGGCTCCACGTGTGTTACTGTCCTTGAAGATTTTCCAGTAGAACAAGATGCGGAGGTGGAAGACAGTGATAATTGATGATTGTAACTATGGTAACTATGTGTAGACCTAGGCTAATATATGTGTTTATATCCTAGTCTTTAGTAACAAAGTTTAAAAAGTAAAAAAAGAAATAATAAAATATTGAAAGTAGAAAAAACTTCTAGAATAAGAATATAAAGCATTTTTTACAGCTTTACAATGTGTGTTTCAAGCTAAGTGTTGTTACCAAAGCATCAAAAAGCTAAATAAGTTCATAAAGTAAAAAAGTTACAGCAAGATAAGGTTAATTTATTTTTGAAAAAATATTTTAAATACATTTAATGCAGCCTAAGTGTACGGTGTTTATAAATTCTGCAGTAGTGTGCAGTAATGTCCTAGGCCATCACATTCCCTCACCACTCACTCACTGACATACCCAGAGCAACTTACAGTCCTGCAAGCTCCATTCATGGTAAGTGCCCTATATAGGCGAACTATTTTTATCTTTTATATAGTATTTTTACTATACCTTTTCTGCACTTAGATATGGTTAGATACACAAATACTTACCACTGTGTTACAACTGCCTACAGTATTCAGTACAGTAACCTGCTGTATAAGTTTGTAGCCGAGAAGCAAAAGGCTGTATCATAAAGCCTATGTGTGTAGAAGGTGATACCATCTAGGTTTGTATAAACTGTGATGTTTGCACCAAGACAAAATTGCCCAGTGACACACTTCTCAGAATGTATCTCTATCATTATGTAAGGTGTGATTTTGTACCCATGGAACTGCCACCTTAATTAAAATACAGAACATTATCATCACCATAGAAAGCTTCATCCTACATCTCTGCAGCACTCATTCTCACCCCCACCCCAAACTAACTATAAATTACCTCTGCAAGTTCTAAATTTCATATAAATGGAATTATGCAGTATGCACTCACCTTTTTGTCAGTCTTCTTTTGCTCAGCATAAGGCTTTCGAAGTTCATCCAGGTTTTTGTGTGCATCAGCATTTGCATCCTATTTGTTATTGAATAGTATTCCATTGTACAAATATACTAGAATTTGTTTATTCATTCTTCTATTGATAGACATTAGAGTTGTTTACAGTTTTGTGGTATAATGAATAAAGCTACTACGTGCAGGTCTTTTTGTGGAGCTGGAAGGAAACATATACCATCTGTCTCAATTTTCCTTTTTTTCTATTTCTCTTGACTAAATACCTGGAAGTGGAATTGCTGCCTTCTATGTTAAATATATGGTAAATTATCAGAAAATGACAAACTATTTTCCATAGTGTTTGTATACCAGCAATTTATATGACTTACAGTTGTATGAGACCCTTGCTAACACTTGGTGCTTTCAGCTTTTTAAATTTTAGCCATTCTAGTGGGTATGAAGTGGTATATCATTGGGGATTTTTATTTATATTTCTCTAATTGAAGTGTTTGTTCTATTTAAATTTCTAAGAATATTGGTGCCAGGAATAATCCTAGGAAGCAGACACAGACACTAAAATTGTATTTCAGAACTGGGTTATTTGGCAGTCCAGCTAGCAATGAGTAATCCTAGCTATGGCAGCATGTGGAGTATGGATAGCCCTTAGTATGTTATGATGCAGTTATTAAAACTTTCGGCAGCATGTGGAGTATGGATAGCCCTTAGTATGTTATGATGCAGTTATTAAAACTTTCGGCCGGGCGCGGTGGCTGATGCCTGTAATCCCAGCACTTTGGAAGGCCGAGGCGGGCGGATCACGAGGTCAGGAGATCGAGACCATCCCGGCTAAAACGGTGAAACCCCGTCTCTACTAAAAATACAAAAAATTAGCCGGGCGTAGTAGCGGGCGCCTGTAGTCCCAGCTACTTGGGAGGCTGAGGCAGGAGAATGGCGTGAACCCGGGAGGCGGAGCTTGCAGTGAGCCGAGATCCCGCCACTGCACTCCAGCCTGGGCGACAGAGCAAGACTCCGTCTCAAAAAAAAAAAAACAAACAAACAAACAAAAAAAAAAAACTTTCATCACTGGATGTGATACTAGTGGAAGGGTGGCCTAATGTTTGATGCAATATTTCTTTGGCACTTCAAAGGTATAAGTTTCATTTGAGTTTACCTTATACCTATCACTTGTTCACTTTGGGCTCTTCATGCCAGAAGATCATCAGGCAAGGAAAGGAGTTATCAACTGGCAGAGATAATTGACCCCAGTCATCAAGAAGACAGGTAGGGCTGCTATCACACAGTGGGAGCAGGGAGGAATATGTTGGATACTCAGGGATAACTTGCTGGTCCCATATTCAGTTTTAATTGTAAATGGACAAGAACAGAAAATATAACATGAGAAGGACATGGTGAATAAAGGCTCAGTTCCCTTGAAGATAACAGTCTGGGTCACACCACCAAGCAAGCTTACTAGACTGGCAAAGGTGCTACCCACCAATGAGTGAAATATGGAATTGGTAACAGAAAAAGGGGCTGTTGATTGTCAGTTATAGCCTTAATATCAGTTGTAGCAGTGTAGATTTACCAGTATTCTGTCTTATCAATACTTCTATGTTTCACTGAAAAACAGAACCATCTAGATTGCTGAATAACTCTTCCTAGATGGGGAAAATATTTTAAAAAGCAAGAATGTATGACCTATACTTACATGGTTTGGCTGGGTCCCCACCCAAATCTCACTCATCTTGAATTCCCACGTGTTGTAGGAGGAAACTGGTGGAAGGTGATTGAATCATGGGGGAAGGTTTTCCCATGCAGTTCTCATGATAATAAGTGAATCTTATGAGATCTGATGGTTATTATAAAAGGAAGTTTTCCTACACAAGCTCTCTTTGCCTGCTGCCATCCACGTAAGATGTGACTTGCTCCTCCTTGCCTTCCGCCATGATTGTGAGGCTTCCCCAGACACGTGGAACTATAAGTCCAATTAAACCTCTTTCCTTTGTAAATTGCCCCGTCTTGGGTATGCCTTTATCAGCGCACGAAAAATGAAATAATACAGTAAATTGGTACCAAGAGTAGGGCACTGCTGAAAAGATACCTGAAAATGTGGAAGTAACTTTGGAACTGGGTAACAGGTAGAAGTTGGAACAGCTTGGAGGGCTCAGAAGAAGACAGGAAAATGTGCGAAAGTTTGGAACTCCCTAGGGACTTGTTGAATGGCTTTGACCAAAAGCCTGATAGTGACATAGACAAGGTCCAGGCTGAGGTGATCTCAGATGGAGATGAGGGACATTGTTGGGAACTGGAGCAAAGGTGACTCTTGTTATGCTTTAGCAAAGAGACTGGCAGCATTTTGCCCCTGCCCTGGAGATTAGTGGAACTTTGAACTTGAGAAAGATGATTTAGGGTATCTGGCAGATGAAATTTCTAAGCAGGAAAGCATTCAAGAGGCCACTTGGGTGCTGTTAAAGGCATTCGGTTTTATAAGGGAGCAGAGCATAAAAGTTTGGAAAATTTGCAGCCTGAAAATGTGATAGAAAAGGAAAATCCATTTTCTGAGGAGAAATTCAAGCCAGCTCCAGAAATTTGCGTAAGTGATGAGGAGCTGAATGTTAATCCCCAAGACAATGGGGAAAATGTCTCCAGGGCATGTCAGAGGTCTTCACAGCAGCCCCTCCCACTACAGGCCCAGAAGCCTACGAGAATATAGTTTTGTGGGCCAGGCCTAGGGTCACCGTGCTGTGTGCCGTCTAGGGACTTGGTATCCTGCATCCCAGCCATTCCAGCTGTGACGAAAAGGGGCCAAGGTACAGCTCAGGCAATTGCTTCAGAGGGTGGAAGCCCCAGACCTTGGCAGCTTCCATGTGGTGTTGAGCCTGTGAGTGTGCAGAAGTCAAGAATTGGGGTTTGGGAACCTCTGCCTAGATTTCAGAGAATGTATGGAAATGCCTGGGTGTCCAAGCAAAAATTTGCTGCTGTAATGAGTTAAGATATTGGGGGACTGTTGGGAAGGCATGATTGGTTTTGAAATGTGAGGAAATGAGATTTTGGAGGGGCCAGGGGAAGAATGATATAGTTTGGCTGTGTCTTCACCCATATCTCATTTTGAATTCCCACGTGTTGTCGGGGGGACCTGGTGGGAGGTGATTGAATCATGAGGGCAGGTCTTTTCCATGCTGTTCTCGTGATAGTAAATGAGTCTCAGGAGATCTGATGGTTATTATAAGAGGGAGTTTTCCTGCACAAGCCCTCTTTGCCTGCTGCCATCCACGTAAGATGTGACTTGCTCCTCCTTGCCTTCTGTCATGATTGAGAGGCTTCCCCATCCACGTGGACCTGTAAGTCCAATTAAACCTCCTTACTTTGTAAATTGCTCAGTCTCAGGTATGTCTTTATCAGCAGCATGAAGATGAAGTAATACATATACAAAGGGTAATCTGTAGTGTTGGATAATCTGTAGATCCTTCCTCTATTTATCCACCTCCCCCACAAGAACTGCCCTTGATCACAGAGAATGACCTGAATGTATGCCACCTCCAAGCTGTTGAATTACATCAAATGACTATTCAAAGATACAAAGGCATAGCTCCATTGCCTCAAGTAGGAACAACTCTAAAGGGTGATCACAAAAGGGTGATCCACAGCTCCAGAGTTTTCCATAGGACCTGCTCAGGTATTGGTTGCAACTTCATTGTGGCCAGCTTTGCTGTCTACCTTCTTACTTTATTTCAGAACATTTGCCGAAAACCTTTGCCTATAACTGTCTGTTTGAATCTTTTTCATGGGAACCAAAACTAAGGCTGTGTTTTAATTCTCTTCTCTTGTTTGGCATACAATTCTAATTGGCGAATAATATTTTTTAGAGCTTTGAAGCCCTCCTCTATTGCAGATATAAAGTCTCAAGCCAGTCCAATTTTAATTTCTACATAGATGATTCATGTTTTCTCTGTAGAAGTGTTTAGGAGCTTCTTTTCATCAATGGTGCTTTGAAAATTCAAAAGGATGTATAATGATGTGAGTATTTTGTCATTAATTAAGATGATTTCTTACTAGGCTCATATAATTTCAGGATTCATGTCCTTATACTGTGGGGAATTTGATTGTATTATTTATTTATTCCCTCACTTTTATTTTCTCTCACTTTTTTTCTGAAACATCTATTAGGTGGATATTGTAATTCCTATGTTGATTCTTTCTATATTTGTGGACACATTTTTACATCTTTGTTCTATCGTTTTGGAGATTTTTTCAATTTAATTCTCCTGTCTCTACAGAGGTTTTATTATTATTATTAGTAGTAGTAGTAGTAGTAGTATTACTTTTTGAGAAGGAGTCTTGCTCTGTCCCCCAGGCTGGAGTGCAGTGGTGTGATCTCAGCTCACTGCAACCTCTGCCTCCCAGGTTCAAGTGATTGTCTTGCCTCAGCCTCCTGAGTAGCTGGGACTATAGGCACCTGCCAACATGCCCGGCTAATTTTTCTATTTTTGGTAGAGACACAGTTTCACCATGTTGGCCAGGCTGGTCTCGAACTCCCGACTTCAAGTGATCTGCCTGCCTTGGCCTCCCAAAGTGCTGGGATTACAGGTGTGAGCCACTGCGCCCAGCCTTCTATAGGGGTTTTAATTTTGCAATCATAGTTTTCTCTCTGTAAAAGCTGTTTGTATGGTCTGATCATACCTGTGTGGTAGTATGATATTCTTGGTTAATGGTTACAATGTCAACTTTTTAAACTTGTATTATAGAAAGATTCAAATCCATATGAAATTAGAGAGAGTAATTGTCTTCACTCATTTGTGGTGCTATAGCAAAATACCTTAGATTGAGTAATTCATAAATAATGTAAATTTATTTTTCATGGTTCTGGAGGCTGGGAAGTCCAAGATCAAGTTGCTAGCAGATTCAGTGTCTGGTCAGGGCTTGCTCTCTGCTTTCAAGATGACTTCTCTTGCTGCAATCTTACATAATGGAAGGAGTGAAAAAGGTGTAAACTCTGTGGTGTCCTCACATGGTAGAAGGATCAAAAAGCCAGGCAGCTGTCTGAAGCCTCTCTTGTAATGCTGTTAATCCCATTCATGAGGGTGGAGCTTTCATGACTTAATGGCTTCCCAAAAGGCCTCACCTCTTTGAACCACCACAATGAAGATTAAATTTTATCATGAATTCTAGAGGGACACAAATATTCAAACCATAATATTTTGCCTGTGGACCTCTAAAATTTATGGCTTTCTCATATACAAAATACATTCATTTCATCCCAATAGTACCCAAAGTCTTAAATTGTTTCATTATGAACTCACAATTTCAAAGTCCAGAGTCTCATCCAAATATCACCTAAATCAAATATGGATGAGATTCAATGTATGTTTTATCCAGAGGCAAACTGCTTTTCACCTGTGACCCTGTGAAATCAAACAATTTATGTGCTTCCAAAATACAATGGCATAACAGACATATGATAGACATTCCCATTCCAAAAGAGAAAAATAGGCAAGAAAAAAGGAGTAATTGGTCCCAAGTGAGTCCAAAACCCAACAAGGAAAACAACATTAAATCTTGAAGTTTGAGAATAATCTTTGACTCCAGGCCCTCCTTTCTGGAAACAATGGGGTGGAGTTGGGCCCCCAAGCTCCTGGTAAGCTCCACTCCCATGGCTTTGGTGGCTGCATCCCATATATCAGCTCCCACATGTTGGAGTCACATGTCAACAGTTTTCCCAGGCTGAAGTTGCATGCTGATGGCTATACTGGTCTTAGGTCTTGGAGACGTCCATGCCCCTAAGGCTTCACTAGGCATTGTTACAGTCGGTGCTCTTTGTGGTGGTCCCAAACTCACAGCTCTGCTGGGTATTGCTTTACTGGGGACTCTCTGTGGAAGCCTTACCACATGGCTCTGCTAGGCATTGCTTTATTGGGATCCTCCATGACAGCCCTCCTTTCTGGCAGTTCTTTGCCTGGACCCCAAAGCTCTTTAAGGCATCCTTTGAAATCTAGGTGAAGGTAGCCATGTGTCCACAATGTGAGCAAAGTTTGCATCATGTGGACACCACCAAGATTTACTACTGGTGTTCTCTGGAGTGGCAGTCCAAGCCATACTTGTGCCTGTTTGAGCCACAGATAGAGTCACTGAGGAGCCATTGTACCAGAATGCATGGAGGAGAATCATGAGGTATGCCCCAAAACTTAGAATTCTGGGCCCTTGGTGGGAGTGGCAGTCTTGAAGATCTCTGCAATGCCTTTGGGGTCATCCTTCCATTGTCTTTATGAATAGAGTCTGGTTTCTTTCTCTCTATACTCTTGGCGTTCTTTCCTGAATACCTTTTTCTATTCTTTACATGGCCAGGTTGAGAATTTTTCAAATTTTTAAGTTCTGCTTTCCTTTTGATTATAAATTTCATCTGTAATTCATTTCTCCCTTTTCACATTTTACTGACAAGTGGTCAAAATAGGCCATGCCACATCCTCAACACTTTGCTGACACATTTGTTCCACCAAATATTCTATTTCATTGCTTTTACGTTTTCCTTCCACAAATTAATGGAATATGGACACAATGCAGCCAGATTCTTTGCCATTTTGTAGTAAGGATGGCCTTTCATCCAGTTTCTAGTAAAACGTCTCTTATTTCCATCTAAAACATCATCAGAATGGCCTTACCATGCACATTTCTACCAGCATTCTCATCATGACCACTTAGATAATTTCTAGGAAGATGTAGGCTCTCTCCACAGCACTCCACTCCTAAATCCAAACAAATCACTCTTATACTTTGTTCACAGCAATCTAGGCTTTTTCTAGCAAGCATATCCAAACTCTTTCACCCTGTACCAATTACCAATTCCAAAGCCATGTCCACATTTTTAGGTATTTCTCATGGCAAAACCAGATTTCTTTGTACCAATTTCTGTCTTCATCAGTTCATGCTGCTACAACAAAGTGCCTGAGACTGGACAATTCATAAAGAACAAAAATTTATTTCTCAGAATTTGGGTGGCTGAAAAATTGATGATTAAGGTTCTGAAATTCAGTGTCTGGTAAGGGCCTTCTTGCTGCTTCCTCACATGGTGGAAGGGCTGAATTCTGTGTCCTTACTTGGTGGATGTAGAAAGGGCAAAAAGGTTAGCTAGTTCCCTGAGCCCTTGTTTAAAAGCACCTAATCCCATTTGTTAGAGTGGAACTCTCATGATTTAATCACTTTCTAAAGACCCTACCTCTTAATATTGTTGCATTGGAGACTAAGTTTCAATATGAATTTTAGAGGAGATACAAACATTAAAACCATAGCAATGGTAAGCATATTTTCTGCAAGGACACTAAAAATACCCAATGAGGAAAGGAAAACCTCTACAATAAATGGTATTGGAAAAACTTAATATCCACATGTATTAAAATGAAGTTGTTTTCTTACACTGTTTGTTTACACTATACGGATGCTCTTCAACTTTTGATGGGGTTATGTCCCAATAAGCTCATCATAAGTTAAAATAGCATAAATTGAAAGTGTGATTTTGATGTAAGATATTTTCAACTTATGATGAGTTTATTCAGATATAACTCCATCATAAGCTGGGGAGCGCGGTGAATGCATATCACTTTCACACCATCATAAAGTAGAGAAATTATATGTCAAACCATTGTAAATTAGGGACCATCTATACACAATAAATCAACTCAAAATGGATTAAATATACATAAGACCTGAAACCATAAAATTCTTTGGAGAAAACATAAGGAAAAATGTTTTTAACATTGGTCTTGGCAATGATTTTTTGAATATGACACCAAAAGCACAAGCAACAAAAACAAAAATAAATAAGTTGAATTACATAAAACTAAAAAGCTTCTGTGCAGCAAAGGAAACAATCAACAACAACAAAATACAACCTATATATTGAAAGAAAATATTTGCAAACCATATAACTAATAAGGAGTGAATCTAATATATAAGGAACTCATATGACTGAATAGCAAAAATCAAATTGCCCAAGTGAAAAATGGGCAAACCATCTGAATAGAAATTTCTCTAAAAAAGACATACAAATAACCAATAGGTATATGAAAAGGTATATTATTAATTATCATTATTAATCATCACTAAAATGTAAATCAAAACCACAATGAGATATCACCTCACCCCTATTAGGATGGCTGTTATTTAAAAACAAAAGATAAGCGTTGGTGAAGATGTGAAGAAAAGTTGTACACTGTTAGTGGGAATGTGAATTGGTATAACAATTATGGAAAACAATATGAATCTTTTAAAAAACATTAAAAATATAACAATACAATTTAGCAATCCCTTTTCTTGGTATATATTTAAATGAATTGAAGTCAGAATCTCAAAAAGATATCTGTACTATAGATATCTTTACTAAAGATATCTACACTATAGATATCTATATCTATAATGTACCATGTTTATTGCAGCATTATTAACAATAGCCAAGGTGTGGAAACAATCTAAATATCTATTGAAAGAACAATGGATAAATAAATTATAATATGTATGCACAATAGAATATTCTTCAGCCTCAAAAAAGAAAATCCTATCATTTGTGACAATATGAATGGACCTGGAAGAAACCGTATTAAGTAAGATAATCCAGACTCATAAATACAAATATTGTATGATCAATCAACCGTATAGGTAGAATCTAAAATAGCCAAACTTATAGAAGCAGAGAAGAGAATGGTGGTTTTCAGGGGCTGAAAGGAGGAGGAAATGGGAAGGTGACAGCAAAGGGTACAAAGTTTTACTTATGCAAGATAAATAAATTATTGAGATATACAGCATAATGACTATAGTAACCAATACTATATTATATACTTAAAATTACTGAAGTTACATTAAGTGTTCTTACCAAAAATTTATCAATGACAACTGTAATAATAAAGGGGGTGGGAGGAAATGTTGGGAGGTGATGGATATATTTATGGAATTGATGGTGGTGATGGTTTCACTGGTGTACACTTATCGCCAAACTCATTGAGATGTATACACTAAATATGTGCAGCTTTTTATATGTCAATTATAGCTCAACAAAATGGATAAAAACCACAGTAATTTATATATCCTTAGTGAAATATAGCTAAAGACTCTTTTTATATAGTAATATTATTAGTAATAATATTGATATTATGAAACTAGTATGCATGTATATAAAAAGCAAACGAGTAATTATATTACTGTGGTAATGTAATTAGGAGTCTATGTTTTCAGTATAAGAGAACACAAATAGAAAATCAAAGAAATGAAGTAAAAACATGTAATCCTAGATTTTAACTGAAAAATACCAGTATGAACTCATGATATTTTATTGCTATTTCCTTAGCTCTGTCCACTAAAAAGTTCATCCAGTAGCGAGGAACAGCCTTAATGTCTACATCATTGTTCCTAATACTATTTTCCACTTAAAGTACCAGAGATATTTAAATAAATAGATGATTCCAAGTTGGAAGCAAGAAATATATAAGATGGAAAGAAAGATCTCATAAATAAAAAACAAGAAAACTATCAAAAACAACTCAAATTATGTCAAAGCTCAAGAGCCCACTTGAATAGTCTCTCACTGACCAAAAATGGGACAATTTGTGCATAAAGAAAAATAACAACTACAATGGATTAAATTATACAACATAATTAAAATTATGAGTTCTTAATAACATATTGAAAAATCATTAGTCACCTCTGAAGGATGTGATAGTACTAAATTAATATTTTGACTTTTGGTGAATGCCAGAATTTCAGAGCAAAGTAACCCAGCAATTAGTCTGTATTTATTGCAGAAACTGGTTCTTATTGTAACCAATTATTGATGAAGGACTGTTTCTCTCTAGAGAAGTCTTTTAAAAATTATTAAGAAGTAATAGATTAAGAACATCCCCACTTTGTACCCCTAATAATATAAACGGATCTAACCTTTATTGATCTGGTGAAACAAACTATGTAAGAAAACAAAAAGTGTGAGATGATTAGAGAAAATTGAACACTAGATTTTTGATATTAAGAAATTATTGTTAGCATTTAGGTGTAACAATTATGTTTAATGATATGAAAATTATTTATAGATGAAATTATATGCTGCTGAAATTTACATCAAAATAATTTAGAAGAAAAGTGAGTACATTTATAGATGAAACAACATAGGTCATACATTGATAATATTAAAGCTGAACGATAAATAAATGAAGGTATGCTGCTATATTATTACTATGGTTTGAATATTTGTTTTCCTCCAAAATGTATGTTGAAACTTAATCTTCACTGTATTAAAAGATGGGACCTTTTGGAAAGTGATTAAGTCATGAGGGCTTCACCCTTGTGAATGGGATCAATGCCCTCATAACACAGGCTTCAGAGAGCTGCCTGTCTTTTAAATCCTTCCACCATGTGAGGACACAGAGTTTATCCCTTTTTCACTTCTTCCACTATGTAAGATTGCAGCAAGGGGAGTCATCTTGAAAGCAGAGAGCAAGCCCTGACCAGACACTGAATCTGTTGGCAACTTGATCTTGGACATCCCGGCCTGCAGAACCATGAGAAATAAATTTCTATTATCTATCAATTACATAGTCTAAGGTCTTTTGTTATGGTAGCATGAATGGACAAAGTAGAAATTGGTACAGGGAGGAGATTGTTGCTGTAACAAATACCTGAAAATGTGGAAGTGGCTTTGGAACTGTGTAAAGAGCTATTCTGGTGAGGGATCAGAAAAAGAGGAGAGCTGTTGAAAAAGCCTCACTGCGCAGGTTGCAGAGAGCCAAGATCGTGCCACTGCACTCCAGCCTGGGGGACAGAGCGAGACACTGTCTCAAAAAAAAAAAAAAGTCTCACATTTTGTAGAGATTCTTGATTTTCTAAGTGTTCGTAAACAGAATGTTGGTAAAAATGTGGATAGGAAAGACCATTGTGATGAGGTCTCAAATAGAAATGAATATCTTAATGGAACCTGGGAGTGACATAAGCAAGATGGTGGAATAGGAGTTTCCAGCTCTCATCCCTTGACATAAACAAAGATTTTGGCAATCACTCATGGATGAGAATAGTTTTTTGGGGAGCACTGGAGTCAAGCTTAGCTTCCAGAGCCATGGAGGTGCAAAATATCTGAGAATGGATGCATTGAAGAGGGTAAAAAGAGCAGTTTCACTTTGCTGATATCGCCCTTCCTCAAAGGTAACACAGCTTGGTGCTGAGAGAGGACCTCTGGGCCCACATTTCTCCACGGAGGAACGTGAGAGCAAAGTGATGATCACCTTCCCCAACCTTGCAAGACACTGCCCAGGAGGACCACTTCTGTCTTGTCCCACACCAAACATGGAGGAGATTGGCACAACTGACTTCTCTGGGGACAGCTATGAATAAGAAAAAGGAGAGGGGGCACACAGCAACAGTTGTGTGACCACAGCAGCTGTAGCTCTTATCCAAATATTTAAATTCTGCTTTCCTTTTGATTATAAATCGCAACTTCAGTTTATCTCTCTTCTCACATTTTACTGTCAAGAGAAGCCATGCCATACTCTGAACACTTCGCTTAGACGTTTCTTCCACCAAATATTCTATTTTGTTGCTCTTAAATTCTGCCACCCAGAAAACACTAGAACATGAAAATCCGCCAAGTTCCTTTGCCATTTTATAAAAAGGATGATGTTTCCTCCGGTTTTCATTATGTCAAAGGATGGGAGCTGGAACTTCCTATTCTACCATCTTGCTGATGTCACTCTTTCTCAATTGTGTTTTAAAGTCAAATGGAATAACTTATCTTTATGTGGTATCTTAGTCATTTCATGTTGCAATAACAAAATACCATAGACTGGGTAATTTTAAACAACAGAAGTTGTTTCTCATAGTTGGGGATGCTAGTGCAAAAACCTTTCATATTCTTCTAACCTTTGCATTTTAGTGGTAGAAGTGAGCTGTACTATCTCCTGGAACAGCACTGCCCAACTGAACTCTCTGTGATGATGGAAATAAATAGCATTGTCTAAAACAGTAGCCACTAGGCATAGGTGGCTATTGAGCACTTGAGCTGTGGCAAGTACAACTGAGATGTTTAATTTTATTTAATTTACATCAATTTAAATTTGTTTGTATAGTCAAGTGAAGCTTGTGGCTAACATATTGGACAGCAAAGTTCTGTCATGCCTCTAAGGGTAATAATATTTTGCTTGTTTTTAATAATTATATTCTGTCACCTAAAATATCTCATTTCTTTTGTATCATCTTTTTGTTTACATTTTTCTTTCTATTTTGTTCTGCTTAAATTTCCTATGTGCCTGATTATCTTTCTTGTTCCCATTGCAAACAGAACAGCTGAATAGGTGGTAAGGGTTTACTTCAGTTACTGTGAAGTAGAGCTACTTTTCCTGATTGGTCTTTCTCTTCAGTGAAGAATATCTCTAGTGTATCTGTATGGGATGGAGTGCGACAAATCAAATGTCAGGCTTGCTTTAGAGAGAGCAGGCAGGAAACAGCTGTGCAAGTGTCAAATAAAGAAGGCTTTATTGGAAAGGAATTGTTCTCAACCTAAGGTTCCTGGATCAGGAGCATTAATGTCACCTGGCCCTCATCTTCAGAGTTTTGATTCATTATATTTTTCTTTTTTGATACATAATATTTTACCTATGTATGGGATTCATAGGATATTTTGTTGCAAGCATAGAATGGATAATGATCAAGTCAGGATATTTAGGGGTATCTATCATTTTGAGTATTTATCATTTTTATGTGTTGGGAGTATTTTAAGTTCTCTCTTCAAGCTATTTTGAAATATCCAATATATTGTTACTAAATATAGTCAGTATGCTATTGAAGACTAAAACGTGTGCCTTCTAACCGTATGTTTGTACTCACTGACCAGTCTCTCTTCAGAGACGGGGCCCAAGAATTTGCTCTTCTCACAAGTTCTCAGGTGGAGTCCATCAATCTCTATTTTGAGATGATTCCAGTGCATACTAAAGTTTTAGAATTCCTGCTTTAAGGTTTTGACTTCTATACCAGAAGCCTTAGCTTTCCCTAAACATTTCCTTCTGATTTTACCTGAGAGAAAATGTTGGCGGTACACAGTCTGCATAGAGCCAAAAGCCTCTCCAGATCCATAAGTTAGTTTTCATCTTCTCTGAAGCCCACTTGTAAACATTCTCTAGCCCGGGGACTTTCTCCACTTGTTTCATCCTTTATTCTTCAACTTGCTCCCATCACCTATTCCACTTTAGTATTTGGAAAAATTTAAAGAATACAGAGAACTACTTAGGATAATGTGTCAAACACCTGTACACCAACAACTGAGAATTAGCAAATATTTACATTGTTTCCTCACTTTACATATTTTCACCTGGAAGAATTAAGTTATTATACATAAAATGTTGCTCTTCTAAATAGACTCTATCCACTTTCAGAGGCAATCACCCAAACACCATCATGAGTTTGGTATATATCCTTATAGTCTATGTTTTCATAATTATCTATATATACACATATATACATATACATATACATACATATACATATGTGTGTATATAATGAATCCATGAATTTTGTGTTTAATATTGTTTAAATGCTATGTTACTGTACATGTCATGCTGTGAACTTGTGAATCAAAATTATAAAATTTTGTTCCTAAATTTTATTCATGTAGTAAATACCTCTTGTTCACTTATTTTAACTGTTTTCTGCTTTGTTTTGTTTTGGAAAACAGATTTCTACCCACCACTCTGCTTAAGGACAGAATAGAGTGCAAAATATGTATCTTCTGCTCCTAATGCATATGTGTATGTTTCTTCAGAGTTTATTACTGGGTGTAAAATTACCAAGTTTGGTATATGCACTTTTCCATATCAATATGTACTACCAAAATACTCTCCAAACTGTATATGAGACTTAGGGGAAAAGTTTGGATTGAAACATAAAATATAGAGTAAAATTTATAAATTGTAAGTATATGGCTCAAATAATTTTTTAATAAACAGAATACAACTCTGAAATTATCACCAAAATCAAGACATTAAACATTACCAGAAACAATAAAGCCTTTCCCATGTCCCCTCCTGATCATTGCCCCACAAATCCACTACTATTCTGATTTCTAATAACCTTGAGTTTTTTCTCTGTTTGGAACTTTATAAATTGGAATCATACCCATAAGCACACTTATTATTCTGGCATCATTCACTCAAAATTATGTGATGAAAATAATTCATGTTGTTTGTAGCACAAGTTGTTCTTTATCATTTCTCTAAGATATTTTAAATTTTTTATGGATACATATTTGTACATATTTATGGCATACATATGATATATTGATACAAGCATACAGTGTGTAATGACAAAATCTGGGTAATTGTTTGACTATACAACCATCTATCAAATTTTATAGTCTTTTGAAAGAACAAAATTATGGCTGTGGTTATTTTCTCTGTTGAATTTTTTATTGATATTTGCTTATTCTCTGTGTTTATTTTTCTAACTTCCTGAAATTATTGCAGACTCTATTTTTCACCTACTTGTGTTCTACTATATATCTTTAAGGCTATAATTTTTGTAAGCACAGCTTTACCTTTTGTCACAGTTAAAAAGCTAAGTTGACAAAAATAAATTATATGTATATTTATTATGTACTACATGTAGTTTTGAAATATGTATACATTGTTAAATGGATAAATTTAGGTATTAACATATATGTTACCTTATATGCTTATCATTTTTGTGAGTGGTGAGAACACTTAAAATCTGCTCTCTTAGTGATTTTGAAGAACACAATACATCTTTACTAACTGTAGTCATTATGTTCTACAATAGATCTTTTGAACTTATTCCTCCTAACTAAAATTTTGTGTCCTTTGATTGACATCTCCCAGCCCCCTATTTTCCTTTTACCCCTGGTGACCATCATTCTAGTCTCTAATTTTATGAGTTTAATGTTTTTAGATTCTACATATAAGTGAGATTATGCAGTATTTGTCTTTTTGTGCCTGGCTTATCTCACGTAACATAATGTCTTCCAGGTTCATCCATATAGTTGTAAATTACAGGTTGTTTTTCTTTTTAAAAGCTGGATAGTATTCCTTTGTGTATATATACCACATTTTCTTAATCCATACATGTTAATGGACACCTAGGTTGATTCCATAACTTGGCTATTGTGAACAATACTGCATGAACATGGCTCGGCAGATATCTCTTCATCAGACTGATTGCAATTTCTTTGAATATAAAACCAGTAGTGGGACTGCTAGATCATAGTTTATTTTTAATTTTTTGAGGAACTTCCATATTGTTTTCCATAACGGCTGTTCTAATTTACATTTCCACCAACAATGTGCAAGGGTTCCATTTTTTCCACATCCTCACCAAAACTTAGATATTTTTTTCTTTTTGATGGTAGCCATTTTACCAGTTGTGTGGTATATCAATTGGGTTTTAAATTTGCATTTCTCTAAAAGATAGTGATATTAAGCATCTTTAATATATCTATTGGCCACTTGTATAATTTTAAAATGTCTACTCAGTGTTTTGCTCATATTATAATTGTGTTACTACTTTTCTTACTATTATGTTGTTTGAGTTGCCTGTGTATTTTAGATTTTTTTTATTTTTTATTTTTATATTTTTTTGAGACAGAGTCTCACTCTGTCACCAGGCTGGAGTGCAGTGGTGCAATCTCGGCTCACTGCAACCTCTGCCTCCAGGGTTCAAGTAATTCTCCTGCCTCAGCCTCCCAAGTAGCTGAGTCTATAGACACATGCCACCACGCCTGGCTAATTTTTGTATTTTTAGTAGAGACAGAGTTTCACCATGTTGGCCAGGATGGTCTCCATCTCTTGACCTCGTGATCTGCCTGCCTCGGCCTCCCAAAGTGCTGGGATTACAGGCGTGAGCCACCGCACCCAGCCTATCTTAGATATTAACCCTTCATCAGATATATGTTTTACAAATATTTTTGACTATTTCCTACATCATCTCTTTATTCTGTTGATTATTTCATTGCTGTGCAGAAGCTTTATAGAAAATCCTCTCCCTATTTTTTGCTTTTGTTGACTGTGCTTTTGGGGTCCTATAAAAAAAATTAATTGCCCAGACCAATGTCATGGAGCTTTTCTCCTATGTTTTCTTCTAGTAGTTTTGGAGTTTCAGATAATACTCTATAGTCTTTAACACATTTTTAGTTGATTTTTGCATATCATGTAAGATAAGGGTCTAATTTCATTATTCTGCATGTGAATATTCAGTTGTTTCAATATCATTAATTGAAAAGACTGTTTTGTCCCCATTGTATGTTCCTAGCACTTTTGTTGAAAATTAATTGACAATAAATTCATGGATTTATTTCTGGGCTCTCTGTTCTGTCACATTGGTCTATGTGTCTGTTTTTATGCCTGTACTATGCTGTTTTAATTGCAATAGCTTTGTGATAGATTTTAAAGTCAGGTTGTCTGATGCTTCCAACTTTATTATTTTTGCTCAGGATTGCTATGGCTACTCAGTCTGAAGTGGTTATTCTATATGAGTTTAAAAACTTTTTTTTATATTTCTGTAAAAAATGTCATTGGAATTTTGAAAGAGATTGCATTGAATCTGTAGATTGCTTTGAGTAGTCTCAACATTTTAACAATCTAAATTCTTTAAATCCAAAGACATGTTATATCTTTCATTTTACATATACCTTCAATTACTTTCATGAGTGTTTTATGATTTTCACAATGTACAGGACTTTCCCCTTTCTGGATAAATTTATTTCTAAGAATTTATATTTTGTAGTTATTCTAATGAGATTGCTTTCTTGATTCCTTTTACAGACAGTTCATTGTTAGTGTATGTAAATGCTAATGATTACCATACGCTGATTTTGTATCCTGCAACTTTACTGAATTTACTAGTTCCAACAGTTTTGTGGTAGAGTCTTCAGAGTTTTCTGTATAAAACATCATATAATTTGCTGACAGAGACAATTTAACTTTTCTCTTTCCTATTTGGCTGCTTTTTATTCATTATTCTCTTGCCTGACTACTCTGTCTAGTACTTCCAGTATTATGTTGAATAGAAGTGGCAAGAGCAGACATCATTGTCTTATTTCTGAAGTTAGATAAAAAGCTTTCAACTTTTTACAGTTGAGTATGATGTTAGCTGTGGGTTTGCTGTATATGGTCCTTAGTGTATTTATGTACACTCTTCTGTGAAAGGAAAATAAATCCTGGGGCCTCAAAATCACAAAGCTAAAGGGAAAAGTCAAGCTGGGAACTTAGGGCAAAGCTGCGTCCCATTCTTTTCAGTCACCCTTCTTTTCACTGAGATAAATGCATTATCTGATTGCCTCCTTTGGAGAGGTTAATCAGAAGCCCAAAAGAATGCAACCGTTTGTCTCTTAATCTACCTATGACCTGGAAGCTCCCTCTACTTCAAGTTGTGCCACCTTTGCCTTGAGTCATCCGACCTTTCTAGGAGGAACCAATGTTCATCTTACATACATTGATTCATGTTACATGTCTCCTTAAAATGTATAAAACCAAACTGTGCTCTGACCATCTTGAGCACATGTTGTCAGGACCTCCTGAGGCTGTGTCACAAGCGCGTGTCCTCAAATTTGGCAAAAACCTTTCTAAATTAACTGAGACCTGTCTCAGACATTTGAGGTTCACACTTCTTTACCTTATTTGTCAAGAGTTTGTATCATGCAAAGATGTTGAATTTTGTCAAATGCTTTTGCTGCATCTCTTAAGATGATCATATGGTTCTTGTCTTCTGTTAATGAAGTGTATCACATTTATAGACTTGCTATGTTGAATCACCCTGAATCTCTGGCATATATCCAACTTGATCATAGTGCATGATCATTTTAATATGGTGTTGAACTTTTTCAAGGCATTATTTTTTTTCTTGTTCAATTATTTAAGTTCCTTATAGATTCTACAGATTAGACATTTGTTGGATGTATAATTTACTAAAATTTTATCTCACTCTGTAGGTTGTCTGTTTACTCTGTTGATAGTTCATTTTGCTGTGCAGAAGCTCTTTAGTTTAATTAGGTCCCACTTGTCAATTTTTGTTTTTGTTGCAATTGCGTTTGAAGAGTTATTTATAAGTTATTTCCCAAAGCTAATATCCAGAATGGTGTTTCCTTTTTTTTTTCCTAAGATTCTTATAGTTTGAGGTCTTAAGTTTAAATCTTTAATTCATCTTGAATTAATTTTTGTTTATGAGAAGAAGTAGGGATCCAGTTTTATTATTCTGCATATTACTAGCCAGCTATCCAAGCACCATTTATTGAAAAGGAAGCCCTTTATTGCATATTTTTGTTGACTTCGTGGAAGATTAGATGGCTGTAAGTGTATGGCTGTATTTTTGGTTTCTATATTCTGTTCTACAGGAGTACATATCTGTTTGAGTCCATATGAATGTTATAATAGTTTTTCTCTGATTCAGTGAAAAATATCATTGGTGTTTTGATAGGAATAGCATCAAATCTGTAGATTCCTTTGGGCAGTATGGCCATTTTAATAATATTGATTCTTTCAATCCGTGAGCATGGAATGTTTCTCATTTTTCATGTCGTCTATGATTTCTTTCAGCAGTGTTTTGTAGCTCTTCTGTAGAGATCTTTCACCTCCTTGGTTAGATGTATTCCTAGGCATTTAATTTTTTGTGACTATGGTAAATGGGATTCTGTTGTTGATATGGCTATCAGGTTGAATGTTATTGGTGTATAAAAATGCTACTGACTTTTGTATATTGATTTTCTATCCTGAAACTTTATTGAAGTCATTTATTTGTTCCAGGAGCCTTTGGTGGTGTCTTTGGGGTTTTCTAGGTATAGAATCATATAATCAGCAAAGAGAGGAAGTTTTACTTCTTTTGCTATGTGGATGGATTTTATTTCTTTCTCTTTCCTGACTCCTCTGGTTAGGATTTCCGGTACTATGTTGAATAGAATTGGTGAGAGTGGGCATCTTTGTCTTTTTTGAGTTCGCAAAGGGAATGCTTCCAGGTTTTGCTTTTTCTGTATGATGTGGATGTGTGTTTGTCATAGATGACACTCATTATTTTGAGGTATATTCCTTCAGTGCCTAGTTTGCTGAGGGTTCTTATCATGAAGGGATGTTGGATTTTATTGAAAGGTCGTTTCATGTCTATTGAGATCACCATGTATTCTTGAAATTCTTTTTATGTGGTGAATCACATTTATTAATTTTCATATATTGAACTAACCTTGCAGTCCAAGAATGAAGCCTACTGGATCTTAGTCAGTTAGCTTTTTGATGTGAAGCCAGATTCATTTTGCTAGTATTTTGGAGAATTTTGGCATCTGTATTCATCAGGAATTTTGGACTTTGGTTTTCATTCTCCATTGTATCTTTGTGAGATTTTGATGTCAGAGTGATGCTGGCTTATAGTTCCTCCACTTTGATTTTTTGGAATAGTGTCAACAAAATTGGTACCTTTCTTGTATGTCTGGTAAAATTTGGCTGTGAATCCATCTGCTTTGTGGCTTTTTGTTTGTTAGGTTATTTATTATTGATTCAATTTGCAAACTTTATATTGATCTGTTCAGGGTTTCAATTTCTTCCTGATTCTATCTTGGCAAGTTGTGTGTTTCTCAAATTTATTGCCTCTAGAATTTATAGTTTCTGTGCATAGAAGTGTTCCAAATAGTCTCAGGAACTTCTTTATTTTTTTTCGATTGATTGAAATGTCACCTTTGTTATTTCTGATTGTTTTTATTTGGATCTTCTCTTTTTTCCTTGTAAATCTAGCTAGACGTCTGTCAATCTTGGTTATCCTTTTAAGGGACCAACTTTTGGTTTCATTGATTCTTTGTATGGATTTTTGGGTCTCAATTTCAGTTTCACTCTGATTTTAGTGATGTGTTTTCTTCTGGTAGCTTTGAGTTAAGCTTGTTCTGTTTTTCTAGTTCTTCTAGTTGTGGTGTTAGGTCATTAATTTGATATCTGACTTTTTGTGTTAGGCATTTAGAGCTATAAACTATCCTCAACACTGCTTTTGCTACATTAAGATTTTGTTATGTTGTGTTTCTAATTTCACTTATTTCAAATATTTTTTTAAATGTCTGCCTTTTTTTTTTTTTGTTAATCCCTAAGTCATTCAGGAGCAAGTTGATAACGTTTATGCCATTTTGTGGTTTTGAAAGATCTTCTTGGCATTAATTTCTATTTTGTTGTTGAAAGTGGAGAATTGAAGTTCCCTTCTATTATTGTATTTCTGTGTATTTTTGGTTCAGAACTGTTAATATTTGCTTTATGTATTAAGATTCTCTGATGTTGAGTGCATGCATATTTACAGTTGTTAAATGCTCTTGTAGAATTAACTTCTTTATTATTATATAAAAATATTCTTTGTTTCTTGTGACAACTTTTGACTTAGTCTATTTTGTCTGATGTAATTATAGCCCGCCCTGCTCTCTTTTCTTTGCATTTGCATAAAATATCTTTTTTCATCCCTTCACTTTCAGCATATGTGTGTCTTTAAAGCTACAGTGAGTCTCTTGTCAAGAATATTTACAGTCATGTTTAGCTTAATGATAGGAACATGTTTTGAGAAATATGTCATTAAATGAATTCATAATTGTGTGAACATCATAGAGCATACTTACATAAACTCAGATGGTACAGCCTACTAAATTCCTAGGATTTATGGTATAATCATTACTCCTAGGCTACAAACGTGTACAACATGTTACTGTATTGAATACTGTAGGCAATTGTAACACATTGGCAAGTATTTGTGTATCTAAACAAATTTAAATATAATAAAGGTATAGTAAAATATGATATTATTATCTTATGAAACCATCATTGTATATGCAGTCTGTCATTGACCAAAATGTCATTTGTGACTCATGACTGTAGTTGGATCTTGTATGTTTACTCATTCAGTAACTCTTTGTCTTTTGATTGGAACTTTTAGTCAGTTTACACTGAAAGTAACTTGATTGAGTAGGACTTACTATTGCCATTTTATTAATTGTTTTCTGACAGTTTTGTAGTTTCTTTTTTCGTCTTTTGTTCTCTTTTTTTAAATATTTGATAATTTTTTGTAGCGGTATGCTTTCATTTCTTTTTTTATTTCTTGAATGTATCCTCCATAGATTTCATTTTTGTGATATTCATGGGGCTTACAGAAAATATATCATAGTTATAGCTGATTTTAAGCTATAGGAACATAATTTAGATAACATCCAAAAATTTATATTTCTATGTTCCCTCCTTACAATATATGTTACTGATGTCACAATTTCCATGTTTTTATATTATGTATTCATTACAGTATTATTGTAGCTATAGTTATTTTTAATACTTTAGTTTATTAATTTTTATGTAAGAGTTAAAAGAGATTTATGCACTACCATTTAAGCTTTAGAGTATTCTGAATTTCACTATATATATTTTTTTTTTCACTGAGTGCTAAGAAATCCACTGGTAGTCTTAAATTCATTCTCTTGTGTGTGATGAGTTGCTTTTCACTTGCTGCTTTCAAAGTTCTCTTTGACTTTTGACCATTTAATTGTATTGTCTCTCACTGAAGATATCTTAATGGTTAACCCATTTGGAGTTTTTTGAGATTTATGTATCTAGATGTTCATTTACCTCCCTATACTTAGGAAGTTTCTGTCATTATTTATTTAAGTAATATATTTGTTCCTTTTTCTTTCTTTACTCCTATGAGACTTCTATGATGCAAATATTGGTTTCCTTGATTGTGTGCCACAAATGCTGTAGCTTTTCTTTGCTCTTTTTCATTCTTTTTTCTTTTTGTTCCTGTGATTGGGTAATTTTGAACGACCTTTCTTCAAGCTTGCTGATTCTTTCTTCTGCTTGGTTAAGTCTACTTTTCAGCTCTGTAAGAAATATTTTTTTCAGTCATTGTATTCAGTTCTAAAATTTTTCTTTGTTCTTTTAAAGTAGTTTCCATCTTTTTGACAAATTGCTATTTTACTCATTTTGTACATGTATTTCCTTTCTGATCATTTGAAGAAGTAGACGACACTTCCAATCTTTACAGACTAGCTTTGGCAGGGAAAGATGTTCTCAATATGTCTGTCCTGAGATTCTGAGTGGTTTGGCTGATGGAGTCTGCAGGTGAGCTTGCTGCTAGAGTCCTCAGGTGGGCAAGACTTGTGCTTTGGTCAATCAGCAGGCAGGCCTGGCATGTGGATCTGCAGGGGTTGTCTTCTGTCTGGATATGTGGGGGCAGGCCTGGAATTTGGGTCTACAGGTGCTGGCCCAGATTTTGTGTCTGAAAGGGCTTGGGGTTTACGAGTGGGCCTGGAACCTGGGTACATGAGGCTAGGCCTGGTGCCTGCATCTATGGGTGAAGAGCTGGTGTCTGGGACATGAGAACTTGTTTGGAGCCTTGGTCTATGGGGTTGGGCCTAGATGCTGGATCCATGGGTGCCAGCCTGGCTCAGGGAGAGACCGAGTCCTGAGTCCATGGGTGCTAGCCTGAATCTTGGGGCCACTGGGATTGGCATGGAACCTGGATCATGGAAGCCAGCATGGTGCCTGAGTCCACATGGGGAAGCCTGGTGCCTGGGTCTGTGGGGGCCAATCTGGTGTTAGGGTGGGTTTGGGGCCTAGATCTGCAAGGGCAAGCCTGGATTCTGGTTCTACACGGGCCAGCCTTGCTTTGAGGTTTACAGAGGTGGGCCTGTTTCTGGGGGTCACAGTGAATTCTTCAATCTTTTTCCATCAAATGAAGTGTATCTCTCTTCATGCTATGCTGCACAGGCTTGGAAACGTGGTGATGTAAGGGGTGACAGGAAGATGTTCTTTCTTCCCTCTTCAGTGCATCTTTTCTTATCTCTGTGCTCCACCTAGGTGCCATAATCTCTCAGATTCTGTAGTTCTGGTGAATGTATTGCCATGAATGAATGGTGTTTCAAATTGACATTTTCTATGAGGGAAATGAGTGCTGGAGACTTCTATTCTGCCATCTTGTTAATGTCACTCCACTTAGAAAGTTTAAGATATTAACTTTCAACTTTTTAACTTAATTATGCAGTTAAATTGGCGTGTGATGTTTCTCACCAAAACTGCAATACTCCTATATCAGAGCTTTGACATTTGGTATTCTCCCTGGTATGCTCTTCCCTCTGATAGCTATTATTGGTTTAGTGCCTTACCTCATGCAGAACTTTATTCAAAGGTTACATTTTTAGTAAGGCCATTCATGGCCATAATATCTAAAATTGCAATCTCCTTTCCTGACACTTCCTATTTCTTTCCCTGTTGTGTTTTTATTCCTCAAATCTTATCACTCTCTAGCATGATGTATATGTTTCTTCTGTATCTTGGTAATCATAGGTCCGTATCTCTTTTTCCTATGTAAATGTAACCCCCAACAGAATAAGAATTCCAGTCTATTATGTCATAGTTGCAACTCAATTGCCTAGACCTGTTGTAGGTGTATATTACATGTTCAGTACAGATTTTTTGAAAGAATAAAGCTTGTAAAAGAATGAATCAATGACAATCCATAAGTTGGAAAGAGATGCTTTATGCACATATAACTAACAAATGATGAATGGCATATATATATATATATGTATATATTATATATATTTCATTTTCTATTTTTAGTTGACATTTATTACATACAAAGTGATATTTTGATATGTAATACAATTTATAATAATCAAATCAGGATAAATAGCATAGCCAACATTTCAAACATTTATCATTCTTTTTTGTTATGAACCTTCAAAATCCTCTTCTAGCTTTTTAGAAATATATAACAAATTATAGTTAAGCATATTCCCCTTAGAGTGCTATAGAAAACCAGAATTCATTCTTCCTATCTAGTTATCTAGTTGCTATTTTATATCAGTTAACCAACCTCTCAACATCCTCTCCTCTTCCTAACCTTTCCAGCTGCTAATAACCACAATTCTATTTTTTACTTACATGAAGTCAAATATTTTTTAGCTCCCACATATGAGTGAAAACATATAGTGTTTATCTTTCTGTGCCTGACTTATTTCTTAACATAATTTCCTTCAGGCTCATCCATGTTGCTGCAACTAACAGGACTTCTTTGTTTTTATGGCTGAATAGTATTCCATTGTGTATATATACCACTTTTTCTTTTTTCTTTTTTTTTTTTTTTTTGAGATGGAGTCTCACTCTGTCACCCAGGCTGGAGTGCAGTGGTGTAATCTTGGCTCACTGCAGCCTGTGCCTCCTGGGTTCCAGCAAGTCTCCTGCCTCAGCCTCCCGGGTAGCTGGGATTACAGGCACATACCACCATGACTGGCTAGTTTTTGTATTTTTAGTAGAGATGGAGTTTCACCATGTTGGCCAGGCTGGTCTCAAACTCCTGACGTCAAGTGATCCACCCACCTCAGCCTCCCAAAGTGCTGAGATTACAGATGCGAGCCATAGCACCCAGCCCCACATTTTCTTTATCCGTGAATGTGTTGATGGACATTTAAGTCGACCCTATGTCTTAGGTATTTTGAATATTGCTGCAATAAACATGGGAGTGTAGGTGTCTCTTTGATTTGCACTCCCACCACAGTCTATGAGTTTCTTTATCTCTGCATCCTCATCATTTCTTATGTTTTATCTTTTTGATAATAGCCATTTTCAGTGGTGTGAGATGATACCTCAATGTGGTTTGATTTGCATTTCCTTGACGACTAGTGATGCTGAGCATTTTTTTGTATACCTGTTGGCCATTTGTACATCTTCTTATGAGAAATGCTTACTCAGTTGTTTTGCCCAATTTTTAAGTGGCTTATTTATTTATTTTTGCTGTTGAGTTGTTTGAATTCCTTTGACACTCTGGATATTAGTTCTTTGCCAGATGAACAGTTTGAAAATATTTTCACCCATTTTACAGGTCCTCTCTTCAATCAGTTGATTGTTTCATTCGATGTAAAGAAGCTTTTCAGTTCAGAAATCCTTTTCTCTGCTTGATCTAGTCTATTATTGACACTTTTGATTGTCTTTTTTATTTCATGGAATGAATTCTTCATTTCCTGGATTTCTGTTTCTTTTCTATGATATCTGTGTCTTTGTTGCATTTCTCATTCAGATCATTTTTGTCCAAATGACAAATAGGAAATCCCAATGAAAGTTAGAAATAAGAAGAAAAATACAATTTTAAAAAGTAGTGGAAAGGAATAAAACCTCCATAACATCCCAAAAAGTGTGGGTTTGAGGAGCTTTCGGGCAATTGTGTATGTAACAGAGTTCCTTAACAAATGTCAGCAAGTTGGCAAAATAAACTTCTACAGCGCTTGCCCCCTCAACCCAGAAACATGAATTTGAACAACTATTTAACCATGAAAATACCTATGTAACAGCTGAGGAAATCAGGTGATTAGATCAAATCACCTGGGTATAGGACAGAACTAAGAATAGATGCGTTGAAGAGTGTAGGGAGGACACTTTTACATTACTTAAGTCAACCCTCCCTTAACCTTATATAGTATACCATGAAAAGAGATACCCCCCCATGTGAGGAAGGAGAGGAATTAAGCACTGGACTTTGCCTTCAACCCCAAACTAGGTCTTCGCAGTTAAAACTCAATGCCAGGCAGGCCCCTATAGCCCCAGACTCAAGCCTGGTTCTCACTTGTTTGGAACTGGAGCAAAGGTGACTCTTGTTATGTTTTAGCAAAGAGACTGGTGGCATATTGTCCCTGCCCTAGGGATTTGTGGGACTTTGAACTTGAGAGAGATGATTTAGCATACCTGGTGGAAGAAATTTCTAAGCAGCAAAGTATTCAATAGATGACTTGGGTACTGTTAAAGGCATTCATTGTTATAAGGGAAGCAGACTATAAAAGTTCAGAAAATCTGCAGCCTGACAATCCAATAGAAAACAAAATTTCATTTTCTGAGGGGAAATTCAAGTCAGCTGCAGAAATTTGCATAAGTAACTAGGAGCCGATTGTTAATCCCTAAGACAATAGGGAAAATGTCTCCAGGGCACGTGAGAGGTCTTCACTACAGCCCCTCCCATCACAGGCCTGGAGGGGCTGTAGTGAAGACCTCTGAAGGAGGAAAAAATGGTTTTGTGGACCAGGCCCAGGATATCTATGCTGTGTGCAGTCTAGGGACTTGGTGCCCTCTGTCCCAACTGCTCCAGCCTAATAGTGGCCAAGATACAGTTCAGGCTGTTGCTTCAGAGAATGGAAGCCCCATGCCTTGTCAGCTTCCATGTGGTTTTGAGCCTGCAGTACACAGAAGTCAAGAATTGAGGGTTGGGAACTTGTGCCTAGATTTCAGAAAATGTGTGGAAATGCCTGGATGCCTAGGCGAAAGCTTGCTGCAGGGGTGGGGCCGTCATAGAAAATCACTTCTACGGCATTGCAGAAGGGAAATGTGGGGTTGGAGCCCCCACACAGAGTCCTTACTGGGGCACTGCCTAGTGGAGCTGTGAGAAGAAGACCACCGTCCTGACCCCACAATGGTAGATCCACTGACAGCTTGCATTGTGAGCCTGGAAAAGCCACAGACACTCAACCCCAGCTCATGAAAGCAGCCAGGAGGGGTAGAACTGCACAAGACTGTGGAAACCCACCTCTTGCTTCAGCATGACCTGGATGTGAGACAGGGAGTCGAAGGAGATAATTTGGGACATTTAAGATTTGACTGCCCCACTGGATTATGGACTTGCATGGGGCCTGTATCCCCTTTGTTTTGGCCAATTTCTCCCATTTGGAATGGCTGTATTTACCCAATGCCCATACCTCCATTGTATCTAGGAAGTAACTAACCTGTTTGTGATTTTACAGGCACGTAGGTGGAAGGGACTTGCCTTGTCTCAGATGAGAGGTTGGATTGTGGACTTTTGAGTTAATGCTGAAATGAATTAAGACTTTGGAGGACTGTTGGGAAAGCATGATTTGTTTTGAAATGTGAGGACATGAGATTTTGGTGGGGCCAGGGGTGGAATACTATGGTTTGGCTGTGTCCCCACTCAAACCTCATCTTGAATTCCCATGTGTTGTGGTAGGTGGGAGGTAATTGAATAAGGGCGACAGGTCTTTCCTGTGCTGTTCTCATGATAGTGAATAAGTCTCACAATATCTGATGGTTTTAAAATGGGAGAGTTTTTCTGCACAAACTCTCTTTTTGCCTGCTACCATCCATGTAAGATGTGACTTGGTCTTCCTTGCCTTCTGCCATGATTGTGAAGCCTCCCCAGCCATGTGGAACTGTAAGTCCATTAAAACTCTTTTTCTTCCCAGTTTCAGATATGTCTTTATCAGCAGCGTGAAAACGGACTAATACACACTTACATGTGGAATCTAAAAAATTTGAACTCATAGGAAAAGAAAGTAGAATTTTGGTTGCCAGGGAGTGGGGAATTAAGGAAATCGAGAAATGTTGATCAAAGAGTACAAAACTTCAGTTATGCTGGATGAATAAATTCTAGAGGATGAATGTACATCATGATGACTCTAGTTAATAGTACTGTATTTTATACTTGAAATTTACTAAGAGAGTAGATATTAAAAGTTTTATCTACAGGGAAAAGAATTGTAACTATGGGAAGTAATGGATATGTAATTAGCTTGATTTTGGTAATCATTTCACAATGTAATTTACATATATCAAAACATACACATAAATATACTCAATATATTTCTAGAATAAATATGTGGTTATTATTTGTCAGTTATGCCTCAATAAAGCTAAAAAATGAAGTCATAGAGTTATATCTAATAATGAACATAAACAAAGTATGATAATGTTTTTGTTTAATACAAAGTTAGTTTCAGAAGTAATTTAATTTGTTGAAAGGAGTAGTCTTGGGATCTGAGGGTAAGTTGTGGGGAAGGCTAATGTTTTTAATAATAAATTTTGTAAAACTATTTGATTTTATCAAAGTATGTTTATATGTACACAGACATATACTACATATATACATACACATATATTTACACAGAAATATATATATTCTTTAGGATCAAGCAGTTCTATAAAGTGTGGCAAAATTTTACAAAATATTATTAAACATTTTAATTATTTTGGAGTAAGAGAGACATTTTCCTTTTCTATTTAAGAGTGCAATATTCAACAGATGTCTCTCATCTCCACATTTTATTCTCCTAAAATATTTAGTAATTTTTCATTTGTTGGTGACCCTCCCTTCTGTTCTCTTAGTTGCTATAGGTTTCTTCCTATTTGTACTTCTGTACTTTATTCCCATTAGAGTAATGAGATTTAAATGCATGTTCCCAATGCACTACCTGACATCTAGAAAAATGTCTTTCATATTTTTAAAAAGCAAATAAGAAGGGATTTCATTCAGTTTGTTATTTAAATGAGATAGGTTTATCATTCAGTATGAAAACTTAATGCCACCCTCTCCTCAGGGGAAAAATAAGGAAACAAAATTGAACATTCTGACATGCTTCAGCATGGGTGCAACAGGCCAGGAGCAGAAAGTGAAATCATTAAGTGTTTCACATTGTTGTCAGAAGAGAGGTTTTATTATTTCAACCTTCCCTGAGTAAATATGCTTACTGCCGGCCAGCTTGGGCCAAAGGAAGAAATAGAGAAGGTAAAATCCTTGAACTTTTACTAGTTTTCCCTGTGTACCAGGACAGTGTCATGATCAAGTGCTATTAGTCTAGATAATATTACATCTGAAATCCATAAAAATGCCAAACTAAAGTTTGAGTTCTGAGTGAAATCATCTGGGATCACAAGATCTCCGGAAAAGATGGATTCTTGGCCCTGTGATGTGAGTTATCTTGCCCCTGACTCTATCAGCAAGTCATGTCATGTCTATCTTCATGTCAAGGTACACAAGAAGCTGGTAATCCCAAAGGAAAATTTTATTCAATAGTTTTAATCTTAATTAAATTGATTTTTATTTTTCATTGGCTTTGAGGATGGCAATTGTGAAAGGCGACAAAAAGTATCAATTCAAGGATAAGAACAGCCTTAAAACACTATAGTTTTTGAACTATGAGCTGACAAAGTCTCCCAACCTTAAAGTCCAAAAGAAAGTCTGATTTTCTTGTGAATGATTTTTTTAATTCAAATATTAACATAATGGAAAAGAAGTAGGATAACTTCTCCTGCATGGAAGCTATTGATACATTCAAATACATTAATCAATTATGCCAACTGGTTAAACCACAGTTTAGTAAAGAGATGTAGAAAGCTTTGTCAGGGTAGAATTTTCAGTAGTTTTTGAACTATGAGCTATCAAAGCCTCCCAACCTTAAAGTCCAAAAGAAAGTCTGATTTTCTTGTGAATGATTTTTTTAATTCAAATATTAACATAATGGAAGAAAAGTAGGATAAGTTCTCCTGCATGGAAGCTATTGATACATTCAAATACATTAGTCAATTATGCCAACTGGTTAAACCACAGTTTAGTAAAGAGATGTAGAAAGCTTTGTCGGGGTAGAATTTTCAGATAAAATATTGGATGCCCAGTTAAACTCCTACTTCAGATAAACAGTTAATAATTTATATAAGAATGTCCTAAATGGGGTACACGTATACTAAAATGTTATTCATTGTTTATCTGAAGTACAAATTTAACTGGGCATCCTTCATATTTATTTGCTAAATCTGGACACCCTATTTCAGGACCTGTAGTGCTACATGACTCTTGGTTTTTGTTCAGCTGCCATGGGGCAAATGCGTAAGCAGTATGGATTACATACTGGCTTTTTGTCAGCATCTAAGTTTTGACTAAAATTTACATGGATTAAGGTATAAACATAATTCTTTGTGGACTAAATGTGAGTGTCTCTGGCACATTATTGTGGCATAAGACTGCTTTATGACTTTAACAGCCATTAAAACTTCACCTGTAATTTCAGGTCTTATATTTAAGTCTTGCTCCATCTTGAGTTAATTTTTGCATATGATGAGAGATAAGGATCCAGTTTCACTACTCCGCATATGACATTCCAATTTTCCCAGCACCATTTATTGAATAGGGTATTCTTTCCCCAGTGTGCTTTTGTCGACTTTGTAGATCAGTTGGCGGTAGGTATGTGAATTTATTTCTGAGTTTTCTATTCTGTTTCATTGGTCTATGTGTCCATTTTTATACCAATACTATGCTATTTTGGTTACTATAACTTTATAGTATAATTTGAAGTCTGTTAATGTGATGCCTTTGGCTTTGTTCTTTTCTATTAGGATGGCTTTGGCTATTAGGGCTCTTTTCTGGTTTCATATGAATTTTAAGATTATTTTTTCTAATTCTTTGGAAAATGACATTGGCATCTGTAGACTGCCTTCTGCAAGATAGCCATTTTCACATACTGATTCTTCTTATCCATGAGTATGGGGTATTTTTCCATGTATTTATGTCATCTACAATTTATGTAATCAGTGTTTTGTAGTTTTCCTTATAAAGGTCTTTCACCTTCTTGGTTAAATGTATTCCTAGGTATTTTAGTTTTTTGTAGGTATTACAAATGAGGCTGACTTCCTGATTTGGCTCTCAGCTTGATGTTCAATAGGATGTTGGCTGTGGGTTTTTCATAAATGACTTTTATTATTTTGTGGTATGTTCCTTCTGTGCCTAGTTGTTGAGGGCTTTTATCATGAAGTGCTGCTAAATTTTATCAGATGTTTTTCATGCATCTATTCAGATGATCATATGGTTTATGATTTTATTTTGTTTTGAATTTTTATTTTGTATGTGGTTAACCACATTTATTAGTTTGCATATGTTGAAATCTACTTGCATCCTTTGGATGAAACTCACTTGATTGTGGTGTATTATCTTTTTGATGTGATGTTGAATTCAGTTTGCTAGTATTTTGTTGAGGATATTTGCATCAATGTTCATCAGGGAGATTGGTCTGTAGTTTTCTTTTGTTGTTGTTGTGTCTTTGTTTGGCTTTGCTATGAGGGTGATACTGACTTCATATAATGAGGTAGGGAGAGATCCCTCCTCCTTGATTTTTTTGGGATGGTTTCAGTAGGATTGGTACCAGATTTTCTTTGTCCATCTGATAGAAGTTGGCTGTGAAACCATCTGGTCCTGAGATTTTTCTTTCGTTAGGAGATTTTTATTACTGATTCAATCTTACCATTAAAAAAGTACTAGAAGAAAACCTAGGAAAAGTCTTCTGGACATTGGCTTACACAGAAAATTTATGACTAAGACCTCAAAAGCATATGCAACAAAAACAAAAATAGACAAATGGGACTTAATTAAATGGAAAACCTTCTGCAGAGCAAAACAACAGAGTGAACAGACAATCTGCAGAATGGGAGAAAATATTTGCAAACTATATCTGGCAAATGACTAATATCCAGAATTTACAAGGAACTCAAACAACTCAAAAAACCCACACATAACCTTATTAAAAAGGGGGCAAAGGACAAGAACAGCCTTTTTTTTTTCAAAAGAAGAAGACACACAAATGGCCAAAGCACATATGAAGAAATGCTCAACATCACTAATCATCAGAAAAATGCAAATTAAAACCACAATGAGATGTCATCTCACACCAGTTAGAATGGCTATTATAAATAAGTCAGAAAAACAAGAGATATCGACATGGATGTGGAGAAAACGGCATGCTTATGCACCGTGGATGGGAATGTAAATCAGTAAACCTCTATGGAAAACAATATTGGGATATCTCATAGAACTGAAAATAGAAATACCATTTGACCCAGGAATCCCACTACTGGGTATCTACCCAAAGGAAAAGAAACAATTATATTGAAAATACGCCTGCACTCACATGTTTATTGCAGAATTATTCACAATAGCAAAGTTGTAGAATCAACCCAAATGTCCTTTAGCAGATGACTGGATAAAGAATATGTGGTATATATAACTTCAGATAGATTTCTTAGTTTAAGACATGGCTTTATTGGCAAGCTACTAACCTGCTTTTTGGAATACAAATTCTCAGGGCCCTGAGTAAATGGGGATAAGAAAAAGAAGTTTAAATTTGGGAAAAGATGTTTAGAAAAGATCTTGGCCAGCTCTGTCCAATAGAAATATAATGCAAGCCACATATGGCATTTTAAATGTTCTACTAGCCACGTTTTTTTAAAAAGTAAAAAAAGAAACAGGCAAAAATCATTATAATAATGTATTGAACTTACTATATTTCAAATATTATTATAAATATAATATGAATAAAATATAATAATTATACTTATAACACTTAACATATTATCATAAAATTAAAATCAGCATGTAAGTGACATTAAAAATTTGAGATATTTTATATTCTTTTCTCTTACTAAATCTTTGAAATTAAGTCTGTATTTAGCACTTAAAAAAATTTTACTTTGGACTAGCCAAATTTAAAGTGCTCAGTAGCCACACGTGGCTAGTGGCTACCATATTGGTCAATGCTGATCTAGATTCTTGCTACTCTAAATGTGGCCTGTGGACCAGCAGCAATAGTGTCACCTGGAAGTTTGTTAGAGATGGAGAATGTTAAGCCTCACCCAGACTTACTAAATCAGAATCTTCATTAAAAACGGCCTCCAGGTGATTCATATGCACATTAATCACTGAGAAGTTTTGCATTGGAGAGCACTGGGCATTTCCTAGGATATTGGTCATGGTTTATGCATTCTGAGTTTGGTAGTGAAGATTATAAGCACCTGATTAACAAGGGGAACTCCAAAAGGGGAGAGAAAAACTGACAACAGGAAGAGGGTGATGAATACCAACTGTTTATAATTTGCAGGATGTTTTGTATTTTAAGAAATTGGTTTGTGAATATAAATAAGTTGTCTCTACCCAAGAGCACAGATAGAGCCTTTATTCATGAAACTTTCAGAATATTAAGGATTGCTAGTTCCATATCTGACCCATTCAACTCAGTATTTCCAAATGTACTATCTTCTATACTCTCTCACTCCTTTAATGTTCAATAAACATCTTGCTAATTTGATTCTCACCTGCTTGTATAATAGTTCCTGTCCCCTCTCTCCTGACACATCCAATCACTAGTCTTGATATCTCCTCTACTGTGTCTTTAGAAATCTATTTCATTATAAATAAACATCTTCATAGCTTTCATATATTCATGGAATACTCCAATCACCTCTTAGTCTTAAATGAAACAAACCCTGAACTCCCTCTACAATACTAAACCTCTCTTTCTGCCTCCCCATCTCTTTCAAATTCATAGGCCAGAAGGAGGATACACAGAGGTGAACAAAACAGACACAGTCTTTTCCTTCACAGTGCTTAAATCTATGAGATGATCAGGGACAAATATTCAACAAGTATTCTTTTTTTTTTTTTTTTGAGATGAAGTCCCACTCTGTCACCCAGGCTGGGGTGCAGTGGCGTGATCTCAGCTGACTGCAACCTCTGATTGCTGGGTTCAAGCGATTCTGTTGCCTCAGCCTCTCAAGAAGCTGGGATTACAGGCGACTGACACCACGCCTGAATAATTTTTTTGTATTTTTAGTAGAGACCGGGTTTGGCCATATTGGCCAGACTGGTCTCCAACTCCTGACCTCAGGTGTTCTGCCCGCCTCAGCCTCCCAAAGTGCTGGGATTACAGGCATGAGCCACCACACCCAGCCAAGTACTCAGAATTTTGGTAAGTGCTATGAAAGAGAAGTGGAGATGCAATAATAGTGTCTTACATGGAGCTATCACCTAGTCTGCATCGTCAGAGACAGGCTTCACTGAAAAAAGGATATTTAACTTTGAACCTGGAAAATAAACTGGATTTTGTTGAGTCTAGTAGGGGAGGGAGAATGAGGTAAGACAATATTCCAGTTTCCCAATGTACTCTGTTCTTTTCTTTCTTATTTCTTATAATTATTTGCAATAATATGTTTATGAATTATTTGATTGATGACACTTCTGCTGCCAAAATATAAGCTCCAAGAAGGCAGGGACCTTTTTGTTCTGTTCATTGTTGTAGCCTTGGCATTTAGAATAATGACTGTCACATAAAACGCACTCAAATATTTATAGACTAAAGTGCTAAGGTCCTACTGAGAAAAGGGGCCATATTTAAAGGACTGAAATAAAACAACTGTGACTGCTAATAATATGGAAAAGAGTGGTGAGGTGAATAACCAGAGACATTGTTGAATTTCAGATCATGGAGAGCCTTATGAGCCATGTGAAAAAGTGTAGGGCTCTCTACTGTAATGTAAAATGTAAAATTTTAGCTCTTGTCATCTACTAGGACCATTTCAAAAATCTAAAAAAAAAATACAATCTGTTTGATCTCAAACTGCAATCCTTTTCGTTCTCCTATTATTTCAGTCTTGCTGTACGTGTTCTCTGCCTTCATTTTCCCTCATGTCTCTTTCTCTTATATTTTCAGTCTTCTACTTTAGCCCCTTAATATAGCTTCAGCCAGAATTCTACTGTCAAGCAATTCAATGAGGTATTTATTCTTTTCCTAGAGTCTTTTATCCCTTTGATCTTACGTATTTATTAAAAATCGTGTCCTGGCTAACCCCTGCTGCCTTTCACAGACCATATCATGAGCTACAGACATTAACATTGAGAACATTATCAAACCATGTTCATGGGGATTGCTGCAAATCTATCTTTGCTAGTTTTAATGGGCTCTTGTTATATTTAAAAAATCCATTTATTCTTATAGACTTCCTGACCCAATACCCAATTACTATTACAGACTTTTTAGATTGTGAGCTCCTATTTGAATTATACACTGTGTGCTCCCTCAAGATCCATTCTCTCCATCTCAAAATATGTCTCCCTTTACTAGCCCAACACTCTTGCTGTCCCTCATTCTGTCATCCTTTTTTTGTGTTTAGTCTCTCACTTTGTTGTTTCAGAAATTAGAAATACATTTTTCTTTGATTTCTTTTTAAAAATATTTTTATATTTAATTTTTGTGAATACATAATAAATGTATGAACTAGTCTGTTCTCACACTGCTAATAAAGACATACCCAAGACTGGGTAATTTATAAAGGATAGAGGCTTAATTGACTCACAGTTCCACATGGCTAGAGAGGCCTCACTATCATGGCAGAAGGCAAATGAGGAGCAAAGTCACATCTTACATGATGACAGGAAAGAGGGTGTGTGCAGGGCAACTCCCCTTTATAAAACCATCAGATCTCATGACACTTACTCACCATTACAAGAACATCATGGGAAATACCCACCCCCATGATTCAATTACCTCCCACTGGGTCCCTCCCACAACACATGGAAATTATGAGAGCTACAATTCAAGATGAGATTTAGGTGGAGACACAGCTAAACCATATCATTCCATCCTTCCCCGCTCCCAAGTATCATGTCTTCATATTTCACAGCCATTCATGCCTTCGCAACAGTTCCCCAAAGTCTTAACTCATTTCAGCATTAACTCAAAAGTCCACAGTCCAAAGTCTCATCTGAGACAAGGCAAGTCCCTTCCACCTATGAACTTATAAAACCAGAAGCAAGTTAGTTACTTCCTACATACAATGGGGATACAGGCATTGGGTAAATACTCTGTTCCAAATGAGAGACATTGGCCAAAACAAAGGGGCTACAGGCCCCATGCAAGTCCAAAATCCAGTGGGGCAATCAAATCTTAACACTCCAAAATGATCTCCTTTGACTCTGTATCTCCCATCCAGGTCACGTTGATGCAAGAGGTGGGTTTCCATGGTCTTGGGAAGCTTAACCCCTGTGGCTTTGCAGGGTACAGCCCATCTCCTGGCTGCTTTTAGGGGCTGGTGTTGAGTGTCTGTGGCTTTTCTCAGTGCATGGTGCAAGCTGTTGGTGGATCTACCGTATGGGTTCTGGGTTCTGGAGGATGGTGGTCCTCTTCTAATAGCTCCACTTGGCAGTGTCCCAGTGGGGACTCTGTGTGGGGGCTCCAACCCCACATTTTTCTTTTGCACTCACCTACCAGACAATCTCCATGAGGGGCCCACCCCTGCAGCAAAGTTCTGCCTGGGCATCCAGGCATTTTCATACATCCTCTGAAATCTAGGTTGAGGTTCCCAAACCACAATTCTTGACTACTGTGTACCCACAGGCTCAACACTACATGGAACCTGCCAAGGAAAGGGGATTACACCCTCTGAAGCCATGGCCTGAACTGTACCTTGGCCTCTTTATGCCACGGCTGGAGCAGCTGAGATGCATGACACAAAGTCCCTAGGCTGCACACAGCAGGGGGACCCTGAACCTGGCCCAGGAAACCGTTTTTTTTCTCCTAGGCCTCTGGACCTGTGATGGGAGGGGCTGTTGTTTAGGTCTCTGACATGCCCTGGAGTCGTTTTCCCCATTATCTTGGTAATTAGAGTTTGGTTCCTTGTTACTTATGCAAATTTCTGCAGCTAGCTGGAATTTCTCCCCAGAAAATGGGTTTTTCTTTTCTACTGCATCATCAGGCTGCAAATTTTTCAAAAATTTATGCTGTGTCACCTCTTGAATGCACTGCTGCTTAGAATTTTTTTTCCGCCAGATACACTAATTCATCTCTCTCAAATTCAAAATTCCACAGATCTTTATGACAGGGGCAAAATGCCACCAGTCTCTTTGCATAGCAAGAGTGACCTTTACTCCAGATTCCAGCAAGTTCTTCATCTCCATATGAGAACACCTCAATCTGGACTTTAGTGTTCATATTATTATCAGTATTTTGGTCAAAGCCATTCGACAAGTCTCTAGGAAGTTCCAAACTTTCCCACATCTTCCTGTCTTCTGAGCCCTCCAAGTCTCTAGGAAATTTCAAACTTTTCCACGTATTTCTGTCTTCTTCTGAGTCCTCCAAACTATTCCAACCTCTGCTTGTTACCCGGTTCCAAAGTCACTTCCACATTTTGGGGTATCTTTACAGCAGTTCCCCACTACCTGGTACCAATTTACTGTATTAGTCTGTTCTCGTGTGCTAATAAAGACATACCTGAGCTGGGGTAATTTATAAAGGGTAGAAGTTTAACTGACTCACAGTTCCACATGGCTAGAGAGGCCTCACAATCATAGTGGAAAGTGAATGAAGAACAAAATCATATCTTGCATGGCAGCAGGCAAGAGGGCATGTGCAGGGGAACTCCCTTCTATAAAACTGTCAGATCTCATGAGACTTATTCATTATCATAAGAAAAGCATGAAAAAGACCTTCCCCCATTATTCAATTACCCCCTCACCAGGTCCCTCTCATGACACATGGGAATTAAGGGAGCTACATTTCAAGATAAGATTTGGGTAGGGATACAGCCAAACTATATGAGTGTATATATTTATGGGGTATATGAGATGTTTGGATACAAGCATTCAATGAATAATATTCACATCATAGAAAATGGGGTATCCACCCCTCAAGCATTTATCCCTTGTGTTACAAACAATCCAATTATACTCTTAGTTATCTTAAAATGTACAATTAAATTATTATTGACTATAGTCACCCTGTTGTGCTATCAAATGCTTGGACTTGCTCATTCATTCTATTATTTGAACACATTACCCAGCCCCACCAGTACCCCTCCTAGCCTCTCTTAACAATCCTTATACTGTCTATATCCCTAAGTTTGTTTTGATTTTTTGATCCTACAAATAAGTGAGAACATGTGATGCTTGTCTTTCTGTAACTGGCTTATGTCAGGTAACATAATGACCTTCAGTTTCATCCAAGTTATTGCAAATTAGTGAATCTCATTCTTTTGTATGTCCGAATAGTACCCCATTGTATATATGTACCACAATTTTTATTCATCCATCTTTTGATGGACACTTAGTTTATTTTCTAATTTTAGCTATTGTGTACATAGCTGCAAAAATTATGGGAGTACAAATATCTCTGTGATATACTAGTTTCCTTTTCTAGGGGTATATACGCAGTAGTGGGATTGCTGGATCATATCGTAGCTCTATATTTAGTGTTTTGATGAACTTCCAAACTGTTCTCCATAGTGGTTGTACTAGAATACATTTCCACTAACAGTGTATGATGATTCCCTTTTCTCCACATGATCACCAGCATTTGTTATTGCCTGTCTTTGGATAAAATTTATTTTGACTGTGGTAAGATATCACACTGTAGTTTTGATTGACATTTCTCTGATGATCAGTGGTGTTGAGCACATTTTTATATACCTGTTTGCCATTCGTATGTCTTCTTTTGAGAAATGTCTATGCAGATCTTTTGCCCATTTTTAAATTGGATTATTGGACATTTTCCCAGAGAAAAATGACAACTTTTTTCCTATTTCTCATATGTTTGAGCTCCTTATATATTGTTTACTGATCCCTTGTCAGATGGGAAGTTTGCAAATATTCATCAGGAATATTGGCTTTTAGTTTTTTTTTTTTTTTTTTTTTTTTTTTTAATGTGTCTTTGCCTTGTTTTGGTATCAGGGTATTCCTGGTCTCATAGAATGAGTTTGAAAGTATGCTGTTTTACTCTAGTTTTTGGAATAGTTTGAATAGGATTGATATTAGTTCTTCATTAAAAGTTTGGTGGAATTTAGCAGCTAAGCCATTGGGTCCTGGGCTTTTCTTTACTGAGAGGCTTTTTATTTCAGTTTTGGTCTTGTTACTTGTTATTTTTCTGCTCAGGTTTTGGATTTCTTCATGGTTCTATCTTGGTATGTTGTATGTGTTTGGGAGTTTGTCCATTTCTTCTAGATTTCTCAATTTATTGGCATACAGATGTTCATAATACCCATTAATGATCCTTTGAATTACTGAGATATCAGTTGTAATGTCTCCCTTTTCATCTCTGATTTTATTTACATCTTCTTTCTTTTTTCTTAGTTACTCTGGCTAAAGTTTGTGTATTTTGTTTAACTTTTCAAAAAACAACTTTTCATTTTATTGCTCTTTGTATTGCATTACTCATTTTAATTTCATTTGTTTCTACTCCAATTTTATTATTTATTTATTTTAGTAATTTAAGGCTTGGTTTGCTCTAGCTTTTCTAGGTTTTTTTTTTTTTTTTTTTGACAGGGTCTCACTCTGGTTGCCCAGGCTGAAAGTACAGTTGTGTGGGTCACTGCAGCCTCGCCCTCACAGGCACAGGTGATTCTCCCATCTCAGTCACCCAGGTATGTGGGACTACAGGCATGCGCCACCATGGCCGGCTAAATTTTTTTATTTTTAATAGAGATGGGGTTTTGCCAGGCTGGTCTCAAACCACCAGACTCAAGTCTCCCATCTCAGCCTCCCAAAGTGCTGGATTTACAGGCATGAGCCGTTGTGCCCAGTTAGCTTTTCTCGTTTATTTTTTAAATGCATTGCTTGGTGGTTTTTTTTTTTTTAATTTCTTCTTTTTTAAATGTAGGCACTTATAGCTATATACTTCCCTCTTGGTACTGATTTTGCTGTATCCTATAGGTTTTGTTATGCTGTGTTTCCATTATCATTTGTTTCAATAAATTGTTTAATTTCCTTCTTAATTTCTTCATTGACCCACGGGTCATTTAAACACATATTAATTTCCATTTATATGTATAGTTTCCAATATTCCCTTGGTTATTTCATTGTGGTCAAAGAAGACACTTGATATTATTTCAGTTTTTGAATGTTTTACGACTTGTTTTGTGACCTAACTTATGGTCAATCCTTGAAAATAATCCGTGGGCTGAGAAAGTGAATGTGTAATCTGCAACTCTTGGATGATATGATGGTTAATACTGAGTGTCAGCTTGATTGGATTGAAGGATGCAAAGTATTGATCCTGGGTGCGTCTGTGAGGGTGTTGCCAAAGGAGATTAACATTTGAGTCAGTGGACTGGGAAAGGCAGACCCACCCTTAATCTGGGTGGGCACCATCTAATCAGCTGCCAGCATGGCCAGAATATAAAGCAGGCAGAAGAATATGAAAAGGGTAGACTGGCTTAGCCTCCCAGCCTATATCTTTATCCTGTGCTGGATGCTTCCTGCCCTCAAATGTTAGACTCCAAGTTCTTCAGCTTTGGGACTCGGACTGACTTCCTTGCTCCTCAGCTTGCAGATGACCTATTGTGGGACCTTGAGATCATGTGAGATAATACTACTTAATAAACTCCCCTTTGTATCTATCTATATCTATCTATCTATCTATTTATCTATCTATCATATTAGTTCTGTCCCTCTAGAGAACCCTGACAAATACAGATGAAATGTTGTATACATATTTATTAGATCCATTTGGTCTATAGTGCAAATTAAGTCCCATTTTTTTGTTGATTTTCTCTGTCAGATCTGTCAACACTGAAAGAAGAGTGTTGAAGTCTCCAGCTATTATTGTATTGCAGTTTATCTCTCTCTTTAGCTCTAAAAATTATATGCTTTTTATATCTGGGTGCTCTATCATTAGGTACATACATAATTTCAAATTGTTGTATTATCTTGCTAAATTGACTCTTTATCATTATATATTGAAATTCTTTGTCTCTTCTTATAGTTTCTGCCTTGAAATATACTTTGATATAAGAAGAGTAAATTCTGTTCTTTTTGGTTTCTGTTTTCATGGCGTATCATTTTCTATCATTTTATTGTCAGTCTGTGTATATTTATAGGTAAAGTGTGTTTTTCCTAGGCAACAGATCATTGGGCTTGTTTTCTTATCCATTCAGCCACTCTATGTCTTTTGATTGGAGAATTTAGTCCATTTATATTCAATGTTATTATTAATAAGTAAAGACCTATTTTGTCATTTTGTTATGTGTTTTCTGGTTGTTTTGTGGTCTTCTCTTTCTTCCTTCTTTCCTTCCTTCTTTCCTTCCTTCTTGTCTTTCTTTTAGTGAAGGTGATTTTCTCTAGTGGTATGATTTAATTTCTTGCTTTTTTTGTGTGTGTATCCATTGTATGTTTTACATTTGTGGTGAACATGAGGCTTGCAAATACTTTCTTATAACCCATTATTTTAACCTGATAAAAACATAACACTGTTTACATAAACAGACAAACAAAAACCAATAAAGACGGTACATTATAACTTCATTCCCCTGCTTTGAAACCTTTTATTATTAATATCTTATTGCACTATGTCTTGAAAAGTTGCTGAAGTTATTATTTTTATTGGTTCATTGTTTAGTCTTTCTAATTAAGGTATGAGTAGTTTACACATCACAGTTACAGTGTTATAATATTCTGTGTTTTTCTGTGTACTTACTATTAGCAGTGAGTTTTGTACCTTTAGCTGTTTTCTTGTTGTTCATTAACATCCTTTTTTTTTAATTGAAGTATTTCCTTTATCATTTTTTTTTGTAGAACAAATCTGGTGTTGATTAAATCCCTCAACTTTTCTTTGTCTGAGAAAGTTTTTATTTCTTCATGTTTGAAGGGTAAATTCACCAGATATACTATTCTAGGGTAAACATTTTTGTTTTCCCTTTAGTACTTTAAATATGTCATGCTACTCTTTTCTGGCCTGAAAAGTTTCTGCTGAAATGTCTGCTGCCAGATATATTGAACCGCCATTGTATGTTATTTGTTTCTTTTTTTTTTTTTTAGACGGAGTCTCGTTCTGTTGCCCAGGCTGGGATGCAGTGGCACGATCTCAGCTCACTGCAAGCTCCGCCTCCCGGGTTCACGCCATTCTCCTGCCTCAGCCTCCTGAGTAGCTGGGCCTACAGGCGCTCGCCACCATGCCCAGAGAATTTTTTGTATTTTTAGTGGAGACAGGGTTTCACCATGTTAGCCAGGATGGTCTCCATCTCCTGACCACGTGATCCGCCTGCCTCAGCCTCCCAAAGTGCTGGGATTATAGGCATGAGCCACGGTGCCCAGCCTAGAATCCTTCATCTTTGAGAATTTGATAACTAAGTGCTTTGAAGTGTCTTCTTTGGGTTACATTTGCTTGATGTTATCTAACCTTCTCGTACTTCGATATTGATATCTTCCTCTAGGTATGGGAAGTTCTATGTTATTCCTTTGAATAAACTTTCTACTCCTATTTCTTTATCTACTCTTTAAAGCCAATAACTCTTAAATTTGCCTTTTTGAGGCTATTTTCTAGATCTTGTAGGCATGCTTCATTCTTTCAAGATCTTTTTCTTTTGTCTCATCTGACTATTTTCAAATAGCCTGTTTTCAAGCTTACTATTATTTTCTGCTTGATCAGTTCTACTATTAAAGGACTCTGATGCATTCTTCAGTATGCCAATTTCAACTCCAAAATTTCTCCTTGAATTTAAACAATTTTTATTATTATTATACTTTAAGTTTTAGGGTACATGTGCACAACATGCAGGTTTGTTACATATGTATACATGTGCCATGTTGGTGTGCTGCACCCATTAACTCGTCATTTATCATTAGGTACATCTCCTAATGCTCTCCCTCCCCCCCTCCCCTGACCCCACAACAGTCCCCAGTGTGTGATGTTCCCCTTCCTGTGTCCATGTGTTCTCATTGTTCAATTCCCACCTATGAGTGAGAACATGCGGTGTTTGGTTTTTTGTCCTTGTGATAGTTTGCTGAGAATGATGGTTTCCAGCTTCATCCATGTCCCTACAAAGGACATGAACTCATCATTTTTATGGCTGCATAGTATTCCATGGTGTATATGTGCCACATTTTCTTAATCCAGTCTATCATTGTTGGACATTTGGGTTGGTTCCAAGTCTTTGCTATTGTGAATAGTTCTGCAATAAACAATTATTTAAATCTCTGTATTAAATTTATCTGATAGAATTCTGAATTCTTTCTCTGTCATATCTTGAATTTCTTTGAGTTTTCTCAACACATGTATTTTGAATTCTCTAAGAGATCACATATCTCTGTTTCTCCAGGATTGTTCCCTTGTGGTTTATTTAGTTCATTTGGTGAGGTCATGTTTTTTCTGGATGGTGTTGATTCTAGTAGATGTTCTTTGATGTTTGGGCATTGAAGTGTTAGGCATTTATTATAGTCTTCACTTTCTGGGCTTATTTGTAGCCATCTTTCTTGGGAAGGCTTTTCAGATACTTGAAAGAACTTGGGTGTTGTTATCTAATTGGTAGCTACTTTAGTGACCACCCCAAGACCAGTAACACTGTGGTTCTTGCAAACTTGTTGAGGTATCACCTTGATGATCTTGGGCAAGATCCAGAAGAATTCTCTGGATTACCAGGCAGAGACTCCTATTTTCTTCCTTTACTTTTTCTCAGGGAAATGGAGTCTTTCTCTGTGTTCTGAGCTACCTGAAGCTGGGAGTAGAGTGACAAAAACACCTCTGTGGCCATCAACCCTATTACTGCACTGGGTCAGACCTGAAGCCAGCACAGCATTGAGTCTTGCCGAAGGCATGCTGTGACCACTCCTTGGCTACTGTCTATGTTTGCTAAAAGCCCTGCAGCTCTACAATCAGCAAGTGGCAAAAACAGCCATGACTATTTCCTTCAATTAAGGGCAGGGAGTTCACCCAGGCCCTGGGCAGGTCCAGAGGTGCTGTCCAGGAACCAGGAACTAGAATAAAAAGCCTTAGAATTCTACCTGGTGTTCTATCCATACTGCAGTTGTGGTGCAACTGCACCACAAGTTGCACAAGACACTGGTTTTCCCCACTGTTCACCTCCCTTTCCAAAGGCAGGGAAGCTTCACCCAGTGGTCACTGCCACCACAGGCCCATTGGGGTTACTGCCAGACTACTACTGATATTTCCTTAAGGCCAAAGGTTTATTCAGTCTGCTTGTGTGAAGTGCTGCCTGGCCAGAGACTCACCCTTCAGGGCAGTTGGCTTCCCTCTGGCCCAGGGCTAGTTCAGAAATGCTGTCTAAAAGCCAAGTTCTGGAATCAGGAACCCCAAGAGCCCACTTGGTGCTCTACTCTTTGGCCAAGCTGGTACCTAATGTGCAAGACAAAGTCTCCTTTATTTTTGCCTTTGTTTTTCTCAAGTAGCAGGAGTCTTGTCCTGTAGCCACCACAGCTGGGAATGTGCTGAGTCTTATTTGAAGCTAGCAAGCCTCAGAGTCTAACCAAAGGCCCTCAATGTAGTACCTTGGTATTGCTGCTGATTATTCAGGCCCCAAGGGCTCCTTAGTCAGCGTGTGATTAATTTTGCCAGGACTGGATTCTTACCTCCAAGAGTGTGTTCCCTTCTGGCCCAGAGTGTGTCTAGAAATGTTGTCCAGGAACTAGGGCCTGAAAAAGGGTCCTTGTGACTCTGACCAGTAATCTATCCTGCTGTGGCTGAACTTGTATCCAAGATGTAAGATGAAGCCCTCCCCAATCTTCTGTCTTCTTACCTCAAGTGGAAGGAAGATGTCTTTTATGAAGCCACGAGTTGTGCAGCCCAGGATTAGGGGAAAGGTAAAGCCCCACCAGCTCACTAGCTCTGGGCCCAGTTCAGCACTAGGACTCACATAGGTGTTGCAGTCCTTGTGGCCTAGACTACCTTTCCGGTTCATTTGGGGCCCTAGAGCACTTTAGCTCATGGTAGGTGGCAAGTCTTGCTGAAATTCAAATTCCAACTGCTGGGGTGGGCAACTTTCCTCTTGCTAGGGCTAGTTTAAATGCTCCCTACATGAGTGGGCATCAACTGAATTTGTCTAGTTTTGCTTTCTGCTATAATAAAGGCAGCACTGAGTTCAATGTCTCACAGTTGCTGGCTCTCTCTCTCCCAAGACCACAGAAATGCTCTCTGCACCTCACTACTGCTGGGGATGGGAGGAGGTCACATCAGCAATTCAAGACTGTTTTGCTTACCTCTTTCAGTGCCTTTTTCAGTGATATGAAGTTAAAATCAGGTATCATGAGTGCCTACCTGATTTTTGGTTCTTCGAAGGTGGCTTTTTTGTGAAGATAGTTCTTAATTTGGTGTCCTCTGAGGGTGGGATGATCAGTGAATCCCCTTTGTTCCACCATTTTCCTCCACCCTTCTTTTCTTTAATTTCTAAAGCAAATGATTTGTGTCCTTTTCTTCCCTCTTTCTCTAAGAGTGCAATTCATCGATTATAACTGTATTCAACTTTTTGGAATCTTCTTTCCTCTTTTATTTTTTTCTGCTTACACTTGACAGCTGTCATAGCATAGTGTGTATAAGCACATACTCTGGAGTCAGAACACCTAGACATGAATTCCAATTCCACAACTTAAGTTTTGTGTGACTGTGAACAAATCTCCTAGCCTTTATGAGCTTTATTTTTTAAATCCATATAAAAACAGGGTAGTTTCAAGTACTGAGTGAGATAATCTACGTTAAATGCTTATTAGAGCACCTGGCATATGGTAAGAACTAACTTGTTAGGTATTATGCTAAAAATGATGATATTGACCCAAATTATGAAGCTCACTTTTTCCCTATCCTTGAACAACTCTTTCTTATTTGTGATAACTCACCAAGTTCAAAACCCTGACTGAAAGAAGGCTGTCTATTCTTTTCCACTAACTGCTCTTAACTACAGACTTCTATTCTTCCTACTTGACTAAAACTGCTCTCTTGATGAGGCCGAATCTTCCTACTCTGATTCTAGTGCTCAGTCACATATAACATAATTCCTCCTATCAAATATGTGGCTGATTTCGCTGACTTGTTTTTTCAATTATATATGATCTATCTGGGCTCTCTAATAGATGGGTCTTATAGTTGTCATTATGTAGGATATCAGAGAAGACAAGAAATACCTTCAACAGAAAAAGTGACATGTAATTTCTCTAGTGTCATTTTTTGAAATACTATAATCCAATGTTTCTTTTCTGATTTCTAATCATTTTCATTCACTACCCCTTCTTATCACCCTTCATCTACATTATGAATTTTCAACAAAATTTTACAAATAAATATTTCAAATTATTTTCCACATAGTCAAGAATTCTTGAATTAGTAATCATTATAATACGACTTTTTGTGAACTCAGTTGAAACCACTGAACTGCATCACAGTTGGGTCATATAGTCCCTTTGTTCAAAATTGAGCTGTAGTTCCATATACAGCTTCCTTGAAAAGGTACTAAAATTATTCCACCATTTCAGAGAAACAACAGGCCCTGCTCCAGGCAGCAGGGAAATCTAATTTTAAAGTCTAATAAGGAAATCTTGGCAGCTGAATACCAAGGAGAAGGTGATGCTGATCTAGTTGAGTGCACAGCAGAATTAAAACTTGATGGGAAATCATTGTGCTTCAGAGAACAGGACCAGCGAAGGCTTAGTGCATGATGTAAGGATCAATACTGGAAGAATAAAATAATTGAATTAGTAAATCCTCAGGACAAATAGGCTGAAGGGAACAATAGGCAGCATAGATGACTTATGAAAGTTAACAGAAGGTATGAAAGAAAATGGGCCCACATCATTTGGAGTCAGGCCTTATAACACTTTGGCTAGGCACAGAATACATCTTGTTCTCAAAGTGAAATTGCCACTGCTATTTCCTCATTAACCTGAGGCTGATTATCTCAGATCTAGAAGTGTACAGCAATCTCAATTCAGGCTCATGTAATGAAACAGCAAAGTATTCACTTCAGTTTCTGTATCAGCCACTACTGGCTGTGTGACTTAGGTAAGGTATTTAAGCTCAATTATCCATCTCTAAAATGGGAACCAAAAGAATTCATATGCTTTTAGGCATGTTGTGCTGCTATAGTAAAATAATATATGTAATTGCCTAACAGAGTGTATGGCACATAATGGGAGCTCAATAAAAGTTATAAAAGTTAATTTTATTTATTTATTTATTTATTGGAGACAGAGCCTCACTCTGTCACTCAGGCTGGACTGCAGTGGCATGATCTGGGCTCACTGCAACCTCTTCCTCCTGGGTTCAAGACATTCTCCTGCCTCAGCCTCCCGAGTAGCTGGGACTGCAGGCACGTGCCACCACACCTGGGTAATTTTTGTATTTTTAGTAGAGACAGGGTTTCACCATGTTGGCCAGACTTTTCTCAAACTCCTGGCCGCAAATGATCCACCAGCCTCTGCCTTCTAAAGTGCTGGGATTACAGCCGTGAGCCACCCCATGGGGCCTACTTTATTTTTTCTTACTGCTTCCCAATAATCGTATCACCACCTTCAAATAGTAGGAATAAAAGTAGAAATGATAGAAACTTAGAACATTAGTTATGTTTACTTGTTGCAAAAATCAAGAGACTCAATAAAAAATTTGAAACCATTGGCTGAAACAAATTTATGAATTACCAATGACTCTATTATGCATTCAGGCACACAATGGAGATATTGCAGGTTTGGACCCAAACTCTCAATAAAGCAAGTCACACTTTTTTTTGCTTTCCCAGTGGCATATAAAAGTTAAATTTACACTACACTGCAGTCTATTAAGTGTGCAATAGTATTATAAATAAAAATAATGTGCATACCTTAAGAATACTTTATAGTTGAAAAATGTTAATGATAATCTAAGCCTTCACCAAGTTGTAATTTTTTTTGATGGTGGAGGGTCTTCCCTTGATGTTAATGGCTTCTGACTGATCCGGTTGGTGGTTGCTGAAGGGTAAGGAGGCTGTGGCAGTTCCTTAAAATAAAACAACTATGAAATTTGTCATATCGATAGACACGTTCTTTCACAAACAATAATTTATTTGCATATGATTATGTTTAATAGAATTTTACCCTCAGTAGAAATTCTTTCAAAATTGGAGTCAGTCCTCTCAAACCCTGCTTCTGCTTTATCAAAAAAGTTTATGGAATAGTCTAAATCCTTTGATGTCATTTCAACAATGTTCACAGCGTCTTCACCAGGAGTAGATTTCATCTCAATAAGCCACTTTATTTGCTCAACTATAAGAAGCAACTCCTCATTCATTCAAGTTTTATCATTAGATTGCAGCAATTCAGTAATATCTTCAGGTTCCACTTCTAATTCTAATTTTCTTCCTATTCCACCACATGTGCAATTACTTTCTCCATTGAAGTCTTGAGCTCCTCAAAGTCATGCATGAGGTTTGTAATCAACTTCTTCCAAATTCTTATTAATGTTGATATTTTGACCTCCTCTCATGAATCACAAATGTTCTTAATGACATCTAGAATGGTGAATCCTTTCCAGAAGGTTTTTGATTTACTTCTCTCAGATCTATCAGAGGAATCACTATCTGTGGCACCTGTCGCCTTACAAAATGTATTTCTTAACTAATAAGACTTAAATGTCAAAATTATTACTCGGTCTGCAAATGAATGTTGTGTTAGCAGGCATGAAAATATTAATCTCCTTGTAGATCTCCATCAGAGCTTTTGGGTGACTTAGGTGCATTGTCGATGAGCAGTAGTATTTTTGAAATATGTTTTTTTTTCTGAGCAGTAATTCTCAAGAGTGGGCTTTAAATATTCCATAAACCATGCTGTAAACAGATGTGCTGTCATCCAGGCTTTGTTGTTACATTTATGGAGCATTGGCAGAGTAGATTGATAATAACTTTTAAGAGCCCTAGATTTTCAGAGTGGTAAATGAGCATTGGCTTCAACTTAATGTCCACAGCTGCATTAGCAAGAGAATCAGACTGTCCTTTGAAGGTTTGAAACCAGGCATTGACTTCCTTTCTCTACCTAATAACATCCTGGATAGCATCTTCTTCCAATATAATTCTGTTTCATCTACATTGAAAATCTGTTGTTGAGTGTGGCTACATTCATCAATTATCTTAGCCAGATCTTCTGGATAACTTGCTGCAGTGTCTACATCAGCACTTTTTCTTCACCTTGTAGTTTTATGTTACAGAGATGGTTTTTTTTCTTAAACATCATGAACCAACCTCTGCTAGATTCGAACTTTTCTTCCGTAGCTTCCTTACCTCTCTTAGCCTTCACAGAATGGAAGAGAGTTAGAGCTTTGCTCTGGAGTAGACTTCGGTTTAGGGAAATGTTGTGGCTTGTTTAACCTCTTATCCAGATCACTAAAACTTTCTCCATATTAGCAACAAAGCTGTTTTGCTTTCTTATCACTCATGTCTTTACTGTAGTAGCACTTTTAATTTCCTCCAATAACTTTTCCTTGGCATTTACAGCTTGGCTAACTGCCTGGTGCAAGAGGCCTAGTTTTGACCTCTCTTGGCTTTCAACATGCCTTCCTCACTAAACTTAATCCTTTCTATCTTTTAATTTAAAATGGGAGATGTGCAACTTTTCCTTTCATTTGAACACATAGGGGCCATTTTAGGGTTATTAGTTGTCCTAATTTCAATATAGTTATCTCAGGGGATAGGGAGGCCCGAGGAGAGGGAGAGAGATGAGGAAATGACCAGTCTGTGTAGCAGCCAGAACACACATTTATTGATTAAATTTGCCATCTTACATAGGCATGGTTGGTGGGACCCCACAGATTACAAGAGTAACATCAAAGACCACTGAGTATAGATTACCATAACAGAAATAATAATGAACAGGTTTAAAATATTTGGAAAATTAGCAAAATGTGACACAGAAACATGAAGTGAGCACATGCTGTTGCAAAAATGGCACTGATAGTCTTGCTTGACAGAGGATTGCCACAAACCTTCAATTTGTTTAAAAAAATGCAGTATCTGTGAAGGCCAATAAAGCAAAGTGCAATAAAATGAAGTATGCACTGGTATCATTTTATGAAAAGAAATTAGGTAATTACACATTTTACTGCTTTATACTGAATTGGTTGAGTAGTGCCTGGCTATTCTCAGTTTGTTGGAAGAGGCCTCATTAAAGGCCCATCAAAAAGTGTGATCAAAAGTAAGGCAGAATACTTACTACCTCAGTTAACTTGAAGATGAAAAGGTAAATACAATTCATAATAGTAAAGATTTCCTTCGTGGAATATGTACTATTGGCCCCAGCTAGGAACTTTAAGTATCTCTAATCTTTACCAAAATCTCTGACTTGTAAGTATTACTATCCATATTTACAGATGAGAAATCTGAGATTCAGAGGCATTATTGAAGCCCATAGCTAAGACTCCAACCCACATATCTGTGGCCACTAATCATAAACAGTTTTCACTGCACTAGCTTTCCAGGCTAACTGAATAGCAGTTGGTTGGGTGTTAGCCCCTCTCTAGTTAGTTAGTTTACATGAGGAGCCTCAATAATTTTGTGTTTTGATTGGTTCCACATTTTTGAAGGGGGAATGGCAGATCCATTTTTTAGGCTAAAATAGGTGTTCCTTATTAGCAAATCCGGACTTCCAGGAAATACACTATTAAATGAGGTTGAGATGAGGTTTTCTATGCATTATGGTATGAATCTTGCCTTTGTGCCAGTGATTTATGGCATAACGAATGTATGTTTGTTGGTTGAATTTACTAGCCAAGCCTGCATAGTGTGTTTGCCTAATAGTTGCCAATTTCCACTGGCTCCTAGGCTGAAAGAAATAATAATCACTACAACGAATTAGGCTCTTATAGGTATTCGGAATTATACTGGAGGCTTAAATTGTGTTATTTATTTCTAATAACAACCCTGTGAAGTTTATGGAAGTGAAAACTTGAGGACCAAGGAGATTAATTATCTTGTTCCAAACCAGACAGCTGGTAAGTAGAAGAGCTAGGATTCAAACTGTATCTTCCTCAAGAACCCAGATCTTAACCCTTATACTCTGTAGAAACCCACAGAAGAACTGTGACCTGGCCTAGGCCACCTGGTAAGTGTCAGATATATATTTTCTATATTGATATGTCAGGTTCCAAAAACAATGTTGTTACTACAATAAATTGCACGTATTTCACAAAGCTTAATATAACAGCTTAAAATGTAAAAGCTGTGGGCTCTTTACTCTGAAATAAAGAGTAGTTGTAGCCTTAGCAACAACACTAGAAACTTTAAGCAGGATTAATTCTTTCATTTTATCCTATGTAAATTTAAAATTAACCTGAACATTTTGTGTAAAATTTAAAATGATTTTATTTCTTATTGAAAGTCCCTTTAAAGTGTCCAGGATGACTTCTTCCTCTTAGTAAAAATAATACACTGGGTAAAATGGAAATCTTTTTTTTATTATTATTATACTTTAAGTTTTAGGGTACATGTGCACAATGTGCAGGTTAGTTACATATGTATACATGTGACATGCTGGTGCGCTGCATCCACTAACTCATCATCTAGCATTAGGTATATCTCCCAATGCTATCCCTCCCCCCTCCCCCCACCCCACAACAGTCCCCAGAGTGTGATGTTCCCCTTCCTGTGTCCTTGTGTTCTCATTGTTCAGTTCCCACCTATGAGTGAGAATATGCGGTGTTTGGTTTTTTGTTCTTGTGATAGTTTACTGAGAATGATGATTTCCAATTTCATCCATGTCCCTACAAAGGACATGAACTCATCATTTTTTATGGCTGCATAGTATTCCATAGTGTATATGTGCCACATTTTCTTAATCCAGTCTATCATTGTTGGACATTTGGGTTGGTTCCAAGTCTTTGCTATTGTGAATAGTGCCACAATAAACATACGTGTGCATGTGTCTTTATAGCAGCATGGTTTATAGTCCTTTGGGTATATACCCAGTAATGGGATGGCTGGGTCAAATGGTATTTCTAGTTCTAGATCCCTGAGGAATGGCCACACTGACTTCCACAATGGTTGAACTAGTTTACAGTCCCACCAACAGTGTAAAAGTGTTCCTATTTCTCCACATCCTCTCCAGCACCTGTTGTTTCCTGACTTTTTAATGATTGCCATTCTAACTGGTGTGAGATGATATCTCGTTGTGGTTTTGATTTGCATTTCTCTGATGGCCAGTGATGGTGAGCATTTTTCCATGTGTTTTTTGGCTGCATAAATGTCTTCTTTTGAGAAGTGTCTGTTCATATCCTTCACCCACTTTTTGATGGGGTTGTTTGTTTTTTTCTTGTAAATTTGTTTGAGTTCATTGTAGATTCTGGATATTAGCCCTCTGTCAGATGAGTAGGTTGCAAAAATTTTCTCCCATTTTATGGGTTGCCTGTTCACTCTGATGGTAGTTTCTTTTGCTGTGCAGAAGCTCTTTAGTTTCATTAGATCCCATCTGTCAATTTTGGCTATTGTTGCCATTGCTTTTGGTGTTTTAGACGTGAAGTCCTTGCCCATGCCTATGTCCTGAATGGTAATGCCTAGGTTTTCTTCTAGGGTTTTTATGGTTTTAGGTCTAACGTTTAAGTCTTTAATCCATCTTGAATTGATTTTTGTATAAGGTGTAAGGAAGGGATGCAGTTTCAGCTTTCTACATATGGCTAGCCAGTTTTCCCAGCACCATTTATTAAATAGGGAATCCTTTCCCTATTGCTTGTTTTTCTCAGGTTTGTCAAAGATCAGATAGTTGTAGATATGCGGCATTATTTCTGAGGGCTCTGTTCTGTTCCATTGATCTATATCTCTGTTTTGGTACCAGTACCATGCTGTTTTGGTTACTGTAGCCTTGTAGTATAGTTTGAAGTCAGGTAGCGTGATGCCTCCAGCTTTGTTCTTTTGGCTTAGGATTGACTTGATGATGCGGGCCCTTTTTTGGTTCCATATGAACTTTAAAGAAGTTGAATCTCTGAATAGACCAATAACAGGAGCTGAAATTGTGGTAATAATCAATAGCTTACCAACCAAAAGGAGTCCAGGACCAGATGGATTCACAGCCAAATTCTACCAGAGGTACAAGGAGGAACTGGTACCATTCCTTCTGAAACTATTCCAATCAATAGAAAAAGAGGCAATCCTCCCTAACTCATTTTAGGAGGCCAGCATCATCCTGATACCAAAGCCGGGCAGAGACACAACCAAAAAAGAGAATTTTAGACCAATATCCTTGATGAACATTGATGCAAAAATCCTCAATAAAATATTGGCAAACCGAATCCAGCAGCACATCAAAAAGCTTATCCACCATGATCAAGTGGGCTTCATCCCTGGGATGCAAGGCTGATTCAATATATGCAAATCAATAAATGTAATCCAGCATATAAACAGAACCAAAGACAAAAACCACATGATTATCTCAATAGATGCAGAAAAGGCCTTTGACAAAATTCTACAACCCTTCATGCTAAAAACTCTCAATAAATTAGGTATTGATGGGACGTATCTCAAAATAATAAGAGCTATCTATGACAAACCCACAGCCAATATCATACTGAATGGGCAAAATCTGGAAGCATTCCCTTTGAAAACTGGCACAAGACAGGGATGCCCTCTCTCACCACTCCTATTCAACATAGTGTTGGAAGTTCTGGCCAGGGCAATTAGGCCGGAGAAAGAAATAAAGGGTATTCAATTAGGAAAAGAGAAAGTCAAATTGTCCCTGTTTGCAGATGCCATGATTGTATATCTAGAAAACCCCATCGTCTCAGCCCAAAATCTCCTTAAGCTGATAAGCAACTTCAGCAAAGTATCAGGATACAAAATCAATGTACAAAAATCACAAGCATTCTTATACACCAATAACAGACAAACAGAGAGCCAAATCATGAGTGAACTCCCATTCACAATTGCTTCAAAGAGAATAAAATACCTAGGAATCCACCTTACAAGGGAAGTGAAGGACCTCTTCAAGGAGAACTACAAACTGCTGCTCAATGAAATAAAAGAGGATACAAACAAATGGAAGAACATTCCATGCTCATGGGTAGGAAGAATCAATATCATGAAAATGACCATACTGCCCAAGGTAATTTATAGATTCAATGCCATCCCCATCAAGCTACCAATGACTTTCTTTACAGAATTGGAAAAATGGAAATCTTTTGATGACTGAGGATGTTTCACTGACTTAGATCACTAGAACATCAGTTTCCTCATTTGAAATATGTGAATCATGAAAACACCTACTTCCCTAGTTGGGGTGAGAATTAAATGAAATAATATACATGAATAGTACTTTGTCAATTGTATTGTCATATGCAAATGTACTTTATTGTTCTCAATAACTCTTATGAAGGACTGTTAACTACAAGAAAAAGATAAGTCTCTTTTCACTCTTGTACATAACTGATAGGTATTATCATTAAAATTTCCTGCATTGGTTCTTTTTGCCACTGTTTTTTCCTTAAATGAAGAGTATGAGAAAAGCATAAATATGAAGTGATTTGATTAGTTAATTGAGGTTTTATTGTATATAGCTTTGTCTAGCTGTGATGATTATGAATATATTTATTTTTTTATTTTTGTTTGTGATTTGGGTAGTTTTTCTAAGTATGTTGTCTGTCTTTGAATCTCTATTGTATATAACAACCTTGGGGAGGGGGGTTTTGTCTCTGATTTCCTGGTATCTTTTATTGCACCTAGTTGGAGGCTATGCACACAGGGAGCTACTAGGCCCTACACACACTCACCCTGACACACACACACACACACACACACACACACACACACAAGTCATTGGAGCAAAGGAATTGTCTTGACACTGATAAAACTGCCCTCTATATAGTCCAACTTGAAACATCTTCATAGATGTTAGTAACTGGCCAAATCCATTCTTAAACAGCGCCCCTACTCCATTCTGCCACTTCCTCATAGTAGTGATGCAGGAGTTTTGTTCTTTAGCTCAGCTAAAACCTAGGTTCTTGTCCGATGACCAGAAAAACATTAGGCACACAGACACGTTGAAAGATGAGGAGAACAAATTTATTAAAAGAAAGGTCTCCATGAAAAAAGGGGTCCTGCCAAGAAGGCTCCCACCTCACAGATTGAATACTGGGCCACCACTCATGAACTGAAGAGCCCAGGCTTCTCCCCACAGCACAAGGCATGAATTCCTGTTGGCTCCACCCCACTCTCCCAACCCATTGCAAACACACCCATACAAGTCCCTGGGCCATTTCCTTCATCTGCACAAAAGCATCTGATGTAAACACTTGTGAGGCAGGTTGGAGATTCTCGGGAACCTCCCTTATCTGCCTCCTGCATCTATCACTCCCCACCAAAAAAAAAGTGCATCTAACTGCCATTAGAATAAGGATAAGGATAAGGATGAAGAGTGATCTTAATTGCTTCCTGCTGACAGGGGGCACTGTTTTGGAAAAAAGGGCAGTCAGGTCTCCCTCAAAGGCCTATCTATCTAAGGGTCCCTGGCAGAAAGGGACATCGTCACAGGCTCCACTTGCATGACCATTTGGAGTTTTATGGCCTGAAGTTGAGAAGAGACAAACCAGGTTATTGGAAAATATGTATCAAAATGAAGCAAGGGGGAGTAAGGATGGTTCAAATATCCCAAGGCCTTTTACCAGTTTGCTCAGGGAGAGGGAGCCAAAAGCCTGACTGGTTAAAAAAACTTTTACCCTTTTGCTGGCAGGTCAGGCCTCTGGGTCCCTTTCCCCGAGCCCAATCCTAAGCCAACCAGTTTAAGGCTTGGGAAATTAACTTTTTCCAATTTGGAGGATGCAGCTGAGTGGCATGTCCCATAGTATGGAGCCACAATTACCTGTCAGTGAAGAGAGTACAGAGGAGGAAAAAGAAAAAAAAAAAGGTGTTTTGATTTTTTTTTTCAAAGGAATCCCAGGGGTTCAGGATGCATTTGAAAGGGGTACAGACTGAAGATGAATGCCTACTCATCTAGAAAGAGGGGAGCGAGGAGTCCCAGGTTCCCTTCTCTTCCTAGAAAATACTTGGGGTATGTGAGGAAAAGTGAGAGATCCCTCTTTCTTCTTCCATCCTTATATCCCCAAGTCCCAGCAACTGTGACAAGTTGCTGCCCATGGGTGTCAAAGAGGCTTTCATCCATGTTAACAGGGGGTGCCTAGGAGGTGGGAATATCTGCTCTCACCCATGTATGCCCTGTCTCCCCTGCTCTCAGTAGCCTTTGAATTCTCTAGACCTCATTTATTCCATGGATACTAACATGACATTTATCTATGAACAGGAAGCTTGGCTTAATTGGCAGAAATTAGTTATGTTCACTTGCTATGTGCCTTTTAACTTCTGTTATTGTCAGCCTCTGGATCCCTTAGATCCAGTTTTCTTTCCTAGGGCTTTGACTTGAAGCTTGGAATTGAGTTTGAGATAAAAAAAAAAAAACGTGTCTCAGGGGTTGGCATGGACTCATTACTATAAGCCAAAATGCTAAGGTGAATCTGTAAAATTGAGTGCTCCTTCAACAAGGGAGAGAAAAAGATGTACTGTGACATGCCCAGATAACTGGTGGCTACAGTTATACTTGCTAATATATGAGTGCATGGGGCTTGGCTTTGGTTACCTCCCTTGGTCTTACTTTCCCCAAAAGGAAACCTCCAGGTGATGGGTACCCTTTTTATTCCCATCACCCAACAGGATCTGCAGGATAATTGATCAGAACTAGAATATTCATCCAGATTTTTATATTACCCAACCCCTTTTGTTCTTCTGAGCTGCAGTCAGAGATCACTGGTTGGTTCATAGGAGTAGGCACGGCTAGTCTAAAATGCAGGCAAAAAACTTAAAAAAGTTAATGTGTGTAGAATTTAATGACATATGATAAGTTCTAAAACATAATTCCTGTCTCTCTAGTCCTCAATTTTGTTAAAAACAAATCATGATAGTACTGAGTTTTTTGCAAAATAGACTTTAGTCTATATTTGTCCTGATTATTTGCACAAAGTGCAGCAAGAATAATTTTTTTTACATAGGCCTTTTAGCTTGGCTTTGATGGAAATCTGTTCCACAAGGAATCTCAGATAGAACTTTCTGAAATAGAGAGCAGCTGTGAGTTTGTACCCTCAAATACCTGTGAGTTGAGTACACGCCTCTTGAGGTCCCAAGAGGATGGGGTTCCTGGGTCTGTTAGAATGTGACATTCTTTACTCACTACAGGTTAGGAAACCCTGTGCAGGGACTGTGTAGACAAGGTATAAGGCCAGTTTTCCTAAGGGGCTTTTATTGGCTCTGCAAGTCAAGCTTAATTCCTTAAAGGGAAGCATATCCTCCCATTCAAAGACTTGGTAAAATAACCAGTTTCTCCAGTTGCATCCTGTTGCAAAAGAAAATGGATCCTTATTGCACTGATTCAAACAACTATATTGCCATAAGTTAAGAATACTCACAACAAGTTTCCAAATTCTAGAAAAGCCAGGCAGCGAGAGAGAGACAAATATGCTCCAAATTTTGTTCACAGGAATACACCTTACTCAATTATTAAAGGCATAAATAGATAAAAATAAGTTTCCTTGACACTGAAAAACAAAACAAGGATCACCAGTGTTCCAAGCAGAAGTCAAAAAAGATTATTTCAATTTTCTAATAGTTCAGTCCATTCAGTTAACTCTTGTTTTGCTTGATATTCAGGAACATTTAAGCTCTTCATGAATCTTGTACGTTTGGCCTTTATTCCAATATCACAATCTCCCAAGTTATCAGAAACCTGCATTTGAAAGCACCTGTCAAAATTCTATAGCTGATTATAAACCATCATTTGAAGGATCAAAACAAGATAACAATTTTCTGTGAATAATAACATGTCCAGGGTAGTTACAGTCAGAAATACAATTGACAAAGTTATTTGGTTACCTTCATTTTTTACAATAACTTAACATAACAACCTTAATTGTGATTAATAGCATATACTCAGACAATAGAATTTTAGAAATCCCATACAATTTTGGAACATATATTAATATTATTACCTAAAATATAACCTGAAGAAGGTTAAACATCATTTTGCCAATCCAATGTACCTAAACATGTCAGGTAATCCTGTTTACCTCTCTTCTGGATTCTCCAGGGGCTCTCTGTAACATCCAAAATTAGGCATCAGAAAAAACAATTTTCGAAACTGAAGTTTGATTTAGGGAAGCCTGTTAAATACGTTAGAGGTTTAAAACTCTTGATGTTATGAAATAGAATTCCAGATTTCCATAAGTTATTTATTTTGCCAAAATGATGACTCAGAAAATTTTAAAAAGCAAAAACTTTTATAACAATTTACAAATTTTGCTAAATAGCATATTAGTGCCTTAAGAATAATTTTTGTGCTTTTATTTCAATGCTTAATTACAGGAAAACTATATAATATTCTTTTGAATTTAGTCAATATGTTCACACATGAAATTTGTTTTGCAAGATTGATTTTTACAGTCCTTCCAAAACTTGTTTGAACTTTTTGCTTTATTTTACCTAATTCAAAACAATCCTTTAACCCTAGGCAAAATTTTACATTTTCACAACATCTGCATTTTACCAATAATCTTTGAGCCTGTTTTTATTTCTCAAGATTAAAGTCACATGAAATAAAATGTACCATAGGTTTTATCTTCCCTTTAAAAATATATGACCCAAGTGTTTATCTTTCTTTAAGTCAATTAATTAGAGCTCTTTTTGTATAGACCTCACACACACAACGCATACATTACTATAAAGACAGGCAGAAGAAGATCCAGTAGCTATAAGATTGTTCATTTGCCAATCTCCTAATTGGATTATCAGCCTCTGGGTGGAGCCCTTTAAGAGCAAGGCTAGAAAAGCATGTAGTTTCTAGGGCCTAATAAACAGGTATAATTGGAAGACAAAAACAGATTTTGAGAGGGATCCATCCACCCCTAATTCCTGGGGTTCCATGAGGATAACAGAGATCTCTCCTGAAATGGAATCTGTGGTGACTTTTCTGTTTTTCCTGAGGAGTCACAGGCCATCAGAAATTATCTTAGGGCCTCTCATGTGTGCATTAAGAGTGGCAAGGCAAAATGGAGAAAAATAATTCAGTCCACCAAGAAAAAAAATTTTCCAGCAAAATAAGAACCAAGAAGAGATAAACATAAAGGCCTTTAAACTATACCTATAACTTGGATATTCACTTTTTAATTAAGCTGAGTGCTCTTTAAGAAAATCATTTTAAATCCCTTATTACTTGACTTTAGCTGCAGGAAGCAGCCAATATTTCTGGCATTTGAACCTTATCAAAGGTAACTTCTCAGATGCTCAGAGAAAGCAAAATTCAAGGCGGTTCGTGGAGGGGAGGAGAATCAACAAATGTCAAAAATCATGCAGATATCAAACCAGAAAGGACCCATTCCCTAAGCCACGATTGAACTCAGGCCACCACTGTAAGATGGCAGAGGCTAAAACAAAGCACTGCTCTGTGGTTACAGGTCACACATCCCAGGGCGTAAAACAAGATGGAGGCCTGCAGCAATGTTTGCTACTAACCATACAGAAAAACAGGCAAAGTGCACAAGATTGGCTACAGCGTAAGATCAACCTTGCAAATCCTTTTTCATAATTAAAACTACAGAGAACATAAACAGTAATAGTTGGGGTCCTGGTCTAGTAAAACATCTTCTAAAAGAAAAAAAGTCTCTTGCTTAAAAGTCAACTCCTGACATGATGGAGAAAAGAAAAAAAGCTTAAAGTGCTGGGTTGTGTTAACTGCTGACAGGGTGGAGAAAATGAAAAAGCAGCTTAAAATACAGGGTTGGAAAGATGCCTGGGGGAAAATATATCTTATTCTTATGCAAATGAATTCCTCCAACAGGGAAAGAAACTTAATTGGTGTTTCTTCCCTGGGGCTTGGATGGAGCTGGACCCCTTGGGCAGGGGAGGGGAAGACACTGTGGACACATGGCAGGGAATGCTGGCCAGCCTGCCAGGTGGGGACTTTGAGCCTTGTGCCCCAGCCCGAGCTGGGAGGGGAGGGAGAAGGGAGCCGTCACTTGTCCATCCATCCTGAAAAAAAGAAGAAAAGAAGAAAAAAAAAAGAAGAAAAGCTGGGTTGGACCAAGGCTGACATTTCTAATCCCCATCAGCGATGGGTGTGGGTGGGGGGCACGGTTTCCTCTACCTTCAGAAGAAGTCCAAGGACAAAAAGGCTCAAAAAGAAAAGGAAAAATGATTTTCTGTTCTGCATTGACTCACGTTTCCTCACATCCACGTACAGGCCACCAAAATGATGCAGGATCTTTGCTCCTTACCTAAGCTAAAACCCAAATTCTTCTCCCACAACCAGAAAAAAATTAGGCATGGGGACACGTTGAAAGGTGAGGAGAGTGGAATTTATTAAAAGCAAGCTCTCAGCAAAAAAAAAAAAGGGTCCTGCCAAGAAGGCTCTCACCTCACAGATTCAATACCAGGACACCACAAATAAGCTGAAGAGCCCAGGCTCCTTCCCCCTGCACAAAGCACAAATTACTGGTGGCTCCACCCCATACTCCCAGTGTGCAAGAGAGCTCCCCCAGTTTGTAGTGGGCATCCCCAGACAAGGCCCTGGGCTGGTTCCCTCTTCTGCACAAAAGCATCTGATGTAAACAAACATTTGTGGGGCAGGTTGGAGATTCTTTGGGGATCCTTCCTTATCTGCCTCCTGTATTTATAATTAGGGTGAGTAAACCTGACTAGAGAAGACAGTATAGCAGAATGAAAAAGCCCTCAAGGCTTGAGAGTCAGAAAGACCTGGAATTCAATCCAGGCTCTGTTGCTTATGATCTGCATAACCTTTGGCAATTGCTTAATTTTTCTGTTTCCCCATGATTAAGATAATAATAGAACTGATCTCATAAGATTGTTGTAAGGCTAAAATAAGATGTTATGTATAAGCCTTTAGTATGGTATCGGTCCACATGAAACATGTTCAATCAATAGCAGCTGTTATGTATGTAATTACTGAGTGGGCTTGTAATATGGAGACATCCCCAGGGGACATTAAGCTTATAAGGCTGTTTATACCTGAAGTAGGTGGCTCTAGGTTGGGTGTGGAGATTTGTTGTTGGTGGTGGTGTTGTTATTTTACTGCCAGGTATTTCTTTTATTACAGACTGCTAATCTCCAACAGCTTCTTCAATCTTCTCCCTCCTTTCATTTGCTGCTTATAATATGTTGTGAGATGGAATGCCAGATAACTAAGCTTTGAGTTTGTGCAGCTACTCATTCAGTAAATATTTTTATTCAAAAATTATGGATAACACAGTTCTGAACTCCATGTAAGTGAAATATTTTATTTTTTCTCATCCCCCACTTAAAAAATTGATTGATAAATTTGCAGCAATGTTGTAGCAAGAGGTTTATAGTTTGTGACGTTTTCCTTCTCCATATTTTTGTATTTTTAATAAATTTTTTTTCCTCAGATTTTAAAACTACTTTCATGAATTTGTTTTATTTTGTGAAACTAATCCTTTCATTGAAAGTACTTATATTTTTAATTAAGGACATGGAGGATTAACATAATTTGAAGCCTTTTCTGAGACATTCTGTATTTCCAAAAGAAAAGAATAGTCAAATAATGTCTGATGTAATTGCAAGTGACAAAAACATCGTAATATATTTCATCTTCCACAGCCACACAAAAATATAGTGGACTTGGCTGGGATCACCTATATAAAGCAAGGAGAAATATATATTTAAAGACAGGGTCTCACTTTGTGACTCAGACTGGTCTCGAACTCCTGGGCTCAAGTGATGCTCCTCCCAAAGTGCTAGGATTACAGGCATGACCCACTTTGCCCAGGCTGAAAAATGATTTTTTAATAAAATGTTGGTGACTGAACAGCACTTTAGCTGGGCTGAAAGAACATTGTGACTCACTTTTCATACCAATAACGTCCACATAGAAATCTACCAGATCCTGCCTTTTCTTGGTCTGGTAGGTAAATAGAAAAATAGTCTTAATAAGGTGCCAGCCCCCATTCAAAGTCTCTAACTCATTATTATGACAGTGAATATTTTGTGATCAGTTTTCCATAAAAATCCATGTACAGTGAAGACAAACCATTTCTCTTCCTTATTTTATCATTTATATATCAGGAATTTGAGACTTAAAGAGGTCAAGTATGATCTTGCCCAAGATCATGAAGTTATTTGGGCTGAATATTTTATATTTGTTTGCCATTTATACTTTCTTTATATTACTTGTATCTTTATGTGACTTACCCTGTTTCTATTGTGGTATTGATATTTTCATTTATAGAAGGTGTTTTATATATTCCCAAAATGGTAATAGTTTATAATTATGAAAATAATGCAAGTTGTGAGAAATAATTGTGTGTGAGAAATAATTGATTTTACATTCTATTTTTTAGTTCACTTATGATATATTTTAGTGTTGTAAAATGCAGTTGAGTTGTAACATAATGTTGTTTTTCAGATAACCAGTTGTATCAGAAAAATTTGTTGAACAATCCATCATTGTATCCTTATTTGAAATAGTGTATTTACCTTTTCAAAATCATTTCATACTAAAGACTTTCATAAGGATTTCTACTTTGTTCTATTGACCAGATAGTCTACTTTTACAATATTCCTAAGATTTTTTTAGATTTATATATTTATCTTATAGGATAAGTGTTTCCTCACTACTCCTTTCCCAATTTTCCCCAGATAATCTCCCTTTTTTTTATTCATTGTTATGAATGTTAGAATCCATTTGTCAAGGCAAAATAATTAAATTTAGAATTTAAATAAAATTGAATTAAATCTGTAGTTTGGGAAAAATAAACGAATTTACAATATTGAATAGCACTCTCCACAAACAGTATGTCTTAATGTATTTGTCTACTGTTATTTTCTGCTATACAATTATGTACTTAAAATATATCTGACCAACTAATTGAACTATTTCAGTTGAAATTAAGTTTCTTGGATCTTTAGGCACATAATTATATCATTCACAAATAATGATAATTTTCCATTCTTTTTTCTATATATCAGTTCTTTTTATAATCTCAATTTCTTCATCTGTAAATGGAGACAAAAATAGTACTTATGCCTAAGATTGTTGTGAAAATAACAGGAGATAAAACCCCCCAAAAAAATACCATTGCCTTGCATATGGTAAATCCTCTACAAATGTTGTTACTGCTGTACTTGTTACATTTATAAATATAAAATTTAAAATTATTATTAACACATAATTGTACAAATTTATGAGGTATGGTAATATTTTAATACAAGCATATAATGTGTAATGATCAAATCAGGATACTGGGTTTTTGAGGTGACTGGTGGATTAATTTTGAAAAATTTGTGAGAATAAATTTTGGGGAGTGTTTATAATAGTTACATTTTATCACCTTAGGAAAGTAGGCCTTTATACCTATTTTATTTGGAAATTTGAAAATCAGTAATAGGTCTTTAATTTCATTAAATACTTTTTTTTCATTTTTGAGATATTTATCTGGTTTTGTGCATTTGGATTTTTAAAATTTCATGGATTATATTAATCAATTTCTTTCTTTATTATTATACTTTAGGTGCTAGGGTACATGTGCACAACATGCAGGTTTGTTACATATGTATTCATGTGCCATGTTGGTGTGCTGCACCCGTTAACTCGTCATTTATATTAGGTATATCTCCTAATGCTGTCCCTCCCCCTTTTCCCCACCCCACAACTGGCCCTGGTGTGTGATGTTCCCAACGCTGTGTCCAAGTGTTCTCATTGTTCAATTCCCACCTATGAGTGAGAACACGCGGTGTTTGGTTTTCTGTCCTTGTGATAGTTTGCTCAGAATGATGCTTTCTAGCTTCATCCATGTCCCTACAAAGGACATGAACTTATCATTTTTTATGGCTGCATAGTATTCCATGGTGTATATGTGCCACATTTTCTTAATCCAGTCTATCATTGTTGGACATTTGGGTTGGTTCCAAGTCTTTGCTATCATGAATAGTGCCACAATAAACATACGTGTGCATGTGTCTTTATAGCAGCATGATTTATAATCCTTTGGGTATATACTCAGTAATGGGATGGCTGGGTCAAATGGTATTTCTAGTTCTAGATCCCTGAGGAATCGCCACACTGACTTCCACAATGGTTGAACTAACTTACACTCCCACCAACACTGTAAAAGTGTTCCTATTTCTCTACATCCTCTCCAGCACCTGTTGTTTCCTGACTATCTAATGATTGCCATTCTAACTGGTGTGAGATGGTATCTCATTGTGGTTTTGATTTGCATTTCTCTGATGGCCAGTGATGATGAGCATTTTTTCATGTGTCTTTTGGCTGCATAAATGTCTTCTTTTGAGAAGTGTCTGTTCATGTCCTTTGCCCACTTTTTGATGGGGTTTGATTTTTTTCTTGTAAATGTGTTTAAGTTCTTTGTAGATTCTGGATATTAGCCGTTTGTCAAATTGGTAGATTGTAAAAAATTTCTCCCATTCTGTAGGCTGCCTGTTCACTCTGATGGTAGTTTCTTTTACTATGCAGAAGCTCTTTAGTTTAATTAGATCCCGTTTGTCAATTTTGGCTTTTGTTATCATTGCTTTTGGTGTTTTAGTCATGAAGTTCTTGCCTATGCCTATGGCCTGAATGTTAATGCCTAGGTTTTCTTCTAGGGTGTTTATGGTTTTAGGTCTAACATTTAAGTCTTTAATCCATCTTGAATTAATTTTTATATAAGGTGTAAGGAAAGGATCCAGTTTCAGCTTTCTACATATGACTAGCCAGTTTTCCCAGCACCATTTATTACATAGGGAATCCTTTCCCCATTTCTTGTTTTTCTCAGCTTTATCAAAGATCAGATATTTGTAGATGAGTGGTATTACTTATGAGGGCTGTATTCTGTTCCATTGGTCTATATCTCTGTTTTGGTACCAGTACCATGCTCTTTTGGTTACTGTAGCCTTGTAGTATAGTTTGAACTCAGGTAGCGTGATGCCTCCAGCTTTGTTCTTTTGGCTTAGGATTGTCTTAGCAATGCGGGCTCTATTTTGGTTCCATATGAACTTTAAAGTAGTTTTTTCCAATTCTGTGAAGAAAGTCATTGGTAGCTGGATGGGCATGACATTAAATCTATAAATTACCTTGGGCAGCATGGCCATTTTCACAATATTGATTCTTCCTATCCATGAGCATGGAATGTTCTTCCATTTCTTTGTGTCCTCTTTTATTTCATTGAGCAGTGGTTTGTAGTTCTCCTTGAAGAGGTCCTTCACATCCTTTGTAAGTTGGATTCCTAGGTATTTTATTCTCTTTGAAGCAATTGTGAATGGGTGTTCACTCGTGATTTGGCTCTCTGTTTGTCTGTTATTGGTGTATAGGAATGCTTGTGATTTTTGCACATTGATTTTGTATCCTGAGACTTTGCTGAAGTTGCTGATCAGCTTAAGGAGATTTTGGGCTGAGACGATGGGGTTTTCTAAATATACAATCATGTCATCTACAAACAGGGACAATTTGACTTCCTCTTTTCCTAATTGAATACCCTTTATTTCTTTCTCTTGCCTGATTGCCCTGGCCAGAACTTCCAACACCATGTTGAATAGGAGTGGTGAGAGAGGGCATCCCTGTCTTGTGCCAGTTTTCAAAGGGAATGCTTCCAGATTTTGCCCATTCAGGATGATATTGGCTGTTGGTTTGTCATAAATAGCTCTTGTTATTTTGAGATACGTCCCATCAATACCTAATTTATTGAGAGTTTTTAGCATGAAGGCTGTTGAATTTTGTCAAAGGCCTGTTCTGCATCTATTGAGATAATCATGTGGTTTTTGTCTTTGGTTCTGTTTATATGCTGGATTACGTTTATTGATTTGCGTATATTGAACCAGCCTTGCATCCCAGGGATGAAGCCCACTTGATCATGGTGGATAAACTTTTTGATGTGCTGCTGGATTCGGTTTGCCAGTATTTTATTGAAGATTTTTGCATCAATGTTCATCAGGGATATTGACCTAAAATTCTCTTTATTTGTTGTGTCTCTGCCAGGCTTTGGTATCAGGGTGATGCTGGCCTCATAAAATGAATTAGGGTGGATTCCCTCTTTTTCTATTGATTGGAATAGTTTCAGAAGGAATTTTACCAGCTCCTCTTTGTACCTCTGGTAGAATTCAGCTGTGAATCCATCTGGTCCTGGACATTTTTTGGTTGGTAGGCTATTAAATATTGCCTCAATTTCAGAGCCTGTTATTGGTCTATTCAGGGATTTAACTCCTTCCTGGTTTCATCTTGGGAGGGTGTATGTGTCCAGGAATTTATCCATTTCTTCTAGATTTTCCAATTTATTTGTGTAGAAGTGTTTATAGTATTACCTGATGGTAGTTTGTATTTCTGTGGGATAAGTGGTGATATCCCCTTTATCATTTTTTATTACATCAGTTTGATTCTTCTCTCTTTTCTTCTTTATTAGTCTTGCTAGTGGTCTGTCAATTTTGTTGATCTTTTAAAAAAAACCAGCTCCTGGATTCATTGATTTTTTGAGGGGTTTTTTGTGTCTCTATTTCCTTCAGTTCTGCTCTGATCTTAGTTATTTCTTGCCTTCTGCTAGCTTTTGAATGTGTTTGCTCTTGCTTCTCTAGTTCTTTTAATTGTGATGTTAGGGTGTCAATTTTAGATCTTTCCTGCTTTCTCTTATGGGCATTTAGTGCTATATTTAGTGGGCAGCAGTGCTACACACTGCTTTAAATGTGTCCCAGAGATTCTGGTATGTTGTGTCTTTGTTCTCATTGGTTTCAAAGAACATCTTTATTTCTGCCTTCATTTCGTTACGTACCCAGTAGTCACTCAGGAGCAGGTTGTTCAGTTTCCACATAGTTGAGTGGTTTTGAGTGAGTTTCTTACTCCTGAGTTCTAGTTTGATTTCACTGTGGTCTGAGAGACAGTTTGTTATAATTTCTTTTCTTTTACATTTGCTGAGGAGTGCTTTACTTCTGACTATGTGGTCAATTTTGGAATAAGTGTGCTGTGGTGCTGAGAAGAATGTATATTCTGTTGATTTGGGGTGGAGAGTTCTGTAGATGTCTATTAGATCCGCTTGGTGCAGAGCTGAGTTCAATTCCTGGATATCCTTGTTAACTTTCTGTCTCGTTAATCTGTCTAATGTTGACAGTGGGGTGTTAAAGTCTTCCATTATTATTGTGTGGGAGTCTAAGTCTCTTTGTAGGTCTCTAAGGACTTGCTTTATGAATCTGGGTGCACCTGTATTGGGTACATATATATTTAGGATAGTTAGCTCTTATTGAATTGATCCCTTTATCATTATGTAATGGCCTTCTTTGTCTCTTTTGATCTTTGTTGGTTTAAAGTCTGTTTTATCAGAGACTAGGATTGCAACCCCCTGCTTTTTTTTGCTTTCCATTTGCTTGGTAGATCTTCCTCCATGCCTTTATTAACGTTGAAACATCCTTGAGATCAATGCTTTGCTAGGATTGTTATGGTATGTTTTACTTTTAATACTCTCATAAATTTCTTTTATTATTATTTTAATTAGGATGCATATCTGTGTTATCACTGAGACTTATCTCTGGCTTTCTTTGGGCTTTATTTGTCTGATTTTAATATCAAGATTATGCTTTTATGGGGAGGCATTCATATTTATCTGTGCTTCGGAACAGTTTATGTAAATTGTAAATTATTTGTCTCTGAGTAATTTTTTAAAACTTCAATATATTGCTGCAGAGCAGATATGCTTTTATTTTGAAAAGTAAATCAGGTTATATCTCTTCTCTGCTTATACTTAATCGCTGCTCTTGGAAAACCCGCAAATGCTTGCTCTGGCTTATAGGAGCCGGCGTGATGTGGCTGCTCCTGCTGATCTCTTTAGCATCGTGTCTCACCATGCTCTCCCAGGTTTACTGTGAAGGCAGCCAGTGAGGCTGAAGCTCAGTTCTTCCAGTGTGCCTTGTTCCTTCCCACCACAGGTGTTCTGTTCTTGTTATGACTTTCACCCATAGCACACCCTGCTCTTCTCACTTTCAACTGTTCACATTCTCATCCTTCAGGTCTCAGCTTAAATGAAGTATCCTAATAAAGTTATTTATTGACCATCTTATTTAAAGTAGTTCACCTCATTATTCTTCTTCATAGCATCCTATTTATTTCCTTCATATTATTAGTAGCATGTGTAATTACTTCTTTTGTTTGTGTATTTATTTATTTATATACTCAATCATTTCCTTTTTAATTGCCAAGCTCTCTCCTTTTAGAATTTAAGATCTTTTTTTTTTTTTGGTATGCAATTATGTTGTTTTCATCTTTGGTTTTTAAATTTTATTATTGTTTTAATTGGCACATAAGAATTGTATATATTTATGGGGTACAGTGTGATATTTCAATACATGCATACAATGTGTAATGATTAAATTGAGGTAATTAGCATATTCATCCCCTCCAATATTTATCTTTTTTGTGTGTTTTGGGAACATTCAAAAATCCACTGTTCTAGCTATTTGAAAACATGCAATAAATTGTTGCTAACTATAGTCACCCTACATTGCTATAAAATCTAGATGTATTTCTCCTATCTTGCTTTAATTTTGTATCCATTATCCAACCTCCTGCTGTACCCCCATTCAAGCCTCTAGCAAGCACTATTTTACTCTCTATTTCTATGAGATCATCGTTCTTTTATGACATAACTTTTTACCATTTTCATTAATTTTCCAATCATGTTTTTAACATTTTTGGGGCTCCACATTTCAATGAATTCTGTGAGCAATGCTAGCCCTTTTATGATAGAAATAGTCTTTGCTTGACTTATTCATTTAGCTTCATTGCTAGGTGGGCTGGAATATAAAGTTAAGTATTTTTTTAAAGAAATGCTTCCAGTTGGTACATTTTCTAGGCTCTTTTATATCTGATATTAATGAATGATAACTTGTTTAGGTGTACAATTCTTGAGGCAGAATGTTTCTTCCTCTGAATTCTGTATATGTTGCATAATTACTAACAAGTAGTTTTGAGTACTTTATGGAATACATGTGAAGTCTGAAATGTCTGACTTTTATTCTTGTATAGAAAACCTTGCCCTACCCATGCACATCTCAAAATTTGTAGGATATTTTAAATTCTCATTAATAAGCTCAAATTAGATATTTGCCAGAAAGTGTGTAGCAATAAGGTCTTTTCAATAAAAGATGTGTTTTATTAGCTGGTATTCAGAGACCCATAAGAATTTTGAACCTCAATATTTATTTAGCTCAGAAAAGTTTTCAATTATTGTAGCTTTTTGTATTAGTCTGTTCTCACGCTACTATAAAGATACTGCCTGAGACTGGGGAATTTATAAAGGAAAGAGGTTTAATTGACTCACAGTTCCCACATGGCTGGGGTGGCCTCAGGAAATTTACCATCATGATGGAAGGTGAAGGGGAAGCAGTCACCTTCTTCACAAGGTGGCAGGAGAGAGAAAAGAGTGAGGTCAGAGGAAACATCCCTGTATAAAATTATCACATCTCATGAGACTTACCCACTATCATGAGAACAGCGTAGGAGAAACCGACCCCATGATCCAATCACCTCCCATCAGGTCTCTCCCCAGGCATGTAGGCATTACAATTTGTATTACAATTCAAGATGAGATTTGGGTGGAGACGCAGAGCCAAAGCATATCACATTTGTCCTCATAGTTGTTCCATTTGTTTTAGTATTTTCTTAAAAAAATCAAATATCTGTGGTTGGTTCTCTATTCTTTGTATTATTATTACTATTGTTTTCATCTGTCTTTTGCACTCTGCTATTGTTTCCCAATTTGGCCTCCATTTCATTTATTTTCCTTAGTGACAGTTATGCTGTTTTTGCTTGTGGCGTGTGTTTTATTCATGGCTTGTTATTTTAGTTTTTTGAATACTTTTCCTATGCAGTTCCTTTATTAGCTCATCCAGATGTATTTGCATCAACTATTTTATCTTTTATTTATTTTTCTCTGTTCTTATTTCATACAGATCATGTCTTATTGAATCCTATTTAGAATGCTAAGAAGTTTTAATTTTTTTCTTCTGCTTCCTAGAGCAAAAGAATTGTCAGAGTGTGCTCTTCCACCAAGTCTTCAAAAACATCACCTTTCCTTTGTTCTGCAGTATCTTTTCACAGACCCCTGTTAATTATTTATTCCCTTTGTTTCTCTTAAACCTTAGAGAGCTCTAGTCTGTTCCAATGTTGTGAGGTACATGAGGCATCTCCTTTATCCTGGTATTTTCTAGCTGGTATTTAGATGGAATTCTATTCTCAAATTAGGTTGATATTCTTATTTACTGACTCAATTTATAATGGAAACAAGAAGTCATCTATCTAATCCAGGGCTTCCCAATGTTGGCACTATTGACATTTTGGGCCAGATAATGCTTTTTTGTGGGGAGCTGTTTTATATGTTATGGGATGTTTAGTAGCATTCCTAGTTTCTACACACTAGATGCCAGTATCACTTCTCTTCTCCCCTAGTTGTGACACCCAAAGATGTCTCCAGACATACCCTAATATTCTCTGGGGTACAAAGTTTTTCCTGGTTTCCTGTTGCAAACTACTTGTCTAAGCATACTTTGGTAGATTGACGTGGCATTACCACTTATGTTTTAATTTTCCCTCTATCCTCATTTATCTGACACTGACCTGAAGAGAAAATAAAAAAATCCAAGCTCCAGCATCTGTTACTGCCAGTTACTTTTCCATCTCTTCCTCCAACTGTAGTATTTTACTTACTGGGACTCTTCATGGCTGCCGTGAACAGTTGTGCAGGTTATGCTCTACACAAGGACATCTTATTTAGTGGGGAATGTAATCCAGTATGTACTTCATTCTCCATGATATGCGTATGTGAGGTTATATCTACCATATAGCCTCCTTTTCTAATTCAAACAAAGCTAGTGACCTTGAATCTATTCCTTACAGAATATAGTATATTGCTGACAGTTCCTATCTCACTTCACACTTTCTGCCACACTGTTTTTTTGAATTATACACCATGAATGAATTAGAAAGCAAGAACAAATCCTTCTGTTATTGGATATGGAAGTAAGATGATGTTACCCATCTGATTCTGAGCATCATTACTATTTATGAAGTCCTGCTGCTGTGGTAAACTCACAAGTCTGTCTCTGTGTCTAGTTACACCAGCCCATATCAAGCCAAGTTTTACCAAATCTTTTTCATACTCGGTTTTATACAGCAGACTACTTCATTTGTTTCAATTTTTTTTCCATTGGGACTAGTTCATGAATAAAGTTTATCCTCTTATCTTCGTCATGGCCCTTCTTCAACTTGCTGAAATTATCCTGATGGAATATATATATAAAAAAGAACACATAAATGCATTTATTCAACCTTTCTCTATGTGCAGACTGAGGACAAAATATCAAACTTTTTTTTTCCTGAAGACTTTGTGATATGTAGAATAGATTCATCTGCCATTCTCTCTTTTTAATTTTATTTACTTATTTATAGACTTCAGACTAACATTTCATGAATATTTCATTGTTGAATTTTTAAGCATACACAAAAGTAGAGAGAATAGTCTAATAAACCCCCATGTACCCATCATTCAGCTGATCAATTCATGAGTGATCCTGTTTCATCTATACGCCAGTCACAGACTCAGGATTATATTAAAGAAAATTTTGCATATAATATCGTTTCATTTGAAAATACTTGGGGATGCATCTCTAAAAGTTTAGGCCCTTTTAAAAATATTTCTAAAAATAAATGTGAATTCTTTAATGTCATCAAGTATTCGTTCCTCGATAGTTTTTGAGAAACCAAGGGAAAAACTAAGGGAAACATAATGTACCTGTTGTCGTGCCCCCAAAATTGAACACTTATCTCATCAAGCCCGTAGACATAGCCATCAATTTTGAGAACATACAAGGAAAACAATACCCCTGCTGAGAATAACTGGAAGTAGATGAGAGGACATATTTTCAATGAAAAATGAGCTAAGTGTTACAGAGTATTCTTCGTTCAATCCCATTGGTCCTAAACTTTGTGTCAAAATCATATGGGAGAACTTTTAATTTATCTATTTAACACACACTTACCTAGTGCTTATTATACCTGAAAGTGTTATAATCCACAGATATTATCTCATTTAGTCCAAAACTCAATAGTATTTGATGGAACTAGAACCATCAATTCAATCAATAGGAGTTGTCAAATGGTAATATTTTCACTCTAACATATCTTCTTCATTTATTAGCTGGGAAACATTTCCACAAAGAAAAGCTGTCTCTACTCTTTTTTCTTTTTTTTGTGACAGAGTTTCACACTTGTTGCCCAAGCTGGAGTGCAATGGCACGGTCTTGGGCTCACTGCAACCTCCTTCTCCCGGGTTCAATAGATTCTCCTGCCTCAGCCTCCCAAGTAGCTGGGATTACAGGCACCTACTACCACACCCAGCTCATTTTTGTATTTTTAGTAGACACGGGGTTTCACCATATCGGCGAGGCTGATTTCAAACTCCTGACTTCAGGTGATCCATCCGCCTTGGCCTCCCAAATTGCTGGGATTACAGGCATGAGCCACTATGCCCAGCCTCTACTCTACTCTTTAGTTACCTTGAGGTGAAAGTCATACAAGAAAAGCAAGATAATTTATTATTTCTTCTCATTTACCAGTTTACAGAATAATGAATTTCTTTCCTGGTATGCTCCAAAAGTGAACCATGATTCTTTTAGTTGTTATCATTATATTTGATGCATTTAAATTTATTGTAGATATTATTATTGTTGATGTCCATATGACCCCATATTAAGCCACTCAGGTTTTATTCAGATTTATTCTTTTTTCTTTTTTCCAAGTTTATTGAAATATAATTGACAAATAAAAATTGTATATATTCAATGTATATGACATGATTTGATGAACATATACATTGTGAAATGAAATGTTTACTAATCAAATTAATTAATACAGCCATCACCACCTGTGTGTATATGTGTGTGTGTCAAATTAATTAATACAGCCATCACCACCTGTGTGTATATGTGTGTGTGTGTGGTGGGGTAAGGATACTTAAGATCTACTGTCTTAGCACATTTCAAGTAAACAATACAGTGTTATTAGCTATACTCTCCATGTTGCACATTAGATAAACAGAATCTATTCATATAACTGAAAGTTTGTGTCCTTTGACCAACATCTTTCCATTTACCCCACCACCTATTTTACCCTATTTTTAGGGTAAAATATATTACAAGTTCATACCAATGGATTCTATTCCCATTCTACTTACTCTTATTGATTTTTACATACATATCTCCTTTTATTTATTTATTTATTTAATTTTTTTTTTTTGAGATGGAGTCTTACTCTGTCAGCAAGGCTGGAGTGCACTGTCATGATATTGTCTCACCGCAACCTCCGCCTCCCAGGTTCAAGCGATTCTCTTGCCTCAGCCTCCTGATTAGCTGGGATTACAGGCACACACCACCACACCTGGCTAATCTTTTTGTATTTTTAGTAGAGATGGGGCTTCGCCATGTTGGTCAGGCTGGTCTCAAACCCCTGACCTCAGGTGATCCACCCACCTGAGCCTCCCAAAGTGCTCACAAAGATGTGAGCCACCATGCCCGGCCCATATCTTCTTTTAACCATGCTGAAAATCATACTCTACAATGACCACAATATAGTGGCTCATTTGCTTTAACCTTAGAATATCAATGGTAATACTACCAATAATGATGTGATTATTGAAAAAAAATCTGTAAAATACTTTTTTTATATACTTTAAGTTCAGGGGTGCATGTGCAGAACATGCAGGTGTGTTACATAGGTATACATGTGCCATAGTGGTTTGCTGCACCCACGAACCTGTCATCTACATCAGGTATCTCTCCTAATACTATCCCTCCCCTAGCCCCCAACCTCCCAACAGGCCCCAGTATGTGATGTTCCCCTCCCTGTGTCCATGTGTTCTCATTGTTCAACCCCCACTTATGAGTGAGAACATGAGGTGTTTTTGGTTTTCTGTACTTGTGTTAGTTTGCTGAGAATGATGGTTTCCAGCATCATCCATGTCCCTGCAAAGGACATGAACTCATCCTTTTTTATGGTGGCATAGTATTCCATGGTGTATATGTGCCACCAACACAAATGTAAAATACTTTTTGCCGTCATTTTATCCTTTGGACATATCCCAATAAGTCTGTATCATCATATTATTTTGACTTAAAGTTCTTTGGCATTGTTCCTTTTCTTGGGTCTATGTCATCAATTGGATATAGTATTAGGCTCCTTTTCTCCATGTTACATTCTGTTTTTATAAGTTGCTTTTAAAAATTGAATTTTATTTTATAATAATATAAAATACTGGCATGGCTTCAAAGTCAAAGCTACAAAATAAGATATATTCAAAACCAAGATATATTCCATGAAGCAAATCTACAAAACAAGAAGCTTAGCTTCTATTACTATCTAATACTATGCTATAAAGTATTATAAGACATTATACTAATTATATTATTAAAGTATAAAGAATTATACTAATACTTTTCTCAACCATGCAAATTTTTATTTGCCATTATATCCTAGTGATTACTTGATTATAGGATGTACAAGTATTTTCCATCCCCATTTAAAACTGCACAGCACTCCATTTTACAGATGTAGTGTAAGTGTATTCTGTTCGTTCAGTCCACCACTGTTGAAAATTTGGGTGATTTTCCAATATTTTTCTGTTACAAATAGTGCTGTAGTAAATGACATTGTGCACACATTCTTTTGTGAGCATAACTTTGCAATCAGTTCCTATAAGTGAGATTGCTGGGTCAAACATTAAATATATATGTAATTTTCCTGGATATTGCCAAATTCCTTTCCACTGTGATTACATTATTTTGCATTCCCACAGCAATGATTTAGAAGTCTTTTTCCTCGTGTCCTCATGAACAAAAAGAATGTTGTTAAACTTGGATGATACTTTTCCATCCAGTAGGTAAAAATGGTATCTGTGTGCAGTTTTAATTTGAATGTTGAGGCTGAAATTTAAAATACAACTTTATTGCACAGACATTTGACGTGCACCTGTATTGTTCCAGGTGCACTTCTGTACATAAAGATTCATAGGCAAACAAGACCAGTTCTTGCTTTCAAGAAATCTATAATCAAGTGGGAAATATATAAAAGTATTCACAGAGTAATATGGCAATATAAAAGAGGAAAAAAGAAAGACCAAAAACCAAATTTATGTAATCTTGAAGCAGGTAAATTTGGGAGAGTAATAAAGAAGGTTACACTAGGGAACCTGATCTAGTGCCCACATTTCTCATAAGAATTAATTGTAGACTGGATTAAGAAAATGTGGCACATATACACCATGGAGTACTATGCAACCATAAAAAATGATGAGTTCATGTCCTTTGTAGGGACATGGATGAAATTGGAAATCATCATTCTCAGTAAACTATCGCAAGAACAAAAAACCAAACACCGCATATTCTCACTCATAGGTTGGAATTGAACAATGAGATCACATGGACACAGGAAGGGGAACATCACACTCTGGGGATGGTTGTGAGGTTGGGGGAGGGGGGAGGGATAGCATTGGGAGATATACCTAATGCTAGATGACGAGTTAGTGGGTGCAGCACACCAGCGTGGCACATGTATACATGTGTAACTAACCTGCACAATGTGCACATGTACCCTAAAACTTAAAGTATAATAATAAAAGAAAAAAAAGAATTAATTGTGACTTTTGATAAGCAACTTATTTTCTTTTCCATGAATTTTAATGTCCACATATGTAAAATGAGGGTATAGAGCAGATGATTTCCACGACCTCTTACATCCTTCCTGTTTCATGGATGTTTGTTTCCTTCTCTCTTTGTGTTGGCTCCACTCTCCATATTCACCAAATTGAGAGAAAATTGAAATAAATCTTAAAAACTATGTATTTAATCTACAGGTAGGAATTTCATTTGTCAAAAAAAATGGTGAAGGTAAGACTTGGGTCAGGTGAATAAGTGTTAGAGACATGAGGGAAAGGTAACTAGTTTAAAAAGTGTCCAAAATAGATTGAGATATGACAGGAGATCACATGGATGTTGTTGGATACAAAGTTAGTTAAAATTTGAGTGAAAACTAAAAATATTTTAAGTTAAAAAACCTGGGAGTCAATATGCATTCTTATGGATCAATTATCAAAGTTGCAAAATACAAGATTATTACAGGTAGAGTAGATACAAAATAGAATTTATGTAATTGTAAAATTCGGAAACAAACAAAATGACACTTGTAAAAGGTTTCCTATAGTTAACAGGTTGTCATAGTTTTTTCATGGTGACATAACACTTAGGAAAATAAAGTGCAGCAAATGCCCTTCATCTTCCAAGAAAGACATTTGAACTTATCATTTAATGAAACGGCCCTGGTACATCAAATGGAACATTTCTCTAATAATGAGATGGTGTAATTAGTGAGATGGTATTTTCATTTTCCAGCTGGGATAGCTTTCCATAGTCTGGGAAAATGTGAAGCTTCTTTGAAATGTGTTCTTTGAGAATAAAATCCCAAAAAAGCCGTTTAGGGACAATCATTTATGAAAATACCAAATAATCTCTTCAAAATAGAAAACCTGTTTTTTCCCATGGAATGTTCATAAGTAAATATATAACACTTGACTAAAGTCAAGTAGAAAAGTTTTGTTTGATTCTTCACAAGAGACTGGAGAACAGACATTTCTTAAATATTCACAGATAAATGTCAGCTCATAGAACAGGTGCACACTGGGAATTATGTGGAAGTAAAATCTGTGTAGATCATTTATGCATAAGAGGAGTAATGCACAATCCTGCCTACGAAATTGTCAATATTCATTTCATAATAATATATTCTTTCACAAATGGAAAGAGTAAAGAATGATGGTTTCAGTTTTCTGCACATGGCTAGCCAGTTTTCCCAACATGAGTTATTAAATAGGAATTCCTTTCCCCATTGCTTGTTTTTGTCAGGTTTGTCAAAGATCAGATGGTTGTAGATGTGTGGTGTTATTTCTGAGGCCTCTGTTCTGTTCCATTGGTCTATATATCTGTTTTGGTGCCAGTGCCATGCTATTTTGGTTACTGTATCCTTGTAGTATAGTTTGAAGTCAGGTAGCGTGATGCCTCCAATTTGTTAATTTAGCTTAGGATTGTCTTGGCTATATGGACTCTTTTTTGGTTCCATATGAAATTTAAAGTAGTTTTTTGTAATTCTGTGAAAAAAGTCAATGGGAGCTTGATGGGGATAGCATTGAATTTATAAATTACTTCGGGCAGTATGGCCATTTTCAGGATATTGATTCTTGCTATCCATGAGCATGGAAAGTTTTTCCATTTGTGTCCTCTCTTATTTTCTTGAGCAGTGGTTTGTATTTCTCCTTGAAGAGGTCCTTTGTACCACTTGTAAGTTGTTTTCCTAGGTATTTTATTCTCTTTGTAGCAATTGTGAATGGGAATTTACTCATGATTCGGCTCTCTGTTTGTCTATTATTGGTGTATAGGAATGCTTGTGATTTTTGCACATCGATTTTATATCCTGAGACCCTGCTGAAGCTGCTTATCAGCTTTAGGAGATTTTGGGCTGAGACAATGGGGTTTTCTAAATAGGCAATCATGTCATCTGTAAACAGAGACAATTTGACTTCCACTCTTCCTATTTGATTACACTTTATTTCTTTCTCTTGCCTGATTGCCCTGGCCAGAACTTCCTATACTTTGTTGAATAGGAGTGGTGAGAGAGGGCATTCTTGTCTTGTGGCAGTTTTCAAAGGGAATGCTTCCAGTTTTTGCCCATTCAGTATGATATTGGCTGTGGGATTGTCATAAATGGCTCTTATTATTTTGAGGTACATTCCATCAATACCTAGTTTATTGAGAGTTTGTAGCATGAAAGGGTGTTGAATTTTATAAAACTCCTTTTCTGCATCTATTGAGATAATCATGTGGTTTTTGTCATTAGTTCTGTTTATGTGATAGATTACATTTATTGATTTGCATATGTTGAACCAGCCTTGCATCCCAGGGATGATGCCGACTTGATCGTGGTGGATAAGCTTTATGATGTGCTGCTGGATTCGATTTGCCAGTATTTTACTTTTGATTTTTGCATTGATGTTCATCAGAAATATTGGCCTGAAATTTTGTTGTTGTTGTGTCTCTGCCAGGTTTTGGTATCAGGATGACGCTGGCCTCATAAAATGAGTTAGGGTGGAATCCCTTCTTTTCTATTGCTTGGAATAGTTTCAGAAGGAATAAAATCAGCTCCTCTTTGTGCCTCTGGTAGAATTTGGCCGTGAATCTGTCTGGTCCTGGGCTTTTTTTTTTTTTTTTTTTTTTTTTGGTGGGTAGGCTATTAATTACTCCCTCAATTTCAGAACTTGTTATTGGTCTATTCAGGGTTTTGAGTTCTTGCTGGTTTAGTATTTGGAGGGTGTTCATATGTGGGAATTTACCCATTTCTTCTAGATTTTCTAGTTTATATGTGTAGAGGTGTTTATAGTATTATCTAATGGTAGTTTGTATTTCTGTGGGATCAGTGGCGATATCCCTGTTATCATTTTTATTATGTCTATTTGATTCTTCTCTTTTCTTCTTTATTACTCTGGCTAGCAGCCTATCTATTTTGTTAATCTTTTCAAAATCCAGCTCCTGGACTCACTGATTTTTTGAAGGGATTTTTGTGTCTCTATCTCCTTCAGTTCTGCTCTGATCTTAGTTATTTCTTGTCTTCTGCTAGCTTTTGAATTGGTTTGCTCTTGCTTTTCTAGTTCTTTTAATTGTGATGTTAGGGTGTCAATTTTAGATCTTTCTTGCTTTTTCCAGTGGGGATTTAGTGCTGTCAATTTCCCTCTAAAGTCTGGTTTAGCTGTCTTGGACATTCTGGTATATTGTGTGTTTGTTCTCATTGGTTACAAAAACTTATTTATTTCTGATTTAATTTTGTTATTTACCAAGTAGGTCATGCAGGAGCAGGTTGTTCAGTTAGCATGTAGTTGTGTGGTTTTGAGTTAGTTTCTTCATCCTGAGTTCCAATTTGATTGCACTGTGATCTGAGAAACTATTGGTTATGATTTCTGTTCTTTTGCACTTGCTGAGGACTGTTTTACTTCCAATTATATGGTCAATTTTAGAATATGTCCCATGTGGTGCTGAGAAGAATGTATACTCTGTTGATTTGGGGTAGAGAGTTCTGTAGGTGTCTATTAGGTCTGCTTGGTCCAGAGCTGAGTTCAAGTCCTGAATATCCTTCTTAATTTTCTGTCTCGTTGATCTGTCTAATATTGACAGTGGGGTGTTAAAGTCTCCCACTATTATTGTGTGGGAGTCTAAATCTCTTTGTAGGTCTCTAAGAACTCGCTTTATGAATCTGGGTGCTCCTGTATTGGGTGTATATATATTTAGGATAGTTAGCTCTTCTTGTTGCCTTGATCCCTTTACCATTATGTAATGCCCTTCTTTGTCTTTTTTTTTTCTATGTTGGTTTAAAGTCTGTGTTATCAGAGAGTAGGATTGCAACCTCTGCTTTTTTTTTCTCTCCATTTGCTTGGTAAATCTTCCTCCATCCCTTTATTTTGAGCCTATGTGTGTCTTTGCACGTGAGGTGGGTCTCCTGAATACAGCACATCGATGGTTCTTGACTCTTTTTCCAATTTGCCAGTCTGTGTCTCTTAATTGGGGCACTTAGCCCATTTACATTTAAAGTTAATATTGTTATTTGTGAATTTATTCCTGTCATTATGTTGCTAGCTGGTAATTTTGCCCATTAGTTGATGCAGTTTCTTCATAGTGTCTATGGTCTTTACAATTTGGTATGATTTTGCAGTGGGTAGTGCCACATTTTCCTTTCCATATTTAGTGCTTCCTTCAGGACCTCTTGTAAGGCAGGCCTGGTGGTGAAAAAAATCTCTCAGCATTTGCTTGTCTGTAAAGGATTTTATTTCTTTTTAGCTTATGAAGCTTAGTTTGTGTGGATGTGAAATTCTGGGTTGAAAATTCTTTTCTTTAAGAATGTTGAGTATTGGCCCCCACTCTCTTCTGGCTTGTAGGGTTTCTGCAGAGAGATCTGCTGTTAGTCTTATGGGCTTTCCTTTGTGGGTAACCCAACCTTTCTCTCTGGTTGCCCTTAACTTTTTTTCCTTTGTTTCAATCTTGGTGAATCTGATGATTATGTGTCTTGGTGTTGCTCTTCTTGAGGAATAAATTTGCGGAGTTCTCTGTATTTCCTGAATTTGCATGTTGGCCTGTCTTGCTAGGTTGTGGAAGTTCTCATGGATAATATCCTCAAGAGTATATATGATCAAGAAATTCTATTTCAGATGCTTCCAAACATCTTGCAGTACTTAATATCCACAGAAAATACTTTGGAAAACATTAATTCAGCAATTACTGCATTTTAGAAATAACAGATTTCCTTGATAACATGTAGACATGACTCTTAGACCATTTTTATAAAAATTATTGGTGCCTTGCCATAAGGATTGGTACAAGAAACCCAGCTAGGATACTTGCATCTGGAGCTATTAAAGTAGGAAGCAGGAGGCTCATGTGAGATGAAGGCAAGTATAGTTTGCAGTTAGGAGAAAACATGGTAAATTTCATCAGCCCTTTGTACTAAAGACCCCCTTCCCTTAAGAATTTTTTAATAGAAAGTAGAAACCCTGTGAATAATATAACTGAAGGTAGAACATACTTGTTTTATAGTCTAGAAATACTATCCCCAAAATAGAACTTTGGAGGCATATCAAGAGACTAACGATCTAGATTTGGAAATACTGTAGGAAATAGTGACTTAGAGACCCAATATATCTTTTTATCTTCCACCTTCCACCAACCCTCAGGAAGAAAATCTCCACAACCAGCATCCAGAGATTTCAAGCATTGCACCAGGGGCAAAGACTTCCATAGGGCCAGTAGTCCCCAGCCGCATTTGTGAGTATCTTCCCATTCTTACAGAGATATGTGAAATACATTAAAATTATTGCTCCCCTTCCTATGATTCTCCTAGATAAGAGTTCAGTTAGTAACACTATTCCAGCTAAAGGAATTTCGGGTCTCTGTGAGGTGAGGGTGGCACATTATGAGGATGAAGAGGTCTTTCTTTCTAATGTTTCATTAATCATAGCAGTAAACAGCTCACTTTGCTTGTGTATAAAGCTATGTATATAAATTATATGTAACGATAGCCTTTTAAAGTTGAAAGAATGTCCCAATTGAAAAGAAAAGCCTACTTTTTCATTGACTGTCATTATTTTCCTTTGGTGGCAGGATATATGTAACAGTGGGATTTACAGGAAGTAACTATAGATGGACCCTGACTTACAATGGTTTCACTTATGATTTTTTGACTTTACAATGGTGCAAAATTGATATGTCTTTAGTAAAAACCGTCGTCTGAATTTTGAATTTTGATCTTTTCCCAGGCTAGTGATATGCAGTATGATACTGTTCAGTGAGGCTGGTCAGGGGCAACCAGCCACAGCTCCCAGTCTGCCATGTGATCTCGAGGGTAAACAACTAATACTCGTAGTATACTGTGTGGTCAGAGGATTTTACCCAACTATAGGCTAGTGTAAGTGTTCTGAGCATGTTCAAGTTATGCTGGGCTAAGCTATGATGTTCAGTAGGTTAGATGTACTGTATGTATTTCCAACTTACAATATTTTGAATTTACAATGGGTTTGTCAGGACGTTACCCTATCATAAGTTGAGGAGCATCTGTACTGTTTGCAAGAGATGGCCACTCGTACAAGAATTGGCTTTGTTCACCTTATGCTCTAAGAGATGGCATTTAGTACAAGATCTGCTTCATTTGGGCAACAGAAGAGCACCTATCAATATAGGTTAGGTCCACCCAGTACAGGTACCTGTCCTTTTAAATATCTTCATAGGGCCTAAACTCAAGACATTAGAAAGCTATAACTGAACCCACGTCATGAAATAAACTGTAGGCTAATTATTAGTTTCCATAAGCATAAATGCATGTGTTGTATAATAAATGTACAGAGTAAATTACAAATAATATATTGATATAATTTTATAAAGCAAAGATTGCCTACAAAGTGCAGGAAGTTAACAAAGTAAGCAGACCAGCTTTAAGCCCAGTGGCAGAAAGAAGTTCCTGACATAGACACACTGCTAGATTTAATTTTCCTTTATTGGACATTTTTTAACTGTTAGACACAAATAATCATTGATATTTCTAGGCCAAACTAGAATATGCCTTAATGGCTGAAGTGTTCAATACAATAGTTTATAATCATTGTTTCTATCTTTGACATCCATTCAAAGAGTATTTTGACTAACATAAAAAAAATCTGCTGTGCACCATTATCTAGCAGCCTGTTATTGTGATTGTAAGCCCTTCAGATGATCCTTTTAATACTGGCATTTACAAACAACTTTGTAAGGTTCCCCAGAATAGAGGCTATAACAAGAATTAGTTAGAGGGGTGTCCATATAGTTTACATATAAATAAACATATTTATTATTTTATTTTTCAGCTGTATTGAGGTATAGTAGACAAAAATTGTGTATAGTCATGATGAAGAACATGATATTTTGATATACATATACATCGTGACATAATTACCATAACCAAGCTAATTAACATATCCATTACCTCACAGTTACCTATTTTGGTGAGAATACTTATGATCTACTCTTTTAGCAAATCACCAGTATATAATATATTATGACTAAATATAGTCACCATGCTATACAATAGGGCTTCAGAACTTATTAATCATATGTAAGTTTGTACCCTTTGGCCAACATCTCCCCATTTCCCATACTGCCTGATCCTTTGTAACCACCTTCTTCTCTGTTTCTATAGGTTCAGTTGTTTTAGACTCCAGATATAAGTGAGGTCATGCAGTATTGTCTAGATAAATATACAGGTATATTTAAAGTAAAAGAATGGGAAAAAGGTATACTACACAAAAAATATCCAAAAGAAAATTGGTGTAGCTATATTAATAGTGGGTACATAAGACATTAAGGCAACCATGATTACTAAAGATGAAGAAACTTCATCATGATAAAAAATCAACTCAAAAGGAAAATATAACAACACTAAATATATGAATACTTATAGCTTCAAATAATATTCTATACCACAAAAACCCAGGAGTCTCTACTCAAAGGCTCCTAGAACTGATAAGCAACTTCAGTAAAGTTTCAGGATACAAAATCAATGTATAAAAACCAGTAGCATTTCTATATACCAAGAACACCCAAGCTGAGGGCAAAATTAAGAACACAACCCTATTCATAATAGCCACAAAAGGAGTAAATACCTAGGAATACAGCTACCCAGGAGGTTAAAATACTCCACAAAGAGAATGACTTAAAAGTGCTGGAAGAAATCAAAGATGACATAAACAAATGGAAAAATATTCCATGCTCATGGATTGGAAGAATCAATTCATTGCAATGGCCACACTGCACAAAGCAATGTACAGATTCAATTCTATTTCTATAAAACTACCAACATCATTTTTCACAGAATTAGAAAGAAAAACTATTCTAAGATTCATATGGAAACAAACAAAATATAGGCCAAATAGACAATATAATCCTAAACAAAAAGAACAGAGCTGGAAGCATTACACTACTCGACTTCAAATTATATTGCAATGCTATAGTAACTAAAACAATGGTACTGGTATGAAAACAGACAAATAGACTAATGGAATAGGTTATAGAACACAGAAATAAAGTCACACACCTACAACTACCTGATCTTCAACAAAGTTGACAATAACAAGCAACAGGGAAAGGTCTCCCTATTAAACAAATTGTGCTGAGATAACTGGCCAGCTATATGCAGAAGATTGAAGCTGGACCTCTTCCTTTCACCACATACAGAAATTAACTCAAGATGGATTAAAGACTTAAATATAAAATCTAAAACTATCTTAAAAGGCCTATGAAATGTCATTCTGGACATAGGCCTTGGCAAAGATTTCGTGACAAAGTCTCCAAAAGCAATTGCAACAAAAATAAAAGTTGACAAGAGGGACCGAACTAAGCTAAAGAGCTTCTGCACAGTAAAAGGACTATCAATAGATTAAACAGACAGCCAACAGAATGGGAGAAAATATTTGCAAACTATACATCTGACAAAGGTCTAATATTCCAAATCTATAAGCCATTTAAACAAATCAACAAGCAAAAAACAAACAGCGCCATCTAAAAAAAATGGGCAAGGGACATGAACAGACATTTCTCAAAAGAAGACATACATGTGGCCAACAAACATAAAAAACTGCTTAACATCACTAATCATTAAAGAAATGCAAATCCAAACCACAATGAGATACCATCACACAGCAGTCAGAATGGCTATTATTAAAAACTCAAAAAATAATAGATGTTGGCATGGTTGCAGAGAAAAGGGAATGCTATATACCCAAAGGAATATAAATCATTCTATCATTAAGATATATGCACATGTATGTTAATTAGAGCACTTTTCACAATAGCAAAGATGTAGAATCAATCTAGATGCTCAAGGGTGGACTGGATAAAGAAAATGTGGTACATATACACCAGGGGATACTACACAGTCATGAAAAACTGATTAAATAATGTCCTTTGCACCAATGTGGATGCAGCCATTATCCTAAGCAAATTACTGCAGGAACAGAAAATCAAATACTGTATGTTCTCATTTATAAGTGGGAGCTAAACATTGAGTATACAGGGACACAAAGAGGGAAACTATAGACACTGGTTCTTATTTGGGGTGGAAGGTGGGAGACGGGTAAGGATAAAAACATTACTACTGTTATTATGCTCACTACCTGGGTGACAAAATCATTTATGTACCAAACCTTAGAAACACACAATTTACCCACGTAACAAATCTACATATGCACTTGTGAATCTAAAATAAGAGTTTGAAATAAAAAACAAAAACAAAAACAAAAAAACTCTGTTTCAAACCCTTGGAAAAAAAGAAATAAAGTAATTCACAACTATAGTTGCAGTTTTTTATTTGATACATAATTGTGCATATGAGGTGAGTCTATTTTTAAAAGTATCTCATGTCAGATAAGTTTGGGGCCTTAAAATACCACTATTGGCCAAATATTTTTTTTTCCTTTTTACAGAGGAATCTCTTTGTGCTTGAAAGTAAATAGGCCTTCTCCTTTTACCCTGGTGAATTAGATTGGCTATGTAGCCCTCCAAGATCATCACCAACGATATCTCAAATGAGAGCTCAGATAAAAGCACTTTGAAACTATAAATCACTATACAAATGTAAGGGATTATTATTACTACCAGGCCCCCTTCAATCTATTCACCTTCCTCTTCAAGGCTCTAGTTGCACCTAGCAGCCTCATTAATGATGACAATACCAACTCGTATTTCCAGAGCCATTTTATGCTTCCAGTGTTCCTGAACCTGCATCATTTCATTCTATTCTCACAAGAAACCAGTGACATAGGGGGCTCAAGTTTTATTAACCGCATGGACAGAGGGCATTGAGGTTACAATTAGGCAGGTACATTAAAAACCATTTAATTGTAATTTAAATAGGTTGATTGTATGGTATATGAATCGTATCTCAATAAAGCTGTTATATAAAATATTATTAGTACATGCAAATTAAAAAATAAGTTACTAGCCCAGGGTTTTATAAACAGTTACTTTCAGAGCTGGATCTTACTGGCAATGATAGAGATTCAGGAAGTGAAAGAAACACCAAAGCAGAACAATGATTATTAAACCACTAAATATCAGCTCATGAGACATGACCATTCCAAGTTCTGCTCAAAACTGAATTTTTTCGCATTCATCCCCCTGCAGAATCTTTTATATTTTTTCATGCCTTGATCAATTCTTCAAGTGCTATGTTAAGCCTGAACCTAGAGGTGAAGGCTGTCAACAGATCCTGCTCTGCAAGCAAGTCAGACAGAAGCAGCAGTAACAAAGCAGAATTGCCAGTGTGATCTCCCAATGGACTGTGTTTAATGACATTTGTTCTGTTTGTCTGAAATATAATGTCCAAAATAAAAGTGGATATTTAAAATTTACTTTTCTGTACACATTAAATACTTGGACAACACAAAGAAGCTTTATCTGCTGAGTATGCAATATAATAATTTCAATTCCAAATTTAACTAAAAATAAAACAGTCTCCACCAAAGTTACAAGGCATCAAAACCTAGAGCTTAGGGTAACCATCATTCTTTTTTATTATTATTATACTTTGAGTTTTGGGATACATGTGCAGAATGTGCAGGTTTGTTACATAGGTATACAGGTGCCATGAAACTCATTTTTTATGGCTGCATAGTATTCCATGGTGTGTATGTACCACATTTTCTTTATCCAGTCTATCATGGATGGGCATTTGGGTTGGTTCCAATCTTTGCTATTGTGAACAGAGCTGCCATAAACATATGTGTGCATGTGTCTTTATAGTAGAATGATTTATAATCCTTGGGGTATATACCCAGTAATGAAATTGCTGGGTCAAAAAGTATTTCTGGTTCTAGATCTTTGAGGAATCGCCACACTATCTTCCACAATGATTGAACTAATTTACACTCCCACCAACAGTGTAAAAGTGTTCCTATTTCTCCACATCCTTTCCAGCATCTGCTGTTTCCTGGCATTTTAATGATCGCCATTCTAACTGGTGTGAGATGGTATCCCACTGTGGTTTTGATTTCCATTTCTCTAATGACCAGTGATGATGAGCTTTTTTTCATATGTTTCTTGGCCACATGAATGTCTTATTTTGAGAAGTGTCTGTTCATATCCTTCACCCACTTTTTGATGAGTTTATTTTTTCTCATAAATATGTTTAAGCTCCTTGTAGATTCTGGACATTAGCCCTTTATCAGATGAATAGTTTGCAAAAATTTTCTCCCATACTGTGGGTTGTCTGTTGACTCTGATGACAGTTTATTTTGCTTTGCAGAAGCTCTTTAGTTTAATTAGATACCATTTGTCAGTTTTGGCTTTTGTTGCCATTGCTTTTGGTGTTTTAGTGATGAAGTCTTTGCCTATGCCTATGTCCTGAATGTTATTGCCTAGGATTTCTTCTAGGGTATTTATGGTTTCAGGTCTTACGTGTAAGTCTTTAATCCATCTTGAGTTATTTTTTTGTATAAGGTGTAAGGAAGGGAAGACAAGAAATTCTAAGATCCGAGGAGAACTGAAGGAGGTAGAGACATGAAAAACCCTTCACAAAATCAATGAATCCAGGAGCTGTTTTTTTGAAAAGATAAACAAAATAGACTGCTAGCCAGACTAATAGAGAAGAAAAGAGAGCAGAATCAAATAGACACAATAAAAAAAGATAAAGGGGATGTCACCACTGATCCCACGGAAATACAAACTACTATCAGAGAATACTATAAATACCTCTATGCAAATAAACCAGAAAATCTAGCAGAAATGAATAAATTCTTGGACACAAACACCCTCCAAAGACTAAACCAGGAAGAAGTCAAATCCCTTAATAGACCAATAACAAGTTCTGAAATTGAGGAAGTAATTAATAGCCTACCAACCAAAAAAGCCCAGGGCCAGAGGGATTCACAGCCGAATTCTACCAGTGGTTCAAAGAGGAGCTGGTACCATTCCTTCTGAAACTATTCCAAAAAACAGAAAAAGAGGGACTCCTCCCTAACTTATGTTTTGAGGCAGCATCATCCTGATACCAAAACCTGGCAGAGACACAACAAAAAAAGAAAATTTTAGACCAATATCCCTGATGGCCATGGATGTGAAAACCCTCAATAAAATGGTGACAAACCTAACCCAGCAGCACATGAAAAAGCCTATCCACCATGATCAAGTCGGTGTCATCCCTGGGATGCAAGGCTGGTTCAACATACACAAATCAATAAATGTAATCTATCACATAAATAGAACCAATGACAAAAACACATGATTACCTCCATAGATGCTGAAAAGGCCTTCTATAAAATTCAACACACCTTCATGCTAAACACTCTCAATAAACTAGGTATTGATGGAATGCATCTCAAAATAATAAGAGCTATTTATAACAAATCCACAGCCAATATCATACTGAATGGGCAATGCTGGAAGTATTCCATTTAAAAACCGCCACAAGACAAGGATGCCCTCTCTCCCACTACTATTCAACAAAGTATAGGAAGTTATGGCCAGGGCAATCAGGAAAGAGAAAGAAAGGGTATTCAAATAGGAAGAGAGGAAGTCAAATTGTCTCTGTTTGCAGATGACATGATTGTCTACTTAGAAAACCCCATCATCTCAGCACAAAATCTCCTTAAGCTGATAAGCAACTTCAGCAAAGTCTCAGGATACAAAATCAATGTGCAAAAATCACAAGCATTCCTATACACTAATAATAGACAAACAGAGAGCCAAATCATCAGTGAACTCCCATTCACAATTGCTAAAAAGAGAATAAAATACCTAGGAATACAACTTACAAGTGGTACAAAGGACCTCTTCAAGGAGAACTACAAACCATTGCTTGAGGAAATCAGAGAGGACACAAACAAATGCAAAAACATTCTATACTCATGCATAGGAAGAATCAATATCGTGAAAATGGCCATACTGCCCAAAGTAATTTATACATTGAGTGCTATCCCCATCGAGCTCCCATTGACTTTCTTCACAGAATTAGAAAAAAAACTACTTTAAATTTCACATGGAACCAGAAAAGGGTCTGTATATCCAAGACATTTCAAAGCCAAAAGTACAAAGCTGGAGGCATCACGCTACCTGACTTCAAACTATACTACAAGGTTACATTAACCAAAACAGCATGGTACTTGTACCAAAACAGATATATAGACCAATGGAATAGAACAGAGGCCTCAGAAATGACACCACACATGTACATCCATCTGATCTTTGACAAACCTGACAAAAACAAGCAATGGGGAAAGGATTCCCTATTTAATAAATTGTGTTGTGAAAACTGGCTAGACAGATGCAGAAAATTGAAACTGGACCCCTTCCTTACAACTTGTGCAAAAATTAACTCAAGGTGGATTAAAACTTAAATGTAAGACCAAAAACCATAAAAACCCTAGAAGAAAACCTAGGCAACACCACTCAGGACATAAGCATGGGCAAACACTTTATGACTAAAGCACCAAAAGCCAAAATTGACAAATGGGATTTAATTAAACTAAAAAGCTTCTGCAAAGCAAAAGAAACTATCATCAGAGTGAACAGGCAACCTACAGAATGGGAGAAAATTTTGGCAATCTATCCATCTGACAAAGGGCTAATATCCAGAATCTACAAAGAACTTAAACAAATTTAGAAGAAAAAAACCAAACAACTCCATCAAAAAGTAGGCAAAGGATATGAACAGACACTTCAAAAAGAAGAAATTTATGTGGCCAACAAACATATGAAAGAAAGCTCATCATCCCTCTTCATTAGAGAAATGCAAATCAAAACCACAGTGAGATACCATCTCACACCAGTTAGAATGGCGATCATTAAAACGTCAGGAAACAACAGATGCTGGAGAGGGTGTGGAGAAGTAGGAATGTTTTTACACTGTTGGTGGCAGTGTAAACTCGTTCAACCATTGTGGAAGACATTGTGGCGATTCCTCAAGGATCTACAACCAGAAATACCATTTGATCCAGCAATTTCATTACTGAGTATATACCCACAGAATTATAAATCATTCTACTATAAAGACACACGCACACATATGTTTATGGCAGCACTGTTCACAATAGCAAAGACTTGGAACCAACCTAATTGCCCATCAATGATAGACTGGATAAGGAAAATGTGGCACATATGCACCATGGAATACTACACAGCCATAAAAAGGATGAGTTCATGTCCTTTGCAGGGACATGGATGTAGCTGGAAACCATCATTCTCAGCAAACTAACACAGGAACAGAAAATGAAACATCGCAGTTTTGATCAAAAATGCTCAAATTTTATTTTTTAAAGGTGAACAGATATAATTCAAAATCAGGAGCTTTATATTCATTTTAATTGTCATATTTTAGGGGAAGAAATATATCTGATATTAACTTCTAAATTGATTCTCATCTCCATTTTAAAGTATGTATTGCTATACTCATAGATTAAGGACCTACTAAGCATGAAAAGCACTAATTGTATGATTTTGGACAACTGATTGAAAACTTTATGGAATCATTTCTTGCTATCTACTCATTCTTTTTGAAAAAATTAAGGTATAATTTTACATACCTTAATATTCACCCTTATAAATTATAAAGTTTTGTAGTTCCTAATATATTCAGAGTTGTACAACCAGCATCAGAAATCCGAGAATATTTGACCACTCCAAAAAGAAACCCTTTACCCATTAGCAGTCACTCTCCATTCTCCTCCTTCCCCAACTCCATGGAGCCACTAATTTACTTTCTGACTCTGGACTTGTATATTCTGGAAATTTCATGTGAATGGAATCATATAATATGTGCCCTTTTTGTGTCTGGCTTCTTTCACTTAGCAGAATGTTTTCGAGATTTATCCATGTTATAGCATTTATCAGTGGTTCATTCCTATTTATAGGTGAAAATATTGTATTATATGAATATATCGCAATTTGTTTATTCATCAACACATGGGTATTTTGTTTGTTTGCATTCTTTTGGCCATTATAAATAATGCTGTAAATATATTTTTGTGGACATGTTTACAATTCTCTTTGGTATATACATACAAGTGGAATTGCTGATGTGACCGTTATAAATAACGCCGTGAACATTTTTTTTGTGTGTGTGGACATGTTTTCAATTCTCTTGGGCATATACATACAAGTGGAGTTACCATAGACATGGTAACTCTATTTCTTTTGAGGAACTGCCAAAACTTTTTTAAAGTGGCTGTCCCATTTTACATTCATACTAGTAGTGTATAGGAGATCCAATTTCTCGACATTCTCACCAACCCTTATTATTATTGTCATGCTAGGGTAAGTAAGCAAGTATCTCATTATGTTTTCATTTGTATTTTCCTAATGACAATACTATTGAGCATTTTTAATGTGCTTATTACTCATTTGTATATCTTCTTTTGAAAAGTATCTTTCAACTTGATTATACTTTTTGCCATTTAGTTGTTTGAGTTCCTTATATATGCTAATTATTAATCCCTTGTGGGATGGATAGTTTGCAAATATGTTCTCCCATTAAAATCTTTGCCCATTTTTAAACTCGCTTATTTGTCTCCATAAATTTGTGTATTCTGAACATTTCATATAACTGCAACCATACAATGTTACCTCTCGTGTCTGGCTTCGTTCACTTACCATAATGTTTTCTAGGTTTATCCATGTTGTAGCATATATCAGTATTTCATTTCTTTTTGGCTGAATAATAATCCATTATGTGGATATACATCATTTTGTTTACCTAGTAATCAGTTGAAGACATTTCGATTTATTCCATTTTTGGCTACTGTGAATAGCACTGCTACAGACATTCACATACAAGTCTTTATGTGGACTTTTGTTTTCATTTCTTGTTGGTGGAATTACATTTCTTTTGGAGTGAAGTTGCTGGGTCATAACTGGGTAACTCTATGTTTAACAATTTGAGGAACTGCCAGACTCTTTTCTAAAGCAGCTGCATCATTTTACATTTCCACCAGCAGTGTATGAGGGTTCCAGTTTCTCTATATACTCCCAAAACTTGTTGCCTGTATTTGTGATTGTAACCATCCTAGTGGGTGTGAAGCAGTACCACTTCCCTGAGGACTAATAATATTTATCGTCATTTGTGCATACAAATTTGATGACATTTAACTTTTATTGAGCACCTGCTATATATAAAGTGTAATGGCACTGTGGAGGACATAGATGGAATAGGCACACTGATAGACCACTGAAAATTAAAGTCTAGAAAAAGTTTAAAATTAGCCCTGATTTTAATTCTGAATTCATCCATATACAAATTTGTGATCTTGATTACTTAATCTCACTGTGACTCATATTCCTCCATTGTAAATTTAGTTTATTAATACATGCATCACAGAGAATTTGTAAGGATTAAATGAGGTAATTCAGTGAAACATTTTTCCTGTGCCTTCTTTGTGCCCTTGTACTCTATATGTGTATACATATGTGATAAACGAGGTATATGTGAATGCCTAACCCAAAGCCTGGCACCGTTCATTGATACTAGCAACGCTGGTGATGAGGACGTTAGCAATGAAGTCAAATGTTAACAGTACAATCAATTAATGTGTTCTTGGGTATATTGTTCCACATTATTGTGATGAGAAATCATTTTAATGTAGAAAGAAGTGTTTTAACCTGACTAAAAATCTGATTTTAAATAGAAAAGCTTCTTCAGTGTTATACTTTTAAACTGTACCCCTAAAAACAAATCATTGTCTTTTTCTGCTTGTTCTTCACTGTAAGTCTCTGTATGTACGTTCATCCACAGCAATATGGGCACTAATTTGCATCCTAGTAGGCAATTTCGCCCATGAGATCAAGAACTGACAGGCAGAGTGCTGTGCCTTTGGTGAGGGCAGAGTCATGTTGACAGGGAGCAGAGTGGAGAACTCACCTGCTACTCCTTGGTAGGCTGTTTGGAGAAACAAGATAGCCACTGTAGATGCCAGCTTGACAGCTTTAGAAATCATAACTCTCACTATGGTAAAGAAATTAGGAAACCAACCTGGGTACCAGTTCTTTCTCGAGACAGTTTCTCCTAAGAGGGCTTTTAAGAATGCTGTTTAGGATATGTAGGTTTTCCATATCTTTAAATGTGAAAGAAATTTTTAAAAAGCAAACTTTTCCTATAACGGACTTTACCTTGTGAAATAGTTCAATGTATTTAAAGACTAAAGTGCAATGGCTAGGTAATAGGTAATCAGAAAATATCTAGTGGTGTGATCAATAATTCTTAGGATAATATTTTTCAAATAATTTCAAATAGAAAGCAATATTTTGCAGTGCACATGGCTGAATGAATTCCAAATCAACACCTTGAAAGACTGATTTATATTTTAATGGCTTGGACAGGGATCTGTAACAGCAAAGGGAAGCTAGGTGAATAACTCTAAACACAAATGAACTTTACTCTTGGGAAAGTTAATATGTGAAAATGTAATCATACAAGATATATATTTGTACTACTAAGAACACAAGTATATATTATATAATGTTTATTGTGAAAAGATTGATGAAGTGATAATTATTATTATTTGCTTTTTAAAAATATATTTTATTTTACATATTAATTTTCCATAGATTTCTTAAAGAGTATTTTCCAGTTCATTTTTAGTATTAGTGACTATATGAAAAATGTATTATATACACAAATTGTCAGGATTTTTTTACATAAAATGTGCATAACAGCATTATATTTAAATTGTAAATTGATGTGTTTTTTAAGGAAAATATTGATATTTTCTGATTACAAAAATAATAAATTCTTTTTATGTAAATCCTGAAAACTAAAAGTAAATAACAGTTTTGTTTTTTATTTTTTTTGAGATGGAGTCTTGCTCTGTCACCCAGGCTGGAGTGCAGTGGCGTGATCTTGGCTCACTGCAATCTCTGCCTCCTGGGTTCAAGCAATTATCCTGTCTCAGCCTCATGAGTAGTTGGTATTACGGGCACCCACCACCATGCCCAGCTAACTTTTGTATTTTTAGTAGAGACAGGGTTTCACCATGTTGGTCAGGCTGGTCTCTAACTCCTGACCTCTGGTGATCCACCCGCCTCGGCCTCCCAAATTGCTGGGATTACAGGCGTGAGCCATCACATCTGGCAATAATAGCTATTTTTAAGAATCCAATTTTTCTCAAATTCTGGAGTACAGTGGCACACTCTCGGCTCACTGCAACCTCCACCCCCTGGGTTAAAGTGATTATCCTGCTTCAGCCTACCAAGTAGCTGGGATTAGAAGTGTGTGCCACCACACCCAGCTAATTTTTGTATTATTAGTAGAGATGGAGGTTTCACCATGTTGTTCAAGTTGGTCTTGAACCCCTGACCTCAAATGATCCACCCACCTTGGCCTCCCAAAGTTCTGGGACCACACCCAGCCCACAAATTCTTATTAACACTGAGTGTTATCATTTTAAAAATTAACAATATAGTAGTCAAATATTACTAGTGATTTTGAAATAATTTCTTGTTTGTCATTGCCATTTTTATGCATTCTTTTATGAATTGTAGCTGTATGGGAATAACAAAACTGCCATTTCTCTACTAAAGTGTTCACATTTTATTGATTTTTCATTTTTATATTAAATAATCATTTTTCTATAATATCTGCTGCAAATATTTTTAATAATAAATTTCTGATTTTGCATAATGCCTAGATAGGCCTTTCCAATCTTGAGATCAGATGATTATCAGTCATTCTTTTTTATTGTCTAATTTTATTTATTTGGCTTTATTTTGGCTAAGCAATATTGATAATATCATTGTGATATTTTGCATTTTCATATATATTTTATGTAATTGTCAAAATAAATCTTCTCAAGAGTTCTGCTATGTGGGCACCTTTATTTTCCTATAACCCATTCCTTAGAAGAACAATCATTTTAGGCAGTGGAGCCCAGCAATAACCTGAATTTTGTATCTTTTATTATTTCCCTGCATTCATACTACTTTTATTGATTTGAGGCCACTGTAGAGACCTCAGGTCACGTAAAAGTCCTGTTAGTACCTGTTGAATATGCCACTAATGAAAAAAAAAAAATGAGTAGAAAGACTCAGCTTAAAAAAACACCAAAGAATAAAATCATTTGGCATATAATTATTTTTAAAATTGCTTTTAAGAATAGTTCATATTTTTAAATAAAATTTAGGGAATATAAAAATAAAGGTAGTGGAAAATTTAAAAATATTTTCCTATAATCTCTCCACTCAAATCTGATAGCATTTTTGTATGTAGTCTTTCCATTTTTTGCTAGTTTCTCTTTTTATATTACATACGCATTTTCAGATCATACCATATATATTGTACTGCATCTTGTTTTTTCCACTTAATATATGAATATCTCCATGTAGTTAAATTTTACTAATTTATATGATTTAATAGCTGCATAATATAACCAACGCCCTACTTGTCAACATTTAAGGTTTTTTTTTTTCTATTTTTAAACCACTTTAAAATGTTTTACTAAATAGCTTTGTCTTATTATTTTATTAAGTGCAGTTTCTGGATCAAAGATTATTCACACTTAAGGTTAAGTGACACAAATTTTCCAAATGCCTCCAGAAAGTATGCTCACATACTCTGGAGCACAAAGTCCATTAGACTTTGAACTTCAAATATGTAGACTCAGTACATAGCGTAGTACCTGTTACACAATAGGTGCTTAACATGTATTTGTTGAATGATCACATGGATACATAAATTAGGAAAGGAAATAAAGTTGAGAAGAAGAGAAAGGAAAGAATGCATGTCTGGTTAATGTGAGGGGAAAGACAAGCTTGCCTATTCATCGAAATCAAATTGAACTTTGCAGCTATCCTAAATATTGGCCCAATGAATTAACTCTATGTGGCTTTTTTAACCTACCAATATATGAAATAATAGGAATGCTTCATTTAATAGATTATCTTGCTGGAGGAGATGGAAACAGAGAAACAAAAAAAAATATTTCTCTGGGTCTGATTTCTTCCTACACTACTCTTATTCTTTCTCCTAGATACCACCCATACATTCCAAATTCTGCTTCCATTTTAAGTGAAACCATAAAACTCTCAAGTTTTTCTCCCAACTTGACCTACTTTTGGATAAACAAAAAGACTGAAGCAGGAATCATTTATATAAGGTCTATATCACTAGCAACTCAAAGAACAAATGGATGATTGAAAGATGGTTCTCTTTTAACCAGAGCTAAATAAACTTTTATGTCACGACTTTCTACTCTAAGGCCAGAGTAAACCTTAGAGATATTATTTTATTTTCCTTCCATCTACACTAAAAAGCACCCAGCACTTTATAAAACAAGCAAAGTAGAGCAATGTACATTTATCTTTGCAGTCAGCCATGACAAAAATCATCTTCAATTTCAGATTGTCTCACCCAGAAGGGGTAAATAGGAATAATTATAAGTCTTGAGCATCTGTAGCCTCTTCCTGCATCCTTTTCTCCACCCAATGTCTTCCTGTTGTTTTCTCCCCAGCCTTATTAGAAAAACAGAGGTCTCAATGACAGCATTGACCCTTGATGATTTAGCAGCTGATTACACGTTCTAGTTCTTTGGCTGCCTCAATCAGGCATTCAAATTGAATTTCATTAAACTCCACTGTGGCCTGCAAAGGTTTTCCATGTTAAAGGAATTTCAGGCTTCATCAAACAGGTGAAGAGATGCGACCATGTCTGTTTCTCATCAATGGCTATTAATGCCCTATAAAATTCTAACTAGTGATGTTGAGCATTTTTTCATATATCTGTTGGGTATTTATATGTCTTCTTATGAGAATTGTCTATTTACTAATCATTAGGAAAATTCAAATCAAAACCACAACGAGATATCTCCTCATACCTGTTTGGATGGTTACGTTAAAAAAGAGACAGAAAATAGATGCTGGCAAGGATATGAAGAAAAGAAAATGCTTATACACTGATAGTGGGAATGTAGATTAGTACAGCAACTGTGGAAAACATTATGATGGTTCCTTAAAAATACTAAAAGTAGAAATACCATATGATCTAACAAATAATTTGACTGCTGGACATTTATCCAAAAGAATGGAAATCAGTATATTGAAGAGATATCTGCATGTCCATATTTATTGCAGCTCTATTTGCAATGGCCAAGATATGAGACCAACCTAGGTGTCCATCAACAGATGAGTGGATAAAGGAAAAGTTGTATATATATATACAATGTAATAGTATTCAGTCATGAAAAAGAATAAAATCCTGTCATTTGCAGCAACATGGATGAGTTTGGAAGACATTATGTTAAGTAAAATAAATCAGGTTCAGAAAGACAAGCACCACATATTCTTACTCATATGTGGGAGCTAAAAAAAATGATTTTATGGAAGTAGTAAGTAGAATGGTGGTTAGCAGAGGCTGGGGAGGGTAAGGGAGAGAGGAGATGAAGAGAGGTTGGTTAGTGGGTACAAAATACAGTTAGATAGAAGGAATATGTACTACTGTTTGATAACACAATAGAACAACTATCATTAATAATAATTTATAGTATGTTTCAAAATAGGTAGAAGGGAAGATTTGGAATGTTCCTGACACAAATAAATAACAAATGTTTGAGGTGATTGATATCTTGCTTATCCTGATTTTATCATTACACATTATATACATGTATCAAAATATTACATGTACCCTATAAATATGTATAACTATCATATATTAATAAAAATATTCTAACAAGAAAAATAAGTTAATAGAGAGCATACTAGGGGTAAAATTATACTCCTCACTACAATGGCATTAGGATTCAGTGTTAACCAAATATCTCAGTGGAATTCCTCACTAATCAACAGTTACTATCTTTGTGCATTCATTTGATAAACTGACCACCAACTATCTGCCAGAAACTGCATGGGACTCAAAGTGAGAGTGGGTTGATGCCTATGCTCATTTTCTGTTGTTGCTTATAACAACTTACTACAAATTTAGAGACTTCAAACAACATTAACTTATTATCTTACAGTTTAAGGTGTCAGAGATCCTAAAATTCAAGGTATTGTAAGGGCTGTCATCTTTCTAAAGGCTCTAGGGAATAATCTGTTTTCTTTCCTTTGCTAGCTTCTAGAGGACATGTACATTCCTTGGTTTGTGGCCCCATCTTCCATCTTCAAAGCCAGCAGCTAACATCTTCTCTTCTTTCTGACTTATTCTTCTGTCTTTATGTCTTCTCTTTCTATATTATCTTGCTGTCATGTCTCCCCCTCTTATAAAAACACTTCTGATTAGATTGGTCCCAGATGGATAATCCAGAATAATCTCCCTATCTCAATGCCTACAACCTTAATCACATGTACAAAATCCCTTTTGTCAGGTAAAGTAACGTATTCAAAGGTTCTGGGGATTAGGACATGGTCATCTTTTAGAGGGGCATTATTCAGCCTACCCCAGTACCCCTTGCCCTTGAGAAGTCGCTCATATACTAGCATTGGATAATTGATATTAAACAGATTTTAATAATTAAATGTGATAAATTATAAGATAAAATCTTCACAAGTTACTGTGGGAGCGCAGAGGAGAGGATATAATACTTTTTCCTGAGGAAGTGCTTTACACAGGAGGTGATGCTTATATTGAGTGTTAAAAGATGAGGAGTTCAGTAAGTGAAGAAGGAAAAGGGCATGACAGGCAGAGGGAGAACCAGGCTTGAAAGAGCATGACCTTCTCAGGCAGCAAAGACCATGTCAGTGAGACAGAGGATGACGTCAGAAAGAAAAGAGTTTGGGCTAGATAAACAGAGAGTTGATACCCATATGCCACAATAGACTTGTGTTATTTTCATTTAGACAGTGAAGAACCATAGATATAATAAGTATTTTAGAAAGATCATATTAGATGCAGTGTGTAGAGTGCTTGGCTAGAAGAGGGGAGGGCTAACTGAAGGCAGAGAGGTCACTGTTGTTGTAGTAAGATGTCTGTGGACAAATAGGGCAAATAATCAGTATAAATAACGTTAAATCTACAAGCTGCTTTATTTTACTATTTTTCTATCTGTGATAGGTTGAATAAAGACCCCTAAAGATTTAGAGCCTAAATATCTGGAACCTATAGTGTTTCTTGATTTGGAAAATGGGTTATTGCAAATGTGATTAAGTTACAGATCTTGAGATGGGAAGATTATCTTGGATTTTCTGGGTAGGTCCTAAATAAACACATATATCCTTATGGGAAGAAAGCAGAGGGATATTACAGACAGAAAATTAGACAATTTGACCACAGAGGCAGAGATTGGAGTGATGCTGCTGCAACTCAAGGAAAGCCAGAAGCCATCAGATGCTGGAAGAGGCAAGGGAAGGATTCACCAGTGAACTACAGGGAGGAGAGCAGCCCTGCCTTACCTTGACTATGGCTCAGTGAAATTATTTTGAACTTCTGGTCTCCAGAACTGTGAGAGAATACATTTCTATATATTTTTAAGCCACCATAGTTGTGATAATTTGTTACAGCCGCCAAATAAATTAATACACTATCTTACTGTGAATGCACAGGTCCCATGGCTCCCTAGATACACTCATATTATTCCATTATTCTCACAGTTTTAGCCCAACTTCAGTTTATATGACATACCTCTCCCAAACAGCTACTATTTTAGTCTTCATAGCTAAGAGGTTAATGGGTGGTATATGTTTCTATTTTGCACATATTTGGAAGCCATTTCATAGCTCTTAATACTAATATTGTTATGCTCTATTTAAATGTGTTTTCAATGTTTTATTTTAGAATGTTTAGATGATGTATACAGCAACAAACAAACAGAAGTATTAGCTGGAAATGATGAAACAGCAAGTTTCCCTGAAGGATAGCCCATTCTGAACTACTACTTTATTAACAGAATATTTGAAAAATATTTTTAGCTCCTGTGATACTTTGAAGAAGTTGCCTTTCCCACACTGGTAGCTATAGTGTCATTCAGAAGAGAATTTTTTATGTGTGTGTACAGTTTCCATGTACTTAAATCAGATTTCTGTCATATTTTATTTAATGAGTAGTAATATTTTATCCATATTAAAGAAGCACTGAATGGAGTTAGCCTGTGAATGAAAGGCAGTGGAGTCGAATATAATGGCTCTCAAGTCAAACAGAAGTTTTTCAAATCTCAGAGCTATTATATACAAATTGAGAATCATGATTTCTTCATATATAAAATAGGGTTAATAGCAGTATATGCTTCATCAGTTTGTTATGTTGATTAAATTAAATAAAACAAATGTTTTGGCATAATTTTTGATGCACACAAAACGTTCAATAAATATTTGGGGTTGTTATTAAAATTAGAGTAATAATGATTATGATTATTTTTTGTTATCTGGTACTGCTATATAATGACAGGCTCATAAGAACATCATCTTGTAGAAAATTATGGAAAAGAACAGATATTATGTTATTAACTCACTTTTCAGGGTGGTGTCTGAGCCCTTGGCTGTACTTCTGTTTTGGTTCCAGGGGGATATGGAGCAATCAATAAGAACACCCTGCCTTAGATAAGAGTAAGCAGAAGAAATAGGCTTGACATTTTATGATTAAGCTGATTGTTCTGAAGGTGGCAAAAGCTAGCCAGGAAGAACTTTGGTATGTTCATGGCCATTGTAACAGGTATGACTATGAACAAGTCAAGACAGTGGTTTATTAAGTTTTAAATTGTATAATACATATTAAGAAGTGCTAAGATTGATCAAGGAAGATTAAGCTGGTTCTTGAAGGAAAGGAAAGGGATTGAGTGGTGTGGGGAGTTTAGAAGAAAGGGGAACATTTTAGCTAGGGAAACAAAAGTGAAGCAGCATAACATTTGTCCTGATTTTGTCAGTTTGTCAATGCACTCCACTAACTCACTCCATCTCTATTCCTTTCTAAGCAGAGTAAATTAATCATTAGTCTCTGAACTCACCCTGAGTTTTCCTGCCTCTATAGCTTTACCAATGCTGTTCTGAAATCCTATCCATCTATCAAAGTCTACCTTCAACACTACTTCTTTGGTGAAGCCTTTCTCATCACAAGGTGATATATTTTATTATCCTTATTAAAGGTCCCTGTAGCACCTTGGGTAGTCCTCTCCAATGCTACTAATAATATTTGGCTTCATATTACAGTTCTTTGTATAATTCTCTGTAAACTCCTTGAGGACAGTGACTGAGACATTCATTTGTTAGAGCTAGAAGGACTTGTAGTTTATCCAAATATTTTGCATCTTTCATTGCTGGGTATATAGTAGTTGCTTAAATAATATGGTGAGGAAATGATAATTCTTAATGGTCTGTTTACAAATTGATATGAAATATGACTTGTACAAATTCAGATAAAAGTATTTTATTCAATGATTCAAGTGGTGATGTCAATTAAAATGCTGTACTTAAAAATCAGTTTTTCTGCACTACTCAGTTCTAAATCAACCTTTCCTTGTACTTGTAGCAGATATTGATTAGAAATTTACAGATACTCCATGCTGTTTAGAAGCAGACTAGTTTCTCCATCTGGGAAGTAATATATACATTTATATATTTCTGGCATGATTTTTTTTTGTCTTCTTCACTGATTATAAAAGCCATCAGGACAAAAACACCATCCTTCATTTTTTAAATAACCACCTGTATTCAGCAGTATAGTCAACTATCTGTTCATTCTCAGCACTCAATAAATATTGATTTACTAAAAGACAGTGACTTCAGGAAGGGTGATGGTAACAGGAATATTTGGTGAAAATTATTAGGCAGTGTAGCCTGGTACCTGTGAAGGGAGAATGTAAAGAGTGGAGATGTTAAAAGTTTGACTCCATATTGTAGAGAAAGTGACCATTTTTCTTCAATCTCTTTAGATTCTGTCAAATGTCAACATGCTTTTCATAATTATTCGTGTTTGTTAATCATGGTTAAGCAGAATCATTTCCATTTTCTATGCCCTGATTTCTGCTGCAGTCAAGCTACCTAAACCCTGCATTGATTTCTTGTTTATGGCTCAGTCCATAATGACAGAATTTTGCATTTTGTATAGTAATGCTAGCAAAGGACCTTAGTTTCATTTATGCAGTAGATTCTGAAAGACAAAGTAGATTATTCCCCAATGGTAGTTATTTCATATACTTGACTACATTATTTTTCAAGGATCTGCTGTGTTTTGCCACTCAGCAGAATACATAATCCTCGCCACAAAACAAACAAACAAACAAACAAAAACTTAATGGGTAAAGTACAAATCCCATTTTACCATTGGCCAATATTAGTAATGAGAACACACACATACTCAAAGATATTTATTGTCACCACTTCTTAAACTAGAATGTCATTTGTGGCTCTCCATGTTTTATGGATTAGTTATAATAAAAAAGAGCACCACTGATCTCTTCCCAAGCATTTTTTTTTTTTAGTTATATCCCTGATTATGGTTAAACTGAAGGAAAATACTACATTGAAAATTGCAAACGTTTTTAACATTGATTTTTAATAAGGGCACTTTCTTTTTTGTTGTCAAAGGTATTGTTAGTGCATTTTATTATTTTATTATTATTATTTTTTAAGTTCCCGGGCATGTGTGCAGGATGTGCAGGTTTGTTACGTAGGTAAACGTGTGCCATGGTGGTTTGCTGCACCTATGAACCCATCACATAGGTATTGAGCCCAGCGTGCATTAGCTCTTTTAACTAATGCTCTCCACCCACACCTCTGCCCTCCCTGGACAAGCCCCAGTGAGTGTTGTATTTTTCCCTGTATCCATGTGTTCTCATTATTCAGCTCCCACTTATAAGTGAGAACATGCAGTATTTGGTTTTCTGTTGCTGCATTAGTTTGCTGAGGATAATGGCTTCCAGCTTCATCCATGTGCCTGGAAAAAACACGATCTTGTTCCTTTTTATGGCTGCATAGTATTCCATGGTGTATATGTACCACATTTACTTTATCTAGTCTACCATTGATGGGCATTTGGATTGATTCCATGTCTTTGCTATTGTGAGTAGTGCTGCAATGAACATACTCGTGCAAGTATTTCTATAATGGAATGATTTATATTCCTTTGGGTATATACCAAGGATTGGGATTGCTGGGTCAAATGGTATTTCTGGTCCTAAATCTTTGAGGAATCGCCAAACTGTCTTCCACAATGGTTGAACTAATTTACATTCCCACCAACAGTGTAAAACCATTTCTATTTCTCCAAAACCTCGCCAGCATCTGTTGTTTCTTGACTTTTTTATAATAGCCATTGTGACTAGTGTGAGAGGGTATCTCATTGTGGTTTTAATTTGTATTTCTCTAATGATCAGTGAGGTTGAGCTTTTTTTCATGTTGATTGGCTGCATGTATGTCTTCTTTTGAGAAGTGTCTGCTCATGCCTTTTGACCACTTTTTAATGGGGTTGTCTTTTTCTTGTAAATTTGCTTAAGTATCTTGTATATTCTGGATATTAGACCTTTGTCAGTTGGACAGTTTGCAAAGATTTTCTCTCATTCTGTAGGTTGTCTGTTCACACTGGTGATAGTTTCTTTTGCTGTGAGTAAGTTGTTTAGTTTAACTAGATCCCATTTGTCAATTTTTGCTTTTGTTGCATTTGCTTTTGGCGATTTCATCATAAAATGTTTGCTCCTCCTTTCCTTCTGTCCATAAAATGTAACTTGCTCCTCCTTTCCTTCTGTCATGATTGTGAAGCTTCCTCAGCCACGTTGAACTGTAAGTCCATTTAACCTCTTTCTTCTGTGAATTGCAGACAGAAAATAAGACAATTTGACCACAGAGGCAGCGATTGGAGTGATGCTGCCGCAACTCAAGGAAAGCCAGAAGCCATCAGATGCTGGAAGAGGCAAGGGAAGGATTCACCAGTGAACTATAGGAAGGTCCTGAAAGGTATTGCCTAGATTTTCTTCTAGAGTTTTTATAGATTTGGGTTTTACATTTCAGGTTTTAATCTATCTTGAGTTAATTTTTTTAATAAGGTGTAAGAAAGGGGCCAGTTTTAATTTTCTTCATATGGCTAGCCCGTTCTCCCAGCACCATTTGTTAAATATGGATTCCTTTCCCCATTGCTTGTTTTTGTCAGGTTTGTCAAAGATCAGATGGTTGTAGATGTGCAGTTTTAATTCTGAGTTCCCTATTCTGTTCCATTGGTCTATTTACCTGTTTTTTTTTTTTTTTTTTTTTTTTTAACCAGTACCATGCTGTTTTGGTTACTCTAGCCATGTAGTATAGTTTGAAGTGAGGTAGCATGGTGCCTCCAGCTGTGTTCTTTTTGCTTATGATTGTCTTGACTATTTGGGCTGTTTTTTGGTTCCATATTAAACTGAAAACAGATTTTTTGTAAATCTGTGAAGAATGTCAATGGTAGTTTAATGGGAATAGCATTTAATCTAAAAATTGCTTTAGGCAGTATGGCCATTTTCACGATATTGATTCTTACAATCCATGAGCATGGAATATTTTTCCATGTGATTGTGGCTTCTCTGATTTCCTTGAGTGGTGGTTTGCAGTTCTCCTTTAAGAGGTCCTTCATTTCTCTTGTTGTCTGTATTCCTAGGTATTTTACACACTTTGTGTCAATTGTGTATGGGAGGTTATTCATGATTTCACTCCCTGCTTGTCTGTTGTTGATGTAAATAAATCCTTGTAATTTCAACATATTGATATTGGATCCTGAGACTTTGCTGAAGTTGCTCATTAGCTTAAGAAGCTTTTGGGCTGAGTTGATGGGGTTTTCTAGATATAGGATCATGTCATCTGTAAGCAGAGACAGATTTAATTCCTCTCTTCCTATTTGAACACCCTTTATTTCTTTATCTTGCCTGATTGCCTTGGACTGAACTTCCTATACTATGTTGAATTGAAGTGGTGAGAGAGGGCAGGCTTGTCTTGTGCCAGTTTTCAAGGGGAATGCTTCTGGCCTTTGCCCATTCAGTATGATATTGGCTGTGAGTTTCTTATATATGGCTCTTATTACTTTGAGGTGTGTTCTTTCAATACCAAGTTTATTGAGAGTTTTTAACATGAAGGGATGGGGAATTTTATCAAAGGTCTTTTCTGTATCTATTGAGATATAATCATGTGACTTTTGTCTTTAGTTCTGTTTATATGATGAATTTTGTTTATTGATTTGTGTATGTTGAACCAGCCTTGCATCCTGGGGATGAAGCCAAGTTGATCGTGGTAGATAAGCTTTTTGATGTGCTGCTGGATTTGGTTTGCCAGTATTTTATTGAGGATTTTTGCATCAATGTTCATAAGGGATATTGGCCTGAAGTTTTCTTTTTTTGTTGTATCTCTGCCAGATTTTGGTGTCAGGATGATGCTGGTCTCAAAAAAAAAAAATGAGTTAGGGAGGCATCCCTTCTTTGCAATTGTTTGGAATAGTCAGAAGAAATGGTATCAGCTTCTCTTTGTACCTCTGTTAGAATTCAGCTGTAAATTTATCTGGTCCTAGGCTTTTATTAGTTGGTAGGCTATTTATTACTGTCTCAATTTCAGAACATGTTATTGGTCTATTTAGGGATTCAACTTGTTGGTTCAGTCTTGGGAGGGTGTATGTGTCCAGGAATTTATCCATTTCTTCCAGGTTTTCCAGTTTATTTGTATCTGTACAAATAATTTTTATAGTATTCTCTGATGGTTGTTTTTAATTCTGTGGGGTCAGTGGTGGTAACCCCTCATTATTTCTGATTGTATTTATTTGAACCTTCTCTCTTTTCTTCTTTATTAGTTTACCTAGCAGTCTACATATTTTATTAATTTTTTTTCAAATAAACAGCTCCAGGATTCATTAATTTATTGAAGGATTTTTCATGTCTCTTTCTCCTTCAGTTCCACACTGAGCTTGGATATTTCTTGTCTCCTGCTAGCTCTGGGGTTTGTTTGCTCTTGGTTCTCTAGTTCTTTTAGTTGTGAAATTAGGGTGTCAATTTGAGATCTTTCTAGCTTTTTTATATGGGTATTTAGTGCTATAAAATTTCCCCTTAACAATGCTTTAGCTGTGTACCAGATATTCTGGTATGTTGTCACTGTGTTCTTATTAGTTTCAAGGAATTTCTTGATTTCTGCCTTAATTTTATTATTTATCCAGAAGTCATTCACGAGCAGGTTGTTCAATTTCCATGCACTTGTTTGTTTTTTAGTGGGTTTCTTAATGTTGAGTTCTAATTTGATTGTGCTGTGGTCTAAGAGACTGTTATTGTATTAGTCCGTTTTCACACTGCTGATAAAGACATACCTGAGACTGGGCAATTCACAGAAGAAAGAGGTTAAATGGACTTACAGTTCAACATGGCTGAGGAAGCCTCACAACCATGACAGAAGGAAAGGAGGAGCAAGTCACATCTTACATGGATGGCAGCAGGCAAAAAGAGAGCTTGTGCAAGAAAATTCTCCCTTATAAATCCCTCAGACCGCATGAGACTTATTCACTGTCACTAGAACAACATGGGAAAGACCTGCCCCCATGATTCAGCCAGCTCCCACCAGGTCCTTCCCACAACACATGGAAATTCAAGATGAGATATGGGTGGGGACACAGTCAAACCATATAATTTCACCCCTGGCTCCTCCCAAATCTCATGTACTCACATTTCAAAAGCAACCATGCATTCCCAACAGTCCTCCAAAGTCTTAACTCATTTCAGCATTAACTTAACAGTCCACAGTCCAAAGTCTCATCTGAGACAAGGTGAATCCCTTCCACCTATGAGCCTATAAGTTCAAAAGCAAGTTAGTTACTTCCTATATACAATGGGGGTATAGGCATTCGGTAAATATAACCATTCCAAATGGGAGAAATTGGCCAAAACAATGGAACTACAGGCCCCATGCAAGTCCAAAATCCAGTGGGGCAGTCAAATTTTAAAGCTCCAGAATGATCTCTTTTGACTCTGTGTCTAACATCCAGGTCACACTGATGCAAGAGTTGGGTTCCTATCGCCTTGGGCAGCTCCACCCCTGTACACTTTGCAGGGTACAGACTATTGCCTGGCTGCTTTCATGGGCTGCCATTGAGTGTCTGCAGCTTTTCCAGGCTCACAGTGCAAGCTGTTGGTGGACCTACCCTTCTGGGATCTGAAGGATGGTGGCCCTCCACTCACAGCTCCACTAGGTGGTGCCACAGTAGGGGCCATGTGTGGGGTCTCCGACCCCTCATTTCCCTTCCATGCTGCCTTAGCAGAGGTTCTCCATGAGGGCTCCACTCCTGCAGCAAACTTCTGTCTGGGCATCTAGGCATTTATATACATATTCTGAAATCTAGTAGGACATTCTCAAACCCCAATTATTTACTTCTGTGCACTTGCAGGCTCAACAACAGATGGAAGCCACCAAGCCTTGGGGCTTCGACCCTCTGAAGCCATGGCCCAAGCTCTATGTTGTCCTCTTTCAGCCATGGCTGGAATGGCTGGCATGCAAGACATCAAGTCCCTAGGCTGCACACAGCACAGGGACCCTTGGCCCAGACCAGGAAACCATTTCTCCTAGGCCTCTGGGAATGTGATGGGAGGGGCTGCTCTGAAGACATGTGACATGCTCTGGAGATATTTTCCCTATTGTCTTGAGGATTAACATTAGACTCCTCATTACTTATGCAAATCTCTGGAGCCGGCTTGAATTTCTCCTTAGAAAATGGGATTTTCATTTCTATCACATAGTCAGGCTGCAAATTTTCTGACCTTTTATCCTCTGTTTCCCTTATAAAACTGAATACCTTTATCAGCACCCAAGCCACCTCTTGAATTCTTGCTGCTTAGTACTTTCTTCCACCAGATTCCCTAAATTATCTCTCTCAAGTTTAAAGTTTCACAAATCTCTAGGGCAGGGGCAAAATGCCATCAGTTTCTTTGCTAAAATATAACAAGAGTCACCTTTACTCCAGCTCCCAACAAGTTCCTCGTCTCCATCTGAGACCACCTCAGCCTGGATTTCATTGTCCACATAATTATCAGCATTTTGGTCAAAGCTATTCAACAAGTCTCTAGGGAGTTCCAAAGTTTCTCACATTTTCCTATCTTTTTCTGAGCCATCCAAACTCTTCCAACCTCTGCCTGTTACCCAGTTCCAAAGTTGCTTCCACATTTTTGGGTATCTTTTCAGAAGCTCCCCACTCTACTGATACCAAGTTACCGTATTAGTCCATTTTCATGCTGCTGATGTAGACATACCTGAGGCTGGGCAATTTACAAAAGAAAGAGGTTAAATGGACTTACAGTTTCACGTGGCTGGGAAGCCTCACAATCATGGCAGAAGGCAAGGAGGAGCAAGTCACATCTTACATGGATGACATCAGGCAAAGAGAGATAGCTTTTCCAGAAAACTCCTCCTTATGAAACCCTCAGATTTATTCACTGTCACAAGAACAGCATGGGAAAATCCTGCTCCCATGATTCAATTACCTACCAGGTCCCTCTAACAATACATGGGAATTCAAGATAAGACTTGGGTGGGGACACAGTCCAACTCTATCAGTTATAATTTCCGTTCTTTTGCATTTGCTAAGGAGTGTTTTACTTCCCATCATGTGATCAATTTTAGAGTAAGTGCCATGTGGCACCAAGAAAAATGTATATTCTGTTGTTTTGGAGTAGAGAGTTCTGTAGATATCTATCAGGTCCACTTGGTTCAGAGCTGAGTTCAACTCCTGAATATCATTGTTAATTTTCTGTCTTGATGATCTGTCTAATACTGACAGTGGGGTATGAAAGTCTCCCATTATTATTGTGTGGGGGCCTAAGTCTCTTTGTAAGTTTTTAATAACTTGTTTTATGAATCTGGGTGCTCCTGTATTGGGTACATATATACTTAGGATGGTTAGCTCTTCATGTTGAATTGAATTTTATACCATTATGTAATGCCCTTCTTTGTCTCTTTTGACCTTTGTTGTTTCAAAGTCTATTTTGTCAGAGACTAGGATTGCAATTACTGCTTTTTTTGCTTTCCATTTACTTGGTAAATTTTTCTCCACCCCTTTATTTTGAGCCTATACGTGTCTTTGTACATGCGATATGTCTCTTGTGTACAACACACCAATGGGCCTTGTGTTTTTATCTAGCTTGCAACTCTGTGTCTTTTATTTGGGGCATTTAGCCCATTTATATTTAAGGTTAATATTGTTATGTGTGAATTTGATCCTGTCATCATGATGCTGGCTGGATTAATATTGTAGACTTGTTAATGTATTTGCTTCATAGTGTTGTTGGTCTGTGTATGTCAGTGTGTTTTTGTAGTGGATGGTAACAGTTTTTCCTTTCCATGTTTAGTGCTTCCTTCAGGAGCTTGCAAGGCAGGCCTGGTGGTGATGAAATCCCTCAGCATTTACTTGTCTGAAAAAGATGTTATTTCTCCTTTGCTTATGAAGCTTAGTTTGGCCAGATATGAAATTCTGGCTTGGAAATTCTTTTAAGAATGTTGAATATTGGCCCCCATGCTCATGGCTTATAGGGCTTCTGCTGAGAGGTCTACTGTTAGTCTGATGGGCTTCCCTGTGTAGATAACCTAGCCTTGCTCTCTGGATGTCCTTAACATTTTTTCTTTCATTTTAAGCTTGGGGAATTGAATGATTATGTGTCTTGGGGTTGATCTTCTCATGGAGTATCTTAGTGGGGTCCTCTAGATTTCCTGAATTTGAATGTTGGCCTGTCTTGCTGGGTTGGGGAAGTTCTCTTGGATGATATACTGAAGTATGTTTTCCAACTTGATTCCATTCTCCCTGTCTCTTTCAGGTACTCCAAACAGTCATAGGTTCAGTCTTTTTAAATAGTCCCATAGTTCTCAGAAGTTTTTTTTAATTCCTTTTTATTCCTTTTTCTCTAATGTTTTCTGCCTGCCTTATTTAAGAAGTATAGTCTTCAAGCTCTGATATTCTCTTTTCCACTTGGCCAATTCAGCTATTGATACTTGTATTTGCATCATGAGGTTCTCATTCTGTATTTTTCAGCTCTATCAGGTCACTTATGTTCCTCTCTAAACTGGTTATTCTAGTTAACAGCTCTTATAATCTTTTATCATGGTTCTTAGCTTCTTTGCATTGGTTTAGAACATAATCCTATAGCTCAGCAAAGTTCGTTATTACCCACTTTCTGAAACCTACTTCTGTCAGTTCATCCATTTCAGCTTCAGTCCAGTTCTGTGCCCTCACTGGAGAGGTGTTGCAATCATTTGGAGGGGTAGAGGCATTCTGACTTTTGGAATTTTCAGTGTTTTTGCATCATTTTTTTTTCATCTTCATGGATTTATCTGCCTTTGATCTTTAAGTCTGTTGACATTTTGATGGGGTTTTTGCGGGCTTCTTTTTGTTGATGTTGTTGTTGTTGCTTTTTGTTTGTTTGTTTTTGTTTTACCAGTCAGGCCTCTGTTCTTCAGGTCTGCTGCAGTTTGCTGGGGGTCCAGTCCAGACCCTGTTTGTCTGGGTATTACCAGTGGAGGCTCCAGAATAGCAAAGATTGCTGCCTGCTCCTTCCTCTGGAGGCTTTGTCCCAGAAGGGTACTGACTTGATGTCAGCTGGAACTCTCCTGTATGAGGTGTCTAGTGACTCCTGTTGGGAGGTCTCACCCAGTCAGGAGGCACAGGACCAGGAATCCCCTTAATGAAGCAGTCTGGCTATCCCTTAGTGGAGCTGTTCTGGGGGAATCCCCCTCATCTGGAACACATGGATTCTTCAGTTAGCAGGCAGGAAAGATTAAGAACGCTGAACCCAAGACCATGGCTGCCTTTCTCCCAGGTGCTCTGTTTCAGGGAGTTGAGAGTTTTGTCTGTAAGTCCCTCACTGGAGTTGATGGAATTCCTGCAGGGAGGCCCTGCCTAGTGAGAAGGGGTGGATCCGGGTTCCTACTAAAGAAGCAGCCTGGCCACAGTCTGCCAGAGTCACTGTGCTGTGCTGTGGGGGAATATCACCCAGTCCAAACTGCCCACCCTCTTTAGCACTGGCAGGGGAAAACCACTGACTAGAGCTGCAGTAATGGTGGCCACCCCTCTCCCTGGGAACTCGGTCAACTTAGACATTCTCCAGGTGGATGTTCTGGCCAGTGGGAATTCCAAACCAGTGGGTCTTAGTTTGCTGAGATCCATGGGAATGGGACCCACTGAGTGAGTCTGCTTGGCTCCATGGCTTTAGCTCCTTTTTCATGGAAGTGGACAAATCTCCTGCCTTTCTGGAGTTCTGAGAGCTGCTAGATTATGTAAAAACTCCTGCAGCATATTGCCTGCCTAAACAGTCACTGACTGGAGCAGCTGCCCTATGTCTGCCCAGTTTTGTGCTTGGGACCCAAGGCCCTGGTGATGTATGCTCATGAAGAAATCTCCCAGTCTGAGGGTTGCAAAAATCTGTGGGAAAAGCATAGTGCCCCTGTGCACATAGTACACTGACTCACTGCCTCCCTTGGCTGCAGGAGAGAGGTCCCTTTGCCCTATGTAGCTCCCAGGTGAAACGTCACCCCACCTTGCTTTCCTTGCTCTCTGTGGGTAGCACCAACTCCCTAGTCAGTCCTAATGAAAGAATCTGGGTAACTCAGTTGGAAGTGTAGAATTCACTCACTTTTTGCATACATCTTGTTGGGAGCTGCAGATGGACACTATTTCTACTTGGCCATCTTGGCCCTTCCCACCACAAAAATTATATATTTTTAAAGTATGCATCTTGATACATTTGAAAATAAGTATACACCTGATATGGTTTGGCTGCATCCCCACCCAAATCTCAACTTGAATTGTATCTCCCAGAATCCCCACGTGTTGTGAGAGGGACCCAGGGGGAGGTAATTGATTCATGGGTGCTGGTCTTTCCTGTGGTATTCTCATGATAGTGAATAAGTCTCACGAGATCTGATGGGTTTATCAGGGGTTTCTGCTTTTGCCTCTTCCTCATTTTCTCTTGCCGCCACCATGTAAGAAGTACCTTTCACTTCCTGCCATGATTCTGAGGTCTCCCTACTCATGTGGAACTGTAAGTTCAATTAAACCTCTTATTCTTCCAGTCTCAGGTATATCTTTATCAGCAGTGTGAAAACAGACTAATACAGTAAATTGATACCAGTACAGTGGGGCATTGCTGAAAAGATACCCAAAAATGTGGAAGCGACTTTAGAAGTGGGTAACAGGCAGAGTTTGGAACAGTTTGGTGGACTCAGAAGACAGGAAAATTTGGGAAATTTGGAACCTCCTAGAGACTTGTTGAATGGCTTTGCCCAAAATGCTGATAGTGATATGGACAATAAGGTCCAGACTGAGGTAATCTCAGATGGAGATGAGGAACTTGTTGGGAACTAGAGTAAAGGTCACTCTTGTTACGTTTTAGCAAAGAGACTGGTGGCACTTTGCTCCTGCCCTAGAGATTTGTGGAAGTTTGAATTTGGAGGAGATGATTTAGGGTATCTGGCAGAAGAAATTTCTAAGGATCAAAGCATTCAAGAGGTGACTTGGGTACTGTTGAAGACATTCCATTTTATGAGGGAAGCAGATCATGAAAGTTTGGAAAATTTGCAGCCTGACTATGCAATAGAAAGAAAAACCCATTTTCTGAGCAGAAATTCAACCCAGCTGTAGAGAACTGCATAAGTAGCAAGAAGCCTAATGTTAATCCCAAAGACCATGAGGAAAATGTCTCCGGGCCATGTCAGAGACCTTGACGGCAGCCCCTTCCATCACATTCCCAGAGGCCTAGGAGGAAAAAGTGTTTTCGTGGGCCTGGCCCAGGGTCCGCATGCTGTGTGCAGCCTAGGACTTGGTGCACTGTGTCCCAGCTGCTCCAGCCTTTGCTGAAAGGGGCCAACATGCAGCTCAAGCTGTGGCTTCAGAGGGTGGAAGCACCAAGCCTTGGCAGCTTCCATGTGATGTTGAGCCTATTGGTGCATGGATGTCAAGAACTGAGGTTTGGGAACCTCAGCCTAGATTTCAGAAGATGTGTGGAAACGCTTGGATGCCCAAGCAAGTGTTTGCTGTAGAGGCAGGGCCCTCATGGAGAACATTTGCTAGGTCATTGTGGAAAAAAAAAAATGTGGAATCAGAGCCCCTACACAGAGTCTCTACTGTGGCACCACCTAGTGGAGCTGTGAGAAGAGGGCCACCATCCTCCAGACCCTAGAATGGTAGATCCACCATCAGCTTGAACCATGTGCCTGGAAAAACCACAGACAATGCCAGCCCATGAAAGCAGCAGGGAGGGAGGCTGTACCCTGCAAAGCCACAGGGCGGGGAGGTGCCCAAGACCCTGAGAGCCCACCTCTTGCATCAGCGTGACCTGGATTTGAGATCTGGTGTCAAAGGAGATCGTTTTGGAGATTTGAAGTTTGACTGCATCCCTGGATTTTGGACTTGCATGGGCCCTGTAACCTCTTTGTTTTGGCCAGCATTTGAAATGGCTGTATTTACCCATAACTGTAACCCCTTGTATCTTGGAAGTAACTAGCTTGTTTTTGATTTTACAGACTCGTAGGCAGAAGGGACTGGACTTTTCTCAGATGAGACTTTGGACTTTGGACTTTTCCGTTAATGCTGAAATGAGTTAAGACTTTGGGGGACTGCTGGGAAGGCATGATTGGTTTTGAATTGTGAGGACATGAGATTTGGAGGGGCCAGGGGCAGAATGATATGGTTTGGCTGTGTCCCCACCCAAATCTCAACTTGAATGGTATCTCCCAGAATTCCCATGTGTTGTGGGAGGGACCCAAAGGGAGGTAATTGAATCATGGGGGCCAGTCTTTCCTGTGCTATTCTAGTGATATTGAATAAGTACCTCGAGATCTGATGGGTTCATGAGGGGTTTCTGCTTTTGCTTTTTCCTCATTTTCTCTTGCCACTGCCATGTAAAAAGTGCCTTTTGCCTACCACCATGATTGGGAGGCCTCCCTAGCCATGTGGAACTGTAAGTCCGATTAAACCTCTTTTTCTTCCCAGTCTAGGGTATGTCTTTATCAGCAGTATGAAAACAGACTAATACAACACCCATGAAACTGTCACCATATACAATGCACTAAAATTAAAGGTGTGATTTCTAGATGGATGCGTGCGCGTGCACACACACACACAGCGTAAGCCTATATATTTTATCTAAATCAGGCTAATCAGGCTAATCACCAGATTTGAATGGAATTTTTCAGATGACAACTGAAAACTGAATTGTGTAGAACCTGAATTTACCAGGTAATTGTATTCATTTTTACCGTGCAACTAATAGGCCCTTGAAATGAGCTTTCAAGCACATTTAGAAAACTATCTTAATCTCCACCCCAATTCTTGCCCCTGGGCATTTTTTCCTCTACGTTTTAAGGGCCCAAATTATCCAGTGCTTCACATAAAAATAATGCAGTAGGACTCGGATTCCTGTTTGTGGTGTTTTGAATTGGAGCAGGAATTGAGAAGATTATACCACAGTCTATTAAAAGCAAGTACACTTTTAAAAAAAGGAATCAAGAGGACTGACACCCTAGACCATGCTTCTAGTGTTTCTTTAGTTACTATAGACCTTCCTGCTCTTTGCAAACAGAAATTGACCTTGCCCTTGCTTTCCACTGGAACTGTAAGTTCCTGCATTGCTGACCTGGTCGTCTTCTTTAGCAGAAAACATACTAGGTTTATTGAGAAATAATTACATCAGTCTGGTAGCATAAAAAGCTGTTATTACTCACTACACTAATAAAAATTATGATGGCAGAAAGAGACTTCCTGGAAATCCTGATTATATCACAGTACTATAGTAGAAAGCAGTTTGAGGACTAATGTCTATTGTCAAGCAGATCAGGCAATAAACAAATTTAGCAGGTCGTTGGATGCCCCCAAAGAACTGGGAACATTTGATCACCATAAAGGCAACTTATTGTAAATAGTCTCAATCCTGAATGGTATTAATATCCCATGACACACAAAATAAGTGCACAATACAATACATTAAGACATTCCTTCAACTTATTTATAATCCAAGGTTGAGTTCTATTTTCTCAACCCTGGGTCAGTAGTCACTTACTAGCTATAAAACTTGGGCAATTTGGCTTGTGTCTCAGATTCATTATCTGTAAAATGACTAGCTTACGTGGTTTTTTAGCATCAAATAAAATGATGGGTGCAAAAATACTTCATGATATTGTGATGAAATTATTTTCTTTAGAGGTGAGCTTTATAGCTTTCACTGTGAACCTTTCTTTATGGAGGAGATGAGTGAAAACGGGCTCATTTCCCATCTCCATTGATATCCCCAGTTTCTAGTTCTCAATTGCCTATGCAAAAGAAATAGGATGAGAATACTTTGAAAAATTTGATTATCATAGTCCTCAAATCAATAAGTATTGACTCAACACATAATCTGAGCTAGCCCTGTTGAGGTAAAGAAGAATAAGATAATCAGTCTCTGTCCTAAAGATGTTTCTAGTCTCCATGGCATGGCAGAAGGGCCACATATTAAAACAGTCGTTCTCATGGTCTGGGGACATATGGTGTTCCCCAAGAACCTTTTAGAGTGTCTTCAAGGTCCAAGATATTTTCATTATAGTACTAAGACATTTGCTTTTTTTCATTATCCATCTCTCAAGAATGTATAGTAATATTCTGCAGAGGCTACAGGATGTGCAATACACAGCTTATTTAATCAGAAATATATACAAGATTCCTGCAGTGTTCTATTAAGCCAGACATTAAAGAAAAATTTTAAAATGTAAAACAATGCCATTCTACTCATTAGCATTGTTTTGGACTTTTTTTTAGAAATATGTGTTATTTATGTTAATGCATTTTCAAATACATTGTGAAGTAACATAAAAATGAAATTTAAAATGAAGTAAACATTTAGAAAACTTTGTCTTAATTTTAAATGTGGTAAATATCAATAGATATAAACCCACACAAACAAATCTTTTTTGAGGTGTCTGTAGACTAAAAAGTGTATGATCACTGTTACACTAAACAGTACAAGCTAAGTGTTAATCTTTGTGCTATTGACTGGTGGAGTCCCATAGGACATTGCTACTCAAAGTGTGATCCATGGACAAAAGGTGTTAACCTCACTTAGAAGAATTTCAGATTATCTGCCTCTTAAAAAGATCTATATAATTTGTATGCATATTAAACTTTGAAAATTATTGGGCTACATAATAGAGGAAAGCTTAATAGGAGAAGTGGCTTTGAAGAAAAAAATCAAATGATTCAATCTACAAATCCAGCTTCACACATTAGCTGAAATTCTAGAGCAGTGGTCTTGAATCCTGTCTGATCATTAGAATCACTTAGGGATATTTTAAAATCTTCAAATTCCTAATGAAAGTTGACACTTTTTTGTGGAGGCATATGTGGCAATATCTATTAAAATAAAAAAAATGGGCCAGACGTGGTGGCTCACGCCTGTAATCTCAGGACTTTGAGAGGCCGAGGCGGGCAGATCATGAGGTCAGGAGTTTGAGACCAGCCTGGCTAGCATGGTGAAAACCCGTCTTTACTAAAAAATAAAATACAAAAAAAGTAGCCGGGCATGGTGGCACGTGCCTGTAATCCCAGCTACTTGGAAGGCTGAGGCAGGAGAATTGCTTGAACCTGAGAGGCAGAGGTTGTGGTGAGCCGAGATTGTGCTATTGCACTCCAGCCTGGACAACAAGAGCAAAACTCCGTCAAAAAAATAAATGTACATACCTTTTGTGATGGTTAATATTAAATGTCAACTTGACTGGATTGGAGGATGCAAAGTATTATTCTTGGGTGTGTCTGTGAGGGTGTTGCCAAAGGAGATTAACATTTGAGTCAGTGGACTGGGAGAGGCCAACCCACCCTCAATCTGGGTGGGTGCCATCTGATCAGTTGCCAGAGTGGCTTTTATCTAGCTGAGTCTTCTGGTCTTCATCTTTCTCCTGTGCTGGGTGCTTTCTGCCCTTGAACATCGGACTCCAAGTTCTTCAGCTTTTGGATTACTGGATTTATACCAGAGGTTTTCCAGGGCTTCTTGGGCCTTTGGCTACAGACTGAAGGCTGCACTGTCAGTTTCCCTACTTTGGAAGTTTTGGGACTCAGACTGGCTTCCTTGCTCCTCCGCTTGCAGATGGCCTATTGTGGGACATCAACTTGTGACTGTGCGAGTCAATACTCCTTAATAAGCTCCCCTTCATATATACATATATCATATTAGTTCCATCTCTCTAGAGAACCCTGCCTAATACACCTTTTTATTTGACAATTCCATTTCTAGGAATTTATATTATGTAGAAACTTGCACATGTGCAAATATCACATGTGTAAGAATATTCACTATAGTATTGTTTGTAATAGCAAAAAATGCAGAAGAAAATACATATCTCCAGCAGTAGAAAACTTTAAATATATTGTTGCTTATCCAAACAGTGAAATACTGTAGAGTTGCAAAAAAAAAAAAAAAAAAAAGGAATGTGGCATTCCCTTCTGTAATAATATGGAACAATTTCAAGGACATTATGGGAACTGGATAAATCAAAGTACAGGACAGTATGCATAGCTTATTCGTAATAAAATTACATAATTATACATATTTGCTTGAATACACATAACTTCACTCACAAAATACTAAAGAAACTGCTAACAATATATACAGTTACCTGGTGACAGTGGTTGCCTCTGTATAGGGGAACTAAAGGAGAGAAGTAGAGAAGATTACTCTTTATTGTAAGACTCTTTGAACATTCTGAATTTAGAACCCTATTTATGTGTTGTCTATTACAAATAAGAAACAAACAAATTCCTATGTAATTGAATATTATTACGCATCAGGTAGAGGTGGGGTTCAAAATTGTGTATTTAGTGAAAAAAGTAGCTCACTAAGTGATTCTGAGGAGCAATCAAGTTTGGAAAGTATTGAACTTATTGATAGTGACTCAGAACTCTTCCACGAGCACATTACTGTGGGAAGTAAAAGGGGATGTGCATGCTCCTCCCCTCTCTCTCTGTTGATGATATTGCCCATATCCCCCAGAAAATTAGAATTTAGCCTGACCTCTTTTGGAGACAGGGGATGGAGAAAGCAGAAGGTAATCACCAAATATGTTGTATTTGAATTTGTGCAGGTTTTCACTGCAATTATTTTGGGCACTTATTTTCAGGCTTAAAACAAAATATACTGTTATTTACAATATACTGTTGTTGTTTTCTAATTTTAAAAACCTGATGTTTATTATGTTTAGAGATGTGAAGATTCTGGCGGTGGCGGGGGAGTATATGTTTTTTTCTACAAATCTTCCCTTAAAAGTATTTTATAAAGAGTTTTTCCCCTCCCAAGACTCATGTAATTAATTTCATCAACTTAGGAAAGAGGATACCAATGTGCTTTTACTGAGAAAGACGATAAATGTATGGGAAATCGGCTTCAGTGTATACACATATGGTTTTTTCAGTGTATATTCACGTATACATGTCAATATTTACAACCTTTGACTTAGAAGTGCAAGAAAATTTCCAACTTTATATTCTATAAGACCTTATCTTGTTCTGGGATTCCTATTCCCATGACTGTAAAGATAAGAGCTTCATTTGGAATCATGGGTGTATACTGGCTTCCCCCACTCTGGCAAATAGCAGGAATCTAGATGCAAACCTGCTTGATTTAGCAGAACTCTCCCTATGTTCACTAGGATTAGGTCATGTTACAGCCTTCAGTCATCAGGAATTTTTTATTTCATTAAACTTAGTGTTGCCATCAATAGACTTTCTTTTTTATTTTTATTTTTCAGTCTTTTACATTTTCCTTCCTTCCTTCCTTCCCTTTCTTCTTTCTTTCTTTCTTTCTTTCTTTCTTTCTTTCTTTCTTTCTTTCTTTCTTTCTTTCTTTCTTTCTTCTTTCTTTTTCTTCCTTTTCTTTCTTTCCTTCTTTCTTTCTCTTTCTTTCTTTCTTTCTCTGTCTTTCTCTCTTTCTTTCTTTCTTTCTTTCTTTCTTTCTTTCTTTCTTTCTTTCTTTCTTTCTTTGTCTTTTCTTCTTTCTTTTTTCTTTCTTTTTTTTTAGATGGAGTCTTGCTCTGTCGACCAGGCTGCAGTGCAATGATGTGATCTCGATTCACTGCAACCTCTGCCTCCTGGGTTCAAGCGAGTCTCCTGCCTCAGCCTCCCGAGTACCTGGGATTATAGGCGCGTGCCACCACGCCCAGCTAATTTTTATATTTTTAGTAGAGACGGAATTTCACCATGTTGGCCAGGCTGGTATGAAACTTCTGACGTCGTGATCCGCCTGCCTCAGCCTCCCAAAGTGCTGGGATTACAGACATGAGCTGCCGTACCTGGCCTAAGACGAATGTGTGTGTGTGTGTGTGTGTGTGTGTATACACACACACATACTATATACATATATACATACTATATACACATATATACATATTTACACATATATACATATATACATATATACACATATATACATACTATATATATAGTACACTATGACATTTTGAAATATGTATACATTGTGGAATGGCTGCATCAAGCAAATTAGCATATGCATCACTTCACATACTTACCATTTTTGTGGTGAGAACAATTAAAATCTGACCTCTTTACAATTTTCAGGTACAATACATTGGCCTTAACTACAGTCACTGTGTTGTAAAATAGCTCTCTTGAACTTAGTACTCCCATCTAACTGAAGTTTTATATACTTTGACCAATGTTTACCTAACCCCTCTTTCATCCCAGCCCCTGGTAACCACCATTCTACTTTCTATTATACTTCTAAGAGTTCAACTTTTTAAAGATTCTACATATAAGCGATATTATGCAGTATTTGACTTTCTGTTTCTGGGTGATTTCATTTTTCATAATGCCCTCCAGGGTCATCCATGTCCAAATGACAGGAATTTATTCTTTAATAAGGCTGAATAGTATTCCATTGTGCATGCATATCACATTTTCTTTATCCAATCATCCATTAATGAACAGTTAGATTGATTATGTATTTTGGCTAATGCAAATAATCCTACAATGAACATGAGAGTGCAGACGTCACTTCAACATACTGATTTCAAGTATTTTTCATATAAATGCAGTAGTGAGATTGCTAGATCATATGGTAGTTTTTTTTTTAAATTTTTTGAGGAAGCTCCATACTGTTTTCCATAACGGGTATATCAATTTACATTTCCACCAATTGTGGGCAAGTGCTCCCTTTTCTCCACACCCTCGCCAATACTTGTTATGTTTTTTCTTTTTCTTAATAGCCATTCTAACAGGTATGAGGTGATACCTTATTGTGATTTTAATTTGCAATATCTAATGATTAGTAATGATAAAGATGTTTTCATATTCCTAGTGGCTATTTTCATGGTTTCTTTGGAGAAATGTCTATTCAGATCCTTTGCTCATTTTGTAATCAGGTGTTTGGGATTTTTCTTTTCTATTAAGTGGTTTGAATTCCTTATGTTTTAGACATTAACTTCTTATCAGCTATATGGTTTGCAAATATTTTTTCCTGTATAGTAGGTCACATCTTCACTCTGTTGATCATTTCCTTGGCTGTGGAAGAGCTTTTATGTTTGATGTCATCCCATTTGTCTATTTTTGCTTTTGTTGCCTGTGCTTTTGGAGTCATATCCAAAAAATAATTTTCCAGATGAATGTCATAGAGCTTTACCATATGTGTTTTTCTAAAAGTTTTACAGTTTCGGGTATTACATTTACATCTTTAATCCATTTTGAGTTGATTTTTGTATATAGTGTGAGATTAAGGCCTAATTTCATTATTCTGCATATGGAGATCCAGTTTTCCCGGCACGGAAGAGACTGTCTCTTGGGTGTTTTGGGAATCATTGTAGGAAGTCAAATGAGAGTAAATGTGTAGATTTATTTCTGAGCTCTCTATTATGTTTCCTTAGTCTATCTGTTTTTATGCCAATATCATGCTGTTTTTATTACTATAGCTTTTTAGTATATTTATAAGATTGGTCTATGTGAGGCTTCCAATTTTATTTATTTATTTATTTTTGTTCAAGATTGCTTCAGAAACTCTTGAGGTTTCATACTTATTTTAGGACTTTTTAAAATTTCTGTAAAAAATGGCATTGTAACTGATGGAGATTGCATTGAATCTGTAGATCACTTTAGGTGGTATAGTCATTTTAAATATATATATTTTAAATTTCAATAGCTTTTGGAGTACCAGTGGTTTCTAATTACCTGGATGAATTGTATAGTGGTAAAGTCTGAAATTTTAGTCCATCTATCACTCAAGTAGTGTACATTGTACCTAAGACGTAGCTTTTTATCTGTTGCCATGCTCCTACCCTCCTGCTTCTGAGTCTCCAATGTCTGTTATACCACTTTGTATGCCTTTGTGTACCCATAGCTTAGCTCTCACTTATAAATGAGAACAAGCGTGGTCATTTTAACAATATTAATTCTTCCAATCCATAAACGTGGCATATTTTTCCATTTTTTTTAGTTTTCTTCTATTTCATTCATTAATGTTTTATAGTTTTTAGTGTATATGTCTTTTCCTCCTTTGTTAAATATATTTTGAAGTTTTTTGTTGCTATTTTATTTTTTTATTTATTATTATTATTATTATTTTTGGAGACAGGGTCTTGCTCTGTTACCCAAGCTGGAGTACAGTGGCACAATTTTGGCTCACTGCAACATCTGTCTCCCGGGTTCAAGCAATTTTTGTTCCTCAGCCTCCAAAGTAGCTGGGTTTACAGGCATGAGCCACCACACCAAACTAAGTTTTGTATATTTAGCAGAGATGGAGTTTCACCATGTTGTCCAGGCTGGACTGGAACTCCAGGCCTCAAGTGATCCATCCACCTCGGCCTCCCAAACTGCTGGGATTACAAGCACGAGCCACTGTGTTTTGCCTTTTGTGTCTATTTTAAATTAGATTGATTTCTTTATTTCTTTTTCAGATACTTTGTTATTAGTAGACAGGAATGCTACTGATTTTTATGTTGATTTTGTATTCTGCAAATGTACTAAATTTTTAAATTAGTTCTAACATATTATTGGTGGAGTCTTTAGGATTATGTATATTATAATATCATGCTGTAACTTTTTTCGTTTGTTTTAATGCTTCTTATTCCTTTCTCTTGCCTCATTGCTCTGGCTTGGACTTCCAGTACTGTTTAATAGAAGTGGTGAGAGTGGGCCTTGTTGTCTTTTTCTCAATCTTAGAGGAAAAACTTTCAACTTTTCACCATTGAGTATAATGTTACCTGTGCATTTGTTATATATGGGCTTTATTGCATTGAGATACATTACCTCTATAACTAATTTGTTGAGTTTTCATCATAAAAGGATGGTGAATGTTGACAAGTGTTATTTCTGCACCTATTGAGATCATATGATTTTTGTCTTTTATTCTGTTAATGTAGTGTATCACATTTATAAATTTGCGTATGTTGAACCATCCATGCATCCCTGGGGTAAATTGCACTTGATCATGTTGAATGATTGTTTTAATGTGCTGTTGAATTTCATTTGCTAGTATTTTGTTGAGGTTTTTTGCACCTGTGTTCTTCAAGGATATTGTCCTGCAATTTTATTTGTGTATTTGTTTGGCTTTTCTATCAGGGTAATGTAGGTCTCATAAAATAGGTTCGGCAGTATTTCCTCTTCAAATTTTTGGAAGCATTTGAGAATGATTGATATTAGTGCTTCTTTAAATGTTTGGTAGAATCAGCAGTGAAGCCATCAGAGCCTGGGCTTTTCTTTTAAATTAGAGCATTTGTACACTGCTTATGGGATGAAAATAGGTATAGCTACTTTGTAAAACAGATTGGTGATTCCTTAAAAAGGTAAACATAGAATTACCTTATGACTCAGCAACTCTCCTCCTATGTAAATACGAACAACGAATATAAAACAGGTAATCAAATGAAAATTTGTACATGAATGTTCTTAGTGGCACTAGTCAAAATAGCCAAAAGTTGGGAATAACCAAAATTTCTATCAACTGATTTAATAAACAAAATGTAGCAATGTGGTATAGCCATACAATGGAATATTATTCAGCCATAACAAGAAATAAAGCACTGATAGCTGCTAAAATATGGATGAACCTAAAAAACAATATGCTAAGTCAAAGGAGCCAGATACAAATGACCACATGTTGTATTATTTCATTTATGTAAAATGTCCAGGATATGTAGATTCACAGAGATAGAAAGTGGATTGGAGGTTATTAGGAGGTTAAGATTGTACAACATTTTGAATGTACTAAGTGTTACTGAATTACATACTTTAGAATGATTATTTTTATGTCATGTAAAATAATAATCCTTTAGGGAAACAGCAACCATCCTTGTGGTATGCACCACAGGTGAAAGGCAAACTCATTCTGCTTTCTACTCAGTATTTGGCTTAGGCTTGCTAGCCTGGTCATCTCTCAGGTGGTTGCCATTTTCTTTTTGTGTTTTCTTCTAATTACTCTTAGCAATGCATCCTTTCAGGGTTTACGAGGGACATAGGTGTATAGGATTTGAAACTATCCAGACCTGGTAGTGCAAGCAGTGACGTCTTCTCACTCTTCGGCAGTTTGCTTAGGGCATCTTAGTTGGTAAAGGAGTCAGGAAAGTCAGAGCAGAAGAACGAGGAGATAACGTTTGAATTCAGAGGGACCAAGGTTGTGACAGGCACTTCCTTTATAAATGTTTATCATTTTGTGTGTACATTTAATTAATTACATCATTGTAAGTTAAACCCATTGCAATCTATAAAGACTCCTTTTCTGAACCTCTCTGGTAAAACAAAACCTACACTCTTAGTTGTTTATAAGTTGTATTTTATAGAAAACTTGTATTTTACCCTCAAGAGAAAGCACAAGATAATGGGAAGGACAATTAACCCTGCCTTGGAGGTTGAGCAGAGATGACTGATTTTACTTTTTTTGGACTTGGTTTTCCTATGTGTAGATGAAGCGGTTGAACCAGTGATCCCCAAGGACACTTTAAGATCTTTTATTATATTTTATTTAATCCTTTAATATTTTGAATGATACTGTTTTCCTAATTGCAACTATCTTCTTCATGCTTCTGAAGTATCCAATGGAAACAATCCCTGTACCAAAACACTTTTTCCCCCTTAAGTTTATCCTAATTAAAGTAACAAGACACTAAATATGTGATGAGTGATAGAACTGTCAGTCATGTAAAATTAAATCCAGGAAATGGAAGCATCTGGATGCTCACTGGTTTAGCTGCCAAGTCCAACCACTATTATTTGATTGACTTCAAATAATTATGACTTCATTGAATAATTGATTATTTTTAGATGATATAAAAACTTATTTTTTTCTGATTCTTCCTGGATAATTTGTGAATTTCAAACATTAGATTTTGTTATAAAACATTTTCAACATAACTATTTGTCTTGAATACTATTTTAAGCTGCTTACAACTTCATGGGAAAAATCATTTTCTTTGGTAAAAATACTCAAAAGATAAATTTAGAAGTATGGCAGTCAAATCAGAATATATATAATGTTATTTAAAGTTTAGCACTCTAGATATCACATTTTAAAACCCAATCTGTTCACTGAATTTGTAATACATGACTTGTAGCAGAGGTATCCTAATTTATACTTCATTTGCAATTTTTAACTTTAAAAAATGTAATTTCCATTTGGTTTTAATTTTAATTAAAAATTTAAAAAATATTAAGTGCAAGCACCTTCTCTCTCTGAATGTGTATGTGTGTGCTGGAGATAGTCTAATAGGTATAAATAGGGAGAAAATTTTGATTTTTAGTGATGTATATTCAGGCAAAATATTATGCATCCCTCTTTTTTTCAGGTCTCTTGATTGCAATTTATAATAATAATAATGATAATGGTACAATAACATGCTTGGCCATAAAAATACCTTTGATTTAATACATTTTTCCCTAAGAAACACAGCATTATCTTTAAGCAACACATGCAATTCTGCTACTCAAACTTGGCATTTGAATTGATTTCAGTCATGCAAGCACTAAAACATTGCTTGACGTGATTGGTTTTACTGCCTTTGAAGGAATTATTACAATGTCTTAAATCAGTAGCATCTGTAGCCACTAAAATCTTTGTATGGTCTACTGCCATTCATCAGAGAAGGAAAATTTCTTCAAGTGGTTCTCACATCACAGACTTTTCACTGTGGTAAAGATTGGAATCTTTTTCACACATTGAAATTTGGAACTATTAACAGGATCCAGCTAGACATAGAATTTGTATCATTTTCCCAAGATAAATCCTTCTTGAAGAATTGCTTGGTTTTTGCACGTGTGAGGAAAAAGCTTCAAACTTCTGGGACCAATTGCTTCTCGTTGAAGAGTAAGTTGGGAGGTGATTAATAGGATCAAACTCCTATACTTAGCCCATAGAAAATCCACAAACTGCTCTGAGGCATCTCAGGTCAGCAGCTAAGAATGGATGTTCGTGGCTTAATCCAGGATCATTCAATATTTTATTTATTTAACAAATACTTAAGCAATATGCTTGGTTTTGGAGAGGATTACAAAGATTTTCTCCCAGCCCTAAAGGAGTTTAGAATCTAATTAAGAAGAAAAGATACATATTTCTGGGTATTATTATTTGCCTTTTCACATAGATGGACTAGAAGCAAAATTTAAAAAAAAATAGAGAGGATTTATACTAGCAGAAGGAAAAGGGGGAACTTGTGACATATCTCATGACTGAAATACAGGCATGTCTAGACTGCTGTTTTAGGAGATAAGGAATCATAAGTCTTTGAGCAGGTTTGAGTTTGAACAAGTGCATAAGAATGATTGAAAAGGAGAGAGATAAGAATAAGGGAGTCAGCTACGAGTTTATTACATTAATTCAGCCATACAATCATTGACATCAAAACTATTGTATTTAGAAGTGAAGCTGAAGAGAAAGATTTGTAAAAGAAATATTTTTAAAAAATAGAATAAGCAAGGTTTTATGGTTTTTTTTCCCTTGAAATATGAGACCTAATGGCTTAAGAAGAATAATAAATATCCTTGAGATTTTCAGCTTGACTGGGAGAAGAATTTTTTCCACCAGCTGAAAATCAGTAAGCCCATTTAAAAGCTCTAAGACTTCATGCTTTAGAGGCCAAATAATTAAAATGCAGACCTCTTTTAGACCCGGCAGCCTCTAGGGTTGCTTTCAAATTTCCTCAAAGTAGTTTTGAGTACAATTCCACAGTGAAGCTGTCCTAAAAATCTTGTTACTCAAGTATAGCTGGTTTTGGGACCTTGGGACACCCTGAGGAAATTTATATAAAACATCTTAGATTATTTTGGCAAGATAAAGGAGATTAAGAGGTGAATTTCAAGGCTACACACTGTGTTCCCGACTTCACTTGAGCAAAGTATCATTTAGGTTAACCTAAGACTTAGACTTACTGATCCAGCATACCAGTAACGTAGCTATCAGTATGTAGATATCTAGGCTTGAATATCTATATTTTTCACAAGCACTCCAGTATATTCTAATGCAAGGAGTCCAAGGACTTCACTGAGAAACACTGCCTTTGACATACTGCATATTCCTCAGCTTAATATTGTCATTAGGGTTGGATATTTTGAATTTTTTGCAGGGCATAGGTATGAGTTTGTAGCCCATTGGTGTGTGTGTGTGTGTGTGTGTGTGTGTGTGTGTGTGTGCGCGCGCGCGTGCATGTGTGTGTAGTAAGCAAACACTGGGAGACCTGATATCCCTCTGAGATGTACTCCTGTTCCAGCTTGCTCTCAGAATCATTGAGATTTTACTACTGGGCAGGAGACTTGAAATTAAAATAGGGATTTGAAAACAAAATGAAAAGCCTGATGTTAGAGAATAAATTTTCTTTTGCTTTCCACCAGTGATTTTGTTTTTGCCTTAATAATCACTTTCCTCCCCTATATTTTGACCACAGTCTCAAACAATTCTATGTGTAAGATCCGCAAGCATTGAGCTATGATATATACAATGGGATTCAATAAATATGAACCTTCAAACTTCCTGGATGGTAAAATGAGCAACTGTCTATTTTAAAAAGGTAGGTGAAGGACTCATTTAGTAACCTTGAAAGATACCTTAGTGACATCCTTTAAAATAAATGCCATATGGTCCTTGTTTCCAATCTGGAGAAGATGGCTGATGTATCCACCAGTGAAAAGGTGTATCACATGCCTTTTCTGTGCTGACAGAACACTGGTTGGGATCTCCTTATGGTGACACCTGCCAGGGAAGCCTGCATCAGGCAAACATCTGGGAGTTCTCTGATGTACGGCAGACTGTGATTGTTTCCAGACTTGCTTGGCATGCTCTCTCACTGAGCGTAGTTCCAAGATGATTAGCATATGTCTAGAATGGATAACTGAGTCTTTGTATTTTAGGAGCTTGAACTGTATAAGTGGAATGCCAACTAATTTTGGAACAGCTCTAAGGTAAAACTAGGCCCAAACAATTCTAATATATAGAGCACTCTTTTTTTTCTAATGTGCTTATTTATTATACATATTTGGTTCTGATATGTATGCTGAAGGATAGCCCTATGTGCTATCAGGGAAGGGGAAAAGTCAGGCACTCATGTGGCTTTTTTGGTTTACAAAATGCAGAAACTGCTTTAAAACTGAGCTTTTGACTATTTTGATGATTTTGAGGCAGGGATGAATAGTGCCTTCGTTGATCAAGTGACCCTGATGCCTTTGTGAGGGCATTGTAGGGAAGCATCCATCAAGCTATCTTGTCTTCACTCAGAAATTTCTCACTGGAGCCATAGTACATAGAAGTCTTCAAAGGATTGCTAAGATAGCATGTGCAGCTGGGGCAAATGAAACAAATCTGTTTTTTATTATTTTATAGATGACATTGGTGAGAAAAAATAATTTTCCACAAATGAATATATTCATGTAATTATGCAATAAAAAGCTGTGCATTCACTGGAAACAACATGATGATGTTCTCATGCAACCAGATTGTCACCTTCATTTTAATAATCCTGTATGTTGCATGTGGCAAGCATGCGGCCTCTTCCCCTGCATTCTCACTGAAGTCTCAAAATTACCTTATGGTATGTCACAAGTAGTGAGAGTAGTGACAAGGAATGGTATTTTACAAACAAGTAAGTAGTAGAGTTTTATTTTCTAAGAAAGAGAATTGTTAAAGCCAGGCAATTCTTTTGTATTTATCCCATTTTACTAAAACACCAACCACTTTACCCACTTATGCTTGTTACATAACTGCAATACTGTGATGTACAAATTTTCAAAATATAAAAGAGTAATTTCTCAGAGACTTTAGGAGTCTAGATGGATACCACGAGGCAAAGATCAGGTAATACACAACTTTATCTCAATTTATTGAGGACATAATAAGTGGCCAATTATTCTTGATGATAATGAAAGGAATCAGTTAGATAGGTTAATAGGAAAACATAAAATATACTAGTGCCACAGAATTAAGTATATGGAACCAAAAAAAAGTGATTTTCAAAATTAGAATATTATTACCTTGGTCAAAATATGGTATTCCTTTTTCTGTGCTAATGATTAATAGACATCTAAATCACTTAATATAAATTATACATTCTACATATAATGAATGTGACTAGTTAGTATGGCATATTAAAATAACATATGGTTGGTGTGGTCTTGGGGCCAGCAGCATCGACATCACCTGGAAATTAATTAGAAATGTACATTTTGGAGCTCCACTCTCCAAGACCTATAGAATCAGAAACTTTGGAGTGAGTTCCAGAAATCTGTGTTTTATCAAGCCCTGGTGATTCTGATGGATGCTCAAGTTTGAGAACCACAAAGAAAGAGAATCAAGGTGTAATATCTGTGTCTACAAACTTTAGGAATCCAATTTTCTTTGATGTATTTCCTAAGCCAAATTTCATTGAAAATGTGAATTTTGGAAAAAAATTATAATCTTCTTTAGTATATTTGTAATATATTGTAATTAATTTATCTATAATTGACAAATAAAAATTGTATTTATTCTGTACAGATGATGTTTACAAATATGTATACATTGTGGAAATGGCTGAATCAAAATAATTAACATGTGCATTATCTCACATACTTATTTTTGTGACCAGACCATTAAAATCTATTCTTTAAGCAGTTTTAAATAACATAATACATTGTTACTAACTGTAGTAACCACATTGTGCAATAGATCTTTTGAATGTGCTTCTCTTATATAACTGAAATTTTTGATCCTTTGACCAACCTTGCCTTAGGTTCTGGTAGCTATTATTATACTCTCTGCTTCTGTGAGTTCAATGTTATTAGATTCCACATATGAGTGAGACCATGCTGTATTTGTCTCTCCTTGCTTGGCTTATTTCACTTAACATAATGTCCTCTAGGTTCATCCATGTCATCACAAATGACAGGGATCCTTTATAAAAACTGAATAGTATTCCATTGTGTATTTATACCACATTTTCTTTATTTATTCATCTGTTGATGGACACTTAGGTTGATTCTATACCTTGGCTCTTTTGAACAATACTGCTATGAACAAGAAGGGAGTGCAGACATCTCTTCAAAATAATGACTGTATTTCATTTCTGTGTATACCCAGTGGTGGAATTGCTGGATCATATTGTAGTCTATATTTATTTTTTTTGAGGATCCTCCATACTGTTTTCCATAATAGCTGTACAAATTCACATTCCCACCAACAGTGTGCAAGGGTTCCCCTTCTGCACATCCTCACCAACACTTATCTCTTATTTTTTGAGCCATTCTAACAAGTGTGAGGTGATAGGTCATCGTAAATTTTATTTGCAATTTCCTGGAGATTAGTTATTTTGAACATTTTTTTCATGTATCTGTTGGCCATTTGTATGTCTTCTTTTGAGAAATGTCTATTCAGATCACTTGACCATTTTTTTTTTTTAAAGATAAGATCTCTCCATGTTGCCTAAGCTTGACTCGAACTTGTGGGCTCAAGAGATCCTCCTGCCTCACCCTCCTGAGGAGCTGGGACTGACTACAGCCATGTACCACCATGGCCAGCTCCTTTTAACCATTTTTTGATCAGGTCATTTGTTTTCTTGCTATTGAGTTGTTTGGTTTCCTTATACATTTTGGATATTAACCCCTCATCAGATGTTTGGTTTGCAAATATTTTCTTCCATTCTGTAGGTTGTCTCTTTGTGCTGTTATAATTACTATAGCTTTGTATTATATTTTGAAATCAGGTAGTGTGATGCCTTCTGCATAGTTTTATTTTTATGCTCAAGATTGCTTTGGCTATTTGGGGTCTTTTATGGTTCACATGAATTTTAAAATTGCCTTTTCTATTTCTATGGAAAATCTCTTTGGAATTTTGACAGTTATTGCATTGAATGTGTATATTACTTTGAGTAGTATAGATACTTTAACACTATTTCCTCCAATCCATGAACACCAGATATTTTTATATTTATTTATATATTTTAAAATTTCTCTCAGTATGTTTTATAGTTTTTGTTGTGTAGATGTTTTACTTCTTTGGTTAAATTTATTCCTAAGTATTTCTATTTTTGCAGCTATTATAAATCAGATTTTCTTAATTAATTTTTGAGAAATTTTGTTGTCTATAGGTATACTACTGATTCTTGTATCTTGGTTCTGTATACTTTACTGACTTTTTTTGTTATTTCTAACAATTTTTGGTGGAGTCTTTAGACTTTTCTCTATATAAGATCATGTCATCTGCAGACAATGACAATTTAAAAATCTTTCTTTTCTATTTGGTTGTGTTTTATTTTTTCTCTTGCCTAATTACTCTTAAGACTTCCTGTACCGTGTTGAATAAAAATGGTGAGAGTGGACATTCTTTTCTTGTTCCTGATCTTAGAGAAAAATATTTCAATGTTTCACTGTTGAGTATGGTGTTAGTTGTAGGTTTGTCATATATGGCCATTAGTGTCTTGATGTGTGTTCCTACTATAGCTAATTTGTTGAAAATTTCTATCATAAAGTGATGTTGACTTTTGTCAAATGCATTTTCTGCATCTATTGAGATTATCGTATGGATTTTGTCCTTTGTTTAGTCAATGTGGTGTATCAAATTTATAGATTTGGTTATATTCATGCCTCTCTGTGATATTCCACTTGATCATGGTGAATGATCTTTTCAATATGCAATTGAATTCTGTTTTCTAGAATTTTTTGAAAATTTTTGCATGTGTGTTCATCAGGGACACTGGTCTATAGTTTTTGTTGTTGTTGTTGTGTCTTTGTCTGGTTTTGGTATCAGGCTAATGCTGGCCTCATAATATAAGGAAAGCATGTACTCTTATTTTTTTTGGAAGAATTTCAGAAGGACTAGTATTAGTTCTTTAAATGTTTGGTATATTTCACCAGTGAGAGCATCAGATCCTGTGGTTTTCTTTGATGGAACATTTTAAATTACTGATTCAATTTCCTTTCTCATTGGTCTATTGAAATGTTCTATTTTTGTGATTTAGTCTTGGTAGGTTGTATGTGTCTAGGAATTTATTTCTTCTAGTTTATTTGATTTTTTGACATACAATTGCTTATAGTAGTCTCTTATGACCATTTTGTATCTGTGGTACCATGTTAATGACCTCTTTTTCATTTCTGATTTTATGTATCTGAATTGTATCTCTTATTTTAGTGTAGCTAAATGTTTGTAGACTTTAGCTTTTCAAAGAAGCAGCCATTCAATTAACTTTCTCTAATGTTTTTCTAAATCTTATTTCATTTGTTTATGCTCTGATCTCTAATATTTTCTTCCTTCTAACTTTGGGCTTTTTTTTATCTTCAATAAATGATGCAGAGAAAAGTGGATATCCATATGCAGAAGAATAAAACTAGAAACCCTCATCTTTCACCATATACAAAAATCAAATCAAAGTGAATGAAAGACTTAAATGTAAGACCCAAAACTATTAAACTACTAGAAGAAAACATTGGGCAAACTCTTCAGGACATTGGTGTGGGCACATATTTTTGGGAAGAGATCTCCAAAGCACAGGAAACAAATGCAAAGATAGACAAATTGGATTACACCAAGCTAAAAAGCTTCTGTGTGGCACAGGAAACAATCATCAGAGTGAAGAAATAATCTGAAGAATGGGAAAAAATATTTTCAATCTACATCTGGCAAGGTGTTGATATCCAAATTACATAATAAGCTCAATCGACTCAGCAGAAAAGAAACCAAATAGTCTGATTAAAAAGTGGGCCAATAATTTGAATAGATATTTCTTAAATAAAAACATGAAAATGGCCAATAGTATATGAAAACATGCTCAACATCATTCTGTGTTTTTAATGTATAATGTAATCTATTTATATTCAAGGTATTATTATTATTAATTTCTATTAATAGACAGAGTCTCACTCTATTGCCCAGGCTGGAGTCCAGTGGCTCAATCTTGGCTCACTGCAACTTCTGCCTCCCAGGTTCAAGTGATTCCCATGCCTTAGCCATCTGAGTAGCTGGGATTATAGGTGTGCGCCACCATGCCCGGCTAATTTTTGTATTTTTAGTAGAGATACGTTTTTGCCATGTTGGCCAGGCTAGTCTCAAACCTCTGGCCTCAAGTGATCTGCCCACCTCAGCCTCCCAAAGTGCTAAGATTACAAGCATGAACCACTGCATCCAGCTCAAGGTAATTATTTTGAAGTAAGAATTTACTGACATTTTGTTCATTGGTTTCTGGTTGTAGAACCCTTGTTACTTTCCTCCTCTTTTGCTGCCTTCCTCTGTGATGAGGTTATTCTTTTCTAGTAAAATGCTTTGACTCCTTTCTTTTTCACCTTTGCGTATCTACTAATTTTTTTTGCTTTGTGATTAACATACAGTTTACAAAATCATAGAGTCATAACAGGCTATTTTAAGCTGATAGCATTGATCACATACATAACTTTATACTTTTACTCCATACATTGTCCCTGGATTTAGGAGTGGGACTAGTTCCTGTATTTTTTGGAACATGGTTCCCCAGGGACAGTCCTTGAAGCTGGGAGCAACCTTATGCTGGGGCCAGCATAGAACCAGGGTCTGTGATTGACTGGTCTGGATCCTAGGATCATAGGAACTAGCTTTGTACCTGGAGCCACTGGGACTGGCCTGGGGCCTGAAGTCATGATGACTAGCTTTGAGCCTGTATCTGCTGGTGTTGGTGTGGATAATAATATTCAGGTGCTGGCCTAAAGGCTAGGTCTATGAGGGATGTCCTGGGGCTTGGGGCCTTGGAAACTATTCTGGGATCTGGGTACAAAGGGGCAGCCCTAGAGAGCTTTCATTCATGGGGGCTGGTCCACCTCTGGAGTCTACTGGGACAGGTCTGGACCCTGGGTCTGCTGGAGCAGGCCTGGAACCTAGGTCTTTTGAAACATGGAACTACAAGGGCCAGTCTGGAAGCTGGGGCCTTGGGGACTGGCCTGACATTGGCCAGGCCTGGAACTTGTATCTGTTGGTATCCGCCTGGTATTTAAGGCCATGGGCATCAACCTGACACTGAGTATACTTGAAGCTTAAGGCAGCAGGGGCTGTTTTAGCACTGGGTAGGCCTGGTTCATTTATTAATAAGTGAACTGATATACAATAACAGAAGGGGCAAAAATTAGAGACTGAATTAAAATGCTACCCTGCACAAGAAGCTTCTTTCAATATAAGACTCTCCAGGAACATCTTTCCAACTTAATTTATTCAGCATTTTGTACTACTTATTTTTAGTTAATTAATTAATTATTTTTGAGACACAGTCTGTGTCACCCAAGCTGGAGTGCAGTGGCACAATCTTGGCTTACTGGGCTTACTGCAACTTCTGCCTCCCAGGCTCAAGAGTTTCTCGTGCCTCAGCCTCCTGAGTAGCTGTGATTACAGGTGTGTGACACTAAACCTAGCTTATTTTTGTATTTTTTAGTAGAGACAGTGTTTCGCCATATTGGCTAGGCTGGTCTTGAACTCCTGACCTCAAGTGATCCTCCCACCTCAGCCTCACAAAGTGCTGGGATTACAGGCATGAGCCACCGCACTTGGCCTACTAATTATAATGAACTACCTCATACCATTGCTCCACAAACACACGTCTAATCCTTGGGCTAAATCATTAGCCTTTGCAGTACAGAAAGAATGTCTTAATCAGTTCCTTTTATTACACTCTGTAGTATAATGCCTTAAATATATTATGTGTTCTCTAAATATGTCACAGGTTCATTTCTTATTCACTACGTTTCTCAACCTAGTATGGGTATCAGGGAATGATTCTGTTTCCTCATATGTGCAATGAGGGTTGAACTAAACCATTTCTACTGTCTTTCTGGCTCTGATTGTCTATAGTTCTATATGTAATATACCTTCAAAATAGATATCTTTTTGTTTTTGAAAGGTTTTTACTTCAACTATAAGAAGTTGGAAGGATTGCAACTTAATTCTTAACAAAGGACGTTTTGGTAAGTTAGTTAAAAATTTGCAACTGCCTGAGATGTCAAGCTGAATATAATAATGAGCTGAGTTAAAAATAATTTAATGAATTCATGCATCCTTTTAATACTTATAATTTAGAATAGGCAAAAAATGGCTTCTATGAAAATGGATCATGCTAAAATATCCCTACCACATAACTGGTAATAAAACTACCATGATAGGTTACACCTGTACTCAATTACAATGCTATTGAAAAAATAATTTTGATTTTTCAAATTATGCAGATCTTTTTAATCCAGAATTTGAGGCTGGTTTACTCTCTTTCTTCTAGATTTTCATCTCAGATGCTAGCCTTTCATTTTACAGAAATATATCTGTGTTCTCTTCAGTCATGTCATGTTGGTGAGTTTTTATGTTTTCACTGTATCTAATTCTCTACTCCTCCTCTGACTCCTGGGCAACGTTCAGGGCTAAAATATGTGGATCTCTTCCCAACTCTCTAATAAGAAGCCATTGAAAGAATAAGTCTACTCCAAGCACCTATCTCCCCAAAGGCAGACACTGAAGCAACCCCAGGACCAGCCTAATTCCTTCTCCACTGATTTATTACAGAGAACTGGCATTCTCCTCATTTCTTTGGAGGTGAAAGTAAATGGGCTGTATGTTATCTCTTAACCCCTTTGTAAAGAGATAGAAGTATTCTTGAAGGTGTGCCTCAATAACTATAATAAAAGGTATACATGTAATTCCTCACTTCATCCTTACAATAATCCCAACAGTTATTTCCAATATTATATTATTAGCTCTATTTCTAGTTGTAGAAACCGAGACTGAGATATAGTAAGTGAATTATTGTAATTTATAAGTAATACAGACAGTACTCAAATTCTTATCTAACACCAAAGCTTATTTTCAAGAAATACAATTATTCAATAAATACAATTTTGAAGCTCTTGTTTAAGGGATAAAACATAAGATTTTGACTTGTATATGTCTCCCTCCTCACACTACACCCCTCCAGTAGAGTACCTTTTGTAGGCCAAGTCAATTTGAGGATGATGAAATATTATAAATCCACACATTACATACAAGCCTTTTCTATTAGTATTATAATTTTTTCCACTTGAGGTCAATATTAAAGATCATCTTTTATGTTATAAAGAATAGCTAATAGAAAAACGTGTGAATAAGGATTATGCTGTGTTGTGGCTCATGATTATTTATTGACTTGAGACTTGGGCCTTTGTGAGAACTAAAGTCTGTGACATAGCAATGCACGTGAATGAAGCACAGTGGATTCTGTTTAGAAAATGCAAGATCTGCAATTCACATCTTGTCAGCTTTAAGCTTATTACTAAACATTACCCCTCTCTCAGATATAAAAGTCACTCCCATTTAAACAAAAGATTAAAATTCATGATAAATGTAGATAGGATGCTAATTAACAAAGGTGTTCACAACTGCCATTTTGAGCAGAATTCAGCCTTAGCTTCCTGTTGACAGATTTCAGTTTGCAATTGTACGCTTGTCGTTTTGCAACCAGTGCTTGAAAAATAACAAGACAATTTATGTTATTTATATGGCAAAATATCATACTGAAGCCAATGTTTATGCTGTCTAGAGTAGTTTTCAGTGAAGGAAAACCTGTTTTAAGACTAAACTTATTTTATTTTTTGCTGGCAGTTATACTACTATTATATGTATAAAGATAGTGATTAATTAATAGGAAGGAGTTCGAGAACAGTGATCTTCAGCTATAATGGAGGAACTTGCTAACAGAATGGAGTTCTGTGTATAAGGAAGACATGAAAATGAAAGCTACCCTATCTAGAGAAAGCTCTCCCAGCTACTGAAGATATACATAGGAAAAAATCAATTAGCACAGACTAGAATTGAAAATCATGTGGTTTATTAAATAATGAAATGGTTTTTAGTGAAGAAAATGCAAACAATTTTGGGACCAAGGATGATAAAACTAGTATCCTTCTCTGGAGAGCTGGTGTAAAAATTAATGCTGGCTAAGTGAAATCCTTCTTTCCTTATTGATTTAGCTTCCCACTAGGATGTGGGCAAATAAATAATTTTTTATGCCCAGATGATAATAGGAGGATTAGGTTAAAACTTGTTTTGGAACAGAGTGAATGGAGAAATGTACAATCTATTGATTTAGCTCAAGACACATGTTTTAAAGAAATTGGGACTGCAAAAGTGGAAGCTAAAAAAAGGAGGAGATAAAAAGCCCCTATTTAGTTATCTCTCAGGCCACATATACCCTGAGGTCTCAATGACCCAATGTGCCTTTCCATATTATAGACCCAATACGATTGGTGATATGCAGAGTTGTTTCTTACCTAACGCCACAAGTGATATTGACAAAATGACAAGTATAGATGAACACTTGTACATTGAGTCCTGCATGCTAAATCCCCACTTGGAGATGCATTATCAAACAAAAAGGCTCTCAAACATGTCCAGGGAGCCAGGAGATGGATCTTTTTCTTTTAATAACTTTTAAGTTCATGGTTACATGTGCAGGTTTGTTACATAGGTAAATGTGTGTCATGAAGATTTGTTTTACAGATTATTTAATCACCCAAGTATTAAGCCTAGTACTGATCAGTTATTTTTCCTAATCCCCACCCTCCTACCACTCTCCACCATGTGATAACACCCAGTGTACATTTTCCCCTCTTTGTGTCCATGTGTTCTTATTGTAGATACTTTTCTAAATGTGGTAAGACATCAGACTCTTGCAGCAGGAAGAGATGACTAGATATTAGCTAGGTAACTAGCTACCTATTAACTACCTATTAAATGGTAATTGCCTACTAACCAAATATGAACTAGCTATTAACTAGCTCTCCAGCTATTAACTAGATCTTAACTAGTTAGTAACCAGTCACCTAGCAATTAGCCAGTAGTCATCTAGCAATTAAGTAGCTGTAAACTAGGTATTAACTAGCTATTAACAAGCAATTATCTACTATTAACTAGCTATTAACTAGCAATTATCTACTATTAACTAGCTATAAACTAGCAATTATCTAATATAAGCTAGCAAAAATCTATTAACTAGCAATTATCTGAGCTATAAACTAGCAATATAAGCTAGCAAAAATCTATTAACTAGCAATTATCTGCTATTAACTAGCTATTAACTAGTTATCAAATAGCTGTCCAGGTATTAACTGGATTTAACTAACAATTTAGCAAATAACTAGCTGTTAACTAGTCATTAACTAGATGTCCAGCTATTAACTAGAACTTAACTAGTAATCTAGCAATTAACTAGCTTTTAACTAATTAGCTGTCCAGATAGTAACTAGACCTTAAATACTTATTTAGCTAGTAACTGGTCATCTAGCTATTAACCATAATTTAGCTATTAAATGGCAATTATATGCTATTAACTACCTATTAACTGGCTGTTAACTATATATTAACTAGCTGTTAACTAGCAATTATCTGCTATTAACTAGCTATTAACTCGTTATCTAGCTGTCCAGCTATTATCTAGATCTTAAGTCATCTGGAAATTAGCTAATAACTAACATTAACTTGTTATTAACTAGGTGTCCAGCTATTAAATGTAACTTGACCAGTCATCTAGTCATCTCACAATTAAGTAGCGAGTAACTAGTTATCTAGCAACTAAATGCTGTTAAATCTATGTTCTAGCTATTAACTAGTAATTATCAACCATTGGCTATCGCAATTAACTAGCAAGTAACTAGTTATCTAGCAATTAAATAGCTGTTAACTATGTATGATCTATTAACTAGGAATTATCAACAATTAACTGGCTATAAACTAGCAATTATCTACTACTAACTGGCTATTAACTACATATTAACTAGCCATCTGGCTATTAACTAGATTTTAACTAACAATATAGCAATTAACTATCCACTAACTAGATATTAACTAGTTATAAACTAGCCATCGAGCTATTTAGATCTTAACTAACAATCTAGCAATTATTTAGCTACTATCTTGGTATTAACTAGTTAACTGGCTATAAACTAGTGATTATTTACTAGCTATTAACTACTTATTAACTAGCCCTCTGTCTATTAAGTATATCTTAACTAACAATCTAGCAATTAACTAGCCACTTGCTAGCTATTAACTGGTTATCAACTAGCCGTCCAGCTATTAACTAGATCTTAAGTAACATTCTAGTAATTAGCTACTATCTGGCTATTAACTTGTTATTAACTAGCTCTCCAGCTATTAACTGGACCTTAACTAGTCATGTGGCAATTAGCTACTAAGTAGGTATTAGCCGTCCAGCTCTTAATCTTAACTAATTAGCTAGTAACAATCTTTGCAGTTAACTAGCAAATTACTAATTTATTAAATAGCTATTAATATATTAACTTGCTGTTAACTACTTGTATAATTTATTAACTATATATTAAATACAACTTATTTACTAACCAAATATTAACTAGCTATTAAACTATTAAGCTATTGAACTGTTAAAATAGGTGTACAGCTATTAACTAGATCTTAACTAGTTATCTAGATAGAAACCACTCATCTAGCAATTAGGTACCCAGTACCTAGTTATCTAGCAATTAAGTAGTTGTTAACTATGTATTAAATAGCTGTCCAGCTACTAAATGTAAACTAGCAAATTACTAGCTATTAATAAGTTATTAACCAGCTCTCCAGCTACTAACTAGATCTTAACTCCTTATCTAGCTAGTAACCTGTCAAGTGGATATTAATCATAAATTAAGCTATTTACTAGCAATTATCTACTATTAGCTATTAACTAGCTACTAATTATGAACTTGTTTTTATAGCTATTAATTAGCTATTATACAGTTATCTGGCTGTTACCTAGAAATTATTTATCCAGGCATTAGCTAGCTAATAGCCTGCTGTGAACTAGCAATATAGCTGATAAGCAGTTATTAACTACTATCTGGTTAACTATTAACTAGCTATTCACTAATCCAGTTATTATTCCACTATTAAGCAGCTGTCTAGCTATTAACTTGAACTAAAATAGTTATCTAGCTTGTAAACAGCCATCTAGCAATTAACTAGCTGGTAATTTAGGTATTAATTGGCTGATATACATTACTAGCTATTCACTAATCCAGTTATTATTCCACTGTTAAGTAGCTATCTAGCTATTAACTCGAACTAAAATAGTTATCTAGCTAGTAACCAGCCATCTAGCAATTAACTAGCTGTTAACTATATATTAACTAGCTATTAACTAGCAATTATCTACTATTAAGTAGCTATTAACTAGCAATTATCTGCTATTAACTATCAACTGGCAAATATCTACTATTAAGTATCAAGTATCTATTATAACTAGCTATTAACTAGTTATTAACTAGCTGTCCAACTATTTATTGCATTTTAACTGGTCATCTAAAAGTTAACTAGCTAGTAATTAGTTTTTAACTAGCTGTCCAGCTATTAACTAGATCTTAACAAATCATCTGGACATTAACTAGCTAACATCTAGTGATTATCTAGCAATTACCTAGCTAGATTAACTGGCTATATGGCCGTTACCTAGCAATTATCCAGGCATTAACTAGGTAACATCATATGAACTGTATATTTAATAGCTATTAACTATATATTAACTAGCTGTTAACTATTAACTAGAACTTATCTACTAACCAAATATTAACTCGCTATTAAACTAGCTGTCCAGCTATTAACTAGATATTAACTAGTTTTCTAGCTAGAAACCACTCATCTAGCAATTAGGTAGCCAGTACCTAGTTATCTGGCAATTAAGTAGCTGTTAACTATGTATTAGCTGTTAACTGTGTATTAGCTGTTAACTGTGTAACTAGCTGTTATCTAGATTTTAACTAGTCATCTAGAAATCAGATAATTAACCATTAACTACTTAACTAGATGTCCAGCTGTTAAGTAGAACTTGAGTGGTTAGCTAGTTACAAGTCATCTAGCAATTAACTAGCAAGTATCTAGTTATCTAGCAATTAAATACTTGTTACCTATGTATTAACTAGCTATTAACTAGTAATTACCAACTATTAACAGGCTATAAACTAGCCATTTTCTACTATTAATTAGCTATTAACTAGCTATTCAGCTATTGACTAGATCTTAAATAGCGATCTCACAATTAACTAGCTACTAACTAGCTATTAACTAGTCATCCAGCTGTTAACTAGATTTTAACTAACAATCTGGCAATTAACCAGCTGTTAACTGGCTATTAACTGGTTAGCAACTAGCTTTACAGCTATTATCTGTAACTTAACTGATAATCTAGCCATTAACTAGCTATTAACTAGCTTTCCAGCTATTAACTAGATCTTAACTACTTATCTAGCTGGTAACTACTTTTCTAGCTATTAACTATATATTAGCTAGCTATTAACTAGCAATTATCTAGTATTAGCTACTGTAAACTGATTTTCCAGATATTAAGCTATTATACAGTTATCTGGCCATTAATTAGCAATTAGTTATTCATGCATTAGCTAGCTAATAGCCTGTTATGAACTATCAATATAGCCAGTAACTACTTATTATCTAGTATTCAGTTAAGTAAATATTAACTATCCACGAATTATCTTGCTAATTCACTATTACCTAGTTGTCTAGCTATTAACTCGAACTAAAATAGTTATCTAGGTGGTAACCAGTCATCTAGCAATAAACTAGCTAGTAACTTCTTATCTAGCTAATAGCTAGCTGTTAACCATACATTAACTAGCAATTATGTCATATTAACTAGCATTTATCTACTATTAGATGGCTATTAACTAGCAATTATCTATTAATAACTAGCTATTAACTAGTTATTAACTAGCTGTCTAGCTATTTACTGGACCTTAACTAGTTTTCTAGCAAGTAACTAGACACTTAGCAATTAACAAGTAACTAGCTACTAACCATGCAATAACTGGTTTTCTAGCTCTTAACTAGCTGTTATATACTTATTTGGTTATTAACTAGCAATTATTTATTTATGCAGCCATTAGCTAGCTGATACCCTGCTATGAACTAGCAATTTAGCTGTTGACTTGTATTAAATAGTATCCAGTTATCTAAATATTACATAGCCCTTCTCTAATTATCTAGGTATTAATCCACTATTAACTACATAACTAGTTATTAACCAGTTGTTAACTAGCTTTTTAGCTATTAACTTTATCTAAAAATTATGTGGCTAGTAACCAGCCATTTAGCAATTAAGTAGCTAGTAAGAAGTTATCCTGCAATTAACTATCTTTAAACTGTGTATTAACTACCAATTACCTACTAACCAATATTACCTAGCTATTAACTAGTTACTAACTAGCTGGCTAGCTTTTAATTGAACTAAAATAATTAACTAGTAACCAGTTATCTAGCAGTTAGCTAGCTAATTAGTTATTTGTGATTATCTGTTATCTGTATATTATCTAGCTATTAACTGGCAATTATCTTCTAACCTAACTAGCTATTAACTAGATACTAACTATATTAACTGGTTTTCTAGCTATTAGCTAGCTTTTTCATAGTTATCTGGCTATTAACTAGTAATTAGTTATCCAACCATTAGTTACCTAATAGCCTGCTATGAACTAGCAATATAACTGTTAACTAGTATTAACTAGTATCCAGTTAAGTATTTAAGTATCTTTAATATTTATTAGTATTAACTAATTTGACCCAAAGGTTAAGAGGCTTATATGGATAATACAATTAGTGAGCCAAAATGGTGTCTATTGTGGGAACTGTGGACCAATTCTTATTTGTCTTATTGATATGCTTTCATTGAGGTTTTCCCCATGGTGTTTGTATTTGTAGATGTAAATTAATTGTATTTAGAAAAATAAAATAATAACTAATGCTACCATTATCTTTGGGGGGTGTCTTTGTGTGCCTGATATAGTAGTGGGCTTTTTACATATGTTGTTTTGTTTAGTTTCTAATGGAATCTTATGGAAATCTCATGGAGATAGAGATTATTAACCTTATTTTATGAAAGAGAAAACTGAGGCTGAGAGAAGATTCCTTCATTCACTTATACATGCATTCATTCACCATGTATATATTCAGCGTGGAGTATATGCTAGGCATTGCTCTGGTTGCTGGGGAAACATCAATGAACAAAAGAATATATCATCCTTCATGGAGTTTATGTGAAACAGAGGAATGCAGACAACATGAAATATTTGTAGTGATGATTAGTGCTAAGAAATTTTAAAAAGTGTTATAAAAGCTGGGCATGGTGGCTCATGCCTGTAATCCCAGCACTTTGGGAGGCCAAGGCAGGGGCATGGCTTGAGACCAGGAGTTTGAGACCAGCCTGGGTAATATAGTCAGACCTCGTCTCTACAAAACGTTAAAAAAAATTAGCTGAGCATGGTGGTGCACATCTGTCATCCCAGCTATGCTTGAGCAAGGGAGGCTGAGGCTTCAGTGAGCTGAGATCTTGCCACTGGACTCCAGCCTGGGGACAGAGTGAAACTTTGTCTCAGAAACAAAAGGTGCTAGGAAAAAAAAAAATAAGATATACCCTACCTTATAGGATAGGGATAGAGATATACCCTATCTATAGGATAGGGATAGAGAACAAGAGTGCTGCTTTTGTAAGGGTGTTCAGGGAAGACCTGTGATAAAGTGGCGTTTTTGCAGAAACCTGAATTAGGTGAGAGAGGGAGTGATAAAGCCTCCCCTCACCATGACACTGCCAGAAGTATCTATAGCCTCAAATCCTCCTCAGTACCATAAGATAGTACTGCCCAAAGTTCCTCTTTGTAGCAAGGTATCCTTGTATCACAAGAAAGAGACAAAAACAGTTATTGGAATAAAAGACCCCTAACTGCAGAAAAATAAAATTTTCAGAGAGAAACCTCTAAGAACTTACTCAAGTTACTAGGCTAGTTCTTCATATTTCTTCTTCATTTTGTTATATATTTGTAACTTCAATGTACTTGATATGGTTAACTGTCCCCACCCAAATCTCATCTTGAATTTTAGCTCCCATAATTCCCATCTGTCATGGGAGGGACATGGTGGGAGGTAATTGAATCGTGGGGGTGGGTCTTTCCTGTGCTGTTCTCGTGATAGTGAAAAGTCTCACGAGATCTGATGGTTTTATAAAGGGCAGTTCCCCTGCACACGCTCCCTTGCCTGCTGCCATGTAAGACATCCCTATGTTCTTCCTTCGTCTTCTGCAATGATTGTGAAGCCTCCCCAGCTATGTGGAACTGTGAGGCCATTAAATCTCTTTCCTTTATAAATTACTCAGTCACGGGTCTGTCTTTATTAGTAGCATGAGAACAGGCTAATACAGTACTAAAATGCTGAAGGTGTGGAGTTGTCTTGTCTGCCTATAGTCTGTGTTCCTGCTCTCTTTCCTTGAGAGAGAGAAAGAGAGTGGTAGTAGTAAAAATAGTTGTAATTTGAATGAGTCTATAGCCTTTATTTCCGTAACACAAGCTATACATATATCTGTTCAAATATCATCCCAATGAAAGGTAACAGAAAGTCTGAAGATCTGAGGCAGGAGTGTGTTGGTGAGTTTGCCATGTGGGCGAGTATGACTCGAGTGGAGCAAGGAAGAGAAGAGTGGTAGGAGACAAGGTCACAAAGTTAAGGGACAGATCAGGCAAGTAAACAGCTAGAGAGAGTGAAAGAATTCGGATTTAACAAAGATGTTTCTGACTCCAAAGCCAACATTGTTTTCTGCTATGTTTCTGAAAATAGATGGTACCAACTAGAAATGTCTTCATCATTTTGTCACCAAATCTCCTTTCCAGCCTCCGTTAGTACCTTTTGGAATGAAATGCCGTTCTTCAAGTAAAGAGCCAACTTCTCCACAGGGGTGTTAGATCCCAGCCCTCTTATTTTTTCAGAGAAGTTAGTCCTGAAATTCTCTCCTCTCTCTTTCTTGAATCATCAATTTCTTGTGCCTCACTTTACTCATTAGTATACAAGTTTGTTCTGGTGTCTCAGATTTTAAACAAACAAACAAACATGTACACTCATCTCCATACCACTTCCATCAATCATCTTGTCTGTCTTCAAACTAAAAGATAAATTAGTGTCTCTACTTCTTTCCTTATTGATTATTTCCTTAAGCCACTTTCTCAACTCCATTGAGGTTACTCTAGTCAAGTTCACCCGGAACTTGAAGACCTCCCCGATGCCAAATCATTTTCTATTTTCATCTAACTTTGTATCTCATCAGACTTAATAAAATTGACCAGTTCATTCTCGCAGCAGTTTCTCTTTCTTTTGAGACCTCACACTCTTGTTTCTCTGGCTACTCTTTTTCGTGTTTCTTTACTAGATACTCCTTTCTTTCCGATATCTATACAAATTACTGTCTTAGTTCAAGTTCTGTTTCCTTTTTTGCTCGGTCAATCTTCTCTTTCCAAGTGATCTCGTCTAGTTCCTAGTGTTAACTACCATCTGCATATACGGGTGGGTTTCTAAATCTCTATCTCTATCTAATATCTCTTATCTGAGCTCCATATTGTATACTCAGTTCTCCATTTAATATGTCAATTTTATTGCCTAATGGACATCTCAAATCTAATGTATCTTGGTTTCTTTCTTAAACATGGTCTTCTCCTTCCCCGAGAGGATTCAAGTAAAAAACCCCAGCGTCTTCCTGATTTCTCTTTCCCCCCTCCCTCCATTAGCAACTCTTGTTAGTTCTACCTCTGAAACATATCACAAATGTATATACTTTTCGTCACCTGTGCAACTACCAACTTAGTTCTGACCACTATTCTGGTGTATCTGCTTTACTGCAATAATGTCCTAATAGGTCTCCTTACTTTTATGTTTGACATCCTAGCAAAATATTAACTCATAAAACAGCCAGCCTTTTTTGATATAATTGTAGATTTGCATATAAATATGAGAAATAATACAGAGAGACACTGTATACACTTTATTTAGATTTCCCCAATGGTAACATCTTGCAAAACTGTAGTATAGTATTATAACCCAGAAACTGATATTGCTATAGTCAAAATGCTGAACATCAAAAGACGAAATATCATGCTGCCCTTTAATAACCATAGTAACTTTCCTCCTGTCCAGACTCCCTTCTCGGGTCTTGACTGCTAATCTAGTCTCCATTTCTACAACTTTTTCATTTCAAGAATATTGTATAAATGAAATAATGCAGTATATAATATTTTGAGATTTCCATGGAGTTTTATGCAGGATGTTATGTGTATCAATACTTTATTCCATTTTGCTAAGTATTATTGTATGATGCGGATGTACCCGACTTGTATAGCAATAGAGCTGTTGAGGTACATATAGGTTATTTTCAGTTTTGGAGTGATTTTAAATAATACTGTGTTTTTAATTTTAGTTTGCATGTGTTCATTGTTAGTATGTTGAAATGTGCTTGATTTTTTTTTCTGTTAATCTTATAGCCTGTGATTGCTCTGAAGTCACTTATCAGTTTGAGTTAGATAAGGGTCAGTTTTTATAGATTCCTTAAGATTTTCTACTTAGACAATCATGTCATCTTAAAGAATGGATTCGTCATAACGTTGATGTCATTTTATTGTTTTCTTCTCATTCAAGTTGTGATTTTCTTGATTCTTTGGTGGTATCCTGGGCATTTTGTCTATAATATTAGAAAACTCTGGATCCTATTCAATTTTTTTTTTAGTAGGCAGTCGCCCTACTTTTATTTAGTAAGCAGGTCCTGGCCTATTTTAAGGGGCTATAGCTCCAATGGCAATCTGATTTTTAAAGCTTGTGTGGTGCTTTTTTGGTCTGTTTGTTTTACCTAGGAGTACTGAGGCTCTCACTGGTCGTTGCTGGTGGTGCTTTGATGGAATGGAAAGAGATTCTCCAGTTTGAGCCACCTGGTATCTCTAGGAGGGGGAAGAGAGTCCCTGGTCCTACTGGGATGAAGATGACTTCTTGCACTAGTGTGTGTTATTTTGGGATGACTCCTGTGGGTCAGGTCTGCAGCTCATTGTGGCAGGATCATTCTTGCTGGTATTGCATGATGTCTATGGGTGTGGGAGGGGAATCTCAGGCCATTTACTGTTTGGGCACTTGTGGTGGTGGGATGTCCCTCAGTGGCCCCTCATTGTCTCTGGATGGCAGAGGGGAGTCTATACATCTGTGATTTTTCCAATTTCTATCTCAATCCTGCACCTCATCTCTGTGTATTCCATCGGCTGCTTAGTATCTCCATTTTAATGTCTAATGATTATCTCACATCTAATATGTTTTGATTTCTTCCATTATCATCAATATTTACTTATTCATGCAATTTCTGTAGTAGATTCGGCTCCTCTGAAAGCCAGCTTTAAGACCCAGTTGACCCTTGTGGTCAAGATGTTTACTAAGAAATATTATTAGCAGCAACATTTATAGAAGGGAAGGGAAGAAAGCAGGGCTGAGTAAAGGGAGAATTTAAACTGTGATGCATACCCAACAAGACCATACACAGAGATCTGAAGCTAGAATGGTCCTTCAAAATAGTTCCAAATATGGCAGGTATGGCTGTGTCTTCATATTCCTGCATAAATCAGTCATTAGATATGGGCCACTGGGGAATGAGTGTGGTCCTGAGTGAGGCAGCTGTCTGCAGCTAGAAGCTTTTAAGGTCATTCTGAGCAGCTGGGGCAACAAGTCCTTCATTGAAGTGGAGTCTGAGCTATACGTGAGTTCCAAATCAATCCTCTTGGAAACAAGAAAAACTCCTGACTACATGGGCCTCCTTAATCTCAGTGTGAAGGAATCACATTGGTTAGCACAGGGTGAGCGTTTCCATTCCTGGGTGCTGGCTAGCCAAGAGATTGCCTCTCTAACATGCCTGCTAATTGAGAGTTATCTACCTAGACTGCAGTGTGCCCACTGTCCAGGATTTTCCCACTAGCCATCTTCACACTTGTGGAGAGTTTCCTCATGGGAACCAATGGTGTAGGCCTCAAAAGTTTCCTTCTAGCCCCTGCATATGCCCAGTTAAAAGCCCCTTTTTAAAATTTTAATTATCATGGGTTTTCTTTGCTCTGTGTCTGTGAAAGAATAATAATTAATAATGATATTTTGTATATTTTCATATATGCTTATTGGCTAGTTTTACATATTCTTCTGTGAGTTTTCGGTACAGTTTCTTTGCCCAGTTTTGGGGAGTGTTGTTTGTGTTATTTTTGAGTTGCTTGAGATTTTTTTGACTTTGTGTGGGACACTACTGAATTCTATGGGGTTATATGTGTGTGTGTGTGTGTGTGTGTGTGTGTGTGTGTGTGTGTGTGTGTGTGTGACAGAGAGAGAGAGATGGGGAAAGAGAGAGAGAGAAGAGGAAGAGAGAAGATATTTATTTATTTTTTATTCATTTTTTTTTTTGAGATGGAGTCTCACTCTGTCAACCAGGCTGGAGTGCAATGGTGCAATCTCAGCTCACTGCAATCTCCGCCTCCAAGGTTCAAGTGATTCTCCTGCCTCAGCCTCCCAAGTAGCTGGGATTACAGGTGGCTGCCACCACACCTGGCTAATTTTTGTATTTTTAGTAGAGACAGGGTTTCACCATGTTGGTCAGGCTGGTCTTGAACCCCTGACCTCAAGCAATCCACCCACCTTGGCCTCCCAAAGTGCTGGGATTATAGGCGTGAGCCACTGCTCTCAGACTTATTTTTAAATGATTAGCTTTTCTTTTCTATTCCGTGTTCCTGGATAAGCTTGTCTTCTTTTCTGAACTAAGTTTATCAGTGGAGAAGCTAATTAGCTTGCTGCTATCTCTAGGCAAGAACTCATTTCAAATGACTTAAAGGCCACAGTTTTTACTGATTTGACCACAAACAACTCTAGTCTTTTGATGTGAAGCTCTGACTAGCACCCACAAAGGTGTCTCTTTTATCATTTCAAATCTATATTTTTAGTTTTCTGTATCATTTGGCTGCACAGACAGTTTATCTCTAAAGTTCACCACCATACTGATTGATATTCCAAGGCTAAGTGCATGCCTGAGAATTAGTCACAAAGTGATACCACAACTCTAAACCCACATTCGAATGCATTGCTTGAAATTCTTATCTCTAATGAAAATGCAGTGTCATTCCTCCTCAAACAGTAATCATCCTCTAAGAGGAAGGCACAGACAGAAGTTATAAATTGGTCCCTGCTTTAACACAGAACATAATCTAAGACCAGTTTTTATGTTGAGAGATTTAGAGGTACAAGATGCAGAGAAAGTTGAGGAACAAATTGAATTGAAGTTGGTATTGATATGCTTCGCTGTTGTTTGACCTCTCTTGTACATGGTATCAAAGCAAGACCTACAGTTTGTCCTCTCTGCTGAAGAGACCCAAGAAATGCACCCCTATTATGGAAGTGCACCTTATCCTAGAAGATAACACGTACTGTAGTTGAAGCAGAATCACAATCACAATGTCTGAAGCAGACCAGGCTTGGAAGTCATGTTATCCTACCTCTTCACTTCATAAAAGGTGAAACTGCCTAGAGAGCAAAAGGAACTTTCCAAAAGTGTACTGAATTACTCTCTGATTTAGGTTACCAGAGGATTAGTCAGAGGTTCTTTCCTCTACACCATTTATTTAAATTGCATGGCTTTTGGCAGTGCAATTTTATTTGTATTAGAAATGCATTCTGCATCTCATTCCTAGGTCTGGCTGCCCTTCTAAAGTGGAAAAAGATGTTGCTGGTTTCTCATTGCCTTCCAAGCCACTTTCCTATTGTTTCTATTTCTTATTCTAGTGGTGTTCTCATTTTCTGTTCTCTGGAGTCTATTGTATTTTTTAAAAAACTTCTATTTAAATTTTGTTGCTAATGTATCTACTAAACTGTATATTCTGGGAGAAAGTTTCATTGTCACTTTAGAAAAACCTGCTAATGAGAGGTATTTTACAAAATGATGTACAGGATTTGAGGAGGAGCATAGTTTTACAGAACCGTCTATAATTATATGACATATAAAGGCATAGTTTCTCTTTCTACAGTTTTTTTTTCCTAGGAGCACTTAGATGAAAAATAAAACAAATGGAACCCCTCTTTTGATAGTTTCATGGCTATCTATAGAAATTGATTAAATCTCTCTCTGGGATGTGTGACATAATTGTTAATACTGGGTACATTTCAAGGTAGCAATGACATCATTGAATGTGAAGGTGGGAGAAAAGATGCCCACAAATGGCTCTCTCAAAGTCATACGAGCTGGCTCAGCAAAAAGGCTATGAGATTTATCCATGCTGTTGCCTGTATCAGTAGTTGGGTTGTTTTTTCCCCTTTTATTGTTGAGAAATAATGTATTGTGTGGATATGCTATATCATTTTACCCATCACCTGTTGATGGAGTTACATTACTAATTATTTTGAATAATACTGCATCCCACAGTTCAGAAGATCCCACTCATAAGCCCATGCCACCAGGGCCTTGGGTCCCAACAATACAGCTGCACAGATTCTCAACAGCCACTCAGCTGGAATCTGCCTAAGAGTTCCCGGGGGAGGGGCATCCATCATCATTGTGGCTACCTGCTGTCTGAGCTGTCTGAGCTCCCTAGGGGAGTGGTGGCAGCCATCCCTGGGGTTGCCAGCTGTCTAAGAATACTGAGCTCCCTAGGGGAGAGACAGCAGCCATCACTGTGCCTGCTAGCTGCCTAAGACAGACACTGAACTCCCTGGGAGGAAGGGTCCAGGCATCACTATAGCTCCAGGCCATGTTTTTCCCCTGTTGGAGCTGGGGGGGAAACTGGACAGCTTGGTCCCAAGAGGTATTCCCCACAGCACAGCACATCAACTGTGGCAGACCATGGCAAGACTGCCTTCTTAGGCCTGACCCTAATCACCCCTCCTCACTGGGTAGGGACTCTCTGCAGGAACTCCAGCAACTCCACCCAGGGACAGAGGGACAGAGCTCTGATCTCCCTGGGCCTGAGCCCCTAGGGGGAGAGGTGGCCATGGTCTCTGCAGACCAGCATACTTAGTCTTTTCCTTTGCTAGCTTTGAGGAATCTGGGCAGCCCAGACAAGTGGGTTTCTGTCCAGTGCAGCACACCACATCCACCAAGGGAAAGCCAAAGTGCTTTGTTAAACAGGTCCTGGTTCCCATGCCCCCAAACTGTGTCAGCAGACACCATATACAGGAGTGTTCCTACTGGCATCAGTTCAGTGCCCCTCAATGTCAGATATCCCAGAGGAAGAAGCAGGCACCCATCTTTGCTGTTCTCCAGCCCCCTCGGGTGACATCTATGATACAAGAGGGACCTAGAAGAATAGGGCCTGAAGTAAACCCCCAGCAAAACAAAGCAGCCCTACAGAAGAGGGACCTGACTATTGAAAGAAAAACAAACTGAAAGAAACAACATCATCATGAATATGTTTCCACAAAAACCTCAACCAAAGGTGGCAGCCTTAAAGATCAAAACTAGATAAACTCATAAAGACAAGAAAAAATCAACAACAGCAACAAACAACAATGAAAACTCTAAAGGTCAGAATTTTTCTTCTCCTACAAATGAGCACAACACCTCTCCAGCAAGGGCACAGAACTGGACAGAGGATGAGATGGATGAATTGACAGAAGTAGGCTACAGAAGGTGGGTAATAACAAACTTCACTGAGATAAAGGAGCATGTTCTAACCCAATGCAAGGAAGCTAAGAACCATGATAAAAAGTTACAGGAGTTGCTAACTAGAATAACCAGTTTAGAGAGAAACATAAATGACCTGATGGAGCTGAAAAACACAGCATGAGAAATTTGTGATGCAAACGTAAGTATTAATAGCCGAATTGGTCAAGCAGAAGAAAGAATATCAGAGCTTGAATACTAACTTGCTTAAATAAGGCATGCAGGCAAGATTAAAGAAAAAAGAATTAAAAGGAACAAACAAAACCTTCAAGAGCTATGGGACTATGTAAAAAGATCAAACCTATGACTGATTGCTGTATCTGAAAGAGACAGGGAGAATGGGGCCAAGTTGGAAAACACACTTCAGTATATCATCCAGGAGACCTTCCCAAACCTAGCAAGACAGTCCAACATTCAAAGTCAGGAAATGCAAAGAATTCCAGTAAGATACTCCATGAGAAGGTCAACCCCAAGATGAATAATCATCAGATTCTCCAAGTTTGAAATGAAGGAAAAAGTGTTTAGGGCAGCCAGAGAGAAAGACCAGGTAATCTACAAAGGGAAGCCCATCAGATTAACAGTGGCCCTATCAGCAGAAACCATAAAAGCCAGAAGAAAGTGCGTCAATATTCAACATTCTTAAAGAAAAGAATTTTCAACCAGAATATAATATCCGGCCAAACTAAGCTTCATAAGTGAAGGAGAAATAAAATCCTTTTCTGACATGCAAAGGACACTATGAAGAAACGGCATCACCAAGTGTGCAAAATAACCAGCTAGCATCATAATGACAGTATCATTTCACATATAACAATATTAACCTTAAATGTAAATGGGCTCAGTGCCCCAATTAAAAGACACAGACCAGCAAATTGGATAAAGTGTCAAGACCCAATGGTGTGCTGTGTTAAAGAGACCAATCTCATGTGCAAAGACACATATAGGCTCAAAATAAAGGAATGGAGAAAAATTTACCAAGCAAATTGAAAGCAGAAAGAAGAAGGGGTTGCAACCCTAATTTCTGACAAAACAGACTTTAAACAAACAAAGATAAAAAAAGACAAAGAAGGGCATTACATAATGGTAAAGGAACCAATTCAATGAGAAAATCTAACTATCATAAATATATATGCACCCAACAAAGGATCATCCAGATTCATAAAACAAGATGTTAGAGACCTATAAAGAGACTTAGACTCCCACACAATAATAGTGGGAGACTTTAACGACCCACTGTCAATATTAGACATATCATTGAGACAGAAAATTAACAAGAATATTTAGGACTTGAACTCAGCTCTGGATTAAGTGGACCAATGGATATCTAGATCACTGTCCACTCTAAAACAATAGAATATATATACATTCTTCTCAGTGCCACATGTCACTTATACTAAAATCAATCACATAATAGGAAGTAAAACACTCCTCTGCAAATGGAAAATTACTAAAATAATAACAAACAGTCTCTCAGACCAAAGTGCAATCAAATTAGAACTCAAAATTAAGAAACTCACTAAAAACTACATTACTACTTGGAAATTAAACAACCTGCTTCTGAATAACTCCTGGGTAAATAATGAAATTAAGGCAGAAATCAAGCAGATCTTTGAAACCAATGTGAACAAACAGACAACGTACCAGAATCTTTGGGATGCAGCTAAAGCAGTGTTAAGAAGAAAATTTGTAGCACTAAATGCCCACATCAAAAAGCTAGAAAGATCTCAAATCAACACGCTAACATCACAACTAAAAGAACTAGAGAAGTAAGAGCAAACAAATCTAAAAGCTAACAGAAGACAAGAAATAACTAATAAAGAATAAAATAGAAAAGAATCAAATAGATGCAATAAAAAATGATAAATGGGATATCACCACTGACCCCAAAAAAATACAAACAACCATCAGATAATACTATAAACACCTCTATGCAAATAAACTGGAAAATCTAGAAGAAATGGGTAAATTCATGGATGCATATACCCTCCCAAAACTAAACCTGGAAGAAGTCAAATCCTTGAATAGACCAATAACAAGTACCTTGGCCCCTTCTAGCCATGGGTAGAGCTGGAGTGGCAGAGGCACAGGGTACCATGTTTGTGGCTGCACAGAGTAACAGGGCTCTGGTCCTGGCCCACAAAACCATTTTTTACCACCTAGGCCTCCAGGTCTATAATGCAAGGTGCTTACAGGAAGGTCTCTGACATGCCCTGTAGTCATTTTCTCCATCGTCTTGGTGTTTAACATTCAGCTCCCCTTTACTTAAGCAAATTTCTGCAGCTGGCTTGAATTTCTCCTCAGATGTTTATTTTTTTATTTTTTTTCATTTCTACTACATGGTCAGGCTGCAAATTTTTCTAACTTTTATGCCCTGTTTCCCTTTTAAACATAAATTCCAATTTCAGGCCATCTTTTTTGAAAGCATATGATAGCATATGATTGTATGCCATTAGGAGCAGTCAGGTTACATCTTGAATGCTTTGCTGCTTAGAAATTTCTTCTGCTAAGTACCCTAAATCATCTCTCTCAAGGTAAAATTTCCATAGATCTCTAGGCAGGGGCACAATGCCATCAGTGTCTTTGCTAAAGCATAGCAAGAGTGACTTTTACTCCAGTTCCCAAGAAGTTCCTCATCTCCAATTGAGACCACCTCAGTCTGGACTTCATTGTAAATATCACTATCAGCATTTTGGTCAAAATCATTCAACAAGTGTCCAGGAGGTTCAAAACTTTCCTACATCTTCATTTCTTCTTCTGAGCCCTCCAAACTGTTCCAACTTCTGCCTGTTGCTCAATTCCAAAGTTGCTTCCACATTTTAGGTATCTTTATAGCAGTACCTCACTCCTGGTACCAATGTTCTGTATTGTTAGTCCATTATCAAACTGCTATAAAGAACTACTTGAGACTGGGTAATTTATGAAGAAAAGAGTTTTAGCTGACTCACAGTTCTTCAGGTTTAACAGGAAACATGACTTGGAGGCCTCAGGAGAGTTACAATCATGGAAGAAGGTGAAAAGGAGGCAAGAACCTTCCTCACATGTTGGCAGGAGAGAAAGCAAGCAAACAGGGAAGTCCAACACATTTTCAAACAACCAGGTCTCATGAGAACTCACTGTCATGAGAATAGCAAGTGGGAAGTCTGCCCCCTGGTTCAATCACCTCCCACCAAACCCCTCCCCCAACATGTGGGGATTACAATTCGTGATGAGATTTGGATGAGGACACAGAGCTAAGCCATATCAGTCCATTAGGCAAAATTAAAAAGCACCAGGATGGAAATCAAGGGACTTTTCCTTCCTGTTTTATTTCATTTGCTCACTAACAAACCTTATTTTCTTTCTTGGATTCAGGAAAATCAGCTTGTTTGTCCAATCTACACTGCTACTATTGACCAGAACCTGCTCACTCTGGTCATCCCCACCTAAATCCTTCCCATCACCCTTGCCTTATCCAACATTTCTTTTGTCAATTTCCATATTGTAGGTTATCTAAGGCATATGGCTTAGCTCATTTATATTATCTGGCTGCTATACATAAGGAAATCCAATTTTCAGCAAGGATTCTCTCATTAACACATCTGGCCTTAAACATTCTCTTGTTCTTTTTAATGGATCTTGGCCAGTGACAGTACAATCTTGAAGGCTTAGAAATTTTCCTTTAATGTTATCTGCCTCCTTCATGGGGACCACATCATCAGTCCCAAAGAATTCACCAGTAGGATGTATTCTTTAACATTGGGACCAATTTAAGCAAGATGAACTTTAAAAAAATTACATCTTCTTGTAATATTGTCTGGCCTTGATATCACTAAGAAAGATAAGCAAAATTGTTACTTATCTGGACTATGGCCTTTAATAGTATACTTCAACTTGATTTGTTTCATAAGGGAGCAGAAAAATGGAGGAAAATACCATACATTCAAGGGCTTTTACTGCTGGGTTAGGATAAAACACTGCAACAGGTGTGTGCATATTTAATAAAAGGAAGGGAAGAAAAATAATTAGAAATACTAGATGATCCCTTGAAGTAAGCTCTCCCCACTGCAGTTCAGCGGGCACTTTTGTGTGAAGTAGGACCTCCTTCTGTCAGCTCTGATGCTTCAGGTGCATAGGCCCCTTTCCCTCCTAGCCCATCTGGAAGTTCTGTTGAAACTCTTTCATCCCCTTCTCCTTATCTGTGTAGCCTAATCCTATACCCACCATGCCCTGAGGAACCTAGCCCTGCCAGTACTACTCCTAGTGGAGCCTCTTATCAACCTCCAAAGGGCAATCTTTGTCTGCTTTGAGAAGTGAAAGATAGGAAAGAAGGCACTGTAAGGGCACATGTTATCTTTTCTATGTCTGATTTGGCTTTATGTAAAGAAAAAATTTTCATTTATCTGAAGATCTAGAAAAACTCACAGATAAGTTTGAAAGATTAACTATGAGCTATAGTTTGACCTGGCAGTGTCTGCACATTTTGTTTTCTATTTTTTGTACAGCAGAAGAGAAACAATGAATTTTCGGGACAGCTAGAACTTATGTGGATGTAGTATTGGCCCATAACCCTAATAATAATGTCTACCAGGTAGGGGATGCAGCAGTCCACAACAAGATGGGGGATGAAACTCTCAAAGGGGCAGTGAGGACTTGGGGAGGAGAGATGGTCTCTTGTATGGACTCTTGCTGGTTGGAAGCAATGAAGAAATGTATATAAAAGTCTGCTAATTATGAAAAGATTAAGGAAGTTACTCAGGATAAAGATGATAATCCAGCATTGTTTCAAGGGAGTTTAGTTGAGGCAATTGGGAAATATACTAACACTGATCCCGCCTCAAGGGAAGGACAGACTTTATTGGGAGTATATTTTATAGCCCCCTCTGTCCCTGATAATCCATAGGAAACTACAGAAAGCAGTTTTGGGTCCCCAGACTCCTATAAATCAGCTTTTGGATATGACATTTATAATTTTTAATAATAGGAACAGAGGATGAAGAAAGAGCTAAAAGAACCTTCCACAAGGTGCAGCTCGTGGCTGTAGCCTTAAAATTACCTTCCACACATGGTCAGCATTGCGGTTCTTGACCTGGATAAGAAATGCTAGAAAGTGAAAAGCCCCAAGCTAGGCTTCCGAGTCACCATGCCTTGGGCATAAATCAGTGTGCACACTGTAGGAAAACTGGCCTTTGGAAGAGGGCATGCCCAGTGCTCTGAAGGAAACCATCAGCACCGAACCAATAACGACCAAAATAGCGGAGCAAGCCCAAGAGTGACAGGTTCTGTGAACTTCCACTGCAATTCCTTTTGGACAACTAGCCATATCTCCAGATGAACCTTGGGTAACCCTTGAAGTGACAGGTAAGAATATTAACATCTTTTTGGACATGGATGTTTACACTGTTTTGACCCATTATAATGGGTCTCCATCACCAATAAACTGTATGGTCACAGGGATAGATGGGCAAGCTCATAGGTGCCATTTTTCACCTGTAATTTAAGCTGCTCTTTAGGGACTCTGGTTTTCTTACATGCTTTTCTTATTTTGACTGAATGCCCCACCCCTTTGTTGGAAAGGGATTTGTTGATTAGGCTGCAAACAGTGGCATATTTCGGAGATCACAAGGTAAATGAGGGATTGCTCCTTCTCCTTTCCTGTGATAAAGGAGAAATATCAATAGGGGACTTAGCTAGCTTGCCTATTGAAATAACCTCCCAAGTAAATCCTATATTATGGAACACCCAGGTTCCAGGCAAGGCATTAAACATTTTTCCATCCTGCATTCAACATAAGCCCGGTGCCCCCTTCCCCTGGAAAATACAATACCTCTTGAAGCCAGAGTCACAAAGAGGGATTCAATCATTCATGAAGAAACTTCTGCAATTCGGTTTGTAAAGCCCCTGTGAATCTCCTTGTAATACTCCAATCTTTCTGGTTAAAAAGCCTAATGGAGATTATAGATTTGTTCAACATCTTCAAGCTGTCAATCAGTCTGTCATTCTCATTCATCCTACAATACACAATTCCTATATGCTGTTAGCTCAGGTCCCTGGGGATGCCAATCGGTTTATAGTCTTAGACCTCAAGGATGCCCTTTTCTGTATTCCTGTACACTCCAATTTGCAATTTGTCTTTGCTTTTGAATAGACTGACCCCCATAGTCATTTTGTTTCTCAATTAACTTGGATAGTTATTCCCCAGGGATTTATTGACAGCCCTCATTTATTTGGAAATGCATTGGCTAGAGAATTAATGATGTTACAATTTAATACGGGTGCTAGTATTCAGTATGTAGAAAATTTTTTGGTTGCTAGCCCAACCAAAAGGGACTTGGATAAAAATATTAAGTTTCTAAATGTTCCGGGAGCTGATGGGTATAGAGTTCCATTGCATAAGGCCCACATTTCAATTCAAGAGTTTAAATATTTAGGATATGGCTTAACTCCTGCTACCCAGGCAATTGCTCTGGAATGAAAGGATGCTATCTTGGGCATTCCAAAACCCCAAATGAGAAAGCAGCTATGAGATGTCCTAGGAATGGCAGGATTCTGACATTTATGGGTGCCCTCATTTGGGCATGTGGCCAAGCTTCCTTATGAGAATCTAAAAGGAATAGACTTAGATACTTTGGGATGGGATAGCAATTGCAAACATACTTTTAATGCTACCAAGGACAAATTGGAAACACCTCCAGCCCTAGGGATCCCCAATTTTGATAAGCTATTTTTTCCTTTATGTGTCTGAAAAACAAGGAACTGCCCTGGGTGTCCTTTTCCAGAAACTGGGAGGCATCCTCAACCAGTGGCATATTTTTCTAAGCAATTAGACCATGTAGCATCAGGATTGGCTGGATGCCTCAGGGGAGTTTCAGCAACTCCTCTTTTGGTAGATTAAACCAACAAACTAACTTTGGGACAATATCTAGAGGTTTTGACCTCACAACAAGTAAAAGGATTCTTAGTAGTTAAGAGGTCCAATGGATGACTGGGGGATGCTTATTAATGTATCAGTCTTTGTTGCTAGAAACTCCTGATGTAACTCTTGAAGTATGCCAGAATTTGAACCCAGCTACCTATCTATCTGAATTCACAGCACCTTAGATCATTCTTGCATACAAGCGATGGAGCAAGTTTATTCCAGCCAGCCAGACTTAAAGGATTAGCCTCTAGATAATTCTAAGGTAGAATGATTTAAAGATGGAAGTAGCTTTGTGCACCAGTGAAACAGGCAAGCCCAGTATGCTATTGTCAGTCAACAGGAGATAATCAAAGCTCAGACCTTACTGGCTTCTACCTCAGCTGTAAAGGCAGAATTAGTGACTCCTATTGGAGCCCTTCAACTGGGAAAGGATTTATTAACATTTTGCTGATTCCAGGTATGTTTTCTGGTGTTTCATGCTCATGCTGCTATCTTAAAGGAACGGAGATGCTACTAACCACTAAGGTTTCCCCTATAAAACATCGTTTGGAAATTTTAAATCTATTAGATGTCATTTTGCTGCCCGAGTAGGTAGCTGTAATTCATTGCAGAGGCCATAAAAAAGGAGATTCCAATGTGATAAGGAGAAACTCCTTTGAAGATGCTGTAGTTAAAGCCACTGCATTAAAGGAGGTATTGTAGGCATGTTAGTGCCCATTGCCTTCCTAGTAATAGAACCAGAATATACTAAAGAGGAGCAAAACTGGGCTAAAGGTCATGGTGTAATTCAAGATCCTTCCAGCTGGCTAATTAGTGATGTTGACACTGGATGCTAATCAATGGAAAATAGTTAAACATATGTATGTTTCTACTCGGGAAGAAATTTTCATTTCATATTAATGTCTCATATTTTTATAGGAAAGGCTTACTTAAAACTGTAAAGCATGTAACTCTGGCCTGTGAACTCTGTGCCTGAAATAACCCATGTAACCAACGTTTACCTCCTCCTCTAGTAAGTCCTGTTCAGCATAGGGGAATGTATTACCCTGGTGAACACTGGCAAATAGACTATACTCAGATGACCCCATATAAAGGGTTTAAATATTTATTAGCATTCTTTGATGCCTTTACTAGTTGGATTGAGACTTTTCCTACCCCGTTTGTAAAAGCAATTGAGGTTTCTATACTCTAATTAAAGGAAATAATTCTAGGTTTGGGCTGCCTAAGAGCTTACACAGTGATAATGGCCCATATTTCACAGCAAAAATAACACAAAACGTATCTTCAGCCCTAGGAATCTAGTACCACCTTCATTCAGCATGAAGGTTGCAGTCTTCAGAGAAAGTAGAAAGAGCCAATCAAACTCTAAAAATGACTCAACAAACTCTTACAGGAAACATAAGAAGCATGGGTGTCTCTATTGCCTGTAGACTTGTTGCGGGTTTGAGATGTCCCGAAAGGAAAACTACAGCTCAGCCCTTTTGAAATAATGCAAGGAGGGTCTTTCTTAACTACAGATTTCTAAATAGACTAATATAGTTTGGCTGTTTGCCCACCCAAATTTCATCTTGAATTGTAGTTCTCATAATCCCCATGTGTCACAGGAGGGAAGAGGTGGAGATAGTTACATCATGGGGGCAGATTCCCCCATCCTATTATCATGATAGTGAGTTAATTCTCACAAGATCAGATGGTTTTATAAGGGGCTTCCCCTTTCACTGGACACTCATTCTCTCTCCTGCTGTCCTGTGATGAGTTTCCTTTCTCCATGATTGTAAGTTTCCTGAAGACTCCCCAGCCATGTGGAACTGTGAGGAAATTAAACCTCTTTTCTTTATAAATTACCCAGTCTTGGGTATGTCTTTATTAGCAGCATGAGAGTGGACCAATACAGGAAATTCGTACTGCAGAGTGGGGTGCTGCTGTAAAGATACTCAAAAATGTGGAAGCAACTTTGGAGCTGGGTAACAGGCAGAGGTTGGAACAGTTTGGAGGGCTCAGAAGAAGAAAGGAAAATGTGGGAAAGTTTGGAACTTCCTAGAGACTTGGAGAGCTCAGAAGACAGGAAGATGTGGGAAAGTTTGGAACTTCACAGAGACTTGCTTTGCTTCTGTTTGCTAGTATTTTGTTGAGGGCATTTGCATCTATGTTCATCAAGAATATTGGCCTGAGGTTTTCTTTCTTGTTGTGTCTCTGCCAGGTTTTGGTACCATGTTGATACTGGACTCATAGAATGAGTTGGGCAGTAGTCCCTCCTCCTCAATTTTTTTTGGAATAGATTCAGTAGGAATGGTACCAGCTCTTCTTTGTACTTTTGAAAGATTTAGACTGTGAATCCATCTGGTTCTGGGCTTCTTTTGGTTGGTAGGACATTTATTACTGATTCAATTTTGGTCCTCATTATTGGTCTGTTCAGGGATCATTTTCTTCCTGGTTCAGTCTTGGGAGGGTGTATGTGTCCAGGAATTTATCCATTTCTTCTAGATTTTCTAGTTTGTGTGCAGAGGTGTTTATAGTGGCCTCTGATGGTTACTTTTATTTCTATGGAGTCTGTGGTAACATCCCCTTTTTCATCCCTAATTGTGTTTATTTGGGTCTTCTCTCTTCTTCATTAGTCTAGTTTGCAGTCTATCTTATTTTTTTTTTAACAAAGCAACTCATGGACTCATTGATATATTGAATGTTTTTTCTTGCCTCAATATCCCTGAGTTCAAATATAACTTTAGTTATTTCTTGTCTTCTGATAACTTTAGGGTTGGTTTGCTCTTGCTTCTTTTAGTTCTTTTAGTTGTAATGTTAGCTATTAAATTTATAACTTTCTAACTTTCTGATTTGGGTGTTTACTGATATAAACTTCCCTCTTAACACTGCCTTAGGTGTGTCCCAGAGATTCTGGTATGTTGTATCTTTGTTCTCATTTGTTTCACATAACTTTGATTTGTTCCAAATTTTCATTATTTACCCAGAAGTCATTCAGCAGTAGGTCATTCAGTTTTCATGTAATTTTGTGGTTTTGAATGATTTTCTTAGTCTTGATTTCTATTTTTATTGTGCTGTGGTCTGGGAGAGTGGCTATTATGATTTTTGTTCTTTTACATTTGCTGAAGATTATTTTATGCATGACCGTGTGGTCTATTTTTGAGTTTGTGCCATGTGTCAATGAGAAGAATGTATATTCTGTTTGTTTTTGTTGTTGTTTCTCTATTGCGTGGGGAGTTCTGTAAATGTCTATCAGGTCCATTAGGTTGGGTCCATTATGTAATGTCTTTCTTTGTCTTTTTTGATCTTTGTTGGTTTAAAATCTGTTTTGTCCGAAACTAGGATTGGAACCCCTGCTTTTATCTGTTTTCCATTTGCTTAGGAGATTTTTCTTCATCCCTTAATTTTGAGCCCAAGGGTGTCACTGAATGTGAGATGGATCTCTTGAAGAAAGTATACTATTGGGTCATGCTTCTTTAGTCATCTTGCCACTCTGTGCCTTTTAATTGGGACACTTAACTCTTCTACATTCAAGCTTAGTATTGATATGTGTGGATTTGTTCCTGTCATGTTTTTAGCTGATGATTTTGCAGATTTATATGTGTGCTTTCTTTATAATGTCACTGGTCTATGTATTTAAGTGTGTTTTTGTAGAGGCTGGTAATGGCCTTTCCTTTCCATATTTCGTGCTTCTTTCAGGATTTCTCGTAAGGCAGGTCTGGTGGTAATGTATTCTCTTAGTACTTGTTTGTCTGAAGAGGATCTCATCTCTCCATTGCTTATAAAGCTTAGTTTGGCTGAATATGAAATCCTTGGTTGGGATTTCTTTTCTTTAAGAATGTTGAATATAGGCCCTCAAAGTCTCCTAGCTTGTAGGGTTTTTGCTGTGAGGTTCACTATTAGTCTGATAGGCTTCCATTTGTAGGTGACCTGCCCCTTCTCTCTAGCTTCCTTTAACATTCCTTCTTCCATTTGGAACTTGGAAAATCTGATGATTTTTTGTCTTGGGAATAATTTCATGAAGTATCTTGTGAGAGATCTCTGAATTTCCAGAATTTGAATGTTGGCCTCTCTGTCTAGGTTGGGGAAGTTCTCAAGGATGATATCCTGAAATATGTTTTCTAAGTTGCTTGCATTCTCCTCATCTCTTTGGAGGATGCCAATTAGTCATAGATTTGGTCCCTTTACATAATTCTATATTTCTTGGAGGTTTTGTTTGTTCCATTTTTCAAATTTTTGTCTGACTGTCTTATTTCAGAAAGCCATTCTTCAGGGTCTGAGGTTATTTTCTCAGCTTGGTTTATTCTGCTATTAATACTTGGGATAGCATTATGAAACTCTTATAGTGTGTTTTCTGCTCTATCAAGTTAGTTATTTTTTTCTATAGTGTCTATTTCGTCTGTCAGCTTCTGTATTATTTTATTGTGATTCTTAGCCTCCTTGGATTGGGTTTCAATGTTCTTCTTAATCTTGATGATCTTTCCTACACATATTTTGAATTCTATTTCTGTCATTTCATCCTGCTTAAGAATGCTTGCTGGAGAACTACTGCAGTCTTTTGGAGGAAAGAAGGCATTCTGCCTTTTTGAGTTGCCAGAGTTCTTGCACGGGCTCTTTATCATGTTTGTGAACTGATGTTCCTTCAAACTTTGACATTGCTGTCTTTGGATATTTTTTATTGAGCTATTTTATGACCTCGTGGGTTTGATTATAAGTTGGGTTCAGTCGATTGGTTTCAGTTGACTGGCTTCACTTCTAGAAGATTTAAGGGGCCGGAGGCTCAGTTCAGGAATCCTGAACTGCATGCTCTAACTCTGGGGGACTAATATCAGCCCCTGGCTTTGTTCTCTGACTCAAGATTAAGAACCTGCTGCCCGGCCGGGCGCGGTGGCTCACACCTGTAATCCCAGCACTTTGGGAGGCTGAGGCGGGTGGATCACCTGAGGTCAGGAGTTTGAGACCAGCGTGACCAACATGGTGAAACCTCATCTCTACTAAAAATACAAAAATAATCTGGGTATGGTGGTGGGCCCCTGTGATCCTAGCTACTCAGGAGGCTGCGGCATGAGAATTGCTTGAACTCGGGAGGCGGGGGTTGCAGTGAGCCGAGATCGTGCCACTGCGCTCCAGCCTGGACGACAGAATAAGACTTTATCTCAAAAAAAAAAAAAAAAAAAAAAGAACCTGCTACCCTAGAGGGGCCAACCTTTTCCAGACCACTAGTCACAACACTCTGATTCGTAGTACCAGCCAAAGTGCTTCACAGGGTAGTGGCAGCAGGATCCATCCTCGTTTGCACATGCCACCAGTGGCACCTGCAATGTAGTGGGTGCATGCTCATCAGTTGCAGTAGGGTGCGAGTGGGTGCTGGAGTGCTGGCCTGCATTTGGATATTCCCAGCAGTGATGGTGGCATCATTGCTCGGTCACATGGGCCCTCCCCCCAACCAGCAACTGTGCTTGCGTTTGCACCAGTGATGATGTTAGCACAAGGAAGGGCTCTGGTGGGTGCAGAACTGTGTTCATCCACTGTGTGTGGTCACGTGGGCATTGCTGGCCGCTCAGGGAAGGAGCAGGTCTGCTTTTTCCTGTGTCTAGTTTTGTACTGGTAGCAATGACAGCTCAGGGGCGGGACACTGGCAGCGGCAGGGCTGGTGGGCTTCATACCCGCTAAGACTCTAATGACAATGGTGGTGTGGTGGGAGGAGGGAGTTGCTTTCTCGCTGGTAGCAGTGGCATGGCATGATGCATGCACACACACATGCTGACAAGGAAGGTTAAGCGAGGTTGTCCTGTGAGCACACGCCCCAGCAAAACAATGTGGGGGTTGCCTGTGGGTGAGTGCATGCAGGCAAAGTGGCACAAGGGAGGCTGCAGTGAGGAGAGGGCATGGGCTGGCTGGTGTGTGTCCCCTGAGGCCATTCTGTTAGATCTTTCTGATAGTCAGGTGTAGCCCACCAGCACAGGAGCTATTCATATGATGTGGCCAACAGGAGATATCCCCGCTGGGCACCCAAGGTTGCACTGCAATCAGGCACCACCAGGCTGAGGCCCTGTGAGAGGTCAGCAGACCGCAAGTTACCCAGGTTGTATTGGCCCCATCTCATGGGCAAGACTGCCCTGCAGAGTTGAGGTCTGACATTCCCCTAGGGTTACAGTCTCCTATGGGAGCAAGCCAAGCTTAGAGGGATGGGTATCCTTGGCCTTGCTCCACTATAGATGATCCCACACCAAACCCTCTGAGCTCTGCACGAGCTGGAGTTCTTCCCATATGACCTCTCTGAGCAGCTCTTCCTGGCAATTCAAGTGTCCGTGGTGGTTGTGGATTCCAGAGGCTCATGGTGAGAGTGGGTTACTCCTTGCCTGTTCAACTCATGCCTTCCCCAGGAGTTGTTGGGGGCCAAGAATGAGTCCTGGTGTGGGGTAACCCCGTGCAGTGTGCCCAGCTTCCTCCCCCTTCCCCCGTGCAGGGTGCCCAGCTTCCTCCCCCTTCAGCACAGTATCTGTGGCTTCCATCCTTCCACTCTCAATGCCTTCCCTCTAAAGATCTGCTAGGAGTGTGCCAGTTTTCCCAATGTCCTGATTCTTTGGTGGCAGATGTTCTTCCTGGCTGTGTCTAGTCAGCCATCTTTCCTTCCCTTTTATAATTTGAAGTATTTTTATGCTGAGTCATAAATTTTAACTATTATTCTAGCTTGTATTATTTTATTTATTATATTAAATTGTAATATGTCTGGTGCATGCATGTATGTATGTGTATACAAATGTGTGTAAACATATATTTGCAAGGACTTTTAATTACAAAATATTGGGTCATTTTGGTTTCTACAGCCTCACACCCTAGCACCCACTGGAGTTAAATGTCACTTCAAAGGCAATTCAGAGACCATATTACTACATAATGATGGTTCGTTATCATCAATATTACTTTTTTGGTGATCTGAAAGAAATGCTTCAATCATTTTACTTTGTAATGGGATAGGTTTACTGTGTGGTAGTTTTGCTTTAGGAAATTAGTTGGAGATTTCATGTAAAAATACTACACTATAAATTTTCTAATTTAAGTTATTGGGAAGTTTTTGATTAATGTTTTATACACAATACCTGATTTTCAGGAATGGTGTACTGCCATTAGGTATAAAGTACCTGATCTTAACATCATACTTATTAACGCATCCAAATTTACCAATTTGTGAACACTTCATTTTTTGATGCATTATTTGAATAGTTTGTCAATACAACACATTTTGGTAGTTGTTACTTTAATAATAAATATACGAGATTTCAAAAATAATATATCTAGGTGCTCTCTTCCATCAATCTTTTTTTCAATTTTACTATTTATCCTTACAAATGAATTGCTTCTTCAAATAAAGAAAAAGCCATAGTGTTTATTGTAATTGAATGAATTTGCATGTTAAAATTTGAAAGAATTACAATGCTTGCAACCTTTATTCTTCTTATGAAGCAAGTGAACTTGTATTTCTTTCAGAAAAATTTTGAAGATTTTCTGACATAGCCATCACATTTTTCTTCTTTTCTTGCTAACTTTTATGCGTTGATTTTATATACACACACACAAACAAACACACACACAATGGAATTTCACATATATGAAATATATTCATAATTCAATACATAAGGAATGAAATGTTTCCCTTTGTCTTCTGACTGCATCTACCATTTAGGGTAGTTCATGATATTTTTGAGTAATTTTTTAGAAACTGGCCTCAGTACTGAACTACTGGTATATACAAATCTAATACTTGTTCAGTTAATTATTTTAAATTTTCTATTCTGGGTAAACAACCATTATCTACCAATAATGACAATTTTAAATTTCCTTTCCAATATTTTTTGTTGGTTTGTTCCTTTTTCTGCTATAGCCTAGTGATGTTGTGTATGATATTAATACATGCTTAATTAGAAATCACACTTATATTTATTAAATACGTACAAGTCAGAGATTTTATTTGCTAGTACTTTACAGTTTTTTGCTGTATATCCATAAGTGCGATTGCTTTGCAATTTATATTTTTCTCCTGTATATGTTACATTCTGGTATTGAGGCATATAAATTTCATGAAATTAATTTAATTTTTTCCATTTTCATCTATGGTCCAAAAAAAACTTCTGTGCCATAAAAATTTTATGCTCTTTAGAAGTTACAGAACTATCTATCTGGGTTTGGAAACTTCTTTGATCATTGTGTCACAACTTACCCATTTTCTTCTATGGTTATTGATCTTAGGTATTTCAGTTCTCTACTACTTAACTTTGGTGATTCCTGTCATTTAGAAAATTACTCATTTAATTGAGTTTCTCATATTTATATTTTTAAAGCTGTAAAATATGTTTATATTTTAATTTCTTGTTATATCACTTTTTACCTTTGTCTCAGTCCATTCATGCTGCTGTAACAAAATACCTGAGACTGGGTAATTTATAAGGAAGAGATATTTCTTCTCTCGCATTTCTGGAGGTTGAAAAGTTTATGATCAAGGCACTATCATCTGGTGTGGGCCTTCTTACATCATTTTCAATAACAGAAGGGCAAAAAAAAGCAAGCCCACTCCTGCAAGCCCTTTCTATAGTAGCATTAATCCATTCATGAGGGCAGAGCCCTCATGACCTAAACACTGCTGAAAAGGCTCCATGTCCCAACACTGCTGAGCTGGGAATCATGTCAATATCACTAATCAGGGAAATGCAAATAAAAAACACAATGCGATACCATCTCATTCCAGTCAGAATGTCTATTTTTAAAACGTCAGAAAATAACAGATGTTGGTGAGGTTTTGAAAAAAAGGGAATGCTTATACACCACTGGTGGGAATGTAAATTAGTTCAGCTACCATGGAAATCAGTTTGGAGAATTCTTAAAGAACTTAGAACTGCCATTCAACCTAGCAATTCTATTACTAGGTGTATATCCAGTAATATCCAAAGGTATATGTCATTATATCCCCAAAGGTATATAAATCAGTCTACCAAAAATGCACATGCACACATATGTTTATTGCAGCACTATTCACAATCGTAAAAACATGCAATTAACCTAGATGCCCATCAACATCAAACAACTAAATAAAATGTGGTACATATATATCATGGAATACTATATAGCCTCAAAAAAGAATAAACTCGTGTTTTTTGCAGCAACATGGATGCAGCTGGAGGCCATTATCCTAGACAAATTAACACAGAAACAGGAAGCCAAATACCACATGTTCACACTTATAAGTGGGAGCTAAACATTGAGTAGACATGGACACAAAGAGGAGGATGATATACACCAGGGCTTACTTGAGCATGGAGGTTGGGAGGAGGGTGAGGATAGACAAACTACCTGTTGGCTACTTTCCTCACTACATGGGTGATGAAATCATTTGTACACCAAATCCCAATGATGCACAATTTACCCATATAGCAAATCTGCACATGTACTTCCTGAACTTCAAATAAAAGTTGGAAAAGAAAAAAGAAATAATTTAAAACAAATGTCCTGTTTTCTTTGTTATCTAATTTTTAGAAGTACCTTTCTTTTTTAAACATATAATAAGGTTACCTTTTTCTTGTCCTATAGTATTTTTTAATGTCCATACATAAGATTTGAATTTGTTTTTACTTTGTTTGGCTCTACTGTAATAACTTATCATGAATTCACAAGAGATCTCCTTAGAATCATTGTGCGCCACGAAACAAGCATGTGTCTTGTCCTTTCACCTCCAAATATTCATTTGAACAATGTTGCCAGATCATTTCAAAGGAAATACTATATAGTAAGGGTCATACACCTGTTAACCACACAGCAAATTGGCATTATCATATGGTACAAGCCTGTTAGTTTAAGTAATACATGTGCACACATCCCATTAGAGTACTTTCTTATTTCTATGACAGGAAAACTTAAATTCCAGACCCTTTTGTGAAAAAGCAGCTAGAATGAGGCAACTCTACCCTTGTATGTTAGTAGAATCTCCCACTCCAATCTGCCCTTGAGAACAGGTTGATATTGATAACACCCAATTTCTAGCTCTTATTTTGTTTTAGTGTGATTCTTCTGAATTGAAGTATAATTGTCTACCTCCCATAGGAGAATGATTACACTATGATGTCCTGGAAATCTTGCGGGTAACCACGTAGGTCATACAGACAAAGGCTTGTAGAAAAACTTATCTGAATCTTGGCAAATATCTTGTAATCCTCCTGGAATTTGAGAAAATGGGAGGCCTGTGAGTAACTGTCATCTCTTACTTACCTATCTCATCTGTGAAACTATCATGAGATAATTTCTCATTAACTCCTGTGTTCCAGTGAGATATTGGGATTTCTGTACTGTCTTCCTCAGAATGGAGCTGCAGACTATAAAACCTCTTAGCTGAAGTATAGTATTGGCATAAAGTATCCTAAAACTCTTGTTGCTGTCAATTGGCGCTTTTTGTTTCAATGTTCTTGTTTTGTATGAAACAAGGATCACGGGGTCCTGGCACCTTTGCCTACTCTTCCTTTTCCTATCTACGTAAGTAATAAACTCTCTGAATCTAAAAGTACCTTCTTGTATATTTACCAGCTAAATTAGTCAGGCCTTGGCCTTAGGCTTGCATTGCCTATCTTTGGTAATTGCTTATCTTTGGACACCTTTATCACCATGTTTGTCGATGCTTTGAACTAAAAATGCAATAGAATAACTCACAATAAAATAACTCCTAATATTTCTGTAATGGAGAGATTGCTCACAATTTTCAGACTGGTATAAGTCTTAGATATTTAGTCATAGTGAAGGCAGTAGGAAAAGGATCATGTGTCTCCTTATTGTCCATCAAGACATTGAGTTTGCTCTCCCTCAAGTGACAGTGCTTGAGTCAGCACCTAGTGATGATTATGATTTCTATTTGAAAATAAGTGGTTTTGTAATTAGCAATAATGCCCCCAAAGATATGGCAACAGGAGAGCTATTGGTTTTGGTGTTCAGAGTGATTACCCATTTTGCTTTTGCTTAATCTTCATGGAAAGCTGAACCAGGGTCGTTGGGTCGTCAGATGTTATCTCTAACAAGAAACCTCACTAAGTAATGTTTTTATAATAGCAATAATAATATCAGATAGGACTTTTGAGGACTGAGTGTGTACCAGAAATTGTGCTAAGAGAAGAGCTTCACATGCATTTTTTTTCTTTAGACTTCTCAAGAGCCTTGTGTAAGGTAGTTACTGTTATTGTCCCTACATTAAATATAAGGAATCTGAGGTTTTAGTAAGGCTATGTGACATGCCTAAAGGCATACATCTAGTTAGCCAGGGTTTGATAGCACTGGCCAAGTCAATACAAAAATTCTGGTCTTTGTGACAGTTTTATTTTTAAATAGCATTTGATACTTTGATAATTTGATTATATAAATTGATATCCATGATATTGGCTTACTATTCCAACTTTAAAGTTTATGCTTTTATTTGTAATTTAATAACATCATTTTTTCCAAGCCTGCTGATATGAAAATAAACCATGGAGTATGATGAACTCAGAAAGGGACATGCTTCTTGGTTAGGACTTACCTGGGCAGCTAGACGGCATTCCCTGGTACTGCCCCAAATTCTTCATAGATTAGGAACCTTTCCAGTGGAACATCTACAAATGTTGACCGTGTGTTTAGAATAATCATTTGTGTGGCCTATAATATTCTTACTCAGAAAAGAAGAAAAATGTTATATTTATTGTATTGTCTTTAGCAAGAGAATGCAAATGCATATTGTTGAATTAGTGCTATAATAAAGCCTGAAACCAAAAGGATTTTCTGGTCAGCCTTCAATTGATAGAGTCAATTGATGAGAGCAATCTCATTGTATTTAAATGAGGTTTTATTGTTAATACTTCTTGACTATAGTGGAACTGGAGGGCATGTGTGCCAAAGAGCATGAAAGCCTGGGAGCCCCTGTTATTTGGTGGTTGCGCCAAAGATTTCTGTTGGCAGTTGTCTATTATGCAAGTCAGTACAGAAGGCACCTCCAGGCCCAAATCTGACCAAACAGAGCCCCTTTCTTGGTCCATTTGGTACATATATAACAGAATACCTGAGACTGGGTAATTTATGAATAACACAAATTTATTTCTTACAGTTCTAGAGGCTGTGAAGTCAAAGATCAAGGGGACTGCATCTGGTGAAAGCAATTATGGTGCATCATCCCATGGCAGAAGGGCAAGAGAGAATTCACAAGAGCAAGAGGGGGGTTGTACTTGTTTTCTAACAAGCCCACTCTCTCGTAATAACTAACCCGCTTCCATGATAACAACATTAATCCATTTATAAAGGCAAAAACTTCATGACTTAATCACCTCTTAAAGTCCAACCTCTCAACACTGTTACATTGAAAATTGTTTCTAACACATGAACTTTGGGGGACACATTCAAATTATGGCAGCCCCGGAAAGGAATTTTTGCTCATACTTTCATTTTACTTTTCTCACAGCTGTTTAAGACATTAGAGTGTTTCTGATAAATTCTCAGGCACCCACATCTATTGCTTTGAAGTTGAAACTTTGATTTTGATATAAACTTCAGAGAAACTGAATTAGCACATTTATTTTCTCTCTATCAAGTTTTGTCCTTCACTTGTTCACTCTGCCCAGACAAGCAGAAAAGACTCACTATTTACAAAAGATAATAACCTGGCAGGGCCAACTTGCTCACTGTCTCAAGTCTCTCAGGTGATACATTGTACTAATCTTCTAAGGGTTCATTGCCCTTTATATGAGGCTCTTGGAGAGGGACTGCTTATTCCACTGGAATGTATCTCCAAAGCACTCTTGCTGTATGGTTAAGAGCAAAGAATTTGATGTCATAGAGTTGTATGCTCTAACCTCTGCTACATCACTTATGAATGTGTACTTTGTACAAGTTCTTAACCTCTTAAATCCTCAGTTTTTTTAATCTATCAAATGGAGATAAGTTTCTATCTAATGTAATGTTAAGTGTTTATTATAGTGCTTGGTAAGCAGTGCTCAAAAATTGTTAGACATTTTTTGGTTCCACATGAAATTTACGGTAGTTTTTTCTAACTCTGTGAAGAAAGTCAATGGTAGCTTGATGGGGATAGCACCGAATCTATAAATTCTTTGGGCAGTATGGCCATTTTCACGATACTGATTCTTCCTATCCATGAGCATGGAATGTTTTTCCATTTGCTTGTGTCCTCTCTGATTTCCTTGAGCAGTGGTTTGTGGTTCTCCTTGAAGAGGTCCTTTACATCACTTGTAAGTTGGACTCCTAGGTATTTTATTCTCTTTGTAGCAATTGTGAATGGGAGTTCACTCATGATTTGGCTCTCTGTTTGTCTATTATTGGAGTAAACTCATCCTTTTTTATGGCTGCATGGTATTCCATGGTGTATATGTGAAACATTTTCTTTATCCAGTCTATCATTGATGGACATTTGCATATATTCAGCATAAATATATGTATTATGTAATATATGGGTTGGTTCGAAGAGCCCATATAGCCAAGACAATCCTAAGCAAAAAAACAAAGCTGGAGGCATCATGCTACCTGACTTCAAACTATACTACAAGGTTACAGTAACCAAAACAGCGTGGTACTGGTACCAAAACAGATATATAAACCAATGGAACATAACAGAGGCCTCAGAAATAACACCACACATCTACAACCATCTGATCTTTGACAAACCTGGCAAAAACAAACAATGGGGAAAGGATTCCCTATTTGATAGATGATGTTGAGGAAACTGGCTAGCTACATGCAGAAAACTGATACTGGACCCCTTCTTTACACTTTATACAAAAATTAATTCAAGATGGATTAAAGACTTAAAAGTAAAACCTAAAGTCATAAAAACCCTAGAAGAAAACCTAGGCGATATCATTCAGGACATAGGCATGTACAAAGACTTCATCACTAAAACACTAAAAGCAATGGCACCAAACACCAAAATTGACAAATGGGATCTAATTAAAACTAAAGAGCTTCTGCACAGCAAAGAAAGTATCATCAGAATGAACAGGCAATCTACAGAATGGGAGAACATTTTTGCAATCTATCCATCTGACAAAGGGCTAATATCCAGAACCTACAAAGAACATAAACAAATTTACAAGAAAGAAACAAACAACCCCATCAAAAAGTGGGCAAAGGATATGAACAGACACTTTTCAAAAGAAGACATTTATGCAGCCAACAAACATCTGCAAAAAAGCTCATCGTCACTGGTCATTAGAAAAATGCAAATCAAAACCACAGTGAGATGCCATCTCATGCCAGTTAGAATGGTGATCATTAAAAAGTCAGTAAACAACAGATGCTGCAGAGGATGTGGAGAAATAGGAATGCTTTTACACTGTTGGTGGGAGTGTAGATTAGTTCAACCATTGTGGAAGACAGTATGGCGATTCCTCAAAGATCTAGAACCAGAAATACTGTTTGACCCAGCAAGCCCATTACTGGGTATATACCCAAAGGATTATAAATCATTCTACTATAAAGATACATGCACACGTATGTTTATTGTGGCACTGTTCACAATAGCAAAGACTTGGAACCAACCCAAATGCCCATCAACGATAGACTGGATAAAGAAAATGTGGCACATATACACCATGGAATACTATGCAGCCATAAAAAGGATGAGTTCATGCCCATTGCAGGGACATGGATGCAGCTGGAAACCATCATTCTCAGCAAACTAACACAAGAGCAGAAAACGAAACACCACATGTTCTCACTCATATTTGGGAGTTGAACATGAGAACACATGGATATGGGAAGGGGAACATCACACACCAGGGCCTGTCAGGGTGTGGAGGGCTAGGGGAGGGATAGCATTAGGAGAAATACCTAATGTAGATGGTGGTTTGATGGGTGAAGCAAACCACCACGTTGCATGTATACCTATGTAACAAACCTGCACGTTCTGCCCATGTATCCCAGAACTTAAAGTATAATAAATTAAAAAAAATTGTTAGACATTATTATTGTAAAGAACACCTTTCAACACACTTAAGAATATGACATATATTCATAAAAGTGGCTTAATTAGTGGCAGTGATTCACAATGAAGGGGAATTTGACAAAGTCTCAGGAGAGACAATTTCAAAAAACCCAAAAAGACTCTGAACTGTTCCCTAAAGGAAGTGTGCCACCACAGAGGGGTAAATCATTTCATCAATAATAATATTTCAGACATTGTTTCACTGAGATTATTTGAAAACTTTGGAAGAGCTAGGGAATTTCAAAGTATCCCTGAGATCATGGATATCATTGTCTCTGAAAATGTGGTCTGTGAGTCACCTTCATCAGACTTGCCTAGGGAACTATTAAACAAAAAAATGCAGATTCATAAGAACTTCCTACCCCAAAGCTAATGCTCTAATAAAATCTCTGCAGGTAAGAACCAGGGATGTATATTTTCACTGAGCTTTCCAGGTAGATACCACTCTACTGAGATATGAGAACCATCGAACTGTTCAGCAGTGTACTCTGTTTACAGGAAAGGACAGTCCAAAGCCTTGGGGAAGTGATTAATTGCCTCCAAGTACAATTAATATAGCGGTAATAATAATATATTTTGCTGAGTTCTTTGCTCTAGTATAGACTGTGTTAGGAAAATAAATATTGAAATTACAGTAAATTTTCTGTTCACTTTGTATTTTGAAGTGTCCCAAACTCATGAGAATAATTCCTTTTCAGTTATAAGCCTAGAGATAGCAGTCCTAATGTGACCTTTCATACCACTGAAAACTGTGCCTGGTTGTTCTCCCTCCAACACCATCTTAGAGGATGTTTAGTCATCCTTTATTTCTGTTTATAACCTCTCCAGTTATCTGGGCTATATTTCTACTCCGTGCCTCCTTCTAAAGGTCTTTTGACCTTCTCTTGTTGGGTCACAGGTTAGGCAGCAATACAGACCTGCCACTATCTGTAGGACACTCTGAAGGATTTATTTCTTCTTTTTTTAATCATTGCCACCATAATCAACACTGCTGGCCAACACCATTCTTTATTTCTCTCCAAGAGGTGAGATTTCATTTCTCTATTTCTCTCCAAGAGGTGAGATTTCATTTCTCTTAATTTTATCCACAAAAGCAACCACAAGAATGATAACCAACAATACAAAAATGAAATAGAGACCTGAAACTCTACCATGGCATGTATCTGGTTCCTTTCAGTTCTCTCCCTGCTTACCTTAGAAAGATGAGAAATAACAATCTCTGGAGTTACATAGGAAGATGTTTGGGTTAAAACTAGTATCCTAATTATTAACAAAGAATTACTAGGTAATACCCCTTAATTTTCTATTCATAGCTGAAGCACACTTAGGCCAATAATTCTAAAGATACTATACTACTACTGCTATTATTAATATTTGTATTATTGCTACTACTACAACTACTACTTCCATTATTAATACCACCACCAGTGCTATGACTCTTTAACATTTATTGATTGCTTTCATTATGCTGATGCTGTTTCAAATGCTTTATCTATAGTTTAGCATTTAATAGTAACAACAAAAATATGCATTAGGGTCTATAATTTCCACTATTTTTTTCTAAAGATGAGGAAATTGAAGTACAGGGGACTTAAATTACTTGTCAAAATTCATACAGCTTGTAAGTGGTAGAACAGGATTTAGAATCCAGGCAGTCAGCCTGGATTTCTATTCTCAGTTAGTCCAATCTTCCCATGAGGTAGAAATCTTTTTCCCCTGTAAGTAGTCCTGGCCCATGTGTATATACTATTAAGTAATACGCACAGTTCTAGATATCTTTTGTTTATAACCTCCCCGAAGCACTGGGAAGGTTTCTATCATTAATTTCATTGCTTGTTTAGGAAATTCTCAACTATACACTTTATTTGTTGAGGAAAATAGAGTAGGGGATTTTACCAACATTTTTCTATTTTGAAAACTGAGGCTTGAATAAAACAACCCAAGGTGAGGATTGACAAGACTAGAACTAGATTAGAAACAGACTAGAACTAGATTAGAAACAGACTAGAACCAGACTAAAAGCCAAGCCTTCCATATTCCATTGCCAGACTAAAGGTTAGAAGAGGGGAAGAAGCAACAGGATATTACTGTAGGAACTATAAGGTTCAAGCCAGAGGAGTATTTTCTGTGTAGTCATTCAGCAAACACAAAACATGGTAATACAAATTTAGGTTGCAAAACCGATTAACTTCCTGCCATCTATTGTGAACTATTAATTGTATCTATCATGTAAAGATAAAGATTTAAAGATTTTTACAACCTTTAAAGATTCAATTCATAAAACATTGATCTGTGCCATAACAGCCCAAACCCATTGCTTTGTATTGAGCATTGTTTTTGGTTAGCCAGATTATAACTTTTGTTGTGGCCAAGTCAATTAATCAAAATACAACTTACTGGGAAGAAAGGACAAAAAGGTGAGGAGATGAGCTGGAAATAAAAATCTATGTTTATTTTCCATACAAAATGAAAATTATAGAAACAGCCAGGTTTGGGAGCCTCTAAATGTCTTCTGAAAATTTTATTTTGTAGAAAACAAAATTTAATTTAACCAGTAGAAGTAGCTTTTTTATATGAAGTTGTTTGCTTCCAATCAATATGGTTTACTTCAGTGTATTATTATTTGAATGAGTGGCAGAAAGAAACGTAAAAATGAATAAATTGTAAATTAGAACTATCACAGAATACCTGATATTCTGAATATGAGAACAAGACTAAGCGGACCACAGATTCACTGTTTGGCCTTGGCCTAGGGAAATAATGCAATCTATTTTCGTGACATACCAATCCATGTAGGAATAACATGTTGTTTTGAAGGTGGACTGGGAGAGGGTGGAGCGGAAGAATTAAGAATTTTTTTTCATTTATGATATGTGTGATGAAATATATTTATAATTCATAGTCCAAGGGAATCAATCAAAAGCCTATGTATCCAGCTAACTCAAGAGTTCTATATTTAGAATATATTTAGAATCCCAGGTACAACACTGCAGAAGTTGAATTTATACAACATTTTCAGAAACATTTAGCTGACATAATATCCCACTTGACTAATAATCATAGAAGTTAAGTAGAATTTTCAAGATCCAAGGCTATATCTGCCATAATAATAGAGAGACAGTTGAGAAATGTAATCATGACTATGATTAAGTGGTATAAATAAGAATAAATATAGAACTATTGAATGAAATACATGAAAACTGAATTGGACATTCTTTTATTAATTGTAGATTTATTGTTTAAATTACTACAGCTTATTATACTAGGTTATATAATGTTTACCTAAAATTAATGTTCACCTGGAACCTGTGCATGTGACCTTATTTAGAAATAGAGTCTTTGCAGATACAATCAAATTAATATGAGGTTTTGCTGTGTTAGGATGAGCCCTAATCTGATGCTTGGAGTTCTTATAAGAAAAGGGAAGTTTGGACACAAACACACAGAAGGAAGATGGCCATATTAAGAAGGCTGCAGAGACTGCAACTATGCTGCCATACATCAAGGAATGCCAAAGTTTGCCAGCAAATACCAGAAGCTAGAAAAGGCAAGGAAGGATTCTTCCCTAGAGACTTTGGAGGGAACATGGCCATGCTGACACCTTTGTTTTGAACTTGCAGCCTCCAGAACTGTGAGAGAATATATTTCTGTTGCTCTAAGCCCCTCAGTTGGCTGTGATAGCCCTAGAAAATTAATATAGTTATGTTCCTTGTATTATGTTTACAATATGATGCCAAAGTGCTAGAGGATTAATTTAACTTTGTAAGACAGAGTTCCTGCAAGGGAAAACTCTTTATAAATTTGATTCCAATGATGGTAAATGGAGACAAGAACTAAAGAAATGAGTGTATTCTCTAGGATGCTGCATGAAGGATGTGGCAAAACCACATAGGAGAGAGAAGCATAGGCCAATAAAAATATTCTCTGGGAGGCTAATTCCCCAAATTATCTGAGGTCTGCAACAAATCCTAGGAATATCCATAAGAACTTTTAAAGGTATGGTGACCAACCATCTCAGTTGTCCCAAGACTGAGAGGTTTCTCATAACATGAGACTTTCAGTGGTAAAACTGAGATAGTTTTGGGCAAACTGGGATGAGTTGATAATTCTATTAAAGCTATGTACAGAATAATAAGATGGCTAAAAAAGATATTTGCTTGCCGTTTGAGGTAGATCAGGTAATGTTTATAAATAATAGAGGGAAATTAGTTATTTAACTCTTGACTCTTATGTTCTCTGTCAAGGAGAATTATTTTCGCATAGAAAAGGAGAAAACTAAGATGGCTACAAGGAACTTGAACTTGGTGCAGAGCTAGAGAGCACATAACTTATAAAACTGGTCCACATTTTCTTCATTCAGTATCCAATTCACCAGGCAACATATAATTTAAGTCCCGGGAAATCACAGTAAGTGGTGTTTCTCACTGTCCACTTGGGAACCTGCAACCAAAGGGGATGAATGCCAATGATGAAACCCATCATTGGCATTGTCTTTCCCCCTTTCTCCTCAAGCTACCCTGCAGAAACTCTGTAGCCCCACTACTTTGCAATGTTCCTGCCCTCCCAGGTTCCATGATCCTAGGACTGTTCAACATGACTGACTTTCCAGCCTCCAGGCTCAAATGAATAACATCTTCAGGGCATAGACAGATATGACATTGCTTAATAATCCTGAAGGCAACCATAACTATCTACTTTTTTTATTAACATTGCCATATTGAAGCCTTTATTAATCTCCTGTGTATGCAATGGTTTTTATGAACATGTTTAATAGAATTAAATGCTTTAATATCTCCCTCTTATAAATTGGGTGATAGAAAATTATAGATGAGCTAAAAGCATCCAATTTTTAACAAAAAACAGTGAGCCTGACATTGATCCTGAGCCAAATTCTAGAATACTTTATTAAAAGCATAGTGAGCCACGAGATGCAGTTGTCACTGGTATCTATCTGATTTGAGCCTACTAAAAATAAATGATACCAAGATAAACTAATGTGCTTTTTGACAAGATAACTAGTTACCTTGTCTACTAAAGTTAACTCGAATGATATATCATGGGAATTCATTAAATAAGTGAATCCAAACTGTATCAATGATATTTGATTAGGTAGGTAATGAGATATATGTGGACAAATGGAGAAATGTGGCTAGTTGCTAGTACAGTTGGGAGAATTGTTAACTGCTGAAGTGGCCCCAGCCAAAGAGGCTGATTAATATGTTGCTATTCTGAAGAAAAATTTTTAGTGAAGAATCTGTCCTCAGCCTCATCCTCCCAACAATTTGTTAAATTCTTGTGTTGTGTGAATGACATAATCATATAATCTATATGTGTGAAGGAATTAGGAAGAATAGTAAATACATTAAAGGGCATAATGAGGTTTGGTGAGATCTGAATGTGCTAGAGGGATGATGGCCAATGATAACAAGATATAATTAAATGTGGATAAATGCCAGGTTATATACTTATGTCCAGAAAACCAACTGCATATGTAACAGTTTGAGAATACAACCACTATAAGTAAAAGACTTAAACATTTTCACTGATCATTATCAGTCAGTTCTATAATGTATCTGCTAAGAAAGCTAATGTAACCCTAAGTTATATTAATAAAAATATAGTGTCTGAATGGAAGGATGTGATAGGTCCATAGTCTCATTAGTTTCTTGTGCTTCACAGAGGACATCCAGAGTATTGTGTTAAATTCTGGGCCCTTCCCTCTAAGTGAGCATTTCCTTCTAAATCTACACCTTAAGGCAACAATTGCAATCCCATCTGGAAATTAATAATTCTCAAATGTATATCAGCAGCCACAATTTTTCTCTAGTTCTCACATCTATATTTCTCCATTTCCAACTGCTTACTGGTTGTCTCTAGTCTGTTGTGCACTTGACATCTCAAATTCAAGAAATCAAAAATTAAAATTATTATCTCCACCGCTTATGCTACCATCTACTACCACATCGATGCTCACACAATGAAATCTATTTTTCCATTGATATTTTTATTATCTGAGTATGGCTCCCACATGCTTTAACCAGAAACCTGGGAACCAGACTTGATTCCTTTAACCTTACTCCACACAACCAACATTTATCATTACATTTTGCCATTTCTACTCTTGAATCTTTCTTCAACCCCTCTATTCTCTTCATCTCCACTTAGCACTGCCTGAATTTGACACTTTAGTATATTATTTCTTATTCAGTTTAATTATAGTTTCCCTCGTGCTTTCCTCGTGCTTTTGCATTTACTGGTATTTACACCTACAACAAATACAATATTGGACATTGGGCTATGTATTAGAGATAAAAACTCATTTTTGCCCTTAATTCTCTCAGTTTTGTGGAAGAAAAAGCCATGTAAATTATTATAATACGTATGATGTAAAGATGGAGACTTTTACGAAGGTTCAGAGGAGAAGACTACCATAAGTCAGTAGGACTACATACAGGGTAGAAAATTATCTTGGAGGAAATGAGACCTGAACTTGGAGTAAATAAGTATTAACCAAATAATTTCTGATAGAGAGTATAGAGCATGAGCAAAGTTATGAAGGTAATGAATAGAAAGGTAAATGTAGGAAACACAAAGCGTTTGATATTGATATATGGCAGAGTGAGAGATAGAAAGCTGACATTAGCTAAGACTGCAGAGGCAGGAAGGAGCTATCTTACAAGGATCATGGTAAGAAACTTGGATATTATTCTGTGAGCATCAAAGAGCCATGAAATAATTTTCGTAACAAAAATAAAATTATCTGATTATCATTTCTTAAAAAATATAGTGGTCTTTGATAATGGTGTTTTATATTTTAGCATTATTTTTAACAGCTTTAGTGAGGTATAATTCACAGACTACATACTTTACACATTTAAAGTATACAGTTCATTGTTTTTTAGTATGTTCACAGATATGTGCAACCATCATGATAGTCAATTTTAGAACAGTTTAGTTACCTCAAAAATAAACCCCTTAATTTTTAAAGAGGGTTTAGGCTACAACTTTATTCTCCTTTACAGATAAAGATGGTTTCTTTGGGCAGAAATTAGGAGCTATCTATTTTATGGCCTGTTACTACCTCTAGGCATTGTGGGGACAGGGAGTCCAGTGTTCTTAGCCGAAGCAGTCTGAGTGAAGTTTCTGTCTTGCTAGGCTGGGGTGGGGGAAGAAGTGGTTTTGGATCAAATATCACAGTCTCTGGCCTTTATTTCTGAATTTTCATGTATATTCTAGAACAGATTTTTCTTCATTTGCTATTTGCCTTTAGGAACATTTCCAGAGATGTTAAATGTTTCTGATTGTTTGTTTTTAGTTTTCTCCAGGTTCACTGGGGACTGTATCTGTGGAACTCCTAATGCCATTGTGCCAGAAGTCAAGTTCCCTGACTGGTATTTGATATAGATCATTTTGGTAACTGTGAGAAGAGTTGATGAGTGATGAAAATAACTAGAGTCAGGAAGGTGAGTTAAGGCTTGGCTGTGTAAGTCCAAGGTATAGATGATGAGATCCTGAACTTAGGGCAGTTATATAAGACAGATTTGAAAGAGAGAAAGAGGCAAATGAATATGTAGGATTTGGTGGTGTATGTATAGAAAAATAAAGCAAAGTCAGAAATTCCCCCACATTTCTAATGTAGATGATTCTGTAGGTAGAGCTAGTTCCATGTCAGTAATGAACATGGGATAAGGACTTTGGTTTGGACATATTGAGTTTAAGGTGATTGTGGACCATCTAGGTAAAAATGTCAAGTAGGCATTTTACACATATGTATAAAGCTTAGTCTGGGATGGAGATATATGTTCCAAAGTTATCAACATTTAAGGTAACAATAAATATCACAAAAGTAAATGAAATTGCTAAAGTAAATGAAATTTCTCATTTTCTCATAAAATGAGAAAAGCCGTGTATATGGGACAGAGCCATACAGAACAACAATGAAGGAAAAGAGGCAGAACCAGAAGGAGCCCTTGAAAGGGAGAAAGAATGGTTAGAGCAGAGTGTGATGTAATAGAAACTTAGTGCTTCAAGAAGGAAGTAATCAACTTCTCTGATGTAGCAGAGAGGTCACACAGCATAAGGATTTTAAAATACCAGTTGAATTTAGCAATCTCTGCTCTCTGTCCCCTTGTTCAAATGAAAAATTCCCATGGAACATTTAAAACACTTCTCAGTCGTAACACACTAATCCTTCTCTGAACATTTTCCCTCACACTCCCTCTCCCTTGTGTCTTCCAGGTAGATTTAGATTCTCCTTCCTTTATGTTCTTTAATGATCTCATTCATAATTTTATTATAGGAGTTGTTACAAAGCTTTGTATATGTTTGTCCTCTTACACATCCTCCCCCATTAGACTAAAAGTGTCCTGAGAGGTGGAAAATTTTATACTCTTCACTACAGTGTCATTTCACTGAGCACAGTGCCTGATACACAGAAGGTACAAAATAAGTATTTGCTAGTGTATGAGATGACTTGAAGTAATAGTTTATAGAAGACAGTTGAAGGAACTGAAAATATTTATTGAAGAGCAAAACTTATACCAAGATTTGACCACTATAGTCAGAAATTTGAAGTGTTGACACATGGAAAAGGGATTTATCTTTTTCTTAGTGGCCTCTAAGACTAAGATGAATATGAGAAATCTTCACAAAAAGAATTTGTTTAGTTCAACAAATAATTTACTAAATTATCAATTCAAGCATCAATTGCACTGTGTTTAAGAAAGTGGCAATTTCTTGCCATTGAAAGTGTCTAGTAATAAGACAGATGACTCTTTATGGGGCATATTACACAGGGCATTTGTGATTGAATTTGAGCAACATAAAATATTTCTAATACATCCTGGCTATTTTTATTATCATGTTTTATCATTCCATGTAATATCAGTCATGGACATGCATCAAGATCAATGGACAATAGTTTTGGTATCTTAGTCTCAGAAAAATATGAAAATATAATCAGGATGCTGAAAATTAGCAAATCAAAATCAGGATGTTTAGTCAAATTTGAATTTTAGGAAAAAAAGAACAGTATTTTAGTATATCTATATTTTATATAACGTTTGGAATGAACTTAGGAAAGAAAAAAAACAAAATAGTTGTTGGCCCGGTACGGTGGCTCACGCCTGTAATACCAGCACTTTGGGAGGCTGAGGTGGGCAGATCACAAGGTCAGGAGATCAAGACCATCCTGGCCAACATGGTGAAACCCCATCTCTACCAAAAATTAGTTGGAAGTAGTGATGGTGCCTATAGTCCCAGCAACTCAGGAAGCTGAGGCAAGAGAATCGCTTGAACCCGGGAGCTGGAGGTTGCAATGAGCCAAGATCACACCACTGTACTCCAGCCTGGCAATGGAGTGAGACTCAGTCTAAAAAAAAAAAGTTGTTTATCTGAAATTTAAATTTAATTATCTTCAACTTTATGTGGTAACACCATTTGTGATGTTATAAACAAAATATTCAGCTGCTACTATCAATGAGTATAAGATACAGGCTGGATTTTTTGTAATTTTATAATTTTTATGAGTACACTGTAGATGTACATATTTATGGGGCATATGAGATATTTTGGTAGAGTAATGCAATGTGTAATAATCTCATCATGGAAAATTGAGTATCCATTCCCTCAAGCACATATCCTTTGTGTTACAAACAATCCAATTGTATTCTTTTAGTTATGTTAAATGTACAATTAAAATATTATTGACTATAGTCCCCCTGTTATGCTGTTACATACTAGATCTTATTCATTCTTTCTAATTTTGTACCCATTAACTATCCCCTCCTCTCCAATGATCCCTCACTATCCTTCCCAGCCACTAGTAACCATTCTTCTATTCTCTATTTCCATGAGTTCAATTGTTTTGATTTTTAGATCCCACAAATGAGTGACAACATGCGATGTTTGTCTGTCTGTCTGTGCCTGGCTTATTTCACTTAACATAATGACTTCCAGTTCCAGCCATGTTGTTGCAAATGACTAGGTCTCATTCTTTTTGATGGCTGAATAATACTCCATTGTGTATAAGTACTACATTTTCTTTACCCACTTATCTGTTGATGGACACTCAGGTTGCATCCAAATCTTGGGTATTGTGAATAGTGCTGTAACAAATATGGAAGTGCAGGTATCTCTTCAATACACTGATTTCCTTTCTTTGTGGTATATACCCAGTCTGTGATTGCTGGATCATATAGTAGCTGTATTTTTAGCTTTTTGAGGACCCTGTAAACTGTTCTTTATAGTAGTCGTACTAATTTACATTTCCATCAACACTATATGGGCCTTCCTTTTTCTCCACAACATCACAAGCATTTGTTGTTGCCTGACTTTTGGATATAAGCCATTTTAACTGCATGAAACGATATCTCATTGCAGGTTGGATTTGCATTTCTCTGATGATCACCTTTTCATATGCCTGTTTGCCATTTGTATATCTTATTTTGAGAAATGTCTATTTAAATATTTTGCCCATCTTAAATCAGATTATTAGAATTTTTCCTATAGCATTAGTTGAGGTCTTTATATATTCTCGTTATTCATCCCTAGTCAGATGGGTAGTTTGCAAATATTTTCTTCCATTCTGTGGATTGTCTTTTCATTTTGTTGATTGTTTTCTTTAATGTGCAGAGGATTTTTATAATAACTTCATGTGATCCTATTTATCCATTTTTGCATTGGTTGCCTGTTCTTGTGGGGTATTTCTTAAGAAATCTTTGCCCTGGAGAAGAATTTGCCCTGGAAAATATCCTGGAGATTTTCTCCAATTACATCCTGTAGAAGTTTCATAATTTAAAGTCTTAGATTTAAGTCTTTAATCCATTTTGATTTGATTTCTGTATGCAACAACAGATAAAGATCCAGTTTTACTCTTCTGCATATAAATATTCAGCTTACCCAGCACCATTTATTGAAGAGATTCTTTTTCCCAGTATATGTTCTTGGCACCCTTATCAAAAATTACTTCACTGTAGGTGTGTAAATTTTTTTCTGAGTTCTCCATTCTGTTCCATTGGTCTGTGTGTCTGTTTTTATGGAAGTACCATGCTGTTTTGGTTACTATACCTCTTTCATATAATTTGAAGTCAGGTAATGTGATTTCTCCAGTTTTATTCTTTTTGCTTAGGATAGCTTTGACTATTCCAGGTCTTTTGAGGTTTCATATAAATTTTAGCATTTTTTTCTATTTCAGTAATGAATATCATTGGTATTTTGAAGGAGATTGCATAGAATCTGTATATTGCTTTAGGTAGTGTGGATATTTGACAATATTGATTCACTCGATCCATGAACATGAATTATCTTTCCATTTTTTTGTATTTTCTTCATTTTTGTCATAAGTGATTTATAGTTTTACAGTTTCCATTATAGAGATCTTTCAATTCTTTAGTTAAAGTAATTTCTAAGGGTATAATTATATTTGTGGCTATTGTGAATTAGATTATATTTTTCTTTTTCAGATTGTTCACTGTCACCATATAGAAATGATACTAATTTTTGTATGTTGATTTTGTATCCTGCAACTTTATTGAATTTGCTTACTAATTTTTTTCATTGAATCTTTTGTTTTTTTCCAAATATAAGATTATGTCATCAGAAAACAAGAATAATTTGATTTCTTCCATTCCAATTTGGATGCCCTTTGTTTCTCTTGTCTGACTGCTAAAGCTAAGACTTTTGATACAATGTTGAATAACAGTTGTGAAAATGGCCATCCTTGTTGTTTTCCAGATCCATTGTTTGTCTGTCATATATGGCTTTTATTATGTTGAGATATGTTTCTTCTATCCCCAGTTTTTTGAGGTTATTTATCTGGAGGGAAGTTGAATTTTATCAAATGCTTTTTCAGCATCATTTGAGTTAATCATGTATTTTTTCCTTCATTCTGTTGATATGATACATCACATTCATTTAATTGTGTATGTTGAACCGTCCTTGCATGCCAGGGATAAATCCCACTTGGTCATGATGCACAGTCTTTTAAGTGTATTATTGAATACACATTGCTAGTGTTTTGTTTTAGAATTTGTGCATCAATTTTCTTCAGAGATATTGGCCTGTATTTCTTTTTTAATGCATCTTTGCCTGGTTTTTGTATCAGAGTAATACTGGCCTTATAGAATGAGTATGGAAGTATTTTCTTCTCTACTTTTCAGAATATTTTGAGTAGGATTGGTACTCATTCTTCTTTAAATGTTTCATAGAATTTAATAGTGAAGCCATTGGGTCCCAGGCTTTTTTGTACTGGCCAACTTTTTATTATGGTTTTGATCTTGTTACTTGTTATTGATCTGTTCAGGTTTTGGATTTCTTTCTGGTTCAATCTTGATAAATTGTGTGGACTTGGAAATTTTTCATTTCTTCTAGATTTTCCAATTGATTGAAATTTAGTTGTTCATAGTATCCATTAATTGTCCTTTAAATTTTTGCAGTATCAGTTGTAATAGCTCCTTTTTCATTTCTGATATCATTTATTTGTATAAGCTCTTTTTTTTCTTAGTTCGGTTACAGGTTTGTCAATTTTATTTTTTCGAAAAAAAACAACTTTTTTCCATTGATCTTTTGTTTGCTTTCTTCATTTCAATTTCATTAATTTCTGATCTAATCTTTATTGTTTCTTTTCTTGTACTAATTTTATACTTGGTTTGCTCTTGCTTTTCTTGTTCTTTAAGATGCATCATAAGACTGTTTATTTGAAGCTTTTCTTCTTTTTTGATGTAGGCACTCATAACTATAAGCTTTCTTCTTAGTATTGCTTTTGCTATATCACAGAAGTTTTGCTATGTTGTAATTCCATTATCATTTGTTTCAAGGCATTTTTTTCACATTTCTTCTTAATTTCTTTATGGAGGACTGGTTTTTTAGGAGGGTATTGTTTAATTTCCATGTATTTTTATAGTTTCCATAGTTCCTGTTGTAATTAATTTCTAGTTTTATTCCACTGTGGTCAGAGAAGATACCCGATATTATTCCAATTAATTGGAATGTTTAAGACTTGTTTGTGAGCTAACATGTGGTGTGTCCTTGAGAATAATACATGTGCTGAGGTAAAGAATATGTTTTCTGCAGCTGTTGCATGAAATGTTCTGTAAATATCTATTAAATCTATTTTATCTATAGTACAGATTCAGGCCAATGTTTCTTTGGTAATTTACTGTCTGGAAGATCTGTGCAATGCTGAAGGTGGAGTGTAGAAGTCTCCGGTTATTATTGTATTGGAGCCTGTGTCTCCTTAGCTATAATAGTATTTTCTTATATATCTGGGTACTCCAGTGTTGGGTGCATATATATTTATAATTGTTATATTCTCTTGCTGAATTGACCCCTTTATCATTTTATAGTAACCTTCTTCATCTCTTCTTATATTTTTTTCTTTAAATATATTTTGTTTTATATATGTATAGTGACTCCTGCTCTTTGTTTGGTTTTCATTGGCATGGAATGTCTTTTTCTATCCTTTATTTCCAGTCTATGTATGTTTTCATGTGAGAAGTACATTTCTAGTAGGCAACAGATAAATGGTTCTTGTTTTTTCACCCATTCAGCCACTCTATCTCTTTTTATTAGATGGTTTAGTACATTTACATTGATTGGTATTATTTGTAAGTAAGGACTTACTCCTGACATTTTGTTATTTGTTTTCTGGTTGTTTTGTGGTCTTCTCTTCCTTCTTTCTTTCCTTTCTGTCTTTTTTTAGGAAGGTGACTTCCTGGGGTGATATAATTTAGTTTCTTGCCTTTTATTTTTTGTGTGTCTACTGTATGTTTATTGATTTGAGGTTTACATGAGCCTTGAAAATATTATAACCCATTATTTTAACATGATAACTTAACAATATTTGCATAAACAAGCAAAAAGAAAACTAATAAAAACTCTATGTCATAACTTGGTCCCCCTGCTTTTTAACTTTTTGTTATTTCTATTTGCATCCATTATATTGTCAATGACTTTAAAGTTGTTGTAGTTATTATTTTTGATTGGTTCATGATTTAGCCTTTCTACTTAGGACAAGAGTAGTTTATACACCACAGTCACAGACATTTGCTTGGATACCTTCTTTTACTTGGATACCTTCTTTTACTTGGATATTCATACATTTCTCTGGGTTTGGGAACTTCTCTGATATTGTCCCTTTAAATAAAATTTCTACCCCTATCTCTTTCTTTACCTTGTCTTTAATGGCAATAACTCTTATGTTTGCCTTTTGAGGCTTTTTGGATTTTTTATTTTTAGATTTTATAGGCATGCTTTATTGCTTTTATTCTTTTTTTTCTTTTATCTCCTCTGACTGTGTATTTTCAAAGCACCTGTTTTCAGTCTCACTAATTCTGTCTTCTGCTTGATCAGTTGTGCTATTCAGAGACTCTGGTGCGTTCCTAAGTATGTCAATTGAATTTTTCAACTCTAGAATTTCTGCTTGACTCTTTTAAATTATTTGAATCTCTTCATTAAATTTATCTGATAGAATTCTGAGTTTCTTCTCTGTGTTATCTTCCATTTATTTGAGTTTCCTCAAAATAGATATTTTGACTTCTCTGTTTGAAAGGTCCCATATCTCTGTTTCTCCTGGACTGGTCCATGGTGCCTTATATAGTTCATTTGGTGATGTCATGTTTTCCTGGATGGTTCTGATGCTTGTAGATGTTCACTAGTATCTGGGCATTGAAGAGTTAGGTATTTATTGTAGTCTTCACAGTCTGGGCTTATTTGAGCGTGTGCTTTTTGGAAGGGTTTCCAGGTATTCAAAGGGATTTGAGCCCCAAGCCACATAGTACTGTGGGCCTTGCAGACTCATAAAAGTATTGCTTTAGTGGTCTTGGATAAGTTCTAGAGAAATTATATAGATTACCAGGCAGAGACCCTTGTTCTTTTTCTCACTTTGTCCAAAACAGTTTCTTTCTCTCTGCTGAGCCACCTGGAACTGAAGCTCTGGTGATACAAGTAACTTTGTGGGTCACCAACACTGGGACTGCCCCAGGCCCCAGGCGTGTCCAGAGATGCTGTCTGGCAGGCAGGGATTGGAATAAAAGACCTTAGCAACTTACCTAATATTCTATTCTATTGCAGCCAACCTGGCACTCAAACAACAATAGAAATTCCTTCTCACTCTTCCCTCCCCTTTCCACAGACAGAAGAGCTTTTCACTGTGGCCACCATTACCAATCCATTGGGGGGTTCTGCCAGGCCACCACCAATGTTCAGTTAAAGCCCAAGGGCCCTTCTTTCAGCTTTTGGTGAATGCTGCCAGGCATAGAACTCTCCCTTCAGGGAAATGGGCTCCCCACTGGGCCAGGGCAGGTACAGAAATGCTGTCCAAGAGCCTAGGCCTATACTCAGGAATCCCAAGAGACTGCTTGTTGCTTTACCTCAAGGTGGCCAAGCTGGTACCTAGGGTGCAAGACAAATTCCCCTTTACTTTTCTCTCTGATTTTCTCAAACAGAAGGACTCTTTCTTTAACCACAGCCACCACAGCTGGGAATGTGCTAGGTCACCCCTGAAGCCAGAACTTCTCAGAGCTTTAAAGTGCGTGGCATGCTCCCTCAGTATGGCTGCTGGTTATTCAGGACCCAAGGACTCTTTAGTAAGCTGGTGATGAATCCTGCCAAAACTGAGTCATTCCCTTCAAGGCAGTGGGTTTCCTTTTGGCCCAGAGTGTGTCTAGAAATGTGATCTGAGAGCTAGGGCCTCATGACTCTACCTGTTGCCCTATCCTACTGTGGCTGAGCTGGTAGTCAAAAAGACAAAGTCTTCTTTATTCTTCACTGTCATTTCCTTAAGCAGAAGGAAAAAGTCACTTTCATTGCTGTGAGCTGTGCTGCCCGCAGTTGGGGAATGGATGGCACAGGCACTCTTTTAGCCATGCCAGCTAGTATCTCCATGGGTCATGTGCCACCCTAGTTCACTGGTGCTAAGCCTAGCCTAGTACTATGAATTGCCTAGAAACTGAAGTCCTTGTGTCCTAGACTGTCTTTCAAGTTTACCTAGGACCCCAGAGCACTTTAGCCCATGATGACGAGGCTTGCTGAGAAACCCAAGTTCTGACTCCTGGGATAGATGACATCCCCTCTGGCTAGGACTGGTCCAAATGCTTGCTCTGTGCATGTGACTTGACTGAGCCCAGCATGGCTTATTCTCTGCTGTGCCAAGGCAGCACTGAGTTGAATGTGATGTTCTTCAGTTGCTGCACTCTCCCTTGTCAAAGTGCACAGATTCTCTTTCCATGGCTGCAAGGGGATAAGGGAAGGGTGACATCAGCAATCAAAGACTATCTTTCTTGCCCTCTTCAATGCCTCTTTTGGTGACATGAAGTTAAAACCAGGTACTGTGATTACTTACTTGATTTTTGATTGTTGTGATGGTGCTTTTCTGTGTGCAGATAGTTGTTAAAATCTGGATTTCCAGACGGAGGGATAAATGGTGTAGGCTTCCATTCTGCCATCTTGCTCTGCCCCCCTCAGGGATGGATTTTTAATGCTATGTAATAGGAAATTTATAATTCTCATGTTTCAAGTTTATATGAGAAAGCAAGAATTGGTAATAAAAGCCTTGAAGTAAGAAATGGGACAGCCCAGTGCAAAGCAGAGGGCATGAAATAACTCATATACAAGAGGTTAATCACTCAAATATAGAAAAACATCTCCAAATAAATAGGAAAAGGTAAGTTAATAGAAATGTAGGCAAAGTATATAAACAGACAGTTTACAGAAATAAAATTACATGTGGCCCTCATTTGTATTTAATTTTCAGTTATCCTTTTCACTCATAATAAGAGAATTGCTAATAAAAACTATATTAGGATGCCATTTATCACTGTTCAGACTAAAAAAAATCTAGAGGCAAGTTAGTCTGTGGCATGAGGAAATAGGCACTCTACATTGTTGATGGAAGTGCTAATGGTATAACCCACATGTAGTTCAATCTTGTGATATATCTCAATATTTAAATACATTAAGTTTTAGAAAATTAATCTACATATACACTCTCTCAACATTCAAAATGAAAAATATTTGGAATGAGATTAGAAATTGGCCAGAGACAGAAAAGGTATGAGAAGAAGACTTTTCACTACACACATTTTTATATTTAATTTTTGCATCATGTGATCATCTTCAAAATTGTTGCAGGAAGAATGCCACAATGGTTACCTTTGGTTGAGTAATGCATATATTATAAAATATGTATTTTTATCACTTCCACTTGGACCTATCCATCTAGAAATAGGGACACATATGTCTTTGAATAGTATATTGGGCTAGATTATTGAAGTGCCAATAACATTTGTCAACACAGAAAAGAGCTCACTCTTTTAAACTAAACGTCAAAATATCCAAAACATTAATATATTAATATGAAGCTTTAAGTTGTTTCTATGAACATATATTTGTGTGAAATTATGGACTTGTTCTAAAACTTTTGGTCTGTAACATTACCATTTTCCTCTCATAGGAGACACCACATTTCAGTGACTTTGTTTTTAGTAACTATAATTTTAAAATTTCTCATTGTTAGTTCTACCTCACCTCACCTTGCTCTTCCTGCCTCATCTCTCTGTGCTGTACATACTATCTCTATTAACCCATCACTTTCAGTATGAGTATACACACACATGCAAGCATACACATCTACATAGAATTGTGTATGTCTACTTCCTGATTCTACTGTGAGTTACTGTTGGAGGCATCAGCCTACTTAAACTTTCATGTACTCTTAGTTTACCAACTTCCTTCTAGTTAAAAACACCAGGCTGGGCGCGGTGGCTCACGCCTGTAATCCCAGCACTTTGGGAGGCCGAGGCGGGCGGATCACGAGGTCAGGAGATCGAGACCATCCCGGCTAAAACGGTGAAACCCCGTCTCTACTAAAAATACAAAAAATTAGCCAGGCATAGTGGCGGGCGCCTATAGTCCCAGCTACTTGGGAGGCTGAGGCAGGAGAATGGCGTGAACCCGGGAGGCGGAGCTTGCAGTGAGCCGAGATCCCGCCACTGCACTCCAGCCTGGGCGACAGAGCAAGACTCCGTCTCAAAAAAAAAAAAAAAAAAAAAAAAACACCAATAAACTAACAGATTACTTTTATAATTTACTAATATACAAAATGATAGCAAGGTGATTTGGAATATGCACTGTTGGAAAATGACTATTATCTCTTTCTTATGCTCTGTGGGACTAGTTTAGGAGTGAGTAAATTCTTTAATAGTTTTTTATTTTTATTTTTTGTGGGTACATAGTAGGTATATATATTTGTGGGGTACATGAGATGTTTTGAGATAGGCATGCAATGTATAATAATCACATCATGGAAAATGGGATATCAATCCTCTCAAGCATTACAGTGCTCAAGCATTACACATGAGAGTGGAGATATATATTCCATATACTGATTTCTTTCTTTGAAGTATATACCTAGAAGTAGGGTTGCTGGATCCTATGGTAACTCTATTTTTAGTATTTTGAAGAACTTCCAGCTGTCCTACATAGTGGTTATATTAATTATACACTGTTAGTGGGTTGTACATTCCCATCAACAGTGTATAAGAGTTCCCTTTTCTCAACATCCTTGTCAGCATTTGTTATTGCCTGTTTTTTGAATACGAGCCTTTTTGACTGGGGTGAGATTATATCTCATTTTAATTGTGATTTGCATTTCTCTGATGATCAGTGATGTTGAGCACCTTTTCATATACCTGTCTGCCATTTGTATGTCTTCTTTTGAGAAATGTGTATTCAAATATTTTGCCCATTTTGGGGTTGGATTATTAGATATTTTCCTATGGTGTTGTTTGTGCACCTTACATATTCTGATTATTAATTACTTACCAGAAAAGCAGTTTACAAATATTTTCTCCCATTCTGTGTATTTTCTCTTTACTTTGCTGATTGGATCCTTTGCTATGCAGAAGCTTTTTAATTTGATGTGATCTCACTTGCCCATTTTTACTTTGGTTGCCTGTGCTTGTGGGGTGTTACTCAAGAAATCTTTGCCAAAACCAATATCCTGGAGATTTTATTCAATGTTTTTGTTGTAGTAGTAGTTTCATAGTTTGAGTTACTAAATTTAAGTCTTTAATGCTTTCTGATTTTATTTCTGTATATGATGAGAGATAAGTGTCCTAGTTTCATCCTTCTGCATATGGACATCCACTTTTCTCAGCACCACTTATTAAAGAGATGGTCTTTTCCCCAGTGTATGTTCTCGGCACCTTTGTTGAAAATTAATTCACTGTAGGTGTGTAGATTTCTATTCTATTAGTATATGTATCTGATGTGTCTGTTTTTATACCAGTACCATGCTGTTTTGGTTACTATAGCTCTTTTGTATAATTCAAAGTCAGGTAATGTGATTCCTCCAGTTTTGTTCTTTTTGCTTAGCATAGCATTGACTATTCTCAGTCTTTTGTGATTTTGTACTAATTTTAGAATTGTTTTCTCTATTTCTGTGGAGAATGTCAATTGGTATTTTGGTAGGGATTGCATTGAATCTGTAGATTGCTTTGTGTGGTGTGAGCATTTTAACAATATTGATTCTCATGAGTGGGTAGGTATTGATAATATGAATTTTGATGGTTGGGATTTTATCAGAAAGTGGTGGGTTGAGTATACAGAAAGGCCCATCAGATAGGGAATGTGATTATTGAGAGACATAGTGCAGGAGATGTCAATCTGTGGCAGGTGGTAGATTGATGTTAGCTCTTGCATGGACATTTGCCTAATCCAAGGATTGTGTTCATTTTCATAAATTAGGGACATTTTAGCTATAGGATTTTTGACATCATCCTGAAAGTAGAAAATATGTTTTTTGAGGATGGGTAAAGAACAAGGTCTTCTTTTTTCTTATATCAGATAGTCACCTATATTAGTTCTGCTATGAAAGGAGAACCCCCAATAGTGGATATTTGCTTATCATTTATTGGCATCACTCAGTCTTACTTCAGGCAATATTAAAGAAGTAGTGAGAGGAAGGTGTTGGGATCTTGTTGCAGGGCTACATGTGAGCATCCAATCAGTGCTGACAGAGCTGAGGGTTTAGCTTTCTGTGTAAGTCCATTTTTTATTGCTGTAATAGAATAGCTGAGATTGGGTAATTTATAGAGACAGAGGTTTATTTCGCTCATGATTCTTCAGACTTGGAAGTTCAAGGATATGGTGCTAACTTCTGAAGAGGGCTTTCCTGCTGCATAATAATGGGGCATAACATCAAGGAGAAGCATACATGTGTGAATGGTCTAAACACAAAGAGCATCCTTGCTTTATAAAAAACCTACTCTTATGGGAACAAATCCATTCCTGTGATAATTGATCCAGTTTCTTGAGAGCAAACATTCACTCACTACAATGAGAACAGCACCAAGCCATCCTGGAGGGCAAGGCCCCCATGACCCAAATGCCTCTCATTGGTCCTCACATCTTTAAGATTACACCTTCCAACATTGCCACACTGGGAATTAATATTTCAGCATGAGGCTTCATATTCAAACCATGAAACCATACTCTCAAGGTTGATAGAACTGAGGAGATAGCCATATGGATACGGGATAAATATGATTTAAATAGTTCAGTCAGGTAAAGAGAATCCAGTCAATCAAAACTGAGTAAGATGGAAGAGAGTTATGTAGGAGTGTGGTAGTCATCATCTGGAAGATCTGTGTATAAGGAGAGACTTCAACTAACAAGAGTAAGGTAGAGCATTAGCTGTTTTCTTCCTCGCAACCTCCCATCTAGCTACTGTGCTGGTTGCAGCTCAGAGAAAGCTCCCGACATTTAAGTGGATCAGGGTACCAAGCAACTTAGTTGACTAACTAATGATAGTAATAACAATGGGTATCTTTTAGGATGTCCTTGTTATGTTAAGACACTCTGTTAAGTGCATTAAATGCCTCATCTTATTTAATATTCTCAAGGACGTTATGATGCATGATTAGTATTCCAATTTTACAGTTTTGAAAATTGAAGTTCAAATAAATTGAGTTATTTGCACAGAGTCTCATAGCAATTCAATGATAGAGTTAGTATATGAATGAAGAAGGCTGACTCTAGAACACAGCTCTTCAAATTTAAGGGCCAAAGCAAAACATAAGAACTAAATCAGTACTGAGATGACAGTAGCCAAGGAGAGCTGGAATCTTGCGGCAAACTAGGCACATAAGTATCATTAGACACAAAATTAATGGCATATGTAGTAAAACTAGAAAACAATTTAGGAACCCCAAACTTGTGACTAAAATCCAGACTGGGATGGTAGCTTACTCCTAAGCCACAGTGATGATTGTGGCTTACATTATAGCTACACTCTCTGTCTCAGTCAGGAGCTGGGACATATATTTGCCTAATGGAAGCACCAATAAAACTCAGCTTTAAGGAACTGAGGAAAGCAAAGGCATCATTACAGTATAAAAAGCCCTGCTTTACCCAGCCTAGTGCAAATCCTTTTCACACAGAAAGGAGACCTAAAGTAGTGTCAACCTTGGGAGAAGGGAGAGTTTCCTGCATTTTCTTTTGCCTGGAAGCCCTGTTCTTCTGTATTTTTAATTCAGTTTGCATTATCTTTCTTTGTATCTAGGCATTCCTATTTGATAATGACTATATCTTTTAGGTCATTGTAGTACCTTTCAATAAATGACTTAGAATTTGTTCAATTGAACACTTTGTGGCCTGAAAGACTAAACATTCATTTTAAAAATGAATATCACTGAGAAACTACAGGGAAGCACAAACTCCTTTGTCTGATTGAAATCACTCCCCTACAGCACAACGTGGCCATCTAGCTTTCACCAGACAGAAACAGCTGTTGAAGAACCATTGTAGCTTTCTTTTATTTTGAATCACTAAGGACATTTCAGGAAAAGATTTTAAATTATGTATTAGAACATTTATTGGTATCAATCTATATCTGAACCCTCTGTGCTTCCTCCTTAAGCATTAGCACCTCTGTAGGTACTGAGAGGACTTCCCACCAGTGGCAGATAAGCAGAAGGCATGAGTCTGCAGCATTTGCTTTTCTATGTTTGGATAAGCAGTGAAAATGAAAATAAAAATTCATATGTGACCTGAGTCATTATGTACCTTTTTATAGTTTGAGTGCTATAGCACAAAGGGAGGCTGAAATCAGCACAGTTCCAAAACCCATAGGGATTCTGTGTTGTCACTTGTTCAGCAATCAGTTAATGGGCAGACCTTGCACAATAACTTGCTTACTGAGGAAATTTTCACTTCTCACACAGCACCAGGCCCTGAAAGTTGAGAGACAAAAGTGAGATGATCTCTGTAGCTAAAGACTTGATCCGTTTTTCTTCTTTGGAAACTTTTCCAAATTCTCAGTTTGTCTTATTTGATAGTTGCCTTGAGAGGTGACACTGTTGATAGGCAATTTGGTCAGTTTTTAAGAAAGAAACATAGCAGCCATCTCAGTCTCCTTTTGCAGAGTTCTCTTGACAGATGCAGAAATCATCTGCATTGTGGAAGTTATTGGTCAGCTGGTTGTTCTTGGGGGACAGGAAAAAAGAAGTCATACTAATGGATGAATCAAGAAAGACCTCTTCAAAGATCATTCACGGCCTTTGGGCAGCCAAGAAAAACCACTGGATACAATGACCTAAAATCTCTGCAAACATAAATCTGAAGGATCTTGTAATTGTTTTGCAAAAAAGTGCCACTGCTTTGTTAAAACATAGAAGCTCCAGATTGAAATTACTCCTGAAATAACCTGTTCCTTAGGGATAAAACCCTGATCAGATCACAGGACTCACCTCCCAGGGGAGAGTGTTGGAATTCCTATTTGAAGTGTATATTTGAGTGAAATTTTAGTTGTGCTATAGTTCCGAGTTTGAATTCAGACAATCTATATTGAAATCCTAGCACACAGTTTACTAGTTTAGCAGTGGCAGTGCTTTTATCTCTGCCTTCCACTGCCCATAATTCCTATTAGCCACCAATTAAAGTTACACCCATAATCAAAGACAATGTGTTACTCTGCCAATAAAACTTCAAGACAAATCCCTTTACTCTTTCCTTTGTTTACCACTCCTAAATTTATTTTTTGCAGAGATTCTGGAGTTACTTTGTGAAATTGGTTAAGGTACTTAAACTTTTATTTAGAAAAAAGATATGACTTACTAACTTATGTTTCAATATTGGGAGGTTAAATTACATAATATATGTAAAGAATGTACCATAATGTTTGAGATATATTCTCCACTCAAATGGTAACTTATTATCCTCTTCTCAAATTTATATTACTAATATTATTAACAACAATAAATAAAACAATAGTCTTTATTTTTATTATTGGTTGTGTTTAGCTTGCCTCAAGTGTCATCCTCCTCCGTGATTCTAAGTTACTTCTTAATGCTTCCTTTTTTGATTCCGATGATATTTCTACCACATAAGGGACATCCACACCTGAAAGTGTCTGAACAATTAAGACTTATTGCATGCACATTTTTAACATTTCATATTAAGAATTCACTATTTGCATTACCACATCAAATATCTATTTATCCCTACAATGTGCAAGGCTCTGGGCCAAGCACTGTTATATTTAGACCACATTTGATTTGTTTAATGGCATTAATATTGAAAGGACTGAGGGAGATTAGGGTCAGGGAACTAGATGTCTTCCTTGTGTTAGAGTAGGATCTGGTGAGGCAAACTCAAATGTAGGTCCTGGAAAGAAGTCCAATTCAACAAACAAAACAGGATATTCAGATCACAGGCAATTAGTTCACTACCACCCTCAACATCAAGGATTTATCAGGCAGTAATGAAGTAGGTGGGCCAAAGACAGCAATAAGCAACTCCAAATAGGAAGAGGCAACAATTGAGGCAGATCATTGGAATAAGGGATGTCTGCTACATAACTATGTAAAAGATCGTTTCTGGTTACATGTCACCAGTCACTAGCTTAGGATATACTATAAAGAGCTAATCTCTGATGTTGAGAATACAGAATGGTAGAAGAGACATAGATTATGGAGTCACATGAATATGATTAAACCTCCAAATCTGTCAGTTATTCACTGGATGACTTTAGACACATTACATAATCTCTCTGAGCTTCAAGTTCCATATCTCTAAAATAAAAGTAATATAATTAATAATTTGGAGATATACTGAGAATTAAGGCAGCTAGGCTGTGTCTGGAATTTATTGAGAACACTCTCCTATTATTACTGTTTAATAAAGATGTGAACAAAAAGTAGCAGCTCCAGCTTTGAACTTTAGTTTTGAAGGTTGTTAGTGTCCATGTGTAGGAAATTGGCAATGGCAAAGCAGAGTTCAGTCATAGAAGAACTATGATCCTAAACTCTAATAAGACAGGGAACTGTACTTTGGCACATGAAACAAATGTAAATAGGAATCAACAATAACAAGGACTCAAGATGGCCACTTTGTTCTAAAAGCAAGTTAGAAACTTAGTACCCAAAAATAGAGCACAAGGCAAGGATGGGATTATGAGAAAGAGTAACTTAATACTGTGTCTTGTGGCACAAATTAGAGCTCCTAAAATTCTTGCTGATATAATAGAGTATAATTTGTTCTAGAAACAAGGCTGAGCTTATAGATGTGTGTGTATGTGTGTTTTTGTGTATGAGTGGCTATAGATAAGTGGGTTGGAGATATTCAGAAACTGGGAACTAGAGAACAACAAATGTCAATGTACAAGTCTTATAGGGTAGGTCAGTGCTGTCAAATAGAACTTCCAGCAATTATGAAAATTTTCTATATCTGCAATATTCAACATGGTAGCCACTAGCCACATGTGGCTACTGAACACTTGAAATGTAATTAGCACAACTGAGGACTTATTTTAAATTATATTTTATTTGAGCTATTTGGAGTTTACTGAGCTGATGTATACATTAATATTTTCATGAAATTTAAGACATTTTCAGCCATAATTTTTTGAAATATTCTTTCTGCTTTCTTCTTTTCCTTTTCTACTTCTGGAAATCCTACTATGTGTATCTTAGTATGTTCGTGTTGTTCTGCAGGTCTCTGAGGTGCTATTTATTTTTCCTCATTATTTTTTCTAATTTTTGTATTGCATAACCTCTACTTATTTTCAAGTTCACTGATTCTTTTGTTTGCTCGAAGATGCTGTTGACTATTTCTAGTCAAATTTTTAATTCAGTTATTATACTTTTCAACGCCAGAATTTCTACCTGGTTCTTCCTTTAAAAATAATTTCTTTCTCTTTGTTAGTATTTTCTATGCAGAGAGACATTGCTTTTACACTTTCATTTAGTTTTTTAGACATTACTTCCTCTAATTAACATATTTTGACTATATTTAAAATAACTGATTTAAAGTCTCTGTCTAGTAAGTCCAATGTCTGGGTTCCCTAGGGGACAGTTTTTATTGACTATTTTATTTACTGTATATGAGCAATACTTTTTTTATGAATGCTTTATATATTTTTAGTTAAAATTGAAAATTTTAAGTAATATAATGTAACTCTGGAAATCATGTTCCCTCCACCCCCCACCAGGGTCTGTTGTTGTTTGTTTGCTTAGTGGTATTTCTGAACTAATTCTGTGAAGTCTGTAGTTTGGATCATGTGTGGCTGCTAAAGCCTCTGCTTGACTAAGTTAGTGATAAGCTAATAACTCATTAATTTAAATTCAGATAAACTTAAAGTCTAAACAATCACATGTGACTATTAAACAATGCAGCTCTAGGTTTTTATAATTATTTGGACAACATTTACAGATATGAAAAACTAACAAATAATTTTTCTATATAAAATAGTTGTCAACTTAGTGTTATCTCACCTGATGAAAAAAAAGCTTTCACAGTAAACTAATGAAAGACAGATATTTTCCAAAGTGATAGAATTTGATTTTCACCTATAGAGATTTTTAGGATTTACAGTGAAGAAGAAGAATAAAGATTTTAAGTGGTCAGGAAAATGATGTGAAGAAAGAAAGCTACAGTGGAAGGCATGTTGCAGAGACCATGATCAGATTAATTTTCCTTGAATAAAGAGTTCACAAAGGTGATTGATCAGTGACAACCATGGAAATTTATGTTGAGGACAGAACATGGAAAGCCTTGAATATCAGGCTGAGATATTTTAAACTTGGCAAAGTGGGAAGCCATTAGAATTGCACACACACACACACACACACACACACACACACACACACAGAGTTTAGAGTTTTTCTTTTTTGGTTAGAGAAGTAAATACATTTATATTGATTTGCTATTGGCTTTCAAGCAACAGAAACTGCTTTCTTTCATTTATTTATAACATTTATATATTTAAAGTATAAAACCAATACATGTGTATACTAGTACATTTGGAAAACAGAAAAGTATGAAAAAAATTCAAAATTGTGCATAATCTCAAATCAATGCAAGTTTTCCAACAAAAGATTAATGTGATTAAAACAGTGTTTCAATAGATTAATCTGGTGATAGTGTATGGGATAGATTTAAGGAAGTAGGTGTTACCTAGTCTCTTCCAAAGCAGAGATGTTGGTGAAACATAGAACATCTTGGAGCATGTCTTTAACAAAGCTAGATGAATAGTTACCTCTTGAGACTGAGAAGAAAAACTATAAAAGTGGAAAAATGTTCTTCCAAATATGCTGCTCAAAACATAACTCTTACAGTAAGAACATCTCTTCTATGCTGTGTGTTCAAAGAACAGAAACAAAATCCTGTATTCATCGATATATCTAAATTAAAAATAGGTATACTTTCTGACAATTCCAATTCTAAGAGTTTATCTTAGAGTCGTACGTACACTAATACTCAAATTATATGTACACAAATACTCACTGAACATTGTTTAATAGCAGGAAAATTGGAAACACTGTTAATATTTATCAAAAAGGAGTGATTAAATAAATACAATGGGGTACTATACAAATGTTAAAAATAAATACTATAAAAATATTGCAAACAATGTACTGACATAGAACAATACAGAACAGTATGATTAACATGACCTGATCCACTCATTCAATATACACTTAATGAGCCTGGCACTGTGCTAGGCACTAAAACTTCAGCAGTGATAAAGACAGAAACAGTCACTGTACCCATGAAGTTTACATTATGAAGCTGGCATTGAAAAATTCATGCGATAATAAAGCACTCTAACAATTTAATTACAAGCCCTTTCCTTTCCTAGTGATTCATAAAATAATGATGTTAGTAACAATGTCATTTTAGGTTTTATGAGATATGTTAGATGAATTAATTACAAATTGTAATGAATAATAAAGAACAAAAAAAGAGAAGGAACCACAATGGTGAGTAGTAGAAACAGGAAGGGGTGCTTTAGAAAAGGAAAGTCTCTCAGTGGAGGTCACAGGGAAACTGAATCCTAAAGAATTGGTAATGGCTGGCCATAAGAATAATTGAAGAATATTATAATGTTATTTTTTCTAAAACATGGACATATATTGTTTGTATAATTAAAAATATAGCCAACCAATAAGTTATTAAAATAAACCCAAACATACTTACTTTTGTATTCAGTATTATTTATCCTAATTTGTATTAATAATGCCATTTTATCCAATGTCATGGATAAATGTAAAGGTCCATCCAAATGTCAGACTGCTTGTAGATTCAGAATGTATTGCTCCAAGAGTTTCAGGGAAACTTCAAAAATCTGCTGCTTGTGTTTTTTTTATATATCAGATTTAGGATACCTGGCAGTGTAATCCATCAATACCACCTGCTGTTTGATGAAGCTGAGCAGCTTCCTGTTCTTTCAATGCCTGACATGTAGTTGGGGTGGGGAAGCACCTTCAGGGGTATAATTAAAGCTTTTATTCTCAATGCTTCTTTACTCCCAGAGGAGACTTAGTAAATCTAGAAAATAAGGTTCAGTGATTTTTTTTCTTTTGTTTTGTTTTTATTTTCCCCAAACAGTGAGGTGATGGTTGGGGATTTTGAAAGAAAAAAATAAACACCTTTACTTTAAATTATATTGTTTAAGCACTAAAAGGAATCCTTGAGGCTTATTTTTATGACATTCCCAGTCCGACCCAGTTTATAACTGTTTGTATAAAGTTGTCTACAAGAAAGTGAATTAGAATAATGTGCAAGGATCCTAAATATGGCTTCAAAATATTTCTAGTGAATTTAATTACTTGGTTTGGGAAGTAGTGCCACAAACTTTGAACTGTCTTTTTGGGTCAGTATATAGCATCCTTTTGGGGAAGTCAGCTGTGGTGTACATTATTCCATTGTCCTTCTGAGTGACGTTGGATTGTTAACTGAGTCGGTTTTGTGCTCTTGTCCAGCTGAATCTTCGTGGTGTATTGATAAAATTCATTTTATTGCAGCAGTCCAATCCATTGCTAGAACCAGATTATTATCAACAGAGGATGGTGAAAGGGTGAGTAATAAAAACAAAAATGATTGAGTGTGATACTTTTAAAATTAGGTACTTAGGGTAATATTTGTATATACTAAGAAAGCCGTTGTGTCCTTTAGCTGTTTCTAGACATCTGGGACCTGTCTCAATTCCGCCTTTACCCTGCGTTCAAAATTGTGTGTGGGCATCAAGCTTCAAAATATCTTTCCCTTATTTAGTTACATTGAATAATGTGTTGGTAAATGATTAACAATTAGCTGGAGGGACAGTGTGAGAAAGGGTGATTATAGCATTTGCTGGTTTCCATGATGTAAACACAGCCCACCATAGCTGATTTCTCAGGCTCTGCCTCAAGAAATCAAATGTAAGAGAGCTTCTCAAACACATTTGCCTTCATTGTTTAGATAACTGCTAAAAACTGTTGATATTTATTGAGCTCTTACTATGAACCAAACAATATACTAAGTGCTATTTTTATATACATTATTTTACATAATCCTCACAGCAACCTATGGTATGATTATCATCATCATTTTATGGCTGAGAGGACTAAGTCTTAAAGAGGTGAATTAGTTTCTCCAATTTCATAGTTTTTAGATGCTATAGCCAGAATCCAAAAGCACAGTTCTGTCTGGTTTCAATGCTCCTGTGTTTTATGATAGTGTTCAGAAGGTTTGTGGGCCTGCATTTTCTGAGTTAAGCCTTCAATTCTCACCTTTCCTTAATTATTTTGCAGACACAGACCCAGCCTGGGGCCTGTAAGTTGTCTCATTAGCTATCCAACTGAGTTTTCCAAGTTTTCTCTTCAGATGCAATACGTAAGTCCTGCCCACATTCTTTGACCTGCCTGACTGTCCTGGCTGTCTCTCTCTTAGACAAGGCAAATACAATTAGACTTTTCATCACACAGTGGACATCTGCTCACCAATGCCTTTTTAGCTATTTGGAAGCCAAGGACACTTTGAAAATCAGCATTCAGTTACCAGGGATGCTCTCTACTAATTCTTACTAATGCCATGATGTCTAAATGTGCACATTAGGAAGGCTAGAGTCCATCATACCCTCATTAGGTGGCTATAAGTGACATTTTCTGCTTTATTGTCCACAAGAAAAACTGTGTAGAGAAACTGCTTTTTTGTCTAGTTGCACAACAGCCCCTACTTTCTCTCCCTCCTTTGCCCTTAGACCTATTTTACACTTATGAACAATTATTTTTAAAGAATTTTCTTAACTTTTTAGTTCAAGAGTACCTGTGCAGCTTTATTGTATCAGTAAACTCGTGTCACGGGGGTTTATTGTACAGATTATTTTGTCACCCAGGTATTAAGCCTAGTACTAATTTGTTAATCTTTTCCTCCTCCCACCCTCCACCCTCCACCCTCATGTAGGGCCCAGTGTCTGTTGTTCCCCTCCGTGTGTCCATGTTGTTCTCATCATTTAGCTACCACTTCAGAGAAGATGCATTATTTGGTTTTCTGTTCCTGCATTAGTTTGCTAAGGATAATGGTTTCCAGCTCCATCCATGTTCTTACAAAAAACATGATGTTATTCTTTTTATGGTTTCATAGCATTCCGTGGTGTACGATAGATCGGGATTTATCTAGTCCACCAGTGATGGGCATTTAGGTTGATTCCATGTTTTTGCTATTGTGAGTAGTGCTTCCATGAACATATGCGTGCATATCTCTTTATGATAGAGTGATTTATATTTCTTTGGGTATATACTCAGTAATCAGATTGCTGGGTTGAATGGAAGTTCTGTTTTTTAGCTCTTTGAGGAATTGCCACACCACTTTCCACAATGGTTATACTAATTTACACTCAATTTTTTGACCGAGTGCTCGGCATTTCATCAAAAATAATCTTGTCATTGATGTTTCATCAAAGGGTAGCTGGTTCCACCTTCAAGAATAAATAAAAACTATTTAGTTTAAGAAAATGTCAATAAGCAACAAATTCAGCCTTGTGTATTTAATAGCATCTATGAAACATTTTCCCTTAAGAATCTGTTTACCTCCCTGTGAGAAGATGTCCTCTGAAACAGACAGGTTCTATTCATTCACGTTAATTCAAGAAGTTTGGATTCTAACTCATTTCACTAGCTGGTAAATTAGGTCAACAATTAATAGCAGCCACAGTAACATTTCTAAGTTTATCCACTTTATATTGTATTAAACACAGTATCTCAAATCATCTTTTAAATATCAGAACATTATTTTTGCATGCTTTTTTGGTAACATCAAGGAGAAAAAACAATCTGTAACACAATGTTGATGTTATCCTTGCTTTACTATCAAGGATCAGACATTTCATGTACATGGACCCCATCAACATATACACCTACTATGTACCCACAAAAATTAAAAATAAAAATAAAATAGTATCAACCATCAGGAAATAAATAGATAACAGGCCAATTCTGAAATAATGAACATTTAGCAATAAAATACATTTTAATGACTTAATCATTAAATTATTTTTTAGTTGTCAACTCTGGAAACAATGTCATGGGAATTTAACAACTTGCAATTCTTAATTCAATAAGATATCTTGTGACAATGGATTTTCTTAAGAATCTATACTTTGATTAACTTGAGACCTTTAGTGGAGAAAATTTTTTAACTCCTGGAACAAATGTACTTTCCTTTGTCGAAGGGACAAAATACATATAAATACTAACTTTAACATGTAAAATTGGAACCATAACATCTTCCTATAAAATGAATTCTATGAGCACCTAAAAGTTATAAAAACAGCCTCAAATAGAAACATGCAATCAAACTATATTTGGACTTTTGTAATTAATAAATTACAAACTTCGATAAAAATCAGGATGTTGTCTGTAAGGTATATCAATAATTTCAGCTAGAATGTCCAATGAAGAAAACTAACAGCTATAATTTCTTAATTAAGACAAATAACATTAACAGAACCTGTGGCAGCTATATGAATATTACTTTATTTCATTGACTAAAATGCCTACATTTTAGGGAACAAACATCATGAGACTTTTCAGTAGTAATATACTTTTAAAATACTTCGATGTCTCAATGTGCATAAAATATTCTAAAGCTGCACAGCTCTCCAATCTCTCTGTCACTGAGATAGAACTTGCAGATGCACCAAAGACTGAACAGATGGTATGCTGGAGGAATTTGAATATTGACAGGCTTTACAGAATAAAAAAGCATTTTTATGAGTCCACTACAAATTAGCCGAAAGGGCAATTAATTTTCATTTTTTTCAAATTCTATGTAAATACAGTGCATTTCTATGTAATGCCATTTGTTAGAGGTCCTTCAAAAACAAATTTGGAAAATGCAACATAGAAGTTCATACCTACACCAAAGCCTGAGCATTAAGTTACAACAACTTCTCTATCCAAAACTAGCCTTTCAAATATTTTCACCATTCTGATATGCTACATTGAAAGAATATACATTTTCTTCTCCATTTGTGGTTGTCTTCCAAACTCCTTTATTTCCCAACTGCACACCAAGTTGTCTTTCTCAAGAACATCTAAAAAAGAAAACAGTACATATTAGAGAATGCAATGCTTTCTTATAAATAATGGGAGCAAGTAGGTATGTTTTCACCACAGCTGAAATTATGAGTCATATGTCTGGAAGCATGCAAAATGTTATGACTTTGATTTTTGTAAGGCTAACTTTATGCAGTCTATAATATAGACTCCTGCAGTATAGCTGAATCACCTGAGGATGTCTTATGATACAAGTTCTTGAACCCCCCTCTCAGGGATTCTATTTTTTTAAGGCTAGGATTGAGCTAGAAAATCTGCATGTTTAAAATCCACATTTTGAGAAACACTAAAATGATATTCATAAAACACCTAACACTACTTCTCACCACACAACTCATATTGTGGCCGAGTCTTTAATATCAGCTTAAATGCAGCTTTCTCTATGAAGCTGCTCGTGAATCCCGTTCCCCAGGCACAAAGCTGGAATCTGTAGTTTTGTGATGGTATAGAATGAGGAAGAAAAGGTGAGACGGTGGGAGTGAGGTGTCCATGAGTACACAGAGGAGAGTTGCATGTTGGGATGGGAAAAGTTGGATATATCTGGAGCATTTTATTCTGAAATTTTGTACCTGAGATTGTGCAATGAATTTGAGGTTGTAACAAGAGTTGGAATCAGAATCAACAAGTAGCAACAATAATTATTCCTCTGATTCACTTAACCAGTAAAATCTAACCACATAGTTGTCATGTATAGGGGAAAAAATTAGCAGCCATTTTATTAGAGTGTATGAAGGAAACAAAATGACGACCCTTTAGACCAATTGCCTTTGTGCAGTGAGAAAGGAGACATCATTCGGTGAGGTGACTTAGAAAGAATACACATAGATAGTGAATAGGCAATTCTAACTGAAAAATTCTCAGCTTTGAACTATGAGAGGTTAATATAAGAGATGAAGTTGGGAATAGAGCAAATGTGTAAGAGAGGTGGGAGTTGGGAATTGACAAGACATGAGTAGGGTGGAGGCCAACAAAAGTAAAATCATTAAGTGATAGAAATGGGATTCAAACATACATCTAATTTATTCCAAACAGTAGGGTATTAACATTTATATCACTGTTCTTACAGTTAGTGGAAATAAGAGTCACTACATTTAAAAGCAGTTTCTCAACTACCACTCCTAGAAGTTCTTATTTAATAGGTTTGATGTGGGGCCTGCGAGTCAACATTTTAATAATCACACCAGCTGATTAGGTTGCAGGTCGCCCCTAGGATTGTCTTTCAGAAACACTAATATAGTTATCTCTTACTTTTCTTTTCTCTTTTTTTTTTTTTTTTTGAGACGGAGTCTCTCCGTCACCCAGGCTGGAGTGCAGTGGCACAATCTCGGCTCATTGCAAGCTCCGTCTCCCGGGTTCATGCCATTCTCCTGCCTCAGCCTCCCGAGTAGCTGGGACTACAGGCACCCGCCACCGCGCCTGGCTAATTTTTTTTTTTTTTTTTTTTTTTTTTTGTATTTTCAGTAGAGACGGGGTTTCACCATGGTCTTTATCTCCTGACCTCGTGATCCGCCCGCCTCGGCCTCCCAAAGTGTTGGGATTACAGGCGTGAGCCACAGCACCCGGCCAGCTAGTTATTTCTTACTTCTAAAAGATTGTATCTGCTATATTGTTACCAACCATGAGATTTGTAATTATAGACATCACACTTAAGACACCTATAATATGCTGTGGTTCCATTTGTTCTTTCTGCTAAAGGAGGCTATTAATGTACTTGAAAAGTATCTGTCTTTGAAAAAGTAAACATCTTGTTTGTAGTTCAAACAATGACAATAATAAAATGAGGACTTCAGATGTTTAGAAAAAGATATACAAACTAGAAGGGTTTCCACCTTGGCAAAGACTTAAAGCTGAAAAATGGATTGAGGAATGTGAGTTGCCTAAATTGCTGCAAGTCTCAGTGATACCCATAGGCTCAAAGTAAAGGGATGAAGAAAAATCTATCAAGCAGACAGAAAACAGAAAGCAAGTGTTGCTATCCTAATTTCAGACAAAACAGACTTTAAACAATCATTTTTAAAAATTACAAAGGATGGCATTACATAATGGCAAATGGTTCAATTCAACAAGAAAACCTTCCTAAATATATATGCATCTAATACAGGAGCACTCAGATTCATCAAATGAGTTCATAGAGACATATGAAGATATTTAGATAACTACACAATAAAAGTGGGAGACTTCAACACTCCACTGACAGTACTGGACAGATTATTGAGGCAGAAATCTAGCAAAGATATTCTGGACCTGAACTTAACATTTGAGCAAATAAAACTAACAGACATCTATAGAACTCTCCACCCAAAAGGAGCAAAATATGCATTCTTCTCATCTGAACATGGCACATACTCTAAAATCAAACACATAATTGACCATAAGTCAATTCTCAGCAAATGCAAAAAAAAAAAAAAAAAAAAAAAAGAAAACCAAAAACGCCTAATAAAACCCCCCAAATTATACCAACCACACTCTGGTGCTACAGCACACACACACACACAAATAGAAATCAATGCTGAGAAAATTGTTCAAACCATACAATTACATGGAAAGGAAACAACTTACTTCTGAATGACTTTTCCATAAACAAGGAAATTAAGGCAGAAATCAAGACTTTTTTGATTTATTAATTCAAAAAATAATAAGCAAATGTAAAACATACCAGGATGTCTGGGTCACAGCTAAAGCAATATTGAGATAAAACTTTATAGTGCTAATTCCCACATCAAAAAGTTAGAAAGCTATCAAATTAACAATCTAACATCACACATAGAAGTAATAACAACAAAAAAGCAAATGAACCTCAAAGGTAGCAGAATAAATAACTGAAATCAGAGCTAATCTGAATGAAATGAAAATGAAAAAGAAAGTTCAAAAGATCAATGAAACAAGAAGTTGGTATTTTTAAGGTATAAATAAGACTGACAGACCACTAGCGAGACTAATAAAGAAAAACAAAAGACTGAAAAGCCAAATAAACATAATCAGAAATGACCATTCTGTTAGCACCAATGCCACAGAATGTTTTTAAAAATAGAGACTACTAAGAACACCTCTATGCACAAAAGCTAGAAAACCTAGAAAAAATGATAAATTATTTGAAACATACAACCTCCTGGTAAAAAACGGAATCCCTGAATAGGCAAATAATGAGTTTCAAAATTGAATTAGTAATAAAAAGTCTACCAACCAGAAAATGCTCAGTGTCAGATGGATTCACAAAGAAATGTTTACAGTGTCAGATGTATAAAGAAGGGTTGGTACCATTTCTACTAATATAATTCCCAAAAAATTGAGAAGTGGGGACTCCTCCCTTACTCATTTTTTGAGGCGGCCAGCATCATTCTGCTACCAAAAGCTAGCAGAGACATAACAGCAACAAGAAGAAAATGTCAGGCCAATAGCCTTGATGAACATAAAAGCAAATGTCCTTAACAAAATACTAGCAAACTGAATGTAGGAGAACATCAGAAAGCTAATCCACCGTGATTGAGTAGGCTTTATGCCTGGGATGCATGGTCAGTTCAACATACACAAATCAATAAATGTTATTCCTCCTATGAACTGAAGTAAAAACAAAAAAACACATATTAATCTCAATAGATGCAGGAAGGGATTTTGCTAAAATTCAACATTTCTTCGTGCTAAAAACCCTCAACAAACTAGGCATTGAAGGAACATACCTCAAAATAGTAAGAGCCATCTCTGACAAACCCACAGCCACCATCATACTGAACAGGCAAAAGCTAGAAGCATTCTTCCTGAGAGCTGGAACAAGAAAAGGAGGCTCATTCTCCCTACTCCTATTGACCACAGTACTGGAAGTACTAGCCAGAGCAATCAGGCAAAAGAAAGAAATAAAAGGAATCCAAATAGAAAAAGAGGAAGTCAAACTATCCCTGTTTGCAGAAGGTATGGTTCTATACCTAGAAAGCCTCATAGTCTCTGCCCAAAAGCTTCTAGATGTGATAAACAACTTTAGCAACTTTCCCAGATAGGAAATTAATGTGTAAAAATGAGTGACTTTTCTATACACCAACAAGGTCCAAGCTGAAAGCCAAACGAGGAATGCAATCTGATTCGTGATAGCCAAAAAAAGAATCAAATACCTAGGAATACAGCTAATCAGGGAGGTGAAAAATTTCTAATGAGAATTACAAAACACTGCTGAATGAAATCAGAAATAACACAAATAGAAAACTTTCCATGCTTATGGATAGAAAAAAATCAATATTGTTAAAATGGCCATACTACCTAAAGCAGAAGCAATTTACAGACTCATTGCTATACCTATCAAACTACCAGTGACATTGTTCACATAATTAGAAAAAAAATCTATTCTAAAATTCATAAGGAATCAAAAAAAAAAAAAAAACCTGAATAGCCAAAGCAATCCTAAGCAAAAAGAACAAAGATAGAGGCATCACACTACCCGACTTCAAACTATACTGCAAGGCTAGAGTAAGCCAAACAGCATTGTACTGGTGCAAAAACAGACACATAGACCAATCAAACAGAATAGAGTCCAGAAATAAAGCTGCACACCTACAGCTATCATATCTTCAAAAAAATTGACAAACATAAGCAATGGGGAAAGGACTCCCTATTCTATAAATAATACTTGGATGACTGGGTAGTGATGGCAGAAGACTGAAACTGTACCAGTTTCTTAAACCACATATGAAAATTAACTAAAGATGGATTAAAGATGTAAATTTAACACCTAAACCTGTAAAAATCCTTGAAGATAAGCTTGGAAATATTATTCTGTACATAGTCTCTGGCAAAGATTTCATGACGAAGACTCCCAAAGCAATTGCAACAAAAACAAAAATTGACAAATGGAACTTAAACTAAAGGGCTTCTGCACAGCAAAAGAATCTATCAACGGAGTAAACAAACAACCTACTGAATGGGAGAAAATATTTGCAAACTATGGATCCAACAGATGTCTAATATCCAGAATCTATAAGGAATTTGAACAAATCAACAAACAAAAATTAAACAACCTCATTAAAAAGTGGTCAAAGGATATGAACAGACATGTTTCAAAAGAGACATAGATGCAGCCAAAAAGCATATAAAAATACTCAACAATATTCATCATTATAGAAATCCAAATCAAAACCAATGCGATGCCATCACACAGCAGTCAGAATGGCTATTATTAAAAAGTCAAAAAATAACAGATGCTAGCAAGGCTACAGAGAAAAGGTAACGCTTATACGTTGCTGGTGGGAATGTAGATTAGTTCGGCCATTGTGGAAACGGTTTGGTAATTTCTCAGAGAACTTAAAACAGAACTGCCATTTGACTGAGCAATCCCATTATTGGGCATATGCTCAAAGGAATATAAATTGTTCTACCATAAAGATGCATGCATTTGTTTATTTATTGCAGCATTATTCCCAATAGCAAAGACATGGAATCAACCTAAATACTCATCAATGGTAGATTAAATAGAGTTAATGTGGTTCATATATACCATGGAATAATACACAGCAATGAAAATAATGAGGTCATGGCTTCGACAGCAACATGGATGGAGCTGGAAGCCATTATCCTTAGCAAATTAATGCAGAAACAGAAAACTAAATATTGCATGTTCTCACTTTTAAGTGGGAGCAAAACATTGAGTACACATTAACACAAAGAAGGGAACAGCAGACACCAAGGTCTAATTGAGGGTAGAGCCTGGGGGAAGAATGAGGATCAAAAAACTACCTGGGAGGAGGGTGAGGATCAAAAAGCTACCTATTGAGTTCTGTCCTTATTACCTGGGTGACAAAATAATCTGTATACCAAACCTTCATGACACACAATTTACTTACATAACAAACCTACATATGCACCCTGACCCTAAAAGAAAAGCTTAAAAAAGACAAAGTAAATGAATAAATATATAAATAAATTGCTACAAGTCTAGTGAGAAAATCTGTTATCTCAATGAAATAGAAAAAGTTTCCTAAAGCATTGATCTTCAAAATTATTTTAACTCATGGATGGTTGCCACTTTCTTGTGCTTTCAGTATTATGACTTCTTTAGTGTATTTTAAAATACAAAACAAATATGTGTATTAATATAAGGAAAGTAAATAGCAAACTTGTATTTTAAAGGTTTTGGTGCATTTGTCTATCTTTGTCTCTGTTGCTGGTGCTTTTGAAGTCTTAATCATGGATCCCTTGCTAGATTAATGTCCAGAAAATTTTTCCCTAGGGTTTCCTCCAGTATTTGTACAGTTTTATTTCTGACATTTAAGTCTTTAATCCATCTTGAGATAATATTTGTACATGGTGACAAATAGGGATCCAGTGTCATTCTGTTGCATATGTCTAGCCAAATTTCCAAGGACCATTTATTGGAATTGGTGTCATTACCCCAGTGTATGCCCTTTGTCTAAGGTCACTTAGCTATAAATATGTGGCTTTTTTTCTGGGTTCTATATTCTGTTCCATTGATTTGTGCATTTATTTTTATACCAGTACCAATGCTGTTTCGGTTATGATAGCCTCGTAATGTAATTTGGCATCAGGTAGTGTGATGTCTTCAGATTTATTCTTTTTGCTTAGGATAGCTTTGGCTATCCTGGGCTCTTCTTTGGTTTTATATGAATTTTAGGATTGTTTTTTCTATTTCTTTGAAAAATGACATTGGTATTTTGATAGGGATTGTATGAATTTGTATATTTTGGGGGGAAGTATGGTCATTTTAATTATTTCCAATTTCCAATTTAAAAATTCCAAATTTAAAATTTAAATTAAAATTCCAAATTTAAAAATTTCCAATTTCCATTGATTCTTCCAGTGCATGAGCATGGGATGATTTTCCATTTGTTTGTGTCATATAGGATTTATTTCATCAGTGTGATGCAGTTATTCTTGTAGAGATTTTGCACTTCCTTGGTTAAATATATTCTTGGGTCTTTTATTTTTTGTACCTATTATAAATGAAATTGTATTTGTATTTGATTCTCAGCTAGATAATTATTTGTGTATAGAAATATTACTATTTTTGTACATTGATTTTGTATCCAACTTTACTGATGTCGTTTATCAAATCTAAGATTATTTTGGAGCAGTTATTAGGATTTTCTAGGTATTAGATCATATCATAAGCAAACAGATAATTGGACTTCCTTTTTTTCCAATTTCCATGATTTTTATTCATTTGTCTTCCATATCGCTCTAGCCAGGATTTCCAGTACTACATTGAATAGCAGTGGTAAATGTGGACATCCTGGCCATGTTACAGTTCTTACGGGGAATGCTACCAACATCTCCTCATTCAGTAAGATGTTGACTGTGAGTTTTTCACTTATGGCTCTAATTTTTTATTTTTATTTATTTATTTATTTATTTAAGATGGAGTTTCTCTCTGTTGCCCAAGCTGTAATGCAGTAATGCGATCTCGACTCACTGCAACCTCTGCCTCCTGGGTTCTAGCGATTTTCCTGCCTCAGCCTGCTGAGTAGCTGTGATTACAGGTGCGGGTCACCACACCCAGCTAATTGCTGTATTTTTAGCAGAGATGAGGTTTTTCCATGTTGGTCAGGCTGGTCTCGAACTCCTGACCTTGTGATCCATCCACCTCGGCCTTCCAAAGTGCTGAAATTACAGGCGTGAGCCACTGCACCCGGCTCACATATGACTTTCATTACTTTGAGATATGTTCCTTTGATGCCTTGTTTGTTTAGAGTTTTTATCTTAAATGATGCTAAATTGTATAAAACACATTATCTGCATCTACTGAGGTGATAATATGGTTTTTGTTTTTAATTCTGTTCATGTCTTGAATCACATTTATTGATCTGTGTGTTTTGAACAACCCTTGCATGCCAAGAATAAAACCCACTTGATCATGTACTGTCTTTTTGATGTGCTGTTGAATTTGGTTTGCTAATATTTGTTCAGGATTTTTGCATCTTTGTTTATCAGTGATATTTGCCTATAGTATTCTTTTTTTGTTGTTTCCTTGCCTGGATTCTGTATCAGGGTAATACTGGCTTTGTAGTATGAGTTAGAGAGAAGTCTCTCCTCCTCAATGTTTTTGAACAGTTTCAGTGGGATTTGTACCAGTTTTTCTTTCTGCATCTGATAAAATGTAGCTGTGAACCTGTCTGGTCCTTGTGTTTTTTGTTGTTTTGGGGCGAATTTTTATTACTGATTCAACCTCACTACTCATTACTGGTCTGTTCAGGATTTCTATTTCTTCCTGGTTCAATATTGGGTGACTGTATGTTTCCAGGAATTTATAAATTCCCTCTAGGTTTTTTAGTTTGTTAGCATAAAGATCCTCACTGTAATCCCTGATGGTCTCTATTTCTGTGGTACCAGTTGTAATATCTCCTTTTTTTCTGATTGTGCTTGCTAGAATCTTCTCTCTTTTTCTTGGTTATTTTAGCTAGCCATCTTTCAATTTTGTTTATGTTTTCAAAAACATAAATTTCAGTTCATTGATCCTTTGTATTGCATTTTGTTCTCAATTTCATTTTGTACTGCTCTGATCTTTGTCATTTATTTTCTTCTGCTAGCTTTGTTTTTTTTTTTTATCTAGTTCCTTGAGGTGTGATATTAGGTTGTCAGTTTGTGATCGTTCTATCTTTTTGATATAAACATTTAATGCTATAAGCTTCCCTCTTAACATTGCTTTGGCTGCATTCCAGAGGTTTTGGTATGTTGTGTCTTTGTTTTCATTTGTTTCAATAAATTTTTTAATTGCTTCCATAATTTTATCATAGACTCAAAGGTCATTCAGAAGCAGGTTGTTTAATTTCCATATCTTCACATAGTTTTGAGACTTCCTCTTGAAATTTATTTCTACTTTTATTCCATTGTGGTCTGACAAAATACTTGATGTACTTTTGATTTTTAAAACTGTATTAAGACGTGTCTTGTGGTCTAACATATGATCTGTTTTAGTGTACTTTCTGTAAATGCCTTTTAGGTCCATTTGGTTTAGAGTCTCGTTTATATCCAAAGTTTCTTTTTTGATTTTCTGCCTCGGTGATCTTTTAGTGCTGTCAGTGGGGTGTTGAAGTCTCACACTATTATTCTACTGCTGTTTATCTGTTTTCATTGGTCCAGTAGTATTTGTTTTATGAATCTGTGTGCCAGTGTTGGGTGCATCTATATTTAGGATTGTTATATCTTCTTGTTGAATTGAACCCTTTATCAATATGTAATAACCTTCTTTTGTCTTTTTTATTGTTGTTGTTGATTTTAAGACTGTTTTACCCAATATAAGTGTAACTACTCCTGCTTGCTTTTGGTTTTTGTTTGTGTGGAATATCTTTACCCATCCTTTTACCTTGAGTCTGTAACTGTCTTTATTTGTTAGGTGGGTTTCTTGAAAACAACATTTGATCGGGTCTTATTTTTTAATCCATTCAGCCAATCTATATCTTTTAAGTGGAGAATTTGATCAATTTATGTTCTCAATTAATATTGATGTATGAGATTTTGATCCTATCATAATGTTAATTGTTACCTACTTTCTTTGCAGTTTCAATTGTGTTATTGCATTATAAGAACTGTGAGTTTTATACTTTCACATGTTTTATGATGGCAAGTATTGCCCTTTAGTTTCCATGTTTAGAACTCCTTTAAGCATGTCTTTTACTGGTGATTAATTCCTTTAACATTTGCTTGTCTGAGAAAGATGTTATTTCTCCTTTATTTATGAAGCTTAGTTGAGCAGGATACAAACTAAACTTGGCTGACTGTTATTTTCTTTAAGAAGACTGAAAATAGAACCCCAATATCTTTGTGCGTATAAGGTTTCTGCTGAGAAGTCTACCCCTACGCTGATAGTATTTCTATTATCGTTTATTAGATGTTTCTCTCTCCCTGCTTTTGGAATTTTTCCTTCATTTCTCTTTGGTTAGCCTGATGACTGTATGCCTCAGTGAAGTTAGTCTTGCACTGTATCTCCCAAGAGTTCTTTGAGCTTCTCTTATGGGTATATCTAAATCTCTAGCATGACCAGGGAAGTTTTCCTCAATTATTCCCTCAAATAGATTTCTGAAACTTTTGACTTTTATTTTCTTCTCCCTCGGGATTACCTTGGAATCATAGATTTCGGCACCTTACATAATCTCATATTTCTTGAAAGCTTGGTTCATTTTTCAAACACTTCTCTTTATTTTTGTCTGGATGGATTAATTGAAACACCTGTCTTCAAGATCTTTCTTCTGCTTGGTCTAGTCTGTTGCTAAACCTTTTACCTGTATTTTATAATTCCTTCAATAAATTATTTTCCAGAAATTCTGTCTGGGCTTTTATTAAATTTTCATGTTTTTTTAAATAAATTTTTCATTCATGTCCTGAATTGATTTCCATTTTTTTATGTTGGTTTTCAACTTGCCTTTGGATCTCATTGAGCTTCCTTACAATTCATATTTTCAATTCTATAACACTTCAGAATTTTCATTTTGATTATAATCCATTGCTAGAGAGCTAGTTTAATCCTTTGGGGATGTCATTACATCCTGTTTTTTCATACTGTCAGGAATGTTATGCTGGTTCCTTCTCATTTGGACAAACTATTACTTCTTGTTTTTTATTTATTTATTTTTGAGACAGAGTCTGGCTCTGTTGCCCAGGCTGGAGTGCAGTAGCGCGATCTCAGCTCACTGCAGCCTCCACCTTCCAAGTTCAAGCGATCCTCCTGCCTCGTCTCCCAAGTAGATGGGACTACAGGCATGTGCCACCACGCTCTGCTAATGTTTGTATTTTTAGTAGGGATGGGGTTTCACGATGTTTTCCAGGCTGGTCTCAAACTTCTGACCTCAAGTTACCAGCCTACCTCGGCCTCCCAAAGCTCTGGGATTACAGGTGTGAGCCACCGCGCCCAGCCACTTCTTATTTTTGAATTTACTTTTGTTTGGATGTGACTTTTTTTTCTACTTTTTGGGTATAACTGTAATGTATGTTGAGTAGGGTCATTTGCCTTTGCTTCTGGGTATTTTCAGGGGGACAAAATTCTGTCTAATTTCCTTGGTCATAGATAGCCTTACTGTGGTGGGGTTTTTTTTGTTGTTTTTTTGTTTTTTGTTTTTTTTTCTTTGAATATTGATTGCAGTAGTGGTATACTGTGCATTTGAGTGTGTTCTAAGCCTCTTGCAGAGATGTGGAGTCAGAAGTCCTAGGTGCTGTATATTTAAGTCAGCAGATTTTGTATTGGATTGTGCTGTTTGACCTCCAGGCTAGTAGGTGACACTTGCAGGTAAGAGCCTTCTGGCAGAAATAGATGGGTATTTGCTTGACCTTTGATTGTCAGAAGGAGTTCTCTGTTGCCTCACCTGATGGGCTGGTCTGTGGAATGCCTAGCGCCCTGAGTTCACTGCTCATTCCTTAAGGTGGGGACAAGTTGGACAGAGCTGGACTGCCATTGTTGCCCTTAGATACCCCAATGCCCAGCAGAAGCACCAGCCCTGACCTTGGGTGGCAAGGTAGCTCTTGGTGAAAAGCACCAAGGATTTCCAAGGTTGGAGAAAGGGTGGCACTGGCTCCATATCCTGGGCAAGCAGGAATGTGATTGTCTTTCTCATCCCTCCCTTTTCCTGGGGTTTGTGTCTCTTGGTTTGAACAGACTTAACCATCACTCTCCAGACCACAACATAGCTGAGAGCTGTGGAAAACATCTGTCCATGGCTGCCCACCAAAATGACTTTGATGTAGAACCACTTTCTTTAGCCCAAAACATACAACTTCATGGATAGCCTTTTCTCTGCTGCAGGAACACTGCCTCTCTATGTAGAGAAGAGAAGGGGCTCCACCTTTTGTGCAAGAGTACACCACTAGTGGGTGCATGAACACCCAAAGTAGCTCCATGATGGACATCCATAGACACACCCATGCCATGCTTCCAGGGAAGCAGCCATGGCTGTTTCCATAGCGGTCAGCAGTTTGAAGGAGAGTTCTCCCTCTCCACTGCTGTGCCCAAGCACAGAGGCTGCTTGGATGCTGAGGAATAACCACTCTGCTTCCCCATGGAGCACTCAGCATAGCACCTGTGTCTCTGATGGATGGTGCACAGTCACCTACAGCCCACAAGCAGGGAACTACTGGGCCCAGGAGAACATGCACTCTGATTATCCTTGTTCCAAGGCATACTCCCTGGGTGAACTGCACTCTCCCTTTCCCAAGGAGCAGCATACCCTGTGCACCAAACTGGCTGGGAATCCTGCAGCTTCTTTGGTCTAGACAGGCCTATATGGCTGCAGCAATCCAAGTAGATGCTTAGGAATATCTGTAGAGAATTTAGTGATGTGGAGACATAAGGGTTGAAATTCTCTGTGCAGGCCAGACTCCCACAACAAGTGCACACTGAGTATGGCACTTACTACTGCACCTCAGGTCTCAAAGGACATTGAGCAACCCTGCAAGAGCAGGCAGCACAGTGCAATGACCTCACAAATTTCCCAAATTGCCGCCCACACCAATGCTCGGGTTCATGATAGGAAAGGAGGTCTCTCCAACAGTTCAGAAATCGGTAGTCTGCTGTAGGAGTGAGGGGAGCCAAAAACAGCCCTATCTACCCTTTCCTGGAACCCCAAGTCCCTGCAGGTTTGATCTCTGCCAAACTTTTGCTTCCTTCCTTTTACAGCGTCTTAGCTTCTTCCTGTGAGTTCTTTGATAAGCTCTGGCACTCACCACCTAAACTTATATTTGAGTTATGATTATTCATCTATAACTTTGGTTCTTCTTTCTGAGGAGAACTGACATCCAACATCTCTAATCAACCATCTTGAAGAGCCTTAATATTTTTGATGCAGATTTAAAGGACTTCCTAAACAATCCCTCACCACAGACATCCAAACAAACTCACATTCAGGTGATAATTACTACTCTATAGAAAACACAGTGGCACTAAAATAATAGGTATAAATGATAAAAGAAAGACATTATCACAAGTATGAATAAAATTGTAGTATAAAGCAGTATTAAGAGCATAAGAAGCTGAAAGAAAAAAAATATTTCAGTAAAACTTTACTGGGTAGATCTTGTATATTAGTCTGCTTTACACTGGTATAAAGATACTACCCAAGTGGGTAATTTACATAGAAAATAGGATTAATTGACTCATAGTTCCACATGGCTGGAGAGAGAGGCCTAGGAATCTTACAATCACACTGGAAGGCAAAGAGGAAATACCTTCTTCACAAGGCAGCAGGAGAGAGAGAGCATGTGAAGGAGGAACTGTCAAATACTACAAGACAATCAAATTTTGTGAGAACTCACTCCCTATTACGAGAACAGCATGGGGGAAATGGCCACCATGATCCAATCACCTCTCTCCCTAACGTGAAGATTGCAGGTCTCTCCCTTGACATGTGGGGGTTACAATTTGAAGTGAGATTTGAGTGAGGACACGAACCAAATCATATCATCTTGCATGCAATTGTTGTAAGTGGAAAGTATTCAAGCAAGGCTGAAAAATCATCTGTCAGAAATGACTTTTAAAATTCTCCTTGGGGTTGCCAGGCTGGCCTATATGACTTATATATTTACTTTTTTGTTTACTTTTTTATTGTGGTGAAATATGTATAACATCAATTTTTAGATTTTTACAATTATTAAATGCAGCGTTTAGTAGCATTGAGTATATTCACATTGTTGTGCTACCATTATCATCATCCACCTCCAGAGCTTATTTCATCTTCCATAACTGAAATTCTGTACCCATTAAACAATAACTTACCATACACCCACCTTTTACTCCAACCTCCAGAACCCACTATTCTACTTTTGTCTCTAAGAATCTAACTACTCTAGGTACCTCATATAAGTGGGATTAGACAGTACTTATCTTTTTGTGACTGGTTTATTTCACTTAGCATAATGTCTTCAAAGTTTCCATATTATGGAAGAACTTTCCAGGGATCAAACCTGGAGGGACTTGGGGCTCCAGGAAAGGGTAGATAGGGCTGTTTTTGGCTCCCCTCACTCCTGCAGCAGACTGCTGCTGATGTATCAGGAGTTCTTTCTTTTATAAGACTGAATAATATTCCATTGTAGGTATGTATTGCCTTTTGTTTTTGTGTGTTTGTATGTTTTACTTTTAAGTTTGGGGCTACATGCAGGTGTGTTACACAGGTAAACATGTGTCCTGGAGGTTTGTTGTACAGATATTTCATCACCCAGATATTAAGCCTTATAGTCATTAGCTATTTTTTATGATCTTCACCCTCCTTCCACCCTCCAACCTCCAGGAGACCCCCGTGCCTGTTTTTCCCCTCCTTGTGTCCATGTGTTCTCATTATTTAGCTCCCACTTATAAATGAGAACATGCAGCATTTGGTTTTCTGATCCTTCATTAGTTTGCTAGGGATAATGGCTTCCAGCTCCATCCATGTTCCTGCAAAGAATATGATTTCATTCTTTTTATGGCTGCATAGTATTTCATGGTGTATATGTACCACATTTACTTTATCCAGTCTATCATTGATGGGCATTTAGATTGATTCCATGTCTTTGCTAACATGAATAGTGCTGCAATGAATAAATACAGGCATGTGTCTTCATATAGCATGATATATACTCTTTTGGGTACATACTTAGTAGGGGTAGTGCTGAGTCAAATGACATTTCTGTCTTTAGGTCTTCAAGGAATCACCACACTGTCCTTCACAATGGTTGAACTAATTTACAATACCAGCAACAGTGTATAAGTGTTCCTTTTTCTCAACAACCTCACCAGCATGTTATTTTTTTACTTTTTAATCATAGCCCTCTGGCTGGTGTGAAATGGTATCTCATTATGGTTGTGGTTTGAATTTCTCTAATAATCAATGATGTTGAGCTTTTTTGTCATATGATTGTTGACTGCATGTTATGTCTTCTTTGGAAAAGTGTTCATGTCCTCTGCCCACTTGTTAATGCTTTTTTTCTTGTAGGTTTGTTTAAATCTACAAGATTGTAGATGCTGCACATTAAACCTTTGTCAGATGCATAGTTTGCAAATATTTTCTCTCATTCTGTAGATTGTCTGTTTATTCTGTTGACAGGTTTTGTTTTTTTTTTTGCTGTGCAGAAGCTCTTCAGTGTAATTAGATCCCACTTGTTAATTTTTGCTTTTGTTTGCAATTAATTTTGGCATCTTCGTCATGAAATATTTGCCTGTTTCTGTGTCCCAGCTGGTATTGCCTAGGTTGTCTTTTAGGGTTTTTATAGTTTTGGGTTTTACATTGAAGTGTTTGATCCATCATGTGTTGATTTTTGGATATGGTATAAGGAAGGGGTCCAGTTTCATTCTTTTACATATGGCTAGCCAGTTTTCCCAGCACCATTTACTGAATGGGGAGTCCTTTCCCCACTCTCTGTTTTTGTCAACTTTGTCAAAGATCAGATGGTTGTAGGTGTGTAGCATTATTTCTGTGTTCTCTTGTCTGTTCCATTGGTCTATGTGTCTGTTTTTGTACCAGTACCATGCTGTTTTGGTTACTGTAGCCCTGCAGCATAGTTTGAAGTCAGGTAGCGTGATGCCTGTAGGTTTGTTATTTTTGCTTAGGATTGCCTTGGCTAGTCAGGCTCTTTTCTGGTTCCATATGAATTTTGAAGTAGATTTTTTTAGTTATGTGAAGAATGTCATTGATATTTTGATAGGAATAACACTGATTTTATAAATTGCTTTGGGTAGTATGGCCAATTCTGCAATGTTAATTCTTCCTATCCATGAACATGGAATGTTTTTTCATTTGTTTGTGTCATCTCTCAGATCTTTGAGTTGTGTTTTGTAGTTATCATTGTAGAGATTGTTCACCAATCTGGTTAGCTGTATTTTTAAGTATCTTATTCTTTTTGTGGCAGTTGTGAATGGGATTGTATTCCTGATTTGGCTTTCAGCTTGGCTGATGTTGGTTTATAGGAATGCTAGGATTTTTGTACATTGATTTTGTATCCCAGGACTTTGCTGAAGCTGTTTATCAGCTTAAGGAACATTTGAACCGAGACTATAGGGCTTTGTAGATATAGAATCCTGTCATTCGCAAACAGGGATAGTTTGCCATTCTTATTTAGATGCCTTTTATTTCTTTCTTTTGCCTGATTTCTCTGGCCAGCACTTCCAATACTATGTTGAATAAGAGTGGTGAGAGAGGGCGTCCTTGTCTTGTGCCAATTTTCAAAAGGAATGCTTTCAGCTTTTGCCCATTTATTATGATGTTGGCTGTGGGTTTGTCATAGATTGCTTTTATTATTTTGAGACATGTTCCTTTAATATCTCATTTACTGAGGGTTTTTAACATGAAGCATTGTTAAATTTTATTAAAAGGTTTTTTTGCTTCTATTGAGATAATCATTTGGTTTTTGTCTTTGGTTGTATTTATGTGATGAATCACATTTATTAGTTTGCATATGTTGAATGAACCTTGCACCTTGGGGATAGAGCCTACTTGATTGTGGTGGATAAGCTTTTTGATGTGCTGCTGGATTTTCTTTTCCAGTATTTTTTTGAGGATTTTTGCATGGATGTTCATCAGGATATTGGTCTGAAGATTTCTTTTCTTGTGTCTCTGTCACGTTTTGGTATCAGGATGATGGTGGCCTCACAGAATGAGTTAGGGATGAATCCCTTCTCAATTTTTTTGAATATTTTCGTAGGAATGGGACCAGTTTATTGCCTTTTTAAATCTATTCATCTGTCCACCAGCACTGGTTGCTTTCACTTTTTGACTACTGTGAATAATTTTGCTATTATTTATTCACTTGAGCTTCTTGGATTTGCATATCCATGTTTTTCTTCTAATTATAATTTTTGCCCATTGTTTCTTTAAATAACTTCACTTTCCATTTATCTCTTTTCTTTCTGGAACTTTCATAATAATTATAATGATCTTCTTGATGATGTTCCACATGCCCCTTTGGCTGTGTTCACATTTTATTTATCTATTTATAATTTTTGCTCCTCAAACTCAATAATTTCAAGTGATCTGTCTTCATATTTGCTTTTCTTCCTGTCTGTTTGAGTATAATATTGAATCCTTTAGTCAATTTTTTGTTTTGTTGTTTGCGTTTTTCAATTCCCAAATTGTTATTTTGTTCTTTTTTATACTTCACATCTCTGTTGATATTCTCAATTTGTTCATATATTGTTTTCCTTATTTCTTTTGTTTGTCCATGATTTTCTTAGCTCTTTGAGCGTATTTAACACAGTTGTTTTAAAGTATTGTCTAAGTGTAAAACTTTTGTCTTCAGGCTTGGGTTTTTGAAATTATTTTGTGCCTTTGAATGGACATGTTTTCCTGTTTCTTTGTATGCTTTGTCATCCTCTATTGAAAACTGTACATTTGAAAAAACAGTCACCTATTCCAATCTTTGTAGATTGACCCAGAGTAGGTGAAAGCCTTCACTAATCAATCCAATCTTAAGGCTTAAGGTGTTCATAGGCCTTCATGAGCATGAATTTTCTCTGGGAGTCTGTGTGTATATTTTCCAATTCCCCCGTTTGTATAGTTGGTTTTAAATATATTACTTTTCTGAAGAATCTTACCCTTGCTTTTTGTCAGGTTTATTAGCTGTTTTGTTCTATTTCTTCCTCAATAATCTCTTGCTTCAGGCATATGCAACTCTATAGTTCCCATGTAGTTTTAACAAGCCATGCCTGCTGCTTCGCAGGGCTTCCTTAGCCTGAGATTGGACTTAATTGTGGCCATATGAACTTTGAGTTAAGTGATAGAGATACCAAAACATGTGGCAGCCTACAGACAGTTTAGAAACTTGCAAACTCAGTGTGCTCTGCTCTCTCTGGTTTGCAGACAACTAGGGATAGGACCATCACTTCTTATAATCTACATCTCATCGTGCTGAAGAGATGGTAGGACAAGGATGAGTTAAAAAGCCACAATATTTCCTACCATTTTGAATGTGACTTTTTTCTAAATCGAGGGTTTATTTGGTTGTTCTAGATCTTTAACTGATTTTCAGAGCTTCTATAAGGTTATTTTATCCAACCTCCTGTTGTCTAATGTTTCCCTGGGGAAATGAGGGCCTGGAGCTTTCTAGTTTACCATTGTGTGATGTTACTCTCTTCCTAGTTGACTTTCAAATTATTTCCACATCTAAAATTCTATGATTTCATAGGTACAACTACATCAATAATTAAATTACCAAAATCTTAGTGAGATTCAATCTTATGTAATTCATTCTCTGATCACATAAAACTTTTAGATAACCAAATATTTCCCAGAAGATGCCCGCCTAGCCATACTTTGCTTTAAAGCAGCCTGTGCCTTGTGTATCCAAGAATTTTGAAAGGCTCTAGTGATATAAAAAACAAAAGTATATGTGTATTAGTAGACTACCTCTTTTTTGAAGAACAGGAGTCATTAATTTGTCCATCTCTTCCATTTCTATTTAAGTCAATTTAAGTCTATTTATGGACTTCTATTTTTTTCAGTCTATTCTCAACACAACAGCCAGAATGAACTTTAAAAAAAAAGTCAAATGAGGTCACTCCTTTGTTGAATACCCTCTAATGGGTTTTCATCACACTCAGAGCTAAAGGTTATTAAAGGGCCTATAAGACTCTATAGGATCTGCTCCCACATCTGATTTAATCTTCCTGTTACATTCCTTAGCTCACTATTAAAGCCACACTACATTCCTTGATGTCCTCAAAGTGCCATACACATTCTGCCTGGAACTCACTTCCCTCAAATATCTTTGTAGCAGACACACCTTAAAGTAAACCCAAATAAGTCACACTCTTGTATAATCCCCATCTCTTGTGTGCAGGTGGAACCTATGACTTGCCTCTAACCAATGGAATATGGTGAAGAATATGGGATGTCACTTTTTAGTTACATTATGCTATATTTAAAAAGTGAAGGAACTGTGCAGATTGAATTATTTAATCAAGTGACTTCAAGTTCATAAAAAAGAAAGATTATTGTGGGTGAGCCTGACCTAATCAGGTGAGCTCTTTAAAAGAGGGTCTAGAGGTCAGAGACTCAAAGAAGCAGAAACTCTCTCATTATTGCTGGGCTTGAAGAAGTAAGCCATCATACTACAGCTGCAATGTAATGCATTCTACCAACAATTCCATGAGATTGAAAGAAAACCTAATCCTCAAAGTTGGCTGTAGCCCCAGGGACCAACTTGATTACAACTTTGTGAAACTCTGAGCAAATAATCCAATTAGGCCATACCCAGACTTCTGACCAACAGAAACTGTGAGATAATGTGAATTGTCTGAAATCTCTAAATCTCTGATAATTTTTTACACAGCAATGAATAATATAATCCTCATGGCTCCCTCCCATGTCTCCCTCCAGTCTTTGCTTAAGTCTCACCTTTTCATTATGGCCTTCTTTGACCAATCTATTTAAAATTGCAGCCCCTTCAAAGCACGTTCCCTATTGGCAGTCTTTGCTTTATTTTTCTCCATAGCACTTATCACCATTGGACACACTATATATTTTATTTATTTATTTTTGTTTATTGTCAGACTCTCATCATTATAATGTAAGCTCCACAAGAACAGAGGTCTTATATTTCCAACATTTAGAAGAATAACTAATATATAAATTCTCCATGTGTATTTATAAAATGAATGAAGGAATGAATTTCTATGGCATTTTACAGAATCCTCAATATGTCTTCCAATATCATGTGTGTTTTTGGATCCGCCACCTTTCCAGTCTTTCCTCCTTCAATTTACCTGTTTACCCATTTTTCTCAAGATTTATCAACCTTTGTTTATTTATTTAATACACCATTATTTGGGCTCTTACATATATCTTTTCCTGTATTTTTCTAGATAATTGAGTTTACATATTTCACCTTTAATGTGGATTTATCAGGGAGACATTCCCTGAGCTCCTGGAGTAGGTTTGGTCTCTCTGTTATATATCCCCATAGGCCTATACACTTTTCATGCCTTTCATCTCAATTGTAAATACTTTTGTAATCACTCGTACAGTGGCTATTCTACACCCACCCCCAATATTATAGGTTTCCTTAGGAAAGAGACATTATCTGTCTTGTCTAATTCTGTGTTCCCAGCACATAGGACAGTGCCTATCACTGTGAATGAACGAATATAGCTATTTTAATGACCAATTTGCAAAATATAATGGTACTCCTCTTCATTTTTCTCTAGTTAATCTGCTTCCTAAGCATATTTAAGAAAAATTTCAAAAGCATTAAAATAATTTATTCAATAAAACACTTCTTATTTGTTTATTTATTTATTTATGCTTTTTCAGTCAGAAAGACTACTTCTCACCGGATATTGCCTTCCCCAGATTTTAAAGTTTATTTTCAACATATTCTGAAAAGAACAAAGGCAGGTAATGCTTTCTTTTAAAAAATAGTTACATAGTACTTTTCTTCCACTATGTGGTAGTTTGCTCTATGTGAAAAAGTGATCCATGATAGTCTATGGGACAGAGCAACTGGTGATGACTGAATATTAAAAGGTCAAAAATCAAAAGGTCTTGATAAAAATATTTAAATCTTCAGAGTGAAATAAGTGAAAAGTTGCCTGGAATAATAACATTACAATTATTATCTAATACCTCTATTTTTTCTAATAGAAGCTGGTTCTAGACATTGGATATAAAGTGTTTGTGTGTATGTGTGCATAAATATATAAAGAAACTCTATAATGCTATTCTCCATGTAGATAATTTGCTTGGGGATCAATAAATGTGTTTGTAGGAAACTTTCAAGTATAGACTATATATTTTTTTTTTTAGACTATATTACAACATTTTAGAATGATATGTACCTGATAGATGAAGCAGATAAATTTGAATATACTTCACTTTATTTAGCAGACAATGGTTTCTTTTTCTGGAATTATGTAACACCATTGTCATCATCATCATCATCATCATCATCATCATCATCATCATCATTATCAATCTGCATAAGGATGATAGTGGTCATTATTCTCCTGGTATCATTACAAGACTTTCCTTTGGAGCATTATTGGGTTATGATATCAATGTTGCCAGTGATTCTTAAACTTCTTCCTTTAGCCAAATTCTGTGAATATTAGTTTCATGAAAGAAGTACTACATCTACAATATTTTAAGTTTAGTGAAGAGAAATAGAAAGCAGTACATTCACAATATATTTTCAATTTCAAACTGAATTCTAAATTCATCATTTGCACCTAGGTCTAATTTTCACTTCTTGCAGGTTACATGTATTTGCCATATTGATTTATTTTCTGTTTTTCTTTTTTAGACTATTGAGGGATAAGCACATATTTATTAAAAGTTCTAGGCCTAAGCTATTCATTTGATTGTTTGTAGTTTATTTCCTTGAGGCTGTTGGTTTTCTTAGCTGACTTTGGATGGTTAGGCCTTTAACTTCCCCTACTTTGACATCCTTGCTAAGAAGTAGGTGGTTATGCTTAAGTCATAAGTGCTTTCTACCTTCCACTTCATACTGGCTAACTCAAGAAAGGCAAAATGAAATAATATAATTATGATGTACAAAATAAAGGTGTGTTTTGTTTCCTCTCATCAGTTTCCTCTTACTCCTTTTGGGAGAAGCCTTCTTCTAACCTTGTCTTCCTATCAGGTGGCTATTCTGATTTTCATTCATCTTCTTACTTACCAGCTAAACTCTCCCCATTCTAATTAATTCATATTTATGTGTGTGCATATCATATCTTCTCTTGCAAGGTGATAAGGTTCTTGAAAGTAATAATCATATTCATATTCATGTTTGGGTCTTCTCAAATCCTCTTGGTGCCTAGCAGAAACTCAATATATTTTTTAAAAGAGCGAATAAATTACTAAACAAAAAAATTCTTAGGGTGTGTCCCTATACAAGAATATTGCTATTTTAATAAGAAACTCCAGCAGATCCGAATGCTGAGGGCCAAAGAAACTTTTTGACTATAACCCTGTATGGTGCCTCTTGAGCACACTGTAGAGGTAGCACCTATTCAATAGGCTGCCACTAGTAATTACTGTATAGATTAGAACAATCAATAGCTCAATTTCATAAATGGCTTCTTGCAGTACTGCAGGGATTTACAATCTATGAAATCAAAGGAATGTGTCAAGTGTTTGTGCTTAATGACCAAACACATCAATTTCAAAGCTATTTTACATTCCTGAATGGAGGCAAGGTTTCTCTTGATGATTTCAAAGACAGCAGTATTAGTTTTTTTTTTTTTTCAGCTGGCAGTCTTAAACCTTTAAATTTATAGGAATTATACAAATATGTTTAAGGGAGTCAACAGGCTTGAATTTAAATAAACTGATGTTCTCAAATCAAATCATAAAGTGTGTTTCTTTATCAATGATCTATAATAGGCATTTCCTCTCTTAATTCCTATTTTTAAAAAACCTTCATTTGTGTAACACCTGCATGCATTGTGGTGATGAATTATTATTTCTGAGGCTTGATCATTTTGTGTACAAGAAAATCAATGATCCCATATCTCATATCTCATTCTCAATTTACCACTTAGAATTTTAAAGATGTAGCATGTGTTGGGCATGGCGGGGAGGAAGTTAAGGTCAACTCGTTAACATTTGTCATTTAGTACAACTTGTTTGAGCAAGTACAATTGAGTATATGGATATGAAAGGATCTCCGTTCGGTCCCAACAGCCCTTTTTCTGACAGTGTTCTATAGACACAGCCTTATAAAATGCACATTTGCAAGAGATTTCCAGAGATAAAAAGAACCTGGGTTCTCATGGTCATATGTGATTAAAAGAAATCTTCACTATGGAGACTTCTAAGTGAAATAGACTTTGAGAATATCAGATCAAAGGAAATAAATTCAACAAACTTGTGTGATTCGCATAGAAATAATCTAACCTAATGTTTCTTTTGGGTGACTGGACTACAGAGCTCATGGATTAAGTGTTTTGAAACACTAAGAAACATAATTAATATATTTAAGGCATGTCCCCAAACTAACAACTACATTTAAAAAGCCAGTTTGTTTCCTTTTCCCTAACGTATAGAGCCAGAAAAAAATTACATGGATCATACTTTAAAGAATGGGGCTGAGGCCACAAAGACTTGTGGCTCCCTAATGTGTATGTTATTGTTAGTACGGAGACAAAAAAACTAAAAAGAAATGTCAATATAAAATGTCTTATGGAGTTAGTTCACCTGTCAAATATATCTTGTCACAAAGAAAGAAGAAAACTGTATTCACATGCCAGGAAAATCTTGGTTTCAAATTTTGAAGACCTAACTTGACAGGAAAATTATGCATCCAAATGTTCTCATATAAAAGAATGTTAGAACTCTGTTAGAGAAGTGGATTGTTGCACAGGTTTCTTCTATTAGTTCCATTCTGCCAGCATTAATTTGAACTCTTACTCACATCCTGTGCTGGTAGTCTCATTTTCTTCAATACATTTATTTACTTCTCTATAATCCAATAACCTTTATCAATGCCATTGGTGGTTGCATCACTGATAAAGAGTTCTGTTAGAACCTTACCAATGAGATCTCATTATTTACCTATAAAAATGAAGAGCTACATTCTGATTCCCATTCCAGCTCATCTATGGGAATCTTGACCATGCCTGGTTTTCAGTCATTTTGTCACATTCTTTTGCTCGACAATAAAAAAAAGACTTTGGAGTCAAATTAGTGTTTGGTGGGTGGCTCTGTCTCACAATGGGAATGGTTGATTCAGTGAATTGCAGTACTGGAGACTGCCATCAACTTGCTGAAAGGGACTGGCTAGCCAACCAATATTCAGAGAATGGTGGATACTTCCAGATATCTCTTCTCATACCAATCCTGTCAGGGTGGGCCTGGGAGCCAGACATATCTACCAATTAGACCTCACCACAACAGATAGCCTTGACAGAATCCCGAGTTACATGGAAATGTCTAATTGTTTTTTTCTGTCATACTGAGGTCCTCTTGTTTAAATTAAATAAACTGCTCTTTATTTTTCTTTCTCCTCTAGCCTCTCTTTTCCCTTTTTTCTCTTATCTGTCCCCCTACCTTCCCCTCTTTCATCCATTTCCTCTTACTCTCTCTCTTCTATGTTCACACATAGGCACAATATAAGTAGAGCTAGTAAAGGGAAATATTGAAATTGAATGGTTTGAAAATCACATTGTCAACACTGCTACCAGATCTGCTTGCTTGCTTGCTTGCTTTCTTTCTTTCTTTCTTTCTTTCTTTCTTTCTTTCTTTCTTTCTTTCTTTCTTTCTTTCTTTTCTTTCTTTCGTTACCAAGTCAGAGTTCACAGTTAAACAGCTATGTCTTCATTTTATTTTGCTTTATTACTGAAAATTTAGGCAATTTTTGAGACATTTTAAGTGCCTCTTTCATTTTTCAAGTCATCTTTTTATCAAAATTTGACCTTCTAACTGAACTAATATTTGCTGACAAAGAGGTAGCCAGTAGTGATTTCACATCATAGGAAGAGGATCTTAGCTGTATCTCTACAAGTTTGTCTAGGCTCTGGATATTCAGGCAGCTTTCTGCCCAATAATACCCTAACACTCTAAGTGTATTGGACTGGGACAACCTCATATTTCTCTCTCCATCACAAAATATTTTGGGAACAATTTGCTCTGTCCTTTGGAAAAAAGTTGCAAATAGTCTCACTGACCTTAGTTTTGGCCCCATGTTGCTAAGCATCTGGATGAGAAATTTTAAAATGCAGTCAATTAACCAGATTTTTCTAAACATCTCAATGTATAGTACTATAGATAAGGTTTGCTTTTCTCTATATGAAGTTAAGGGAAGGTTTGAGTTAACTCTTTATGTCATTGAGACAAATATACAGTTTAGTTTGAATGCTCAGATAATTACAAACAAGGTGTGAAACTTCTGGAATTATTGAAAAACCACCGCATTTCTCTTCACTTTACATGTTTAGAGACAGCTTTTGCCAATATGAGTGCCAGCTGCTAGACTGCTTTACATATTTGGCTTCTCCCCCATCCGCCGCCCCCTGCATTAAATTCAAGCTCTCTGATTTAAAATTTGTTTTCATTTTGAGAGCAGCAATTTTCACTTTCTAAAAGGGAATGTAATGTTACATCAAAGTTACAAAAGATGTTTTAAACTATTTAGATTATAAAAAAAAGAACTCTGAAAAAAAAAAAAAACGTTTGGCAATATAGGTAACCCACATGGAAATGTTAGATGCATAAATATATCTGGTCAATTCTGCCTTATGAATAGTCAATGGAAATCTCTCCCCTCAGGCCAAACCTGCCATCTAAGCCAAACACCAGAAGCCCACTGCAGAATATTCTGGAAAATCAAGTTCGGACTGTGTCAGATGCTTCCCCTGTTCATTGGAGGTCATTTCCCACAATACTTTAGAGATTCCATATTAGATGGGATTAATGTCTTGACTCCTTGTGACATTTATTTGGCATTCTTTCCCCAAGATACAAACTGAGACTCATCAATAATCTATCATGTAAAGCACCTAACTACTCTGCAGGTTTCAGTTACTTTCTTCTAGGATGTCACCCAGTGTGCCCCAAATCTGCCTTTGTTCATCTTCTATGCTCTTTGTATTGGCATTTCCCATCATTGCCTGAAATTATTGATCAACTGTTAACCTGATAGTGTTTATTGCATTCTGGGTTGATAGGCAAATATAGATTTGAGAAAAAGGTAGGAATTGTTTATTATAGAATTGCCCTCTAGAATAAATATTCTCTCCCTAGGAGTCATGATGAATTCGGCTGGAAACAGAAGACATGGACTGAAATTAAAATCTAGTACATTGATTGTGTATTGATTGTTTCCCTAGCATATTAATTGTCTACATGCAAACCAAGTTTTAGAGATGTTGATGAAATCTTTCTGGCTAGCAATAGTACCTCTTGGTATGAACAGTTTTGCTAATAACATCAAGTAGCAAAAGGTTTTGGAATTAAAGAAAACATTAAGTGAACCATAAGTAGTGGAGGGACTAAGTGGTAATCAGTTCACTAAAATTAAAAAAAATATAAGCACAAAGTCAGGCAACAAAGAGAAGAAGAACATAAATAAAGGACATATATATATATATGAAGATAACAACTGTTTTCTATGCAGTCGTTCATTCATTCAGCAAATATTTCTTACGCATTTTGTGCTAGGTACTGTTATTAATCAGGGAGACACAGTTATAAATAGGACATCTCATGAAACCTCTGTACTGACTCACAGAAACTTCCAGGAAGTGGATGTGTATGCAAAACCTCATGAAAGGCCTTATAGTGGTTTCTTTCAGAAGTATAATGCTCCAGAGTATAAGTTATACCATTTGAGTCAGAATCAATGGAAGAGCAGAACAGAGGAAGGGGGTGTGCAAGAACACGTTTGAACATAAAGCTCACAGAACTGAATCAAAACAGAAGTCAGATTTCTAGGACTTTAGGTAACAATGAAAGTCAGGTAGTTTGAGAAATTAAGAGGTAAAGAAACACAAAGTGAACATACAGGGTTGGACTGGAGGAACAAACAAAACAAATTGTCTCAACACCAGATTGGAGTTCTAGAAGAGCGTTTAGACTTACAAGTGGCACCGGGAAGGAAATGGTTCTATCTTCCAAAGGTGTGCCACCTTCAGCATTGTGAGATAATATGCTTCAGAGTTATCTTAACATACATACACAGTGTACTGACAGCCAGGAAACTAATTAAAGTAATGCACCACATAATGACATTTTAGTTAATGATGGACTGAATATATTACAGTGATCCCATAAAATTATCATGGAGCATTTGTAGAAACCTGATATATGGTACTTGGTATTGGCATTGTAGACAGTCAATATTGGTGCTGAGAGGTTTGGTTTTCCATTTAAAAATATATAAATAATATTATACATACCATCTAGGTTTGTGTAAGTACATTCTATGATGTTTGCACAGTGCTAAAGTCACCTAAAGATGCATTTCCCAGAGCATATCCACGTTGTTAAGTGATGCATGACTGTACATAATCAAAAGATGAAAGATCTGACTGCTTTGTAGTTTCATCTGTCATACTTTTTACCTGAGAATTAATCATACTGTATCAGAGATTATTTGATCCCCTAGAATGAACTCTGAACAAAATAGTACTTAAGATTTGCCATCAACCATGCTATGTGTGAAAAGGCCATAAACCTGAAACATAATAATAATGACCTTCCTTCCCCCCAACTTATATATACTTTGCAGGCACCAGAAACTATTATAAGAACATTACCCACATAATTTTAATTTCATTTGATCCCCAGAGCAATCCAAAAGGAAGGTTCTAATCCTATTATAGAGAGGTAGAAATTGAGGCAAAGGGAAGCTGAGTATGTTTCCACGGAAACACAGTAGGTTGCAGTAGGATGCACATTCAGAATTTAAACCCAATAATTCTGGCTCCAGAGTCAGATGTCTGTTATGTTAAATTCAATGATTTCACTCCCATATGATAGAAACAAAAGTTACATGAGAAATTCTGCTGCAGCATTTTCTAATCAATTCACCTGAGTTTCTTTTGATAATATTAAAATCCAGTTTTTTTTTTTTTTTTGCAGTCTCAGTCCATGCTGCTTTATTGCTAAAAATGTATATATACACAGGTGCAGAGTTTCCAACTCTTTTAACAGTTCCTTTTTACATCAAAGAATTAAATTTCTTCTTCAAAAACCCCAAAGATGCATAGATTAAGAAGCAAGCTGTCTTTTGTAATACTTCAAATAATATTCAATGAAACTCTTAACATTATACACCAGTGATGCAGTGGAGAATATGGAGGACAGCAAATAAACACAGTGAGCAACTCTTATTCTTACAAGGCAGTAAGTAAAGTATAATGTGAAGGACAGTCTAAGATAATCTTTCTGGTTATAAGAGATGGGTCGGTTTTATGATAAGTGCCAAGACTGTTACTGTTTAAGGATTGATGGTAATGTATTACAAGAATACCTTTCTTACCCCGGGAGAAAAATATTTTTTCACTGATGGAATGACATATCATCACCAAGGGAGAAAAAAACCTGAATACTGTCAGTAACTAAGATACCTATTCTGACTTTAAAGAAGATTTAGGACTTCATGGAGAAATCTGTGATATTTGGTTTCCCAAAATTAAGTATTTTAATGTGCCTTAGTGAAATAATCAGAGGAATTTAGAGAAACTCTGTTCTTAATCTTTACTGGCTGACAGACATGCTATCAGTAATTGGGGAAGAGAAACTATATTCAGGATATGACATCTCACTTCATATATTTGAATGGAAACCAAACATCACAATCACAAGTAGTCTAATTCAATTCTGAACCACTGAAAAGTTACCATTCCACTGTATTCATTCCCAAAGTCATTTGTAGCAAAATCCTACAGGAAAGAATGTGAAATAAAAAGTTTTCAAAAAAATTTTTTTTTCCAATCATAGAATGTAAAACCTTGAATGCACCTTGTGAAAATCATTTAGTCTAATCTTGAATTCTATTTAGGCTTGTTTCAGACATCATGAATGCCATTTTTACGTCCATACCACCCTGAACGCGCCCGACCTCATCTAAAATCCAGTTTTTAAGAGTAATTAAGTGTAGAGAATCAAATATTTGTTTACAGTGGGATAATTCCTAGCAAAAACATGTTTTTGCCTTAATCGTACAAACAATAAAATTACAGTAATTTTTCCTACTAGTGATATCTGAATGTGTGAATTTATCCATATACAATATTTGTGTACGTTTAAACTATTAATGATCAGGTCAGTTGAAAGCTAGTTTCTGCCCCCCACCAAATCAGTCAACCTGGCTTTTAGTCTGATGAACAACCAAAGTTTAACTAGCTGTGCTTGCAGGAATACCCTCTAGTGAGATTATTAGTTAAATGTTAACTTTTAGACATAATCTCCTTTTTAAATTGCTATTACAGGAGGGAACATTTAAATATTAAATTGAGGGAAAATGGCTGTTAGAGAATACTGAATCTTCACTGAAAAATAGTTTAGTGCATGGGTTTTATATAGCGCTCTTTGACCTTTTAGAGTTTTGCCTTAATAGCAGGTTGATTTGTATTAAAATAATGAGCTTTTTCTCTCAGAAGAAGTGCTTCACACTCCTCCTCTAATCAAAAGCTTATTCTATTATTTCCATGCATAAGATTCAACAAGTTATTTTTCTTTATTAAATGAAAATTTTATTGTCTTTTTCTACAGTGCTTTTATGTATATATGAATATGATTAAGTTGAATTTTCCCACTTTCACAAAAATTAATGTAAAACAATTTCATGACCAATTTAGCATTAAATATATTTTAGTCAACAAAATGTTGGCAGAGTAGTCCAGAGTGGGTCTTTTGCGTGGTTAGACAAGCAGTATTTAGATTTTAGTATGGTCATAAATGAATAATGATATAATTTTCTGATCCAGGTAGTCATGATTCCTGCATTTATTTGTAAGAGAAAGTCCAGTGTTTTTCAAAATGAGGATTTTGAATACTTGCATCAGAGTTACTTGAGTTGCTGTTAATGGTGCAGTTTCAGTGGCCTTACTCCAGAACTGGTGAATCAGAATTTCTTAGGGTGTTGCACAAGATTTGATATTTTAAATGTTTCTCAAGAGTGAAGTTTCAGAACCACTGCCTTCCAAGCGTATACTAGTATCCATTCCACATATGCATATTGCTTGCCAGGCTGGTCCTGCAACAGCAATGTGGATGTTCCCAGCTGAAAGGACACTTAGAAGTTATCTGGGTTTACCCATACTGAGCTTATCATTTTACCATAGGGCTGCTAGATTTGGCAAACAAAAAAGCAGAAATCCAAGTTAAATTTTATTTCAGGAAAACAATCTAAATACAAATAATTGATTTCCACTCTATTGAAGGCTTTCGTTTTTGACAAGTATATACTCATAAAAATACAGAACTCTACTGTCAAATAACTTTCAAATGCTTAAAGACCTAAGGTATTTATTTTATAACAAAGAAATCACTGCATATGAAAACATCTTTTCATAAATCACCCAATGCTACTTAATTTGTCAGAAGAAAATATTACAGAAATAGGTTTTTACATAATTAAGATAATTTCATATTGGCTATCTCTTCTTACTTACAACTTCTTGAAGTCTGTCTGTCTGTCTTTCTATGTATCTAAGTAATCTATTTATCTACTCACCTACCTGCTCCCTACCTATTTACCTGCCCATCTACATCCTTCTCAAAGACCCACTGGCTGACTGAAAAGAGCATGGACGCAATCCTGAGACCTCAATTTCACTATTTAAATGCCATCCAGAATTTTGAGGTTCCAGGAAATAAGGCGTGTCAGTCTGAAGACAGGATCCTAGAATGTAAGTGGTTTGAGCATGGAAAGGAAGCCTTTCTTTTACCCTTAAAAAAAATATTTAGGGCAGCACCAAGGAGTGTGAGTGGGGGGTGTATTACTCCATTTTCATGCTGATGATAAAGACATACCCAAGACTGGCTAATTTATAAAGAAAGAAAAAAGGTTTAATGAACTCACAGTTTCACGTAACTGGGGAGGCCTCATAATCATGGAGGAAGGTGAAAGGCATGGCCTACATGGTGGCAGGCAAGAGAGAAATGAGAGACAGGCAAAAGGGGTTTCCCCTTATAAAACCATCAGATCTTGTGAGACTTATTCACTACCATGAGTACAGTATGAGAGAAACTGACCCCATGATACCATTATCTCCCACCGTGTCCCTCCCAAAATACATGGGAATTATGGGAGTGTACAATTCAAGATGAGACTTGGGTGGGGACACAGCCAAACTATATCATGGGGATGTCATGCCATCACTCCTGTTCATCAAAAGAACGGAAGGGTCCAGACAACTTGTTAAAAATGTTTTCTTCCAATATTTGAAATTGTAAAGGTAATTGAATCAATTTATCTATGGACTGTGTATTTGGGTGCTAAAAGTGTGACAATTCATTTAAAAAACAGAAACAAAAACATAACGGTTTGATAGATTTGATTTTAATTGACTCTCAGAACATTTGATCAAGTTTAATATACCCATCCAACCTGTATTATCCCCCAAAGAATTCATATAGTTTTGGAAAAGGGCAATTACACATATAAATAAAGGTGTTCACGTAATACAATGGAGACCAATTCTACTCTGTAACATGTTTTATATACAACTCAACTTCAAATACTGTACTCTATTTTGCCTATATAAAAACCTCCCAGGGAGTGATTAGATCATACCTGGTCTCTTCTGTAATCTCAATTTAGGTCCACATAAATGATAAAGAAGAAACTAGGAAGAAGCTCTATGCCAAGCACCATTTATCTTTATTATGTAGTGGCCTAACATGGTCTACAGGGACTGTTTTTTGGAGTAATAATCTTTTAGGATTCTTTTGAATTTAGTAGGTATCAAAATGTTTTTTATGTCCATTATTTTATTTACATCTTACAGCAGCTTTCTGAGTATGCATGACAATACATCAGATTTTACATTTTACACATAAGAAAATTGGGGCTCAAATATTGATCATTTCTCTGTGTTGGAAGCAATCAATATTCTCCTTCTGGTTATTTGAAACTGTGTATTATTGAAGACTACAGTAATCCTACAGAATGTCATCCATGCTCCTTTCATCAGCCAGTGACTCACTGAGAGGGAGGTAGATGGGTAGGTAAACAGGTAGGTAGGTAGGTAGGTAGGTAGGTAGGTAGGTAGGTGAATAGATAGATAGATTCATTAGATAGATAGATGATACAATAAATAGATAGATAGACAGACAGACAGATAGACTTTCAAGAAGTTATCAGTAAACAGTGCTATGGTTTGGCTGTGTCTCCACGCAAAGCTTATCTTGAATTTTATTTCCCATAATTCCCATATGTTGTGGGAGGGCCCTGGTGGGAGATAATTGAATCATGGGGGTGGTTTCCCCCATACTGTTCTTGTGGTAGTGAATAAGTCTCATGGGAGCTGATGGTTTTATAAGGGGTTTTCCCTTTTGCTTGGCTCTTGTATGTTCCCTCTTGCCTGCCATCATGTAAGATGTGCCTTTGCTCTTTCTTCACCTTCTATCACTATTATGAGGCCTCCCCAGCCATGTGAAACTGTGAGTCCATTAAACCTTTTTCCTTTATAAATTACCCAGCCTTGGGTATGTCTTTATTACCAGCATGAGAGCTGACAAATACAAATTGGTACCAAGAGTGGGGTGCTGCTGTAAAGATACCCAAAAAATGTGGAAGCAACTTTAGAACTGGGTAACATGCAAAAGTTGGAAGAGTTTGGAAGGCTGAGAAGAAGCCATAAAGATGTAGGAAAGTTTGGAACTTCCTAGAGACTTGTTGAATGGCTTTAACCAAAATGCTAATGATATGGACAATGAAATCCAGGCTGAGGTGGTCTCAGACAGCAATGAGGAACTTGTTGGGAACTGAAGTAAAGGTGACTCTTGCTATGTTTTAGCATAGAGACTGGTGGAATTTTTCCCCTGGCCTAGAGATTTCTGGAACTTTGAGCTTGAGGGAGATAATTTAGAGTATCTGATGGCAGAAATTTCTAAGCAGCAAAACATTCAAGAGGTCACTTGGGTGATTTTAAAACCACTTAGTTTTATTGATTTGCAAAGATATGGTTTGGAATTGGAACTTATGTTTAAAAGGGAAGCAGAGTATAAAGGTTTGGAAAATTTGCAGTCTGACAATGGGATAGAAAAGAAAAACCCATTTTCTGAGGAGAAACTCAAGCTGGATCCAGACATTTGCATAAGTAATGAGAAGCCAAATGTTAATTGCCAAGAATACGGGGAAAATGTCTCTAGGGCATTTCAGGGTTGTCATGGCAGCCCCTCTTACCATAAGCCAGGAGGCATAGGAAGAACAAAACAGTTTTGTGGGCTGGGCCCAGGGCCCTCCTGTTGTGTGCAGCCTAGGGACTTGGTGCCCTGCATCCCAGCTGCTCAAGCCATGGCTAAAAGTGGCCAAGGTACAACTCAGACCATAGCTTCCAAGGGTGCAAGCCCCAAGTTTTGGTGTCTTCCACATGGTGTTGAGCCTGTGGGTGCACAGAAGTGAAGAATTGAGATTTGGGAACCTCCACCTAGATTTCAGAGGATGTATGGAAATGCCTAGATGTCCAGGCAGAAGTTTGCTTCGGGGTGGGGTCCTCATGGATAACCTCTGCTAGGGCAGTGCAGAAGGGAAATGTGGGGTTGGAGCCCCCACACAGAATCCCTACTGGGACATTGCCTAGTGGAGCTGCGAGAAGAAGGCCACTGTCCTCCAGACTTCAGAATGGAGATCCATCATCAGCTTGCACTGTGCATGTGGAAAAGCTGCAGACACTCAATGCCAGCCTGTGAAAGCAGCCGAGATGGGGGCTGTACCTTGATAAGCCACAGGGGCAGAGCTGCCAACGGCCCTGGGAGCAGACCTTTTGCATCAGCATTACCTGGAGGTGAGACATGGAGTCGAAGGAGATTATTTTGAAGCTTTAAGATTTGACTGCCATCCTGGATTTTGGACTTGCATGAGGCTTGTAGCACCTTGGTTTGGGCCAATTTATCCCATTTGGAATAAGTATATTTACCCAATGCCTGTACCCCCATTGTATCTAGGAAGTAACTAACTTGCTTTTGATTTTACAGGCTCACAGGTGGAAGAGACTTGCCTTGTCTCAGATGAGACTTTGGACTAGACTGTTGACTTAATCCTGAAATGATTTAAGACTTTGGGGGACAGTTGAGGGGAAGGCATAATTGGTTTTGAAATGTGAGGACATGAGATTTGGGAAGGGCCAGGTGTGGAATGATATGATTTGGCTGTGTTCCCAACCAAATCTGATCTTGAATTGTAGCTCCCATAATTCCCACATGTTGTGGGAGGGACCTGGTGGAAGATAATTGAATCATGGGGGCAGTTTCCCCCATACTGTTCACATGGTAGTGAATAAGTCTCATTAGAGCTGATGGTTTTATAAGGGGTTTCTCTTTTTACTTGGCTCTCATTTTCCCCTTCTTGCCTGCCACCATGTAAGATGTGCCTTTGCTCTTTCTTCATTTTCCACCATGATTGTGAGGCCTCCCCAGCCATGTGGAACTGTGAGTCCATTAAACCTCTTTTCTTTATAAACTACCAAGTCTCGGGTATATCTTTATTAGCAGCATGAGAACAAACTAACACAAATAGCTTCTAGTATATAATACTAAAAGATAACCCTCTTAACTCTAATTTTATATTCTTTAAGAAATATCTCCCTATCTCTAGATGACAGATATGCTATTTACTCTGATCTGATCACTATACATTATATGTATCAAAAATCACTATATACTATGTATCCCTTGAGTATGGACAATTATTATTTATCTATTTAAAAATTCTGAAACAAACAGGCTCAAATGGTTGAATTATTTATTTTGTTTGAGATCACAGAAGCATCATGGCAAAAACTCGTGTTTTTAACAACCATTCCACCACCATCAAAATCACCATTGCTTCTTACTGCTTCTACTATTCTTCCTCTTACATTTACTTCTCCTCTATCTGTCCTTCCTTTCTCCATCTTTTCCTCCTCCTCCCCTCCCTTCTCATTCTCCAAATGGATTCATTAAGATTACTAGGTGCTAGGAATGGTGCTAAGTGCATTAAATACATTTTTTAAATTTTAATTTGTATTATGACCTTATGATTGTCATTATTTAGCATATATAAATGACCTTATGACAATCCCTGTTCAACAGATGTGGAAAACTGAGTCTACGAAAGTGAAATGCTACACAATTAATATGTGATGAGCCGTAATTAGAAAATATACCTTCTAATTGCTAGTTCATTGCTCTCAAACCTCTGACAATATCTGATTGAACAAGCACACTGTCTTAATATAATAATACATGCTCTCGCACTGAAACCAGATGAAAAAAATGTGCTATAGTAAAAGCTTGTCTTTGGAAATTAGATTTCCTTTGCTTTGACTCTCTTTTTATTTCCTTATGAATTGACCATCACCTAATCCTATAATGGTATTATACAAATAATGGTTCATGCAATGCTTTGAACATAAGGGGGAAATGCAGTATCCTGGTACTTACTAAAACTAGGAGGCATGATAGTGTGAATAGAGGCATCTCCGACTTGATACTGTGCCTCTGATCTTTAGATCTGTGAGTGTGGTGCTTATACTTCACTTACCTAGAGGCTGGATATTCCCCTACAGCTGCAAACCAGGCTGAACCATAAGGAAAGAGATAAATAGCTCCTGCTGAAGATCCTGACAATATACTAAGCCAGGCTTGTCATTATAGCATATGGATAAAGAGCTGCTTCCATGCTCTGAGAGGTGAAAAAGTGCTAACCTGCTGTAAACTCAGAGAGTTTCGCAGCATCTTCATTCTCCAATGCCTGGTAGATATAACAACAGAGCTTTAGTAGTCTGTTACAGCTGCCATTAGTTTGCTTTGGATGAACTCTGATGCCAAGCTTCCATATAAGTATCAGTATATATTCTTACATATTTAGTAAAATTGCAGTTATCCTCAGGTTGTGCCTTTTGGAATCTTACAGCTTTCTGTCTTAAATTAAACTTGTAAAAACAACAAACTATTTCCAGACAATTACTTCTTTTATAGGTAATAAAGGATAATTATACATACTGGAGTTTGGGAACTTAAAAACACATGTGATATTACCATTAATGAATGACTGTGACACCTACTCTCCATCTCAATTTAAGCAATGGTTTTTGGCATGTGTTGGGGGATTTCTCATTCTTATTTAGGACAAAAGGAAATATATCTCTTAGTTCCTTTTTCTGAGACATGGCCAACATTTGAGCTTCTTGGATGGCAATTATATTCCATACATACCATATTTTTCCATTTTCACTAGGTGCTGTTTCAATCCATTGGTAGAAATATTTATTTTGAAAGACTATTCTTGTATTTTTTTTGTTTTAGGGAAAAGGTATAGCCTAAGTAAGAAGACCACAAGAAGTGATTGCCTAATATGAACAACATTTTCCTTGGGAACATTTGTGGGAACTGTAGAACAGTGTGGCTGCCTAAAAAGACAAGTAATAGATGGAGTTCACAACAGGCTAACAAGAGGTAAGAATTTTTTGCTAACAGATCTTCCTCACAACAAATACTAAAGTGAGTCCTTCAAGCTGAAATAAAAGTTCACTAGACAATAACTCAAGTCTACATGAAGAAAAAAAGAATGTCAAAAAGGTAACAACATTGGAAATATAAAAACAGTATAAATGTATTTTTTATGACTCATTTTATTTTCCATCTGATTTTAAGAACATTTACACAAACCAATAACAAAAAACTACTGGTATGCATACAATGTATAAAGATGCTAAACATCACTAGTCATTATGAAAATGCAAAATGTAACCACTGTGAGATATCACTTAACACCCATTAGTTTGGCTATAATTAAAAAAACCACACATTTATTAATAATTATTGGCAAAGGTGTAGAGAAAATGGAAGCCTCATACATTGACTGTGGGAATATAAAAAGGTAAGCAACTGGGGAAACAGTTAAGAAGTTCCTCAAAAAGTTAAACATAGAGTTACCACGTAACCCAGCAATTCCACTCTTAGGTATATACCCAAGAGCATTTTAAATATATGTCCACATAAAAACTTGTATATGAATATTTATAGTGACATTATTCATAGTAGCCAAAAAGTAGAAATAACTCACATGTTTATAAAATGATGAATACATAAACAAAATAGTATCAATATAATGAAATAATATTCTGGCCTGGTGTGGTGGCTCATGCCTGTAATCCCAGCACTTTGGGAGGCTGAAGCAAGGGGATTGGTTGAAGCCAGGAGTTTGAGACCAGTCTTGGCATTAGAGTGAGACCCCATTTCTACTAAAAAAAGAAAAAGAAAAAAAACTTACTGGGAATGGTGGTGTGTGCCTGTAATCCCAACTCCTTGAGAGGCTGAGGCAGGAGGATGCCTTGAGCCCAGGAGTTCAACGTTGCAGTGTGCTATGATCATGCCACTGCACTTTAGCCTGGGTGACAAAGTGAGACCTTGCTTCTTAAAATAAAAAATAACAATGAAATATATTCAGTCATAAAAAAGAATGAAATACTGATACATGTTAGAATGTGAATAAATCTTAAAAACATTATGTAAGTGAAATGAGCAAGATATAAAAGGTCATGTACTGTGTGATTCCATTTATATGAAATGTCCATAGTAGGCAATTACACAGGAATGGAAAGTATATCTGTAGTTACCAGGGACTGGGGTGAGTGGGGAATGGGGAGTTACTGCTAATGGATACAGAGTTTCTTTTTGGGGTGATGAAAATATTCTCAAATTTCTAGTGGTTATGGCTGCACACATTGTGGATATACTAAAAACCACTAAATTGTATACTGTAAAGGGCTAATTTTTGTGATAAGTGAATTACATCACAATAAAAAATCTATGAATAAGGGATCCAATGTATAACATAAGATTAATGAAAATATACCATCATATTTACAGCAACAACAACAGCAAAATGTCTGTGGAGAAAATGTTTCTCCCTCTTTAAGAATCCTCTGCCAGTGGTGGCAATCAGTAATCTAGTTATAAAATGGATATAAAAATCTGAGCATAAAAACATCATTGGGAGGAAGTTGTATTGCATTTTACCCTGTTGTTTAATCTTCTGAGTGTGCCAAAAGGAAATCCAGGGGCAGTCATAAGAATCTGGGCCAATAGACCATATATTGATGGTGGGAATTTTTACAGGTTTTAGTTTTTTTTTTCTTTTGTGAGCAAAGAGAGAGACAGCTTTCAGAGTTTATATATTGATATTAAAGGACAATTAACATTTAAAAACTTGAAGAATCATCCACAAATCAGTTCTTAATCTGTATTGTAAGGCATTTTCACTTTGATGTATGCTTGTATTTGTTACTTCAATATAAAAGTTTTAAAAAAGTACATCATGTCACTTCCTTCCCATACTTACCACCCTCACATGACTATAGCTGCACTAAGAATGAATCCAAACAATGAACCCTGGCCTTCAAGGTACCACTCTAACTAACTACCCACTTCTTTAATCTCATCTAGCACCCTTTCTTATACCATTACAGGCATGATCAACATCTTCCCTTCATTTCCAAGTTCCTTCCCTTCCGTTTTTGCCTTTTTGGTTTCTTTGTCCTAATGGCTCCTTTCTCAGTCAACACATATCCAGCTCCCTTTCAGGTCACAAGCCAAATTGTTACCTCCTTAAATGAGCCATTTCTGATTTCATTCTCTATTGCATATGTATGGTAGGCATGCACTGTATGGAACTACTCAATATTATTACTCAGTAGGGATGTACAAATCAAAATAACATTTTTAAAATAATGTTTTCTATAGCTTTTTTTGAGTTGTTGTTGTATTTGGTGTTCGTGGTGGTGGGCAGTTGAACAGAAGGCAGCAATTTTCATTCTTTAGATGTAGGTTGACCTGTTGAGGTAGATCCAAACTTGGGCAATGCTAACAACAGAACTGCCTTGAAATTATAATCTGATTTCCTCAGAGTGTTGGAGCTATCATCCGCAACACTGTCATGTTCAGTACCTTGATCTCTGAGGTAAGGAAAAGTGGTAAAAATAAAAAGGATTAAGAATTGTAGCCAGTCTCTCTTAAAAGGCAGCAAAATGGATAAATGCCATCCTGATACACAGTGTGGAAGAAATACAAATCCTAAAATAAAATTATTTGCTCTTTATTTTAGTATTACTTTTGCTTTTGGAAAAGATATTTCTGGCAAAGAATTCTACCATTGAGATATAGCATTTTTTAAATAAACTTTTAAGAAGAGCTTTACATTTACAGAAAGTTTGCAGTGACATAGAAAGTGTCTGTGTGTTCCACATCTAGTTTCCCCTATAATTAACATCTTGCATCAGGATGGTACTTTTATCACAGTTAATGAACTAATATTGGTACATTATTACTAACTAAAGTCCATATGTTCTTTAGACTTTTTAGTTTTTACCTAATTTTCTTTTTCTGTTTTAGGATTCCATCCAGGATACCACATTACATTTAGTTGTCATGTCTTCTTAGGCTCCACTTTCTGAAACTTTCTTTGCTTTTAATGACCTTGACCATTTTGAGGAGTACTGATTAGGTATTTTGTAGAATGTCCTTTAATTGGTATTTTTCTCATGTTTTTCTTGTGATTACATTGTCATCTGCAGGAGGAAGACCACAGATGTAAAGTGCCATTCTCATCATATCATATCGTAGGTACATGATACCCACGTGGCTTATTACTTATGTTAACATTGATTAACTGGCTGAGGTGGTTTTCTCCACTGTATGTCTCCTATTTTTCCTCTGTCCATACCCAGTGTAGCCCACACTTAAGAATTGAGTGTTATGCTACAACACCTTGAGGGCAGAGTCTAAATAAATATCTGAAATTTGTATTTTGTGAGAGATTTTTCTCTTCTCCCCAGTTATCATTTTTTATTTAATTTTTGATTTATATTAGTATGGACTTATTTATTTTGTATTTTTGGTTATACTTTGATATCACTTTATTTATTTTGCTACTCAAACTGTGCCACCTTTAGCCGTTGGAAACCCTTTCAGTTGGCTCCAAAAATCAGTCTTTTTTTTTTTTCTTGGCATTTCCTTAATTTGTGGTACTACAGTATGCTCCAAGTTTACCTTGTATATTACCTACCCCATTTCTAAAATCAGCCATTTCTCCAAGGAACCTTGGTTCCTTTTATTAAGTATGGTATTAGAAATCAAGTTCTGGGTGCTGGGTATGCTCATTGAAACTAGGGTGTTATTGTTTCTAGACCCTCTCAACTGACAGAGCAAAGAAATATATGTGTGTATGCTAACTTGTGTACACACATACACATGGAGACATATATATAGCTAAACATAAATTCAAGTTAATGTTTCCAACTCGAATCCATTATCACATAGATAATTCTAACCTCCTCTCATTTCTTGTCTGTAACAAGAAACCTGGCTCCCACCATTTGCCACCATTTACTTAATTGTTCATTTCCAAGGTACACAAATAGTGGTTTCAGAATTGTCAACCTTTATCCCTAAGAGAAACTATTTTATCCACTAGTGTACAGTGCTTATGTACAGATCCTTTTGTCTTTAGTCTTATAGTCTCCACTGCTTTTCAAAATTTCTTATGTCAATATCTTCCCCCTCCCACCTCACCTTTTTAGTGAGGTTTTTGCCTACATTTTAAATGCAGTTAGATTCTTTTGTCATGGTCTATATTTTGTCCTGGACTCCCCTGACCTCCTACATGATTTATTTTAAATTTACATTCATTAACCTTAACTCTTTCTGTTATAAAGTTCCATGAATTTTGACAAATGCATGATGTCACGTATCCACAGATATGGGTTATTTTGAATATGATCATAGTAACACAATATGAGACAAGGACATACTGTATGAAGAGATTTTTCTAAACTGATGTTTTTGCTAAACACATTTATTAGAATGGCTTTGCAACATTTTTTATTAAATTTATTTTCCTGTTGTTTCAATTTTTTTCACAAGATATTTTTCTCCTGAAAAAAATAGTAAACTAGTTTATTCTTAATCTTTTTGTAAAATAGTGATTTATGAAACTGTAAACACTTTATCTTTACATCTCCTATATGCTTGTTCCCTTTTCAATTTTTATACCACTATGTAGTTCATTTCTATGTGGTACATAGCAATCTAGTCTAAAACATCATACCTTATCAGGCTAGGTTTGGTTTGTTTGCTTTGTTTTTGTTTTCATTTTTCTTTACTGCAGCAACAGAAATACATAGTAATAGGTTCATAAAGGAACCTTGAGATAGCATAATGTTTGCACCTGCATAATGGATTATAAGTCAGTATTATAAAATACCAGGCAAGATCTGAATGTTTTCCTTTTCCTTACTGCCTTCTGCTTTCCTGCATTAGTGCCAGCCTGCCTGTTTCCAGCACAGCAGAGTATCTTTGACCAAGTTAAGTATGAGATAAGCCTGAAAGTCAATTTGTACTCAGGCAAACCTATTAATGGCAAATACGCTAAACAGTGGTTTTTAATGTGTGGTCCCAGGAAACTTGTTGGAAATTCAAAGTATCATGACCCATAATCGCCCCTTACCTACTAAATCAGATACTCTGGAGATAGGACCCAGCAATCTGTGTTTTAACAATTCTTCTAGGTTATGCTCAATTTTCATATCCACTGCATTAGTGGATATTACTACAGAGCAAACTTTTTCATATCATTCACTACTACATTCTCTTTATTTTACTATGAAATCCCTTATATATATATTTTTATTTCCAATGGAATTGGTTATTTAGGTCACTGAAACATTCAAACACCCACTTCTCAATTTCACTGTAATCTATTTAGAAGTGCATAAAAGCCTTCATTAAAATAGTGTAGCTAAGAACTCAGTTTATACCTCTGTATTTGGGGCAATTGTGGGAGGAGGGACAGATGCATGTAGTCCTAATGGTAGGTCACTATAACTCTAGATACCAAGAATCACTAATTTGTTTCTATTATTTTGGGACTTTTGTTCACCGCTATGGTTTAGTAGCAAATCTATTTGTCCTAAAGTAAAGTTTATCTATCTATCTCCTTAAGGAACATAAGGAAGACTGGAGAGTTGTGAGTCATCCTCATATGTTGTGCATAGAAACAAGCAGTGAGAGCCAGGCTATAGAAAGAGAAATGTGAAATAGTAAAACAGACACAAGCAATGATTATAGACCATGAAGCCACAAGAAAACAGAGAGACAAACACACAAAATGAGTTGTTTTCAAATGGCTCTTCAGTTCATGTTTTCTGTACCTCATTAGGCCTGACCATATTTTTGCCCTTGGGGTCTGAAAAAAAAAGAAGTGCATCATTAAAAGAAAAATCCCCCCTCTGCTTATGCTAGTGTTAATGAGTTTTCATTGCATGCCAATCAAAACTTTCCTAGCATCAAAATTTATCTTTTCATACCAGAATCTCTATTACACCCCTATTCCCACACTGCTCTGGTTTCTAAATATTTTGTATATGCTATAATAACAGCTGGAAAATGCTTTTTAGTAAATGAGACTACTACATTACAATAAAAATTAGGAAGTAATTTCTTGTTACTATGACATTATATGATAAAGCTAATAAAGAAGAAGTGTATTTTCTTTACTAAATATTTAAAAAGTTTATAGATTACATCCTCTTATATATCTTGAAATGCTCTCAGACAATATAAGGATATTTTACAACTGAAGTGATATTGCTATTGAACTCTCAAAATCCACAATTAAAGCGCTTGCTTCTGATAAAACATTTTCTCTAAAATGTAAAATGAAATCCTTGGTTTTTTAACACGAGAAATACTTCTTATTAGAGTTATGTGTCAAAGTTGCATGAGGTGAATAAATATAATATTACAGAAATAGATTAATGTTGACATAATTTCATTTAGGCAATTGAATTGTAAAATTAAAGATGAACAACCTTTTCAGGTTATACAGTCTTACAAAATATCCTGCCCCTGACCCCATGTCATAGCTTTCTGCCATTTCCCACCATAAATACAGCCATGCATCGTTTTATTGTGCTTTGCTTCCCAGATATTGCCTTTTAAAAAATTGACCTTTTGTGCCAACCCTATGTCCAGCAAGTCTATTGGCACAATTTTTCCAATAGTATGTACTCATTTTGTGTCTCTGTGTCACCTTCTGGTGATTCTTGCAGTATTTAAAACTTTTTCATTATTATTACATCTGTTATGTTGATCTGTGAATCCGTGATCTTTGATTTTACAATTGTAATTGTTTTGGAGTGCTATGAACCACGCCCATATGACGATTAAGTCAATTGATAAATGTTGTGTTCTGACTGCTCTACTGACCAGCTGCTTCACCATCTCTCTCCCTCTCCTCGGGTCTTCCTCTTCCCTGAGACACAAAACTATTGACATTATGATAATAAATAACTCCACAATGGACTCTGTGTGTTCAAGGGAAAGATGATTTGCACATCTCTCATTTTAAATCAAAATCTAGTAATTATTAAGCTTAGTAAGGAAGCCATGTCAAAAGCTGAACTAGACCAAAAGTTTAGACTTCTTTTATGCAAAGCAGTTGGCCTAGTTGTGGATGAAAGGGAAAAGTTCTTAAAAAAATTAAAGGTGATAAGCCAGTGAACAAGTGAATTATAAGAAAGCAAAACAAATGTGTTTCTGATATGGAGAAAGTTTTAGTGGTTTAGATAGAAGACCAAGCCAGCCATAAGAGTCCCTTAAACCAAAGTCTAATCCTGAGTAAGGCCCTAACTCTCTTCAAATCTACAAAGGTTGGGAGAAGTAAGGAAGCTGCAGAAGAAAACTCTGAAGCTGGTAAAGGTTGGCTCATGAGGTTTAGAAAAAAAAACTGTTTGTGTAACATAATGGTGCAAGGTGATGCAGCAAATGCTGATGTAGAAGGTGCAACAGGTTATCCAGAAGATCTAGCTAAGATCATTGATAAAGATAGCTACACTAAACAACAGATTTTCAATGTAGATGAAACAACCTTCTATTGGAAGCAGATACCATCTAGGAATATCATAGCTAGAAAGAAGTCAATGCCTGGCTTCAAACTTCAAAGGATATGCTGACTCTCTTATTACAGGCAAATGCAGCCGTGGACTTTTTAAGTTGAAACATGTATTCACTTACCATTAGAAAAATCCTAGGGCGTTTAAGAATTATTCTCAGTCTACTCTACCTGTGCTTTGTAAATAGAAGAACAGAGAGTGGATGACAGCATATCTGTTTATTTCATGAATATTTTATCTACTGTTGAGACCTACTGCTTGGGAAAAAAGACTCCTTTCAAAATATTACTGCGTATTGACAATGCACCTTGTCTCTCAAGATTTATAATAGAGATGTATAAGGAGATTAAGCTTGTTTTCGTGCCTGCAAAACACAACATTCAATCTGTAGCCTATAGATCAAGGAGTAATTTTGACTTTCATGTATTATTATTTAAGAAATACATTTCATAAGGCTATTGCTGCCATAGGTAGTAATTCTTCTGATGCATCTGAGTAAAGTAAATTGAAAAGCATCTGAAAAGGATTCTCCATTCTAGATGCCATTAAGAACATTTGTGGTTAATGGGAAGAGGCCAAGATATCAACATTAACAGAATTTTGGAAGAAGCTGATCCCAACTTTCATGGATTACATTGAGAGGGGTTCAAGATTTCAGTGGAGGAATTAACTGTAAATGTGGTGGAAATAGCAAGAGAAGTAGAATTAGAAGTAGAGCCTGAAGATGTGACTGGATTGCTGCAATCTCATGATAAAACTTGAAGAGATGAGGAGTTGCTTTTTGTGGATGAACAAAGTAATTTCTTGAGATGGAACCTAGTCTTGGTGAAGATACTGTGAGCATTGTTGAAATGACACCAAATGATTTATAATATTACACAAACATGATTGATAAGTCAGTGGCAGAATGTGCAAAGAATGACTCTAATTTCTAAGGAAGTCCTACTGTGGGTAAAGGGTTATCAAACAGCATTGCGTGCTATAGAGAAATACGTTGCAATAGGAAGACTCCACTGATGCAACAAAATTCATTGCTGTATTTTTTAAAACTTAAAAACATTTAATTTTGTGCTGTGTAGTATGTGTATATATTTGTGGTGTACATGAGATACTTTGATATTGGCATGCAATGTGTAATAATCACATAATAGTAAATGGGGTGTTTATTCCCTCAAATGTTTTTCATTTGTGTTATAAACAATCCAATTATACTATATAACATATAACAAATATGTTATTTTAAAATGTACAATTATATTATTATTGACTACAGTCACTCTGTTGTGTTGTCAAATATTAGGTTTTATCCATTCTTTCTATATTTTGTACCCATTAATGAGGCCAATTTCCCCTCCAATAACCCCTCCCCAACTGTCCCTAGAATCTAGCAACCATGTTTCTGCTATTTCCATGATTTTAGTTGTTTTAATTTTAAGGTCCCACAATAAGTGAGAACATAGAATGTTTGTCTTTCTGTGCCTGGCTTATTTCACTTAACATAATGACCCCTAGTTTCATTCATATTGTTGTAAATGACAGGATCTCGCTCTTTTTTTAAAATTCATGTTGTTGTAAATGACAGGATCTTGTTCTTTTATATGGCTGAATGGTACTCTATTGTGTATATGTACCCCATTTTTTAATCCATTTATCTGTTGATGGACACTTAGGTTGCTTCCAAATTGTGGCTATTGTGAACACTGCTGCAACAAACATGGGAGGGCATATGTCTCTTTGATATACTCATTTCCTTTCTGGTGGGTATATCCACTCCTGTGGGATTGCTGGATAATATGGTAGCTCTATTTTTAGTTTTGTGAGGAAGCTCCAAATTGTTCTCCATAGTGGTTGTACTAATTTACATTCTCACCAACAGTGTATGAGTGTTCTCTTTTCTCCACATCCTCACAAGCACTTCTTATTGCCTTGCTTTTGGATATAAGCCATTTTGCTGGGGTGAAATGATATCTCATTGTATTTTGATTTGCATTTCTCTGATGATCAATGATGCCAAGGACCTTTTTGTATGCCTGCTTGTCATTCATATGTCTTTTTTTTGAGAAATATCTATTCAGATATTTTGCCCATTTTTTTCAATCAATTTGTTATACTTTTTCCTATAGAGTTGTTTGAGTTCCTCATGTGTTCTGTTTATAATTCTGTTGACAGATAGGTACTTTGCAAATATTTGATTTTATTCTGTGTGTTGTCACTACATTTTGTTGATTGTTTCTTTTGCTGTGCAGAAACTGTTTAACTTGATGTGATCCCATTTGTCCATGATTGCTTTGGTTTCCTGTGCTTGTGGTGTATTAATCAAGAAATTCTTGCCCACTTCAATGTCCTGGAGAGTTTTCTCAACATTTCATTGTAGTAGTTTTATAGTTTGAGGTCTTAGATTTAAGTCTTTAATCCATTTTGATTTTACTTTTGTATATATCAAGAGAGACGAGTCTTGTTACTTTCTTCTGCATATTGATATCCACGTTTCCCAGCACTATTTATTGAAGAAACTGTCCTTTCCTCAATGTATGGTCTTGGCGCCTTTGTAAAAAATGAATTCACTGCAAATGTATGGATTTGTGTCTGGGTTTTGTATTCCATGACGCTGGTCTATGTATTAGTTTTTATGCCAGTTCCATGTTGTTTTAGTTACTATAACTCTGCAGAATAATTTGAAGTCGGTTAATGTGATTCCTCCAGTTTTGTTCTTTTTGCTCAGAATACCATTGTCTATTTGGGGTCTTTTTTGATTCCATGTAAATTTCAGGATAATTTTTTTTTCTATTTCTGTGAAGAATGTAATTGGAATTTTGATAGAAATTGCATTGAATGTGTAAATTGCTTTGGGTAGTATAAATATTTTAACAATATTTATTCCTCCAATCTATGAACATGGAAAATCTTTCAATGTTTTCATCTTTTTTCTACTTCTTGCATAAATGTTTTATATTTTTTATTGTAGAAATTTTTTACTTATTTGGTTAATTCCTAGGTATTTAAATTTGTGTGTAGCTATTGTAAATGGGATTACTTTTTAATTTCTGTCTCAGATTGTTCAGTGTAGGCACATAGAAATGCTACTGATTTTTGTACGTTGGTTTTGTATCTTGCAACTTTACTGAATTTGTTTCTCAGTTTTAATAGTTTTGGTGGAGTCTTTAGATTTTCTCAAATATAAGATCAGACTTTCTACAAACAAGGACTTTTAAAAGAAAAATTCCAATTTGGATTCTCTTTATTTCTTTCACTTCTCTGATTGCTGTACCTAGGACTTCCAATACTGTGTTTAACAGCAGTGGTGAAAGTGGACATCTTTGTCATGTTCCAAATTTTAGAGGAAACGCTATCAGATTTTCCTCATTCAGTATGATACTGGCTGTGGTTCTGTCATATATAGTTTTTATTATGTTGAAGTATGTTCCTTTTATACTCAGCTTTTTGAGGGTTTTTTTAATGAAGGGAGGATGTATTTTATCAAAGGCTTTTTCAGCATCAATTGAAATGATCATATAGATTTAGTTCTTCATTCTGTTGAAATGATGTATCACATTGGTTGATTTACATATGTTGAACCATTCTGGCATACCAAGAGTAAATCCTACTTGGTCATGATGAAAAATCATTTTAATGTTTGTTGAATTCAGTTTGCTAGTATGTTGTTGAAGATTTTTTCATCAATATTCATCAGGGATTTTGGCCTGTCATTTTCTTTTTTTGATATGTCTTTGTTTGATTTTTGTATCAGGATAATACTGGCCTCACAGAATGAATATGAAAGTATTCCCTCCTCCTCTATATTTTGGAATAGTATAAATAGAATTAGAATTAGTTTCTTAAATTACTGGCAGAATTCAGCAGTAAAGCCAACAGATTCTGGGCTTTTCTTTGATGGCATATTTCACTGCAGCTTTGATCTTGTTACTTGTTTTTGATCTCAGGTATTGGATTTCTTCCAGGTTCAACCTTGGTAGGCTCTATGTGTCTAGGAATTTACCAATTCCTCTCGATTTTGTAATATATTGACATATAGTTTCTCTTAGTAGCCAATAGTAATCCTGTGAATTTCTGTGGTAGCAGTTGTAATGTCTCCTTTTTCATCTCTCTTTTTATATTTATTTATTTATTTTAGCCTGCTTACATTCAAGGTTAATATTCATATGTGTAGATTTTATCATGGCATTGTGTTGCCATCTGGTTATTTGTTTTTTATTATTTTTATTTTTTATTAATTTTTTATATTCTACTTTAAGTTCTGGGGTACATGTGTAGAACTTGCAGGTTTGTTACATAGGAATACACGTGCCATGGTGGTTTGCTGCACCCATCAACACGTCATCTACATTAGGTATTTCTCCTAATGCTATCCCTCTCCTAGCCCCCCATCCGCCAACAGACACTAGTGTGTGATATTGCCTCCAGCTTCATCCATGTCCCTGCAAAGGACATGAACTCATCCTTTTTTATGGCTGCATAGTATTCCATGCTGTATATGTGCCACATTTTCTTTATCCAATCTATCATCCATGGGCATTTGGGTTGGTTCCAAGTCTTTGCTATTGTGAACAGTGCTGCAATAAACATACATGTGCATGTGTCCTTATAGTAGAATGATTTATAATCCTTTCAGTATATACCCAGTAATGAGATTGCTGGGTCAAACAGTATTTCTAGTTCTAGATCCTTGAGGAATTGCCATACTGTCTTCCACAATGATTGAACTAACACTCCCACCAACAATGTAAAAGTGTTATTTCTCCACATCCTCTCCAGGATCTGTTTCTGACTTCTTAATGATTGCCATTCTAATTGGTGTGAGATAGTATCTCATTGTGGTTTTGATTTGCACTTCTCTAATGACAAGTGATAATGAGCTTTTTTTTCATATGTTTGTTGACTGCATAAATGACTTCCTTTGGGAAGTGTCTGTTCATATCCTTCACCCACTTTTTGATAGGGTTGTTTGTTTTATTTCTTGTAAATTTGTTTAATTTCTTTGTAGATTCTGGATATTAGCCCTTTGTCAGATGGATAGATTGTAAAAGTTTTCTCCCATTCTGTAGGTTGCCTGTTGACTCTGATGATAGTTTCTTTTGCTGTGCAGAAGCTCTTTAGTTTAATTAGATCCCATTTGTCTATTTTGGCTTTTGTTGTCATTGCTTTTGGTGTTTTAGTCATGAAGTCTTTGCCCATGCCTATGTCCTGAATGGTATTGCCTAGGTTTTCTTCTAGGGTTTTTATGGTTTTAGGTCTTACATTTAAGTCTTTAAGCCATCTGGAGTTAATTATTGTATAAGGTGTAAGGAAGGGATCCAGTTTCAACTTTCTGCATATGGCTAGCTAGTTTTCCCAGCACCATTTATTAAATAGGGAATCGTTTCCCCATTGCTTATTTTTGTCAGGTTTGTCAAAGATTAGATGGTTGTAGATCTGTGGCATTATTTCTGAGGCCTCTGTTTTGTTCCATTGGTCTATGTATCTGTTTTGGTACCAGTACCATGCTGTTTTGGTTACTGTAGCCTTGTAGTATAGTTTGAAGTCAGGTAGCCTGATGCCTGCAGCTATGTTCCATTTGCGTAGGATTGTCTTGGTTATGCAGGCTCTTTATTGGTTCCATGAGAAATTTAAAGTAGTTTTTTCCAATTCTCTGATGAAAGTCAATGGTAGCTTGATTGGGACAGCATTGAATCTATAAATTACTTTGGGCAGTATGGTCATTTTGATGATATTGATTTTTCCTATCCATGAGCATGGAATGTTTGTTTTTCCATTTGTTCATGTCCTCTCTTATTCCCTTGAGCATTGGTTTGTAGTTCTCCTTGAAGATATCCTTCACATCCCTTGTAAGTTCTATTCCTAGGTATTTTATTCTCTTTATAGCCATTGTGAATGGGAGTTCATTCATGATTTGGCTCTCTGTTTGTCTATTTTTGGTATATAGCAATGCTTGTGATTTTTGAACATTGCAACAAGAAAAGCTAACTATCCTAAAGATATATGCACCCAATACAGGAGCACCCAGATTCATAAAGCAAGTTCTTAGAGACCTACAGAGACTTAGACTCCCACACAGTAATAGTGGGAGACTTTATCACCACACTGTCAATATTAGACAGGTCAGTGACACAGAAAATTAACAAGGATACCCAGGACTTGCACTCAGCTCTGGACCAAATGCACCTAATAGACATCTACAGTACTCTCCACCCCAAATCAACAGAATATACATCCTTCTCAGCATTACATTGCATTTATTCTAAAATTGACCACATAATTGGAAGTAAAACACTCCTCAGCAAATTCAAAAGAATGGAAATCATAACAAACAAACAGTCTCTCAGACCACAGTGCAATCAAATTAGAACTCAGGATTAAGAAACTCACTAAAAACCGCACAACTACATGGAAACTGAACAACCTGCTCATCTCTGTTTTTATTTGTGTCTTTTTTCTTTTTCCTTTGTCTTGCTAAAGTTTTGCCAATTTTGTTTATCTTTCAAAAGGCCAACTTTTTATTTCATTCATTTCTTGTATTTATTTTCTTTATTTCAAATGTATTTACATCTGTTCTGTTCTTTATTATTGCTTTTCTTCTACTAATGTTGGTCTTAGTTTGCTGTTGCTCTTCTAGGTTTTTAAGATGCATCTTAGGTTATTTATATGAAATTTTTCTTCTTTTTTATGTTAACATTTATAACTACACATTTTCTTCTTAGTACTTATTTCACTGTGTCTCATACATTTTGATATACTGTGTTTCCATTATCATTTGCTTCAAGAAATTTTGCAATTTCCTACTTAACTTCTTCCTTGACCTAGTGGTCTTTCAGAAGCATATTGTTCAATTTCCATGTGTTTTTGTAGTTTCCAAAATTCTACTTTTTATTCATTTCTATTTATATTCCACTGTGGTCAGAGAAGATGCTTGATATTACTTCAATTTTTTGAATGTTTTAAGACTTGTTTTGTGATCTAACATATGGCCTATCTTTGAGAATGATCCTTGTGCTGAGGAAAAAAATATATATTATGTAGCCATTAGAAGAAATGTTCTGTAAATATCTATTAGATCCATTTTTTCTGTAGTGCAGATTAACTATGGTATCTCTTAATTGATTTTCTGTCTAGGAGATATGTCCAATGGTAAAAGTGAGATATTGAAGTCTGCAACTATTATTGTTTTGGGGTCCAATAATATTTGCGTTATATATCTGGGTGCTCCAGTCTAGGTTGCATATATATTTAAAATTGTTATATATTTTTATATATTATTTAATGAGCTAAATTGTCTTTTCTTACAGTTTTTGTCTTGAAAACTGTAGGTTGGTGCAAAAGTAATTGCTGTTTTTGCCATTACTCTCAATGGGAAAAACAGCAATTACTTTTGCACCAATCTAATATTTTGTCTGATAAAGCCTACTGCTGCTCTTCTCTGATTTCCATTGGTTTTGAATCTATTTCTCCATCCCTTTATTTTGAGTCTATTTGTATCTTTATAGGTGATTTATGCTTCTTTTAGGCAAGATCTATGTTGTAGATCATTGGGTCTTTTTTAAAAAATCCCTTCTGTCACTCTATGATTTTTTTTTTTTTTTTGCTGTTGTTGTTGGATAGTTTAGCCAATTTACATTCGATGTTATGGCTGACAAGTAAGAACTTACTCTTGCTATTTTTTTTTGCTTTCTGGTTATTTGTGGTCTTCTCTTTCTTCTTTTTCTTTCCTTCCTTGCTGTCTTCCTATTAGTGGAGGTCTTTTTCTCAGGTGGTGTGATTTAATTTTTTGCTTTTTATTTTTTGTGTATCCATGGTATGTTTTTTTGATTTGAGTTTACCATAAAGCTTGTAGATACTATCTTACAATCCATTATTTTACATTGGAAACATCACTGATCTTATAAATGAACAAATAAACATGTAAAAAGAAAACTGATAAACACTCTACATTTTAACTTAGTTCCCCCCCTTTTTAACTTTTTGTTTTTTCTCTACATCTTATTGGACAATCTATGCCTTAAAAAGTTTGTATAGTTATTCTTGATTGCTTTATTATTTAGTCTTTCTTTCTACTTAAGAGTGAATTAATTATGCTCCAAAATTATAGTTTTATAATATTCTGTGTTTTTCTATTACCAGTGAGTTTTGTACATTTCAATGATTCTTTAGCGCTCATTTATATCCCTTCCTTTCAGATTGAAGGACTCCATTTAGCATTTACAGTAGGTCATATCTGGTTTTGATGAAATCCCTTAGCTCTTGTTTGTATGGGAAGGTCTTCATTTTTCCTTCATGCCTGAAGGATATTTTCACCAGCTATAGTATCCTAGACTACAAAGGTTTGGATTTTTTTTTCCCCTTCAGCACTTTAAATATGTCATGCCACTTTCATCCAGCCTATAAAGCTTCCACTGAAAAGTGTTCTGTGAGACATATTGGAGCTTCATTGTATGTTATTTGTTTCTTTTCTTATGCTGCTGTAGAATTATTTCTTTATACTTGCTCTTTGGACTTTGATTATTAATTGCTTTAAGGTAGTCTGCTTGGGGTTAAATCTCTTTGGTGTTCTACAACCTTCTTGTACTGAATATTGATAACTTTCTCTAGTTTTGGGAACTTCTCTGTTATTATCCCTTGTGAATAAATTTTTTACCCCTATCTCTTTCTCTACCTCCTCTTTAAGGCCAATCACTCTCAGATTTGACCTTTTGACGCCATTTTCTAGATCCTGTAGGTGTGCTTCCTTGATTTTTATTCTTGTTTCTTTTATCTACTTTGACTTTGTATTTTCAAATAGCCTGTCTTCAAGCTTACTAATTCTTTCTTCTGCTTGATCAATTCTGCTATTAATATACTCTGCTAAATTCTGCATTATGCCAGTTGTATTTTTCAGAATTTCTGCTTGATTCTTTCTCATTATTTCAATTTCTTTTTAAAATGTATCTAATAGGATTCTGAATTCTGTCTCTGTGCTCTCTTGAATTTCCTTCAGTTTCCTCAGCACTGCTTTTTGAATTATCTGTCTGAAGGGTCACATATGGTGGTATGAGATGCCACACTCTTTTAAACAACCAGATCTCATAGAACTATATCACACAAACAGCACTAGGGGAATGTTGCTAAACCACTTATTAAAAAATAGCTCCCATTATTTAATCATCACCCACCAAACCCCTCCTCCAACACTGGGGATTATACTTCAACATGAGATTTCAGTGAGCACAGAGACCCAAACCATATTATTCCACACCTGTCTCCTCCCAAATCTCATGTTTTTCTCACATTGCAAAATACAATCATGACTTCCCAACAATTTCCCAAAGTCAACTCATTCCAGCATCTCAAATGTCCAAAGTCCAAAGTCTCATCTGAGACAATGCTGGTTCCTTCTACCTATGAGTCCATAAAATCAAAAACAAGTTAGTTAGTTAGTTACTTCCAAGATAGAATATGAATACAGGCATTGGGTAAATACATGCATTCCAAAATGGAGAAATTAGCCAAAAGAAGTGGTACAGGCCACATGCAACTCCAAAACCCAGCAAGGCAGTCATTAAAATTTATAGCTCCAAAATAATCTCCTTGACTCTATGTCTCATATCCAGGGCACTCTGATGCAAGTGCTGGGTTCCCCACACCTTTGGCAGCTCTACCCCTGTGCCAGCTACTCTCAAGAGTTGGCACTGAGTGTCTGCAGCTTTTTCAGGTACATGGTGCAAGCTGTTGGTTACTTTACCATTTGGGTTCTGGAAAATAGTGGCCCTCTTCTCACAGCTCCAGTAGGCAATGTCCCAGTGGGGACTCTGTGTTGGGGCTCCATCTCACATTTCCCCTCTACACTGCCATAGTAGAGGTTCCCTGTGAGGGCTCTACCACTGTAGCAGGCTTCTACCTGGACATCCAGCCTTTTCCACATATCCTCTGAAATCTAGGTGGGGGCTCTGAAGCCTCAACTTGTGCACTCTGCAAACCCAATGGCTTAACACTGAGTGGAAGCCACCAAGGCTTACAGCTTGTACCCTCTGAAGCAGCAGTCCAAGTAGTACATGGGTTCTTTTTAGCCATGGCTGGGGTTGAGTGGCTGGGATGCAGGGAGCAGTGTCCTGAGGCTGCAGAAAGTGGTGGGGCTTTGGGCCTGGCCCACAAAATTATTCTGTCCTCCTAAGCCTCTGGGCCTGTGTGTTAGTCCATTATCACACTACTGTAAGGACATACATGAGACTAGGTAATTTATAAAGAAAAAAGGTAAAATTGACTCACAGTTTCACATGGCTGGGGAGACCTCAGGCAACAATCAATCATGGTAGAAAAAGAAGCAAACACATCCTTCTTCACACAGAAGCAGGAGAGAGAATGATTCCCCAGTGAAGTGGGAAGCCCCTTATAAAACCATCAGATCTCATGAGAACTAATGATCACAAGAACAGAACGGGGGATACTGCCCCCATGATTCAATTTTCTCTTTCTGGTCATGCCCACTACATATAGGAATTATGGGAACTACAATTCAAGATGAGATTTGGGTGGGGATATAGACAAACCATATTATTCTGCCCCTGGCCACTCCCAAATCTCATGTTTTCACAATTCATAACACAATCATGGCCTTTCAACAGTCCCCCAGTGTCTTTACTCATTCCAGGGTTAACACAAAAGCCCAAGTCTACAGTCTCATCTGAGGCAAGGCATGTCCCATCTGCCTATGAACCTGTAAAATAAAAAGCAAGTTAGTTACTTCCTAGATACAATGGGGATACAGGCATTGGGTAAATACACCCATTCCAAATGGGAGAAATTGACCAAAACAAAGGGGATACAGGCCCCATGCAAGTTCTAAATCCAATAGGGCTGTCATTAAACCTTAAAGTTACAAAATGATCTCCTTTGACTCCATCTCTCACACCCAGGTCATGCTGATGCAAGAGGTGGGCTCCCACAGGCTTGGCAGCTCTGCTTCTGTCACTTTGCAGGGTACAGCCCCCATCCCAGCTGCCTACATGGGTTGGCATTGCATGTCTGTGGCTTTTCCAGGCATATGGTGCAAGATGTCAGTGGATCCCACATTTTGGGTCTGGAGGACAGTGGCTTTCTTCTCACAGCTCCACTATGCAGTACTCAAGTGGGGAATTTGCCTGGGGGCTCCAACCCTCTATTTCTCTTCAGCACTGCCCTAGCAGAGGTTCTTCATGAGGGCTTCACTCCTGCAACAAACTACTGCCTGGACATTCAGGCCTTTCCATAAATCCTCTGAAATCTAGGCAAATTGCCAAACTTCAATTCTTGACTTCTTTTGCACACCCACAGGTCCAACACCACGTAGAAGCTGCCAAGGCTTGGGGCTTACAACCTCTGAAACAATGGCCTGAGCTATAAATGGGCCCCTTTTAGCCACCACTGGAATGGCTGGGATGCAGGACACCAAGTCCCAAGGCTACACACAGCATTGGGGGGGCCCTGATCTCAGCCCAGGAAACTGTTTTTCCAATTTAGGCTCCTGGACCTGTGATGGGACATGGCCTGAAGACGTATTTCCCATTGCCTTGGTGATTAACATTGTTACTTATTGCTCCTTGTTACTTATGCAAATTCCTGCAGCAGGGTTGAATTTCTTCCCAGAAAAATGAGTTTTTTTTTCTATTGCACCATTAGGCTGCAAATTTTTTAAACTTTTATGCTCTGCTTTTTATTGAATGCTTTGCCACTTAGAAATTTCTTCCACCAGATACCCTAAATTATCTGTCTCAAGTTTAAAATTTCACAGATCACGGGGCACAGGCAAAATATCACCAGTCTCTTTGCCTAGCAAGAGTGACCTTTACCATAGTTCCATAGAAGTTCCTCATTTCCATCTGAGATTACCTACATCTGGATTTCATTGTCCATCAGCAAGTCTCTAGGAAGTTCCAAACTTTCCCACATTTTCCTGTCTATGAGCCCTCCATGTTTCTAGGAAGTTCCAAACTTTCCCACATTTCCATACCTTCTTCTGAGCCCTCCAAACTGTTCCAACTTCTGCCTTTTAACCAGTTCCAATGTTGCTTCCAATGGTTTTTGGTGTCTTTATAGTAGTGTCTCCCTCCCTGTACCAATTTACTGTATTAGTCAGTTTTCACACTGCTATAAAAACATACTGGACACTGGGTAATTTATAAAGAAAAGAGGTTTTATTGACTCACAGTTTTGCATGGCTAGGGAGGTCTCATGAAACTTATAATTATGGCAGAAGGGGAAGCAAACACATTTTTCATCACACGGTGGCAGGAAAGAGAATGAGTGCCCAGCAAAGGGGGATGTCTCTTATAAAACCATCAGATCTCATGAGAACTAACTCACTATCATGAGAACAGGATAGGGGAACCCATCCTCATGATTCATTTATCTCTACCTGGCCCCTCCCACAATACATAGGGATTATGGGAACTACAATTCGAAATGAGATTTGGGGGGGACAAGGAAAAACCATTATCTGCCTGTGATGGAAGGGTCTGCAATGAACACCTCTGAAATGCCTTTGAGGCCATTCCCTCATTATCTCAGGTATTAGCAATTGGCTCTTCTTTACTTATTCAAGTTTATGCAGGCTTTTTCAATTCCTCCCCTGAAAATGGGCTTTTCTTTTCTACCACATGGCTGGTCTACAAATTTTTCAAACTTTTATATTCTGCTTCCCCTTTTAATATATATTCCATTTATACATCTTTTTTTTTTTTTTTTGCTCACTGGTATAAGCATAGGCCATTAGAAGAAGCAAGGCCAGATCTTGAACCTTGCCGCTTAGAAATTTCTTCCACCAGATATCCTAAATCATCACGCTAAAGCTCAGTGTTCCACAAATCACTAGGGGAGGGGCACAATGTCACTAACCTCGTTGCTAATGCATAACAAAGGTGACCTTTGCTCCAGTTCTCATTAAGTTCCTCATTTTCAAAAGAGACCTCCTCAGCCTGGTTTTCATTGTCCATATTATAGTCAGTAGTTTTGTGGCAACAATTTAACAAATCTCTAGGTAGTTCCAAACATTCCCTCATCTTCCTGTCTTCATCTGAGTCCTCCACACTCTTCCAACCTCTGCCAGTTAGCCAATTCTAAAGCTGCTTTCACATTTTCAGGTATCTTTATAGCAATGCCCCACTTCTCAGTACCAATTTTCTGTATTAATTTATTCTTGCATTGCTAATAAAGATATACCTGAGACTGGGTAATTTATAAACAAAAGAGATTTAATTGGTTCTCAGTTCTTCAGGCTGTACAGGAAGCATGGCAGCATCTGCTTCTGGGAAGGCTTCAGTGAGCTTTTACTCATAGTGAAAGTCAAAGGGTGAGTGGGGCAGTTCACATTGTCAGAGTAGGAGGAAGAGGGAAAGATGGGAGGTGCCACACACTTTTAAACGACCAGATCTCACAAGAACTCACTTACTATTGCAACACAGCACCACGGGGAGTGGTGTTAAACCATGAGAAAGTGCCCCCATGATCCAATCATCTCCCACAAGGTCCCACCTCCAACATTGGGGATTACAATTTGACATGAGATTTGGGAGAGGACACAGACCCAAACCATGTCAGCCTATATTTCAGTTTTATATAAAATGAGGAAAAAGTACCTATTCTGTGGTAAATGTATCCCCTTAGATTCAATGTTTGGTGAATGAATAATAGGCTTGATTTTAGCTCTCCTTTTCCCTTCGGCTGCACAGGGCACATCCTATACAACCTTGTGTAGCAACAGTGTGTAGCTTGCACAGAGGCTTGTGTGAGGCTTGCACTAGATACACGTATACAGATAGAATAAAGGGATCACCTATATTTTACTGAATTCCAGACTATGACTTCACAATTTAGGGTAGTTCTCCTTTTTGCCTTTGGTCTGTAAACTCAGAAGTCTCTCTTGGTGAAAGAGAATCAGATGTTCCTTGATTTGAATACCAATTAGTACCTGATAACTGCACTAACTTGTGTTACTGGGCAGGTTTTAAACTTTGGATATGCTCTTTAATTAAGTTTCCTTATTTGTAAAGTAAGCATACTATTTACCCTGTCTGCTATGAGTGTTAAGGAAAATTATGTATGCAAAGCACCTAAGAGAACATTTGACATATTTTAGATTATCAATACCTGTGACTTTTTTAAAAATTGTATTTCTCTTTAGCCTTATTTTTCTCACTTATTTGAATAGCTTTTTTCCTCTAGAAAGAATAGAGCTTAAATCTCTCCATTATAATTTGTCCTGTTTTCTGTCAGGTAGTAAATATCACAATAATAATTAACATATATTAATTACTTACTGTATCCCATGTGTAATTCCAAGCCTTTCCATATATTATCTAATTTAATGCTTATAACAACATTATGCAGTTGGAATTAATATGGTCACCATTTTCATTCGATGAAATGAATCTGAGTGGTTAACTAACTCCCCTTAAATTCTACAAACAACTATTGGTTGAGTTGGAGTGTGAATTTAGGCACTTCTACTCCAGAGTTTTCATTTGTAACCACTCAAGTTATACTGTCTCCCAGGAAATCTCTGGTTCACCACAACTTAATGTTTACGCTTTTTAACATGAACATCTAGCATCTACAATTTCTCTGTTTTGTGATCCAACAGAGCATAACACCACATACAAAAAATGTAGTCTCCAGATTGAATGTGTATTCAAGAGAGGTAGCATAGTACTGTGATCAAAATCACTAGCTGTAAATTTTGAGTGCCTAAGTTTGAATCTTCTTGCTATATGACTCGACCAGTGGCTTAACCCCTATCCTTATTCGTGCTTCAGTTTCTTCATAGGTAAAATGGCAGTAGAGAAACATCTAGTTAATTAGCTCTTTTGTGAGGACGAAATATGATAACATATGTAAAAAACAAGCAATCTGAATAGTGCCTGGCATGTAATAAAAACTCAGTAAAGTTTATGTAATTGTTTTCACATTTCCATTTATGACCTAATTACCACATTTCATTACTGAATATATCCTAAAGTTGCTATACTTTAGGAATTTTTGTTATAAGAAAATTTAGGAGGAGGAGCCAAGATGGCCGAATAGGAACAGCTCCGGTCTGCAGCTCCCAGCGTGAGCGACACAGAAGATGGTGATTTCTGCATTTCCATCTGAGGTACCGGGTTCATCTCACTAGGGAGTGCCAGACAGTGGGCGCAGGTCAGTGAGTGCATGCACCGTGCGCAAGCCAAAGCAGGGCGAGGCAGTGCCTCACTTGAGAAGCGCAAGGGGTCAGGGAGTTCCCTTTCCGAGTCAAAGAAAGGGGTGACGGACGGCACCTGGAAAATCGGGTCACTCCCACCCAAATACTGCGCTTTTCCGACGGGCTTGAAAAACGGCACACCACAAGATTATATCCCGCACCTGGCTCGGAGGGTCCTACGCCCATGGAGTCTCGCTGATTGCTAGCACAGCAGTCTGAGATCAAACTGCAAGGCGGCAGCGAGGCTGGGGGAGGGGCGCCCGCCATTGCCCAGGCTTGCTTAGGTAAACAAAGCAGCAGGGAAGCTCCAACTGGGTGGAGCCCACCACAGCTCAAGGAGGCCTGCCTGCCTCTGTAGGCTCCACCTCTGGGGGCAGGGCACAGACAAACAAAAAGACAGCAGTAACCTCTGCAGACTTAAATGTCCCTGTCTGACAGCTTTGAAGAGAGCAGTGGTTCTCCCAGCACGCAGCTGGAGATCTGAGAACGGGCAGACTGCCTCCTCAAGTGGGTCCCTGACCCCCGAGCAGCCTAACTGGGAGGCACCCCCCAGCAGGGGCACACTGACACCTCACTTGGCAGGGTATTCCAACAGACCTGCAGCTGAGGGTCCTGTCTGTTAGAAGGAAAACTAACAAACAGAAAGGACATCCACACCAAAAACCCATCTCTACATCACCATCATCAAAGACCAAAAGTAGATAAAACCACAAAGGTGAGGAAAAAACAGAACAGAAAAACTGGAAACTCTAAAAAGCAGAGCGCCTCTCCTCCTCCAAAGGAACACAGTTCCTCACCAGCAACGGAACAAAGCTGGGTGGAGAATGACTTTGACGAGCTGAGAGAAGAAGGCTTCGGACGATCAAATTACTCTGAGCTATGGGAGGACATTCAAACCAAAGGCAAAGAAGTGGAAAACTTTGAAAAAAAAATTAGAAGAATGTATAACTAGAATAACCAATACAGAGAAGTGCTTAAAGGAGCAGATGGAGCTGAAAACCAAGGCTCAAGAACTACGTGAAGAATGCAGAAGCCTCAGGAGCCGATGCGATCAACTGGAAGAAAGGGTATCAGCAATGGAAGATGAAATGAATGAAATGAAGTGAGAAGGGAAGTTTAGAGAAAAAAGAATAAAAAGAAATGAGCAAAGCCTCCAAGAAATATGGGACTATGTGAAAAGACCAAATCTACGTCTGACTGGGGTACCTGAAAGCGATGGGGAAAATGGAACCAAGTTGGAAAACACTCTGCAGGATATTATCCAGGAGAACTTCCCCAATCTAGCCAGGCAGGCCAACATTCAGATTCAGGAAATACAGAGAATGCCACAAAGATACTCCTCGAGAAGAGCAACTCCAAGACACATAATTGTCAGATTCACCAAAGTTGAAACGAGGGAAAAAATGTTAAGGGCAGCCAGAGAGAAAGGTCGGGTTACCCTCAAAGGGAAGCCCGTCAGACTAACAGCGGATCTCTCGGCAGAAACCCTACAAGCCAGAAGAGAGTGGGGGCCAATATTCAACATTCTTAAAGAAAAGAATTTTCAACCCAGAATTTCATATCCAGCCAAACTAAGCTTCATAAGCAAAGGAGAAATAAAATACTTTACAGACAAGCAAATGCTGAGAGATTTTGTCACCACCAGGCCTGCCCTAAAAGAGCTCCTGAAGGAAGCACTAAACATGGAAAGGAACAACTGGTACCAGCCACTGCAAAATCATGCCAAAATGTAAAGACCATCCAGACTAGGAAGAAACTGCATCAACTAAAGAGCAAAATAACCAGCTAACATCATAATGACAGGATCAAATTCACACATAACAATATTAACTTTAAATGTAAATGGACTAAATGCTCCAATTAAAAGACACAGACTGGCAAATTGGATAAAGAGTCAAGACCCATCACTGTGCTGTATTCAGGAAACCCATCTCACGTGCAGAGACACACACAGGCTCAAAATAAAAGGATGGAGGAAGATCTACCAAGCAAATGGAAAACAAAAAAAGGCAGGGGTTACAATCCTAGTCTCTGATAAAACAGACTTTAAACCAACAAAGATCAGAAGAGACAAAGAAGGCCATTACATAATGGTAAAGGGATCAATTCAACAAGAAGAGCTAAATATCCTAAATATATATGCACCCAATACAGGAGCACCAAGATTCATAAAGCAAGTCCTGAGTGACCTACAAAGAGACTTAGACTCCCACACAATAATAATGGGAGACTTTAACACCCCACTGTCAACATTAGACAGATCAACGAGACAGAAAGTCAACAAGGATACCCAGGAATTGAACTCAGCTCTGCACCAAGCGGACCTAATAGACATCTACAGAACTCTCCACCCCAAATCAACAGAATATACATTATTTTTTTCAGCACCACACCACACCTATTCCAAAATTGACCACATACTTGGAAGTAAAGCTCTCTTCAGCAAATGTAAAGGAACAGAAATTATAACAAACTATCTCTCAGACCACAGTGCAATCAAACTAGAACTCAGGATTAAGAATCTCACTCAAAACCGCTCAACTACATGGAAACTGAACAACCTGCTCCTGAATGACTACTGGGTACCTAACGAAATGAAGGCAGAAATAAAGATGTTCTTTGAAACCAAGGAGAACAAAGACACAACATACCAGAATCTCTGGGACACATTTAAAGCAGTGTGTCGAGGGAAATTTATAGCACTAAATGCCCACAAGAGAAAGCAGGAAAGATCCAAAATTGACACCCTAACATCACAATTAAAAGAACTAGAAAAGCAAGAGCAAACACATTCAAAAGCTAGCAGAAGGCAAGAAATAACTAAAATCAAAGCAGAACTGAAGGAAATAGAGACACAAAAAACCCTTCAAAAAATCAATGAATCCAGGAGCTGGTTTTTTGAAAGGATCAACAAAATTGACAGACCGCTAGCAAGACTAATAAAAAAAGAGAGAAGAATCAAATAGACGCGATAAAAAATGATAAAGGGGATATCACCACCGATCCCACAGAAATACAAACTACCATCAGAGAATACTACAAACACCTCTATGCAAATAAACTAGAAAATCTAGAAGAAATGGATGAATTCCTCGACACATACACTCTCCCAAGACTAAACCAGGAAGAAGTTGAATCTCTGAATAGACCAATAACAGGATCTCAAAATAGCAATAATCAATAGCTTACCAACCAAAAAGAGTCCAGTACCAGATGGATTCACAGCTGAATTCTACCAGAGGTACTAGGAGGAACTGGTACCATTCCTTCTGAAACTATTCCAATCAATAGAAAAAGAGGGAATCCTCCCTAACTCTTTTTATGAGGCCAGCATCATTCTGATACCAAAGCCAGGCAGAGACACAACCAAAAAAGAGAATTTTAGACCAATATCCTTGATGAACATTGATGCAAAAATCCTCAAGAAAATACTGGCAAAACGAATCCAGCAGCACATCAAAAAACTTATCCACCATGATCAAGTGGGCTTCATCCCTGGGATGCAAGGCTGGTTCAGTATATGCAAATCAATAAATGTAATCCAGCATATAAACAGAGCCAAAGACAAAAACCACATGATTATCTCAATAGATGCAGAAAAGGCCTTTGACAAAATTCAACAACCCTTCATGCTAAAAACTCTCTATAAATTAGGTATTGATGGGACGTATTTCAAAATAAGAGCTATCTATGACAAACCCACAGCCAATATCATACTGAATGGGCAAAAACTGGAAGCATTCCCTTTGAAAACTGGCACAAGACAGGGATGCCCTCTCTCACCACTCCTATTCAACATAGTGTTGGAAGTTCTGGCCAGGGCAATTAGGCAGGAGAAGGAAATAAAGGGTATTCAATTAGGAAAAGAGGAAGTCAAATTGTCCCTGTTTGCAGATGACATGATTGTATATCTAGAAAACCCCACTGTCTCAGCCCAAAATCTCCTTAAGCTGATAAGCAACTTCAGCAAAGTCTCAGGATACAAAATCAATGTGCAAAAATCACAAGCATTCTTATACACCAATAACAGACAGAGAGCCAAATCATGAGTGAACTCCCATTCACAATTGCTTCAAAGAGAATAAAATACCTAGGAATCCAACTTACAAGGGATGTGAAGGACCTCTTCAAGGAGAACTACAAACCACTGCTCAATGAAATAAAAGAGGATACAAACAAATGGAAGAACATTCCATGCTCATGGGTAGGAAGAATCAATATTGTGAAAATGGCCATACTGCCCAAGGTAATTTATAGATTCAATGCCATCCCCATCAAGCTACCAATGCCTTTCCTCACAGAATTGGAAAAAACTACTTTAAAGTTCATATGGAACCAAAAAAGAGCCCGCATCACCAAGTCAATCCTAAGCCAAAAGAACAAAGCTGGAGGCATCACACTACCTGACTTCAAACTATACTACAAGGCTACAGTAACCAAAACAGCATGGTACTGGTATCAAAACAGAGATATAGATCAATGGAACAGAACAGAGCCCTCAGAAATAATGCCACATATCTACAACTATCTGATCTTTGACAAACCTGAGAAAAACAAGCAATGGTGAAAGGATTCCCTGTTTAATAAACGGTGCTGGGAAAACTGGCTAGCCATATGTAGAAAGCTGAAACTGGATCCCTTTCTTACACCTTATACAAAAATCAATTCAAGATGGATTAAAGACTTAAACGTTAGACCTAAAACCATAAAAACCCTAGAAGAAAACCTAGGCTTTACCATTCAGGACATAGGCATGGGCAAGGACTTCATGTCTAAAACACCAAAAGCAATGGCAACAAAAGCCAAAATTGACAAATGGGATCTAATTAAACTAAAGAGCTTCTGCACTCTGCCATCAGAGTGAACAGGCAACCTACAAAGTGGGAGAAAATTTTTGCAACCTACTCATCTGACAAAGGGCTAATATCCAGAATCTACAATGAACTCAAACAAATTTACAAGAAAAAAACAAACAACCCCATCATAAAGTGGGCAAAGGACATGAACAGACACTTCTCAAAAGAAGACATTTATGCAGCCAAAAATCACATGAAAAAATGGCTCATCATCACTGGCCATCAGAGAAATGCAAATCAAAACCACAATGAGATACCATCTCACACCAGTTAGAATGGCAATCATTAAAAAGTCAGGAAACAACAGGTGCTGGAGAGGATGTGGAGAAATAGGAACACTTTTACACTGTTGGTGGGACTGTAAACTAGTTCAACCATGGTGGAAGTCAGTGTGGCGATTCCTCAGGGATCTAGAACTAGAAGTACCATTTGACCCAGCCATCCCATTACTGGGTATATACCCAAAGGACTATAAATCATGCTGCTATAAAGACACATGCACACGTATGTTTATTGCGGCATTATTCACAATGGCAAAGACTTGGAACCAAGCCAAATGTCCAACAATGACAGACTGGATTAAGAAAATGTGGCACATATACACCATGGAATACTATGCAGCCATAAAAAATGATGAGTTCCTGTCCTTTGTAGGGACATGGATGAAATTGGAAGTCATCATTCTCAGTAAACTATGGCAAGAACAAAAAACCAAACAACGCATAATCTCACTCATAGGTGGGAATTGAACAATGAAATCACATGGACACAGGAAGGAGAATATCACACTCTGGGGACTGTTGTGGGGTGGGGGGAGGGGGGAGGGATAGCACTGGGAGAAATACCTAATGCTAGATGACGAGTTGGTGGGTGCAGCGCACCAGCATGGCACATATATACATATGCAACTAACCTGCACAATGTGCACATGTACCCTAAAACTTTAATAAAACAAAAACAAAAACAAAAAAAAACAAAAAAAAAGAAAATTTAACAAAACTAATAATTGGAAGTGATTACATTTTATTAAATTAGATTTTACTTTGATAAAATAATCACCTCTGAGTATTTAAAAATATTTTCCCAGAATTATTGAGGTATAATCGGCAAACAAAAATTATGTATATTTAAGGTGTACAACAATGTTTTATATGTATTCATTGTGAAATGATCACTATGATCAAACTAATTAACATAACCATCACCTCTTATGCTTACCTTTCTTTGGTGGTAAGAACACTTTAGACCTGCTTACTCTATTTTGTGTCTGTGTATGTGTGTACACATTTAGTTTTATTGTAACAAAGCAACTTGTACACTTTTGATATTTTAAAACTGAGCATCATCTTTCCTTTCAAGTGAAACAGAAAGAAAATTTAAAAATAAACAAGAATAAAATTGCAATGGAGAATGTCAATTCCAAATAAGATTGTACAGGTTCTGCTGATTCTTCCATTGAGTGGCAGGGCTTAAGTCATCATTAGGAGATAATTCATTATAAAGTGTCATCTTAAACTGCAAAGATGTCTGTCAAATATCACAATTAAACATACCAAAGGAGAAACCATGTTGTTAAAATGCCCACTTAACCCATCCAAACATCTCAAACCCACCCTTTGCTGACCTTCTATAACCCCATTTTTTTTTCTTTTCTTAAACAAGAGAAAGTAGACAGATACATGTTGCTAAATGCTAACTGTCCATATTCACTTAGAGACACAGTGTACTCTCTGAGCCCAATATACAGAGAAAAGAGGAAGAAAGCTAGAATTCTATCCACTACTACACAGGGGCCTAGCACCTTCCAGCTTCCAGCAGAGCGAAAGGAGCAGGTTTTTCTTTTTTCCCACAGAGCTCAGTGGTGTTGATTCTGTACAGTTTTTGTTCAGACAGGAATGGATAAAAATGAATTTTGAACAAAAAGGGGTAGAGACTCTTTTCCCATTGTATTCTGCTCAAGGTATTTTCCCCCAAATAAGTTGAGAACCATGGTGTAGAGAAAAGAGACCTCAAGAACAGAGCAACTCAGGAAAAAAAAAAAAAAAAAGCCTGCAACTTGCTCCCAGGGACTGGAGAAAATTTTTAAAAAGGAAGGTTGGAATCCATCAGTTTTCTATTAGTCATCTTCCCCTTCATCCTCCTCTCCTTCCTCCCCTTCATCATCATCTTCATCTTCTTCACCTTCATCCTCATCCCCTTCTTCATCAATATCTTCTAATCCTTCCTCCTCTTTATCATCATCATCATCATCATCGTCTTCTTCTCCTTCTCCTTTTTCATCATCCATACTGGGAACCAAGTAGTACTGTAATGGGTTTGGCCAAATATCATCTTTGATTACCTCTCCTAATTCATCAGCACCTGCATCAGAACGGTCAGTAAACAAGGTAAAGAAGCTCTCTGGTTCCTCATGCTGCCTCTTTCTACTGGCTTTATTCTGCGTTTGACTTGAACGTTTTGTCAAATCCTTCCCAGATTTCCATTTGATTTTGGTGGACTTTGAAGATGGATCACCAATCTCATTCAGAGGAAATTCTTTGGAGAGAAATTTATTTTTAAAGCAAGGATTTTCATCAAAATAAAAATCTATTCTATAACCTGATTTAACATCTCCAAATTCTGTCACTAGTCAAATAATGTAGAGCCTCTTCATTCTCCTCCCCAAGGAGTACAGACACTTGTGGATGGTTGACAAATGTTGTTACCCAAAAATTCAGGATTTTGGCGATCAATTCTGACCTCTTCTGCTGACAATATAGCCGAATAGGAACAGCTCCGGTATGCAGCTCCCAGCGAGATTGAGGCAGAAGGCAGGTGATTTCTGCACTTCCAACTGAAATACCCAGTTCATCTCACTGGGACTGGTTGGACAGTGGGTGAAGCCCACAGAGGGTTAGCCGAAGCAGAGTGGGGTGTCCCTCACCCTGGAAGCACAAGGGGTCAGGGGATTTCCCTCCCCTAGGCAAGGGAAGCCGTGAGGGGCTGTGCCATGAGGAACTTTGCACTCGGCCCAGATTCTGTGCTTTTCCCACGGTCTTTGCAACTCGAAGACCAGGAGATTCCCTCTGGTGCCTACATCACCAGGGTCCTGGGTTTCAAGCACAAAACTGGACGGCCATTTGGGCAGACACTGAGCTACCTAGCTGCGGTTCGTTTTTTTTTTTTTTTTTTCCATACCCCAGTGGCACCTGGAAAGCCAGCAAGACAGAACAATTGATACCCTGGAAAGGGGGCTGAAGCCAGGGAGCCAAGTGGTCTGGCTCCCGGGTCCCACCCCCACAGAGCCCAGCAAGCTAAGATCCACTGGCTTGAAATTCTCTCTGCCAGCACAGCAGTCTGAGGTTGACCTGGGACGCTGGAGCTTGGTGGAGGGAGGGGCGTCCGCCACTGCTGAGGCTTGAGTAGGTAGTTTTACCCTCACAGTGTAAACAAAGCAGCCAGGAAGTTCAAACTGGGCAGACCCCACCACAGCTCAGCAAGGCTGCTGCAGCCATACTGCCTGTCTAGATTCCTCCTCTCTGGGCATGGCATCTCTAAAACAAAGGCAGCAGCCCCAGTCAGGGACTTATAGATAAAACCCCCATCTCCCTGGGACAGAGCACCTGGGGGAAGGGGCGGTTGTGGGCACAGTTTCAGCCGACTTAAACGTCCCTACTTACTCTCTTAGCAAATTTCAAGAATACAATTCACTGTTATAAACTGTAGACACCATGTTGTACATTAGAGGGAGCTCATTCTCCTCATACATGTAAAATGGGATGACTTGTAAAACTTCAAACTAATCTTTCAGGAAAAAATTTGCTGCTGTATGTTTTTTTTTTTTTATTGCTGCATGACAAGTTGCCCTAAAACTTAGTGGTTTAAAATGACAAACACTTATTTCACAGTTTCTATTGGTCATAGATTTGATCCTAGTTTAACTGGGTGAGAGTTTCTAACATGGCTGCAAGGTAGGAGGATTTGCTTTCAAGCTCACTGAGGTGGAGTTTGACAGGATTTTTTTTTTTTTTTTTTTTTTGAGACGAAGTCTCACTCTCGCCCAGGCTGGAGTGCAGTGGCTGGATCTCGGCTCACTGCAAGCTCCGCCTCCCAGGTTCACACCATTCTCCTGCCTCAGCCTCCGAGTAGCTGGGACTACAGGTGCCCGCCACCACGCTCGGCTAATTTTTGGTATTTTTAATAGAGACGGGGTTTCACCTTGTTAGCCAGGATGGTCTCGATCTCCTGACCTCCTGATCTGCCCGCCTCGGCATCCCAAAGTGTTGGGATTACAGGCGTGAGCCACCGCGCCCAGCCGACAGGCTTTAAGAGAGTCGCTTTCAAGCTAATTTGCATGGCTGTTGACCAGAGATATCAGTTTCTTGCCACTTGAACCACTCCACAGAGCTACTCCCAACATGGCGGCAGGCTGCCCAAGAGAAATGGCTCCAAGAAAGAAAGCATGAAAGAATGAAGCAAGGTGAGAGAGCCAAGCAAAATGAAAGCCTGAGTGTTTTGTTACCTAATCTAGGGAAGTAACTTTCTGTCACTTTTGATCACTTTGGCTATGTTCTGTTTATCAGAAGCAAGTCACTAGGTCCACTCCACACTCAAGGAGAAGGGATTATATAAGGGTGTTAATTGCAGAAGGCAGAGATATTTGAGGCCGTTTTAGAGACTGCCTATCAATAACTGAGTGGAGAAAAGCAACAGGTACCTATTCATCCATTTTGGCAAATACAAATAATTAGTTAAGGATCAGTTTTTAAAATGCTATAAGTTAGAAGTCTCTTAACTGTTTTTTCCACACTTAAAGTACAACTTTCATCACTATGCCTCCTTTAAAATCATTCTCATTTCAATCTTTGATATCACTCACCCTGGATACCCATACTTTCCTCCTCTTGAATTAGCTTTCCACCTATGTTTACCACCAAAAATGTCCAGAAAAAAGAGAACCAATCAGTTAGACAGGCCATATTAAATCATGAGTATAAATGTTTCTACTTCCTCAGATGTGATGCATAAGGATAGGAAATCAAGTCATTTTCTTCAAACTTAATTAAAAGTCCATGAAATCAGTATTAAGATTGAGGTATTTTTTACCATTCCTGTGAGACTCTAAATTAGAACAAGAGAAATCCATTCAGAAATGACTTTATGAATTTCAGCTGGTTAGGCTACAATATGCTTAAAATTTTTCTCCTAGGATGCTCTTTTTCTGCTTGCTTATATGCATGGAATAATTGTCAAATATGTCAGAAACATTTATACTTACTCTCATTTTTGCACACGAACAATGGTAAAGTTGGAAGCTGGCAGAGTTTGAACAATAATATATATTTCTGTAAGTTTAGGATGCTATTTTGATTTTCTACCACCTTTCCACGTGCCCCTGTGGCAAACATTTGCCACTCCATATGAAAATGGGAAGATGTAATGGTCTTACAATATGTCATATCTTCTACATTTCTATTCAAGTTTTCAAATAGAGCTTTTCAGTGGCATCTGGAAATGTCAAGAACATGCTGGGACCTGTTATGTATGTATTTAACTAACCTGACTTTATGTCTTAATCTAACTTTGTAGACAAAGAGTGAACCTCGGGGTTGCTTGATCATGACCTTGTATACCATACCCACCAAAATAATTGATCACTGACTCCATAGCTGTTGATGCTGGCACTTGCAAAAATGGAATGCTGAGGCTAGTATTTTTTCAAAAAATTACCAAATGCCTATGTTTTTATTTTTCTTATTAAAAAATTTTCAGATAGGCAACAAAGTGAAAGTAAGTATACCTCACATCCCAGTCCACCCTTTTTCCAGAAGTCCCCACGTTAGAATGTGCATATACTTTCAAGGATGGTCCAGTGTATCTACAAGCCCCTATATCTATCTATCCTTCTAACCAATTAAATCTCCACGTCTCATATTTGCCAAATTGGAATCGTGATATGTATTTTGTGTCATAAATTGTTTTATTGGCTTGTTAATAATGTCAACTTTTGATGACAGTGTATGTATAGATAATGTTGTAACCCACTTGAGTAGCTGCATAGTATTGCATTATATAAGTGAACTATGTTTAATTGAACTCTTCTGATACTAATGGACATTTATATTGTCATCAACCTTTCTCTACTAAAACAATGCTGCTGAAAATTAAATATATATGTGTGAGTATGCATATATATACATATATACACGAACAAATGCACATAATTTTGTGTACTTAGGAAATTTCTTATGACAATTTTTTCTGACTCAAAGGATACACATCCTTTATAAATTTTGATAGAGATTACCATATTATCCTCTAAAACTTTTACTTTTTTTATAAATGTGTGAATTTATTGTGTAGAATTTTCACAATTATATAAACTACTTAGTGAGTTTATGTAAAGGAAGGACAGACATTTCTGAGACCTAAATATTAACATATCAGAATAATCTTCAAAATAAATATCTGTTGCTTTCCTCATTTAGAATTATTCTGAATTTGGATTTAGAGCCCATTCTAAGTAATTTTATGAGCTCTGACCCACCCTGATATCCAGCAGGTGAATTTTTTTCTTTCTATTAATTAATTTAAACTTTCAAGGAGTTATTATGTTCAAATTATACCCTTAAACTGTATGGTTAGTGTTGAGAATTCCTTTCTTTATAGATTTATTGTTCTATTGGGAAAGCCCAACTTAGCTTAGAAAAAGTTAACCACATAAGATGAGATTGGATGGAGGCAAAGATGTATAGTGGTTACTTGCATCAGCAATTTTACCTCTAGAGTCAGTTTGTTCAAATGCTTTCCCTTCTACTAATAGATCTGTAAGCTTGTGCAAGCTAATAAACATGCCCAAGCCTCACTTTCCTCATCTTATATAATGGTGATAGTAATAATACCTATGCATAAGGATTTTTAAAATATTTAGAAGAATTAACATATTCAAAACATTTAGTACAGTGTCTGATCCACATCATTTATTGTGTTTGTTATAGGGCCTTTATTGAATGACAAATAAATTGAAATACTTGAGTTTTAATTATGTTCTGATATGAATCTACTTTATTGATCCAACTTTGTAAATTCAGTGTTTTTTGAACCTGACCACAGCTGACAGCTACATCGCTTACTATATTGGATATCTGTATTAGTTTGTTTTCACACCGTTGATAAAGACATACCTGAAACTGGGAACAAAAAGAGGTTTAGTTGGACTTACAATTCCACATGGCTGGGAGGCCTCAGAATCATGGTGGAGGGCAAAAGACACTTCTTACATGGTGGCACCAAGAGAGAATGAGGAAGAAGCAAAAGTGGAAACCCCCAATAAGCCCATCAGATCTCGTGAGACTTATTCACTATCATGAGAATAGCACAGGAAAGACCAGCCCCTATTATTCAGTTACCTCACCCTGAGTCCCTCCCACAACAGGTGGGAATTCTGAGAGATACAATTCAAGTTGAGATTTGGGTGGGCACACAGCCAAACCATATCAATACCTCTCATAAATATATATCTATATTCTGACTCTTGTCCTAGTGCCATATTCTGTTGTCTTTGTTTCAAGGTCTATTTCACATTTTCAGAAAATAGTTATTCAAAAAATATAAACAGAATTTTTTTTAGCTGATCAGTTTTATCATGGCTTTGCTGAGTTACAAATGTGGTAGTAATTTTTTAATAATTGGCTGTCTGTAAAAATGCATGTATGAATACATGTACATAATTTACTATTTATATTACTAACATAAAGGCTGTATAGCAAACAATTTACAAGTAATAGTAAAATATTCTAGTCTTTCTATCATAAATTCCATGTAACTAATGATACTTACAGAATGTTTTAATTGTTTTTGGTAAACTCATATATTTGTGACTAACCTGTGGTTGTAATTGACAAATGAGTGTAGTTCTGACATGAATATTGATTGATATTTTTGTTTTCCTCAATGAGTAAGATAAAAATAAAAAAAAAACTGTGTCAGAAATTAATGTGTTCATCAATGATGTGAATGACTTTTGGTGAATCACATTAATAGCTTTTGGATACTAGGAAAATATTTTTCTTATTTTTTGTGCTATTCACAATATAACAGCCACAACACAACAATTTCTAAATTTAATCAGAATTATTGAGATTTTTCTGTATGTCCTCCTAGACAATCCATAATAACAACAAACTTCTTAAAACCACGTCGTTATTTGAAGTGTTTACCAACTTTTGTGGTGTAAACACTTCCATCATTGCCAGTTTCAACCTAACAACGTTATGTCATTGAACACAAAGTGGAGAAGAGATGTGCAGTTTCAAACTATTATATAATAGTCCCACTATACAGATACAATTGACATAAATAATCTTGAGTATAGATAGTAGTATAAAATAGTTAAATAATTAAGAAGTAATGAGATTTGAGTATTTGTTACCTTGATTTTAATATAATTTACTGAATTCTGAATTTATAAAGTTACTTTTTAATAATGGCTATTTTTAATGATGGCTTGCAAAATTTCTGAAAATTTAATAATTGACTCTCATGTGCAGCTCCAGCACAACACTCATATAAATATTTGAATATTATTCCTCAATTAAATAAAAAACAGCCTTCCATAGCTATCCCTTTCTTTCTGGCAACTTCCTTCTATATCTCATTTTTCTGTAACTATAAGGCAAAAATCTTTTAAAAAGCTGCTTTTATTTACTATCTCCATCTATTTATCTCCCATTCCCCCACTCAAATTTTGTTTTCTGCCCTATTCCTCTATAAAAATATCAGGCTAAGGCCACCAGTGTCATTAAATAAAATCAATTTTACAATTCCCATTTTATTGGACCTCTTTGCAACAATGTTTACTGCTGACAAACTACTCAACTCTTCTTACAACACTCTTTTCCATTAGGTTCTACAATACAATATTTATCTGTGATTTTATTTCTCTGTCTCTCTGCCCATTTCTTCCCTACTTCTTTGAAAGCTCATCTTCTTCTGCCTAGCTGTTACATGTTATACTTAATCGAGGTTTGTTTCTAGATCCCCACTGTCTAATTTTATAATCCTTCCTATGGCTTCAATGGCCACATGTACCTAGATGACATGTGTAAATATGTGTGTGTGTTTGTGTGTGTGTGAATAAATATATAGTCAAATCCTTAAAGTGTAAAATTTGGTTTTACATATGTGAACCATCACCGAAATCAACATAATAAACATATCCTTTACCTCCAAAAGTTTCCTGGTGCCAATCTGTAATTTTCCTTCCTTAGCCAATCCAACCACCATTTCCCGAGTAACCACTGATCTGCTTCTTGTCATTATAGATTAGTTTGAATTTTATAAAGTTATATACATACATATATATAAAAATATGTATATCCTGTAGGATACATATACATATATAGGTATATGTATTAAAGAGGATGTAGAAATAAGATACTGAGTGAAAAAATTATGCTGGGTGAAAAAAGCCAGAAAAATGAGTATACACTGTAGGATATATATGTATGTCTTGTAGGATACACATACATACACATGCATATACATATATACATATATGTATATGTATCCTGTAGGATATACATATATATATCCTACAGTGTATACTCATTTTTCTGGCTTTTTTCATTCAGCATAATTAAGATTTACCTAGGTTTTTGTATTTATCAATAGTTTGTTTATTTTTATTGCTTAGTGTCCCAGTATATGAATACACCAAATATTTTTCATCCTTTACCTATTGAGAGACATTTGGGTTGTTTTCAGTTTGTGATTATTACAAATAAAGCTGCTATGAACATTCATGTACAAATTTTTGTATGTGCATATACTTTCATTTCTGTTGGGTAAGGATTAGGAGTGGAATGGCTGATATGTATGACAGGTATGTATTTAATGTTATAAGAAATTGCTGTTTTTAATGTTGTTGTATAATTTTGCACAGGCTGGAGTGTGCACAGGCTGGAATTTTGTTGTATAATCGAGGCCAGGCTGGAGTGCAGTGGCACAATCTTGGCTCTCTGCAACCTCCACCTCCCAGGTTCAAGTGATTCTTCTGCATCAGCCTCCCAAGTAGCTGGGATTACAGGTGCGTGCCACCATGCTCAGCTAATTTTTGTAGTTTTAGTAGAGACGGGGTTTCACCATGTTGGCCAGGCTGGTCTTGAACTCCTGACCTCAGGTGATCTGCCCGCCTCAGCCTCCCAAAGTGCTGGGATTACAGGCATGAGCCACCGCACACAGTCTGTTGTAGTTTTTATTGTGGTTTTAGTTGGCATTTTCCTAATGGCTAATGATAGTAAGCAGCACTTAATGTGCTTATTTATTACCTGAGTGTCTTTGGTTAACTATTCAAATATTTTGCCCATTTTAATTCTGTTTTTTGTGTTCTAACAATTAAACTGTAAAGGTAATTTAGGTATTCTACACAGAAGTTATTTTTCAGATATTTGCTTTGCAAGTATTTTCTTCAAGCCCATGGCTCACCTTTTCACATTTGTAGCAGTGCCTTTTAAAAAGAAAAGCTTTAATATTAATAAACTGTGATTTTTTATTACTTTCTTCATTAATTTGTTCTTTTTTGTATTTAAGAAATTTTTGTCAAATCCAAGGTTGCTAAGCTTATCTCCTATTTTGTCCTAAAATTTTTATAATTTTCATTCTTATATTTGGGTCTGTGACACATTTTCTATTAATTTTTATATAGAGTGTGAGACATGGTTGAGGTTCAATTTTTTTGCATATGTATGCCTATCAAATTGTTCCAACATATTTGTTCAAAAATATTTTTTCCACATTACTTATGTTGGCAAATTTCTCAAAAATCAATTGACCAAATAGATGTAAGGTTATGTCTAGAATCTGTTCTATTCTGTTGATCTATATGTCTATGTTTTCACAAATACTGCATTTTCATGATTACTCTATCTTTAGAATAGATTAGAAATAAGGTAGTAACTCCTCCAACTTTGCTTGTTTTAAAAAATTGTGTATATATTCATTTGTGAGTAAAGGGACATGCTAAAGCAATTATCAACATAATTCTGATGATCCTCAATATTCCTTTGCTGGCAATAGAAATTGCTTAGTGACTTCAATGGATTTATTTTACTAACATAGATATGGTTGTGAATGTTATGCAGGCCAAAAAATGACACATGGAAGCTGCCCACTTGGGATATGTGATTCTAATTGCATCAGTCCATGATCAATGAAGTTAAGCCAAGGGACTTATCTGAGAAGAATATAGTGACATAAATTCATGGCTGGGGAGGGGTACCTAAAGGAGATTCCTGAGATTCCTGAGATTACATGCCATTATATGATTATATTTTGTTTATCTCAACAGTAATTTCACTCAACTTTTTCAAAGCTTCTGATTGATGTGATAAAATTGACTATTAATGAATATCTATATTGCACCATTCTCTTAACCCTTCTCAATATGAAAGGAACTTTAATGTTATGTCTATACAAGCATAAAAACAACCAGCTGCAATTTCAAGAATTCATTCAATCAATTAAGTAGATTTTTTATATCAAATGACCAGTTTGACTTTCACTAAATTGACTGATTGGTTGGCACTTTGAGGAGCATTAACTTGTCATCATCATCATTATTACCATGAAATAGTATTTATTAAGCACCCGCAGTCATAAGACATATAAAGTTAGCCAAATAATCATAGACTCTGCCCTTTAGGAGTTTATGATCTGGAAACTCAACACATCCAGATGAGCTGGATGCCATTTAGCAAAGTACTGCTGTAAGATTTTGAAATATGCTACTAAGTGGCTGTAAAAGATCAATTTTCTTCCCAAAGTGCTGAACTATCAACTGGAAAGGGAAGTAGTGCACATGTTGGGTGGTTGTAAGTGATATTCTCATTTGAGATGGTATTATTTGGGCTGGATTTAAACTAGAAATATCCTTTCTCCTCAAAAGATTGAAGTAGCACTTTAAAAAGAGAAAATTACGTGTCTGAGATTGTCAAAAGCAAACTAGTCCTTCAGGAATCTGGAAGCAGGTAGTGATGGTGGGGGAGGCAATAGGGAAAATAAAATTTTTGCGTCAGAATAACTATGCTCTATTTTAGTTTTGTATCTTATGAGTGGGCATTGCATAATTTATTTAACTTTTCTGCATTGTGGTTTAATTATTTGCCTATAAAATGAGAACGCTGTAATTATGTTTATGCTATCATAGTATCCAAAAATTGTGCAGTGATTCTGCAAGACAAAGTGAACTGAAAACGTATTTATATAAGAATAGTCATAATAATGAATTTTTTCCTAGCTAGGCTGAAAAGTCTATGCTTTTGAAGAAAATTGAGTGTTTGAATAAGATGCATTTCTAAATTTTGCAGACTATTCGTGGGGTGCAATAGTTTTACCTCTTAAAAATCACTCTAATCCATTTAAATATATACTCTTACATGGTTCAGTTTAGAGCTTAGTTTTTGCTGCTACACAAAAACTACAACTACTCAATAGTTTGTCTATTAGAATTTATTTTTTTGGAGTAATGATAGAATATACAAATTGGTAAACCTCTTAGAAATAATGTGATTCTACCTCTTTACATAAGAACATAGGAACATTTAAGAGTGAACTGATTACCCAAGGTCCAGCAACAAGCTAATGATAAAGCAAATGCTAGAATCCAGGTTTCTTGACTCTTAATTCCAGTATTTCTATAAGTACTTTCAATTCTTTTATTACTAGAAAAAAAACTGACAGAATAGAAAACCACTGTAGTAAGGCAAACAGTATGAACTCAAAAAGTGTAACTGGTATTTGTGAGTGAGTGGGGGAACTACTATGTGTTATACACAATGCTAAAGGCTGTGCATATGCTGTTTCATATAGTCCTCACACAATCCTGAGGAGGTATTATCAACTATTCAATACATGAGATAAGGCTCATACTCCAGTCTGTCTGCCTGGAAAAGTCCATCATCTTTCCACTACACCATACTCTCTCTCTGGGGAAAGTTCCACCGCCATTTTGAAATTTTTTTTTGGCACAATCAGATAAGTAACCAACACTTATCAGAGACAACATTGAGGAGTTCGTCTTGAGAAATTCTCTATTTGCGCTTCCCGTGGCCTTCTTACACATTTCATTGATCCTATCCATCTTAGGCATTCAAATCTACACATGCTGCTCTTCCTACCCTTTTGGGCCTGGATTCCTTAGATAATACCCATGCTACAATATTACTTTTTCTAATGCTTTCCTCCCACTCCGCTTATCTATTGCATTACTTTTCTCTTGCTTTTTCTCAATTTAAACATTTTAATGCCTCAGTAATTAAGCTTAATATTTATTTGGAGGAAAATAACAGTATTTTTATACTACATAGGACTGATAAAGACTTACTGTGTTTGTTTCTTCCAGACATTGTTCCATTTGCCCAGTGAAATTCAACAATTGATGTGACACCTTTTCCATAAATGTTAATAAAAACTGTGTCCTCCTAGTCCAATTTCAGTGTTTCATACTCAAGCTATGACTGAAATAAACACAAGCTAAATATCTTGAGAAAAGTCTATTTACTTGATGTTCCTAAGAAAGAATTATAAAATGATATTAAATAATAGGCATTATGACCTCTTGGTAATTTTTACATTAAATAAGACAATAAGTGTGAAGTGATTAGCACATATATAAATAGTCAACAAGAGTTAATTATGAACATAGATTGCCTTGGATCTTACAAAAAGATGCAGAAAATAAAGAGAGTCTGATTTAGTTTTGGAGTGAGAAAGATCCATGTTTGTTTTAGAGTTATTTTCTGAGTCCATGGCTGTTTAGAATTGGACTCTGAGGTGGGTGTGGGGCTAGATAATTATGCAGATGCAATGCATGTTCCATATTGACTTGTAAAATAAACTGGTATGATCTCAATTTTTCTTGATATTTGAGATAAGGCATTACAACTATTCTTATCTAGTGATATTATAACTGAATTCAGAGGCCCTTAATTATCAAATATCAAATATTTTCCTCCAGGCAAATATGTGTAAAATAAAATAGCATTGCCTGTCTTTCAAAAGGCATGCTAAAATGTAAGAATGAAGCCTGCACATTTGTATGTCCTGATTGTTTAAAATAGGAGAGAGTACTATATATTTTAATATGCCATTAAATTGAGCAAATAACAGAAAATAAAGAAACATTGCTCATTCTTATGCTACTGAAAAATAGTCTCTTAAAATACCCAGCATTGGATCTGCCTTGAGAAATGTAATGAAGGCCATTATTTGGCTTTAAAATACTTAATATAATTTGAAGCTATCAGGCAAGTATGTTAATATAAGCTATGTTACTGGCAAGACTAGTAGTTATATTGCCTGAACAGATTCCTCTGACATTACCACGTATTTATATAAGAATGTAGCACAAAGTAGGCATATTTGCAGAACAAAATATTGTTTTGTCTTTACTATAGGATTTCATATTAACCTGGAGTAGGAAGATATATATTCCCATCACCTACTTTTGAAACAAATGCACAGAACATTTTTTCAACTTTTATAAATCTATTATATTTCTTTTTTGAAAGCTGCTACAATAATACCTCATATTTAGCTGAATAAATATGTAATTTGTCGCAGCCTTTAGAAAGTTTCACTACCTACAAACCCTCCATTATTCAATAAAATTAGACTACAGATAAGGAATAATATGAAATTATTTTTATATTACTTTTTGTATTTCATTATATTAACTAAAAGAACACTAGAAAAAATAGGATGTCTCTCAAAAAAAGGACATTTTATATACTCATTTTTATTCAGTGGCTCTGACAAATAGTCAAATCTCACTTTTCCTAGAGAAATGCTAATTATAAAACACTAAACATGGTGATCAGTTAAAATAGTGATTTGAGAAACCATCTGATTTAATTTTCAAAGAGTTGTATTATTTAGTGACTCAAATTAGTGGTTTATTTTAAAATCTTTTGGAGAAATAAAATTATACATAACCTATCTACAGCTAATCAGATTTTTTAGCATGCTTTTTAGTCACCCTTGATGATTTGTTAATCTATATGAAAATGATGAACTGGTAATTTGAAATAGGGTCTGATCTTAGGAAGGGAGAATTCGTATTGCTGAAAATATGTGCTTTATCACAACCTGACCTCAGTCAACCTTATCTGCAAATAAGCAACTATTGAGGTGTTCTGGTTTTGAAAAGGACGTCGTATAATGCAGAACACAGTAGGATCTGTATGTATGTGTCTTTAAATGTGTGTGAACTAGGAGTTGATAAAAGATTGATGTTATTATCAGTATTAAAAAACTCAAGACTATCACTTCTATAAGAAACATCTTCTATTCAGCCTCTCTTTTTTTGCTTTCGGTAACATGCTGATATAAACACAACAGAGAAGTAAGAAATAGACTGGCTAGTTATAGTCAAAAAGGTTTCTATTGACACTAATAAGTTAGTGAACAGACAAATGGGCTTTCTGGGCCTTCCCCTTCATGTAAGGCACACAAAAAAGTCATTATGAAAAGACAATGACAAATAACCCATCATTTCAATCACTTTTTTCTTTTCTTGTGACTGGTCTTTTTTATTTCAGAGAACTGTGTCAAATCTGGCCTGTTTTTTCCCACAATGTACCTATGGTGTGGAGTCAATGTGGACAAATTCAAGCTCTACCACTTTATGATCTTGAGCAAGTTTCTTACCTTTTTTCTGAGACTTAGTTTTTATTTTATTTGTAAAATAAGGTGAGAATATAATTATCTCAACATAATCATTTCACCTTTGAAATTCTAGTGTGTATGGACTTCTGTTCACCTTTTCTTCAGTGTGGTATAGTGTAAGAGACATATGGTAGGTATATGATTAATGATAGACATAAGGCCCAGTCAAACATCTAATAGCACCTATACTATGTGTCACTTAGCAGTATGATTAGGCCTTGCCTAGGGATTTTCATCCTGACCTGGGGATTACCAAGTCTCTATGATAATGGGACCTAAAAATCCCTTGCTGTCACGGAGATAATGTTACCTCAGCACAGATTCAACTTTCATAAACCTTAAAACAAAGCTTACTCTGACAATAATTGTTTAAATTCTCTTTATGAAATAAACACCTTGTAAATGACTCAAACTGAATGCAGGTATAAGAAAAGAAGAAGAGTTACCTAAACTCTGAAATGGCCTTTAAATAAAAACCCTCCTGGTCAGGTGGTCACCTGCCCCTTGAATGTATCTGGCCCATGCCACTGCCCTGCTCCCATTATCCATCTTCTAAGAGCACGGCCAGAATAAACCACCTGAACATCAGATAGTATCTAAGACTCTCATCGTTGACATGAATTATACTGAAGGGGAGACATCACTCTGAAGGAAACTAGTCAGCTAGGATCACCTGAGGGCCCTGAACATGACACTCAGCCAAAAGAATTTTGGTTTAAGTATTTCTTTAAATATCAAGTCAAAACTTACTGGGATAATTATAAATAGAGGAAAATAAGGATTAGACATAAAAATGCAAAAGCAAATGAAAGAGGGAGGAAAAAGATTTTGTACTGAAACATTAAGCAATGTAAAGGAAATAAGAAAAATAAAACCAGCCTCAGGATTCTCTTCCTCTATGTGTTAGAAATAAGAAAGCTAAGTAGCGGCGGTGCCAAGGTGAAGGTTTAGATCATACATAATCTCCAGTATCCCTTCACATATGTCATATTACCCCTGAATAAAAATGTTTTTAATATCAAAACGATGTGCTTCCTATGCAAATGCCGCCTCAAAATGAGTGCCCTAAAATACGTTAACAAACATATTGTTTGTATTGTGAAAGAAAGATAAATCTTGGGACACCGAAATCTCTAAGCTAAAGGGAAAAATCAAGCTGGAAACTGCTTAGGGCAAATCTGCCTCTCGTTCTATTAAGTCATCCCTGTGCTCACTGAGATAAATGTGTATCTTATTGCTTCTTTTTGGAAGGCTAATCAGAAACTCAAAATAAGGCAATCTTTTGTCTCTTATCTACCTATGACCTGGAAGTCCCCTCTTCACTTCGAGTTGTCTCACCTTTCCACACTAAACCAAGGTACATCTTACATATATTAATTGATGTCTCATGTCTCCCTAAAATGTATAAAACCAAGCTGCGTCCTGACCACATTGGGTACATGTCATCAGGAACTCCTGAGGATGTGTCATGGGCACATCCTTAACCTTGGCAAAATAAACTGTCTAAATTGACAGAAAACTGTCTCAGATATTAGGGATTTACATTTTGACAACCATGAGTGGATTCTGAGTGGAGGTGACCCTGACCTTTGAGAAATCTCATATTGGTGCTTGGTACCAGCTTGAGCTGTCTTTATGGCTCAAACCAATAGGACAGTTTGCTGAGGCCTGTAATCACCTCCTCCAAAGAATCCCTGACCTCCCCAAATTTGGTTGATATCTAAGGTTTATTTTGATGTACAACTCATTTTTTTTTTTTTTTTTTGGATTTTTACTTGCCTCTGACAAGGAAGGCAAATTTTTCTTCTACCATGATGATGGAAGACACATAACTGCTTTATGGAGTTTGAGCTTGCTTCCAACAGGGAAGGTAAGTTTGAGTTTTTTTCCCTGCTTCTAGGATGGTAGAGAGCAGTCTTCAGCCTGAGACCCATCCCTAGGTAAGTAGCTGAACTGAGGTTTTGTCTTGGCTAAAGATGAACAACCAACTGGTCTTAACTTCTCCTTATCATTAGAGTACTCAGTAGTCACATTGTTGGGTTTTTCTGTTTGTTGTTTGTTCCAGTCTTTTTCCTGTCAGATTTGACCAACTCTACCTGACTTTGTCAAATCTGAATGAGAATTCCAAATTATGGGTAACAAGGCCTCTCTGAATTGGCTAAAATTCCTCACAGCTGCAAAAGAGGGAAAAACAACAACAACAAAAACCCCACACATAAAAAAATGTGCTTTGTTTCTGTGTTTGCTACCTGTCTTAAAAAACAAATGTTCTTTTGTTTACTTTTCCACTGCCCTATACCTCCTTCCCCCTTCACCATCTTCAGTAGCAAGAAAAATCTAGAGAAGGCTTCTAATGACTCGAACTCCTAAAAGAACTCAGGAAAAAGGAGCCACTCACCCCTTTTGAGACATTCTGTTTTCTTTGTGGAGTTTCAAGAGTCATGGGTAGATTGTTCCAAGATCTAAAGCTCTGCTCCTCTGTATTGCATTACTTGACCTCTTTGGTTTCAGGCGTACCAGAGATTACCTTATACTGTGAGAGGATTTGACCTTGGTGTGTGTAATGGTGGACGAGAGCTACAAAGTTAGGGGTGGCTGAGGACAGTTTACAGGAAGTGGTCTTGGCTGTTTTTTTGTCGTTATTGTTTTCTCCTAGAAAGTTATTGTTTAGAATCCTAATGCTCCTTCAGAGGTGCATTCTAAAGAGTCTTCTCCATTGAATTTTCCTCCTGAAATTAATCTCAATTGGCTTGTCTGCACATTTGTGTGAGGAAATAACTGTTGTTTTCATAGACAAATGAGAGACTGAGGGCCGAATAGGAACAGCTCATGTCTACAGCTCCCAGCATGAGTGACGCAGAAGACAGGGGATTTCTGCATTTCCATCTGAGGTACTGGGTTCATCTCACTTGGGAGTGCCAGACAGTGGGCACAGGTCAGTGGGTGGACGCACCATGCGCGAGCCAAAGCAGGGCGAGGCAGTGCCTCACTTGGGAAGCTCAAGGGGTCAGGGAGTTCCCTTTCCGAGTCAAAGAAAGGGGTGACGGACAGCACCTGGAAAATCGGGTCACTCCCACCCGAATACTGCGCTTTTCCGACCGGCTTCAAACACGGCGCACCACGAGATTATATCCCACACCTGGCTCGGAGGGTCCAACGCCCATGGAGTCTCGCTGATTGCTAGCACAGCAGTCTGAGATCAAACTGCAAGGTGGCAGCGAGGCTGGGGGAGGGGCACCTGCCATTGCCCAGGCTTGCTTAGGTAAACAAAGCAGCAGGGAAGCTCCAGCTGGGTGGAGCCCACCACAGCTCAAGGAGGCCTGCCTGCCTCTGTAGGCTCCACCTCTGGGGGCAGGGCACAGACAAACAAAAAGACAGCAGTAACCTCTGCAGACTTAAATGTCCCTGTCTGACAGCTTTGAAGAGAGCAGTGGTTCTCCCAGCACGCAGCTGGAGATCTGAGAACGGGCAGACTGCCTCCTCAAGTGGGTCCCTGATCCCCGAGCAGCCTAACTGGGAGGCACCCCCCAGCAGGGGCACACTGACACCTCACATGGCAGGGCACTCCAACAGACCTGCAGCTGAGGGTCCTGTCTGTTAGAAGGAAAACTAACAAATAGAAAGGACATCCACACCAAAAACCCATCTCTACACCACCATCATCAAAGACCAAAAGGAGATAAAACCACAAAGATGGGGAAAAAACAGAACAGAAAAACTGGAAACTCTAAAAAGCAGAGCGCCTCTCCTCCTCGAAAAGAACACAGTTCCTCACCAGCAACAGAACAAAGCTGGATGGAGAATGACTTTGACGAGCTGAGAGAAGAAGGCTTCAGATGATCAAATTACTCTGAGCTACGGGAGGACATTCAAACCAAAGGCAAAGAAGTGGAAAACTTTGAAAAAAATTTAGAAGAATGTATAACTAGAATAACCAATACAGAGAAGTGCTTAAAGGAGCTGATGGAGCTGAAAACCAAGGCTTGAGAACTACATGAAGTATGCAGAAGCCTCAGGAGCCGATGTGATCAAATGGAAGAAAGAGTATCAGCAATGGAAGATGAAATGAATGAAATGAAGTGAGAAGGGAAGTTTAGAGAAAAAAGAATAAAAAGAAATAAGCAAAGCCTCCAAGAAATATGGGACTATGTGAAAAGACCAAATCTACGTCTGATTGGTGTACCTGAAAGTGATGGGGAGAATGGAACCAAGTTGGAAAACACTCTGCAGGATATTATCCAGGAGAACGTCCCCAATCTAGCAAGGCAGGCAAACGTTCAGATTCAGGAAATACAGAGAATGCCACAAAGATACTCCTCGAGAAGAGCAACTCCAAGACACATAATTGTCAGATTCACCAAAGTTGAAATGAAGGAAAAAATGTTAAGGGCAGCCAGAGAGAAAGGTAGGGTTACCCTCAAAGGGAAGCCCATCAGACTAACAGCGGATCTCTCGGCAGAAACCCTACAAGCCAGAAGAGAGTGGGGGCCAATATTCAACATTCTTAAAAGAATTTTCAACCCAGAATTTCATATCCAGCCAAACTAAGCTTCATAAGCGAAGGAGAAATAAAATACTTTACAGACAAGCAAATGCTGAGAGATTTTGTCACCACCAGGCCTGCCCTAAAAGAGCTCCTGAAGGAAGGACTAAACATGGAAAGGAACAACCGGTACCAGCCGCTACAAAATCATGCCAAAATGTAAAGACCATCGAGACTAGGAAGAAACTGCATCAACTAACCGGCAAAAGAACCAGCTAACATCATAATGACAGGATCAAATTCACACATAACAATATTAACTTTAAATGTAAATGGACTAAATGCTCCAATTAAAAGACACAGACTGGCAAATTGCATAAAGAGTCAAGACCCATCAGTGTGCTGTATTCAGGAAACCCATCTCACGTGCAGAGACACACATAGGCTCAAAATAAAAGGATGGAGGAAGATCTACCAAGCAAATGGAAAACAAAAAAAGGCAGGGGTTGCAATCCTAGTCTCTGATAAAACAGACTTTACACCAACAAGGATCAAAAGACACAAAGAAGGCCATTACATAATGGTAAAGGGATCAATTCAACAAGAAGAGCTAACTATCCTAAATATATATGCACCCAATACAGGAGCACCAAGATTCATAAAGCAAGTCCTGAGTGACCTACAAAGAGACTTAGACTCCCACACAATAATAATGGGAGACTTTAACACCCCACTGTCAACATTAGACAGATCAACGAGACAGAAAGTCAACAAGGATACCCAGGAATTGAACTCAGCTCTGCACCAAGCGGACCTAATAGACATCTACAGAACTCTCCACCCCAAATCAACAGAATATACATTATTTTTTTCAGCACCACACCACACCTATTCCAAAATTGACCACATACTTGGAAGTAAAGTTCTCCTCAGCAAATGTAAAAGAACAGATATTACAACAAACTCTCTCTCAAACCACAGTGCAATCAAACTAGAACTCAGGATTAAGAATCTCACTCAAAACTGCTCAACTACGTGGAAACTGAACAACCTGCTACTGAATGACTGCTGGGTACATAACGAAATGAAGGCAGAAATAAAGATGTTCTTTGAAACCAAGGAGAACAAAGACACAACATACCAGAATCTCTGGGACGCATTTAAAGCAGTGTGTAGAGGGAAATTTATAGCACTAAATGCCCACAAGAGAAAGCAGGAAAGATCCAAAATTGACACCCTAACATCACAATTAAAAGAACTAGAAAAGCAAGAGCAAACACATTCAAAAGCTAGCAGAAGGCAAGAAATAACTAAAATCAGAGCAGAACTGAAGGAAATAGAGACACAAAAAACCCTTCAAAAAATTAATGAATCCAGGAGCTGGTTTTTTGAAAGGATCAACAAAATTGATAGACCGCTAGCAAGACTAATAAAGAAAAAAAGAGAGAAGAATCAAATACATGCAATAAAAAATGATAAGGGGGATATAACCACCGATCCCACAGAAATACAAACTACCATCAGAGAATACTACAAACACCTCTATGCAAATAAACTAGAAAATCTAGAAGAAATGGATAAATTCCTCGACACATACACTCTCCCAAGACTAAACCAGGAAGAAGTTGAATCTCTGAATAGATCAATAACAGGATCTGAAATTGTGGCAATAATCAATAGCTTACCAACCAAAAAGAGTCCAGGACCAGATGGATTCACAGCTGAATTCTACCAGAGGTACAAGGAGGAGCTGGTACCATTCCTTCTGAAACTATTCCAATCAATAGAAAAAGAGGGAATCCTCCCTAACTCATTTGATGAGGCCAGCATCATTATGATACTGAAGCCAGGCAGAGACACAACCAAAAAAGAGAATTTTAGACCAATATCCTTGATGAACATTGATGCAAAAATCCTCAAGAAAATACTGGCAAAACGAATCCAGCAGCACATCCAAAAGCTTATCCACCATGATCAAGTGGGCTTCATCCCTGGGATGCAAGGCTGGTTCAACATATGCAAATCAATAAATGTAATCCAGCATATAAACAGAGCCAAAGACAAAAACCACATGATTATCTCAATAGATGCAGAAAAAGCCTTTGACAAAATTCAACAACCCTTCATGCTAAAAACTCTCTATAAATTAGGTATTGATGGGACGTATTTCAAAAATAATAAGAGCTATCTATGACAAACCCACAGCCAATATCATACTGAATGGGCAAAAACTGGAAACATTCCCTTTGAAAACTGGCACAAGACAGGGATGCCCTCTCTCACCACTCCTATTCAACATAGTGTTGGAAGTTCTGGCCAGGGCAATTAGGCAGGAGAAGGAAATAAAGGGTATTCAATTAGGAAAAGAGGAAGTCAAATTGTCCCTGTTTGCACACAACATAATTGTATATCTAGAAAACCCCATTGTCTCAGCCGAAAATCTCCTTAAGCTGGTAAGCAACTTCAGCAAAGTCTCAGGATACAAAATCATTGTACAAAAATCACAAGCATTCTTATACACCAACAACAGACAAACAGAGAGCCAAATCATGAGTGAAATCCCGTTCACAATTGCTTCAAAGAGAATAAAATACCTAGGAACCCAACTTACAAGGGATGTGAACGACCTCTTCAAGGAGAACTACAAAGCACTCCTCAAGGAAATAAAAGAGGATACAAACAAATGGAAGAACATTCCATGCTCATGGGTAGGAAGAATCAATATCATGAAAATGGCCATACTGCCCAAGGTAATTTACAGATTCAATGCCATCCCCATCAAGCTACCAATGACTTTCTTCACAGAATTGGAAGAAACTACTTTAAAGTTCATATGGAACCAAAAAAGAGCCCGCATCGCCAAGTCAATCCTAAGCCAAAAGAACAAAGCTGGAGGCATCACACTACCTGACTTCAAACTATACTACAAGGCTACAGTAACCAAAACAGCATGGTACTGGTACCAAAACAGAGATATAGATCAATGGAACAGAACAGAGCCCTCAAAAATAATGCCACATATCTACAACTATCTGATCTTTGACAAACCTGAGAAAAACAAGCAATGGGGAAAGGATTCCCTATTTAATAAATGGTGCTGGGAAAACTGGCTAGCCATATGTAGAAAGCTGAAACTGGATCCCTTCCTTACAACACAAAAATCAATTCAAGATGGATTAAAGACTTACATGTTAGACCTAAAACCATAAAAACCCTAGAAGAAAACCTAGGCTTTACCATTCAGGACATAGGCATGGGCAAGGACTTCATATCTAAAACACCAAAAGCAATGGCAACAAAAGACAAAATTGACAAATGGGATCTAATTAAACTAAAGAGCTTCTGCACAGCCAAAGAAACTACCATCAGAGTGAACAGGCAACCTACACAATGGGAGAAAATTTTCACAACCTACTCATCTGACAAAGGGCTAATATCCAGAATCTACAATGAACTCAAACAAATTTACAAGAAAAAAACAAACAACCCCATCAAAAATTGGGTGAAGGACATGAACACACACTTCTCAAAAGAAGACATTTATGCAGCCAAAAAACACATGAAAAAATGTTCATCATCACTGGCCATCAGAGAAATGCAAATCAAAACCACAATGAGATACCATCTCACACCAGTTAGAATGGCAATCATTAAAAAGTCAGGAAACAACAGGTGCTGGAGAGGATGTGGAGAAATAGGAACACTTTTACACTGTTGGTGGGACTGTAAACTAGTTCAACCATTGTGGAAGTCAGTGTCGCGATTCCTCAGGCATCTAGACCTGGAAATACCATTTGACCCAGCCATCCCATTACTGGGTATATACCCAAAGGACTATAAATCATGCTGCTATAAAGACACATGCACACGTATGTTTATTGTGGCATTATTCACAATGGCAAAGACTTGGAACCAACCCAAATGTCCAACAATGATAGACTGGATTAAGAAAATGTGGCACACATACACCATGGAATACTATGCAGCCATAAAAAATGATGAGTTCATGTCCTTTGTAGGGACATGGATGAAATTGGAAATCATCATTCTCAGTAAACTATGGCAAGAACAAAAAACCAAACACCGCATATTCTCACTCATAGGTGGGAATTGAACAATGAGATCACATGGACACAGGAAGGGGAATATCACACTCTGGGGACTGTTGTGAGTGGGGGGAGGGAGGAGGGATAGCATTGGGAGATATACCTAATGCTAGATGATGAGTTAGTGGGTGCAGCGCACCAGCATGGCACATGTATACATATGTAACTAACCTGCACAATGTGCACATGTACACATATGTAACTAACCTGCACAATGTGCACATGTACCCTAAAACTTAAAGTATAATAAAAAAAATAAAAAATAAAAAAATAAATCCCCCCCAAAAAATGAGAGACTGATTTTCTTCAGCTCTTAAGAGAAAGGGCATTTTGCTCCTCCCAGCCAACAGGCAACCCTGGGTGATGAGTGGGAGTATCTTAGAGGTGGTTGACCCCCCGTGACATGTAGTAGTCCTACAGGAAACCCCCAACATAATTAGTTTAAAAAGGTTTGGTCAGGAAGTACATATAGAAGCTGGTCGCTCTGCATTTTGAGCCCTCTTGGAGGTCTAGACCTCCAGAGAGAGAAACTGAGACATGTAAGAGGGTGGAAATGACTCAATGGTAACACACTGTGGAGTCCCACCCACAAGCAGCACACTGCAACCCACTCAACCCACTAGGCTGCAGCTTAGTTTCTCCTTTAAAAAAATGGTGGGAAACAAATAATCTACGAATGAGAAAAAACAAGGAGAATGACCTCCTTTTCAGGCACTCCTTTGGTTTTATGGTGCCTCTTCTTGCAATAGTTTCAGTAAAATGGATATATGTAGTATTTTCATGCATGATTATATCAAGGAAAATGAAGAACCCAAAGGTCTACCTGCAATTATAAAGTTCCCACGTTCTCTATCTCTCTGCTTTCTTTTCTGCCTTAAGTGTACTTTTACTTTTCTACTGAGATAAAATCCACTGCTTGAAATTAACCATATATTTTTTGTTGCTGTTTTTGCAAACCAGTGAGTTTTATTAATATCTCATGGCTAGAATTCTGCAGTAAAATCTATAGGATCTTTGGTTGTATTAGTATGTATATGTGTGTTTATGTGTATGTACATGTATTTTGTTGTATTTTTGGCCACAAGGTACCAAATTGGCTTAAAGGGTACTCATAAATTACATAATAAGCACAAATGCTTTTCAAGTTCACCTGTCTTAAGCAAAATATGTAAAAATCTAGCTTTAAAATTATTGTTAAATTAATATCAGAAATGTCTCAAGAATTGCCAGCATACATTTTTGTTTGCACTTATTGATCAAATGATTTCATACTTATCCCTGCCAAATACTTTAACATGTCAACATTTGGCATAAGGGTTACAAAAGTGTAAACCCAGCCTGAAACAGAATGATTTTGCTTGTGTAATTTTTGATAAGTAAGCCATTAATATTGGCTTAATAAAAATAGCTAAATCTTGAATTATTATTAAAATAAACATATATTTAATCTTAAGATTCTTAATTAGGTAAACACCTGAAATTCACAGGCTATAAAATGGTTGACCAGGAAATAACTATAACTGCCCAGTGGGTTCACCTTGCCCACTCCCTATACAGAACTGATTTATCAAAATATGGGAATTGCAATAGAAAAAGAGTAATTCACACAGAGCCAGCTGTGCAGGAGACTGGAGTTTTATTATTACTCAAATCACTTTCACAGAAAATGCGGGGATCATAATTTTTAAGGATAATTTTGTGGGAAGGGTTCCAGTGAGTCAGGAGTTTTGATTGGTTGGGTTGGAGGTTAAATCAAAGGGAGTTGATTCCTCTTACCCTGAGTCAATTAGTGGATGGGGGCCACAAGACCAGATGAGCCAGTTCATTGATCTAGGTGGTGCCAGCTGATCCATCAAGTGCAGGGTCTGCAAAATATCTCAAGCACTGGTCTTATATTTTATAATAGTTACGTTATCCCCAGGAGCAATTTGAGGAGATTTAGAATCTTGTAGCCTCCAGCTGCATGAATCCTAAACCATAATTTCTAATCTTGTGGCTTTAGGCAGTCTAGTCCCCAAGCAAGAAGGAGGTTTACTTTGGGAAAGGACTATCATTGTCTTTGTTTCAAAGCAAAACTATAAACTAGTTTCTCCCAAAGTTAATTTGGTCTATGCCCAGGAATAAACAAGGACAGTGTTAAGGTTAAAAGCAAGATGGAATCATTTAGGTAAGCTCTCTTTCACTGTCTCAGTTCCAATTTTGCAATAGTGTTTTCATAATTTTAAATGATGACTACCAAAGTTTCCATAAATAATCTAGGTAAACTATTAAAATAAAATAATTAGGTTAATATAATCGGGTAAATGCTTGTAGACAAACGTCATAATTTATAATCTAGCATTATATTAAATTAAATAACAGCTATTTCATTAATTGATATTTTCCAATAAAAAAGATTGTAGTAAAACATTCTTTCTAAAAAAAAGTTCTTTTTAAAAAGTGAATACATTTTGTCTAATCAAAGCTTATTTAAAGATTATATATAAAACAAGGTAAAGGAACCAGGAAATAAGAGAGAAAATTATAGAAATAAAGTGGTATTTTGGGTAGGAAACTTAAAGAAAAATAATTTTATATGAGAAAGAATCTCGTATGGTGATGTGGTTTGGCTCTGTGTTCCCACCCACATCCCAGTGTGTATTGTAATAATCACCACATGTCAAGGGTAGGACCAAGTGGAGATAATTGAATCATGGGGGCCAATTCCTCCATACTGTTTTTGTGATAGTGAGTGAGTTTCCACAAGGTCTGATGGTTTTATATGGGGTTTTCCTCTGCTAAATTCTCATTCTCTCTCCTACCATCCTGTGAAGGGTTTCCTTCCATCATGATTGTAGGTTTTCTGAGGACTCCTCAGCCATGCTGAACTGTGAGACAATTAAACCTCTTTCCTTTATAAATTACCACGTTGTGTGTTTTTTCATAGTAGCATGAGAATGGAGTAATACAGTCAATTGATACCACAGAGAATGGGGTTCTGCCATAAAGATATGAAAAAAATATGAAAGCAACATTGGAACTGGGTAACAGTCAGAGGTTGGAAGTTTGGAGGTCTCAAAGGAAGACAGAAAAATGTGGGAATGTTTGGAACTTCCTAGGGACTTGTAGGGCTCAGAAGACAGGAAGATGTGGGAAAGTTTGGAACTCTCTAGAGACTTGTTGAAGGATTTTGACCAAAATGCTGATAGAGACATGGACAATGAAGTCCAGCCTGAGTTGGTCTAAATAGAGATGATAAACTTCTTGGCAACTGGTGCAAAGGTGACTCTTGCTAGGCTTTGGCAAAAAGACTAGAGGTATTCTGTCTCTGCCCTGGAGATACGTGGATCTTTGAACTTGAGAGAGGTAATTTAGGGTAGTCAAAGAAGTTTCTAAGTGGCAAAGCATACGAGAGGAAGCAGAACACAAATGTTTGAAAAATTCGCAGCTACAGGATGTGTCAGAAAAGCAAATCCCATTTTGGAGGGATAAATTCAAGCCTGCTACAGAAATTTGCATAAGTAATGAGGAGCAGAATGTTAATCACCAAGCAAAGGGGAATGTCTCCAGGGCATGTCAGAGACCTTCATAGCAGCCCCTCCTATCAAAGGCCCCGAGGTGTAAAAGGGAAAAATGGTATCATGGGCTGGGCTCAGGGTCCCCTTGCTCTGTGTAGCCTCAGAACATGTGTTCCTTGTGTTCCAGGTGCTTCAGCTCTAGCTGTGGCTAAAAGGGGCTAATGTACAGCTCAGGCCATTGCTTCAGAGGGCGTAAGCCCCAAGCCTTTTTGGCTTTTATGTGGTATTGAGCATATAGGTGTACAGAAGTCAAGAAATGAGGTTTAGGAACCTCCACCTAGATTTCACAGGATGTATGGGAACATCTGGATATCCAGGCAGAATTTTGCTATAGGGGTGGAGCCCTCATGAAGAACCTGTGCTATGGCAGTGTAGAAGCAAAATGTGGGGTTGGAGCCCCCACACAGAATCCCCACTGGAGCACTGCCTAGTGGAGTTGTGAGAAGGGGGCCACCATCCTCCAGACCCCAGAATGTTAGATACACTGACAGCTTGCACCGTGTACCTGGAAAACCCGCAGACAATCAATGCCAGCATGTGAAGACAGCCAGGATTAGGGGCTGTACCCTGCAAAGCCACAGGGGTGGAGCCACCCAAGGCCATGGAAGCCCACCTCTTGCATCAATATGACCTGTATGTGAGATGTGGTGTCAAAGGAGATCATTTTGAAACTTTAATGTTTAATGATTGCCTTATTGGATTTTGGACTTCCATGGGGCCTGTATCTGCTTTGTTTTGACCAATTTCTCCCATCTGGAAAAGGTGTATTTACTCAATGCCTGCACCTCAATTGTATCTAGCAAGTAACCTTGCTTTTGATTTTACAGGCTCATAGCGAAAAGGGACTTGCCTTGTATCAGATGAGACTTTGAACTTGGCCTTTTGGGTTAATACCAGAATGAGCTAAGACTTTGGGGGACTGTTTGAAGGGCATTATTGTGTTTTGAAATGTGAGGACATGAGATTTGGGAATGGCTAGGGGTAGAATATCATTTGGCTCTGTGTCCCCACACAAATCTCACCTTGAACTGTAACAATTCCCATGTGTCATGGATGGGACCAGGTGGAGATAATTGAATCAAGGGGGCAGTTTCCTCCATCTTGGTCTTGTGATAGTGAGTGAGTTCTCATGAGATCTGATGGTTTTATAAGGGGTTTCCCCCTTCACTCAGTTCTCATTCTCTCTCCTGCTGCCCTGGGAAGAGGTGCCTTCAGCCATGATTGTAAGTTTCTTCAAGTCTCCTCAGCCATGCTGAATTGTGAGTCAATTAAACCTATTTCCCTTATAAATTATCCAGTCTTGGGTATTTCTTCATGGCAGCATGAGAACAGACTATTACATATGGTAAATTTTGTCCTAGAATAAAATAACTGGTTGTTTAAGAAAGATTGATACTCAGGATAAACCAGAAAGTCCAAGCATATCATGAGTGGTCCATGCAAGTCACAATAAGGGGATTTATTTAAAAAATTATATGATCAAGTTATCTATAATTACAGGGAAATTATAATGGTCTTTCTAGAGATTGGGTTTTAATAAAAATAAAAACCACTTATATACTAAAGAATTGGCTCAAACTACAATTTTTTAGTTATTGCTTTACTCTTAATACATTGCAAGACATTATAATTTTTTAATGCAGAGTTCAACTTTTGTTCAATCTGTTTTTAGCTTTCCCTTCCTTTTTAAAAAGCTTGAAATAATAACTCTATGCTTCAACTCATTTTCAACTCCTGGAAGTTTTTCTTTTTCCTTTGGATTCTAACTGTTGTAGCTGGATGTTAAAAACAAAACAAAAAATGTTTTATCTTAGAGGTCCAAAAGAAATGTTTCCTGCCAACATAAAATTTCCCATAGGGAATAGCAGTCACACTGCAGAAGGTCTTTTATTTTGCCTTTGGGTGACTAGCCTAATAAACAGATCTTACACTTTATCAAAATAATTCCTATGTCATTATTACTAAGTTTGGTTTGCTTAGAAAAAACTGATTTTTTTAAATTAAGGTTATTACACCAGTGGAATTTTTAGTATGTTCTTTAAAAGTCTTCATGACATTAAGTTATGGGACTTTGACTCCTGGATATAAAAGGAACACCAAGTCCTGCTAAATCTTAACACTGACAGCAATTAAATCCTCATCTTCAGACCTGGTAGAAGATGCCAGTCAAAATAAACTGTGTTCATGAGACACAGGGCTGGAAATTAAAACTGTTTAACTCCTCAAGGCCCAGAGACTATTCTGAAAGAGATGGCCACATGATATTGTAAGGGCTGATTTTGAGAAATAAAATAAGTTCAATTTCTCTATATATTAACCATTAATGTCAAAGGCACTCTAATGCAAGTCTAGCATATGGGTCCCTGCGTCAGATTAACAAGGTTTTCTTGAAGCATTAACCCACTCCTTAATAAAGGTTAAAAAGACATTAAAATGAGCATTAACACACTCCTTAATAAAGGTTATAAAGGATATTAAAAGGCTTGTGAAAATTATATCTTATTGTCAAGATGATTAAAATTTCATAGATTGTTTATAAAATTTTGAAAAACACATTTAATGGGCCTCATGCTGTTTTTATTGGGGTTTATTGTTTGAGAAATTAAGTCTCCTCTCTCAAAAAATAAATATTTTGTCCTTTTTCAACATCTTTGAGTTATCACTTTGGCTAAATAAATGAGACTTATACAAGGACCCATGATTGCATTTTATCATATCAAGTGATTTAAACTTTTTATATAAACTTCACATTTCAAAACCAACCATGTTTTCCCAACAGTCCCCCAAAGTCTTAACTTATTTCAGCATTAACTTAAAAGTCCACAGTCTAAAGGCTTGTCTGAGACAAGGCAAGTCCTTTCTGCCTATGAGCCGGTAAAATCAAAACCAAGTTAGTTACTTCCTAGTTACAATGGAGGTACAGACATTGGGTTTCAAATGGAAAAAACTGGCCCAAACCAAGGGCATACAAGGCCCCTGCAAATCTGAAATTCAATGAGGCAGTCAAATCTTAAAGCCCCAACATGATCTCCTTTGACTCCAGGTCTCGCATCCAGGTCACACTGATGTAAGAGGTGAGTTCCCATGGTCTTGAGCAGCTCTGCCTCATGGCTCTACAGGGTACAGTAGCCTCCTTCCTGACCGCTTTCACAAACTGGTGTTGAGTGTCTGTGGCTTTTCCAGGCACATGGTGCAACCTGGAGATGGATCTACAATTCTAGGGTCTGGAAGACAGTGGCTCTCTTCTCAGAGATCCACTAGATGGTGCCCAGTAAGGACTCTGTGTGGGGGCTCCAACCCCATTTCCAATATGCACTACCCTAGCAGAGGTTCTCCATGAGATCCCTGCATCCAGGCATTTCCACAAAACTTCTGAAATCTAAGTGGAGGTTCCCAAACCCCAGTTCTTGACTTCTATGTACTCACAGGCTCAACAGCATATGGAAGCTGTCAAGGCTTGGGGCTTGCACTCTCTGAAGCCATGGCCTGAGCTCTATATTGGCTCCTTTTAGCCATGGCTAGAGCAGCTGAGACACAATGCACCAAGTCCTAGGCTGCACACATCATGGGGACCCTGGGCTCAATCCAGGAAACCACTTTTTCCTCCTAGTCCTTTGGGCCTGTGATGGGAGGGGCTGCCATGAAGACTTCTGACATGCCCTGGAGACATTTTCCCCATGGTCTTGGGGATTAACATTCTGTGTCTTGTTACTTATGCAAATTTCTACAGCCAGACTGAATTTTACCTCAGAAAATGGGATTTTATTTTCTATTGCATTGTCAGGCTGCAAATTTTCCTAACTTTTATGCTTTATTTCCTTTTTAAAGCTGAAGGCCTTTAACAGCACCCAAGTCACATCTTGAATGCTTTACTGCTTAGAAATTTCTTCCATCAGATACCCTAAAACATCTCTCTCAAGTTCAAAGTTCCACAAATCTCCAGGGCAGAGACAAAATGCTGCCAGTCTTTTTGCTAAAACATAACAAGAGTCTCCTTTGATCCAGTCCCCAGCAAGTTCCTCATCTCCATCTGAGACCACCTCAGCCTGGACCATATTGTTCATATCTCTATCAGCATTTTGGACACAGCCATTCAACAAATCTCTAGGAAGTTCCAAACTTTCCTACATTTTCCTATCTTCTTCTGAGCCTTCCAAACTGTTCCAATTTCTACCTGTTACCCAGTTCCAAACTTGCTTTCACATTTTCAGGTATCTTTTCAGCAACATCTCACTCTCAGTACCAACTTAATGTATTGGTCTGTTTTCACGCTGCTGATAAAGACATACCCAAGACTGGATAATTTACAAAAGAACGACGTTTATTGCACTTACAGTTTCATGTGGCTGGGGAGGCCTCACAATCATAGTGGAAGGTGAAAGGCACATCTCACATGGTGGTAGACAAGAGAAGAAAGATTGTGCAGGGAAAATCCCCTTTTTAAAACCATCAGCTCTCATTAGACTCATTCACTATCATGAGTACAGTGCAGGAAAGACCTGCTCCCATAATTCAATCACCTCCCAGAGGGTTGCACCCATAACGTGGAAATTTTGGGAGTTACATTTCAGGATGATATTTGTGTGGGGACAGAGCCAAACCATATTAACCACAGTTGTTTTACTTTCATCCTTTTTAAAAATGTGGTTTTATATTCAGCCTAGGACTCTGACTGGTGTTCCAGAATGTAGGTTTTGGAGATTGTGAAATCTCCTGGAATAGAAAAAAACTTTTAAGACTCCCATGGAGAGCTGAAATGTTCATGAATATCAAGCAGAACAGGAGCTAGTTCATGGTCTGAACTAATAGAAGACTGAAATAATCATTTTATGACATTTTGCTTAAAATGTTGCTGACCATTTCTTTGCTTTTCAGAGCCAATGAAACTTTTCTTTTGAGCTATTTATGGCTTTTAACGATTGAGAAAAGTGTACTCCTACAAATAAATTCTGGGGCATAATTCCCTCTACTTATTTTTTTCAAAATCTGGAAAGTAGTTGTGAGTATTCTCAATTTACAGAAACATCATTATTTGCATAACTACAATAAGAATCTGTTTTGCTTTGTAACAGGACACAATTGGAGACACTGGTTATTTTACTAAGGTTTTGACTGGCATAGAATGCTATCAGATACAGACTTCTTTAAGGAATCAAAGTTGACTTTTAGAGCCAATAAAATTTCCTTGGGGCTGGGCATGGTGGCTCATGCCTGTAATCCCAGCATTTTGGGAGGCAGAGGTGGATAGATTGCTTGAGCTCATGCGTTCAAGACCAGACTGGCCAACATGGCGAAATCCTGTCTCCACCATAAATACAAAAAATTAGCCAGGTATACTGGTGCATGCCTGCAGTCCCAGGTACTCAGGGGGCTAAGGTGGGAGGATCACCCATGCCTGTAAGATGGAGGCTGTGGTGAGCCAAGATCACAACACGCCACTTCAGCCTGAGTGACAAAGTGAGACACTGTCTCAAAAAAAAAAAAAAAAAAAAAAGCACCTTGGGAAAGCTGACCTCATACATTGTCTACACAGTCCCCATATACGTTCCTGACCTGTGGTAAGTAAAGAATGTTACTTTCTGACAGGCCCAGGAGCCCCAAGTTTTCTTGGGCCCTCAAGGTGAGGAATTTACCCAATTAATATGGGTTTTTGCAGGCACAGGCTAAGCTTAAGGTATTAAAGTTGAACCTGAGATTCCTTATGAAATGAAGTTCTAGTAAAGCCAGTTTAAAGAAAAAAGGAGGGACATATGTAGCAAATAATTATTCTTGCTGACTTCATGAAAATACTCTGGCCAAGTATAATAAGACTAAAACTCATTTTGCAAATGAATTTGTCCTATAATTTGATTTTAGTGAAAACGGAACTGGAGAGAGAGAAATTACATTTCAAAATAAACTATAATGCACCTGCTGTTAGATTCTCCTTTTGCCTAATGTTTTTGAATGTTTATTATTTTCTACAGTTTAGACTGAATTCTAAATTTGTTCCTGGCTACAAGTCTCCAAAATAATGTTTTCAGTTTTTTTTCTTTCTTTATTTTTATTTTTTCCTCATTTTTTCTCATTTGAAATCACTGAAAACTAAGCTGTGTTTTCTTAAAGCTCTGTGAACTGAAGCCAGACAACTTAAACTTCAGAAGAAAATAACATCAACCTTTTTACATACAAAAGCCACTTCTATACTTGTGAGGCAGGAAAATAGTTTCTGGAGGAAGTAAGCCTTATGTTTTGGATTTATTTTTCTCCTTTTCCTTTCTGCTCCATACAAGGGAATTAATCTCTCTCTCTCTCTCCTCTTTCTCTCTCTCTCTCTCTCTCACTCTCTTCCTTTCCAACTAAGTACCCTTGGTGGGCAGTGCCTAAAGATGGAGGCAACTGCAGGTTTCTGGCTATGGCCAGTGAAGCTAAGGAGTTTCCATGCTGAGGCACCTAACAACCGCTGCTTGATTTGCTTAAGGGAACAGGATCTTTTTCCCTTTTTTTTCTTTCTTCATTTTTCAGTCCTTTCGCAGCTCCTTTCTATCAGCCTCTTCTGAATTGAGGGCAACCGGCTTGGGGTTACTCTCCAGTATTATCTGAAGGCCTCGGAGGAGTGAATGGGGATAACTGCCCTGCCAGGAAGGGAGAAGAACTCTATTTTATCTTTTCCAGTTGTGGTCCCTGGTCCCTACATGTGGCTTAGCTCAAAGCAAACTCACACTTGTTTCAGATGATTCTCTCCTTTGGTGCTGTTTGGCCCCAGTGCTCTTTGGAGTCTGAGGAAGTTTGGCCTTTAAAAATCAAACTGCCATGGAAACTGCTTTACCTGAAGTTTTGGTTCACAGACTTCATTGGATTATCTGTTGGGGCAAACAAAGTAAAACTGGCAAGCTTGTATTGCTATCTCATGGATAAGTTTCCAAGCTATTGGATCTTCATTTATGTGTTTGCATACATGTCTGGATGTATTTATTTGTATGTACACTTATTGTCATATATTGTGTCTACTAAAATTGGCAAATAAGTAAAATAGCACTTATAAATTGAGTAAATAAGTCTAAGCAATTTTCAAGTTCACATGACTTAAGTATAACTTTACTGAACAAGCTAGCAAGAGGAGGTGTCAGCTGGGCATCGTGGGTCCAGTAGGGGCTCAGAAAGCTGTGAAACTCACTCATTTCCTGCATCAGGACTTACTTTGGTCCTGGATGAATAATATTAAAGATATATGCTTAAACTATTCCTAACATCAGAATTTGTGCATGTGTTTTCTTCCCCAAGAAAGCTGTAAACAGCGAAAATTTTGTTGTAAGCTTCCCTGTGTCCTCTCTCCCTCTCTCCCTTCCCGCCCCCCGCCCGAAACTGAAAGGAATGTTAAAAGCCCATTTTTTCTGTGACCAGCAGACCTTATCTATGCTCCCAATTCCAATTCATTGTAAACACAATCTGTAAAATCCTGTGAAATCCTGTCTCCTTTGCCATGCCGCTGCAGGGTTATAAAGTAGATAAACCTTAAGTTACAATTCCAGTTTTCCTCAAGATCTGAGACATGTTAATTGCCTTTGTTTCTCAGTCTGGTAACATCTTCCCACCACGTGTATTTCCCACCTTAAAGAGTTTAAAAGGTGATAAAAAAATCTAACATTGGCTACCCTCTCGGGACCCCTTCCACACTGTGGAAGCTTTGTACTGTCACTCTGTTCAATAAAGCCTACAGCTTTTTTTCTCTGGGTCCGATCCGTGTGTCTCTCTCACCACGGGCTGCCGCCCCACCAAATCTTTGGTGTGGCTAAGGCAAGCACCTTTGGCGTTACACTAGCTTTAAAATTATTAGTAGAATAAAAATAGAAATGCCTTCAGAATTGTCAGCATACATTTTTGTCTGGATTTTATGTTTGTCTTTGATATATATTTTGAGATGTCAGTGTTTGCCATAGAAGGTTATGAAATTATAATCACAGCCAAAACAAAATGATCTTGGTTTGCATGCTTTCTTTTGACAAATGAAAGCAATTATGAAAGGAAAATATATTGGGCTGCCCACAAAATCACTAAACTGAAGGGAAAATTAAAGCTGGGAATGCTTAAGGCAAACCTGCCTCCCATTCTATTCAAAGTTATCCCCCTGCTCAGTGAGATAAATGCATATCTGATTGCTTCCTTTGGAAAGGCTAATCAGAGGCTCAAAAGAATGTAACCATTTGTCTCCCACCTACCTGTGACCTGGAAACCCCCAAGCCACCCCTCACACTTGAGTTGTCCCACCTTTCCAGACCAAACCAATGTTTATTTTAGGTATGTTAAATAATGTCTCATGCCTCCCTTGTTAAAAGTAAAAAAATAAGTACAGTAAATATAATAAATGGTTTAGGTAAACTTCTTGTGTAAATTAAAATCTTAAAGTTATTTTTAATGCTCATTGAATATCTGGGTCATTTCCAATTAAAAAGAGGTTGTAGTGTGGGAAAATAGGTTTCAAAAATTGTGGGATTGTTCTTATTTATAAATGCCAATATCTGATAGTTCAGGATTTCTAGTTTTTTAGGGTTTCACTAACATTTTAGGTTACTAAGATAAGAATTCTAGATAACGTGTAATTCTGAATATAAAATGTGCCAGAAAGGGTTATGTTATTAGTGAGAAAGATAATAATTTTGTCTAATTCAGAAGTTATCAGAAAGTTAGTTTAAATTACAGATTTAATGATGTTATTTATAAAACAATGTAGTAAAAAAAACATTAAGTAGGGGAGAAAGATGTGGAAAACTTTAGATAATAAAATATTCTTTAAAACCTGATAGAGAATTGGAGACATTTCACTAATTAACATTTTCTTAGTTTAAGCTCCTAGTTTTAATTAAAGTAAAATAAGAAGTATTTAATGAAATACATCAGCAATTTGGCAACTTAAAAAAAATAGTCAAGGCTCTTATTTGGTTCTGTGAACAGTTATTTTGCTTCCTATGCATTTCTAGCAAGTCATTATTTGTTCAATTTATCTGGAATTCCTAAGTTACCTTTATTAGGCCCACAGGAATTGATGGAGCACACTAGCCTTTTAACCTTAAACTTTTTGGATTTTAGGCTTCTTGATACTTTAATTGTGTTAAGTATGCATTCATAAATAGAAATTGAGTCGTATTTCTCTCTTTGCCTAATTTCTCCAAAATTCATGATCTATGTGTGAATATTCTTATGTGTTTGCATACAGTCGAGCAGGGTAGATAGGGCTGCTCAGGAAGAGAGAACCCAGAAACCTGACATACTGGCAAAAGGGTAAGAATTTCTTACCAAACTCTGACCTCTTTCTTTCTGTGCAAACTAGTTAAATGAAAGGTAGAAGTCACTGTTTATCTGTTCTGTAAAGTTTTAATTAATACCAAAGAGCTTCAATTAATTGCTTTAATAATAATAAGAACTTAAATCAAATATTTTGTCAGAGAAGTAAAAAGGACAATGCCTTTTATTTAGTTCATGTAACTTGAGTAATCTTTGGAAAATAAGGATGGTTTTAAAGATTATTGGTAAAATGAAAATGTCTTCAAAACGTAAACATGTGGTTTAAATTATGTTCAAATATTAGGTTTGCTAAATGCCTTAAGGTCATAAGCTGCTTCTTTGGCTTTTGAAAATTGTTTAACTTGCCTGCTTTACAACTAGGTAAGACCTGGGGACATGTGGAGTTGGCCACACCCTTAGCTATGCTGAAAATAGTTAAACCTTATATGTAATTAACATAACTTACCAGGTTTTACATTACTAAGAGTACATGCAAGGTGTGTAAAAACATAGAATGTGTGTTTTTTTTAAAAGGGTTATAAAAAGGCATGAAAATGTAAGTTCTTGCCTAGGGTTAAAGGATTACTTTAAGTTAGATAAAATAGAGCTAAAAGTTTGAACAAATGGTGGAAAGTTTCTAAAAATTAATCTTGCAAAATAAATTCTTTGTGTGAACATATTGACTAAAAACGGTATTATATGGTTTTTCTGTAAATTGTGTATTAAAATAAAAGCACAACAAGGTTTTCTTAATACACTAATCTGCTCTTTGGCAAAATCCATAAAGGGTTATAACAGGATTTTCCTTCTTTAAGATTTCTGAGTTATCATTTTGGCAAAATAAATAGTTTATGGTAATCTGGAATTCTATTTCATAATATCAAGTGTTGTAAACTCTGAACATATTTAACAGCCTTCCCCAAATCAAACTTTAGTTTCAAAATTATCTTTCCTGATGCTTGGCTTTTTGGATTAATCAGCAGAGCACCCCTGAAACATCCAGAAAATAGGTAAACACGATTATTTGAAATCTTTAGGTACATAGGATTGACAAAATGATGTTCAATCTTCTTTAGGTTATATTATATGCTATCAATCATAATTATGGTTATGACATTAGTTATTGTAAGCTACAGTAATAACTAAATTTCCTTTTATAAAGCTACTAATTCAAGTGAGACAAAAATTAAATACCAAGAAAACAATTTGTCAAATAACCCTTCAGTTATTCACCTAATTTGGAAAAATAACTGATATTCAAGAGGCTATAACTCAAATGTTAATTAAGCATGGACTCATGGAGAACCAGGATGGCCACATTGTCCTTCCTGAGTCCTTAAAGCTTTCATTATTAAAAGTTTTCATTCCATGCCTCATCATGGAAAAAAAATGATCTAAACTGAATACATTGTTGTGGTGGCTTACAAATTACTAAAATAGTTTACAATCAATGTTTTGCTCCATACTCCTGGGAAAATAGTTAAAGCTTCAGGTACATTTGGTCACCTATTGGGCCACCTAGTGGGCCACTTAAACATTTTATAAAGTAATTTCATTCAATTGTTATTTTCCATGCATGTTTTCTGGTTGTATAAAAGCTTTTCCATGCAAGAGGGCTGATGTTATAACAATAGATTATTATGCTACAGTGTATTTTCACCAGGTAAATGAAGTTTTTTATGGTTTGGATCTTTGGAGAACATCAGAAAAAGACTGTCCTTGCCATCCACACTCCAACAAAACTTCGGGACCTTGAACTTTGGATTCATAATCTCACAACTGAGAAGGGTACCTCCACACTCCTGGAACTGTATACCCATTGGAACACATAAGGTAAAACTAACCAGGGAATTTACTCGCCAGAAGAAATGGCATCCTTGATGTAAACAGCTTTTTCCAAGTTCCCAGATTAAAACTTCTACTATTATGAAACTATTATCTTTGAATATTTTCCCTTGCTTATGCCTCTATGAACAATAGAAGTGGGAAAGGGGTCCGTTATGTGCACTTATGGGGTATACTTTTATTTGTAAAGAAGTTTGCAGCCAGCTTTATACATGGAAAAACTTATACTTTGACAGATAAAATATGAAGGCCCAATGTAGATAAGAAACTTTATTGGTATATACATTGCCTCATAATTAGTCAGAAACAGAACATTAATTCACTCCTATTAAGCCACATCATGGGTTAAAGAGAACATTGCCAGGAGGCCTTTGCTCTTCTACAAGAGCATCATTTGTTAGGTCCTTTTTCCATGGTTTGAAGTAAAAGAAGTTGTGATTAGAAATGTATCCCCCATGATAGGCTCTATAGCAGATTCTACTGTAAAGGCTACAGTTACACAACAGACTTTAAATTCTCTTGTGAAAGTTATGATAGAATTGTCTGAACAGAGAAGTAGCTGTGCAACTGCTGGCTCTTGTGGCCTATGAAGAAATACATCAAATAAAGATTGTAGAGATTCAGTGGTAGGGGGTTAATGAAGAGATTGCGTAGTCAAATGAACAGACTCTTTATCTAGCTCATTCTTTGATCTAATTGATTTTAGGAGTTTGGATTATGGGAACCTTGTGTAAGAAACATACTCTGAAGTCTTGGTATTATCTTCCCAATAGTCATAATAATTGTTTACCTGGTGCACTGCATTCTCTCACAGGTTTAAATGCTTGCATGCAGCCATCTCTAAGATGTCAAATTGTCTCTCTTCAACTGGAATGGCAAGAACTAAAAGAAGTGTGCAACCATGAGGACACCATAACCTATGAATGGCATGCCGAGACCAGAAACCCAAAATGATGGTAACTGAGAGTGACGCTAAGGCCTGATTTTTGGTCACACTCTTACCTAAGTGGGAACTTGACCAAAAAGAGGGAATTTTTAAAAACAAAATTATGGGAGGCCATTGTTTTGGACTAAGCTCATGCACTAGGCCCCAACAGACCAAACCAAAACAAATGAAGTCACTTGTGCTGAGAATTTAAGGAACACATACATTCTAGAACAGAGAAGGTTTTGTTTTTCTCTCCTGCAAACTTCTATAACAAACATTCCTGAGAGCATAGGTATCCAACCCCTGATGTTCCCATTAAATCTTTTAACCAAATTCATTTCCTCTCACCTAGAAATCACCAAGCTTCAGATAATTATGCAACAAAGGTTCCAGCCAGTTCCAAGTGAAAACACCACCCCTCGGCATCCAGAAGCTACCCTGCCTTCACTAGAAAGAGCAGGGCAAGAGTTCCATGATCTCTAATAGGTATGTGTCAGGCCTCTGAGCCCACGCTAAGTCATCATATCCCTTGTGACCTGCACAAATACATCCAGATGGCCTGAAGCAAGTGAAGAATCACAAAAGAAGTGAAAATGGCTGGTTCCCGCCTTAACTTGGTGACATTTCACCATTGTGATTTGTTCCTGCCCCACCTTAACTGAGCAACTAACCTTGTGAAATTCCTTATCCTGGCTCAGAAGCTCCCCCACTGTGCACCCTGTGACCCCCACCCCTGCCTGCAGGAGAAAAACCCCCTTTGACTGTAATTTTCCACTACCCACCCAAAGCCTATAAAATGGCCACAACCCTATCTCCCTTTACTGACACTCTTTTCATACTCATCCCACCTGCACCGAGGTGATTAAAAAGCTTTATTGCTCACCCAAAGCCTGTTTCGTGGTCTCTTCACAGGGACATGTGTGACAGTAGGGACTACGCCCCAAGCCAGGATGAAGCAGGTACAGAAGAAAGACCATAGGTTCCTCTGTCTCCCATAAAGATTTATGGGGATCACATCTCTCACTGGGGGAATAAAGCAAGAAAATAGGGTCTGGAGGCAGGGAACATAAGGCTAATTTACACTTCATCTATGACAGAAAATATCCTCTTCATAGGGTGTATGCTGAGTAAATAATTTTGTAACTTTACTTCTCCCTTTTTGTTTATATAGGGTGTTCACCAAGTAACCAATAGAATCCTCTAGTGGTTATTTAAACCCTGCCAAATTCCATAATTGGGCCCTTGAGCCCCTAGGCTTGGGCCCACTCCAACACTGTGGAGTGTACTTTCATTTTCAATAAATCTCTGCGTTTGTTGCTTCATTCTTTCCTTGTTTTGTTTGTGTGTTTTGTCCAATTCTTTGTTTAAGATGCTAAGAACCTGGACACCCTCCATCACTACCACTTGCCTGCTGATATGTAGATTTCAGAGTAATGTGGCCTATTTGGATTTTCCAGGATTGTTCTTTCTTGGTTTGATGTTGTTTTTCTCCCTTCCTCCCCCTATTTTCTCTTCATAGGATGTGAGACTTCACAACCTGCTACAAATGGGCTTTCCTAATATGTGAGACCTACTAGTCTAGAAATAAACCATCTTAGCCATAAGAGATCAGATGAAACCTGAGACCAGAGACTCATTTTCTTCTAAAATGCTTTCTCCAAATGATTTTTTTTAAAAAAGAGGAAATGCATGAAAGGAAAATGAATCTTGGGATCCCCTCAAATCGCTAAAGGGAAAAGTCAAGCTGAGGACTGCTTAGGGCAAACCTACCTCCTATTCTAGTCAAAGTTTTCCCTCTACTCACTGAGATAAATGCATATCTGATTGCTTCCTTTGGAAAGGCTAATCAGAAACTCAAAAGAATGCACCCTTTCATCTCTTATCTACCTATGACCTGGAAGCCCCCTCACTGCTCCAAGTTGTCCTGCCTTTCCAGACTGAACCAATGTGCATCTTACATGTACTGGTCGATGTCTTATTTCTCCCTAACATGTATAAAACCAAGCTGTGTCCCGACCTCCTTGGGCACATGTCATCAGGACCTCCTGAGGCTGTGTCAGGGACACATCCTTAACTCAGGCAAAATAAACTTTTTAAATGGACTGAGACCTGTCTCAGATATTTGGGATTCACACTATAAATTCCTGCTATATGGAAATTTGGGATCACCAGTGGAGGTGAAACTTATATAAGAGGACCTGACAGTAGATGCTTTTGCCTGGAATTATCCTGTGAAGAGCTAGCCATAATTACATGGGAGGAAAATGAGAAATAAAAATTCCATTATGATTAGGATAAAAATTCCATATAATATCTCAAATATCAAGATGTCTTTTTGACCATGTTATAAGACCTAAAATTCAGGTTTACTATAATATGTGCCTTGACATCTGGGGAAAACTGAGAGGAACTTCAATGGCCTAACTACAAGTTCTGCTTCCCATTATGCTCCTGCAGATAAAGACCCCTAGTCAAATAACACTTCCTATCATATGGGCCAAAGTGCCTATTTATCCCCGAGTAACAAGTTTCAATTGCCTGTCAGCTAGAAAAACTATTCAAACAAGCCAATAATATTCCCCTGTGGGAACCAGAGATTATCCCATCCTCTTTATGCTACAAAGCTGGCCTCCTACAGCCCCTGACTGTTCACTCTGTTCTTGAGCACAACACCTGTGTGTCCCTCCATGGCACATTGCCCCTTCCCCTGGGCTGTGAATACAGTCATGCATTTCTTAAAGATGTGGATATGTTCTGAGAAATGCGTTGTTAGTTTATTTTGTTGATGTGCAACCATAATAGAGTGCACTTACACTAATCTAGATATTATAGCCTACCACACAAAAAGCCTGAACAGCATGTTACTGTAATGAATATTTTTGGCAACTGGAACAATATGACATTCTGTATGTAAACATATCTAAACAGAAAAGGTAGACTAAAAATACGGTATTATTATGAGATGACACAGTCTGTTGTTGTCCAAACTATCATTATGCAGTGCATGAATGTATATGTGACTAAAAAATTGCTGTTGAGTGTCAGAGTCATGTGTTAAGCCATCCTCATAACCTGAGGCAGAAATCCTTCTCTTGCCATTGAGGTGAAGATGAGGTGAATAAAACAATTTGCATCATGAACAAGGTGGTCTAACAATAGCAAATGACACCCAGTCACATTTAATTAACTTCTATTGGTTAACTAGACTTGTAAAAGACTGCCTTGAATAATGAGATACCATCTTACACCAGTCAGAATGGCTATTGTTAAAAAGCCAGTTTGGGGACACTAAAATGGCCAACTAGTCACAGCTGGGAAATGCCTCTCCCATGAAGAGGAACCACAATTTCAAGTAAACTATCACACTTAGAACAGATCTTTTGAGACAAAACACTGCTAGTCAATAGAGAGACAACACAGACAACCTGGTTGAAGAGGGAAGAAGATGGGAAGCCTGCAAGGAGTTGCCAAGTCCCGGGACTGGCTTTTGGTACTGAACAAGTCCTAAGGAAGGGGTGAGTGAAGAAACGCCTGAGCACCACACTCCTGCTGTAGACCTCTGGGATCCTAGATACAAGAGATCTCACAACCCCCATAGATATTTGAATTGGCAGGGGAAACTTTGCAGAGATTAGGCAGAGGCAGAGCTCAAACCTGCACAAAACCCAGAAGGTTTCATGACATGTGGTACAGCTGCAGCAAAACACGACAGGCATCCATCCCTCAAGGCTCTCCATCATGCTCTGAGTGACTGCAGCTCCTGCTGTCTGCTGAGTTGGGAGAGAGCAAGACTGCCTTTCCCGTGGGACAGCAGCATCAAATCCACGTGCCCCTTTGCAGGCCACTTCCTAGACCTCGTGTTTGGCCGTTCCTGCAGAACTGTGTCTCTACTGCCTAGCCTATTTTCCTGGCTACCTAGGAGCAATTTGGCCCACCCAGCCTAGCCAGTGCTAACCCTGAGGGGCCAGAAGACAAATCAGTGGGTGCAATCCAAACTTGTCAGAATTCAAACACATTGCCCGGGGATATTGAGCTAGATCTGCAGTCTGAGCTCAAGGAGGAGAAGAGTCCCCACACTCAGAACACTGAGAAGACTGTAGCACAGGTTTGTGTATGGGTGTGGGAGCTGTGTGTCCATTCCTCCACAAGACAGGTCTGTTCCAGAAGGGTGTGGCCTGTTAGCCAGTTGCAGCTGGATTCCCAGGGAGTGCCATGGCCCTGATCATTTGGAACAGCCTAGAGATCTGGGTGCAGAAGACCTGGGACAAGCCTGGCTGGTCAGGCCTAAAGCTGGTACAGATGCTTGAGAGAAATGCACTGGGCTGGGGTAACACAAGCTGAGCAGACGAGCAGACCCCACAGCCATCTGCTGGGCTGAAAGTCCCAGGAAACAATCATGACACCAGCTGCAAACACATGGTACCACCATCCTACCCAGACCAATGTCTTGGAGATTTCCCCCAAAGTTTTCTTGTAATAGTTTCATAGTTTAGGTCTTAGATTTAAGGCTTTAATCCATGTTAATTTATTTTTGTATATAGCAATAGATGGGGGTCTAGTTTCACTCATCTACATATGGCCATCCTGTTTTCTGAGCACCATTTATGGAAGAGACTGTCTTTTCCCCAGTGTATGTTCTTGGCACATTTGTCAAAAATTAGTACATTGTAAGTGTGTGAATTTGTTTCTGGGTGCTCTGTTCTGTTCCATTTGTCTATGTGTCTGTTTTTATCCCAGTAGCATGCTGTTTTGTTTACTATAGTTCTGTGGTATGACTTGAAGTCAGGTATTGGGATTCCTTCAGTTTTGTCCATTTTATTTAGGATAGCTTTGGCTATTCTGTGTCTTTTGTGGTTCCATATAAATCTTAGGATAGTTTTGTTCTATTTCTGTGAAGAATGTCATTGGTATTTAGATAAGGGTTGCACTGAATCTGTAGATTGCTTTGGGTAGTACGGATATTTTAACAATATTGATTCTTCTAATCCAAGAATATGAAATATATTTCTAGTTTTTAGTTATCTTTTTTAATTAGTGTTTTAGGGTTTTCATTATGGAGTTTTTTACTTCTTGGTTAAGGTAACTCCTATATATTTATTTTTATTTGTGGCTATTTTATATAGAATCACATTTATATTTATTTGTCAGATTGTTCACTGTTGAAAAATTATACTGAGATTTGTATGTTGATTTTGTATATGCAACTTTACTGAATGTGTTTGCAGTTTGAATAATGTTTTTGTATAGGCTTTAGATTTTTTTTCCAAATATAAGATTATATCATCTACAAACAAGGCTAATGTGACCTCTTCCATTCCAATTTGAAAGACCTTTATTTCTGTCTCTTGTCTAACAGCTCTGGCTCTGAATTATAGTACTCTGTTGAATAACATTAGTGAAAGAGGGCATCTATGTCATGTTCTAAATATTAGAGTAAACCTTTTCGGTATTTTCCCATTTAGTATGATACTTGCTGTGGGTCTGACATATATGGCTTTTATTATGCAGAGGAATGTCCCTCTTATACCCAGTTCTTTGAGGGATTTTATTATAAAGGGATGTTGAATTTTATCAAATGCTTTTCAGAATCAATTGAAATGATCATATAATTTTTATTCTAAATTCTGTTGATATGATATATCACATTGATTAATTTGCAAATGTTGAACCATCCTTTCATCCCAGGGATAAATCCAACTTGGTTATGATGAATAATCTTTGTAATGTCTTGCTGAATTTGGTTTGTTAGTACTGTGCTGAGGATTTTTCACATTAATATTCATTAAATATTGGCTTCTATGTTTCTTTTTTTTAAGTGTCTTAGTCTGATTTTGGTATCAGGGTAATACTGACCTAATACAATGAGTTTGGAAGTGTAATCTTTTCGTCTGTTTTTGAAACAGCTTTAGTAAGATTGGTATGAATTCTTCTATAAATGCCTGGTAGAATTCATCAGAGAAACCATCAAGTCCTGGGCTTTCCTTTACTGGGAAACTTTTTATTATGGCTTCAATCTCCTTACTTTATATTGGTCTCTTCAGGTTTTGGATTTTTTTCTGGTTCAATCTTGGTAGGTTGTGGATGTTAAGGAATCTGTCGGCTTCTTCTAGATTTCTATCTAGAAGTGTCCAATACTGAAAGTGTGGTATTGAAGCCTCCCGCCATTATTGTATTGGGGTCTATCTCTCTCTTTAGCTCTAATAATATCTGCCTTGTATATCTGGGTGCTCCAGTGTTGGGTGCGTATATATTTTAAATTGTTATATCCTCTTTCTAAATTGACTCATTTATATTATATTATGTAATATAATAGATTAATAATTATATTATCTAATTATTGGGGGAACACGCCCCCCAATATTTCAACATAGGTTCTATTTCCCATAAGTGTCAGCTGGCTGAGAAATAAAGAGAGACAGTACAAAGAGAGGAATTTTACGACTGGGCCGCTGGGGGTGACATCACATATCTGTAGGACCATGATGCCTGCCTGAGCCTCAAAACCAGCAAGTTTTTTTAAGGGTTTCAAAAGGGGAGGGGGTGTAAGAACAGGGAGTAGGTGCAAAGATCACATGCTTCAAATGGCAAAAACCAGAACTACTAATAAAGGTCTAACAAAGATCACATGCTTCTGAGGGAACAGGACAAAGGGAAAAAGCAGAACTACTCATAAGGGTCCAACAAAGATCACAAGTCAAAGGGCAAAAGCAGAACTACTAATAAGGGTCTATGTTCAGCGGTGCATGTATTGTCTTGATAAACATCTTAAACAACAGAAAACAGTGTTCAAGAGCAGAGAACCGGTCTGACCACAAATTTACCAGGGTGGAGTTTCACAACCCTAGTAAGCCTGAGGGTACTGCAGGAGAACAGGGTGTATCTCAGTCCTTATCTCAACTGCATAAGACAGACATTCCCAGAGCAGCCATTTATAGACCTCCCCCAGGAATCCATTCCTTTCCCAGGGTATTAATATTAATATTCCTTGCTAGGAAAAGAATTTAGCAATTCCCATTCACAATTGCTTCAAAGATGATAAAATACCTAGGAATCCAACTTACAAGAGATGTGAAGGACCTCTTCAAGGAGAACTACAAACCACCGCTTGATGAAATAAAAGAGGATACAAACAAATGGAAGAACATTCCAGGCTCATGGATAGGAAGAATCAATATCGTGGAAATGGCCATACTGCCCAAGGTAATTTATAGATTCAATGCCATCTCCATCCAGCCACCATTGACTTTCTTCACAGAATTGGAAAAAACTACTTTAAAGTTCATATGGAACCAAAAAAGAGCCTGCATTGCCAAATCAGTCCTAAGCCAAAAGGACAAAGCTAGAGGCATCACACTACCTGACTTCAAACTATACTACAAGGCTACAGTAACCAAAACAGCATAGTACTGGTACCAAAACAGAGATACAGACCAATGGAACAGAACAGAGCCATCAGAAATAATACCACACATCTACAACTATCTGATCTTTGACAAACCTGACAAAAACAAGAAATGGGGAAAGGATTCCATATTTAACAAATGGTGCTGGGAAAACTGGCTAGCAGATAGCTGAAACTGGATCCCTTCCTTACACCTTATACAAAAATTAATTCACGATGGATTAAAGACTTAAATGTTAGACCTAAAATCATAAAAACCCTAGAAGAAAACCTAGGCACTACCATTCAGGACATAGGCATGGGCAAGTACTTCATGTCTAAAACACCAAAAGCAATGACAACAAAAGCCAAAATTGACAAATGAGATCTAATTAAACTAAAGAGCTTCTACACAGCAAAAGAAACTACCATCAGAGTGAACAGGAAACCTACAGATTGGGAGAAAATTTTTGCAATCTACTCATCTGACAAAGGGCTAATATCCAGAATCTACAAAGAACTCAAACAAATTTACAAGAAAAAACAACCCCATCAACAAGTAGGCAAAGGCTATGAGCAGACACTTCTCAAAAGAAGACATTTATGCAGCCAAAAGACACATGAAAAAATGCTCATCATCACTGGCCATCAGAGAAATGCAAATCAAAACCACAATGAGATACCATCTCACACCAGTTAGAATGGCAATCATTAAAAAGTCAGGAAACAACAGGTGCTGGAGAGGATGTGGAGAAATAGGAACACTTTTACACTGTTGGTGGGACTGTAAACTAGTTCAACCATTGTGGAAGTCAGTGTGTCAATTCCTCAGGGATCTAGAACTAGAAATATCATTTGACCCAGCCATCCCATTACTGGGTATATACGCAAAGGATTATAAATCATGCTGCTATAAAGACACATGCACAGGTATGTTTATAGCAGCACTATTCACAATAGCAAAGACTTGGAACCAACCCAAATGTCCAACAATGATAGACTGGATTAAGAAAATGTGACACATATACACCATGGAATACTATGCAGCCATAAAAAAGGATGAGTTCATGTCCTTTGTAGGGACATGGATGAAGCTGGAAACCATCATTCTCAGCTAACTATCGCAAGGACAAAAAACCAAACAACACATGTTCTCACTCATAGTTGGGAATTGAACAATGAGAACACTTGGACACAGGAAGGGGAATATCACACACCCGGGCCTGTTGTGGGTGGGGGGAGCGGGGAGGGATAGCGTTAGGAGGTATACCTAATGTAAATGACGAGTTAATGGGTGCAGCACATCAACATGGCACATGTATACATATGTAACAAACCTGCACATTGTACACATGTACCTTAGAAGTTAAAGTATAATAAAAATATATATATTAAAAAAAGAAAAAAATATTTTACATATACACCACATATACCCCATGGAATACTATGCAGCCATAAAAAATAAGATTATTTCTTTTGCAGGAAGCTAGATGGAGTTGGAGGCCATCATTCTCAGCAAACAAACACAGGAACAGAAAACCAAAGACTGCACGTTCTCACTTATAAGTAGGAGCTAAATGAAGAGAGCTCATGAAGACAAAGAAGGGAAAAGGAGACAATGGGGCCTACTTAAGGGTGGAGAAAGGGAGAAGGGAGAGGAGCACAAAAAATAACTATTGGGTACCAAGCTTAGTACCTGGATGACAAAATAATCTATACAAGAAACATTTATAACCCAAGTTTACCTATATAACCAATATGTAAATTTCTCCCAAACCTAAAATAAGAATTTAAAATAAGGAAACAAAAAAGAGTATAAAATAGTTTTTAACTACATAGTAAATAAACTAACTGATGAATAATAAAAAAAGAACGATTTCAATTCAGCAAGTTTTAACTACATGGTAAATAAACTAACTGGTGAATAATAAAAAAAGATTTCAATTCAGCAACTCCCTTACTAAAAGTATCAAAACTTGTATGAGGGGTGGGTTCATCAACCCCTCCCTATACAGAGTGCAGCATCCCTGCAGTTGAGTGTAGAAAAACCACAGAACTGCCTGTTTCGAGCTAAGGGAAGACGTTCCACCCTGAGAGCATTTCATTGCTAGCCACCACATGGGTGTATACCATGGATGTCAATCAAAATGTGGCCTGAAGATGAACCATAATGTCTATCTGGACTGAAAGTCCTGAGCCTTGTGATAGGGGCATGATAATAAAGTGAATTACATTCCTGCCTGCCCAAAACAAGGAGTTGGTGCAGAACCCTCTGCACCACACCTCAGACCTGAGAGTATCCAATTACAAAGTCTCCCAGTCACTCCAGTCAAGACGGGTGTTTCCATTCATTATCACAGTAGCCAAGGGTGAGCTGGCTGTTACTTTTAAGTGCCACCTGCTGGACTGTGGCACTTAAGTACCACACAAAAAAATTGTACTACACACACACAGAAAAAACCATGTGGGTAGAAGGGCATAGTGCTAGGATATGAATTAACTATCCTGAGACCTCTGTGCTCATAGCCTTACAGAAGACAGTAAGTTGGCTCATATATCCAATAACTTGCTACAACAAGCAGCATTTGAGAAAGCCACAGCACAAAAGCAATCTATAACCAAGGAATTCACACAGAAGCTTGGCCCCATGAAAACATGCAAAAATGAAGCCAAATGATTATATACAATATATAGTACAGTTGGAACCTCAGTGGAGAAAAGAATAATGAAAATAAAAAAATAAAAAATTATACAAATGAAAGCAATCTCAAAAATAAGTGAAAGCTTCTTCAAATGAGAAGAAATCAGTGTAAGAACTCGAGTGGTACAAAGAGAGTGTTTTGATATCTCCAAAGGATCTAGTAGCTCTGTAACAATGGATCCTAACCACACTGAAAATTCTGACATGACAGATAAATAATTCAAAATATGAACTGAAAGGTAGCTGAATGAGATCCTCGAGAAAGTTGAAAAACAATATAAATAAATACATAAAAATTCAGGATATAAAAGACAACATAGATATATAAATAAATGATACATATACATATGTACATATACGTACATAAACATATGTACATATACGTATATATACATATGTGTACCTATATGTACATATACTGTATATGTACATATGGGTATATGTACATATGTGCATCTATAAACATGTACATACATGTATATGTGTAGTTGTACACATGTACATATGTACATACATACACATGTGCATATGCATATACATGCATATGTGCATGTGCATATGCATATACATACATATGTGCATGTGCACGTGCACATACATACATATATGTACGTATATGTATGTGCATATGCACATGCATACATATATGTACGTATATGTATGTGCATATGCACATGCATACATATATGTACGTATGTGTATATGTGCATATGCACGTACATACATATGTACGTATATGTGCATATGCACATATATATGTATATGTGCATATGCACATACATGCATGTATATACACACATATGCACATATACATATATACCTATATATGTGTAGATATACATATATGTATATGTATAGATATACATATATGTATATGTGTGTATACACATATGTATATATGTGTGTATATACATATGTATATGTGTGTATACATATGTATATATGTGTATATACACATGTACATACATACATATGTACATATATGCATATGTACATATGCACATACATATACGTACATATATGTATGCATGTGCATATGCACATACATATACGTACATATATGTATGTATGTGCACGTGCACATGCACATATGTATGTATATGCATATGCATATGCACATGTGTATGTATGTACATATGTACATATGTACAACTACACATACATGTATGTACATGTTTATAGATGCACATATGTACATAGACCCATATATATACATATATGTATATATACATATGTACACATATATACATATGTACACATATATACATATGTACACATACATATGTACACATATGTACACATATATACATATGTACACATATGTACATATGTATACATATATACACATATACATATGTATATATACATATAGACATATTCATATATACACATGTATATATACATATATACGCATGTACATATATACACATATATACATATATACACATATACATATATACATGCACATAGACATATACATATGTACATTCATGCACAGACACATATACATATGTACATACATGCACATAGACATACGTATGTACGTACATGCACATATACACATATACTTATGTAGATACATGTATATATACACATACGTATATGTGTATATATACATATATATGCATATACATATACATATATATGTATATATACATCTATTCAACACACGCTATGTGTCAGTGTGTTAAAGGTTGAGGGAAGATAGATGTGAAGAAATCCTGCTTTTTAGATTACTAAATTACTGCTTTTTAGATAAACATCTATTCAACACACACTATGTGTCAAACAATTTGTTAAAGGTTGAGGGAAGATAGATGTCTTGTGAAGAAATCAATTACTATATCAGTTTTAATAAATTCATATTCTGGAAAAATGAATGTAAACCACTTTGTTACCTTTATATATTAAAAAGGAAAATGGTCTAATCTTTTCTTCTCAATGTAAAAAAAGTAAAAAAAAAAAAAGTATGATTTGGGAAACAATGGTATGCAAATTGTTATATACCAGATGGTAAGTAAAAGTTGGAATGTCTCAGAAACTAGCTGAAATTACTTATGGGTGCTTCCCCAGGTAGTTTGAATAGATTAAGTGGTATCACATTTTTTGTGCTTCAATTTTATTTCTAGCAATAGCAAAAATTTGGAGCCAAAGTTGTGAGTAAAGTGGATTATTAAGCCTGAGAATATGATTTTGATTAAAAAAACAGATTGTGACTATTAAAACAGTGATCTATTTTTCGTTTAAGTGGCTTGTAAACTTACTCTAAAGACATTTTTCAAGAAGAATTTCTAAAAGAATCTTGAAGCTATAGCATAATTGTTGAAAAATGTGTATTTTTCTATGGTAACAGCTTTAAGGACACAACTTTGATTTCATGTATTCTTTTTTCTATGTCTGTATTTTTCAATCACATTTATTTAATAACATATAATTTTATTTTTAAAATTAACATAATTTTATTATTAAATCTCGTTAAACAAAATAATCATGCCTGTAACCTGACCATCCAAACCAACTTAATGTTTTATGTTATATTTTACTAGATAATAGTCACTGCATATAATGTATTATTATCCATTTATGCAATGAAATTTCATATTTAGGTATACATCTCATCCATCTGAAGCCCCAGCTAAAACAAAAATAAACAAGCCAAAAAGCAAACGCACTTGTTTAAGGCTTGAAAGACCCTCCATGATTTGATGCCCTTTTGGATGAAATTAGTAAATGTCAGGTTACTCAAGGTATTTTCTGTAGCTTCTTTCTTTTGTTTGAAAGTTTCAGACATGCGTTTTTGAAGTAGGAATATTTACATTCTCTTGTTTTCTGCTGCAAATTCCAGCTTCCTGCAGACTGTATTTGAAAAGTTTATAGCTAGTTAAATGAGGATTACTATAAATGACTTCATGTGACTTACCAAGGAGCAAGTCTTTTCATTGTATAGCAACATATTGTAAAATCAATCACGGTAATGAAACACACACAGGAAATTACTAATGTGCTGTAAACACAAGGACTAGTAGACTCTATGCAGTGAAAAAGTCTGGCACATTACTGGAAGGTAGGACTCAGTATGATTGTTACAAAAGTTCTTTGAGAATTACCATTAATAAGGGAATATAGAAAATAATTTGAGTGAACACATATTTACTAGGGCTGAAACTGTGGAAACTATGCAACAGCCTGTGGAGAAAAAACAACTATGATTTTGTTTCTCTTTTACAAAATATAAAGGAGCACTTCCTTACCATCTGATGCCACAAGATGCTCCAGGTGCATCTTGTATTTTCTCTGTCCCAGCCAAAGAATTAACCACTTTCTCATGTCAAAAGGTTAAAGAAACTGTGTTAGTCCATTCTCATGTTGCTGTAAAGAAATATCTGAGACTAGATAATTCATAAATAAAAGAGGTTTAATTGTTTCCTGGTTCTGCAAGCTGTACAAGCATGGTGCTGACATCACTTGGCTTCTGGGGAGGCCCCTGAAGCTTACAATCATGGTAGAAACTGAAGAAAAATGAGGTACTTCACATGGTGAAAGCAGGAGCAAGGGCGGGGGTGGGATGCTACACACTTTCAAACAGCCAGATCTCAGGAGAACTCACTCATTATTGTGAGGAGAGTACCTAGAGATGGTGCTAAGCCATTCATGAGAAATCAGCCCCCATTAGCCAATCACCACCCACTAGGTCCCACCTCCAACATTGGTAATCACATTTCAATATGAGATTTGGGTGAGTACACAAATTCAAACTGTATCAAAAAACAATTTGAAACAACTGCTGTCTTAGTCTGTTCAGTTTGCTATAACAAGATACCTTAGATTAGGCAATTTATAAACAACAAATGTTTTGCAAACAATTCTAGAGGCTGGAAAGACCAAGATCAAGGCATCAGCAGATCCACTGCTAGGTGAGTGCTTGTTCTCTGCTTCAAACATAGTGTCTTGTTGCTGCATCTTCCCATGTAGAAGGGGGTGAAAGGTGTACTCAAGCCTCTTTTATGAGGGTGCTAACTTCATTCATGAGGACAAAGCCCTTATGACCAAATTGCCTTCGAGAGGCCCCGCCTCTTATTACCACCAAAGTGAGGATTAGGGTTCAACAAGAATTTTGAAGGGAGGCAAACATTCAGACCATAGCAATTCCCAATAACTTATGATGTTTGTATCACCTTCTCTTCATCTCATCATGAGAGAGGGATTTCTTGCCTCAGGATTAAGGGAATGACTGAACACATGACACACATTACTGGTCAGATGAGATTGAGAACAGTTTGTTAGTCACATATACTCACCACCCTGGGGAGTAGGGGAATAGAACACTGCATGACATGCAATGACACAGGTGTGGTGCACCTGGGAACATAGTGAAAAAGCAAGGGCTGTGTAAATCAGACTTTGTAGTATCAAAAGGGTGGCATGGCCCCTGGTTCTTGCACAAACATGTGATTAGCTTGTCTGCACAAATCCACTGGCTCACAAAATACTAAAACTTGCTACCTAGGGATAAACAGCAGTGGTACCTTGTTCCCATTATAAAAAGGATTGTTTGGCTAGGGAAAATATCTATGGGAACAGAGTGTGGAGGAGAACTTGCAGTTTGGCCATTTGAGGCCATCCAGATTTCAGCAGATGTCAAAGCAGCACATAATGTTAATTATTAATTTTAAGCCTTATACCACAAATGGAATAATTTAAATAATAAACAAGAATAATATTGTTAGCCACAGAATAATATAATGTCTTTTTTATAGAAAATTATAATTAATAGATATGGATGAAAAATGATAATAAAAAATTACCATTAGAACACCACAGTAATAATTGTTTTTGGCAAGATCTACTGAAGCACATTAAAATTAGTGGACAAAAATTTACAGAAAATTAGCACATATGAATAGTCTCAAAATACCTTTTCCAAAATATTTATTACTAACAGGAGAACAATAGTAAATTTATGGTAGAGTAAGCTCTCAGACACTACCTTAACTGAGTGATTAAGATTAATGTTACCAGTAACGAGAAATAGAGACATCCTGTGATCCCAATATAATTCAGTGAGAAAAGCAAAACACGACCTCTGTGGTTTTCTTCCAAATATTGCACCACTTCAGTCTAATCATGAGAAAACATTAGAGAAAACCTATTTGAGGGAAAACCTAGTAGAGAAAACCTATTTCTAGAAATACACTGACCAGTACACTTCAGAATTATTGAGACATAAAAGACAAGTAAATACCAAAGAATTTTTGCAGCTTGAAGGAGATTAAGAAAGCATGGCGACTTAACACAATGTAGTATTTAGGATTAGATCCTGGAACTGGAAAAAAAAATAATGGAAAAACTTGTTAAACCTGAAGCAAGTTTGTAGTTTATGTAACAATACTGTATAAATGTTATTTTCTTAGTTTTTATAAATTCACCATGGTTATGTAAGATGTTAATAGGAGAAACAGGGTGAAGAATGTATGGGAACTCTACTATTTTTACAAATTTTCTGTATGAGTCTAAAGTTATTCAAAATACATTTTTGAAAGATCAGCTATATACACACAACACAAGAGAACCACCACCAACGGATCCACATGGTAATATAATTTCAAAATTGCTTGTACTTTAGTTTTTGTTGTTTAAATTACACAAACTCTGGAATATCTATTGTTTTGTTCCATTCCCAATAAAAAATAGGGTGGAGTTTGGAGGATTCCATATTGTCTTGCCATGTAAATAAGTAGTATGGACCCCAGCTTCATGCATGTCCTATAACCTTTGCTATCATTAAATTAAGCTGTAGCTAATTGCTATTGTTTTTTTGCCATCCACTTCAACTGGCATTTACTGTGATAATCCTGGACCCACTGTGGCCTCTGGTTGATGATAGTCTTTGCACTATGTGTCCTCCTTATCCAAACCACTAATATACATCTCCTTGGCCTGCCTTATTTCAACTTTCCCTGCACTCACCTGAAGTATAGGAATTTTACAAAGCTCTATAACAAGGTACATATAACTCAGTGAGCCTACCTTTAGGTCTATCTACTTTGACTTTCACTCACCATTGTTGGTTGAGAGTCCCAGCACCATGCTGAATGCATGTCTAACTATATTCTCAGTTGACAACATGAACAGCTAGACAAAGGTTGCTTCTACTTTAGAGAGTACCCTCCAACTTATCTGGTGTTTCCTTCACATTGTCCCTCTACCTGGAGTGAGTGTGGGGAACACAGGATCCCTTATTAGAGATACTCAGTGTCTTCTAACACTATTACTCTAAACTCCTGCGTTAGCATCAAACATATCTCTTTTGGAGATGGTAAAAGAGTATAATATAATCATGAATTCTTTCCTCACTCATTTTTATAACATAAATGTTATCCACATAATTTTGTAATCTTTCAAATGTTTGTATTTACATTCAGGCTGCTGTTACCATAATAATGCATTTTATATCTCCAAAGTCTTAATATAGATCCTACAAAATCAGAAAAAAACTTGGCTTTCAATACTATTGATCATTTTCCATGAGTTTTACAAATGTATTTAAAAACTCAATTGATAGGGTGTTATCAGCAAGGTGGTGAAGTAGTAGACAAGCCTTTCAGCCCCCACTGTCATAGTCTGTTTTATATTGCTTATAGCAGAATAGAGGAGACTGGGTTATTTATAAAGAAGATGACATTTATCTCTTATAGTTATGGAGACTGAGAAGTCCAAGTTTCACTTGAGAAGTTCAACGATTGAGGAGCAACATCTTGGGAGAGCTTTCTTGCTGGTGGGGACTCTCTGTACAGTCCCAAGGTGGTACAGGGCAGTTCAGGGCATCACATGGCAAGGGAGCTGAGTGTGCTAACATGTTAGCTCAGTTCTCTCTTTCCTTTCTTATAAAGACACCAGTTGCCTTCCCATGATGACCTAGTAATTAACTGATGAATAGATTCATCCATTTGTGAGGGGAATACCCTCACAAACCAATCACCTATGAAACGCCCGACCTTTTGACACTGTCACATTGGGGATTAATTTTCACCATGAGTTTTGGAAGGCACAATATTCAAATCATAGTATCTACAGAAAGCAACAAATAGTTATTCATGAAGAATAATAGCCCTGGGAGGGATCAAGGGTTAATTTAAGAACTTGAAGCAACACAGTGGAGAAAAACAGAAAAAAGCAAAATGAAACAATACAATAAAATGAAGAGTAAAGACACAGAAAAGATCCCTGGGGAAGTTGGCATACCTGAGATGTCTGGAGATAGTAGGAACAAAGAAATAGGCCAGTGGCTGTCAGCATCAGCCAGGCAATGGGTGACATCATGGTCTTCAGTTGCCTATGCTGGAAAGAACACTAGCATCTTTTACCAGTGAGGTAATCAACAGCAATCCCCTCCAAAAACCGCTGAGATGGAGACGTGGGTGTGCCCCCGCCCCCCCCAAGAAGAAGCAGCTGTGCACTGTTTCAAGGCTGGAGCCATCACCTCTTCCAACCTTGCACACACTCTTGACTCTGAAGTTGTGACCGCTGTGCATATGCCCACACTTCAAACACTGGCTCCAAAGAACTTCTCATTTTCTAGTGTTTCAGACTTCGGCTCTGTGGCCAAACCACACACACCCATGCTGCAAACACCAGAGATATTGCAGCTACAGGCCAGCCTTGTCTCATTCTCTGGAGCCTTGGTCACTCTGTGCATGCCCGTACTACATATTCCTCCTCCAGGGCTGCTTTATGTGTGCCTACTCCTAGGACATCGGAGCTGCAGTTACATCAAGTTAATCACTACTACATCTGGAACTCCAGAGCCACTATAACTTCTTATGTGCCCATGTTCAAGACTCTGACTACCTGGCTGTGCTGCCTACAAAGATATGTATCTACTACAGGTTTTTGCTTTGTGGTCAGCATGAGATTTCTTATAGTTAGAAAAGACTATTTTAAGCTAATAACAGCATAATCTTAAATGAATGAAAAGAACTCTACACTTTTACTCCCCCTCCCACTTTTTATGTTTTTGATGTCAAAATTCACATCTTATTATACTGTGTATCCATTAACAAATTATTGTAATATAGTTATTTTTAATGCTTTATAGTTTTACCTTTAAATTATTGAGTTATAGGTGATTTACAAACCATCATTATGAGTATTCTGAATTTGATTATATATTTATTTTACCAGTGAACTGTATATAGCAGATACACAAAAGATAACAAGAGATGAGTCAGGGCATACCACTACAGGACAGGAAATCATCAAATCACCAAAATAATGATGATAATAATAATAATAATAAAGACAGCAGCAAGAGTATAAGAAACAACAAAAGATCTACAACATAACCAGAAAGCATTAACTAATGGCAGTAGTAAGTCCATACCTATCAATAGTTCTTGAATGTAAGTAGATTAAATTATTTAATCAAAAGATGCAGAGTGGCTGAATGAATAAATAAACAAGACCCAATTATATTCTCCCTATAAGAAGCTCACTTTAGATTTAAGGACACTCAGGGACTTAAAGTGAAGGAAAGAAAAAAAGATACTTAATGCATATGTAAACCAAAAGAAAGCAAAAGTAGCTATAGTTTTATCATATAACATAGACTTTAAGACAGAAACTGTGACAAGAGGCAAAGAGGGTCATTATATCATGGTAAAGGAGTCAATTTATCAAGAGAATAGAGCAGTTGTAACTATGTATGCACCCAGAATTGGAGCACCTAAAATATAAAGCAAATATTAATAGATCTGAAGGGAAAAATACAAAACAATAATACTGGGGGATTTGAAACCCCAGTTTCAATGACAAATAGATCATCTAGACAGAAAATCAATAAGGAAACATTGTTCTTGAAGACACTTTAGACCACATGAACCTGGAAGGCATATACACGTATGCTTTCCAACAACAGCAGAATACGCATTTTTCTCAAGTGCATGTAGAACATTCTCCAGGATAGATCTTATATTAGGCCACATAACAAGTCAGTGAATTTAAAAGATTGAAATAACATCTAGTATCTTTACTGACCAAAATGGTATGCAACAAAAAATCAATAACAGGAAGAATTTTGGAAAATTCAAAATTTGTGGAAATTAAACAACATGCTATTGAACAAAAAATAGATCAAACAAGAAATCAAAAGGAAAATTTAAAAGTTCCTTAAGACCAATACAAATAGGAACACAGCATATCTAATCATATGAGATGCAGAAAAAGCTGTTCTAAGAGAGAAGTTGCTAGAAATAAATGCATATATTAAGGAAAAAGAAAGTTTCCAAACAAACAACCTACTTTTACACCACAAGGAATAGAAAAACTAACTGAAGTTAGCAGAAGAAAAATAATAAAAATTAGAGCAGACATAAAACAGAAATGAGAAAAAAACATAGGAAAGGTCAACACTCATTTTGTAAAGATAGTAAAATTGACAAACAGCTATACTAAGAAAAATCAGAAATGAAAATATGTTACCACTGATATCAGAGAAATAAAAGGATCATAAGAGACTACTATGAACCAATATATACCAACAAATTGGATAACCTAGGAAAAAATTGATGAATTCCTAATCATATACTGTCTACCAAAACCTATTTCATGAAGAAATAGAAAATCTGAACAGACAAATAAGGAGTAAAAAAATAGAATCAGCAATAAAGAATCTACAATCAAAGAGAATCTCAGGAATGTTTTATGGCTGAATTCTACCAAACATTTAAAGAAGGAGTGCTATCAGCCTTTCTCAACTGCTTCCCAAATATAGAAGTAGAGGGAGTATTTCCAACTCATTTCATGAGGCCAGCACTAGTCAAATTTCAAAGCCAGACAAGGACACTAGAAGAAAAGAAAATTACAGACAAATATCCCTGATGAACAGAGATGAAAAAAATTTCGACAAAATATTAGCAAAATCAAATTCAACAGCACATTCAAAGAATAATTTACCATGATCAAGTAGCATCTGTTCTTGGGATGCAAGGATGGCTCAACATATGCAAATCAATAAATGTGATACATTTATATGTGGAATCTAAAAACAAAAGTCAGTTCATGGAAACAAAAAGAAGAAGAATGATTACTAGGGGCTAGGATGATGGGAGAATGAAGAAATATTTGTCAAAGGGTATAAAATTTCAGTTGTAGAGAAGTAATTATTTTTTGAGGTCAGTTGTATATTATAGTGATTATAGTTAATAATAATGTATACCTGAAAATTGCCGAGTAGATTTTAGATGTTCTCACCATAAAAAAAGAGAGAAGATGCATATGTTAATTACTTTGACTTAATCATTCTATGTTGCATACACATATGAAAACATTTATTTTCAATTAAAAATAAATAAAAAATTTAAAACTCACCAAACTGAAAGGTATTAAAAAATAAGTTTTTAAAAAACAACTCAGTTGACTTGGTTCTCTCAACATTTTTATGAGGCAAATGAATACCCCTTGAGCGTTCATTGTCCCTGAGGTCATGAAGTGCTATGGGCCAGTAGGTACAGCCAAGTAAACACAGAAGAGAAAAATATGTTCAATATTAGATGTTATTTAACTACAATCCAAACATAGTGTGGTAGGGGTACGCCTTAAGACTGAAAAAGTTATATTGCCTGTTTATTTTTATCTTTTGTAATCAATGTGGAATAGTAGTTAAAATTAGGTATTAGACAGGTCTGGCTCCCACTATTCAATCACCTCCCACCAGACTCCTCCCTTGACACATGGGAATTAAAACTCCAGATGAGATTTGGGTGGGGACATGGCACCAAACCGAATTATCTTCTTCATAAAATGATGATGAAATGACCAACTGGTAGTGTGATTGGGAAGATTATTAAATGAGATAACAAACGTAAAATATTAAAATGTGGCTAAATTGAAATTGGAAATGTTCTAAATTCTTAATTAGAGAGTAGAGATCTGGATTTAAAGTTGAATAAATTAATATTTTTTCCTTGTTATTCTCCATGTTTAGGTTATATTTTACACATACATACACAGATAAATACATAGAATAATATTACAAACCACCTTCTGCTGATCCTCTAGAAATGATGTTGTAGCTTAAATGTGTCCCTTTAAAATTCATATATAAAAATCTAATATCTAATGTGATGGTATTTTGACTTTTGTTATCTGTGTGTGTGTAGGAAATTGTTTTATATGCTTAAATATTCACATAAAACAATTATACTATGTATATGTAATTGTTAGCTTTTTTTTTATTTTACTGGATATTATGTATTTGTGACCTATCTATATTAATGCATCAAAATCAGATTCATACATCTTAATGGCTGCAAGATAATGCATCAGAGGAGTATATTGCAATATATATATTTATTTCTATTATGAACAATGTGATGATGAATGCTCTTTACCTATCTCCTTTTGCACACATGCAAGAATGTTTCCACGGAGTATACGGCAAGAACTGGAATTATTAGATAATAAGGTATGTATATTTTCTGATTTACTAGATATTTCTACTTCATCTTCAAAAGGTTTGCACCAGCTTATATTCCCAATAACAGTGTATGGAACTTATCCTTTATCCCAGAAGTGTCCTTTTTTTTTTTTTAACTTTTATTTTAGCTTCAGGGGTACATGTGCAGGATGGTTATACAGGTAAATTTCATGTCACAGAGATTTGGTGTTCAAATTATTTCGTCACCCAGGTAGTAAGCATAGTATCCAATAGGTAGGCTTTTTTTTTATCCTTACCCTCCTCCCACTTTTCAACCTCAAGTAGGTCCCGAGGTCTCCTGTTCCCTTCTTTGTGTTCATACGTACTCAAATTTAGCTCTCACTTGTAAGTGAGGACATGCAGTGTTGGGTTTTCTGTTCCTGTGTTAGTTTGCCTAGGATAATGGCCTCCAGCTACATCCGTGTTGCTGCAAAAGACATGACCTCATTCTTTTTTATGGCTGCAGGGTATTCCATTGTGTATATGCATGGAATTTTTTTTTTTTCCAAGACAGAGTCTTGCTCTGTCGCCCGCAGCTGGAGTGCAATGGCACAATCTCGGCTCACTACAATCTCCACCTCCCGGGTTCAAGCAATTCTCCTGCCTCAGCCTCCTGAGTAGCTGGGATTACAAGAGAGTGCCACCACGCCTGGCTAATTTTTTTATTTTTAGTAGAGACAGGATTTCACCATGTTGGCCAGGCTAGTCTCGAACTCCTGACCTCAGGTGATCCATCTGCCTCGGCCTCCCAAAGTGCTGGGATTACAAGCTTGAGCCATATGCATGGAATTTTTAAATCTTGTCTGCTGTTGATGGTGTTTAGGTTGATTCCATGTCTTTGCTATTGTGAATAGTACAACCATAAACAAATGCATGCATGTGTCTTTATATTCCTTTGGGTTTATACCCAGTAATGGGAGTGCTGGGTAAAATGGTAATTACATTTTTTTTTGTTCTTTGAGGATTCACCACACTGCTTTCTACAATGTCTGAGCTAATGTACACTCTCATCAGCAGTGTATAAACGTTCCCTTTTCCCTGTAACCTTGCCAGCATCTGTTATTTTTGGACTTTTTAATAATAGCCTTTCTGGCTGATGTGAGATGGTGTCTCGTTGTGATTTTGATTTGCATTCCTCTAATGATTAGTGATGTTGAGCATTTTTCATATGCTTGTTGCTCACGTGTATGTCTTGTTTTGAAAAGAGTCTGTTATTTCCGTTGCCCACTTTTTATGAGGTTGGTTATTTGCTTGTAAATTTGTTGAATTTCATTATGGATTCTGGATATTAGACCTTTATCGGATTCATTGTTAGCAAATATTTATTTTCTCCCATTCTGTAAGTTGTCCGTTTACTCTGTTGATAATTTCTTTTGCTATGCAGAAGCTCTTTAGTTTAATTAGGTCCCATTTGTCAACTATTGGTTTTGTTGCAATTGCTTTTGGTGTCTTCATCATGAAATCTTTTTTCGGGTCCTATGTCCATAATGGTATTTCCTAGTTTGTCTTCCAGGGTTTTTACAGTTTTAGGTTTGACATTTAAGTCTTTATTATATCTTGAGTTGATTTTTGTAGATAATGGAAAGGAAGGGATTCAGTTTCAATATTCTGCATATGGCTAGACAGTTTTACCAGCACCATTTGTTGAATAGGGAGTCCTTTCCCCATTGCTTGTTTCTGTCAATTTTTGGAAAGATCAAATGGTTGTAGATGTGCAGAATTATTTCTGGGCTCTCTATTGAAGGCCTTTTGTTATTTGACCCCAGCCTGCCTTTTCACCTCTATCTCTTGCCATTTTTTCATACTAGAATGAAAGTGTCATAAAATGGAACAGAGACCTTGTCTGTCATGTTCACTTTTTCCTCTCTGGTGCTGGAACAGGGCCTGGAACATATAGGCACACAGTAAATATTTGTTGAATAAAAGCTCTTCTTTTTCCAGAGAGATGCTGAGAAGTAGAATATACTTTGACATCTCTAAGTCTTTTCTCTCGCTATTCTATTTGCTTGAAATACTCTTCCCCATGTATTTTTTTATTTTCAAGAACTAGATCAAATGTTATACTTTCCTCAATTCTGAAAAATACTGCCACCAAACTCAGAATTAATTTCTCTCTTTTCTGTTTTCCTATAGCCCATTTCTGTATAATGTTTTGCTTTTACACTAGAATGTAAGTTATCTAAGGGCAGCAATCCTTTCTCTCCTAACTGCCTTCCCAACTTCCAGCTATTCAATACATTTAAAAGCAGGTGATTTCAGTGTGTTGTCATAAAAGAAATCCATATTTGTAAAATTGTGTTACAAATTAAAAGTCAGGCTTAAAAAACCTTAATCAATTTCATGTTGTTGTAGAATTGATATCTCTATTTCCTTGCAGGCTCTCATATGGAAACCACCCATAGCATATGGGCCTCTTTCTGACCCCTTCATGTAGTTCAATACTTCCCAGAAGCAGCCATAAAGTAGTGAATTCTTCTCATGGTGCCATCCCACTGACACTTCTTTTATCATCACTTCCTTCTCTCACTGCAGCAGAAAACAGGCCCCAGATACTAAGAAATTGTGTATTTAGATTGGACCCACTCAGGTAATCTAGGATAATCTTTGCATTTTAAATTTCACAACTAGATTGCATCTGCAAAGTCTGTTTTGCCATGTCACTTGATATGGTTTGACTCCGTGTCCTCACTCAAATCTCACCTTGAATTGTACTCCTATAATTCCCACATATTATGGGAGGGACCTGGTGGGAAATAATTGAATCATGGAGCAGTTTCTCCCATACCATCCTCATGGTAGTGAATAAGTCTCTCGAGATCTGATGATTTGATAAGGGGAAACCCATTTTGCTTCACTCTCATTCTCTCTCTTTGCTGCCATTCATGTAAGATGTGACTTGCTCTTCCTTGCCTACCACCATGATTGTGAGGCTTCCTCAGCCACGTGGAACTGTAAATCCAATTAAACCCCTTTTTTTGGTAAATTGCCCAGTGTCAGGTATGTCTTTCTCAGGAGCACGAAAACAGATTAATATAGTAAATTGTTACTAGGAGTGGGGTGTTGCTGAAAAGATACCCAAAAACGTCAAAGTGACTTTGGAACTGAGTAACAGGCACAGGTTGGAAAAGTTTGGAGGCCTCAGAAGAAGACAGGAAAATGTGGGAAAATTTGGAACTTCCTAGAGACTTGTTGAATGGCTTTAACGAAAAGCCTGATAGTGATATGGACAATAAGGTCCAAACTGAGGTGGTCTCAGATGGAGATGAGGAAATCGTTGGGAACTGGAGCAAAGGTGACTCTTGTTATGTTCTAGCAAAGAGACTGGCAGCATTTTGCCCCTGCCCTAGAGATTTGTGGGATTTCCAACATGAGAGATATAATTTAGGGTATCTGGAAGAAGAAATTTCTCAGCAGCAAAGCATTCAAGACGTGACATGGGTACTGTTAAAGGCATTCAGTTTTATAAGAGAAGCAGAGCATAAAAGTTTGGAAAATTTGCAGTCTGACAATGCAATAGAAAAGAAAATCCCATTTTCTAAGAAGAAATTCAAGTCCACTGCAGAAATCTGCATAAGTAACGAGGAGCCAAATGTTAATACCCAAGACAATGGGGAAAATGTCTCCAGGGCATGTCAGAGGTCTTCATGGCAGCCCCTCCCATTACAGGCCAGGAGGCCTAGGAGAAAAAAAAATGGTTTGATGGGAAAGGCCTAGGGTCCCCGTGCTGTGTGCAGTCTAGGGACTTGGTGCCCTGTGTCACAGCTGCTTCAGCCATGACTACAAGGGGCCAACATATAGCTCGGACCGTGGCTTCAGAGGGTGGAAGCCCCAAGCCTTGGCAGCTTCCACATGTTGTTGAGCCTGCGGGTGCACAGAAGTCAAGAACTGAGATTTGGAAACCTCTGCCTGGATTTCAGAGGATGTATGGAAATGCCTGGATGTCCAGGCAGAAGTTTTGTGCAGGTGTGGGGCTGTCATGGAGAACCTCTGCTAGGGCAATGCAGAAGGGAAATGTGGGGTTAGAGCCCACACACAGAGTCCCTGCTGGGGCACTGCCTAGTGGAACTGTGAGAAGACAGCCACCATCCTCCAGACCCCAGAATGGTAGATCCACCAACACCTTGCACCATGTGCCTGGAAAGACCACAGACAATACCAGCCCATGAAAGCAGCCAGGAGGAAGGCTGTACCCTGCATAGCCACAGGGGCAGATCTGCCCAAGACCATGGGAACCTACTTCTTACATCAGTGTGACCCATAAGTGAGAAATGGAGTCAAAGCATGTCATTTGGGGGCTTTAAGTTTTGAATGTCCCACTGGATTTTGGACTGGCATGGGGCCTGTATCTCCTTTGTTTTGGCTACTTTCTTTCATTTGGAATGGCTATATATACCAAATGCCCATACCCTAATTGTGTCTGGGAAGTAACTAACTTGCTTTTTATTTTACAGGCCCATAGGCAGAAGGGACTTGCCTTGTCTCAGATGAGACATTAGACTGTGGACTTTTGAGTTAATGCTGAAATGAGTTCAGACTTTGGAGGACTGTTGGAATGCATGATTGGCTTTGAAATGTGATGACATGGGATTTGGCAGGGGCCAGGGGCAGAATGATATGGCTTGGCTCTGTGTCCCCACTCAGATCTTATCTTGAATTGTATTCCCATAATTCCCACCTGTTGGGGAGGTACCCAGTGGGAGATAATTGAATCATGGGAGCAGTTTCTTCCATACTGTTCACATAGTAGTGAATTAGTCTAATGAGATCTGATGGTTTGATAAGGGGAAACCCATTTCAATTGGTTCCTATTCTCCCTCTTTGCTGCTATCCATGTAAGATGTGACTTGCTCTTTCTTGCATTCTGCCATGATTGTGAGGCTTCCCCAGCCATGTGGATCTGTAAGTCCAATTAAACCTCTTTCTTTTGTAAATTGCCCAGTCTCAGGTATACCTTTATCAGCAGCATGAAAACAGACTAACATATTACAAAACAGATTCAAAATTCCCAGAGTTTAGGGCATGAACATCTTTGGTAGACCATTATTTGGCTTACCACACAATGGAATAAGAGGGGTGACTTGTGAGAGAAACTGTAAAATATGGGATTTGGTAGCCAACTAACTTACTAGAATTTGGGGTAAGGCATGGTTCAGAATAACAAAAAAAAAAAGGGACAAGAAGAATGGTGGTATTACCCCATGAGCCAAAATGGGGAGATATATAGGGTATTATTGTTAGAGGTCATTAAAACTTTCAGATAGTTGTGTTATAGCAGGTGGCAAAGTCCTGCTAAGTGTTAGGTGATATTTATTTCTGTATCTTGTGTCTGACACTGATTATATTAATATGAATGCCGGATTTGCTCTAGTATTAGTCTGTATGTCAAAGCTATATTTAACTAGGAAGGACAGGTGATGCTTTTTCTTGTGACTGGCTGCAATTTAAGTGAACATTTCTCTGTAAAAAATATGTGTTCAAAAGTGCATCGATTACTTGACCAAGATTTTGAAAGGTGTAAATATTGGAGTTAGATGATCACTAAGAGTATTGATTAGGGGGAAAAAACTGTCTAAGCTACTTTTAACTTATGTTTCTGATGTAATTTGGATATTTGTCCCTGCCAAAATTTCATGTTGAATTGTAATCTCCAAATTTGGTGGTGGGGCCTGGTGGGAGGTGCTTGGAACATGGAGTCAGACCCTTCATGAATGGCTTAGGCCATTCTCTTTGTGATAACAGAGATATCGGTCTGAGTTCACATGAGATTTGGTTGTTTAAAAGTGTGTGGCACCTCCCTACCTTATACTTTCTGTCTTGCTCCTGCTTTCACCATGAGATGTGCCTGCTCCCACTTTGCCTTGCACCATGAATATAGTTTCCTGAGGCCTCTCCAAAAGCAGATGCCCCTATGCTTCCTGTAAAGCCTGCAGAACCATGAGTCAATAACACTTCTTTTCTTATAAATCACCCAGTCTTTGGAATTTCTTTATAGCAGTGCAAGAATCGTCTAATACAGTTTCCTTAGGGTTTCAATGGGCTTGAGACTGGCAGTTTTAGGTGGAGTGTCAGCTGTGGATGAAGAGGAAAAGTGAACTGTTCATTGGTATTCTCCCTAAGTTTGTACTCTCCTTGTGAAATTATTGACACAACACTTGGTACTGCTTCTGTAGCCTGGCTACCTCCCCACCTAATTTGTTAGAGGAAACTTATGAAAAAATACATAAATTAAGTCAACACTTCCAGAAGTTTGGAGAAAATATTTTATTAGAGATAAAGCAAAAAATGGGGAATGTTTTAACATAAAATGGGTCATAGCTGGCATTACTTTTTGAGTCTGCAAAACCAGGCTCTCAACCTTGCAGAAGTCAAAATCAGATGCTGTCAACTAATCAAGAGTACATTTTTTTTTCTCAGATGCTGGATCTGACAGTCCAATCAATGTGGCCTATATGTTCAAGAAATAACCACTTCTAGATTAAAGTGCTCTGTTCATGGACCCCTGCACAAAGAAAGAGCTGGAGAAATGAAAGTTCAAGTGTCTATTCCTAGTTCAGTCAGATTCTCTCATAATTTGACAACAGAAATGCTGCAGGAAGTTCACAACTGTGGGTTACTGAGCTGAAAGGTCATGTAAACTCAATGGCTGAGCCTTATGACCCTTTGTAATCTTATGTGTGAACCATAAATGTCAATATGCAGAAAGAGAAGAATGAAGATTTGCAAAGAGAAGCAGAAGTAAGAGAAAATTTATGGCCCCTAAAATATGGTAAGCAATTTCAGTTTTTGAATTTCCAGTTTTAGTCCTTGTGTGGCCCCTTTTCTTCTCTTGCTTGTCAATTGAATTGACAGCTGTTGTCATATAATGTGTTTCCCTTTTAAAAGATATGTTTGGGTGCAATAAAAATATATGACTAGAATATAAATAGGCTCACATTATTTAGTCATAAAATCTGCTGCAGTAATATAAATAGCAGCAGTCAGTATATTGTACACCATTTTAGATGACTGTGAGAATTATTCATGAAATATTTTAGATATGGGGAAACTGAGACCCAAGGAAGTTATTTAATCCATCCAATGTTATATATCTAGCAATGTACTTGGGACAAAACATGAGCCAAAGTAATCATACTCCAGAGTCTATGTAGTATATTATCCACTATGATATACAACTAGTGCCTCTCCTTTGTCTGTAGTCTAAGTTCATTCTTTTCTGCTCAGTTCTCTGATTGCATCCTTCAACTTTATTTTGTCTTTACATCTTAAGTAATATTTTCTCTCATTATGCATCTGTTAAAAAAATACTTTTGCCCTTACTACCTGTGTTGGTGAAATTAGGGTACAAAGCTGTGATAAGATAGATACATGCTGCCGGAGCTCAGCAACAAGGCCATGTTTGAATAATAATTTACCAAATGTCACAGCTGATTTCTGAAATCAGCTGGTTTCTGAAACAGTTCTTGCCCTCCACAAAATGAACAATTTTTTCCCCTCTTCTCATCAATTAAATTTAGCTTTTGATAATATTCTGGCATCTCTATTTTAGCCTCTACTTGAACTAAAGGTTGTATTTGTCTAAACAGTCCTCAGAAGGATGCTGTTCTTTGTCTCTGAGGATCAAATTTCAAAGCTCAGCTGTCTCAGTATTGATTTTCTCGGTTAAGAATGGGTTATATTCACACAAGAAGGCTGAAATAAATGACACTGGCCCTACCTAAGAGAGTAAATAGCCTCTTGGGGCAGAAGTCATCTTCCCTCACTTTCTCCTTTATCACAAAGCCTCATGGTCTGTTCTTTCTGCAGTATTTCAATGTTTTCTATTTAATTAATAGCATCAACATCCATAGAGTTTTTCTTTTCTTCATTTGCCCCACTTCTAGGTTCAATCACATAGTCTAACTACTTCTTCCTTCAAAATATATGTCTTCAATTTATCCACTTGCCTCCACAACCCCCACTATTTACCATCATCCTAGAACAAACCACCACTTTATCTTTTTTGGATGTATCGCCCTTGCTTCTTAACCCTTCTACTTGCATCCACTCTTTCCTCCTTCAGAAACATTCAGCACATAGTAGTTAAAGTAAATATGAATATTCATTTTATGTGGCACTTTAACCTTTTATTAAGATTGTGATAAGTAAAAACATGTCCTGAGATGGATAAGAGCTTATTAAAGATCATAAGTATAGCCAGTGTAACCAGAAGACGATTAAAGAGAGTGCCATAACATATGATTTTAGAGGTATGAAATTGCCATTCCATGCAGGGTCTTGAGGCCATGGTAACGGTTCATATCTTATTGAGTTTTAGTCGTAGAAGAAGCACCTATGCCAAAAGAAGTATAAATAGATCTCTGTGGTAAGTGATAGAAATAGTAGTAAAAATAGGCTGGGCGCGGTGGCTCACGCCTGTAATCCCAGCACTTTGGGAGGCCGAGGCAGGTGGATCACGAGGTCAGGAGATCGAGACCATCCTGGCTAACACGGTGAAACCCCGTCTCTACTAAAAATACAAAAAATTAGCTGGGCGTAGTGGCGGGCGCCTGTAGTCCCAGCTACTCGGGAGGCTGAGGCAGGAGAATGGCGTGAACCCGGGAGGCGGAGCTTGCAGTGAGTGGAGATTGTGCCCCTGCACTCCAGCCTGGGCGACAGAGTGAGACTCTTGTCTCAAAAAAAAAAAAAAAAAAAAAAAAAAAGAAATAGTAGTAAAAATATTGCCTACCATAGGGGGCAGTTCAATTTAGTTATTTGACTGTTCTTCTGAATGCTGTCTCTCTAGGAGGCAATAATGACAGAGAGCTCTTCATGCAGAAACACTTTTTTTCTTATATTCTAAGTTCCTAACACAGAGAAGCACAAAAAAAAAAAAAAAAAAGAACAAGCGGGATGAAGGAATAAATAAATATGTAAGGGCATGGGTGCAGGAATCAAACACCCTAAGTCTAAATCTCAAATCTATTGTTTACTGCCGTGTGACTTCGCACAAGTTAACTTTATTTTCTTACATTGTTTTCCTCTTCATTAAAATGGGAATCATAATTATATCTACCTCAAAGAATATGTTAAGCATATAATTAGATAGCACATGAAAAAATGCCTAATATACTATTGAGCACATTGTAAGTACTCAAAAGATGCCAACTGTAGCTTACTATCACTTAATAAACAGCCCAGAGTTTGTTAGGTAGGATAGGGTTGGGGAGGGAAACTGGGGAAGCCAGTAAGAGCTTTATCTAAGAGTTTTAAATTTGAACTGAGTTGTAATGAATTATAAAGTGATTTCTAGGTAACAGGAGGTTGAGAGGGAAGCATTCTAGGAAATAGCAGGTCTAAAATCATGGGAGAATGGAAGTGGCAAGGTGTGTCATTGGCCAGAGGCTACAGGTATACACAGAAGAATATTAAAAAAAATACAGAGAAAGATATTTGCTTTAACTGTGATGGTCCTTACATTATGTTGTGGTTAGGAGTTAAAACTTAACTGTGATAGCAACAGGGAGCTAATAGAAGTCGATGAACAGGGGTATAACATTATAAGATTTTGTTATGAACAACTATTATGGTGATTGGCTTTTAGTCAGAGGTAGGCCTAGACCACATTTTGAAGCACATAAAGTTCAATTCTCCTCCAAACTTGTCTCCCTTTTCGTGTAGTATTTTCTTGCACCCTTAGCTCCATTAAGTTATAATATAAAGAGATCTGATTCTCCTGGTCAGTTTAGATGTCTTTATTATATGAACATTGGCAGCCAATGTATTTATTTAATTAGTGGTTGTGTTCAGTGTGATGTCAGCAAGGTGGTAAAATAGATTTTTGCAGAAGCATCAATTTTAACAACTACTCATGCATGAGACTATCTTTGTGAGAGTCTGAACATGCAACAAAGAAGTTCTAGCAAAGCTTTAGAATAGAACAAAACATCTAAAAATAGATGAATTGAAGACAGTCAAAAGAGAAGTCTAATTTTACCCATATCACGCCTCTCTTCTGAGGTGGTACAAATCAGTGCCAAGAGAGACCCATGACCCATAGTTTCTTCCTTCGGGGAATATGAATGCATTGTGAGTGAGCTGTTGGCTCTTGGAGTTGTATAGGGTGCTTCCCAGGAGGCCAACTTCTTTCTCACTCTACCCAGAATATTGAGGTGATTGGTATAGTAGAGTGGTTGGGAGAAACTTGGAGCAGGGAAGATAGGATGTAGACCCTACTAACTGCTCCAAAAACTACCATAAAGACTACCCATGAATTGCTTGGACTACTTTAGGTGTGGCTTCCCCTCAACAAGCCCATGGTTACCCAAAAACATCCTGCATATATCACCTCTCCATTCCCCAGGATGACTCTGGAAGCACATTCCTGAAGACAACTGATTGTATCTCACACAGACAGACAGCTAAACTCTGTGGAATTAGGAGAAGGCACATAAGCTTGAGCATTGTTAGGACATTACCTTAGTGAAAACAGACAGGATGCTCTCAGCACCTGGCATGGTTTTGCTGAATTGAGAGAAGGTATACAATAATAAGAAATCTCCCCAAAGATGGAAAAAGTGATGTGAAGTGAACACATCCACAGAAAAGGTCTGATAAATCTTCAGAATTTCTAGCCAAACTGTTTGGTTAGCTGTTTCTCTCTCAAAGCCAGTCAGTAAAGACCGGAAGAGGTGAATGCTTCTTCAAATGTGTAGATAACAATGCAATACTTTAAGAAAAACAAATATACCAACAAAACATGATGCCACCAAATAAACACAATGATATTTTAGTAACCAACCCAAAGCCAGGGAAATCTATTAATTGCCCAAAAAAGATTTCAAAATAATTATCTTAAGAAAGCTCAGCATGTTGCAAGAGAACACAGATAATTCAATGAAATTTTAAAAACTCTATTTTTTGTAGGAGTCTGAAAGTGAGGCAGAGAGGTTCTAGCAAAGTTTTATAACAGAAGAAAAAAGTCTAAAAATAGATGCACTAAAGAGGCTAAAAAGAACAGTTTCACATTATCCACATCATACCTCCCTTCTGAGGTGGTAGGGCTCTCTGCCAAGCAAGACTCATTGGTCCATGGTATCTCCCATTGGGAAAAGTGAAAACATTGTGAGTGAGCTCTTGGCACTTGGAATTGTGCAGGGTACTGCCCAGGAGGCCAACTTCTTTCTCACTCTACCCAGAATATTGAAGTGATTGGCAAAATGAACAAAATAAAAAGTTTAATAAAAAGCTGTAAATCATTAAAAAAACAAAAAAATTTGAAGCAGAGGAATATGATGAATGAAATAAAAAAAAAAGCTATAGAGAGTATCAAAAGAACTTGATGAAGCAGAAGAAAGAATCTGTATAATTTAACATAGGACATTTGAAAACATCCATCAGAGGAAACAAGATGAAAAAAATGAAAAAGAATGAAGAAAACCTATGGGATTTATGTGTCACCATTAAAAAAGCTAACTTTTCTATTATGAGAATCTCAGAGGGGAAGAGAGAGACAAAGTGGCAGAAAGCTTATTTAAAGAAATGATGGCTGATAACTTTCCAAATCTGAGGAGTTATATGGAAACCCAGATGCATGAAGCTCAAAGGTTGCCAATCATATTCAACTCAAAGGAGCCTTCACCAAGACATACTGTAATGAAACTATATAAAAAATTAAAAAAATAAAGACTTTTGAAAGCAGGAAGAGAAAGGAAGCACATTACATATAAGGGAATGTCAATAAGACTACTTGCAGATTCTCCAGCAAAACATTGCAGAACAGGAGAGTGGATGATATATTCAAAATGCCACAGGAAAAGAGCTGCCAAGAAATAGTACTTTATCTCCCCCTCTCCGCCGCCAAAAAAAAAATATCCGCTGTCCTTTAGAAGTTATGCAGAAATAAAGACTTTTCCAGACAAAGAAAACCTCAGAGCATTCATTGCCACTAAACTTGCCTTACAAGGTATACTAAATGGAGTTCTACAAACTGAAACAAAAGGACAATAATTAGTAACATAAAAACATGCAAAAGTGTAAAATTCACTAGTAAAGGTAAGTATATAGTCAAATTGAGAGTATTTGTAATAGTGGTATGAAAATTTCTTATAACTCTACCATAAAGGTTAAAAGACAAAAGAATTGCAAATAATTATAGTTATAATAATTTGTATAATTGTCAATCTGGATGTCTAAAGAGGTGACAATTATCTGTTAATGCTTTGGAAAAACAAGTAGGGTTGCCTTTGGAGGCCAGGCTTCTTAGTTCATTCAAAAATATTTATTAGATTTATGCCATGTGTTAAGCATTTTTAGCCCCCAGTATTACAACTGTGAACCAAACAGATAAGGCCCTAACCATTTTCAGCACTCTGTTTAGATGGGGTGGGACTGGGGACTTAATTAAAATAGAGATATGGGAAAATATGCATCTAAATAAGATAAGTTAATAAGTATGGAGTTGAAATGAAGCAACTAACAATATGTTAAAGAAGTTAGAAGTAATATTTTGCAGTATTGTAACCCCTATTTAATTTAAGTTTGGGTAGTAGTTACAGATAGCATAAAAAGCCTTAATTTTTCACTTTCCTTGCTGGCAAAGGTATGTTTATTTAGACTGTCCATTTAAAGTAGTGTTTAATATAACATTACTGTGAAAAACATTCCATTACATATTCCCAAGCAAATGAGCTGCATCTTCTTTACTGTATTTTACAATTTAGTACAACAATTTTAGGCCTTAATCTTCACTTCACATCACTGATATTTTAAATTTAGCAATGAATATGAAATTACTTTTGACTTACAGTCTGATTATATTATTACTTTGAAAACACATTAATTTCTTAGGAAGGTTTTGAGCCTCTATCTTTTTTTGAGTTAATATTTAAATTCTCATTACTTATTTTAATAGCCTGTAGTAAGTGAAAATAGTATTTATGCAAGTAAACAAATCACTATTGGCTTTCAAGACTTTAATTTTAAATTTTGTCATCATTGAGGTTTAAATTTTTTACCTGCTGTCCACTTAAAATATATATTACCAGTTTGTGAAGTGAAATAGTTTTAAGTATGATGTATGATGCACCTACATATAAATGAAAATGGCATACACAGACACTTTACTATGGGAACTGTACTGGAAGATTTATTAAAGCATGTGAAATTGCACCTAAAATTGTGTTATTAGTTACTATAAGCAGCAATGCTAAATTTATTGTACTTGATGAATGAATGTATTTAATCACAGTTACTTTGGTTTAGATACATAAATGACTTTAGGGTTTTTTTTAAATGTGTTTGTAATTTGCACTATTGCGGGGGTATACTTGGATTGCAGGGGTTATTGTCAATGTGTGATTTGTGTTTTTATTTTATAGAATCATCTAATGTGATATACCAATTTTTACAGGTGATAGTTACATAATTCTATTAACTGTATATTTGACAACCTGTTATAATGTTTTGCATTAAAAAATTTGTTAATGGATACATGATATAAAAAGATATATATTATAACATTGAAAATGTAAAATTAGTGATGCAGGAGTAAAAGTGTAGAGTGTATGTATGCATTCAAAGTTGTTATTAGCTTAAAATAGACTATTGTCACTCTAAGATGTTTTATATAAGTCTTCTGGTGACCCCAAAGCAAAAATCTATAATTGCTAAACAAAGCATGAAAAGTAAAAAGAAAAGAATTAAAGCAACTAAAAAAATCAATTATTTAATTTTATAATTTTATTTTTCTTATTTTTAAAGATGAGATTCTATGTTGCCCAGTCTAACTCTTAACTCCTGGTCTCAAGTAATCCTCCTGCCTCAGCCTCCCAAAATGTTGGGATTATAGGCATGAGCTGCCACACCTGGCTGCTGCTGCTTCTTTGTTTTTTTTTTTTGTTTGTTTGTTTTTTTGTTTTTTTACATTTAAGAAGCTTTATTGCAGCTGTTTTCCTCTTCAAACTGAAGTAACCAGTCATTTTAACTAGCAGTTCCATTTACATTCTCATGGTGATAATGCTCAGTAACTCTCTAGATGATAAGCTGTTAAAAATCTGTTTTTATACAAATAGTGAAGATCACAAATAACAAAAACAGTAAGAGAGAAATAAATGAATAAAAGTTTGACAAAACAACCAGGAAACAACAAAATGGCAATAGTAATTCCTTACCTATCAATAATTTTTTAACATAAATAGATTAAATTCTCTAATAAAAGACATAGAATGGCTAAATGAATAAATAAAAAGACCCAACTATATCCTGCCTATAAGAGGCTCACTTTATCTTTAAGATCACATAGACTGAAAGTGAAAGAATGGAAAGAGATACTCCATGCAGACAAAATAAACATTAAGTCAAAAACTTAGCAAGAACAAAAGATCATTATGTAATGATAAAATATTCCATTTATCAAGAGGATATAGCTATTGTGAATATATAGGGATGCAACATTGGAACTTCTCAATATACAAAGCAAATATTAACAGATCTGAAGAAGGAAATAGAGAGCAATACAATAATAAGGGGGAATTTAAATATTCCTCTTTCCTCAGTGCATAGATCATCTACACAGAAAATCAGTAAAAAATCTTGGACTGGCACTACACTTTCGATCAAATGGACCTAGCAGATATATACAAAACATTCTATCTGAAAGCAAATAAATGCACATTCTTCTCAAGCACAAACTGAACATTTTCCTGAATAAATAGTATGTTAGGCCACATATCAAGTCTTAACACATTCAGCAAGAACATTGAAATTGTATTTAGCATCTTTTCTGACCACAATGGTATGAAATTAAAAATCAATTAAAAGGAAAACAGAAAAATGTACAAATATGTGAAGATTAAGCAACATGCTCCTAAACAACCAATGTTTCAAGGAAGAAATCAAAACATGTATTTTAACATATCTCAGAACTAATAAAAATGGAAAGTAAACATACCAAAATTTATGTAATGCAGCAAAATCAGTTCTAAGAGGGAATTTTATAGCAATAAATGCCTACATAAAGATAAAATAATAATCTCAAATAAACAGCCTAACCTGAAGACACTGGGAGAAAGAACAAATCTCAAAGTTATAAAGAAGGAAATAATAAATATTAGAGCAGAAATAGATGATATATACAAAATAAAAACAATATAAAAGATCAACAAATTAAGTGCTAGTTTTTTGAAAAGTTAAATAAAATTGACAATTAGCTAGACTAACCAAGAAGAAAGAGAGAAGATTCAAATAAGTAAAGTTGTAAATTCTAGAGGAGACATTACAACTGATGCTACAGAAATGCAAAGGATTATAAGAGACTACTATGAACAATCACATGCCAACAAATTGGATAACCTAGAAAAAAATTGATACATTTTTAGTAAAATACAGCTTACCAAGACTGAATCTTGAAGAAATAGAAAATATGAACAAACCAATAACAGGTAAGGAGATTTAAAATGTAAAAAAAAAAACAACAACAAAAAAAACCCTCCAAACCAAGAAACATCTAGAACCAAGTGGATTTTTTGTTGAGTAGATTAACACTAATCAATCTAAAACTCTTCCAAAAAAATTTAAAAGAAGGGAACACTTATAAACTCATTTTATGAGGCCAGCATTGCCTTGATACCTTCTCTTTGCCAGACAAAAACACTAAAGAAGAGAAAATTACAGGCCAATATCTCTGATGAATATAGATGCAAAGAAAATCCTCAACAAAATTTCAGCAATCCAAATTAAACAGCACATTGAAAGGAAAAAACAGCATGATCAAATGGGATTTATCCTTAGGATATAAGAATGGCTCAATCTACACAAATCAATAAATGTGATATACACCATTAACAACATGAAAGATAAAAGAATACAATAATCACAATAAGTGCAGTAAAGCTATTTAGCAGAACTCAACATTTTTTCATGATAAAATATCTCAAGACATTGGGAATACAAGGAATGCACCTCAACATCGTAAAGGTCATATATGACAAGTCCACAGATAGCATCGTACTCAAAGATGAGGAGTTGAAAGCTTTTCCACTAAGATGAAGAACAACACAGGGATGTCCACTCTCACCACTTCCCAACACAATATTGATAGTCATAGAAAAAGTCAATTGAGTAAAAAAAAAAGAAATGAAGGAATCCAAATCAGAAGAGAAAATGTAAAATTGCCTCTGCAGATGATATGACCTTATAATACAGATAACTTTAAAAATTTCACAAACAAGCCCACAAAACAGTTAGAATTGATAAATGAATTCAATAAAGTTGAAGGATACTAAATCAACAAACAGAAATCAGTTGCATTTCTGTACATTAACAACCAACAAGCTAAAATAAAACTAAAAAATATCATTTAAAATAGCATTACAAATAATAAAATGCTTAAGAATAAATTTTACCAAGGGGGTCAAAGATCTATACACTGAAAAGTATAATACATTGACAAAAGAAATTGTAGAAAATATAAGTAAATAAAAAGATAGCCAATGTTTATGGATTGAAAAAATTAACATTGTTAAAATGGCCATACTACCGAAAACGATCTAGAGATTCAGTGCAATTTTTATAATATTTTAACAACATTTTTTATTGAAGTAGAAAGAATCCTAAAACTTGTATGGAAGCACAAAAGACTCAAACTAACCAAAACTGTCTTGAGCAAAAATAACAAAGCTGGAGGCACCAAGTTACCTGACTTAAAAAAGTACTGAATGGCTATAATAATGAAAACAGCCTGGTGCTGGCGTTAAAATAGACACATACATAAATGGAATAGAATGAAGACCCCAGAAATAAACCCAGATATTTACAGCCAATTGATTTTCTACAGTTGTCAAGGACACTAAATGAAGAAAGGACTGCCTCTTCAATAAATATTGGTGGGGAAATTGGATATCCACACACAGAAGAATGAAATTAGACCCTTATCTCATCCCATGTACAAAAATAAATTGAATATGGATGGAAGACTCAAATGTAAGTCCTGAACATGTAAAACTGCTGAAACAAAATTTAGGGGGAAGCTCTATTACATTGGTCTTTGTAATGATTTTTTGGATATGACCTCAAAAGCACAGGCAACAAATGCAGAAATGACACATGGGATCATAGCAAACTAAAAAGCTTCTACACAGCAAAAAAAAAAAAAAAAAAAAAAAAAAAAAAAAAAAAAAAAAAAAAAAAAAAAAATCAATCAAGTGAAGAGAAAACCTATGAAATGAAAATATTTTAAAACCTTACATCTGATAAGAGGTTAATATTCAAAATATATAAGAAACTCAAACAACTCAATAGCAATCAAACAAATAACACAAATTTAAGAATGAACAAATGATCTGAATCAATGTTTTTCCAAATAAGACATATCATTGATCAGCAGGTATATTAAAAAAATGGTCAAAATCTCTAATAAACCGGGAAATGCAAGTAAAGACCACAATAAGCTATAATGTCACACCTGTTTGAATGGTTAGCATAAGAAAGTCTTATAGAAACAGAGTAAAAGGGTGGTTACCAGTTTCAGGGCATGGTTAAATGGGGAGGTACTGGTCAAAGGCTACAAACATTCAGTTACAAGGTGAATAAATTCCAAAGACCTAATGTACAACATCGTGACTATAGTTAATAACAATGTATTGCATGCTTGAAATTTGGTAAGACAGCAGATCTTAAGTATCCTCATCACACAAAATAGGTTACCATGTGAAGTGATGGATATTTTTATTAGTTTTATTCAAATAATTACTTCATAATGTATACATATATTAAACTATCACAGTGTATGCCTTAAATATATATAATTTTCTTTGTCAATTATACCTCAATAAACTTGGGAAAATTAAAATAAGAAATTGTGTTCAATAGTAGAGTAAGTCCAGGAAACTTAATGACTGTTGTGTCCCTGGAACACCACATAGTATCTGGCATATAACATATTGGGCAGTCAGTGAATGTTCATGACCTAGATAGATAAATGGATGGATCATGAGCATAAGGTACTGCTTTTCTTTGGCAATGGAATATAAGGTTAAGAGGTAAGTTAATCTCTATGGTAGTGTCAAAATTCTAACACTAGCATGTGGTCACAAAGACAGTTATGAATTCATTGTCTAAGCAAGTGTGTCTTGGGTTTCAGAGAAAGCAGAGATGATTCTTAAAGAGGATTGTTTAAGCCAATGTCATCCTGAATAACCTATCTAGCATTTTCTATATCACCCAAACTGCCTCATAATCTATCTCAAGATCAAGTCACTTTAGGCTTTCTATCTCAGCAAAGATATTTTCTGACAGCAATGGGTCCCTTTCTACATGTGTTCACAGAACTGTTTTTAAGCAAATTTGGAACAAGGCCATTTATAGTTTAGGAGTTGTTAATTACAATATCTATAAAAAGATTATCTAAATTTTGTATTAAAAAGGCTACTGAAATTTTGTGCTTGTGTAGAGATCAAAATGGTCAGATGTTATGGAGGGTTGGAGCTGGCCACAGGACTCCTACAGAGCTAGTTTAGGAGCTTTGGCCTGGTCCTTGAAGGGATTCATTTTATTAGTAACCCATTGCTACTGAGCCTGTATGTGTAGCTTTGGGGAAGGGTAATGACAATGCTACCATTGAGTTGCTGAAATGGATCATAGGTAGGAGACAGTGGGAGATAATCAGGGATAGTAAGGGTGAAGGAGAAAAGATAGAGTTGAAGGAATTAAGTAGGCATTTGAGGGGTAATAAAGGAAAGATGAGCATTTTTAAAGTAATGAATATGATAGCTATGGGAGATAAACTTCTGCGGTGGCGAGATCCTATTATTACTTGGCCCAGAATAAGTGTATCATTTTGGCTTCATTATCTTCCACTGTAAAATAAGGCAATTGTATTAGTGACCTTTTACAGTCCCTTCCAGCTCCAGTATTCTCTAATTTTATGGTGGAAATAATGCTGCACCAAATTACAGGTTGCCTGACTCAAGTAACAGATAGTACAGTAGCTTGGAACTTGGCAATCAATGCAACTTATTCACATAGGTGAAGCCCCATAATATTGTTTTAGGTGAACAACCATATAATCAATGACAAAGATATAGAAATTGTTGCTTTTCAGAGAGTAACATACCTAAAATAGACTAATTAACATAATAAACTTCAGAGTAAAAGTTCATTACAAGTATATTTCCTAGGATGCCATTGTTTAAAATAATAGTAAATTTTTCCTTGAATTAATATGCCTAAGGTTCAAATGAAATGGGACCCATAAGATCTTAGCTCTTCTGATCCTTCTCTGGTAGGTAGAAAGAAAGGAATGTTTTTAAGGTATTCCCTGTGAAGGGGTGTGTAGAGAAACTGTATATTCAACACCACCACCACCACAAATGCCTAGCAAAACATATATTAGAAACCAATGAAATGAGATTAAGGTGAGCATCAACAACATATTTGAGGATAATGTCAGAAATGGGCATGTTGTGGAATGGATGGGAAGCATCATGGACCAGGAGAGCCATTTCCTCCATTTTCCCTTAGTGATGGTGTTAAGTGCAATGTTATCAGATAAGTATATATGCATCAGCCTTCTTATATTTTATCAATAGCTAGTGGAAATTATGTTTTTCTCTCTAAACCAATTCTTTTTCTGTGTCTCTACTGCCCAGCATCAGGACCCCAGAATATGGGGATCAGGACATTCAGGAGAAAAGAGGGCTATCTGGTCTACTCGGGTGATGGGAGAGTGCCAGCTAAGTTGGCTAAGACCTACATTTATTCATTTGTTGATTTGTGTATACAACCAAAGTTTGTGCTGAGACCTGTGCTATGCACTGGTGAAAAAATCATAAAGAAGACAGACATGTTTTCTTCCCTTGTAAATTTTATCTTCTAGTTAAAAATAAAATAATCACACAAACATGTATATGCAAACTATGATATATTATAAAGGAAAAAGTGACCTTTTAGACTAACTAGAGTTAATTTATAAATGAGAGGTGGACAGTCAGGGAAAATTTTTCTTGAAGTGAGGTTTGAACTGAAATTGGACTGAATGAGTATGGGTTTCCTTTTAGCAAAGACTGGGCAAAACATGTAAGGTAGTAAAAACAATATATGCAAGTACCTCAAAGCAGGGAGCATGTGACACATTCAAATAATAAAAAGATGATTGAGGCTGGGTGTGGTGGCTCATGCCTGTAACCCCAGCACTTTGGGAGGCCGAAGCAGGCAGATCATCTGAGGTCAGGAGTTCGAGACCAACCTGGCCAACATGGTGAAATCCCCTCTCTACTAAAAATACAAAAAATTAGCTGGGTGTGGTGGCATGTGCCTGTGGTCCCAGCCACTCAGGAGGCTGAGGCAGGAGAGTCACTTGAACCCTGGAGGTAAAAGTTGCAGTGAGCTGAGATTATGCCACTGCACTCCAGCCTGGGCAACAGAGAAAGACTCCATCTCAAAAAATAAAATAAATAAAATAAAATAAAATAAAATAAAATATGATTTTAAAATAAAGAGCAGTTCAAGAGTGTTATGAAATTCTAAGGGCCCAGCTCAGCTCAGAAAATGAGTTGAATTTAAATGCCTTTTATTTCTTTTTCTTGCCTAATTGCTCTGGTTATAACTTCCAATACTGCATTGAGTAGAAGTGGTAAAACGTGGTATCTTTGTCCTGTTCCTGATCTTAGAGAAAACACTTTCAGTCATTCACCATTAAGTATGATGTTAGATTCAATAGGATGAGGCAGAGTAAGAGGGCAGAATAGAAAGCTCCACTTCCCTTCTGCAAGGGCATCAAGTTAACAGCTATCTACAGAGAAAAAAAAACCTTTATAAGAACGAAAAATCAAGTGGACACTAATAGTACCTGGTTTTAATTTCATATCACTGATAGAGGCACTGAACAGATAGAAAAAATGGCTCTGAATTGCTGACAAAAAAACCTCCCCAAGCCCCCTGCAGAAGCCTGGTGGAGAGAGCACTTCTGGGCACTGGGGGAGGGAGAAGATAGCAATTGTGATACATTGAATAAAGTGCTGTCCTGTTAGAGAAGAAAGAAAAATTGGATGAAACTTAGTTGATGCCTGCCCATGGCAGGAGCATTTAAATCAGCCCTCACCAGAGGGGAATTGTTGATCCCAGTGGTCCAAACATGAGTGCCTTGCCAAACCTTGCCACTGAGGGCTACAGCATTCTGCGTCTCCAAGTAAACTTGAAAGGCAGCCTAACAATAAGGACTTCAACTCTCAGGTGAGATCTAATGCTGACCTGGGCTCAGAAACAGTGGAGTAAAGAAGTGGGAGCATGCAACATACTGATACAACAACTGGGGCAGCCAAGGGAGTACTGGTGTCACACCGTCCCTAACCCAAGGTTGCATAGCTTGTGGCTCTAAAAGGGATCTCTTCTTTCTGCTTGAGAAGAGGAGAGGGAAGAGTGGGAATAACTTTGTCCTGCATCTAGGGAACCAGCTCAGCCACAGCAGGACAGGACACCAGTCAGAGTGGTGAGGACCCCATTCCATGTGCTAGCTCTCATATGTCATTTCTAGATACAACCTGGGCCAGAAGGGAACCCACTGCCTTGAAGAAAAGAGCCCAGTCTTGGCATCATTCATCACCATCTAATTGAAGAGCCCTTGGGCCCAGAATAACAAGCAGCAATATGTAAATACTAGTTTAAGGGTCTTAGGTAAACCTCTGAGACTTGCTGGCTTCAGGGAACAGCACAGCCACAGAGATGTAGAGCACCAAGTGGGTTCTAGGGGTCCCCAGTTCCAGGACGTGACTCTTGGATGGCATTTCTAGACCTGCCCTGGGTCAGAAGGGATCCCACAGCCCTGAAGAGTGACTCCTGAGACAGGAAACATTCACAACAAGGTGATTTAAAGAGACCTTGGGCCTTAAGTGAACATATGCAGTAGTCTGGAAGTACTCCTCCTTGCCAGGGGTGGCAGTGGCTATGGGGTGAAGCTCCTTTGCATTTGGAAAGGGGAAGGAAGAGAAGAAAGGACTGCATCTTGTGGTTTGAGTGTCAGCTCCATCACAATATAATAGAACACTAGATAGACTTGTATGGATTTTGACCCTAGTACCTGACGCCCAGAGGGCACTTCTACACCAACCCAGGGTCAGGCAGAGCTTGATGCCCTGAAGGGAAGAAACAGACTTTGACACCCTGAAAGGAACAACACAGGCCTGAATGACTTTGTCACATGATGATTGTAGAGCTCCAAGCCTTGAGTAAACATAAGGAGTAGTCAGGGAGTGGTTGTGGCAGGTCTTGGGCAAGACCCAGTGCTGTATTTGCTTCAGGTCTGACCTAAGGCAGTCATAGTGGTGGTAGCCAGAGATGCTTTTGTCACTTCATCACCAATTTTAGGAGGCTCAGAAAAGAGAGAAAGACTTCCTTTGTCTGAGAGAAAGTAACAGAAAAGAATAGGAGTCTCTGCCTGGTAATCCAGAAAATTCTCCCAGATATTGTCCAAGACCATCAAGGTGGTGCCTCTATGAGTTTGCAAGAACCACAGCATTACTGGGTTTGGGGTGTCCTGTAAAGCAGGTACAGCTTAGATCACAACACCTATGTCCTTTCAAATATCTGGAAATCCTTCCCAAGAAGGATGGCTATAAAATAAGCCCAGACAGTGAAGACTACAATAAACACCAAATAATTCAATGCCCAGTGAAGAACATGTACTAGCATCAACACCATTCAGGAAAACATGACATCACCAAGTGAACTAAATAAGGCACCAGGGACCATCCTGGGGAAAGAGATATGTGCCCTTTCAGAGAAATAATACAAAATTGCTGTGTTGAGAAAACTCAGAGGAATTCAAGATAGCACAGAGAAGGAATTCAGAATTCTGTCAGATAAATTCAACAAAGAGACCGAAATAATGAAAGAGAATCAAGCAGAAATTCTGGAGTGGAGAAATGCAATTGGCATACTGAATAATTCATCCGTGTTATTTAATAGCAGAATTGATCAAGCAGAAGAAAGAATTAGGGAGCTTGAAGACAGGCTATTCAAAAATACAATCAGAGGAGACAAATGAAAAAAATATGAAGCATGCCTACAGGATCTAGAAAATAGCCTGAAAAAGACAAATTTAAGAGTTATTGGCCTTTATGAGTAGGTAGAGAAAGAGATCAGGGTAGAATGTTTATTCAACAACATAATAACAGAGAACTTCCCAAACCTAGAGAAAGATGTCACTGTCTAAGTACAAGAAGGTGTTAGAACAACAAGCAGATTTACCCCAAAGAAGACTACCTCAAGGCATTTAATTGTCAAACTCCCAAACGCCAAGAATAAAGAAAGGATCCTAAAAGCAGCAAGAGAAAAGAAACAAATAACATACAATAGAGCTTCAGTAAGTCTGGCAGCAGACATATAAATGGAAACATTACAAGCCATGAGAGAGTGGCATGACGCACTTAATGTGCTGAAGGGGGGGAAAAAGTAAAACTTTTCCTCTAAAATAGTATATCCAGTGAAAGTATCCTTCAAATATGAAGGAGAAATAAAGACTTTCCCTAACAAACAAAAGCTGAAGGATTTCATCAATACCACACCCATCCTACAAGAAATGCTAAAAGGAGTACTTCGATCAGAAATAAGAGGACATTAATGAGCAATAAATAACCCCCTGGAGGTACAAAATTCACTGGTAATAATAAGTACACAGAAAGACAAATAATATAATGTCATTGTAACTGTGATGTGTAAACCCCTCATCCTAAATAAAGACTAAACAATGAATCAATGAAAAATAATAAATACAACAACTTTTAAAAACATTGTAATTATAAAAATATATAAATAGAAACAACAAAAGGCAAAAAGTGGAGGGATAAAATTAAGGTGCAGAATTTTTATTAGTTTTTTTCTTTTCTTGTTTGTCTATGCAAATTGTGTTCAGTTGTTATTAGCTTAAAATAATGGGTTATAAGATCGTATTTGCAGCCTTGTGGCAACCTGAAACCAAATAATATAGAATGTATACACAAAAAGTAAAAAGGAATAAAGTAAATCATATTACCTCAGAAAGTCTCCTTCAGTAGAGGAAGACAGGAAGACAGAAAAGAAAAAAGTGAAAACCATAAAACAGACAGAAAACAAATAATAAAATGATAGGAGTAGGTCCTTACTTATCAATAATAACACTGAATGTAAATGGACTAAACTCTCTAATCAAAAGACATAGACTAGCTGAATGGAAGAAAAAACAAGACCCCTGATCTGCTGCCTAACAGAAACACACTTCACCTATAAAGCCACATATAGACTTAAAATAAAGGGATGGAAAAAGATATACCATGCCAATAAAAACCAAAAAAGAACAGGACACCCTATACTTATATCAGAAAAATTAGATTTCAAGACAAATACTATAAGAAGAGACAGAGGGAGTCACTATGTAATGATAAAGGTGTACATTCACTAAGAAGATTAAAACAATGCTAAATATATATGCACCCAACACTGGAGCACCCAGAGATTAGAGCTATTAGAGGTATTAGAGCTAAAGAGAAAGATAGGCCCCAATACAATAATAGCTGAAGACTTCAACACCCCATTTTCAGCATTGGATAAATCTTCCAGAGAGAAAATCAACAAAGAAACACTGGACTTAATTTTGCACTAAAGACTAAATGGATCTAAGATATACACGGAACATTTCATCCAAGAGCTGCAGAATGCACATTTTCTTTTCCTTAGCACAAGGATTATACTGAAGGATGGATCATGTTAGGTCACAAAACAAATCTTAAAACATTGAAAAAATTGAAATAATATCAAACATCTTCTTGAATACAATGGGATAAAACTATAAACTAATAACAAGAGAAACTTTTGAAACTATAAAAATACATGGAAACTAAACAATATGCTCCTGAATGGCCAGTGGGTCAATGAAGAAATTAAGAAATTAATTGGAAAATTTCCTGAAAAAATGGATAATGAAAACACAACATACCAAAACCTATAGAATACAGCAAAAGCAGTACTAAGAGGAAAGTTTATAGCTATAAGTGCCACCAAGAAAAGAGAAATAACATAAAATGAATAATCTAACGGTGTATCATAAAAAACTGGAAAATCAAGAGCAAACCAAATTGCAAGGTACCAGAAGAAAAAAAAAGAGATTAGAGCATTAATAAATGAAATTATAATGACAAAAGTAATAAAAAAGATCAATGAAACAAACATTGGTTTTTTTAAAGATAAACAAAGTTGATAAATTATTAGCCAGACTAAGAAAAAAGAAGAGAAGATCCAAATAATTACAATCAGAAATGAAAAAGAAGACATTATAACTGATACTGAAGAAATTCAAGGGATCATTAAAGGCTAAAATGAGCAACTGTATGCCAATAAATAGAAAAATCTAGAAGAAATTAATGAATTCCTAGATACATACAACCTACTCATAATAAACCAGGAAGATATCCAAAGCCTGAAGAGGACAATAACAAGTAATGATATCAAAGCCATAATTAAAAGTTTTCCAGTAAAGAAAAGCTCAGGACCTGATGGCTTTACTGCTGAATTATATTAAACAAAAAAAAAAAGAAAAAACTTATACCAATCCTACTCAAACTATTCAAAAAAATACGAGAGGAGGCAATATCCCCAAACTCATTCTACATAGACAGTATTACCCTGATACCAAAACCAGACAAACCACATAAAAAAACACAAATAAATCAATGTGATACATCACATCAACAGAATAAAGAATAAAAACTATATGGTAATTTCAGTTGATGCTGAAAAAGCATTTGGTAAAATTCAAAATTCCTTCATGATAAAATGATAAAAATCCTCAAAAACCCGGGCATAGAAGTAACATATCTCAACATAATAAGTCATATACGACAGACCCACAGCTAGTATCATACTGGATGGGGAAAAACTAAAAGTCTTTTGTCTAAGATATGGAACATGAAAGGATGTCACCACTGTTATTTAACATAGTACTGGAAATCCTAGCTAGAACAATCAGACAGGAAAAAGACATAAAGGGCATCCAAATTGGAAAGGAAGAAATCAAATTATCCTTGTTCATTGATGGTTCTTACATTTAGAAAAACCTAAAGACTCCACAACAAAGATATTACAACTGATTAAAAAATTCAGTAAAGTTGTAGGACACAAAATCAACATACAAAAATTAGCAGTATTTCTATATGCCAACAGTGAACAATGTGAAAAAAATTGATAAAAGTAATCTTATTTACAGTAGCCATGCATAAAATAAAATACCTAGGAATTATCGGAAGAAGGAAAAAATCTCTATAAAGAAAACTATAAAACACTGATGAAGGAAATTGAAGAGGACACCAAAAAATGGAAAAATTTCCATGGGTTGGAAGAATCAATATTATTAAAATGTCCATACTCCCAAAGCAATCTACATATTCAGTGAAACCCCTATTAAAATACCAATAATATTCTTGAAATATAAATAGAAACAAAATGGAAATAGAAAAAAATCCTAAAACTTATATGGAACTATAGAAGACCCAGAAAAGCTAAAGCTATCTAAGCAAAATGAACAAAACTTAAGAAATCACATTACCTGACTTCAAATTATAGTACAGAGCTATAGTAAGCAAAACAACATGATACTGGCACAAAAACAAACTTATAGACAAAGGAAAAAATAGAAAACCCAGAAACAATTCAGCAAGTTTACAGCGAAGTCATTTTTGACAAAGGTGCCAAGAACATACACTGGGGAAAAAGACAGTCTCTTCAATGAATGGTGCTGGAAAAAACTTGATAGCCATATGCAGAAGAATGAAGCTAGACCACTGTTTATTTCCATATACAAAAATCAAATCAAAATGGATTAAGGACTTAAATCTAAGACCTCAGCCTACGAAACCACTACAAGAAGACATTGGGGAAAATCTCCAGGGCATTGGTCTGGGCAAAGATTTCTTGAGCAATACCCCACAAGCGCAGGCAACCAAAGCAAACATGAACAAATGGGACTCACATGAAGTTAAAAAGCTTCTGCACATCAAAGGATACCGTCGACAAAGTGATAATCCACAGGATGGTAGAAAATATTTGCAAACTACCCCTCTGACAAGGGATTCATAACTATAACATGTAAGGAGCTCAAACAATTCTGCAGGAAAAATATCTAGTCATCCAATTAAAAAGTGGGCAAAATATTTGAATATACATTTCTCAAAAATAGACACATGATTGGGAAATAGGCATATGAAAGGTGTCTGACATCATTGATCATCAGAGAAATGCAAATCAGAACTACAATGAGATATCTCACCCCAGTTAAAATGGCTTATATGCAAAAGACAGGCAATAACAAACACTGGTGAGGATGTGGAGAAAATGGAACCTTTGTATACTGTTGGTGGTAAAGTAAGTTAGTACAATCACTATGGAAAACCATTTGGAGCTTCCTCAAGAAATAAAAATATAAAGTTATCAACTCATCAATGAATGCATACCCATTGGGGGACTGCTGGATCATACGGTAGTTCTATTTTTAGTTTTTAAAGGAATTTCTACACGGTTTTCAATAATGATTGTACTAATTTACATTCCCACTAAGAGTTCCACTTTCTCTGCATCCTTGCCATAATTTGTTATTTTTATCTTTTAGAATAATAAGCATTTGAACAGGCGACAGATGATATCCTGTGGTTTTTATTTGTGTTTCCCTGATAATTACTGGAGCATTTTTTCATATGCACGTTGGCCACTGTATGCCTTCTTTTGCAAGATGTCTCTTCTGTGCATTTTTCCATTTTTAAACCAAAATATTTGGCTTTTGCTGTTGTTTGAGTTTTTATGTATTCTGGCTATTAATCCCTTGTCATGTGAATAGTTTGTAAATTTTCTCCCATTCCACAGGTTGTCCCTTCACTCTGTTTATCTTGCTGTACATGAACTTTTTAGTCTTAAATAATTCCCATTTTTGCTTTCATTGCCTGTTTTTGAGGTCTTATCTATGTGGTATATTTTACAGTCAGATAGTAATGATGTCTCTAGCTTTGTTTTTGTTTTCTTGGGAGTGTCAAAATATTTCTAAATGTGCTATATATGAATTATAAGAAGATATATTAACCTTATGATCTCTTTTGGTGCTTAATTCAGGCCACATTGTGTCAGGACATATGTGTTTTGGAGAGAGAGAACTGAGGGCTTCAGTCACACAATCAAGATCAAGTACAGTATTTAACATGGTTTTCTGAATTACTATTGGTCTCATGCCACAAATGGCTACCATGTGTAGGAATAAAGCCAGAAATATAATTATAACAAATTAGAAAGTTTCTGTGTCTCATAGTTTAGATTTTGAAGTCACTAAGGCACTTAGAGACTTGACATGAAGCCACTTCCATCGTATCTGAGTTGCCAATCGGCTCCAAATTCAGCTCCAACTGAGGCTTCTAGGTAGTGAAACCAATGTCATTTAGTAGAGGGAAACCCTTGTAACATTAAAACCAAGTTTATGAACCTTTTTTTTTGGTTCCTGATTACATACTTAATGAAGTCTAACTTCTTAGTTACATATCCAAGCTCTTTACAATTTATTATCTATCAACTTTCCCAGCCTCACCTACTTGCACCTCTTCTCGCATATGGTATCTTCCAGCTGCAGAAAATGTCTCATCACTCTCTGAAGACTTAACACACTTTTACAACCTCATGCTCTTGCCAATACTATTATTTCTACCTGAACACACTTTTACCTCTTTAATAAATAACAAACTCTTCTGTCCATACCCACAAAATGCAGGTCATACGTTATCAACTCTGTAAAATGTTCTGCACATTTTCTAAGTATTTACATTTCATGCATAATATCACTTATCAAATTTATATGCCCCCTTTTAGTATGAACTTCTTAAAGGCAGGTAACTTGTTATATGATAATCCAGTGTTTAGTATAGCAAGCACTCCAATTTTTTGTGAAATATTAAATGAATTGTAGGTGTACATATTTGGTTCTTCCATCACAGGGAAGAGAGTTATTTGTGTCACATGACTTGGGTGTGAGAACTCTGATGTGTGTGAACGTGCTGTTTTGTGTACCTCTACATAAATATTCTACTTACAGATAAACCTAAGATATTACGTGATACCAAAACACTTATGAAAGCACATGGCTGATCTGCAGGTTGAGACAAAGGGCAGATATATTATTTCAGGTCAGAAGATGAATATACTTTCTGCAACAGTTTTCTATAGAAAGCATTTTGTTAGAAGTATTAAATGATTTTGGATTTTCAGTCATTTTCCATTTGTCCTTCAACCTGTTTGTGAAACAAGTTGATTTAGGGGATGTGCTCTTTGAGAGGTTGAATTGAACATTTGATGTTAGGATGGCTCTAAGACAAAGCACCTGGTTATCACACCTCTCTTCTCGGGAAATCTAGTTTGTTTGAGGCATACCCATTTATTACCCTAGATATGATATTTTTTAAGGTCAATGTTTTATTCAAATAAAAAGTAGCTCTTGGACCACCAAAATATAATCTTATGGCTGGGAATAATGCAGATTTTTTTTTCGTTTTTTTAAGTGGACTCTCCAGGGCCTCACTAGCTAAATCAGAAAAAGGCAGAAAAGTAGGTGTTGGAACATCAGGAAACCACTTAGCTTGTCATATCTCCATCCTGAGTCATTTGCAATGACTTTATATTTACCTCCTGTGACGATATACAGCCAAATAGATGGTACACTGCATTTACAAATTCAAAACTTAGTTTAGAACACTTTGTGTTTTTTTTTAATTTATAAAAAGGAAGGAGAGGATTGAGGGAGCTGAGTAATGTAGATTTATAAAAACAAACGACTTATTCATCTGGCTAAGTCAGGCAAAATTTGGGATAAATAATCTAAAATTTTCCATATTACTTTATGTTCTTATGTGTGTGAGACAATCAAATAAACCTGTTTTCTTTCATTTAGTTTCCTTTCAGCTTGAGAAATGGTGTACTCAATTTAATACACTCTTGGAAAGCTGAACAGTCTCTTCCAATTTCCTATATTCAGCTCCATTTAACAAACATTTATTGAGTGCCTACTGTGTGCCAGGGACTGCTTTTTAAATTTAAATAAGTAAGGTTTAATATTTCAGTAGCGTGTTTTCAAGACTTTATACCCTTGTCAAACAATCATGAATGTACATATTTAGTTGAAAGGCTAATGGCATCATAACAGGCAAACAATTTTAACTCAGCTGCATGAAATTAAAACAACTAAATTTGATTTTGTCAAACTTGGCCCTTACATTGGGAATGGTTTTCATGTTAGCTTATGTGCCAGAGCTGAAACTACTAGTTTCAACCTTGCCTTCTTCAGAAATAGCTGAATACTGGGCCTTCTGTCTGAAACTTTGGAATCAACTTTACTACTGAATAAATAACACCAGATTTTTGACTGAATGTTCACATTGGTATGCCATAACTAGCAAAAATAGATACAGGAAGCACATTGCTTTTCTGTCATTCCTTAGGTGTTTGTGGCAGGCTTCAAGCTTCTGGATGACTAATACACTATGCAGTCCTAATATTTGTTGTTGCCATGATTTCCTAAGGTCTCCACCCACTGCTTGTTTTCTGCAATTTGAGATCTCTTCGCTTTACTAACCCTATGATTTCGGCCCCTCATTCTCATTCCAGCTCATCAATCGTTATGTCTAACCAGTTTCCTTTAGACATTGACCCTGTATTACTTTGTCAGATTAGGCCTGCATCTCATTACTCTTGGCTGACAATGTAAACACCATAGAGGTACCCTTCTAAAGCCTACATCCTCCACCAGGACCAGAAGGCTAATAAATACCTGGTTCGGTGAATATGCACTGCAATATCTTTCAATTTTGTTATATCATGTACAAGCAAATTGTTTCAAGTTCACAAAGTTTCTTGGTGGTACTCTCTCACTTCTCATTTCTTCTTGTCTTTCTCCATGCTCAGGCATCTGATGTTCTCAGACTTCTCATATTTCTGCTTTCCCAAGGAGGCAAATTATAGTTTCATTCACACTGAGGTAACAGAGCCTTATGTGGTACTTCTTTTAGGCAGGTTTTCATTTTGAATAAACTGTAAGGATAACAATCCTCAAAAACCAAAATATATATCTAGTAAAATAATTTTCCCTATCAGGACATGAGAGAAGTATGAATGGAGTTGCCTGTCAGGCACTCCACAAATTATAATGCAACGGCTCAGCAGCTTTCAGCACACTGACAAAACACTTAAGCATGTATTCAAAGATGCATAGGTGAAAGGAAATTGCCAGGCCATGACTCTAGCAAGGCTATGACTTGGCCCAGTGGACCTCAGATCTTCAATGAGAAGAGACCTTTCTGGTGCATTACATCCAGAAATATCTTTTGTATTATTATGTTATATATAGCATTTACATGTATATTTTTAAAAATAAACATACCTAACCCACCACCAATCCTATACAATAAAATATTAACAGTTTCTTCATAGTTCCCTCTATGCTGCTGCCTAATAGTTTTTCCTTCTTCCCATAAAAAACACTAATATCCTGAATTATGTATTCCAACGATTTTATTCAGTTTTATCATAGGCATGTGTTTCTCTTAATTTATATATAGATTTTTCTTAGCCTATATATAGGCAGAATCATTATTTATCTATTCTTCCATGATTCCTTGTGGCACTGATTCATTAATTTTCTTTACTGTATAGAATTCTATTCTGTGATACTGTGATTTGAATGTTTTGTCCCCTCCAAATTTCATGTTGAAACTTAACTGCCAGTGTAACAGCATAAAGAGACAGAACCTTCAAGATGTGAATAAGTCATGAAAGTGGAGCCCTCCTGTATGAGATTAGATGCCCATATAAAAGGGCTTGGCTGAGGGAATTCATCCCTTTTGCCCATCCACCTTCTGTCATGTGAGAACCTAGCACTCTTCTCCTCAGGAGCATGTAGCAGCAAGCCACCATCCCAGAAGCAGAGAGCAGCCCCTACCAGACAACCAAACTTTCTGGGCACCTTGATCCTGGACATTCCATTCTCCAGAATGGTGAGAAAATAAATCTGTTCTTTATATATAATCCAGACAGGTATTTTGTTGAGCAGCAAAAACAGACTAGACATGTGACAACTACAATTTATTCATTCTCTCGAGTTTGTTTCTTTGACAGTTTTTTAGCTATTACAACAGCTTTATGAATATGTATCTTGGTGCATATTTCAAATAGTTTCTCTAGAGTATATAATAGAAGTGTAATTTCTGGGTCATGTATTAAGCACAGGTACTACTTTACCAGGTAATACCTAGTGCTTTTCCACACTGTTTGTACTAACTTACACTCCATTGCAATGTAAGCAACTAAGTTCAGAAGGATCTTTTTCTTTTTTCTTTTCTTCTTTTCTTTTCTTTCTTTCTTTCTTTCTTTCTTTCTTTCTTTCTTTCTTTCTTTCTTTCTTTCTGCCTTTCTTTCTTCCTTCCTTTCTTCTTTCTTTCTTTCTTTCTTCTTCTTCTTTTTTTTTTTAAGAAACAGGATATTGCTGTGTTACCCAGGCTGGAGTGCAGTGGCATGATCATAGCTCACTGCAGCCTTGAACTCTTGGGCTCAAGTGTTCCTCCTGCCACAACCTCTCAAGTAGCTGGGACTCTAGGCATGCACCACCACACTCAGCTACTTTTTATTTTTGTTTAGTAGAGATGTGGTCTCACTATGTTGCCCAGGCTGGTCTGCAACACCTAGCCTCAAGAGATCATCTTGCCTCAGCCTCTTAAAATGCTGTGATTAAAGTCACGAGACACCACACCCGGCCATAAGTGTCTTTGTGGAAAAAATGCAACCGGTGGTAATTATATTACCTAACAGCCACATTTAATCGAGTAAACTACAACTACAACTCACCTAGATATCTACGTTCACACCCTATCTAGCTTCATATTGCACGGCTACAGCTTCAGAACATACTCCATCATTCAGGGAATCCCATTGTATAAAAGCCCATGAAAAGACATACCTTCCTTTATCAGTTATAACCCTGAAAGGAAAGAAGAAAAAAGATAGAAAACTGAGGAGAAAGTCAACACAGCACCTCCCTATTATGCTCCATCTATTATATGGCTTAGCTTTTATTTGTGTATTTTTATATTGTGCCAATTTTTTATGTGTAAAATGATGGTGACAACTTTTTTTAAAGATATGGGGTTTTTCTCTGCCACCCAGGCTGGAGTGCCATGGTGCAATCATAGCTCACTGCAGCCTTGAATTCCTGGCCTCAAATGATCCTCCTGCCTCAGCCTCCTGAGGATCTGGGATTATAGGTGAAAGCCACAGTGCCTGGCTAATAAAAAGTGTTAAACAAACTAAACCACAAATATCATAGATTGAAAAGCTGTATATTCACCTCCCAGATTTAGTAAAAGTTAACATTTTGCTTATTTTCTTAAGGATATATGTATATATAAATTTTTATGTGTATATATATATATATTCGTAAGAATATTGAGTCCGTTGGTACTACTATAACAAAATACCTGAGACTGGGTAATTGATAAAGAATATACGTTTGTTTCTCACAGTTCTCACTTCTGGGTGCTGAAAGTCCAAGATCAAGTTTCTGGCAGTTTCAGTGTCTGGTGAAGGCCTGGTTTCTTCTTCAAAGATAGTGTCTTGTTGCTGTGTCCTTCTGAAGGGATAACCATTATGTCCTCACATGGCAAAAGGGACAGAAATCAAAGAAAGGGCTAATGGTAGTACCCTCCAGTCCTTTTATAAGGGCCCTAATTCCATCTATGAGGTCTCTGTCCTCATAATTTAATCACCTTCTAAGGTTTCTACCTCTTAATACTCTCACATTGATTATTAAGTTTCAACAAAAGCAAGCATTATATATATATATATATATATATATGTATTTATTTATTTTTAAAATCCAAGTGGTGAGTACACAGGTGTTCAATCTATTGTTTTTTGTAGTTTACTTTGTTTGAAAACTTTTATTAAGAATCATTATTTGCACATACAAAAACTGTCACAAAATGAAAAACACAAAAGCCGGTGTATTATATATAATACATATATTAAATGTATATGAAATAAAATATTATAGGTAAAAATGCAGTATCTTTGTAATCTTCTCTGATGTCATTTTCCTCCCATGTTTCTCTTAAAGTTGTTTCATGTCCTTCTTTTTTAGGTATTGGCATATATGTATGTGCCCATAAACAATATATAATATTTTTTATTCATTTAAACACTTCACATAAATTGTATATTATACTTATCATTTAGTTAAATATTTCCTAATAAAGTTTTTGACATGTATACATGTAGTATACCACTACCACTTTAATTATCATTTCCTGTATTGTTCCATTATGTACATAGACCACAATTTATTTCTTGTCCTATTGATGAGGATTTTTTTTTGTTTTCTTGTCTCACTTTTCACTATTGCAATCAACATTGTCATGAAAGTATCAGTGCACCTTTATAGATGTGTGTGTATGAAAGCTGTCAACAGTATATCCAGAAGTGGAATGACAGTGTTGTAGATTATGAACATTTTCTACTTTACTACAGGTTGCCACATTGCTCACAAACTGGAATGACTATATAAACTTATTCCAAAAGTGTATAAACATTCCTGTGTCTTTCTCCTCACCAATATGTTATCAGAGTGTAGCTTGTGAGGGGATGGGGGATAGTGGACTGAGAAAAGTTTAGAGAGTGGACAAGGGCTTGATCATAAATTTACTTATAGAACCTACTAGGCGACGTTGATCTCATTCTGAGAGCCCATTGAAGGATTTTCAATGGGGGAATGTTGGGATCAAACTTTGCTTTTAGAAAGATCACAGGATATAGTATAGAGAATGTATTATGAAATGCATACTTAATGGAAGTCCCTTAAAGGAACTAGGAATTTAGGGTTACCTAAATTTTGCTCACTGCCTTATATCTCTTTGTTTTGTTTCTTAATAAAAAGAATAAGCTTTCATGTTTTGCATTTATTAGTTTTCCTCTAGCAGCACTTCAAGGTCATGAAGCTCCAACCTAAAGGAAAAGAGAACAGGTTTTTCATCCATTGTTTGGCAGTTTTATAAAGGACACATACTGTGTAGAAGAGATATACAGCCTCTGTCAATTGCACAAACTAATAAACACACCTTTATTATTAATTACCATTTTCTTTTTGTGCTAGTTTGCCAAATGGCATTGAAAGCTGAAGCACAGATGCTCATTAACATCCTTTTTGATTTACTGATAATTCAACACTGACGGTTTAATAAGCTTAGGACTCAATCCAAAGATTATTTGTCACCACATTTTTGGGGAATTGTCTTTTCTCACCTCTTGAACTTAACAGCTTGTCCAGTTTTGTAATAACCATTCCAATAATATGAGTGTTTTGAATTTATATTGCATAGTTTTAATTAAGAGATCAAAATATATCTCCCCAATTCTTCAGCTTACCTTCACAATAATCTCTCATTTTATGGACCTCCTTTTCCATAAGGGGAAATATCATTTAGATTTGGCCAAATAATGTTTAAACTTATTGGATCTGTCTGTAGCTGAATATAGACAGCAAGACATGCTGATTTCTTTGTCTGAGGGACAAGAGATTTCTTAGAAATGTAGCTTTACTGAGAGGGGCCAAGATGGCTGATTAGAAGCAATTATGTTACGTGGCTTTCATGGAGAAGAACGAAAATAGTGAGTGAATTCAGCACCTTCAACTAAAATATACAGATTCTCTCATTGGGACTGACTAGACAGATGGCTCGACCCATGGAAAATGAAGAAAAGCAGGGTGGGGTGATGGCCAACCCACAAGTGGTGTAGAGTCAAAGGAACCACCACCCCCAGTCAAGGGCTGCTGTGAGTGATTGGGCAACCCCCTCCCCCTCGCCGAAACCACACTTCTCCCATGGATCTTTGCAACCAAATGATCAGGAGATTCCCTCATGATCCCATGCCACCAGGGCCTTGGGTCCTATACACAGAGCTGTGCAGAGTCTTGTCAGAGCAATCACTCAGGCTCACACAGATACCCAGGGGTTTTACAGACTGTGGCTCCAGGAATCCCAACAAGGTGGGAGATCCATCCATAGACTCCCCTAGGAAGGGGGCTGAACTCAGGGAGCCAAGTGGTTTCATTCTATGGGCCCAACTTTCATGGCACCTCATAAATTAAGTCCCATTGGCTTGGAATTCCAGTCGGCCAGTGCAGCAGATTGGAGACTGCTTGAGACAGACAAGTTCCCAGGAGGAGGGGCAGCTACCATTTCGGTAGTTAGTTCAACTCAGCTTTTCTAGCTTCTGGCTCTGGGGGTTCCAGGTTGTCCAGACGATGAAGAATCCCCACAACGCAGAACAACTGCTGTGCCAAATCGTGGCCAAACTGCTTCTTTAAGTGGGACCCTGATCCATCCCTCCTCACTGCATGGAGCCTTGCTGTGGAAATTCCAGCAAATCCATCTAGGGTTATATGGAAAAACTCTGATCTCTCCCTGGAATGGAGCCTCCAGAGGGAGAGGCAGCTGATGTCTCTGTGGTTCAGTCAACTCAGCCTTTTCAGACAAGCAAATGCCGAGGGAATTTGTCACCACCAGGCCTGCCTTGCAAGAGCTCCTGAAGGAAGCATTAATATGGAAAGCAAAAACTGTTACCAGCCACTGCAACAATACACTGAAGTATACAGACCAATAACACTATGAAGCAACCACTTAAGTTTCAAAATAACCAGCTAGCATCATGATGACAGGATCAAATTTACATATAACAATGTTTATCTTAAATATAAATGGACTAAATGCCCCAAGTAAAAGGCACAGAATGGCAAGCTGGATGAAGCGTCAAGACCCATTGGTATGGTGTCTTAAAAAGACCCATCTCACATGCAAAGACACACATAGGATCAAAATAGAGGGAGGAAGGAAAATTTACCAAGCAAGTGGAAAACAGAAAAAAGCAGGAGTCCCAATCCTGTGTTGACGAGACAGACTTTAAGCCAACAAAGTTAAAAAAAAAAAAGAAAGGCATTACATAATGGTAAAGGATTCAATTCAGCAAGAAGATCTAACTATCCTAAGTATATATGCACCCAATACAAGAGCAGCCAGATTCATAAGGCCAGTTCCTGAAGACAGGCAGAATTAGACTCCCACACAATAATAGTGGGAAACTTTAATACCCCACTGACAATACTGCACAGACCATTGAGACAGAACATTAGAAAAGATATTCGAGACCTAAACACAGCTCTGGATCAAGTGGACCTGATAGATATCTACAGAACTCACCACCCCAAAACAAGAGAACGTACATTCTTCTTATCACCACATGGGATTTACTCTAAAACTGATTTCATAATCCGAAGTAAAACACTTCTCAGCAAATGCAAAAGAACTGAAATCATAAGGAAGTCTCTCAAACCACAGCACAATCAAATTAGAACTCAAAACTAAGAAATTAACTCAAAACCACACAATTACATGAACACTGAACAACCTGCTCCTGAGTGACTCCTGGGTAAACAATAAAATTAAGACAGAAAGCAAGAAGTTCTTTGAAAGTAATGGGGACAAAGAGGCAACATACCAGAATCTTTGGGATGTAGCTAAAGCAGTGTTAAGAGAAAAATTTATGGCCAGGCACGGAGGCTCACACCTGCAATCCCAGCACTTTGGGAGGCCAGGGCAGGCAGATCACCTGAGATCAGGAGTTCGAGACCAGCCTGACCAACATGGTGAAACCTTGTCTCTACCAAAAATACAAAATTAGCTGGGCATGGTGGTGCGTGCCTGTAATCCCAGCTACTCAGGAGGCTGAGGCAGAAGAATTGCCTGAACCCAGGAGGTGGAGCTTGCAGTGAGCTGAGATTGTGCCATTGGACTCCAGCCTGGGCAACAAGAGCGAAACTACGTATGAAAAAAAAAGAAGAAGAAGAAAATTTGTAGCACTGGATATCCACATCAAAAATCTAGAAATATCTCAAATTAACAACCTAACATTGCAACTAAAAGAACTAGAGAACCAAGACCAAACAAATCCCGTAGGTAGAAGAAAAGAAAAAATAACCAAGATCAGAATGGAACTGGAAGAGATAGAAATATGAAAATCCCTTCAAAATAAATTAAAAATTGAGAAGCATTTTTTGGAAAAAAATTAACAACATGAACAGACGGCTAGCCAGACTAATAAAGAAAAAAAGAGAGAATGATCAAATAGATACAATTAGAAGTGATAAGGGAGATGTCACCACTGACCCCACAGAAATACAAACAATCATCATAGAATACTATAAACACATTTATGCACATAAAACATAAAACTTAGAAGACATCAATAAATTCCTGAACACGTACATCTTCCCAAGATTGAAGCAGGGAGAAATTGAATACTCGAATAGATGAATAACGAGTTCTGAAATGGAGAAAGTAATAAATAGCCTACTAACCAAAAAAGCCCAGGAACAGAGAGATTTAAAGCTGAATTCTACCACAGGTACAAAGAAGAGCTGGGACAATTTCTACTGAAATTATTCCAAAAAATTGAAGAGGAGAGACTCCTACCTAACTCATTTTATGAGGCCAGGATCATTCTGATACCAAAACCTGTCAGAGGTACAATGAAAATAGACAACTTCAGGCCAATATCCTTGAAGAACATTGATACAAAAATCTTCAATTAAATACTAGCAAGCTGAATGCAGCAGCACATCAAAAAGCTTATCCACCACAATCAAGTCAGCTTCATCTTGGATGCCAGGTTGGTTCAACATACACAAATCAATAAATATAATTAATCACATATATAGAACTAAAGACAAAAAACAAAACATTATCTCAATAGAAGCAGAAAAGGCCTTTGATAGATTCAACATACCTTCATGGTAAAAACTCTCCGTGAACTAGGTGTTGAAGGAATATACCCCAAAATAATAAGAGCTCTATTTGACAGACCCACAGCCAATATCATACTGAATGGGCAAAAGCTGGAAGCACTCCCCTTGAAAACCGTCACAAGACAATAATGTCCTCTCTCACCAACTCCTTTTCATCATAGTATTGGAAGTTCTGACCAGGCTATCAGGCAAGAGAAAGAAATAAAGCATATTCCAGTAGGGAGAGAAGAAGTCAGACTGTCTCTGTTTGCAGATGACGTGATCCTCTATCTAGAAAACCCCATTGTCTCAGCCTAAAAGCTCTTTAAGCTGATAAGCTACTTCAGCAATGTCTCAGGATATAAAATCAATGTGCAAAAATCAGTAGCATTACTATACACCAACAACAGACAAGCAGAGAGCCAAATCATAAATGAACTCTCATTCACAATTGCCACAAAAAGAATAAAATACCTAGAAATACAGCTAACAAGGGAAGTGAAGGAACTCTTCAAGGATAACCACAAACCACTGCTCAAGGAAATCAGAAGGAACACAAACAAAAGGAAAAACTTCCTATGCTAATGAAGAGGAAAAATTAATATTGTGAAAATTGCCATGATGCCCAAACTAATTCATAGATTCAATGTTATTCCAATTAAACTACCATTGACATTCTTCATAGAATTAGAAAAACTATTTAAAAATTCACATGGAATAAAAACAGAGCCCAAATAGCTAAGACAATCCTTAGGAAAAATAACAAAGCTAGAGGCATCATGCTACCTGACTTCAAACCATAATACAAGGTTACAGTAACCAAAACGGCATGATACTGGTACAAAAAGAGACACACAGGCCAATGGAACAGAATAGTTGAGAACTCAGAAATAAGACCACATACCTAAAACCATCTGATCTTTTACAAACCTTATCCAAACAAGCAATGGAAAAAGGATTTCCTATTTAGTAAATGGTGCTGGGAGAACTGGCTAGTCATATGCAAAAAATTGAAACTGGACCCCTTCCTTGTCTTGTGCTAGTTTTCAAAAGAAATGCTTCAAGCTTTTGTCCATTCAGTATAATATTGGCTGTCAGTCTGTCATACAGAGCTCTTATTATATTGAGATATATTCTTTCAATACCTAGTTTATTGAGAGTTCTTAACATAAAGGGATGTTGAATTTTATCAAAGGCCTAAAGAAGGATTAAGTACCTGAATGTGAAACCCAAAACTATAAAAACCCTTAAAGAAAATCTAGGTAATATCATTCAGCATATAGGCATGGGCAAAGATTTCATGACAAAAACATCAAAAGTAATTGCAACAAAACCAAAAACTGACAAAAGGGATCTAATTAAACTGAAGAACTTCTGCACAGCAACAACAAAAAAGCTATTATCAGAGTAAAGAAAAGATACAAATGGCAAACAGATACATGAAAAGGGGCTCAACATCCTTGATCATCAGATAAATACAAATCAGAACTCAGAAATACAATCAGATAATATCTCAGCCAAGTTACAATCGCATATATATATTATATATTATATATATAATATATATAATATATAATATATTATATATATAATATATATAATATATATTATATATATAATATATATAATATATAATATATTATATATATAATATATATAATATATAATATATTATATATATAATATATATAATATATAATATATATATGAACACTCCAACAAAATTTGCCCCCAACAGGGACTCTAATTTAACAACTGCCTACACAAAAAAGCATCTTCATAAAAACCAAAAATCGGGTTAATTCCATTACCTGTAATTAACTTCCTATCCAGAAAGACGTACTGAATTGGTAGGAAAAACAGTGTTGAATCACAGACATGACTCCCGCACACCCTGGCAGCAGCATCATAGTGCAGAGAGCTTTTCTGTGTCCTGGAGAGAAAGATAGCTGGCAATTGAGAGACACTGAACTCAGTGCTGCCCTTGTTATAGCAGAAAGCAAAACCGGACCAAATTCAGCTTGTGCCTGCCCCACAGAAGGTGCATTGAAATCAGCCCTAAAATGAGGGGAACTGCTGATTCCAGCAGTCAAAACTTAAATTCTGGCAAGCTTTCCCACTGCAGGTTAAAGTGCTCTGGGACTCCAAATGACCCTAAAACACAGTCTAGGCTACAAGGAATGAAACTTCTGAGCGAGTCCTAGGGCTAAACTGAGCCCAGAGAGAGTGGACCGGGGGAGATATGCCACCTACTAAGACACCAGCCTGGGCAGATAAGGGAGTGCTGACGTCATTCAGTGCACAACCACAGGCTTCACAGTTCATGGTTCCAAAAAGACCTCTTCCTTTTGTCTGAGAAAAGAAAAGGAAAGAGTCAGGGCACTTTGTCTTCCACTTGGATACCAGCACAATCACAGCAGAGCAGGGCACCAGGCAGATTCGAGAGGACTTCTTTTTAAGACCTAGCTCCTGAACATTTCTAGATACACTCTGGGTCAGGAGGAAACTCACTGCCTCAAATGAAATGACTGAGTCCTAACAGGACTAATCACCTGATGACTGAAGAAACCTTGGGCCCTGAATAACAAGCAGTAATAACCAGGTACTATGTCAAAGGCCTTGGGTGAGGCCCTAAGACTTTCCAGCCTTAGGTGAGACTCAAGACTTTCTCATTGGTGGTGACTACAGGGCAAGACTCCTTTTTGCTAGTGAAAAGCAAAAGAAAAAGTAAAGGGGACTTTGTCTTGCACCTTATGTTCCAGATCAGTCACAGTGAAGTAGAGCACAAAGCAAGCTCTTGGGGTCCATGATTCCAGGACTTAGCTTTTGGACAGCATTTCAGGACATGCTTGGATCCAGAGGGGAAACTACTCCCCTGAAGGGTGTCTCAGACCAAGAAGCATTCACCTCATGCTGACTACAGAGCCCTTGCACCTTAAGGAAACATCAGCAGTAGTCTGGCAGTACTTCTCATGTGCCTGAGGTGGCAGTGGCCAGAGTGGAAAGGACTGCAACTTGTGGTTTTAGTACCAGCTCAGCAGCAGTACAATAGAACAGCAGGTGAATTTCTAAGGTTTCAGACTCTAGTTTCTGGTTCCTGGATGGAATATCTGGACCCACACGAGGACTGGAGGAACTCACCATGAAGAAGAGAAGTACAAAGGCCTGGCTGGCTTTGCCATCTGCTGATTTTAGAGTCCCAGGGCTTTGAGAGAAGATAGTCACAACCAGAAAGTGATTACAGCAGGCCTTGGGGGAGACTCAGTGCTGTGCTAACTTTAGGTGTGATTCACTGCAGTCGTAGGGATGGTGGCCACAAGGGTGCTTGTGTCACTCAATTCTCAGCTCTAGGTGGTTCAGAACAGAGAGAAAGAGACTCCATTTGTTTGGAAGAAAGTAAGAGAAAGAACAAGAGTCTCCATCTGATAATTCAGAAAATGCTTTTGGATATTAGCCAAGATCATCAAGGCTATACCTCTATCAGTCCGAAAGAACCACAGTAATACATGTCTTATGGTTCCTACTAAAATAGACACAGCATAGATTACAACAAAGAAGTCTTTTTGAATATCTAGAAAGTCCTCCTAAGTCGAATGGGTACAAACAAGCCCAGACTGCAAAGACTAAAATAAATACATAACTCCTTAATGCCCAGACACAGGTGAACATCAGTAAGTATCAAAACCATTCAGGAATTACCAAACCCATGACATTACCAAATAAACTAAACAAGCTGCCAGGGACCAAGCCTAAAGAGATATCTTTTAAAAATATAACCATTCAGACAGATAATTCAAAATGGCTGTATTGGGGAAACTCAAATAAATTCAAGATAACACAGAGAAGGTATTCAGAATTCTAGCAGATAAATTTGACAAAGAGATCCAAATAACTATAAAGCATCAAGCTGAAATTCTGGAGCTGAAAAATGCAATTGGCATACTGAAGAATACATCAGCATCTTCTAATAGCAGAATTAATCAATAAGAAGAAACAGTGAGCTCAAAGACAGACTATTTGAAAATACAGAGGAGACAAAAGAAAAAATAATAAAAAACAATGAAGCATGAATATAAAAATGAGAAAATAGCCTCAAAAAGGCAAACCTAAGAGTAACGGGCCTAAAAAAAGAGGTAGAGAAAGAGATTGGGGTAGAAAGTTTATTCAAAAAGATAATAACAGAGAAGTTCCCAAACTTAGAGAAATACATTAACGTTCAAGTACAAGATGGTTATAGAACACCAGGTAGATTTAACCCAAAGAAGACTACCTCATGGCATTTAATAATAAAACCTCCAAAGATCAAGAATAAAGAAAGGAGTATAAAAGCAGCAAGAGAAAAGAAACAAATAAAGTAAAATCGTGCTCTAAAATATTTGGCTACAGACTTTTCAGTGGAAACAGTACAGGTGAGAAGAAAGTGGCATGACATATTTAAAGTGCTGAAGGAAAAACAAATCTACATTAGACCATTATATCTGGTGAAATTTCAAACATGAAGGAGAAATAAAGACTCACCAAGACTCCAAACCTGAGAGATTTCATCAATACCAGACCTGTCCTACAGGAAATGCTAAAGAGAATTCTTCATTTAGAAAGAAAAGGACATTAATAAGCAATAAGAAATCATCTGAAGTATAAAACTCAGTGTTAATAGTAAGTATCCAGAAAAGCACATCATATTATAGCACTGTAACTGTGGTGTGTAAGCTACTCTTATCTTAAGTAGAAAGACTAAACAATTAACTAATCAAAAATAATAACTACAACAAGCTTTTAAGACAGTTCAATAAGATATAAATAGTTACAATAAAAAGTTAAAAAGTAGGAGGACAAAGTTACGGTGTAGAGTCTTTATTAGTTTCTTTTTGCTTGTTTGTTTATGGAAACAGTATTAAATGATTATCAGCTTAAAATAATATGTTATAGGATAGTATTTGCAATCCCCATGGTAATCTCAAATATAAAAAGCCCACAAAGGATACAAAAAGTTAAAAATCAAGAAGCTAAATCATATCACCAGAGAAAATCACCCTCACTAAAAGACAATAAAAATAGAAACAAGGAAGAGAAGACCACAAAACAACCAGAAAACATGTAGTAAGTTGGCAGAAGTGTGTCCTTCCTTATCAATAATAACATTGAATGTAAATAAATTAAACTCTCCAATCAAAAGACATAGAGGCTGAATGCATTTAAAACCCAGGCCCGTTGATCTGTTGCCTGCAATAAAAACACTTTACATATAAAGAAAGACACAGACTGAAAATAAAGGGATTAAAAAAAGATATTCCATGTCAATGAAAACAAGAAAAGAGCAGGAGTAGCCATATTTACATCACACAAAATAGATTTCAAGACAAAATCTATGATAAAAGTCAAATAAGTCACTGTATAGTAATAAACAGGCTAATTCAGCAAGATGGCATAACAACTGTAAATATGTAAGTACCCAACACTAGGGCACCCAGATATATGAAGCAAATATTAGTAGAGCTAAAGAGAGAGTTAGGTCCCAATACAGTAGTAGCTGGAGACTTCAAAACCCCATTTTCAACTTCAGAAAAGTCTTCCAGACAGAAAATCAACAAAGAAACATCACACTTAGTCTGAGCTATAGACAAAATTAATCTAACAGATATTTACCAAACATATCAGCCAAGAGCTGCAGAAAACACGTTATTTTCCTCAGTAAATGAATTATTCTCAAGGATAGATCATACATTAGGTCACAAAGCAAGTCTTAAATCATTCATAAAAATTGAATAAGCATCTTTTCTGATCACAATGGAATAAAATTAGAAATCAATAATTTGAATTTTGAAAACTATACAAATACAATATGCTCCTGAATGGCCAGTGTGTTAATAAAACAATTAAGAAGAAAATTGAAAATTTTCTTGAAACAAATGATAATGGAAGCACAACATGCCAAATCCTATGGGATAAAACAAAAGCTTTACTAAGAAGAAAGTTTATAGCTACAAATGCCTGGAGAAAAAAAACTTCAAATAAACAACTCAACAATACATCTTAAAGAATTAGAGAAGCAAGACCAAACCAAAGCCAAAGTTACTGTAATAAAAAATAATACACATCAGAGCAGAAATAAATGAAATTGAAATAAAGAAAACAGTACCAAAGATAAATAAAACAAAAAGTTGTTTTTTAAAATGAAACAAAATAGAGAAAACTTTAGCCACACTATAAAAAAGAGAGAAGACCCACATAAATACAATCAGAGATAAAAAAGGAGATATGACACATGTTAATACAGAAATTTAAAGGATCATTAGTGGCTACTATGAGCAACTAAATTCAAATAGGAAAATCTAGAAGAAATTGACAATTTCCTAAACACATACAACCTTTCAAGAGTGAATTATGAAAAACTTCCAAGCCTGAACAGACCAATACCAATGAGGTCAAAGCCTTAAGAAAATGTCTGTCAATAAAGTAAAGCCTGGGGCCTGATGGCTTCACTGCTGAATTCTAGCACACATTTAAAAAACTAACGCCAATCCTACTCAAACTCTTCTAAAAGATAGAGGAATAGAGAATACGCCCAAACTCATGCTTCAAGGCCAGTATTACCCTGATACCACAATCAGACAAAGATACTTTAAATGGAGAAAACTACAAGCCAATGTTCCTGATGAATCTAGATGGAAAAACCCTCAACAAAATATTAGCAAACTGAATTTAAAAATACAATAAAAAATTTACTCATCATGACAGAGTGTGAATTTTTTTTTTTTTTTTTTTTTTTTTTTTTGAGATAGGGTTTTGCTCTGTCACCCAGGCTGGAGTTCAGTGTTGCAATTTTAGCTCACTGCAACTTCCATCTCCTAGGTTGAAGCGATTCTTGTGCCTCAGCCTCCCAAGTAACTGGGACTACAGGCATGCACCACCACGCCCTGTTAATTTTGCTTTTTGTTTTGTTTTGTTTTGTAGAGACAGGGTCTTGCCATATTGCCCAGGCTGGTCTTATAGTCCTGCCTCAAGTGATCTACCCACTTTGGCCTCCCAAAGTGCTGGAATTACTAGAGTGTGCCACCACACCCTGCTATGACTGAGAGTGATTTACCCTGGGATGCAAACAAGCATGTTTCACTATATGAAAATTAATCAATGTGATACATTCTATCAACAGAATAAAGGATAAAACCATGTGATCATTTCAATTGATACTGAAGAAACAATTGATAAAATTCAACATTACTTTATAATAAAAACCTTCAAAACACTGGCCATAGAAGGAACATACCTCAAGATAATAAAAGCCACATATGACAGACCCTCAACTAGTATTATACTGAATGGGGAATAACTTATATTCTCTCTTCTAAGTTCTGGAACACAATAAGGATGCCCATTTTCACCGCTGTTATTCAGCATAGTCCTGGAATTCTGCACTAGAGCAATCATTCAAGACAAAGATATAAAGGGCATCCAACTTGGAAAGGAAAAAGTGAAATTATCCTGGTTTGCAGATAATATAATCTTGTATTTGAAAAAAACTAAAAACACCATTTAGTTATTTTCAAATGGGCAATTGAATTATTATTGACTATAGTCATCCTATTGTGGTATATACTATGTCTTATTCATTCATTCTAACTATTTTTATGTACCCATTAATCATCCCCAGTTTCCCCTTACTCCTGCAGTACCTTTCTCAACCTCTGCTAGACATCTTTATACTCTAACTCAGTAGGTTCAACTGCTTTGTTTCTAGATCTCACAAGTAAGTGAGAAAATGCAATGTGGTCTTCCTGTGACTGGCTTATTTTACTTAACATAATGACCTCCAGTTTCATACAGGTTCTTGCAACTGACTGAATCTCATTCTTTTTCTACCTGAATAGCACTTCATTGTGTATAAGTATCACATTTTCTTTATCTCTTCACCTGTTGATGGACACTTAGGTTGCTTCCATATCTTGGCTATTGAGAGCAGTGCTCCAAAAAAACACACATGTGAGTGCAAATATTTCTTCAATATACTGATTTTCTTTTTCTATTTTTTTTGGAGTATAAACCCAGCAATGGGATTGATGGATCATATGGCAGTTCTGTTTTTAGTTTTATGAGGAACATCCAAACTGTTCTCCATAGTTGTTGTACTAATTTACATTCCCACCAACAGTTTATGAAGATTCCTTTTTCTCCATATTTCTGTCAGCATTTGCTGTTGCCTGTATTTTGGATAAAAATCATTTTAACTTGGGTGATAGAATATTTCATTGTAGTTTTGATTTGCAGTTCTCTGATGACCAATGATATTGCACACCTTTTCATATGTCTGTTTTCCATTTTTGTCTCTTTTTTGAGACATGTCTATTTAAATCTTTTGCCTATTTTGAATTGGATTTTTTTTTTTTTTTTTGATGGGGTCTAGCTCTGTCGCCCAAGCTGGAGTGCAATGGCATGATCTCGGCTCACTGTAACCTCCATCTCCTGCATTCAAACGATTCTCCTGCCTCGGCCTCTTGAGTAGCTGTGATTAAAGGCGCATGCCACTATGCTTGGATAATTTTTGTGTTTTTAGTAAAGATGGGGTTTCACCATGTCGGCCAGGCTGGTCTCGAACTCCTGACCTCAGGTGATCCGCCTACTTCGGCCTCCCAAAGTGCTGAGGTTACAGGTGTGAGCCACTGCACCCAGGTCAACTGGATTATTATTTTTTTTTTTAGAGTTGTTTGAGTTCCATACATATTCTGGTTATTAAACCCTTGTCAGAGGGGTAGTTTGCAAATATTTTCTCCCATTCTATGTGTTGTCTCTTCACTTTGTCGATTAGTTCCTTTGCGTGCAAACGATTTTAAAGTTGATATGATCCCATTTGTTCATTTTTGCTTTGGTTGCCTGTGCCCTTAGGGTATTGCTCAAGAAATCTTTGAGGTGTTGCCCAGACCAGCATCCTGGAGATTTTCCTTAATGTTTTATGTTTGTTTGTTTTGTTTTGTTTTGTTTAGCAGTTTTATAGTCTGAGGTCTTAGATTTAAGTCCTTTATCTATTTTGATTGGATTTTTTGCATATGGTGAGAGATATGGATTGAGTTTTATTCTTTTGCATATGGATTGTTTGTAATGAAAAAATGATGAAAGCTTGAGGGGATGGATACACCATTTCCCATGATGTAATTATTACACATTGCATGCATGTATCAAAAAAATATAATGTATCCCATAAATATATATACCTACTATGTGAACACAATAATTAAAATTAAAAAAGAAATGATACTACAGAGCTATAGTAAACAAAACAACATAGTAATCACATAAAAGCAGACACATGGATCAATGGAACAGACTAAAGAAACCAGAAAAAAAATTATACATCTACAGTGAACTTATTTTCAACAAAGTTGCCAAGAACATACATTGAGAAAAATATAATCTCTTCAATAAGTGGTTCTGGGAAAACTGGATATCTACCTGCAGAAGAATGGAACTAGACCCTTATCATTCACCATATGCAAAAATATAATTAATATGGATTAAGAACTTAAATCTCTGCTCCTGTGAGTAGTGATGTAAACCTAAATGCCCATCCATGATAGACTGGATTTTAAAAAAATGTGGTACATATACACCACGAAATACTACACAGTTATAAAAAAGAACAAGATCATGATTTTTGCAGCAACATGGAAGAAGCCTTTGGCCATTACTCTAAGAGAAAGAATACAGGGAGAGAAAAGCAAATATCATATGTTTTTACTTATAAGTGGGAACTAAACATTGTGCACACATGGACACAAACAAGGGAAAAACAGATACAAAAGCCTACTTGAATATGGAGGGAGAAAGGCAGGTGACTATTGAAAAACTATCTATTGGGGACGATGCTCATTATCAAGGTGATAAAATAGTCTTTACACCAAACTTCTGTGACATGCCATTTACCTTCATAGGTATCCCTGGATCTAAAATAAACATAAAAAAAAAATTAGAAAAGACTTAAATCTAAGATCTCATACTAGGAAACTACTAAGAGAAAACCTTGGGGAAACTCTCTAGGACATTGGACTGGGCAAAGGAACCTTGAGTAATACTGCACAAGCACAGGCAACCAAAGTAAAATGGATAAATTGTATCTAATTAAGTCAAAAAGCTTCTGCACAGCAAAGGAAACAATCAAGAAAAAAAAAAAAGAAAACTCATGAAATAGGAGAAATATTTCCAAAATGTCCATCTGACAAGGAATTAATTACCAGAATATGTAAGGAATTTAAACAACTTTATAGGATATAAATCTCATAATCGGATTCAAAACTGGGCAAAAGATCTGAATAGACATATCTCAAAAATGGCATTCAAATAGCAAGCAAGTATATGAAAAGATGCTCAGCATCAATGATCATCAGAATAATGCACATCAAAACTATAATGAGATATCATCTCACTCCAGTTAAAATGGCTTTTATCCTAAAGAAAGGCAATAAAAAATACTGGACAGACTGTGGAGAAAAGGGAACCCTCATACGCTATTGGTGGGAATGTAAATTAATACAACCACTGTGGAGAAAAGTTTAGAAATGCCTCAAAAAATAAAAATAGAGGTAATGTGTGATCCAACAATCATACTGCTAGGTATATACCCAAAATAAATAAAATTAGCACACTAAATCTGTATGCATGTAACACAGGAGAAACCAAATTTATAGAGCATGTTTTTAAAGGTACACAAAGAAGCTTAGACTCCCACACAATAATAGTGTGAGACTTCATCATTCTACTGACAGTATCAGACAGATCATCTAGGTAAAATATTAACAAAAATATCAACGACCTGAACTCAATATTGGACAAAACAGACCTGATAGATTTCTACAGAACTCTGCACCCCAAAACAACAGAATATACATTCTTCTCATCAACACATGACGCATATGCTAAAATCTATCACACAATTAAACATAAAACAATCCGCAGCAAATGCAAAAGAACCAAGATCTTACTCAACACACTCTTGGGCCACAGTGCAAGGGAAATAGAAGTTCTGACTAAAAAAGTCACTTAAAACTATGCAATTGAATGGAAATTAAACAACATGGTCCTGAATGACTTTTGGGTAAAGAATGAAATTAAGGCAGAAATCAAAAAGTTATTTGAAACCAACAATAACGAAGATACAACATACAGAATCTCTGGAACACAGCTAAATCAGTGTTAACGGAAATATTTATGGCACTAAATTCTCACATCAAAAGATTAGAAAGATCTCAAATTAACAACCTAACATCACAATGGAAAGAATTAGAGATTCCAGAGCAAATCAACCCCAAATCTAGCAGAAGACAAGAAATAACCAAAATCAGAGCTGAAATGAAGGAAATTGAGACATAAAAAACATTCAAAAGATCACTGAATCCAGGAGTTGTTTTTTATTCTTTTGAAAAAAATCAGTATGATATATAGGACACTAGCTAGACTAATAAAGAAGATAAGAGAGAAGATGCAAATAAACACAATTAGAAATGAGAAAGAAGATGTTACAATTGACCCCATAGAAATAAACATAACCATTAGAAACTACTATGAACACCTGTATGCCCACAAACTAGAAAACCTAGAAGACATGGATAAATTCCTGGACACATGCACCCTACCAAGACTGAACCAGGAATATCAATAATGAGATCCAATACTGAATCAGTAATAAATAACCTATCAACCAAAAGAAGCCAGGACCAGACTGATTCACAGCCAAATTCTACCAGATGTACAAAAAAGAGCTGGTACCATTACTACTAAAACTATTTCAAAAAATTAAGTAGGAGGGACTCCTCCTCAACTCATTCTGTGAGGCCAGCATCATCCTGACACCAATACCTGAAAGAGACACAACAACAAAAAACTTCAGGCCCGTATCTTTGATGAACATTGATGCAAAAATTCTCAACAAAATACTTGCAAACCGAATCCAGCAGCACATCAAAATGATAATCCACCACAATCAAATAGACATGTCAGGTATGCAAGGTTGGTTCAACATATGCAAATCAATACATGTAATCTAGCACATACACAGAACTAAAGACAAAAACCCCATGATTATGTCAATAGATGTAGACAAGGCTTTTGATAAAATTCAACATCACTTTATGTAAAAAAATCTCAGTAAACTAGGTATTAAAGGAATATACCTCGAGATAAGAGCCATCTGGGAGCAACCGACAGCCAGCATTATACTGAATGGGGAAAGGCTGGAAGCTTTCACCTTGAAAACTGGCATAAGACAAGGATGCCCCCTGTCTCCACTCATACTAAACATAGTACTGGAAGTCCTGGCCAGAACAATCAGGCAAAACAAGAAAATAAAGGCCATCTAAATAGGAACACAGTGAAACTATCCCTGTTTGCAGACAACATGATTCTATACCTAGAAAACCCCATAGTCTCAGCCCAAATGCTCCTTCAGCTGATAAACAACTTCAACAAAGTTTCAGGATACAAAATCAATGTAAAAAAATGTAGTAGCATTCCTATACACCAACAACAGCCAAGCCAAGAGCCAAATCAGGAAAGCAACCCCATTCACATTTGCTGCAAAAAGAAAAACATACCTAGGAATACAGCTAACCAGGAAGGTGAAAGATCTCTACAATGATACATAAAAAACACTGCTCAATGAAATTAGAGATAGCATAAACAAATGAAAAAATATCTCATGTTCATGAATAAGAAGAATCAATATCATTAAAATTACCATGCTGTCCAAAGCAATTTATAGATTCAGTGCATTCCTATCACACTACCAATGATATTGTTTCCAGAACTAGAAGAGCTATTTAAAAATTCACACAGAAGCTTAGATCCTAAAGATTTATTCTGCTTAGGTAAATCTGTATTTTTGTAAAATTTACTTGCAAGGCAGTAATGAAGCATTATTTTTGTAATCAAAAACTACATGAGCAGTATCTTCAAAAGTATGAGGTTGATTATATTTTCGAGGCATTGAAATTTATTTTTGTGCATTATTCAAACAAGGAAAGTAAGATAAGGTGTATATGGGTTACAATCAGCAACATTAAATCCACTTACACCTCCTTGTTTGCAATTTGATAACCACCATAAGAATCAAATGGATTCTGAATTCTGCTTCTGTAAAAATTAATTGTCACACATTTTCCTATTTCTCCCACTAAGTATAGCTGAAAACCTGGGAAATTACAAACCAAACAAACATAAGAAGATTCTGAAAGGTATACAGAAGAAGATCGCCTGGCCAGAGGGCTCATAATCTGAGGAAAAACAAGAAATGGGGAAAGGATTCCCTATTTAATAAACGGTGCTGGGAAAACTGGCTAGCCATATGTAGAAAGCCGAAACTGGATCCCTTCCTTACACCTTATACAAAAATTAATTCGAGATGGATTAAAGACTTAAATGTTAGACCTAAAACCATAAAAACCCTAGAAGAAAACCTAGGCATTACCATTCAGGACATAGGCATGGGCAAGGACTTCATGTCTAAAACACCAAAAGCAATGGCAACAAAAGCCAAAATTGACAAATGGGATCTAATTAAACTAAAGAGCTTCTGCACAGCAAAAAAAACTACCATCAGAGTGAACAGGAAACCTACAGAATGGGAGAAAATTTTTGCAATCTACTCATCTGACAAAGGGCTAATATCCAGAATCTACAATGAACTCAAACAAATTTACAAGAAAAAAACAAACAACACCATCAAAAAGTGGGTGAAGGATATGAACAGACACTTCTCAAAAGAAGACATTTATGCAGCCAAAAGACACATGAAAAAATGCTGATCATCACTGGCCATCAGAGAAATGCAAATCAAAACCACAGTGAGATACCATCTCACACCAGTTAGAATGGCAATCATTAAAAAGTCAGGAAACAACAGGTGCTGGAGAGGATGTGGAGAAATAGGAACACTTTTACACTGTTGGTGGGACTGTAAAGTAGTTCAACCATTGTGGAAGTCAGTGTGGTGATTCCTCAGAGATCTAGAACTAGAAATATCATTTGACCTAGCCATCCCATTACTGGGTATACACCCAAAGGATTATAAATCATGCTGCTATAAAGACACACACACACGTATGTTTATTGCAGCACTATTTACAATAGCAAAGACTTGGAACCAAGCCAAATGTCCAACAATGATAGACTGGATTAAGAAAATGTGGCACATATACACCATGGAATACTATGCAGCCATAAAAAATGATGAGTTCATGTCCTTTGTAGGGACATGGATGAAGCTGGAAACCATCATTCTCAGCAAACTATTGCAAGGACAAGAAACCAAACACTGCATATTCTCACTCAAAGGTGGAATTGAACAATGAGAATACATGGACACAGGAAGAGGGACACAGGAAGGACATCATACACCTGGGCCTGCTGTGGGGTGGGGGGAGGGGGGAGGGATAGCATTAGGAGATATACCTAATGTTAAATGACGAGTTAGTGGGTGCAGCACACCAACATGGCACATGTATACATATGTAACTAACCTGCATGTTGTGCACATGTATCCTAAAACTTAAAGTATAACAATAAAAAAAAAAGAAAATGTTTGTGTTGGCCTGGGCAGCACATATACTAAAATCGGAACGATACAGAGAAGATTAGCATGGCCCCTGCACAAGGATGACATGCAAATTCGTGACACGTTCCATATTTTTCAGGAAACAACAGATGCTGGAGAGAATGTGGAGAACTTAGGCATGCTTTGACACTGTTGGTGGGAGTGTAAATTAGTTCAAACACTGTGGAAGACAGTGTGGTGATTCCTCAGGGATCTAGAACTAGAAATACCATTTGACCTAGCCACCCCATTACTGGGTATACACCCAAAGGATTATAAATCATGCTGCTATAAAGACACACGCACACGTATGTTTATTGCAGCACTATTTACAATAGCAAAGACTTGGAACCAAGCCAAATGTCCAACAATGATAGACTGGATTAAGAAAATGTGGCACATAGACACCATGGAATACTATGCAGCCATAAAAAATGACGAGTTCAGGTCCTTTTCAGGGACATGGATGAAGATGGAAATCATCATTCTCAGCAAACTAACGCAGGGACAGAAAACCAAATACCACATGTTTTCAGTAATAAGTGGGAGTTGAACAGTGAGAACACATGGACACCAGGAGGGGAACATCATACACCGGGGCCTGTTGGGGGTGGGGGTGTTGGGGAGGGATAGCATTAGGATAAATACCTAGCATAGATGACGGCTTGTTAGGTGCAGCAAACCACCATGACATATGTATCCCTATGTAACAAACCTGCATGTTCTGCACATGTGTCCCAGAACTTAAAGTATATCTAAAAAATGCTTAATGTGGTTTTGAGTCTCAAATAAAATGACGCCTTCAAAAAAAAAAAGAAGAAGAAAGCCACCATGGAAATTTAAGGTGTCAAAATCACTTATACTTAAAGAAGCAATTTCACATCTAATGCTGGAAACTACAGCTTATGATTTCTAGTCATCCAGTGAAATAAAATGTGAATTTGCTCATTATTGACTTGATATCATTTTCTGAAATATATCTGAGGTTTTAGAGATGTTAGTAGTTGAGTTCTGCCTTGTCTTTTTTTCTCTTGGAGTCTTTATTATGCTCCGTTTCCATGCATCAGATGTCTCCAAATCACTTTAGTCATGTTGTTCTCCCCTTTACTTTGATTCAGTTTGATATTTTCCACCATCTGGTTTCAGGCTTTTAAATGGGTATCTGGAGGCTAATATTTCAACATTCTAGTAAGAAATGGTAATTAAAAAATATGTTTCCTTTATTACTCTGTGGTGACTGAAAGAAAACAGGCAAACAGTACTACATTGTCTCTCATTTTAATGCAGCTGTATATCAATCAGAATCTCAACAACTTGTGGATTTCTTTTTGTATTCTAGGTCAATGCAGAAATTATATTTCCCAGTGAATAAAATGTACAGCCTCCTACAAGTCATGGAAGCCAGGATTAATTTGTCATCTCCAGTGCTAAGTCTTTCATTGGGTCTATGGTTCTCAAGAGAAGTTATTCCTCTTTGGGATACAAGGGAGAAAGGAATGTTATGATAATTTGTTCTCATTATTAACATATATATTATAAAATCAATTATGTACTATCTATCTGAATATATACACCTATATATAGCTATTGACATAATTTATATACTTTCTTGACAATAACCACTTCAACAATAATTACCACTCAAGTTAGTTAAAATGTGAAAACAAACATATTACATTTATGTGGAACTGGAAAATATTTAGGTCATTCTCAGCTCTGATATATTAGCAAAATTTAATTTTTTAAAACTTCAGTTTAAAAAATGTTGCGAACTATTTTCTAGACAATTACCAAATGAGCTTATATTTATACTATAAACAAGAAATGGATCTCACAGTAATAGAGTAAGGAAAAGACTGTCTCTTTGGTAGACCTCTGGTTCAGAACCCTTTTTCACTTGGTTGACTAATAGAAGAAATCCCATAATAGAAGATTTCTGCTTTACTTATAAGATTTAATCCATTTTTAAAATGTAATTCCAGTTGGGTGGAGAAAACTATTGAGTCTTAGCAGCCTGTGATTCTTAAGTTTAAATGAGCTTATCATATGAGAACTAAAATTTTAGAACTAGGAAAAAATATATAAGAGAAAGTTTTTGAGAGCACTGAGTGTCTAAGGAAAATGAGGACATTGTACCACTGGTGAGGAAAAAAAAGACATGGAAAGGTGTGGACAAAAGAACTAAACTCCTATTTGGTGAATATCACAGTTGTGCTGATAAAGTATCCATTCAGTCATTTATTCAACAATTATTCACTAGGCATTGGAAATATGCCTAGTGAGTAGAAGCAAAAATGCTCTTACAGAGCTAGAATCTAGACTCTAGACAAAATTCCAGGCAGTAGTAACAACACAAAGAAAAACTACAAACTAAGATGGATTCTAGGAAGAAGTAAGGAGTATTAGAAAGAAATTTGACCTGAGTTCTGCTGGGAGACTTGAAGGACCATGGGATAAAATGTTCAATAAAACAAAGGATAGCATGTACAAAGTCCTTGTGTTGTGAGGGAATATGGCAGGCAGAAAGGCCTGATAAAGCCCTGTGTAGCTGAATTACAGAAAGATAGAGAAGTGTAATTAAAAAAAAAAAGTATTTGAAAAATAGGTGAAGCCCAAAGCACAGAGAGATTTGTTGAAATGTTAAGGAGTTTTAATCTTTACCTAAGAGCAATAAGAAAACATTGAAAAATATTAAATTGAAAGAGGAGCCACTGATAAGGTTAGCATTACAATTTTTGGCAGCATTTGAAAGTCGCTAGAAAGGCAGAGATAGTGAATATGATAGGAAAAATTTAGAAAGTTGTGAAATTCAATCAAGTGATGATGTTGGTTTGTATTAGGGTGGTAGCAGTGGAGGTAAAGAGAACTGAATGTTTATGAATGATTTGGGAAGTAAAGTCTGTGAGAACTTAGTTCTGGATTAGCTATGGGGTGTGAGTGGGATAATGTCAAAAATGCATTTTAATTTCTTGCTTTTACAACTTGATGCTTGGATGTTTCATTCTTTAAAACAGAGGATCTTTATAGAGGACTATATATGCTGGGGGGGCGGGGGGCAGAGTTTTTGTGTGTGTGTGAGAGAGAGAAAGAGAGAGACAGAGACAGAGAGAGAGAGAGGAGGGGGGTATGTGTTCAGCATCGATCTGAAGTACCTTTAAAATAGTAAAAGAATGATGTAGAACAAGTAGTTGAATATGCTGCTTTGGATCACAAATGTCTCAGATGAATATATCTCTATTTTACTCACTTGGGATATGTACTAATTGAAGCCACAAGAAAGATTATAGATTGAGAAGCCAGTAAAGTTTATAAACAAACCTTGATTAATTATAACATACAAAGGCTGGGAAGAGGAAGATGAGCCTGCAAAGAAACACAGAAGGAAAATAACAGATAAGTACTGTCTCGTGGAAGCTGAGAGAAAAATGTGTTTCAAAAAAGGTTGCACAGTTCAACAGCAAATATCGATAAGAGGTCAAATAAACTGTGAGCTGTAAAGTTTATGTAGCCATATTGGTGACATAATGAGATTTATTTTTAGGGAGGGATGGGGCAAAAAGCTAAATTGAAGTGGATGAGTGGGGAAATAGAGAAATGGAGACTGTGAGCATAAATAATGTGGCGGGATTCACTTTAGATGGCATAAAAGACAGCTCCTTTGTCTTAGTTGGAGAGAAGGATAATAGCTGTTATAAGATTTAAATAAATGTGTAGGTTTTCTGCTGTGAAAAATAAAACTTTCTTCTGTGAGTTTCCTCGTACCCTCTATTTTAAAATTTCTGACCCCTTCCCTCATTTTCTGCATGGGCAAAGAGGTTTGCAGATAATAGAGAAGTTTCAATACAGTCACTTGAGCAGTGAACCATAGTAAGGACACAGTGTAGTCTTGAAGTCTTACATAAAGCTAGTAAGTATAAACTTGCACTGGAAATAATTGGCTGGATATTACTGAAATGCTGGGCCATTTTAATACTACTAATAAGCTACTCTTTATGCTATATATAAAATCTATGCTGGATAAACAGCCAAGTTACAAAAGGAAGTACTGAGTGAATAAGAAAAAAGTATAGGAATAAATACACCAGAATTCTCCATGATCCTGAGATATGATCACAAGGGAAATAGTCAAACAGGCAAGCTGGAAGGATAGCAGATTGAAACCAGAAAAGACAAGTCTTGGGTTAATAATACTTTTGTTAGAGCAGTTGTGAATAATGGTGAGGTTCAAGTCATCATTGTGAAAATAGCTGACTCACATGGTGTTGAGAAAAAAAATATATTGGTATTAGTTGAAGAAATGAGAGGTCTTGGTATTATTACATAGATGATTCCTGTAGGTATGAGAGTCATCCAGGATGAAGGCAAAACTTTTAGGATGAAACGAGAACAGCAACAAACTGTGTTGTGAGAAAATTAAAAACTTCACTTTAGAATACTGTAGGGGAAGTGATCTCAGAGGAGAGCTAGGATTCAGTTAAGATAATAAGATGGTGGAGCATTTTTTTTTTGTAGTGCTCACCTGTATTCTGAGTAGTATATAGGATGGTTTGCTAAATATGGAGCAAGGAATATTTACGGAGGGTTTAGTAAAATGATTTTGGAAAGGGGGATAGTTGCTTCAGTCATAGGCAAGGAAGTACAGAGCATTGCGGAGGGTAGAAAGCCTAGGAATCTTGGCATTTGGGGTGATGAGTTGTGAGGATAAAGATGAGGTTTGCTGTTTGGCCTGCATAATTTTGATATTACAAGCTTTTTTCATGTGACGGGTATATCAGAGAAATATTGTATGTTTTAGTCTCAAGTATTTTTTCACTTTATTGTTGATTTGTAATGAAACAAAGAGAATATTTAAAATACATCAGTAGATGCTATGATATGAATATTTCTCACCCTTCCAAAAATTTATTTGTTGAAATCTTACCCCCCAGGGTGATGGTATTAGGAGTTAGTGGTCTTTGAAGGTGATTATATCATGGGGGCAGAGCCCACATGAATGAGATTAGTGCCCTTATTAGGAGAGAATGAGAAAAACTCCTCACCCCTTCCACCATGTGAGGACAAAGCAAAAAGATGTCATCTATGACCCAGAAGGCAGTCTCTCACAAAACACAGAATCTGCCTTGACCTTGGACTTCCCAGCCTCCAGAGCTCAGAAAAACAAATTTCTGTTTTTTATAAGTTACATAGTTTATGGCACTTTGTTATAACAGCTTAAACAGATTAAGACAGCAGAGATCTCGTTAGTAAGAGGTAACAGTCTCTGGGTCTTCAGTCCTTCCCGACTTGATTCCTAATTAGGAAGTCATGCATAATCACAGATCCCTAGGATAGGAAAAGCCACTTTTTCTCAATATTTAGGAATTTTTGTTTGGATTTGTTCCCATAGCATATAACAGTGTACCTTGCTCCCTAATACTAAATCTTGCTGAAATCCATCTCTGCTCTGGAATCTAGGACCATTTTATGAAAGCAAGAAAATCTGAAGAATTTTAGTCCAGTAATTTAGTATCTCAGGAACATTCACCTTACTGTTGGTCCTACTCTCGGATCACACCCAAATTCTAATAACTGGGCCTGATGAACTACTCCCCTGACTTCTTTCCTGGTACTCTAAATTCCGTTGCTATTTCCAAGAATTTCAAAGTTTAGAGTCCTGTCTCTGAAATGGAGATACTGTGGCTGATTTCAACCCTCACCTGCACCACCTTTCTTCTGTTTGAGTTTAACTTGGTTTATCTTCCCTATTCATTGGTTTACACTTTTCATACCCCATCTTACTCTGGTCTGACTAGGCTTGCTGCTATAGACATTTATTTATTAAAAAAGATTAAACAGAGGAATAGAAAAGAAGATAGTTTGGGACGATGCTCCCTATCTTTTTTTTTTTTTTAAATAAGATGTTTGCGTAGCTGTTAATGGCCAGAAGCTCCCTGGACTTAGGGGTACAATATCTCCACAAACCTGTAAACCATTAGCAGCAGACCAATGTGCTCTGCTAGGTCTGAGTACAGGAAAAGCCTGATCTTCTTGTTCAAGTTTATTTCTAGAACACATTGTTGGTTGAAAGGACATGAGGCAGATACTTTAATTTTATTTGATAAATTTGTAAAATATGACAATATGCTTGTTGTTACTTTTTGCTATTTCTACTCTATCCCATTCATGCCATTGTATGTACATCATTCCATACTCACTACCTTGAGGGTACAGTTATAATGATAGAAATTCAAAGAGAAAGGAAAGATTCAATTCTCAGCTTTTGAATCTCAAAATAGATTTCAAAATAGGATTTGAAGTTCATAAGAGAGACGGAAACTTATAAGAACAAGTTTCTGAATCTCAAGATGACTGGCTTTTGATTTTTCTTTTTTCTTTTTTTTTTTTGGAAACAGAGTTTCACTCTTATTGCCTAGGCTGGAGTGCAATGGCGCGAACTCGGCTCATTGCAACCTCTGCCTCCTGGGTTCAAGTGATTCTCCTACTTCAGCTTCCCGAGTAGCTGGGATTACAGGTGCCTGCCACCACGCCCGGCTAATTTTTGTATTTTTAGTAGAGCGAGGTTTCACCATGTTGGTCAGGCTGGTCTCAAACTCCTGACCTCAGGTGATCCACCCACCTCAGCCTTCCAAAGTGCTGGAATTACAGGCATGAGCCACCGTGCCTGGCCAGCTTTTGATTTTTAAAAGAGAAATGTCTGAAGAAATTAGGCCAATAGAATGTATATTTAGAGGAAAGGTAAGGGAAACCACAAATATAATGGATTTACCCTGAAATACACGAGAAAATCTTAAGTTATCTGATTTTATTTACCCTGAATTAACAAGATTAAGTATAAAGCCACAGAGCAAATCAAAGGTACAAGTTGAAAAATAATATCACTTATAGAAATTTGGTCCTTTTGCACATCTAAGTTGCATTCTAAGATTTATTTTAAATTGCTACATGCTCGAATCCTTTCATATGTGTAATTTGAAAAAATAACTCCTCAGTTAATACTGATAGGACCAGTCATAATACCACATCCTCTAACTGAAAATACATTGAACTCATACAATTTTACGTGAACTAACTCAGAAAGCCAACACATTTCTAGTCTTAACAGATGCCTTATATCCTTTTATAGGTTTACAGTTTTTAATTGACCAATAGTCAAGGCATTTCTCAACAATCACTAACAAAAGAAATTCAGGCTTGCTGAACTTGGGCTGTCTAGGTAACAGGAAATATATATATATATATATATATATATATTTTATGAATCAAGTTTGACGTTTTACCCCTTTATAGATGTGCTGCTTTTTCCGATTATCTGATCATAGTTGAACATGTAAGGTTTTGAGGAATTCTAATTCCCTGCTTTCTTGAATTTATTTTCTCATCAAGTAATAATTACCTACACAGTTTCACCATGTACCATCTGTGTGACTTCAGACCACTCACTTAGTTTCCCTGAGCCCCATTTTTTTGCATATGAAATGGCCATAGTAGAACAAATTGAACAAGAAAATTAGAAGGTATTAGATTAACATCAGAAAATGAGATCCTTTATATAGTAATTTTGGAACAGTACTGGATAAGGATCTTTAAAACAGTAAGAAAAAAATTTAGAGAATTGTAAAGATAATTTCATAGATGCTCAATATGTATGTTGAGTCATATAAGGATGTGACCAGATTTATAATAATATATAGTATTCCTTGTTTCCTATGTGTAAGCATTATGTTAAATGACTACACATTACCTCACTTAATCCTTACAATATTCTTATAAAATTATAAAGTCTATTATTTCCCACTTTAGAGATAAGGAAACTGAGGCTCAAAGAAGATAGGTAAATTTCCCTACTTCTCACATCTAATAAGTGGTGAATCACGAGTCTAGTCCTGGCAAGCATTAATAACTACTAGATTGCACTGTCTTACCCTCATCCTTGAATAAGTCTTCCTTGTCCTTATAATTTTTAAAAATCATCTTCATCAAATGTTTTCTTATATAAACTGAATCTCATCTTTGTCTTATGTTTTGTGCTCCTATATTTCCTTATCAGTCCTATTCTTACTTAGCCTTGTTAAGTTTTGCATTTCTGATCATTTGTTTGGCCTTATAATCTTCTCTACTATTTTTGGTGCAAACACCATGGGGTATTCTTTTGTCTTCTCTATTTACTTGTCTCAGTTTTTTCTTTTTCTCATTACATATTATGTTTAAATAATATGTCTTTGAATTATTTTAAGTCTTCAAAGTTATCAATGCTATAGATATATGGTGGAGAATTTAAATAAATCAAGATAACTCAAACATTCACTTTTACAGCAGATTTCGGGAAAATAAGATATAATTGATCTGTTTGTCAGAGTATTTGTTCAGATCATTCAGATTATACTGCACACCTCATTTCACTACTGTTGAAAACATCAACTTTTTTTTTCGTTTTACTGACTTCTGGATTTTAAAACATGTTATATTATGGCTTAAGTCTACTTTGCTTTTTCTTTTTTTTGGTAGTGGCTGAGATTTTTTAATTTGAGACCCTGCATCACATTTATCTCAGCCACTACCAAAAAATAGAAAAAGCAAAGTAGACTTAAGCATGCAGAAAGATGGAAATAATAAAGATAAGTGCAGAAATCAATTAAATTAAAAATAGAAGATTGACAGAGGAAACAACAAAGAAATCTGGTTTTACTTAAATAACAATATTATTGATAAACTTTTTAACAAGATTGAAAAAAACTGGGAAAGCACAATCTAGCAATACCAGGAATAAAACAGTAGATATCACTACAAATCCTGCAGCCATTAAAAGGATAATAAGGCAATACTATGAGCACCTTTAGGCTCATAAATTTAACAATTTAGAAGAAATGAGCCAGTTCCTCAACACTGCAAGCTAACAAATTCAACAAGACAAATGAATAATCTGAATAGCCCCACTACCTTTAAAGTAATTACATGTGTAGTTAAAAAGCTTTCAAGAAATATTTCTCTAGGCCCAGATGGTTTCACTGGAGAATTGTACCAAACATTTAAAGAATATTTCACACCACTTTTACACAATACTTGGTTAATATTTTGTTGAGGTATTTTGAGTCTATGCTCATGAGAGAGACTGAAGTTTTATTTTTTATTTTATTTTTATTTTTTTGTATTGCTAGTGTCTTATTTTGGTAAGGGAATTGTAAGTGTCTTATTTTGGTAAGGGATCTCATAAAATGAGTTAGAAAGTCTCCCATCCTCTTTTCTTTCCTGAAAGAGATTGTGTAAAAGATGGTGTTAATTCTTCTTTAAATGTGCTTTCCTAGGCCTGGTGTCCCTAAGTGGGACCAGGAGACAGCGGGGCCTGATAAAACACATAGAACATGTTGTCAGTCAGCTCCACCCACCCACCCTTTACTGGTGAAGTTCCCTATTGATTTCTCCTGGTGTTGATTGCAGGGGCGGACTGTGCTACTCTAGGCCACTGGGTGCTGCAAGGTAGAGGTTGGGAGTAGCTGGAACTAAATAAAAAAAGGGAGAGTTTCCAAGGTCCTGCTTTTTTAGGCTGTTCAGTGCCAGTAGGGGTACCGCTGTATGAAGACACTGGGCCTGCTATGCTTCCTGTCTCTTGGAGGGTTGGGAGACTTTGGGTCTGATTTTGCTTCTGGCTCTGAGAAGGTGATCAGGAGACACTGAGTTGCCGTGCTTTCACTCAAGCCCTGGGGTCCCCCAGGCAGTCTGCTTCCCGTTTTCATCATTCAGGTTATTCTACGACTGTCTATTATGTTATCTTTAGGCTTTTTACTTGTACTAAGTGAAGAGAAGCTGGAAGAAATAAATCTATGCCATCTTGTTCCAAACCAGAAGGCTATTATATGTAATTTTTAATCCAGGTTTCTGTGTTTATTGTTTTCAGAGTAAGAATTGGTAAGTTTATCTACTTCACTTTACTTTCTGGAAATGAAAGTTATGTATGCTTAAGCCTTTAGACTAAATACAAAATTCTCCATAGATTTGTTTTCGAATTCACATATTTTTCAAAAATTTATTTCTAATTTCTTTCTTTCTTCAGCCAAATCACCCTTCTTATTAATACATCTTGTTCCCTCCTGCCACCATGCCTTCATTCATGTTATTGCCAATGTCTGGAATGCTCTCTATTTTTCTAAATCAATTTGCAACAATTTGGTTAAGAAAAAAATTATAATAATCAACCCTATATGAAACTCTACTTCACTGATTTCATTCTTTGCCCAATTCTTAGCATACTCAAGAGATTCCTTAATCAACATTTCTTCAGCAGTAAACATGTAGTATTTCTCTTTATATATATTTTTCCCTCATAAGCTATTTTTAATATTCTCACAACACCTGAAACAGTACCATACATTGAGGAATAAAGCTAGAAATTATAAGGCAATAATTTTAACTATTTTGTTGAAAGCCTCTCAAATATTCTGCTTTTATATTTATGAATATGTCACACATACATTTTAGATTCCATTTAGGTTTGAGGGTACAGAGGAACTGGAGGCAGAATAATTTAGATAACAGACTCAATTCTGAATTTTGATTTCTATTTGTAGACCTAAATTATGTGACCAGATGTCAAAGGAAATAATGGTAAACTCTCCCACCCTGTGAATGAATAATATTGTGTGAAAAAGATGGATGGTAAAAAGCAGCAAACATTTTCTGGAATGCTTTGTTGCTTTGAAAACCCCTGAAGTTTAAAACCTAACCTTTATTGAAGTTGCATTAAGGAATGTCTATAAATTTAATATCTACGGTGGATTGGCTATACTAACAACATGAAATCTGTTTACAAAATAGTAAAATGATGTTCAGTGAATATATAGACTTTTGACTCTGTAATCAAATTCCACCTTTAAAGGGCAAATTATTGAATGAGCTCTGACATTCCCAGATGCCAAAGACTTTTTTATTGCTCATTACTTTTAACCTGTCCACAAGACATTTGCTTCCAAATACATTGAAATAATAGAACCATATTTCTCCTCCCATACGAACCAACAAATAAAGACAAAATATATGCAACAAGAAATTTTTAGATGTTGAATATCTGGCAATCAAAGACAGTAAACCTTGAGAGAGTGCAAACAAATAAGATTGTTTTAGCTTACTTCCTTGGGACAGTTTCCCAACCACAAGTAGAGGGAGCTCATATAGAATCCAGTGAATTCCCTGAGTTGAGAAGAAAGATCTGAGAATCCAGGTAAATTAAGGTGACCAGTGTTTACAGAATACAGTTCTAGAGAAGAGACAGCTGCCCTCACGTGTTCAAATGAGTGTGTGACTGTGAGGAAACTATCCAAGACATTAGAAACAATTTCCAGAGGATTAGAATTCTCTGCATTCACATAGGCCCCACGACAGTGACTCTTGCTGCCAGCTAAACCTGAATATCTACAAGACATTGGGTAGAGCAAACAGAAGGATTTCACCTCAGTAATGGGAAATAATTAACCCTAGACTGCAAAGTGCTTTAGATGCACCAAACAAAAGGATCAAATTGTTTTCAAGTGACTTAACTGCATCACAGAACAAACGTCTAGAAATACAAAAATATCAAGCATCAAACAATCTAAAATAGTAATATCTGGCATCAAAAATTACCAGTCATGTAAAAAAAATAAGATCTATAATGAGTTTTTGGGGCGGAGCAAGATGGCAGAATAGAAGGCCCCACTGATCATCCCTTCAGCAAGGACCCCAATTTAACAACTATCTATACACACAAAAACTGCCTTCATAAGAACCAAAAATCAGGTGAGTACTCACGGTATCTAGTTTTAACTTTATATCACTGAGAGAGGCACTGAAGAGATAGGAAAAACAGTCTTAAATCACTGATGCCACCCCTCTCCTGTCTACCAGCAGAGGCAGCCTGGTACAGAAAGCATTACTGTGTGTTAAGGGAGTAATAGCCAGCAATTGTGAGGCCTCTAGTTGAGCACTGCCCTTGTTATAGCAGAAAGCAAAACTGGATCAAACACAGGTAATGCCCACCCACAGAGGGAGCATTTAAATCAGCCCTAGCCAGAGGGAAATTGCCAATCCCAGCAGTTCTCACAAGCCTAGCCACTGCTGACTAAAATCCTCTGAGGCCCCAAATAAACTTGAAACCCAATCTAAACCACGAGGACTGCAACACCTAGGTGTATCCTAGGGCTGAACTGGGCCCACAGACAGTGAATGTTGGTGGTGGGGGATGCGAGCTACTTAGACATCAGCAGGGGCAGCTAAGGGAGTGCTGGCATCACCCTTCCTCTAAACTCAGGCTGCACAGCTCAAGACTCCAAAAGAGACACTGTCCTTTGGTTTAAAGAGAGAAGATGGCAAAGTGGGGAGGACTTTGTCTAGCATCTTGGATACCAGCTAAGCCACAGCAGGATAGGGTTCCAGTCAGAAATCTAAGGCCCCATTTTCAGGTCCTAGCTCTAGGACATTTCTAGACCTAACCTTGGCCAAAAGGGAACCCACTGACTGCCTTAAAGGGAAGAAAACAGTCCTGGGAGAATTTATCACCTGCTAACTGAAAAAACCTTGTGCCCTGAATAACTGGCAGCAATGCCCAGGTACTACATTGAGGGCCTTGCATAAACCTGAAACTTGATGGCTTCAGGTGAGACTCATCACATTCCCAGCTGTGGCGGCTACAGGACAAGTCTCTTTCTGGTCGATAAAAGTGAAGAAAAAAGTATTGGAGAGTGTGTCTTGCAACTTAGGTTCAAGGTTGGCTACAGGGAGGTAGAGCACAAAGTGGGCTCTTAGGGTCCCTAGTTCCAGGACTTGACTCTTGGATGGCATTTCTAGACCTGCCCTAAGCCAGAGGGAAACTCAATGCCATGAACAGTGAGTCCCAGGCCAGGCAGCATACCCCACAAGCTGACTGAAGAGCTCTCGGACCTTAAGGGAACATTGTCAGTAGTCTATCAGTACTCCACATGTGTTGAGGTGGTGGTGGCAATGGGAAGAGACTCCTCTGCCTTTGGAAAGGAGAATAAAGTGTAGAGAGTGCCAGCTCAGCCACAGTACAGTAGAACAGCAGGTAGACTTCTGAAGTTTTTTACTCTAGTCCCTGGTCCCCAGATGACACCTCTCTACCCGTTAAGGGTTGGGGGAAGTTACTGCCCTAAAGAGAAGGACATGGGCCTGGCTGGCTTTGCCACCCACTGATTTTAGAGCCCCAGGGCTTTGAGTGAAGATAGTCATAGCCAGAGAGTGTGATTACAGCAGACCTTCTGGGAGACTCAGTGCTGTGGTAACTTCAGGTCTGACCCAGCACTGTCCTAGGGTTAGTGGCCACAGGGGTGCTTGCGTCACTCCATCCTTAGCTCCAGGTGGCTCAGAACAGAGATAGAGACTCCATTTTGTGAAAGAAAGTAAGAGAAGAGAACAAGAGTTTCTGCCTGGTAATTCAGAGAATTCTTTTGAATCTTGCCCAAAACCATCAAAGCTATCCTTCTATGAGTCTGCAAGAACCACAGGATACTGGAGTGAGGTGTCTGCTATAGCAGATACAGCTTAAATCACAACACCCAAGTCCTTTCAAATACCTGGAAAGCCTTCCCAAGAAAGAGAGGTACAAACAAGCCCAGACCGCAAAACCTAAAATAAACACTTAACTCTTCAATACCCCCAGACACAGATGAATATCTACAAGTACCAAGAAGATACAGGAAACAATGACCTCAACAAAATAACTAAATAAGGCACTAGGAACCAATCCTGGAGAAACAGAGATATATGATCTTTCAGACAGATACTTTGAAATAGCTGTTTTGAGGAAACTCAGATAAATTCAAGAGAACACGGAGTAGAAATCTAGAATTTTATCAGATTAATTTAACAGATTAAAATAGGGGGAGGGGGGAGGGATAGCATTAGGAGATATACCTAACGCTAAATGACGAGTTAATGGGTGCAGCACACCAGCATGGCACATGTATACATATGTAACCAACCTGCACATTGTACATATGTACCCTAAAACTTAAAGTATAATAATAATAATAATAAATAAATAAAATAAAATAATTTTAAACAATCAAGCAGAAATGCTGGAGCTGAAAAGTGTAACTGGCATACTGAAAAATATATCAAAGCCTTTTAACAGCAGAATTTATTAAGTAGAAGAAAAGATTGGTAATCTTGAAGGCTGGTTATTTGAAAATACACAGTAAGTAGGCACCAAAAGAAAAAAATAATAAAAGAGAATAAAGTGGGGCAGGGGCCAAGATCGCCAACTGGAAACAGCGGCAGTCAGAGGCTCCCACTGAGAAGAACAAAAATGACCAGTGAATTCTACACTGGCAATCAAGGCATCTAAATTCTTTCACTGGGCCTGACTAGGCAGTTGGCGTCACCCACAGAGAGTGAGGAAAAGCAGGGTGTTGTGAATTTTCAACGTAGTTAGGAAGATGAGGTTCAGAGTTGGGACAGGGTAGATCTAGTAGAAAGATCAGTGATGTTAAGTCCAATGCTCATCTGTCTTTTTCCAAAAATATTCTAAACTAGTTACCTTTATGCTTTACTGAATGTTCAAACTCTTCCCACATTATTATTCTATTTAGTAAAATAAGTGCAACATATATATTAGGAGGTTGGGACCTACATAAGACAGAGCTGTGTTCAAGTCTTAGCTCCATGATATGCTATTTGACTAAAGACAAGTTTAGCCTAATAAAATTCAAATCATTTCAAAAAATTTAATAGAATTTCAATTCAATTTCTAGATGCTTGGGAAGACCTCCATTGAAAAAAAAAGCAGAAAAATATATCTGCTTTATAAACTAAAGACTTTCTCCTTTTGGATCCCCAGGCTAATGGGATTGGCTCTGAAACTGCAGCCAACTGGAGTTGGATCTGGGTCAAGTGGCTGCTGCTGGATCCACAGTGGTGTCAGCCTGTAATGGGAGACTAAAGTGGATGTGGATCCTGTATGTTCCCTAGGTAAACTAGACTGCCTTTAGGACCTTGTTTATTAAAACTGGTGCTAGGATAAAAGTTTACTTCAGTGTCCACAAATAACAGAGCTGTTATCAGATACAAGTGTGTGTGTGGCTTCTGGTTCTATTAGTGGGCTCCTGCTGGGTCACTGGGTTGTGCCTAGACAGGCAGTGATGGCCCTGGACTACAGTTGAGGAGTACTGGAACCAAGTTACAGAGATGCTTCAGAGTCCACAGTCAAAATGTAGGTACACAGGCCTGCATTCAGGGATCTGGATGGGCATATATCTCTCTGGGTCCCTGGTCAAGCAGGACTTCTCTAAGGTTATAGCTGAGAATGACTGGAGCTTAGTTACAGGGCCACTGATGGAATGAGGTCTGCAAGTCTATTCCAGGAACACAGATGGGTATGTCTGCCTCTGGGTACTTGTATGCATAGGACTGCTCTCAGATTGCAGCTGAGAAGGGCTAAAGCTGAGTTACAGAACCATTTCAGAGTTAACAGCTGGGATCAAGATTGGCAGACTTGTCACCAGAGGTGCAAAAGGGCATGACTCCCCCTGGCTTCTTTGGTAGATGGTTCTGTTTGCAGGGCCAAGTCCAAACAGGACTGTGGTCAATTCCACAGAGGGGATGGGATCATTTCTTGGTCTGCAGTCAGGACCAAAGTCAGTGAGCCTGCCACCTGGGCACAGGTTTGCCCTCTCAAAACAGGTCTCCTAGATCTTTTCGACCAGTGGTTCACAATTTCCTACCTAAAACCCAAAGACTGCACAAAGGCAATTTTGTCCTTGGATAGATGTAAAAGTATTGTTGCGGGGGGTGGATATAAGTGGGGACCTACTCTGCCAGCTTACTGACACCACTCTCTGTCTTGTTTCTGAAAAATAAAACTGTATTTCACTATTAAGAATGATGACAGTTGTATGTTTCTGTATGCTTTTTATCAACTTGAGAAAATTTCTATCTATGCCTAGTTTTTGCTGGGAGGTTTTTGTTGTTGTTGTTGTTGTTGTTGTTTTGCTATGAATGGGTACTGGATTTTGTCAAATTCTTTGTCTATATCTACTGAAGTGATCAGATAGTTTTCTATTTTACTTTGTTAATATTGTGAATTACATTGATTTTCTAATGCTATACCAATCATGCATTCCTGAGATATACTTTACTTGATCATGATCTATTACCATTTTATGTGATTCAGTTGGATCCAGATTGCTAAAATTTATTCATCTCTTTTGGTTTTGTATTTGTAATTATAGGGCATATTTGTCTGTAGTATTTTTATCATATATTGTTTCCGTGTATTTTTTATATTAAGATAGTGTTCAGTTCATCAAATGAGTGGAAAGTATTTCACTTCCTTAATGTTTGGGATTACAGTGTGTTCATGTAGTAGTCATATTATTTCTTCTGTAAATGTTTGGTACAACTCACCAGTGAAAGCCACTTTGGCATTGAGATTTATTTATTGAAAATTTTTTAATTAAAAATTCAATACCTTTAATATAAATAGGGCTATTTGGGTTGTATATTTTCTCTTGACTGAGCTTTGACGGTTGATGGCTTTCAAAGACTATGTCCATTTCAGCTAAGTTGTTGAATTCATAGGCATAAATTTGTTCACAATATTCACTTATTATCATTTAAAAAATATATTTTTAGCATATGTAGTGATGTTACCTCCCTCATTTCTGATATTGACAAATTGTGTCTTCTTTCTTTTCCTTCCTAATCTGTTTGGCTAGAGGTTTTGAAATTTGATTAATCCTCTCAAAAAAACAGTATTTGGATTATATTGTTTTTCTGTATTTTATTTTATTGAGTCCTCTATTAAAATTTATTTCCATTTTATGCTTACTTTGTATACAATTTGTTCTTCCTTATATGGTTATTTTTAATGTGGACGATAAGAACATTTTTATTCTCTAATATAAGGCATTTAGTTCTCTAAATTTCTCACTAGTGCTGTTTTAACAGCATTTCACAAAGTTTCTGGATACTTTTAAATTTTTATATTTATCATTGGCATAGATCAATTTGATTATGATGTGACTTGGTATAGATTTATTCATGTTTTCTGTGCTTAAGGTTTGTTGAACTTCTTCAGAATGATCATTTTCATAAACTGAGGAAATTTTTGACCATTAATTCTTCATCTATATTTTGTCACCACTATTGCTTTTAATGAGTCTAATTACAAATATGCTAGGTCACTTGAAGTAGTCCCACAGTTTTTGGATGCTCTTTTAATTTTATTGGGTTATTTTTTTCCTGTGTGTTTAATTTTGAATAGTTTCTACCACTATATTGCCATAACATAATCCTATCTTCTGTAATTTCTAATTTATTGTCAATCACTTTAAGTACATTTTCATTAGGCATATTAAAGTTTTCACCTCTAGATGTTTTTACAAGTCTTAATGTTCTCAGCATATGGAATATAGTTACAGTAACTGTTTAATGTTTTATCTGCCAAATCTAACATTTGTGTCAGTTCTGAGTCAGTTGTAATTGACTATTTATTTACTTCATTATGGATATGTTTTCCAATTTCTTTGAATGTCTGTTCATCTTTGAACATCAGACATTGTGATTTTTACTTCAATAGATGTTGAATATTTTTGTATTATAGTAAATATTCTTTAGTTTTTTCTTGGGATGCAGTTCAAATACTAGGAATCAGTTCGATCTTTTTGGGTATTTGTTAGGCAAGACCAGAACAGTTCTCAGAATGAGGCTAATTATTCTCTTCTACTGAGGCAAGGTCTTCCTGAATACCATACCCACTGCCACATAAATTGTGTGTTTTTCCAGTCTTACCGGTGAGGAAAGGTGCTATTTCTGGTCCTGTGTGAACATAGGCCACTCTCCTCTAATCCTTTTGGATGATACTTTTTCTCCTGGCCTCAGGTGATTTCCACATACATATGTGCTTTTCAGTTCTCAGCCACACACTAGAGGGGCATTCTTTGCATATCTCTATTGTTCTGTCTGTGCAGCTTTCTCCTCTGTGGTACCCTGTACTGTGAATTCTAGCCCCTTTGTTCTCCCTGGACTTTCAGCTCCCTTACCTTATGTCAGGGATGCTAAGGATTCTCCACCTGAATTATTTTATTCTGCATTGCAGCCTGGAAACTCAAAGAAACAATTTGGAGCAAGCACAGTGCTCAGTTTATTTGTTTCCCCTTCTCTCTGTTGTCACTTTCCCTCGTTGTTTGATATCTAGTGTCCTGAAAGCAATTGATTCGCACATTTTTTTTTCTGTTTGGGTTTTTTATGGTTGTTGTTTCAGGAGGAAAGGCAAATCTGGTCCCTGTCATCCTTTATTATTCAAAAACAGAATTCTTTATTATTTGATTTTAACATAAATTTGCATAAATAAAGTAAGTGATTTTGGTAAAAAATCAGCTTTATGGTCAGAAACACCTGTGTTAGAATTTCAATTTGCAACCTTAAACATCTTCATGCCCTTGGGCAATTTATTTAACCTAAGATAATATCTGAGTTTACGAACAGTGCAAATAAATGATTAAGATTGAGAGATCTGATGTCACCAGCATAGCAGAGGAATTTCAAGTCTCATTGTGCGAGGGTATAACATTTGTGTTATGATACAAAGGTGACCCTGAAAACTATGTGTATAGCCAGACAGTAGATCCCAGTCCTGAAAAAGAGGGAGGATTTTACCATGCTCCCCTAGTTTATTCTCCCAGGCTCACCAATCAGTTAAGCCATTCCTCCTCTAATGAGGAGAAAGGCCAAGAGTATTACACATATGGGAAGGCTTCCACATGGGAACATGTGGAGTGGAGAATAAGTAACTGTTCCTCAAAATCAATCAACTCTTAGAATAAACAGACAGATAGGCAGGAACTACCTACTGTTCAAGTTTAATTACAGGACTAATTCCCTAAAGTTCAATAAGAAGAGGCGATTATACAAAATATCTTAAAACCGTATTTATACCAGCAAGAATATTTTAAGTAATTGAAAGTAAGATTTATTGTGAAATATCTGTGCTCAGATAATGGGACATTGACTATAACATCAAAGCCCTCATTTTGGTCTATTTTTATGGATGAGATTTTGTGCCATATAATTGAGCTCCTCAAAATCAAACCATGAGAGAAGAAATTAGAGTACTGAGGCAGATACTCTTTCAATGGCTTACAAGAAATATCATATCTCAATAAGGCTTTGATTAGTGATCACTCTGCAGAAAACATCCTGTGTACTGAAGCATGTAATAACCTGTCATGAAATAAATTAAACCAGCAACTAACCTTTTGAAAATACCTCCTAAATGTTTTTTTCTTTTTCATGAAAAAGAAGGGGAAAGCACTGTATTTTTTTTTAACATTTTATTTTCCACTGGAGCCAGGTCAAATAAAAGTATGGATTCTTCAAAGGAATGTAATATCTAGAGTACATAAATGTGTTTCACCTATTACTTAGCAGCTGGGATTGTCTTGCTATTCTCTTTGCAGTCTCTTTTATTAGAATGACAAAATCTTCCATTTTATTAGTGTAGAATTAATTCACCAATAATAAAATAATTTTATCTACTCAAAATAATATTAACTGGGTTTTTATGATAGACCCAACTAAGCTACCATGTCAGGTCTTTCAAAAGATTGTATCTTTAGTCTTTGTTTTTATATTTAACTTAGCAGATTAACATCAACTTCTCTACTTAGAGTACAGGGCCAATAAAATGGTAAAACAGCATAAATGGCTTAAATGTTTCCTACCATGTGCTATACCTAGTAATGTATAAATGTAGTTTTTATCTAAAGACTTTCCAGTCCAGGAAAACCAGAAAACTATCAAATATCCTTTAGACCCTTAGTTCTTTGAGAGTCTGAGAAGGGAGTGATAAGTACAGGTTGGAATGAATAGGAAGGTCTTGTAGAGAAAATGTCTTTAAGGAACTTTTAGGAATTATATAAATTAAGAATAGGAGAAAGGGCAATCCTAGATGTGGAATCAACATAGAGGTAGAGATGAGATTGATGTCAGGGAAAAAAATCAAGCAGAAATTTAGTGAGAAGGGATTGGTGGATTTAGGGTAAAGCCTACACATGGAAATCACACAAAAGTATTCAAGATTGTTGCAATGACAAATAATGCATCATTAATGACTTCTATGCAAAAGAACAATGTATTCAAATTTACGTTTTAGGAAATTGAGAGGTTGTATAGTAATGGAAAGATATAGAGAAATATAACAGGCTGTTGTAGTAATTTATGTTTAAAATATAGAGAAAATGTGGACAATTACAAAGGGAAACAGACTGGTCCATAATTAAACTGGAAGATATTAACACCGATTTCCCCACAGCGACTGATAGATTACATAGACAAAACATGAATAAAGATATAAAAACATGGTTAACAAGCTTTATCTGGAGAACATTTACCTGTACCCACCATTTAGAGAGCATACATTCATGTAACACAATATTGACTATGTATAGGTCACAAAGGAAGTATAAAAATAAGATATGTAACCCATTTTGCTGATGACTATGTGATAAAATTAAACATCAATGAAATGAGAGTACTCAATTCCCATACGTTAAAAAAATAAAAAGGCAAAAAAAAATTCTATATAATTTATGGTTCAAAGAAGATGTAATAATATAAATGATAAAATATTTGTAATTGAACAGTAATAAAAACACTTCATTTCTGATCGGGGATGAAGCTAAACTGGCAAATAAAAGAAAGTATGTATTCTTTAAATCTTTTCTACCAATTTAGGAATTTCAAAGATAAAATTTGTATTGGTAATCATATTAAAATGGTGTCAAAAGTACAACAGCATCAACTAAAAGAACTGGAAAAAGGAAATAAACATATAATAGATATTAGAACATAAATTAATACACTATAGTTACAAAAGGAGAGACTTAAAACACAAAACAAAACCTGGTTCTTTTAGAAGTTTAGCAAAATAAACAAGCCTCTGTTAAGATTCAGTCTCCCAAGAACAAGTTGCATTTGTTGTTTTTGATACTGTTGATGATGTTTTTCATCAATATATCCCTAGAACCTTAGTACAGGTCTTGGAATATATTGTTTCTTGATTAATGCTTGTTAATACATGTTGTATTAGATGTGATGAGGCAACATCTAAATGGATGGGAAACAGGATGAAGTGTAAGCAAACTAACACTTATCTGAGAGCCAAGACCTCCACAGAAGTCTAATCTTGGCTGTGTGTGTTAGTCAGGGTTCCCTAGAGGGACAGGACTAATAGAATAGATGTATATACGAAAGAAAGTTTATTAAGGAGCATTGATTCACACGATCACAAGAAGTCCCACAATAGGCCACCTGCAAGCTGAGGAGAAGGAAGCCAGTCCAAGTCCCAAAACCTCAAAAGGTAGAGAAGCCGATGGTGCAGCTTTCAGTCTGCAGCCAAAGCCCCGAAAGCCACTGGCAAACCACTGGTGTAAGCACGAGTCCAAAAGCTGAACAACTGGGAGTTCAATGTTTGAGGGCAGGAATCATACAGCATGGAAGAAAGATGGAGGCCAGAAGACTTAGCCAGTCTAGTCCTTCCATGTTCCTCTGCCTGCTTTTTATCCTAGCCGAGCTGGCAGCTGATTAAATGGTGCCCACCCAGATTAAGGGTGGGTCTGCCTCTCCCAGTCCACTGACTCAAATTTTAATCTCCTTTGGCAACACCTTCACAGACACACCCAGGAACAATACTTTGCATCCTTTAATCCAATCAAATCGACACTCAGTATTAACCATCACACTGTGTAATGTTGGAAAAGTAACTTATCTATCTCCTTTATTTTGAAACTTTAAAACAGAAATAGAAAATAGAGAGAAAGTCTTGAATTTGCTCACATCTCTTCTAGCTCTGAGACTCTAAATCTGTAATTTTCTTATTTATAAATTGAACATTTATTGACTTGCTTTTCTATTTGTTCTGCATCTCTCCCCACTAAGCTACACTGAGTAACATTACCTGTTTCACTTCCAATGTATATGCAAGATCTAATGCTGTTCCTGGCACTGACTAGTGCTTGATAAATATTTGTTGGCTTATTGAGTAAACATTATAAGGGAACACATTTAAGACAGACATTGAAGAGAGCCCGATAGATCATGAGCAGTAAAAAATACATTTACATGATTTGGGTGAAAAGTCCACAGGAAGTTTCAGTTTCAGGAGGCATCAGAATAGAGATGTTAGGTAAAGCTCTGAGGAAAATAAGCTGTTAAAGAAAACAAAATATGGGCCTCTAATTTATTTTAATTGTATACAATTTTCTACTTAAATAGTAATGCAGACTCATTGTGTAGAATTTGAAAAATGTACAATTAGGAAAACAACAGCTTTAAAATACTTTTGAAAATGCTTGCAATTCTCTTAAAACTCTAGTTTTAACAACAAGATACGTCAATTCTTTGTTCTCTGTAAGGTTGTGTGTGGGTTGTTGGTAAAGTATTGAAAGTTGCTATTAAACAAGCAGGAAATGTGGCCCCTGTCCTAAAAAGCTTACAATTAAATTGAAAGGACAAAACAAGCCCCATGGAATAATAAAGACTAATTTTAAAGCACCATATGATTAAGGGCTTAAATATACATAAAAAATTAAAACTTGAATGTTCTGCTGAGAGCCAGAAGTATAAATCTGCAATAAGTGTGGGCTGGAGAGTGGAGTTAGTCAGGTTTATTAAAAGAGGTAAATTTTTGCTTAGGACATGATGGGATCTAGGAGTAGGTGGTGGGGATGACAATATTAATGTAGAGAAACAGAGAAATATGAGGGAGAGAATACATGTTGTTTGAAAACAGTTGAAGGCCTCCTTTGCTTTGTAGTTTCACAGAGGCAGTTCTCATATAGTGCAATGGCCTTAGAGCAATATGACCTGGGGTCTAGTCCCGTTATTGTCACTAATTCAATGTGGGTACTTAGAGAATTTGCCTCAAGCTCTCTATCTTAGGACTAGAATTTCTTCTAGCTCTGATATTAAAGGAAATATACAGAAAATTTGTCATTTAAATGCATCCGTCACCCATTTTGCCTCTTTTAACTTTCATGCAAAGTCTTTCATTAATGGAGAATGCAGGTTGATTTAGGAGAAAGAGCATTTATTTAGGCAAAATATTACTTTTCCAACTATAATAATTTTTTATAGAATTTAGAATATTTTAAACTAGAGGTAAAGCCAAAGGCAGATTTGCATAATGATTGATATAAAAGCTATGTCACTTCCCACTTGGCTATTCAGCTTGCACCCAGAATGAAAGAAGGTTCTGAAACACAAATTTATGTAATGCAAAACTTTCCCCAAGAAGTAACAAATTGCATAGCTAAGTACTTGTAACCAGGGATATGTTCAGTGTTTTATTAGTACTCTGCAATTTTCAGAATCCACGGCAATTTGCCTCCTGTGGCAAAATCCTTCTCATTGACTATTATATACTGTTTCTGAAGGCAAAAAACCCTCCAGTTTTATGCTCAGTATCTTTTGCCTTTTCCCCCTGATATTTCTAACAGTTTTAAATGTCATTGCTTTACTTCCTTCCCTCCCTCATTTCTCTCTTTCTCTCCTCCTTCTCTTTCTCTGAATACCTCTCACTTTTCATGTATAAAGCAGCTTCATTCTCTCTATGCTCCAATTACACGTTAAGGTTAAGTTTACCTTCATAACCTCTGTTGAGGTTTTTATGAGAATGTACATTCAGACACTTGAAGTTTTCCTTGTCAGCTTGAACTCAAGGAAAAAGAACTAAAGGTGTGTTTAGGTTGCACAATAAAAAGAACAATAAAAATTCATGTCAACACGTCAGTGAAAAGTCCATGAAAGTAAGACTACAAAATATTGTTTATTAATACGCCAGTTAAGTAAAAATCTAAAATCTGTCAGCTAGAGCAGCAGAAAATGCGAAGTCTCAGTTAGTATTCAGAAGAGTAAACTCTTCATTGAGTCAATTAATCGTTGCACTTCATTCTAGAAATGCAGGAGTTGGGCTTTAGACAAGTCTTTATATTCTATTCTGCAGATCTCAAACACATCCCCCTTATGTTGTTTCAGAAATAACTTGGTATGAGATGTCATCAGTGGATATCTCTTGAACTCTCATTCTCCTCTCTCCTTACCATTTTTTTCTTTCTTTCACACAGCCCCACACTTTAGTCTATGACATACATACCAATCAAAACATGTTTTCCATTTTTTATATTGAGAGCTGCCTAGAGATGGTGTTACAAATGACCACATTTTTAATGCTTTCAAGAACAATAAGATTATTAAGAACCGAAGTAGAGGCATTAGTTTTCTTATTTATCATCAGTTAATTTCAATAATAATAATAATATCACCTAATGTAAGGCTGAAAAAAATAAACATAGTACTTACAAAGTCCTGTTTTCTCCAGTATCATTTTTAAGATTTTCAGATCATATAAAACAACTAAAACAACCATCAAAACAACATTGAATGCCCAATAATTTTTTAAATATTTGAGTGTTTTACTTTCTTGAGATTTACTGACTCTAGATTTATCACCATTGGATTCTATTGGGCTAAGTAGGTAGTTCTGGTGATTTAGAACACTTGTTTGCTCACCTACTATAGACAGGGTAGTTGTAGCACATTAATTCATTTATATATTTTGATCATTTTAGATATACCTGTGGACACTGTGTCCAACTTAGGGGGAAGAATTATTCTTGCTGTGATAGCTTTGGATTATGTGTGTTAGGTTCAAAGCAGAAAATGCCAGACACGTTTTCCTCCTTCCTATCCCTTTTTTCTATACACGGAACACTTAGGTCAATCAGTTTTTTGAGTCTTTATGCTCTATGCTCTGAAGCGTTCTCCATAAAACAAAACAAAATTCAGAAGGAAGGTCCTTGCATGGTCTTTGCAAGAATCCAAAGCAAAGTCTCAAAGGTTGTTTTCGTCTTTGGCCTGTTCTCTTGGAGTTGACCCATGAAATCTGGAACATGCACTCATTATAATTATAAATTATCTACAGTCATTAGAGAAGTTTTTAAAATTTAAACATTCATTTAAGAAATAAATAATTACTTACTAAACCTCAAGATTTAGAAAGCCTGTTATTACACTCTTGGTTAAAAATGCAGCTTCTACCTGCAAAGTATTCATAGGGCTCTAGTTTTTAATCTATTAGCCATGTTCAGAAGAGTCACAGTTGAGACTCTAAAGCTGAAAATAACAATGCATGAATGAATTTCTGTTCTCTTTTGCTGTTTCTTATAAGCTAAACTTTGAGTAGACAAAAATAAGTCTTCCTCCAAATAGCTGTAATATATAAGGCCAGACTCATTTGGACATTCTCTTTAAATAACATAGAAACAGTTTTATCTCCAGAGAAAATTTCTGAAGCATTATTTTTTTAGGTAAAACTAGAAAAACATACAAAAAAATCCTCTTTATTCTTACTGTCATTGCCTTATGCCAGGTACTCCTTACTTCTCACTGATACTAGTTTAATATCTCTTAATTGGTTTTATCCTCTTAAATCAATTATTTACCTCCAGAAGGATTTGTTTAAAATATTATATTAATTATTATAATTCCCCTGAGCAAAAAAATGTGGATTGCTAACCATAGTAATTCAGATTTGATTCTGAAGACAGCATTTTTTTTATTTTACCTCTACTGAATTTTTTCAATATTATTTTTAATTGACAAATAGTAATTGTACATATTCATGGGATACATCATGACATTTTGATATATGTAATGTATAGTGATCAGATCAGGGTAATTACCATTGATAAATAAAAATTAAATTTTAAGCCCCCTCCCCTCCTCTTCCATTGGCCAAGGGAACTCCAGAGAAAAACTGTAAACTGAGTTCTTGCCATGATGGAATGGGAGGTCGGACAGGTCTCATTATGCCTCCTCCCACACTAATCACCATTAGGCTTTTTTTCCTAAGGGTTGAACAGAAACTAGCCCTTTCAAAAAACTAGCTGCACTGCTGATTTCAAACAACACCTCATGCTGCTCCTTCCTTTTGTGGCTTTGACAAAAGAACTGACCAGCATTCCTTCCTGATAAGAGATCACCAACCATGGAGTGGTTCTTGCCAGTCTACAGATGATGTGCACTAAAGGGGTATTGAGTCCTCTGCTTCACCTTCTGAAGTCAGAGGGCTGAAAACTCTACCCTTGGGTCATGCTAACACAACCATTTTTTTGAACATGAATCCCATGGAGGGAAATGAAGCTCAATTATACATATGCATGTTTCTTCTTTTATGACTCCTTCTATAGCTTATTGAATATATATATGTATATATTTAGCCACCTCCTTTAGCATAAATCCCTGTCTCATTCTTCCCACCCTCAAAGTGTCTGTTTCCAGATTCTGGCCAGAGGCTATGCTTCCCAGCCTGTTGGAATGGCCACTCTGCAGGCTGCAACCCTTTAAGAGAAGTAAGTTCCCCTTTCCAAATTTATGAACCTTGTCATTCTTCAGTTGACACCATATCCAGTATCTTAAACATTTGTTATTTATTTATGTTGGATACTTTCAATATCCTCCTTCTAGCTATTTGAAACTATATATTATTAACTATGGTTATCCTGTAGGATATATTTCAAGTATCCTCCTTCTAGCTATTCAAAACTATATATTATTAACTACAGTTATTAACTACAGTGCTATATAATGCTGGAACTTATTCCTCTTATCTAGCTGCAATTTTGTGTCCTTTAACAAATCTTTCCTTGTCCCTCCTTGCCTCCTATCCTTTCCACCCTCTAGTATTCTCTGTTCTGCTTTTCACTTCTATAAGGTCAGCTTTTTTTTTTAACTTCCACATATGAATGAGAATATCCACTGTTTAGCTTTCTGTTCCTGACACGTCTTTCACTTAACATATCCTCCAATTTTATCCATGTTGCCACAAATAAGAGGATTACATTTTTTTGTGGCCAAATAGTATTCCATTGTGAATATATACTCCATTTTTTATCCATTCATATGTTAATGAACATTAGGTTGGTTCCACATCTTCAGTATTGTGAATAGTGCTACAATAAACACGGAGGTGTAGATGAACCTTCATTATAATGACTTTCTCTCCTTTGGATACCTGCCCAGTACTGGGATTGCTGGTAGTTATATTTTATGGTAGTTATATGTATATATGGTAGTTATATTTTAATTTTTTAAGAACTTCATGCTGTTCTTCGTAGTGGCTGTACAAGTTTACATTCCCACCAACAGTGTATGAATCCCCTTTTCTCTGCATCCTTACCACAATTTACTATTTTTTGACTTTTTGATAATAGTCATCTTAACTGAATGAAATGATACTCAATTATGGTTTTGATTTGCATTTCCCTGATGATTAGTGATGTTGAGCATTTTATTTTTCATATATTTGTTGACCATTTGTATGTCTGCTTTTGAGAAATGTCTGGTCAGATCATTTGCTCATTTTTAATCAGATATTTTGTTGTTGTTGTTGACATGTTTGAGTTCATTGAAAGTTCTGGATATTAATCCTTTGTCAGACGAGTAGCTTGCAAAGATTCTTTTTCCATCCTATAGGCTGTCATTTCACTCTGTTGCTTGTTTGCTTTGCTGTGGAGAAGATTTTTAATTTGTTTTACTCTATTTATTTTTGCTTTCATTGCCTCTATTTTAAAGGTCTTATTCACAATTTTTTCCCCCAGGCCAATTTCCTGTAGCATTTTCTTTATGTTTTGTTCTTAAGCACTGCTTATTGACGAGACAATCCTTTCTTCAATGAATGTCCTTGGCACTATGTCAAAAATCAGTGGGCTGTAGATATGTCGATTAATGTTTATGTTACCTACTCTGCTCCATTGCCCTTTGTGTCTCTTTTTATGCTAGTATCATGCTGTTTTGGTTACTATAGCCTTGTAGTATAATTTGAGGTCTGAAAGTATGATACCTCCAGCTTTGTTCTTTTTGCTATGAATCACATTGGCTATTTGGAGTATTTTGTGGTTCCAAAATATTTTAGGATTTTTTCTAATTTTGTGAAGAATGTTATTGGTATTTTGATAAAGATTGCATTGAATCTGTGGATTGCTTTGGGTAATATTGTCATTTCAACAATATTAATTCTTCTAATCCATGAACATGAGATGTTTTTCTATTTGTTTTGTATCCTCTTCAATTTCTTGCAACAGTGTTTTGTAGTTTTCCTTAAAGAAGTCTTTCACCTTTTTGGTTACATTTATTCCTAGGTATTTTTGTAGCTATTACAAAGGGCATTGTCTTCTTGATTTCTTTTTCAGCTAGATTCTTGTTCGTGTGTGGAAAGCTACTAATTTTTGTTTATTAATTTTGTATCCTGCAACTTTACTGAATTCATTGATCAGTTCCAAGTGGGGTTCTTTGGTAGAATCTTTTGTTTTTTCTAGATATAAGATGATGTCATCTGCCAACAGGGACAATTTGACTTCTTCCTTTCCAATTTGGATGCACTTCATTTCTTTCTCTTGAATAATTGCTCTGGCAAATCTAACAATCCAGTAGACCCAATCTACCTTTTAAATATCTAATCTTTAACTAGAGCCTTCCATACATCCAGGCTCCAGACACATGGCCCCCAATGTTTAACAAGCAAGCAATATATGCTCTTATGGCCATGACTTCATTCTTGGCTCCTTGAACCATCTGAAATGCATTCCCTATCTGACAAAATTTCTTTTTACTTATTGACACTTACCTCAACTCAGCCTATATTAAACTCACACTGATTCTCTCAGTTGAAATTAAATAATTTTGTGTTAAGCACCCTGTAACACTTTACTTGAACTCTTATTATAACATGTTGACCATTTCAGAAGGAGCAGGTTGAGGAAGCATCTTATATCTTCTTGAGTGAATTCAAGTAGTTCGTGTTCGTGTCTTTCTAAGAATTTGTCTATTTCTTCCACGTTATTTAATTTGTTGGCATATAGTATTTCTAAAAATTCTTTTTTATTTTTGTATTTCTGTAAGGTTAGTTAGATTACTACCATTAGTCCCCCTTTCATCTGATTTCAGTAGTTTAGTAGTTGATTAGTCTAACTAAAGTTTAGGGTAAACACTTAAATATTATTTTGTCTTCACATATGTATGATTAATAATGTCTAATATTATACTCACTTAAAGTGACAGCTCTAATAATGCATGTGCAGTCTACAAAATTTGCCATTCATCCATACTGCATATCAAAATACCTGGCATTAGAAAGAATGAATTTAAAATCTGTTTATATTATCACAGCAATTTACAACATTAAATTTGTCAGTGAATGAACAAGAACAGATATTAGAGTAAAATTAATAATTTCAATGTTTGTAAAAATTTGAAAGGTAGTAAGAATAACATTTAATAAAAAAATCACCCACTTGTGCAAACCAGTTTTCTCTCATTAATGGTGATTATTAATAATTTGAACGGAGCATAGTAAATGGTCTTAAGCAGAAGCAGAATAATATGATTATTAATAATTTAAACAGAGCATAGTAAATGATCTTAAGCACTTTGAGCACAAAATATGTTATGAAAAGTTCCAGTTTGGGGCTATAATCAGCCTAGACCAGTCTACCCAACTAGAACATCTACAAAAACAAAAGGAAGAAAAAGAAACTGAGGCATTCAGGAATTGAGTGGCCAACATCACAGAGAAGAAAAAAGTCATTAAGGTATTGCCTCCCTTTCCAGCCACTTTTCTCTAATGTAATTTGCCAATTTACCACTCTGAGCTTGTAGGTCAAAGAGAAAAAAACTATGGGTTACAACTTGTGACTGTCTCACTGCTCTGTAGTGTAGTTGGAAGGTGAGTTAGTTTAGCCATTGTGAAAGCAGTAACAAATTCTGAAATAACTTTATTTTGTTTTCAAAAGAACATTTGAAAGTTACTTTCAGCTATTTAAAAATGTACAGTATATAATTTGTACAATGTGTAATTTGTACATGGTGTACTATGCTAGCCATATATATATATGCAACCTTTTGTTGCAGGTCAGCCATTCACTTGATAAGAACTTGTGTCTAAATTTCCAGAATTTCAGCTCTTTCTCTACAGGAGATAGGACTCTGATTCAGGGCAATCTTGAATATCTGAAGCTCAGCATCTGTTTCTGAAACTGGGAGTTTGAATCTCTGAGTCAAACTCAGAGAAAGATCTCAATCTTTCATCCGTTTGTCCAGTGAACTTAGGAGCAACCAACCAGATTCACTATGTTCCTTGGTTCTCCACATATAGTCAAAGGTATTACGTGTAGAGTCACTAAACACATTGCCTCTCACTAGCAGTGAATCAGGAGTGTCAAATGCATTTATTTTGCATAACTCTCTAAGCAGTTCATGCCAAGGACTGTCAGTGATCTCTATACAATTAGAAGTGGAGTCCTTAGCATTTTGGGATCTAATAATATTAAGCAGCCCACTGCAGGAACCCCAAAACCAGCAAATGAACTCCATCTTTAATATTCTGTTCTTCTAGAACCACTCCTGGTAGCAAAATCTCTATTAGTCAGGGTTCTCTAGAGGGACAGTACATATATACATACATATATATATATATGTATATATATGCATACACACACATAAAAATATACCCGTTGTCTGCAAGCTGAAAATCAAGGAAGCCAGTCCAAGTCCCAAAGCTGAAGATCTTGGAGTCTGATGTTTGAGGGCAGGAAGTATCCAACATGGGAGAAAGATGTAGGCTGGGAGGCTAAGCCAGTCTAGCCTTTTCACATTTTTCTTCCTGTTTTGTGTTCACTTGCAGCTGATTAGATGGTACCCACCCAGATTAAGAGTGAGTCTGCCTTCCCCAGCCCACTGAGTCAAATGTTAATCTCCTTTGGCAACACCCTCACAGACACAACCAGATCAATACTTTGCATCCTTGAAGCCAATCAAGTTGACACTCAGTCTTAACTATCATAATACGTTTGCATACATAATTTATATATGTATACATTGTGTGCAATGTAAAGTAAGGGTCCAAATTCAATCTTTTTCATGCTGGATATTCAGTTGTTTCAACACCATTTGTTGAAGAGACAATTATTTCACTATTGTAAAGCCTTGGTACCCTTGTAAAAGACTATTATACCATATGAATAAAAGCTTATTTCTGGGACCTCTATTCCATTTCATTGATCCATTTCTGTCTTATGCCAATATTATATTGTTGATTACTGTAGCTTTGTAATATGTTTCAAAATCAGGAAGTATGAGGATTACAGCTTCGTTTTATTTATTTATTTATTTTATTTTTTATTTTTTTTTGAGACAGAGTCTTGCTGTCGCCCAGGCTGGAGTGCAGTGGCGCGATCTCGGCTCACTGCAGGCTCTGCACCCCGGGTTTCACACCATTCTCCTACCTCAGCCTCCCCAGTAGCCGGGACTACAGGTGCCCGCCACCTCGCCTCGCTAATTTTTCTTGTATTTTTAGTAGAGACGGGGTTTCACCATGTTAGCCAGGATGGTCTTGATCTCCTGACCTCGTGATCCACCTGCCTTGGCCTCCCAAAGTGCTGGGATTACAGGCATGAGCCACACTTTGTTTTATTTTTTTTCCCTCAAGTGTGTTTTTGTTATCCAGGGTTCTTTGAGATTCCATATAGTTTTAAAACATTTTTTGTCTGTGTCTCAAAAAAATTCCATGGAGATTTTTCTATGGATTGCAATGAATCTATTAATTAGTGATTCAATCTTCTTACTAGTTATAAGTCGCTTCAGATTTTTTTATTTCTGCATAAGTCAGCATTGGTAGGTTGATGCTTCTAGAATACTCATTTCAAGGCTTTATGCATTCCTTCTAAGTTTTCCCATTTGTTAGAATGAAATTGTTATGGTAGTTTCTTATCATCCTTTTTCTTCTCTTGTGGCATAAGTTGTAATGCCTTCTCTTTCATTTCCAGTTTTATTTATTTGAATCTTATCTTTTTGTTTCTGTTCTAGCTATGGGTTTGTAAATTTAGTCTAACTTTAATAAAAACAGCACACAGTTTCATATTTTTCTATTGTTTTTCTATTCTTTATTTTGTTTATTTCTATTCTAATCTTTATTATTTCTTTGCATGAAGTTTGGTGCTTAGTTTACTTTTCTTTTTCTAGTTCCTCGTGGTATAAAGTTAGGTTGTTAATTTAAAATTTTTCTTCCTTTTAAATGCAGATATCCACTTTCTAAAATTTCCCTCTTAGTACTGATTTTGCTGCATCCCATAAGATTTGGTATATTGTATTTCTATTTTTATTTCTCTTAAGATTTTTAAATTAGTTGATATACCTAATGCTAAATGACGAGTTAATGGGTGCAGCACACCAACATGGCACATGTATACATATGTAACAAACCTGCACATTGTGCACATGTACCCTAAAACTTAAAGAATAATAAAAAGAAAAGAAAAAAAAAGAAATACTTCAAACAACTGGCCAAAATCACTATGTCAGCAAACCTTTTCATCAGAAGCTATAACAAATAGGTGAAATAGGATTTTTCATAAATGCTATGGCTTTCCATTTACTTAATCATTTCACAGATTTGCATAATTTAAATTAAGATTCTAGAGCACAAACATTTATTGTAAATTTTACCTTCTAATCATTCCGTTAAAATTGTAAATTTTACCTTCTAACCATTATCCCTCTGAAAACACTTTTGTTCCGAAATAAATACTTTTCACAAAAAAGATTATTACTGCTTTATCTTAGACAAACTCCCAAGAAGCAATCAATATATTTTCCTATTTTTAGTTGTATTCATATTTTTTGTCAGGCCTCTGAGCCCAAGCCAAGCCATCACATCCCCTGTGACCTGCACATATACGCCCAGATGGCCTGAAGTAACTAAAGAATCACAAAAGAAGTGAATATGCCCTGCCCCACCTTAACTGATGACATTCCACCACAAAAGAAGTGTAAATGGCCGGTCCTTGCCTTAACTGATGACATTACCTTGTGAAAGTCCTTTTCCTGGCTCATCCTGGCTCAAAAAGCACCCCCACTGAGCACCTTGCGACCCCCACTCCTGCCCGCCAGAGAACAAACCCCCTTTGACTGTAATTTTCCTTTACCTACCCAAATCCTATAAAACGGCCCCACCCTTATCTCCCTTCGCTGACTCTCTTTTCGGACTCAGCCCGCCTGCACCCAGGTGATTAAAGGCTTTATTGCTCACACAAAGCCTGTTTGGTGGTCTCTTCACACGGACGCGCATGAAATTTGGTGCCGTGACTCGGATCGGGGGACCTCCCTTGGGAGATCAATCCCGTCCTCCTGCTCTTTGCTCCATGAGAAAGATCCACCTACGACCTCAGGTCCTCAGACCGACCAGCCCAAGAAACATCTCACCAATTTCAAATCCGGTAAGCGGCCTCTTTTTACTCTCTTCTCCAACCTCCCTCACTATCCCTCAACCTCTTTCTCCTTTCAATCTTGGTGCCACACTTCAATCTCTCCCTTCTCTTAATTTCAATTCCTTTCATTTTCTGGTAGAGACAAAAGAGACATGTTTTATCCGTGAACCCAAAACTCCGGCGCCGGTCATGGACTGGGAAGGCAGCCTTCCCTTGGTGTTTAATCATTGCAGGGACACCTCTCTGATTATATACTCACATTTCAAGGGTGTCAGACCACACAGGGACGCCTGCCTTGGTCCTTCACCCTTAGCGGCAAGTCCCGCTTTCCTGTGGCAGGGGCAAGTACCCCTCAACCCCTTCTCCTTCACCCTTAGTGGCAAGTCCCGCTTTCCTGGGGCAGGGGCAAGTACCCCTCAACCCCTTCTCCTTCACCCTTAGCGGCAAGTCCCACTTTCCTAGGGGGCAAGAACCCCCCAATTGCTTATTTCCGCACCCCAACCTCTTATCTCTGAGCCCCAATCGCTTATTTCTGCACCCCAACCTCTTCCCTCTGCACCCCAATCCCTTATTTCTGCACCCTGACCTCTTTGTGCCCTAATCCCTTATTTCCATGTCCCAACCCTTTCTCTGCTTTTCTGGAGGGGAAGAAACCCCCACCCCTTCTCCGTGTCTCTACTCTTTTCTCTGGGCTTGCCTCTTTCACTATGGGCAAGCTTCCACCTTCCATTCCTCTTTCTTCTCCCTTAGCCTGTATCCTTAAGAACTTAAAACCTCTTCAATTCTCACCTGACCTAAAATCTAAGCGTCTTATTTTCTTCTGCAATGCTGCTTGACCCCAATACAAACTTAACAGTATTTCCAAATAGCTAGAAAATGGCACTTTCAATTTTTCCATCCTACAAGATCTAAATAATTCTTGTCGTAAAATGGGCAAATGGTCTGAGGTGCCTGACATCCAGGCATTCTTTTACACATCAGTCCCTTCCTAGTCTCTGTGCCCAGTGCAACTCGTCCCAAATCTTCCTTCTTTCCCTCCCGCCTGTCCCCTCAGTCCCAACCCCAAGCGTCACTGAGTCTTTCTAATCTTCCTTTTCTACAGACCCATCTGACCTCTCCCTTCCTCCCCAGGACGAGCTAGGTCCCGATTCTTCCTCAGCCTCCACTCCTCCACCCTATAATCTTTTTATCGCCTCCCCACCTCACACCTGCTCCAGCTTACAGTTTCATTCTGTGACTAGCCCTCCCCCACCAGCCCAACAATTTACTCTTAAAAAGGTGGCTGGAGCTAAAGGCATAGTCAAGGTTAATGCTCCTTTTTCTTTATCCCAAATCAGATAGCGTTTAGGCTCTTTTTCATCAAATATAAAAATCCAGCCCAGTTCATGACTTGTTTGGCAGCAAACCTGAGACGCTTTACAGCCCTAGACCCTAAAAGGTCAAAAGGCCATCTTATTCTCAATATACATTGTATTACCCAATCTGCTCCCCACATTAAATAAATCTCCAAAAACTGGAATCTGGCCCTCAAACCCCACAACAGGACTCAATTAACCTCACCTTCAAGGTGTGCAATAACAGAAAAAAGTTGCAATTCCTTGCCTCCACTGTGAGACAAACGCCAGCCACATCTCCAGCACACAAGAACTTCCAAACGCCTGAACTGTAGCAGCCAGGCGTTCCTCCAGAAACTCCTCCCCCAGGAACTTGCTACACATGCTGGAAATCTGGCCACTGGGCCAAGGAATGCCCGCAGCCCGGGATTCCTCCTAAGCCTCGTCCCATCTGAAAATCGGACTGTTCAACTCACCTGGCAGCCACTCCCAGAGCTCCTGGAACTCTGGCCCAAGGCTCTCTGACTGACTCCTTCTTGGCTTACCGGCTGAAGACTGACACCGCCCGATCGCCTCGGAAGCCTCCTAGACCATCACGGATGCCGAGCTTTAGGTAACTCTCACAGTGGAAGGTAAGCCCGTCCCCTTCTTAATCAATACGGAAGCTACTCACTCCACATTACCTTCTTTTCAAGGGCCTGTTTCCCTTGCCTCCATAACTGTTGTGGGTATTGACGGCCAGGCTTCTAAACCTCTTAAAACTCCCCAACTCTGGTGCCAACTTAGACAATACTCTTTTAAGCACTCCTTTTTAGTTATCCCCACCTGCCCAGTTCCCTTATTAGGCTGAGACACTTTAACTAAATTATCTGCTTCTCTGACTATTCCTGGGCTACAGCTGTATCTCATTGCCGCCCTTCTTCCCAATCCAAAGCCTCCTTTGCATCCTCCTCTTGTATCCCCCAACCTTAACCCACAAGTATAAGATACCTCTACTCCCTCCTTGGCGACCGATCATGCACCCCTTACCATCTCATTAAAACCTAATCACCCTTACCCCGCTCAACGCCAATATCCCATCCCACAGCACACTTTAAAAAGATTAAAGCCTGTTATCACTCGCCTGCTACAGCATGGCCTTTTAAAGCCTATAAACTCTCCTTACAATTCCCCCATTTTACCTGTCCTAAAACCAGACAAGCCTTACAAGTTAGTTCAGGATCTGCACCTTATCAACCAAATTGTTTTGCCTATCCACCCTGTGGTGCCAAACCCACATACTCTCCTATCCTCAATACCTGCCTCTACAACCCATTATTCTGTTCTAGATCTCAGACATGCTTTCTTTACTATTCCTTTGCACCTTAATCCCAGCCTCTCTTCACTTTCACTTGGACTGACCCTGACACCCATCAAGCTCAGCAAATTACCTAGGCTGTACTGCTGCAAAGCTTCACAGACAGCCCCCATTACTTCAATCAAGCCCAAATTTCTTCCTCATCTGTTACCTATCTCGGCATAATTCTCATAAAAACACACGTGCTCCCCCTGCCAATCATGTCCGACTGATCTCTCAAACCCCAGCACCTTCTACAACAACTCCTTTCCTTCCTAGGCATGGTTAGCGTGGTCAGAATTCTTACACAAGAGCCAGGACCACACCCTGTAGCCTTTCTGTCCAAACAACTTGACCTTACTGTTTTAGCCTAGCCCTCATGTCTGCGTGCAGTGGCTGCCGCTGCATTAATACTTTTAGAGGCCCTCAAAATCACAAACTATGCTCAACTCACTCTCTACAGTTCTCATAACTTCCAAAATCTATTTTCTTTCTCATACCTGATGCATATACTTTCTGCTTCCCGGCTCCTTCAGCTATACTCACTCTTTGTTGAGTTTCCCACAATTACTGTTGTTCCTGGCCCAGACTTCAATCTGGCCTCCCACATTATTCCTGATACCACACCTGACCCCCATGACTGTATCTCTCTGATCTACCTGACATTCACCCCATTTCCCCAAATTTCCTTCTTTCCTGTTCCTCACCCTGATCACACTTAATTTATTGATGGCAGTTCCACCAGGCCTAATCACCACACACCAGCAAAGGCAGGTTATGCTATAGTACAAGCCACTAGCCCGCCTCTTAGAACCTCTCATTTCCTTTCCATCGTGGAAATCTATCCTCAAGGAAATAACTTCTCAGTGTTCCATCTGCTATTCTACTACTCCTCAGGGATTATTCAGGCCCCCTGCCTTCCCTACACATCAAGCTCGAGGATTTGCCCCACCCAGGACTGGCAAATTAGCTTTACTCAACATGCCCTGAGTCAGATAACTAAAATACCTCTTAGTCTAGGTAGATACTTTCACTGGATAGGTAGAGGCCTTTCCTACAGGTTCTGAGAAGGCCACCGCAGTCATTTCTTCCCTTCTGTCAGACATAATTCCTCAGTTTAGCCTTCCCACCTCAATACAGTCTGATAACAGAAGGGACTTTATTAGTCAAAACAGCCAAGCAGTTTTTCAGGCTCTTAGTATTCAGTGAAACCTTTATATCCCTTACGGTCCTCCATCTTCAAGAAAAGTAGAATGGACTAAAGGTCTTTTAAAAACACACCTCACCAAGCTCAGCCACCAACTTAAAAAGGACTGGACAATACTTTTACCACTTTCCCTTCTCAGAATTCAGGCCTGTCCTTGGAATGCTACAGGGTACAGCCCATTTGAGCTCCTGTATAGACGCTCCTTTTTATTAGGCCCCAGTCTCATTCTAGACACCAGACCAACTCAGACTGTGCCCCAAAAAAACTTGTCATCCCTACTATCTTCTGTCTAGTCATACTCCTATTCACCGTTCTCAACTACTCATACATGCCCTGCTCTTGTTTACACTGCCAGTTTACACTGCTTTTCCAAGCCATCACAGCTGATATCTCCTGGTGCTATCCCCAGACTGCCACTCTTAACTCTTGAAGTAAATAAATAATCTTTGCTGGCAGGACTATGCTGAATCTCCTTAAGCACTCTCTAATCAGATATCCTGAGTCATCCCAATTCTTAGACATTTTATACCTGTTTTTCTCCTTCTGTTATTCCATTTAGTTTCTCAATTCATCCAAAACTGTATCCAGGCCATCATCAATCATTCTATATGACAACTGTTTCTTCTAACATCCCCACAATATCACCCCTTACCACAAGACCTCCCTTCAGCTTAATCTCTCCCACTCTAGGTTCCCACGCCGCCCCTAATCCCGCTTGAAGCAGCCCTGAGAAACATCGCCCATTCTCTCTCCATACCACCCCCCAAAAATTTTCGCCGCCCCAACACTTCAACACTATTTTGTTTTATTTTTCTTATTAAGAAGGCAGGAATGTCAGGCCTCTGAGCCCAAGCCAAGCCATCACATCCCCTGTGACCTGCACATATACGCCCAGATGGCCTGAAGTAACTAAAGAATCACAAAAGAAGTGAATATGCCCTGCCCCGCCTTAACTGATGACATTCCACCACAAAAGAAGTGTAAATGGCCAGTCCTTGCCTTAACTGATGACATTACCTTGTGAAAGTCCTTTTCCTGGCTCATCCTGGCTCAAAAATCACCCCCACTGAGCACCTTGCGACCCCCACTCCTGCCCACTGAGCACCTTGCGACCCCCACTCCTACCTGCCAGAGAACAAACTCCCTTTGACTGTAATTTTCCTTTACCTACCCAAATCCTATAAAACGGCCCCACCCTTATCTCCCTTCGCTGACTCTTTTTTCGGACTCAGCCCGCCTGCACCCAGGTGATTAAAAGCTTTATTGCTCACACAAAGCCTGTTTGGTGGTCTCTTCACAGGGACGTGCATGAAATTTTTCATATTTGACCCATGGATTGTTCAAGAGTACATTGTTTAATTTCCACAAATATGTGAATGCCCAGGTTCTCTATTGATAAGACTTGTTTTGTGTCCTTACATGTAATCTATTCTGGCTAATGTTCCAACTGCAGTTTAGAAAAATGTGTATTTTTCCAATGAGTGTGTGTGGAGTGTTCTGTATATCTGTTAGGTTTATTTGGTCTATATTGTTTATCTTGTCTTCTACTTTCTTATTATCTTGTCTCTGGTTGACCTATCCAGTTAAAAGAGAAAGGACATAAATGCTACCACTACATGAAACAACCAAACGAAAATCATGAATAAGCGGGTAAGAAAAGAACACAGGATTAAATTAATTTTTTGTTTGTTTTGTATATCCTGTGTTCTTTTCTTTAATTCTCAGTTATAAGTGGAAGCTAAGCTATGGGAATACAAAGGCATAGAGAGTGATGTAATAGACTATGAAAACTCAGAGGTGGCATGGTAGAGGAGGGGTGAGGAATAAAAAAACTACATATTGGGTACAATGTACAACACTTGGATGCACTAAAATATCAGCCTTCCACTATATAATTTATCCATGTAATGGAAAACCATTTGTACCCCCAAGAGCTATTGAAGTTTTAAAAATATATTTAAAAGCAAATTGTTATAGGTAGAGACAGCTTGGTTAAAAGCCAATTTTGTTGCTAAGGGGCTTCCCATTCCTTTTAAATTCCTTTTAAATTTCAGTAAAACACCAAAACAGGCTTTAGATTTTGAATCTGAAAGTCTGTTATTGAGAGAAAGTACATGTCATGCATAAGTTTCATTACCACAGAGATAAATATGTTAGCCAATACGACTGAGAATCAGAAGGTGGAATTGAAATGGAGGTAGAAGACAGAGAGATCAAGAGGAACAGAGAGATTGAGATACCAAAAAAGACAAATAAAAATACCAGAGCACCCAAGAAAAATAGAGTAGAAGAGAACAGTCATAAGGAAGTATGATTGGAATTTATACAATTGCTTCCAGCAAATTCCCTTTTGAAAGCAAGATTATTCACAAAGTTCTTTCTTAAGATTTTTTTTTTTTTACTTTATCAGGTAAGAAAAGAAGGTTTATTCAGTATGAAAGGCATGCAGGATTTTTTTCTTCTTAAATTGAACTTTACTGTCACGGAAGAAGCAGCTCATACAGAGAATGACAGCGTACAAACCTGCATAAAAGAAAACTTGATTGTCAAAAGTAGAAGGATTTGATTCAACCGGGTGTTCGAGAGGCAGGTGTGTGTGCTTTTTAGTGGAGGTAAGGCCTTGACATGTTTGGTACAAGTGTAGCTAAAGAAAACAATCCATTCATGAGGAAGCTCTTGCCCAAAAACATGAGGAGTCAGCAGAAGAGAAGTCACATTTCCTTTTTTTATTGTATTTTTCTCCTCTCCTAAGAATAATCTCTTCTCAGATAACCCATCTGCAAAATGTAATTTAAATAAATGGATCTGTCCTAAAATTACATGAATTCCAAAGAAAATAAACCATCTGAAATTTTTATTCCTATAATTCAACATCTGTTGTTTTTCTTTTCACTTTTTCTTGAACACAGGAAAAATTTCACTCCTGGGCTGAATGAAACATTTCATAACAAATTTTTTATAGAAGGATTTTTTAATACTTGAATGATTGGACTATAAAATGAGAAATTCTAAATTAATTTTGGGATAAAGCTAAAATGTATCATTTAGTTTCTCCCATCTTTTTCTGGGAAATAGCTTTCATTATCTTTGCCTTAACTATTCCACGATCCTCCTTCTGCAGTGTTCCAAAAATGTTTACCTTGGCTACTGAAATGTTGGTTTAAATTTATGGGCTTGCTTGATTACTAATCTTAATTTGAAATGTAAATTTAAGTTTGATATGGTAGCTGTGGCCAGGAGGTAGGGAAGGATGCTAGGGAAGAAAGAATAGAATATATGTTGGGTAGAATATGATATTTCAGAAAGCATAATAGAAATTAGCATTTGTCTCAAGAATTCCTACTGCATGCATTTAATGTACCACTATATATGGTATTTAAAAATATATATTGTTTGGTATTGTAGCTAATTCTATATTTGGCTAAGCTCTGTTACTAGACTGAAAACTACAAATGTATAAAAAGGAGAATTTTATACACTCTACCTACAATATTATCTGGCACATACACATAAAAGAAGCTTCATAAATGTCTGTTAAATGAAGGAAGAAAAGATGGAAGAAGAGATGGAAAGAGGAAAGGAGCAAAGGAGATAGGGAGGTTATAAAAGGAATTGGCAGCTATACCTACGTGGAGATGATAATATAAACATTATATCAATGTCCTCCAAATAAAAGAATCAATTGAAGATGCATCTTTTTTCTTTCCTAATCTTCTTTTGTCTTCTACTTCCACCTTATTTGCCTCCCAACAAACAAGCAAAAAAGTAATCAAATAATGCAATGAATGGATAAAGGTGAACAACAATTTTAAAAAATCAGTAACATTTTGTTATGGAATTACTTTTGATATAGTAATTCTCAGCTTAACTTGCAGTTTTTCTACTGTTTTCATCAGCTCATATTGAACTCTTTCTATTTTGACAGTACTAATGCTTTATGCCATATATTTATACTTATTGTATAAATCTTGCATTCCTTTTTATGCCACTATGTTCTGTCTAGCTAAATATATTGAAAATTTTTGCAGATATTAGACAGAATAGCATTCTTGTATTTCTTCATATCGCCAAGCATGATGCATTGGAGTAGCAGTCACTCAGTAAATGTAAATAATTTTTAAATTAAAATAATATATAGCATGGTTTCTATTTATGCTAAAAAAAAAGGCTACCTATATTATTCTCATTTCTTTTCTTTTACTGCTAAAAAAAATCCTGGACAAATTACAATAGTAAAGTCTAGGAAGATTCTAAAATGTGGGAAAAGGATGTGCTGCCTGGAGACATGGGGCTTGAGAAATGATATGGTTGTCAGTTCCTTGGCTTTCCTTATTGCCTCCCAAATATCAAGGACAAGGTTCTGTGAAATCTTCCAATCTGGAATTACTATTTGGCATAGACAAAATAAAAAAGCTACAAGAAAAACCTGTTTCTCCTACAAAAGAAACAGGAAAAAACATGACCAAATAACAGAAAATTTCTGGGAATTCTCACACTACTCCAGCCAAACACCAACAAAAATACCACATGCTACTTCCCTGTGGTCTCAGTAGTGCTGAATGGGTAGTAGTTGATCTTCCAGTCTATCCCTGACTCCAACATAAGTAGATAGCAACTCTTTCACTTTCCACCCAGTGGTGTCTGCAGGACCAACTAGGGAGGTAAACTTACAACTACCACCTGGTAGAAGACAGCAGTTCTCTAATTCCCAGACCAGGGTAGTGTAAATGGGATTCAGAAGCAAATAAAACTTTTACTCCCACTGGGCAACAAAGAGACTCATTAAGGGGAGGTGAAGTAGGGGTAGTTACCACTATGCTCCACTTCTTCTCCTCCCTCACATCAGCAGGGCTCAGAGGCAATCTGAGCCTCCACCCTCACATGGAATCAGTAAGACTGAACAAAACTGTTTGAGCAGGGGCTACAACGGTTTCCAATTTGTCTTAACACTTTCTCCCATGTCAGCTAGGCCCAATGGAAATCTGCACCTCTATATGTACCAGGCATCAACAAGGCAGAATGAAATGATGTCAGGCAGGGCAGTTGAAATTCCACCCTATACCACCTCTGATTTCAGCAGAGCCCAGTGGGGAGCTAAGCTTACACTCATATTCCAAGGCAGTAAGACTGCACAAATTAATGTTTCACTTTGCTAGGGAAGTGTCAAATGTGGTTGAATAGGTAGCTGAACTTTCACCTTACTCCTTTTCAATCTGGAATCATAAGTCAGTAGTCCACTTTTGACAGGGTGGTATTGGCAGAGCCAAGTGGGAAGCTGAATATGCAAACAAACCTGGTCCTTCTCCTATACCTCAACAAAGTAACTGCCTACAATAACAGAAGATAAACTAAAATTCTGAATCTCATAATATGTAAAATATCCAGGACACAATCACATATAATACCAAGAGCTAGTAAAATCACAATATGAATGAGAAAAGACAATTAACAGACACCAGCACCAAGATAAATTAAATGTCATAAATTTCTGAAAACAATTTAAAGAAGCCATAATAACAATGCTTCAATGAAAAATTATTAACATTCTTGAAAAAAATAAAGGAAAAAGAAAATCTCAGCAAAGTCCTGGGTGTTATAAAAAATAAGATGAAACTTATTTAACAGAAAAACACAATAACAAAACAATTTCTATGAATAAACTCAGTATTACAGTGGATGTGACAAAGGATTAAATCAGTTACCAGAGCACAAATCAATGAAATTCACTTAATCTGAAAAACAGAGAGAAGTAGACTGAAATAAGTATCTTAATAACCTTTGAGACAATGACCAAAAAACCTATTATTTATATCACTAGTGTCCGAGAAATAGATGAGTGTGAAATTGAAAGAATACATTTAAAGAAATAATAATTTAAAACTTTCCAAATATGGCAAAAGCCATTAATCTACAAATTATAGAAGCTGAGTAAATTCCAAAAAAGATAAGCATAAAGAAATCCACACAAAGACATATTATAATTAAAATTCAGAATGGACAAAGGAAAAATCCTGTAAGCAGGCAGAAGTGATATATTACTTGTAGAACAGTACCAATTACAATGACAACAGACTTCACATCTGCAACCACAGAAAAAGAAGGAAGTGGCACAAAATTATTCAAGTGCCAAAAGAAAAGGACTATCAGCTGAAATGTCAAAGTCTGTATCTGGCAAAAATATCATTCACAAGTGAGGAGGAAATAAAGGCATTCTCAGACAGACGAAGAAAAACTAAAATAATTTGCCACTAGCAGACCTGCCTTTAGAGAACACCAAAAGAAGGATCTTTAAATAGGACTAATATGATAAAGGAAGAAAACTGGAATATTCAGATAACAGAAGAACAGAAAGAGCAAATATATGAGTAAACATAGTGACTTCTCCATGTGAGTTCTCTAATCATATAGGATAATTGAAAAAAATACATCACGTGAAATATGTAACAATCATGTTTTAAATGGGGAAGATAAAGAAATCTAAAATAAAGTAAGGTTTCCAAACTTCTCTTGAATGCAAAATTGTTTATTCCAGTAGACTGTAAGTTACATGTGTATTTTAATAACCACAAAACCAGTAAGAAAACTACACTAAGTGATAAACTGCCAAAACATTATAAATATATCAAGCTGCAATTCTAATATAAATGGTCAAAAAGTTCATGGAAAGAGGGCGGAGTAAGATGGTGCAACAGAAGTCTACACTGTTCATCCCCACCTCCACCCACTGGAACACCAAATGTTAAAAAGTATCTGCACACAGAAAAGTACCGTCATAAGAACAATAAATCAGTTCAGCAAACACAGTATCTGGTTTTAGCTTCGTATTGCTAAAAGAGACAATGAGGATGGCAGGGGAGACAGTCTTGAATTGTGTATGTCACCCCTCTCCCACACCGTCCAGAAGCAGCTGAGTGGCACAAAGAGAAAATCTGTGCGCATCAAGGAGAGACAGCACAGTGACTGGGGGACTTTACATGGAATTCAGTGCTGCACTGTCACAGCAGTGAAGAAAGTCATGCCAGCACTCATGTATGGAGGGAGCATTTGGATCAGCCCTAGCCAGAGGGGAATTGCCTATACCAGGGAGTTGGTACTGAGTTCCTCATCAAGCCTCACACCATGGGATGAAGTGCTCTGGGGTCCTAGGTAAACTTGAAAGGCAGTCTGAGACACAAAGATGGAAATTCCTAGCAACTTCTAGTGCTAAGCTGGGCTGAGAGTAAGTGGACTAGGGTGGCATATGACCTAGGGAGACACCAGCTAGCAAGACCAAAGAAGTGCTTGTGCTCACCCTCCCCCAACCTCAGGTAGTGCAGCTCACAGCAATGAAAGTGGCTCCTTTTTTTCTGCTTAAGAGAAGACAGTAAAGAGTAGAAGGGACTTTGTCTTGCATCTTAGATACCAGCTCAACCACAGCAGGATAGGGTACCGCCCAGAGTCACAAGGACCCTATTTAAGGACCTAGCTCACAGATGACACTTCTAGACACACCCTGGGCCAAAAGGAAACCCACTACCTTGGAGAAAAGGATTCAGCCCTGGCAGGATTTATCACCTGATTAAAGAACTGTGAATGAATAACCAGCAGTGATACCCAGGTAGTACATCGTGGGCCTCAGGTGAGACTCAGACTTACTGGCTTTAGCTGTGACCCAGCACATTCCCAGCTGTGGTGAAAATGTGGTGAAATGTGAGGAAAGTCTCCTTCTGTTAGAGAAAAGCAGAGGAAAAAGTAAAGGGGACTTTGTCATGTAGCTCAGCCACAGTGGGGTAGAGCAACAAGCAGGCTCTTGGGGTCCCCAATCCCAGACCTAGGTTCTAGGAAACCATTTCTAAACCTGCTCTAGGCCAGAGGGGAGCCCACTGCCCAGAAGGGTGAGTCCCAGACAGAAGAGCCCTTGGGCTTTAAGTGAATATCAGCAGGTGCCTAGTGGAACCCCCAGTGGAACAGTGGTAATGGTGGATGCAGACAGGGGTTTCTATCCCTGTGGAAAGGGGAGGGAAAGGAAAGAAAAACTTTGCATTGTAGTTTGAGAGCAAGCTTAGGTACAGTAGAATAGAACATCAGGAAAACTGTTAAGGATTTTGAACCCAATCCTTGGCTCACAGACAGCATCACTGGACATGCCAGGTTCCTGGGAGAACTAGTGGCCCTAAAAGGAAGGGCCTTGGGCAAAAACCAGTGCATTGCTGGCATCAGGTCTGGCTCAGTATAGGTTAGCAATGGTGGCCAGAGGCGTTGGCATCACCACACCCCCACTTCCAGGTGTCTCAGCACAGAAAAATGAGATTTTATATGCTTGGAAGAATATTAAAAAAATAAAAAGAGTTTTTTTCTGGTAATCCAGATAATTCTTCTGAATCTTATCCAAGACCACCATAGTGGTACCTCTGTGATTCTAAAGAAACCACAGTGTTATTGGGTTGGGGACAAAGTGCCTTTAAATACTTGGAAAGCCTTCCCAAGAAGGACGGGCACAAATTAGTCCAGATTAATGCCCAGACACTGATGAACGTCTACAAGCATCACCTCCATACAGGAAAACATGACCTCACCAAATGAACTAAATAAGGCACCAGAAAAAATCCTAAAGAGAAAGATATATGACCTTGAAGAAAAAGAACCCAAAATAGCTGTTTTGAGGAAACTCAAAGAAATTCATGATAACACAGAGAAGGAGTTCAGAATTCTATCAGATAAATTTAACAAAGGAATTGAAATTATTGAAAAGAATCAGGCACAAATTTTGGAGATGAAAGAGTCAATTGACATGTGGAAGAATGCATCAGAATCTTAACAGAAGAATTTTTGAAGCAAAAAAAAAGAGTAAGCTTGAAGACAGGCTATTTGAAAATACATAGTCAGAAGAGAGAAAAGAAAAAAATTATTAAACACGCCTACAGGATATAGAAAATAGCCTCAAATGGGCAAAGCTAAGAGTTATTGGCCTTAAAGAAGAGGTGGAGAAAGAGATAGGGATAAAGAGTTTATTCAGGAAGATAAAAACACAGAAAACCTCAAATCTACAGAATGATATCAAGATTAAAGTACAACAAGGTTATAGAACACCAAGTATATTTAATTAAAAGAAGAATATCTTAAGGCATTTAATACCCAAACTTCCAAAGTCAAGGATAAAGAAAGGATCCTAGAAGCAGCAAGTAAAAAGAAACAAATAACTTACAATGCAGCCCCAATATGTCTGGAAGAAGTCTTTCCAGTAGAGACCTTACAGGTCAGGTAAAAGAGGCATGACATATTTAAAGTGCTGAAGAAAAAAAAGACAAAAGACTTTTACCCAAGACTACTGTAGCCAGCAAAAATATCCTTCAAGCATTAAATACAAATAAAGATCTTCCCAGGAAGAGAAAAGCTAAAGGATTTCATCAACAGCAGACCTGTCCTACAAGAAATAAAATGAGTTCTTCAATTTGAAATAAAATGATGGTAATGAGCTAGAAAAAAATCATCTGAAGATACAAAACTTTCAAGTAATAGTAAGCACACAGAAAAACAGAATCGTATAACACTGTAATGGTGCTGTGTAAACTACTCTTGTCTTAAGTAGAATGACTACAATAAACCAATCAAAATTAATAACTACAACACCTTTTCAAAACATATGCAGTAAATTAAGACATAAAGAGAAACAACAAAATACTAAAAAGTGGGGATACAAAGTTAAAATGTAGAGTTTTATCAGTTTTTATTTTATGCTTTTGTTTGTTTAGGCAATCAGTGTTGTCATCAGTTTAAAATAATGGATTATAAGATAGTATGTGCAAGAATCATGGTTACTTCAAATCAAAAGATACAAGAGATACACAAAAAATTAGAAATAAATAAATTTTAAAAATTAAAGTATACCACCAGAGAAAATTATATTCACTAAAATCAAGACAGGAAAGAAGGAAAAAAAGGAAGAGGAGACCATAAAACATTCAGAAAACGAATAATAACAAGGAAAGAGTAAGTTCTTAATAACAACATTGAAAGTAAATGGACTAAAGACTCCAATAAAAAGACACTAAGTGGCTGAATGGATGGCAAAACAGGACCCAATTATCTGTTGCCTACAGGAAACACACTTTACCTGTAAAGATACATGCAGACTGAAAATAGATAAAAAATGATATTCCATACCAAAGAGAGCAAAAAAAACTACTTATATTATAAAAAACATAAGTAGCTATACTTAGACAAAATAGATTTCAAGACAAAAACTGTAAGAAGAGACAAAGATGGTCATTACATAATGACAGAGGCCAATTCAGCAAGAGGATATAAAAATTACAAAAATATATGCACCAAACACTGAAGCAACCAGATATATAAAGGGAATGTTATTAGAGCAAAAGAGAGAGAGAGAGACCCCAGTACAATACCTGGAGACTTCAACATCCCACTTTCAGCATTGGATCAATCTCCTGGACAGAAACTAAATAAGTAAACATCAGACTTAATCTGAACTATAGAAAAAATATACTTAATAGATATTTACAGAATATTTCATCCAATGAGTAAAAAATACACATTTTTCTCCTCAACATATATGTCATTCTCAAGGATAGGACATATGTTAGGTCACAAAACAAGTCTTAAAACATTTAAAAAAATTAAAATAATATCAAGCATCTTTTCTGATCACAATGAAATAAAACTAGAAATCAATAAAAAGAGGAATTTTGGAAAATATAAAAACACAGAAGTTAAACAACATTCTTCTGAATGAACGGTCAATTAGGAAATTGAAAACTCTTGAAACAAATGACAATGAAAACACAACATACCAACACCTATGAGATACAGTGAAAGCAGTACCAAGAAGAAAATTTATAGCTATAAGTGCCTGCATCAAAAAAACTTCAAAAACCTAATGATGTACCTTAAAGAACTAGAAAAGCAAGAGAAAAGTGAACCCAAATTAGTAGATTAAAAGAAATAACAAGGATAAGAGCAGAAATAAATGAATTTGACATAAAGAAAACAATACAAGAATGAAGCAAAATGTTGGCTTTTTGAAATGATAAAAAAACTGACAAATCATTAGCCAGACTAAATGAGAAATGAGAGAATACCCAAATAAAATCAGAGATGAAAAAGGAAACATCACAACTGATAACATGTAAATTTAAAGGATTATTACTGACTATGATAAAGAACTATGTTACAATAAATTTGAAAATTTAAAAAAATGAATTCTGAGACACATACAACATACCAAGAATGGATCATGAAGAAATTTAAAACCTGAATAGACAAATGAGTAACAAGTTTGAAGCCATAATAAAAATTTCCCAGTAAAGGAAAGTGCAGGACCTAATGGCTTCACTGCTTAATTCCAACAAACATTTAAACAAGAAGTAATACCAATTCTATTCCAACTGTTCCAAAAAATAGAGGAAGAAGGAATACTTCCATACTTATTCTGCAGGGTCACTATTGTCCTGGTAATTAATCCAGACAAAAATACATAAAAAAACAAACAACTACAGGCCAGTGATGATGAATATCTCTGATGAATATAGAGGCAAAAATCATCAACAAAATCTAGCAAGACAAATTCAACAATACCTTAAAAAATCATTCATTATGACCATGTGGTATTTATCCTATGATGCAATAATCTTTAACATATGCACATCAATCAGTGCAATATATTATATCAATACAATAAAAGACAAAAACCATATGACCTTTTCCATTGTAACTGAAGAGCATTTGATAAAATTCAACATCCCTTCATAATAAAAACCTTCAAAAAACTGGGTATAGAAGGATCATACCTCAACATAATAAAAGCCATATAAGACAGACTCACAGCTAATATCATACTGAGTGAGAAAAAGCTTAAAGCCTTTCACCTAAGATTGGGAACATGAAAAGGATGCCCACATTCACCACTGTTATTCAACATAGTACTGGAAGATCAGCTAGAGCAATTTGATGAAAGAAAGAAAGGGCATCCAAATTAGAAAGAAAGAGGTCAAATTATCTTAGTTTACAAATTATATGAGCTTATATTTAGAAAAACCTAAAGATTTCACCAATAAAACCATGATAACTGACAAATTCAGTGAAGTTGCAGGTTTAAAAATCAACATAAAATTCATAGCATTTCTATAACCCAACGTTGAACAATTTGAAAAACAAAGTAATCAAATTAACAATAGCCACACATAAAATTAAACACTTAACAATTAATTTAACCAAACAAGTGAAAGATCTCTACAGTGTAAACTATAGAACACTGATAAAAAACATTGAAGATGACACAAAAAATAGAAAGGTACTCCATATTTATGAATTGGAAGAATCAATGTTATTAAAATTTTTGTACTACCCAAAGAAATCCACTAATTCAATGAAATTCATGTCAAAATTCCAATGCATTCTTCACACAAATAGAAAAAAAACCCATAATTTTAAAATGTAGGTGGAACTACAGAAGACCCAGAATAGCCAAATCTATTATAAGCAAAAAGAACAAAACTGGAGAAATCACATTACCTGACTTCAATTTATACTACAGAGTTATAGTAACCAAAATGGCATGGTACTGACATAAAAATAGACACACACACCAGTGGAGCAGAATAGATAACTCAGAAACAAATCCACACACCTACAGTGAACTCATTTTCAATAAATATGCCAAGAATGTACACTGGGGACAAGACAGTCTCTTTAATAAATTATGCTGGGAAAACTGGATATCCAAATGCAGAAGAATAAAACTAGACCCTTCTCTTTCACCAAAAATCAAATCAAACTTAATTCAAGACTTAAATCTAAGACCTCAAAGTATGAAACTACTAAAATAAAACATTGAGAAAACTCTCCAGGACATTAGTCTCAGCAAAAATGTCTTGAGTAATACCCTACAAGCACAGGCAACCAAAGCACAAATGGACAAATGGAACCACATCAAGTTAGAAAGCTTCTTCACAGAAAAAAAAGTTAATAAAGTGAGGAGAAAACCCACAGAATGGGCCAAAACTTTTGCGAACTATCCATCTAACAAAGGAGTAATAAATAGACTATATAAGGAGCTTCAACAACTCTATAAAAATTAATAATCTGATTAAAAATGGGTAAAAGATTTGAATAAACATTTTTCAAGAAAGCACACAAATGGCAAACAGGTATGAAGGTGCTTATTATCATTGATCGTCAGAGAAAGGCAAATCAATACTACAATAAAATATCATCTCACCCTAGTTAAAATGGTTTATATTCAAAGGACAGGCAATAACAAATGCTGGTGAGGTTGTGGAGAGGAGAGAACCCTCATATACTATTGGTGGCCATATAAATTAGAGCAACCACTATGGAGAACAGTTGGAAGTTTTCTCAAAAAAACTAAAAATAAAGCTACCATACAAGCCAGTAGTCCCACTGCTGGGTATATACCCAAAAGAAAGGAAATCAGTATATTGAAAATATATCTGCTCCCCCGTGTTTGTTGCAGCACTGTTGAAAATAGCCACAAATTGGAAGTAACCTAAGTGTCCATCAATAGATGAATGGATAATGAAAATATACAGAATGGAGTACTATTCAACCATAAAGATAAATGAGATCTTTTCATTTGCAACAATGTGAGTGGAACTGGTGATTATTATTTTAAATCAAATAAGCCAGGCACAGAAAGACAAACATCACATGTTCTCACTTATTTATGTGATGTAAAGAGGGAAACAAATGAACCCATGCATATAGAGAACAGAAGGATTGTTTTCAGAGGCTGAGAAGATTAGTGGGGGTTTGGGAGGAAATGGGGACGGTTAATAGATACAACAAAATAGAAAGACCTAGTAATTGATAGCACAACAGAGGGATAATAGTCAATAATTATTTAATTGTACATTTAAAAACAACTGAAAGAACTGGATTGGTTGTAACACAAATTTAAATGCTTGAGGATATTGATACCCCTTTTTCTATGTTGTGATTATTATGCACTGCATTCATGTACCGAAATGGTGTGTACTCCACAGGGAGTACTTCCAGGCTGTTGCAGATGTACGCTTAAGTCCTAAGGGTTCTTGGATCAGCTTTTAGTGAATACTGCCTGGCTTGGTACTCACCCTTCTGGTCATTGGGTTTTTTGTTTTTCTGGCCAATTGCAGCTCCAAAAATGCTAAAGCCAAGGCCTAGAATCAGGGCACCCATAGCTCACTTCATGCCCTACCCCCCCCCCCCTTGGCAGAGCTGGTACCTACTGTGCAAGACAAAGTTCTCTTTAATTTTCTCTCACTTTTCTCAAGCAGGAAGCATCTCTCACCTTAGCCACCAAAGCTGGGAATGTACTGAGCCTCACCTGAAGCCAACAAGTCTAACCCAAGGCCCAGGACATACATCCTTGGTATTGTTGCTAGTTGTTGAAGGCCCAAGGGCTCTTTAGTTAGCAGGTGATGAATACTGCCAGGAATGAGTTCTTCACAGCTGAATTCTACCAGAAATACAAAGAGGAGCTGGTACCATTCCTTCTGAAACTATTCCAAACAATTGAAAAGGAGGGACTCCTCCCTAACTCATTTTATAAAGCCAGCATCATCTTGATACCAAAACCGGAAAGAGAGAGCAAAACAAACGAACAAACAAAAAAACATTCAGGCCAATATCCCTGATGAACATTGATGCAAAAATCCTTAATAAAACACTGGCAAAATGAATCCAGCAGCATATAAAAAATTTATCCACCACAATCAAGTCGGCTTCATCCCTGGGATACAAGGCTGGTTTAACATACACAAATCAATAAACATAATCCATCACATAAACAGAATCAATGACAAAACCACATGATTATCTCAACAGAGGCAGAAGGCCTTTGATAAAATTCAGCATCCCTTCATGTTAAAAACTCTCAATAAACTAGGTATTGATGGAATATATCTCAAACTAATAAGTGCTATTTATAACAGGCAAAAGCTGGAAGCATTCCCTTTGAAAACCAGTGCAAGACAAGGATGCCCTCTCTCGCCACTCCTATTCAACATGGTATGGGAAGTTCTGGTCAGGGCAATCAGGCAAGAAAAAGAAATAAATGGTACTCAAATAGGAAGAAAGAAAGTCCAAGTTGTGTCTGTTTGCAGATGACATGATTTTATATTTAGTAAACCCCACCCATGATCTCAGCCCCAAAACTTCTTGAGCTGATAAGCAACTTCAGTAAAGTCTCAGGATATAAAATCAATATGCAAAGATCACAAGCATTCTTTTACACCAAAACAATAGGCAAGCAGAGAGCCAAATCATGAATGAACTCTCATTCACAATCACTACAGAGAATAAAATACCTGGGAATACAGCTAACAAGGTATGTGAAAGACCTCTTTAAGAAGAACTACAAAACACTGCTGAAGGAAATAAGAAAGGACATAAACAAATGGAAAAACATTCCATCCTCATGAATAGGAAGAGTCAATATAGTGAAAATTGCCATAGTGCCCAAAGTAATTTACATATTCATAGGTATTCCCATCAAGCTACCATTGACATTCTTCACAGAATTCGAAAAATCTGCTTTAAATTTAATATGGAAGTAAATAAGACCTCGTATTGCCTAGACAATCCTAAGCAAAAAGAAAAAACCTGGAGGCATCATGCTACCTGATTTCAAACTATGCTACCAAGGCTACAGTAACCAAAACAGCATGGTACTGACACCAAAACAGACAGACATATAGACCAATGGAGCAGAATAAAGACCTAAGAAATAACAAACACCACACATCTACAACCATCTGGTCTTTGACAAACCTGATAAAAACAAGCAATGGGGACATGATTTCATATTCAGTAAATGGTGCTGGGAAAACTGGCTAGTCATATTCAGAAAACTGAAACTGGACCCCTTCGTTACACCTTATACAAAAATTAGCTCAAGATGGATTAAAGACTTAAATGTAAAACCTAAATCCATACAAATCTTAGAAGAAAGCCTAAACAATACCATTCAGGACATAGGCATGGACAAAGACTTCATGAAAAAAACGCCAAAAGCAATTGCAACAAAAGCCAAAATTGACAAAATGGATCTAATTAAATTAAAGAGCTTCTACACAGCAAAAGAAACTATCATTAGAGTGAACAGGCAACTTATAGGATGGGAGAATATTTTTGCAAGCTACTCATCTGACAGAATGTACAAGGAACTTAAACATATTTACTAGAAAAAAACAAAAAACCCCATCAAAAAGTGGGTGAAGTATATGAACAGGCACTTCTCCAAATAAGACATTTATGAGGCCAGCAAACACGAAAAAAAAAAAACTCAATGTCATTAATCATCAGAGAAACTCAAATCAAAACCGCAATGAGATACCATCTTCTGCCAGTCAGTATGGCGATTATTAAAAAGTCAGGACACAATAGATGTTGGCAAGGCTGTGGAGAGATAGGAATGCTTTTACACTATGGGTGGGAGTGTAAATTAGTTCAAACATTGTGAAATACTGTATGGTGATTCCTCAAGGATCTAGAACCAGAAATATCATTTGACCCAGAAATCCTATTACTGGGTATACACCAAAAGGAATATAAATTATTCTACCCATGCACACGTATGTTTATTGCAGCACTATTTATGATAGCAAAGACATGGAATCGAATCAACCTAAATGCCCATCAATGATAGATTGGATAAAGAAAAATGTGTTACATATACACCATAGAATACTATGCAGCCATAAAAAGGAATGAGATCATGTCCTCTGCAGGGACAGGGATGAAGCTGGAAGCCATCATGGCAAACTAACACAGGAACACAATATCAAACACAGCATGTTCTCACTCATTAGTGGGAGTTGAACATTGAGAACACATGGACACAGAGAGGAAAACAACACACACCAGGGAATGTTGGGGGCAGGTAAGGGGAGGGAACTTAGAGGACAGGTCAATAGGTGCAGCAAACTGCCATGCCATATATACTCCCATGTAACAAACCTGCACATTCTGCACATGTAAAAAAAAATGACTAACTGCTCAAAGTAAGATAACTGGCATGAGAAGTAGGGATTTTACTCTGTGACTCTGAGAAAATCACTTCAACTCCTTGCATCATTTTTCATACTGAAAGGCACTACAAAGGATGTTCTTACAGATTTCTTCTGAGACTAACCTTCTGTGACTTGCTCTTCTCAAACTTCTGCAGACTACAGCTGAGCTACATTAAATGTTGGACCTAGAGTGGGCAACATAATAAGGCTCCATCTCTATAAAATGTAAAAAAAAAAAAAAAAGAAAGTAAAAGAAAAATTAGCTGGGCATAGTGGCATGCACCTGTAGTCCCAGCTCCCTGGGAGACTGAGGCAGGAGGATCACTTGAGCCCGAGTGGTTGAGGGTGAAGTGAGCCAAGTTTGCACCACTGCACTCAGCCTAGGTGACAGACCCATGTCAAATGCAGCCAAGCAGGACCTGTTCAAAGGAGAGTAGCCAGAATTGTTATGAGATTTGAGACCATATCATCAGATAATAAATTTAGCAGAGAGAAGACAAGATGTGGAAGGGCCCTGACTGCTTCCTTTAGGTATTTGATGTATTTTCATATTTTGTTTATTTAGGTATTTGTAAATTCAGGTGGAGTGGGGCTAGGTTCAATCTATATGGCCAGCAGTTAACAGAGACAGCTAATTACAGAAATACCAGAGTAACAAAGTATGGTTTAATTAAAAAATATTTTTTTTGTTTATTAGTAGAACTGTTCAATAAAGGAATTCCCTCTCTCAGGAGGTAGTGAGTCAGTTCTCTGTGATTCCTTGTGCACAAGCCTGGAATGGACAATCACTTAGAGGACTCTGGAAAAATGGACGTAAAACTCAGTTGAGGGAAGATGGATGTTGGACTATTTCTTCTTTTGATAATTTCCAATATTGACAGTCAAATGCCATTTGAGATTTTATTACTCTGTGAGTTAAAACATAATCACATATACTATATTTTAAACTTTGAGAAAAAAGAACCCTATTGTACTACATGGTGATTACAGTTAATGACAACATGTCATATTCTTAAAAGTCACTAACAGAGTAGATTTTGTGTTCTCGCCACTAAAAATGATAAAGATGTGAGTTAATTTATACATTAATTAGGTTGATTCAGGCATTCTACAATGTATACATATTTAAAGCCATCATGTTTTACATAATAAATATACACAATTTTTATTTGTCACTAAAATTAAATCTAAAAATGTTAAAACTTAAAAAAATAAGATAAATATTATATGTATATTTTACAACAAAAATGAGAAATATTTATAAACTCATGTAACACAATTTTTAAAATATGTGAATTAAATTTTATCTAAATTAAAAACTTTTATGCTTTAAAGGATACTATCAATAAAGTGAAAACAATACTTCAAAATGACAGAAAAATTTTTCAAGCCATATATCTGATAATGTTTCAGTACCTCAAATATATTTTGAACTCTTATAACTCAAAAATTGAAACACAAATAGCCCAATTAAAAGTGGGCAGCGTGGCCAGTCGTGGTGGCTCATGCCTGTAATCCCAGCGCTGTGGGAGGCCGAGGCAGGCCAATCACCTGAGGTCAGGAGTTTGAGACTAGCCTGGCCAACATGGTGAAACCCTGTCTCTACTACAAATACAAAAATTAGCCGGGTGTGGTGGTGCACGCCTGCAGTCCCAGTTACTCAGGAGGCTGGGGCAGGAGAATCACTTGAACCCAGGAGGCAGAGGTTGCAGTGAGCCAAGATGGTGCCACTGCACTTCAGCCTGGGCGACAGAGTGAGACCCTGTCTCAAAATAAATAAATAAATAAATAAAAATAAAAATAAAAAAATTTAAAAAGTGGGCATCGTATTTGAATATGTATTTCTCCAAGGAAAATATATGAATGGCAATCAGCATATCAGAAAAACTGCAACAATATTAGTCACCAGGGATATGCAAATCAAAACTGCAACGATCTATTACTCCACACCCAGCAAGATAGCTATAAACAAAAAGACAGAAAAGAATGTGTATTGGAAAGGATAGGGGGAAATTGGAATTATTATATATTTCTTATTGGAATGTAAACTGGTGGAACTGCTTTAGAAAATGTTTGCCAGTTCTTCAAAAGCTATATATTAAGTTATCATAGGACCAAGCAATTCTACTCATATATATATTTATGAGTATATATATATGAGTATATATATGAGTATATATATATGAGTATATATATGAGTATATATATATGAGTATATATATGAGTATATATATATGAGTATATATATGAGTATATATATATGAGTATATATATGAGTATATATATGAGTATATATATGAGTATATATATATGAGTATATATATGAGTATATATATGAGTATATATATATGAGTATATATATGAGTATATATATGAGTATATGTATATGAGTATATATATATGAGTATATATATGAGTATATATATGAGTATATATATGAGTATATATATGAGTATATATATATATGAAACATATGTTCACACAAAACTTGTACTTAATATTTATATGATAATTATTTACAATAGCTAAAATATAGAACTAACCTAAATATCCATCCACTAATGAATGGAAAAATGAATTGTGGTATATTCATACAAAAAATATTATTCAGCTATAAAAAGAATAAAGCACTGATTCATGCCACAATATAAATCAGCCTCTGAGATACTATGCTAACTGAAAGAAGCCAGACATAAAAGGCCATGTAGATATGATTCCACTTATAACAAATATCCAGAGTAAGCAGATTTATAAAAACATAAAGTATATTAGTATTTGCCAGGTCTGGGGGAAATTGGGGAGTGAGTGCCAATAGTTATGGGGTTTCTATCAGAGGTAATGAAACTGTTCTGCCATTAGATAGTGGTAATAATTTCAAAACTTGTGATTATACCAAAAGGCACTGAATGGTACACCTTAAATACATAAATGCTATGGGTTGTAAATTATAGCTCAATAAAAAATAACAAAAATAATAAACATTATAAATACTTAAAACTTAAGAAAACAATTTATTGGAGGTAAGGGAAAGAGAAGAGCAAATGTAAAAGGGATTTTTTTTTATTGCAACTTTAATAAAATGAAGGTGAAATATAGGGTGCAGTTAGGGTTGAATAGCAACCCATATTCTACTTGGTTTCGTTTTTAATGGGAGACAATAAAGGTGTTCTTATGCTTAATTAATCTGGAGACTAGAGGAACATTTTGAATGCTTAGAAAAAAAGAATGAGTTAATTGATAGAGTATAGCCTTCAGGTTTTGGAAGGAGATGCAGCCTAAAATAACACTGGTGGAATTAGCTTTCGATGAAGGAAGAGACACTGCTTTCTCTAAAATTAGAAGAAAGGAGGAGTGGATAGACCAGGGTATAAAAATAGCACAGAATCCTCTGGTTAAAATGGAAATTCTCACTTAATTGATATTTTTCTACGTTAAACAGAAGTTAAAGTTTTGTACTCAAAGTAAGAATGGATATTGGTGAGAAGGCTTGAAGAGAGTGAAAAAGTCTATAATAATTATTTGGGTTAACTAAAAGAGGAAATGATTAAAGAACATTAAAAAGATTGATAAGCAGCTCCTAGCAGCTCTGATGTGCCAGTTGTTATTTGAAAAAAATATTTTGTAGAAAAACTAATTTGCACATTTGCACAATTATAAACACCTAAACTCCTTGATATAGGAGAAGAGAAGACAAATTTTAAGACTTTTTCCAAATTTAGTGACTAATAAGGTAAACATGATAGAAAGAACACGATGCTACTCAAAAGAATATTTTGGCAATTGACCATTGCATTCATAGTGGGAGAAAGCAAATTCAGTTCAGAGCTGATGGACTAAGATAAAGAAAATCACAATAGCCTCAGGGAGCTGGTGTAATGGGAGGGAGCGATTTGGAAAAAAGTAGGAGATCATGATCACATAGTAAGATACTGAACTTCAGCCATCCTGTGGTGTAGCCATGGGAGTAGCCTGCTTACATCCAATACAGGTGAATGTTTGGGAAGTCAAGGACCTGTGAGGAAAATGAGTGGTTTATGGACTTTAAAGTCATCCAAGAAAATGGGTAAAGTAAAAACAGAGGATAATTGACAAATAAGGAAGAATATCCTTTAGATTGACAGATCATCACCATCACCATCATCATCTGACAAACACTAATATAGCTCTTTATTAAGTACTGTTCTAAGCACTTCACAGATATTATGTTATATAATGCTCAAAATCTCCCTATTAAAAATATAGTATTGTTGAACTTCATACATTAGGAAACAGAGACACAGGAATATTGAATAACTTGTATAGAATTACACTGTAAATAAGTAAAGGAATTGAGATTGAAGTACAAATAATATGTTTCCATAATTCATTATTTTGCTACTACACCGTGGTACCTGGACATTGGACAAAGAAAAGGAGAGGGTAGACTATGGGGACTACTAACAATATAAAGTATTAAGTGTGTGAGCCATGAGATTAGTAACAGCCATTTGAGAAGGCCAAAAGTAAAATGGTGTTTCTTGAAAAGATCTGGGTTTCAATTAAGACAAGGAACTGGTAGCAGGGAACATTTGGGCCCTATCTATATCACTTTGGTACTCAGTTTTATTTCTGGGGCCAGGGTCATGAGGAATTAATAACCTGGGAAGCAACTCTTTTGGTAGGCAGAATAAAGGCACCTCAAAATATTCACATTTTAATTCCAGGAACCTGTGAATATGTTAAGTTACACAAATAACAGAAAACAAGGTTTCTAATCAGCTAACCTTCAGACTGGCAGATGATACTGAATTATCTGGGTGGGCCCGGATGTAATCACAAAGGTCCTCATAAGTGGAAGACGAAGGCAGAAGAGAGAGAATCAGAGAGATGTTAGTATTAAAAGGACTTGATCTGATGTTGCTGGCTTTGAAGATGGAGGAAGAGTCCTATGAGCCTTCAAGACAAGCTTCTAGAATCTGGAAAATGGAAGGCAATGTGTTCTCCTCTAAAGCCACCAGAAAGAAATACAGTCAGGCTGACAACTTGATTTTAGTTCAGTGAGACACATATTAGACTTCTGACCTTCAGAATTGTAAGATAATGATAATTATGATGATAGTAAGGATAATAGTACTAAATTTGTTTTGCTATAAGCCACTAAGTTTGTGGTGATTTGTTAAAGCAGCCATGAAAAACCGTTACAACCCTAAATCAGCTATGGACAGAAATTGGAAGATGAACATCCATCTTCTTCTCCCTTGTGTGAGACAACCGAGTTTGGTTCTATACAGTCTTCAAGAGGGCTCTAGCAAGGTTCAGTATCACTTACCCACATCTTAACCTGCTAATTAAAACACTCTGTATTAACTTTCTTCCTTTCTCTATCTCACTTCTCTTCTTTCTTACTGGTATTTTGTTATTATTATTATTTTACTTTAAGTTCTGGGGTACATGTGCAGAACGTGCAGGTTTGTCACACAGGTATACACGTGCCATGGTGGTTTGCTGTGCTCATCAACCAGTCATCTACATTAGGTATTTCTCCTAATGCTATCCCTCCCCTAGTTCTCCACCCCCAGACAGGCTCCAGTGTGTGATGTTCCCCTCCCTGTGTCCATGTGTTCTCATGTTCAACTCCCACTTATGAGTGAGAACATGCAGGATTGGTTTTCTGTTCCTGTGTTAGTTTGCTGAGAATTATGGCTTCCAGCTTCATCCGTGTCCCTGCAAATGACATAAACTTACTCTTTTTTATGGCTGCATACTATTCCATGGTATATATGTGCCACATTTTCTTTATGCAGTCTATCATTGATGGGCATTTGGGTTGGTTCCAAGTCTTTGCTATTGTAAATAGTGCTGCAATAAACATATGTGTGCATGTATCTTTATAGTAAAATGATTTATAGTCCTTTGGGTATATACCCAGTAAGGGGGTTGCTGAGTCAAATGATATTTCTGGTTCTAGATCCTTGAAGAATCGCCACACTATCTTCCACAATAGTTGAACTAATTTACACTTCAACCAACAGTGTAAAAGCATTCCTATTTCTCCACATCCTCTTCAGCATCTGTTGTTTCCTGACATTTTAATGATTGCCATTCTAACTGGTGTGAGATGGTATCACATTGTGGTTTTGATTTGCATTACTCTAATGACCAGTGATGATGAGCTTTTTTCATGTTTGTTGGCCACATACATTTCTTCTTTTGAGAAGTATTTGTTCATATCCTTTGCCCAGTTTTTGATGGGATTTTTTTCTTGTAAATTTGTTTAAATTCCTTGTAGATTCTGGATATTAGCCCTTTGTCAGATGGACAGAGTGCAAAAATTTTCTCTTATTCTGTAGGTTGCCTGTTCACTCTGATGATATTCTTTTGCTGTGCAAAAGCTCTTTAGTTTAATTAGATCTCATTTGTCAATTTTGGCATTTGTTGCCATTGCTTTTAGTGTTTTAGTCATGAAGTCTTTGCCCATGCCTATGTCCTGAATAGAATTGTCTAGGTTTTCTTCTAGGGTTTTTATGGTTTTAGGTCTTACATTTAAGTCTTTAATCCATCTTGAGTTAATTTTTGTACAAGGTGTAAGGAAGGTGTCCAGTTTCAGTTTTCTGCATATGGCTAGCCAGTTTTCCCAACACCATTTATTAAATAGGGAATCCTTTCCCCATTGCTTATTTTTGTCATGTTTGTCAAAGATCAGATGGTTGTAGATTTGTGGTGTGATTTCTGAGGCCTCTGTTCTGTTCCATTGGACTATATATCTGTTTTGGTATCAGTACCATGCTGTTTTGGTTACTGTAACCTTGTAGTATAGTTTGAAGTCAGGTAGCATAATACCTCCAGCTTTGTTCATTTTGCTTAGGATTGTCTTGTCTATACAGGCTCTTTTGTGGTTCCATATGAAATTTAAAGTAGTTTTATCTAATTCTGTGAAAAAGGTCAATGATAGCTTGATGGGGATAGCATTGAATCTATAAATCACTTTGGCAAATAAAGGGATGGAGGAACATTTACTAAGCAAATCGATAGCAAAAAAAAAGCAAGGGTCACAATCCTAGTCTCTGATAAAAGAGACTTTAAACCAACAAAGATCAAAAAAGACAAAGAAGAGCATTATATAATGGTAAAGAGATCAATGCAACAAGAAGAGCTAACTATCCTAAATATATATGCACCCAATACAGGAGCACCCAGATTCATAAAGCTAGTTCTTAGAGACCTACGAAGAGACTTAGACTCCCACACAATAATACTGGGAGACTTTACCACACCACTGTCAATATTAGACAGATAAATGAGATAGAAAATTAACAAGGATATTCAGGACTGGAACTCAGCTCTGGACCACATGGACCTAATAGACATCTACAGAACTCTGCACCCCAAATCAAAGGAATATACATTCTTCTCTGCACCACATCACACTTATTTTAAAATTTACCACATAATTGGAAGTAAAATACTCCTCAGCAAATGCAAAAGAACGGAAATCATAACAGTTTCTCAGACCACAGTGCAATCAAACTAGAACTCAGGATTAAGAAATTCACTCAAAACCTCAGAACTACATGGAAACTGAACAACCTGCTCCTGAATGACTACCGGGTAAATAACGAAATTAAAGCAGAAATAAATAAGTTCTTTGAAACCAATGAGAACAAAGGTACAATGTACCAGAATCTCTGGAACACAGCTAAAGTAGTGTTTAGAGGGAAATTTATAACACTAAGTGCCCACAGAAGAAAGCAGGTACTTCTTTTTTTAAAGTGATTTTTCCATAGGTTACTGGGGAACAGGTGGTGTTTGGTTACATGAGTAAGTTCTTTAGCGGTGAGTTGTGAGATCTTGGTGCACCCATCACCTGAGCAGTATACACTGCACCCTATTTGTAGTTGTGTGTTCTTTGTCCCCCTTCCCCCTTTCCCCCCATGTCCCTGAAATCCATTGTATCATTCTTATGCCTTTGCATTTTCATAGCTTAGCTCCCACATATCAGTGATAACATACAATGTTTGGTTTTCTATTCCTCAGTTACTTTAATTAAAATAATAATCTCCAATCTCATCCAGGTCACTGCGAATGCCATTAATTCATTCCTTTTTATGGTTGAGTTGTATTCCATCATATATACATAGCACGGTTTCTGTATCCCCTCGTTGACTGATTGGCACTTGGGTTGGTTCCACAATTTTGCAATTGCAAATTGTGCTACTATAAACATGCATTGGCTAGTATCTTTTTCATAAAATGACTTATTTTTCTCTGGGTAGATACCCAGTAGTGAGATTGCTGGATCAAATGTTAGTTCTACTTTTAGTTCTTTAAGGAATATCCAGTGTTTTTCATAGTGGTTGTACTAGTTTACATTCCCACCAGCAGTGCAGAAGTGTTCCCTGATCACCACATCAATGCCAACATCTACTGTTTTTTGATTTTTTTATTATGGCCATTCTTGCAGGAGTAAGGTGGTATCACATTGTGGTTTTGATTTGAATTTCTCTGATCATCAGTGATGTTGAGCATTTTTTCATATGCTTGTTGGCTATTTTTACAACTTCTTTTGAGAATTGTCCATTTATGTCCTTAGCCAACTTTTTGATGGGATTGTTTGTTCTTTTCTTGCTTATTTCTTTGAGTTTGTTGTAGATTCTCAATATTACTCTTTTGGCATATGTATAGATTGTGAAGATTTTTCCCCCATTCTTTGGGTTGTCTGTTTACTGTGGACTGTTCCTTTTTCTGTGCAAAAGCTCTTTAGTTTAATAAAGTCTCAGCTATTTACCTTTGTTTTAATTGCATTGCCTTTTGGGTTCTTGGTCAAGAAATCCTTGCCTAAGCCAATGTCTTGGAGGGATTTTTTTCTATGTTTTCTTCTAGAATTTTTATAGTTTCAGGTCTTAGATTTAAGTCCTAATCCATCTTGAGTTGATTTTTGTATAAGGTGAGAAATGAAAATCCAGTTTTATTCTCCTACATGTGGCAAGCCAATTATCCCAGCATCATTTGTTAAAAAGAGTATCCTCTACCCACTTTATGTTTTTGTTTGCTTTGTCAAAGATCAGTTGCTGTTAGGTATTTGGTTAATTTCTGGATTCTTTCTTCTGTTCCATTGGTCTATGTGCATATTTTTATACCAGTACCATGCTGTTTTGGTGACTATGAACTTATAGTATAGTTTGAAATCAGGTAATGTGATGCCTCCAGATTTGCTCTTTTTGCTTATTCTTGCTTTGGCTATGCAGTCTTTCTTTTGGTTCCATATGAATTTTAGATTTTTTTTCCAATTCTGTGATAAATGATGGTGATATTTTGATTGAAATTGCATTAAATTTGGCCGTAGGGTCATTTTCACAATATTGATTCTACTCATGCATGAACATGGAATATATTTCAATTTGTTTGTTCATCTATTATTTCTTTCAGCAGTGTTTTGTCATTTTCCTTGTGGAAGCCTTTCACCTCCTTGGTTATGTGTATTTCTAAGTATTTTATTTTATTTGCAGCTATTGTAAAAAAGATTGAGTTTTTGATTTGATTCTCAGCTTGCTCACTGTTGATGTATAGAAGAGCTACTGATTTGTGTACATTAATTTTGCATCTGGAAACTTTGCTAAATTCTCTTACCAGTTCTGGGAGCTTTCCAGATGAGTCTTCAAGGTTTTTGAGGTAAATGATCATATCATAAGCAAACAGTGACAGTTTGACTTCCTCTTTACTGATTTGGATGCCCTCTCTTGTTTGATTGCTCTGGCTAGGACTTCCAGTAGTATCTTGAAGAGGGGCGGTGAGAGTGGGCATCCTTGTCTTGTTTCAGTTCTCAGAGGGAACGCTTTCAACATTTCCCCATTCAGTATTATCTTGGCTGTGGGTTTCTCATAGGTGGCTTTTATTACAGTGAGTTATGTCTCTTGTATGCCAATTTTGCTGAGAGTTTTAGTCATAAAAGATGCTGGATTTTATCTAATGCTTTTTCTGCATCTATTGAGATGATCATGTAATTTTTTTGTTTTAAATTCTGTTTATGTGGTGTATCCCATATATTGACTTGCATATGTTAAACCATCCTTGCATCCCTGGTATGAAACCCACTTAATCATGGTGGATTATCTTTTTGATATGTTGTTGGATTTGGTTGGCTAGTATTTTGTTAAGAACTTTAGCATCTATATTCATCAGGTTTATTGGTCTGTGGTTTTCTTTTTTGGTTATGTCCTTTCCTGGTTTTGGTATTAGAGTGATACTGGCTTCATAGAATGATTTAGGAGGGTTCCCTCTTCCTCTATCTTGTGGAATAAAGTCAATAGGATTGGTACCAATTCTTCTTTGAATATTTGGTAGAATTCTGCTGTGGATCCACTTGGTCATGGACTTTTTTTGTTGGTGGTAGTTTTTTAATTACCATTTCAATCTCGCTGCTTGTTATTAATCAGTTCAGGGTATCTAATTCTTCCTGATTTAAGCTACAAGGGTTATATGTTTCCTGGAATTTATCCATATTTTCTAGGTTTTCTAGTTCATGCATGTAAAGGTGTTCATAGTAGCTTTGAATGATCTTTTGTATTTCAGTGGTGTCAGTTGTAATATCTCCTCCCACCTTTTTTTTTTTTTTTTTTTTTTTGAGACAGAGTCTCCCTCTGTCACCCAGGCTGGAGTGCAGTGACATGATCTTGGCTCACTGCAAGCTCCGCCTCCCGGGTTCATGCCATTCTCCTGCCTCAGCCTCCCAAGTAGCTGGGACTACAGGTGCCCGCCACCACACCTGGCTAATTTTTTTGTATTTTTAGTAGAGACGGGGTTTCACCACGTTAGCCAGGATGGTCTCGAACTCCTGACTTTGTGATCCACCCACCTCAGCCTTCTAAAGTGCTGGGATTAGAGGCATGAGCCACCATGCCTGGCCTCCCTTTTCATTTTCTATTGAGCTTATTTGGATTTTTTCTCTTTTTGTTCTTGGTTAATCTTGCTGATGGTTTATCAATTTTATTTATTTTTTCAAAGAACCAGCTTTTTGTTTCATTTATCTTCTGGATATTTTTGTTTCAATTTCATTTAGTTCTGCTCTGTTCTTGGTTATTTTCCTTCTTTTGCTAAGTATGGGTTTGGTTTATTCTTGTTTTTCTAGTTCCTTGAGGTGTGACCTTAGATTGTCTGTGCTCTTTCAGTCTTTTTGATGTAGGCTTTTAGGGATATAAATTTTCCTCTTAGCACCACCTTAGCTGTATCCCAGAGGCTTTGATAGGTTGTGTTACTATTGTCCTTCAGCACAAAGAAATTTTTAATTTCCATCTTGATTTTATTTTTGACCCAATGATCATTCAGGAGCAGGTTATTTAATTTCCATGTATTTGCATGGTTTTGAAGGTTCCTTTTGGGGTTTATTTCCAGTTTTATTCCACTGTGGTCTGAGAGAGTGCTTGATACAATTTCAATTTTCTTACATTTATTGAGGCTTGTTGTGAGGCCTATCATATTGTCTATCTTGGAGAAATTTCCGTGCACTATTCAGTAGAATGTATGCTCTGTGATTGTTGGATGGAATGTTCTATTTCTATCTGTTAAATCCATTTGTTCCAAGGTATAGTTCAAATCTATTGTTTCTTTGTTGACTTTCTATCTTGATGGCCTCTCTAAAGGTTTCAGTGGAGTATTGAAGTCCCCCAGTATTATTGTGTTGCTGTCTATCTTATTTCTTAGGTATATTATTAATTGTTTTATAAATTTCGGAGCTCCAGTGTTAGGTGCATATATGTTTAGTATTGTAATAGTTTCCTATTGGACAGGGTCTTTTATTATTATATAGTATCCTGCTTTGTCTTTTTTAACTTCTGTTTTGCTTTAAAGTTTTTTTGTCTGATATTACGAAGCTACTCCTTTTCACCTTTGGTGTTCATTTGCATGAAATGTCTTTTTCTACCCTTTAAGTTTATGTGAGTTCTTATGTTAGGTGAGTCTCTTGAAGGCAGCAGATGGTTGGTGAATTCTTTTTTTTTTTTTTTTTTTTGTATTTTAGTAGAGATGGAGTTTCACTATGTTGCCCAGGCTGGTCTCAAACTTCTGAGCTCAGGCAACCTGCCCGTCTTGGCCTCCCAAAGTGCTAGGATTATGGGAGTGAGCTGCCGCACCTGGCTGGTTGGTGAATTCTTATTCATTCTGCAGTTTTGTATCTTTTAAGTGGAGCATTTAGGCCATTTACATTCAACGTTATGATTGAGATGTGAGGCACCATTCCATTCATTGTGTTATCTTTTTTTACTGTGTACCTTGGTTTTTTGTTTTTGTTTTTAATTTTTATTTATTTATTTATTTTGAGATGGAGTTTTGCTTTTGTTGTCCAGGCTGGAGTCCAATAATGTGATCTGGGCTCACTGCAACCTCTACCTCCTGGGTTTAAGCGATACTCCTGCCTCAGCCGCCTGAATAGCTGGGATTACAGGCATGCACCACCATGCCTGGCTAATTTTGTATTTTTAGTAGAGATGGGGTTTCTCCATGTTGGTCAGGCTGGTCTCAAACTCCCGACCTCAGGTGATCCACCCACCTTAGCCTCCCAAAGTGCTGAGATTACAGGCATGAGCCATCACACCCAGCCTTGTTTTTTAAGTTGTATTTTTGTTTTATAGGTCCTGTGAGATTTATGCTTTAAAGAGGTTCTGCTTTGATGTGTTTCCAGGATTTGTTTCAAGATTTAGAGCTCCTTTTAGCAGTCCTTGTAGTAGTGCCTTGGCAGTGGTGAATTCTCTCAGCATTTTTTTTTTTGTCTGAAAAAGACTGTATCTTTATTTCATATATGAAGCTTAGTTTCACTGGATACAAAATTCTTGGCAGATAATTGTTTTGCTTGAGGAGGCTGAAGATTGGACCCTAATTCCTTCTAGCTTGTAGCGTTTGTGCTGACAAATCTACTGTTAATCTGATAGGTATTTCTTTATTGGTTACCTGGTGCTTTTGCCTCACAGCTCTTAAAAATCTTTCCTTCATCTTAACTTTAGATAACCTGAAGACAATGTGCCTAGGAAATAATTTTTTTGTGTGATGAATTTTCCAGGTATTTTTTGTGCTTCTTGTATTTTGATGTCTAAGTCTCTAGCAAGGCCAGATAATTTTTCCTTGATTATTCCCCCAAGTATTTTTCCAGGCTTCTAGATTTCTCTTTTTTCTCAGGATTGATTATTCTTAGGTTTGGTCATTTAACATAATCTCAGACTTCTTAGAGGCTTTGTTCATATTTTCTTATTCTTTTTTCTTTGTCTTTGTTAGATTGGGTTAATTCAAAGACCTTGTCTTTGAGCTCTGAAATTGTTTCTTGTACTTGTTCAATTCTATTGCTAAGATTTTCCAGATAATTCTGCATTTCTATAAGTGTCCATTGTTTCCTGAAGGTTTGATTGCTTTTTATTTATGTTATCTATTTCATTGAATATTTCTCCCTTCATTTCTTGTATCATTTTCTTGATTTCCTTACATTGGGCTTGGCCTTTCTCTGGTGCCTCCCTGATTGGCTTAATAACTAACATCTTCAATTCCTTTTCAGATAAATCAGAGATTTCTTCTTTGTTTTGATTCATCACTGGTGAGCTAGTGTGATTTTGGGGGGTGTGTTAAAGAGTCTTGTTTTGTCCTATTACCAGAGTTAGTTTTCTGGTTTCTTCTGATTTGAGTAGGCTCTGTCAGAGAGAAGGTCTAGGACTGAAGGCTGTTGTTCGTATTCTCTTGTCCCATGGGGTATTCCCTTGATGTAGCATCCCCCTCCCTTTTCCTATGGATGTGGCTTCCTGAGAGCTGAGCTGCAGTGATTGTTACGTCTCTTCTGGATCTAGCCACCCAGCAAGTCTACGAGGCTCTGGGCTGGTACTGGGGGTTGTCTGCACTGAGTCCTGTGATCTGAATCATCTGTGGGTCTCTCAGCCATGAATACCAGCACCTCTTCCGGTGGAGATTGCAGAGGGGTGAAATGGACTCTGTGAAAGTTCTTAGCTTTGGTGGTTTAATGCACTATTTTTGTGTTGGTTTACCTCCTGCTGGGAGGTAGCCCTTTCCAGAGAGCATCAGCTACAGTAGTATGGAGAGAAATAGGTGATGGGTGGGGCCCCAGAACTGTCCAGTGTATATATATGCCCTTTGTCTTCAGTTATCAGGGTGGGTAAGGAAGGACTGTTAGGTGGGGACACAGCTAGGCATGACTGAGCTCAGATGCTCCTTGGGTGAGTCTTGCAGCAGCTAATGTGGGGATCAGGCTGAGGTTCGAGGTCAATAAAGTTATAATCCTAGGAGGACTGTGGCTGTCTCTATTGTGTCGTGTAGGTTGTCAGGGAAGTGAGGGAAAGCCAGCAGTCACAGGCTTTACCCAGCTTCCATGCAATCTGAAGGGCCGGTCTCACTCCCACCGTGCTGCCCCCCACCCCAAATAAAATAGCACTGAATCTGTTTCCAGGCAGTGGGCAAGCAGAGTTGAGAACTTGCCCCAGACTACCTGTCTCCCACCTGGAAAAGCAAGTATGGATTTTCTTCTTCTGCCTGTGGATTCTGCACACTGGATTCACTCCCTCCCTGAGTTCTGGCCAGGAGGTTTCTCAATCAATTTAAATTGTTACAAAGTTCAGCTGGAGATGTCCTTCTCCCTGTGGCTTTTCCCAGCACCTCTGGCTGCCCTCCCGAAGGATTCTTGTGAAGCCAGGCAAAAACGGCCTGCTTGGGGACCCAGCAAACTCACAGGGCTTTTCCCACTGCTTCCTCTACCTTCGTATTTTGCTCAGCTCTCTAAATTGACTCAGCTCCAGGTAATGTCCGAATCTTCTTTCATAATCTAGACCTTCATTTTCTCCAGTGGGGGTTTGTGTTTGGGGGTGGAAGATCTCACTTTCCCACTTCTGCAGTTTGGGCACTGACATTATTTGGTGTGTCGCCTGGGTTCTGAAGGAGCAATCCCCTTCTTTCAGAGGGGTTGTTGATCCTCTTGGGCAACCTGGTTTATTCCTGTAGTCGTTCTGGAATTAAAATTCATAATGCAATCCTCCATACACTGTTCTGTCCATCTAAATGAGAGCTGCAATCTCTTCCTGCCTCCTGTCTGCCTTGATGGGATCACTTTCTTAACAAACTGCTTGCACATTATTCTTTAGGACTGAGTGCTGCTGGGTGAGACTAACCTAGGGCAGAGATTAAAGAAAAGTTTTACAAAATTCAAGAGGATGTAAGGGACATTTTTTTCCTTATGAAGTGACAATTTCTAATAGAAGATATCTTTAAGGAGGATTGCAAAGAGATAATGAGACACATTTCTAGGACATTTAAAATTATACATATTTGGATCAAATTTTTCAGGGATATGGGTAGTGCTTATTCATTTATTAAAACATAACTATTTAAATAGAATTAGTTTTTAAAATATATTAATATAATTTTGCCTCATCTGTTAAATATCAATGAAATGGTCATTATGTAATTTTTATGAAAATACAGTATTTCTTTTTAAATAAACTGTTCCTTTGAACTTTGCAAACTGACATGAAAAGTGAGTTCTGTTATTATATACTTAACCATCTTTCTAAATTGTTCTTAATTGCATAAATCCTAATTTAGGACACTACAGTCACCTTAAAAATACAGATACTTCTGATATTTAGGTGAAAAACTAAATATTAAACTCATTTTCTACCATAGAGATATAACTACTTGATTTATATTAATAATCACATTTTAATAAGTTAATTTAACCTCTTCATAGACCATGTAGGAGTTTTAAGGGTTTCAGTTTAAGTAGAAACTCAAGTTACCTTTCCTATTAATTATTATGATTGAAACTCTGGTTAAAAACTTTGACTTTTGGAGTCAGTCAAAAGTGCGTTTTTAAATTTAGCGTATAATATACATGTAGTAATTGGTTCTGTTCAACAGACTTCAAAAATATTTTTATGTCAAGATGGTGAAAGAGTGGTGGTTGAAAAGCTGTATTAGAGAGAAAACCAATTGACACTTCTATAACCTCCTTCCTTGCCATCATAACTACACTCACACTGTTCTATTGTATGTGAGAAATGGATAAATAGGCAAGATCTATCAAGAGGAATGGGGTGGGGAGATATGGCATTCTTGAGTGAAAATCTTCTTTTAAGAATGATTAAACATTCTGTGATAGGTTGAAGATGTCCTAAAGTTTGTTAATATTTAAAAGACACAGTTGAAAATCTTAGGGAGAAGGAAAGCATCAGAAATTGAGTCAGGGAAAATAAAATCATAAAAAATAATGGAATGGGATGAGCCTATAAGAGATGACATATTTGTGGTAAAAATAAATTTCACGAGGAAAAAAGAGAAGACTATTTAGAACTGGTGGCTATTTGAGTTCATACATTAAGAGGCAGAAAGTCATTATCCTTTGACACTCAAGAGTACTATCAGCATGATAACCATATTTTCCAAACTTCTAATTGGAACATATAAAAAGATAAATATGAATATATCCATAAAGCAAATGAGATAGGATATTTGAAATTCATATGCTTTTCAGAAATCCAGATTGCCATAGTTATGGAGGATAACAGCAACAGAACATATACTTCTTAACCACATATATGTGAACCATGGGAGGATTGAGAGGACTATCACAAGTGAAGTTTGCAGTATGATGCAAGAGAGTACTTAATTCTGTAGAATGAACTTTGGCTGCCTCAAAGAAAATTCAGACATACCTGAACTTCAAAAATATCTAAGATGTGAATAAGGAAGAAAAAGAATAAGGAATGATGTATTTTAAGGGATTAGTTTAGTCCATCACAGTAGTAAATTCAGCATGTGGGAAGCAGGACTCAGAAAATATTTGCTGGATGTGTGTTTCAAGGGGTAGGGGGCAGGTGAAATAGAACATAGATATGAAACACCACTCAACTAAGAATTGTCTTAATGATTGGCAATGTGTTTTCAGCCACCTTACAATGATTTATATTTTAAATGACTTTGTTGTACATCTATGTCAAAATGAAATGGGCACAATAATTTATATGATGATATTTGGGCATACTTTCTGAACAGAACTGGAAACAAAATCATTAAAACATGGGAAATATATTATTAAGGCCCTAGTCTTCCTTTGTTTTTCATCCACTTTGTCCATTCACTTACCCCATTCTACCATATTATAGTCTCTATTTCAGTACTTTCATGTTGCCTGACATATCATTCATGTGTGAGAGGAAATAAATCTTATGAAAGAATTCATAGTTAAAAATAATTATAGAACCCTTCTTATTTTCAGTAAAAGCTTTATTTTTGTAATAATATACCCTAGGCAGAAAGATAAAATTAAATACTGAATTAGTAGCTGTAGATTTTCTCTGTGCTGCTGCATACAGACAAACATGGGTGGATTTTGTGAATCATAATATGAATAATTATTTATTAACTACATCTATCTTTGAGGCTTGCACTGCTCTTGTAAATTCAGTTTCAGCTTGCTTTATCATGCAGCTAACAAGGTGGTTTTTTTGTTTCCTTTTTTTTTTTTTTTAACGTTTATTTTAGCCGGGTGCGGTGGCTCACGCCTGTAATCCTAGCACTTTCGGAGGCTGAGGCGGGCAGATCATGAGGTCACGAGATCGAGACCATCCTGGCCAACATGGTGAAACCCCATCTCTAATAAAAATGCCAAAAATAAAAAAAGTAGCTGGGTGTGGTGGTGCATGCCTATAGTCTCAGCTACTCTGGAGGCTGAAGCAGGAGAATCGCTTGAACCCGGGAGGTGGAGGTTGCAGCGAGCCAAGACTGTGGCACTGCACTCCAGCCTGAGTGAGAGTGAGACTCCGTCTCAAAAAGAAAAAAAAATATTTTAAGTTGAGGGGTACATGCACTGGTTTGTTACATAGGCAAACCTGTGTCATGGGGGGATTGTTGTAAAGATTATTTAATCACCAAGGTATTAAGCCTAGCACACAATAGTTATTTTTCCTGATCCTCTCCTTCCTCCTATCCTCTATTCTCCAAAAGGCCCCAGTGTATGTGGTTCCCCTCTATGCGTCCATGTGTTCTCATCATTTACCTCACACTTATAAGTGAAAACATGCAATATTTGGTTTTCTGTTCCTGTGTTAGTTTTCTAAAGATAATGGCCTCCAGCTCCTTCCATGTCCCTGCCAAGAAAATGATCTCGTTCTTTTTGACGGTTGCACTGAATTCAATGGTGTATATGTACCACATTTTTTTAATCTAGTCTATTACTGATGGGCATATAGGTTGGTTCCCTGTCTTCACTGCTGTGAATAGTGCTGCAATGAACATACACATGCACATGTCTTTGTAACAGAACAACGTATATTCCTTTGGGCATACACCCAGTACTGGAATTGCTGGGTCGAATGATATTTCTGTCTTCAGGTTTTTGAGGAATTGCCACACCGTATTCCACAATGGTTAAGTAAGTTATACTGCACCAACAGTGTATAAGTGTCCCTTTTCTCCACAACCTCAGCACCATCTGTTAGTTTTTGACTTTTTATTATTATAATAGCCATTCTGACTAGTGTGAGATGGTATCTTATTTAGGTTTTGATTTAAATTTCTCTAATAATTAGTGATGTTGAGCTTCTTTTCATGTGACTGTTGACCACATGTATGTTTTTGTTTGAAAAGTGTCTGTTCATGTCTTTGCCCACTTTTGGGGGAGACAGGGTTGTTTCATTTTCTTTCTTTTTTTTTTTTTTTTTTTTTTTTCGAGATGGAGTCTCGCTGCCGCCCAGGCTGGAGTGCGGTGCTGCAATCTCGGCTCACTGCAGGCTCCGCCCCCCGGGTTCACGCCATTCTCCTGCCTCAACCTCCCGAGTAGCTGGGACTACAGGCGCCCGCCACCACGCCCGGCTAATTTTTTGTATTTTTAGTAGAGATGGGGTTTCACCGTGTTAGCCAGGATGGTCTCTATCTCCTGACCTCGTGATCTGCCTGCCTCAGCCTCCCCATTTTCTTTAAAATTTGTTGAAGATCCTTACAGATGCTGGATGTTAGATCTGTGTCAGATGCATAGTTTGCAAAAATTTTCTCCCATTCTGCAGGCTGTCTCTTTACTCTGTTGATTTTTTTTTTTTTTTTCTGAGCAGAAACTCTTTAGTTTAGTTAATTCCCATTTGACAATTTTTGATTTTGTTGCAATTGCTTATGGCATCATCATGAATTCTTTGCCTGTTCCTAGGTCCTGAATGATATTGCCTAGGTTGTCTTCCAGGGCTTTTATAGTTTTGGGTTTTACATATGTCTAATCCATCTAGAGTTAACTTTTTATATGGTGTAGGGAAGAGGTTTCAATTTTCAATCTTCTGCATATGGCTAGCCAGTTATTTCAGCACCATTTAATGAAGACAGAGTCCTTTTCTCATTGTTGTTTTTGTCAAGTTTGTTGAAGATAAAATGGTTGTAGGTGTGTAGCCTTATTTTGTTTTTATTTTTATTTCTGTTCCATTGGTCTATGTGTCTGCTTTTGTGCCAGTATCATGCTGTTTTGGTTAGTCGTAGCCCTGTACTACAGTTTGAAGTTGGGTAACATGATGCCTCTAGCTTTGTTCTTTTTGTGTAAGATTATCTTGGCTATTCAGACTATTTTTTGGTTCCATATGAATTTCAGAATACTTTTTCTAGTTCTGTAAAGAATCTCAGTGGTAGTTTAATAGCAATAGCATTGAATCTGTAAATTCCTTTGGGCAGTATGCCATTTTAAGAATATTGATTCTTCCTATCCATGAGCATGAGATGATTTTCCATTTATTTGTGTCGTTTCTGATTTATTTGAGCAGTGTTTTGTAGTTCTCCTTGTAGAGATCTTTCACCTCCCAAGTTATCTGTACTTCTCAGTATTTTATTCTTTTTGTGGCAATTGTAAAAGAAAGTTTATTCCTGATTTGGCTCTTGGCTTGACTGTTGTTGGTGTTTAGTAATGCTAGTGATGTTGCACATGTGTGTTATATCTTTGTTCTTATTAGTTTCAGTGAACTTCTTGATTTCTGCCTTAATTTCATTATTTACCCAAAAGTCATTCAGGAGCAGACTATTCAATTGCAATGTAATTATGTGGTTTTGAGTGAATCTGTTAGTCTGGATTTCTAATTTGATTGCATTTTGGTCTGAGAAACTGTTGTGATTTCAGGTCTTTTGCATATGCTGAGGGGTGATCAATTTTACACTAAGTGCCATTTGGTGATGAACAGAGTGTATATTCTGTTGTTTTGGGCTGGACAGTTCCGTAGATGTGTATCAGGGCTTCTTGATCCAGAGCTGAGTTCTGGTCCTGAATATCTTTGTTAATTTTCTGTCTTGATGATATGTTTAATATTGTCACTAGGGTATTAAAGTCTCCCACTACAATTTTGTGGGAGTCTATGTCTCTTTGAAGGTCTCTAAGAGCTTGCTTTATAAATCTGGGTGCTCCTGTGTTGGGTGCATATATACTTAAAATAGTTAGATATTCTTGTTAAATTGAAACTTTTACCATTATGGGATGCCCTTTTTATCTTTTAAAACATTTATTTCCATAGGTTATGGGGAAACAAGTGGTGTTTGGTTACATGAGTAAGTTATTCAGTGGTGATTTGTGAAATTTTCTTTGTGGGTTTAAATTCTGCTTTGTAAGAAACTAGGATTGCAACCCTTGTTTTTTTGTTTTGTTTCGTTTTGTTTCTGTTTTCCTTTCGCTTGGTAGATTTTCCTCCATTCCTTTATTTTGAGCCTATGAGTGTTATTGCTTTTGAGATGGGTGTTTTGAAGAGAGCATGTAATTGGGTCTTGCTTTTTTATCCAGCTTCTCACACTGTGCCTTCTAATAGGGGCATTTAACCTATTTATTTTTAAGGTTAGTATTGATATGTGTGGATTTGATTGTGTCACCATGATGTTAGCTGGTTATTTTGCAAACTTCTTTAAGTGGTTTCTTTATATTGTCACTGGTTTGTGTACTTCAGTGTGTTTTTGCAATGGCTGGCAAAGGTCTTTTCTTTCCACATTTAGTGCTTTTTTGAGGAGCTCTTTTAAAGCATGTCTAATGGTAACAAATTTCCTCAGTATTTGCTTGTATGAAAAAGATCTTATTTTTCCTTCACTTATGAAGCTTAGTTTGGCCAAATACAAAATTTTGGGATGGAATTTCTTTTCTTTAAGAATGTTGAATTTTCTTTTTCCTTTTTTTGGGGGGCGAAGGAAAGTAAATGATATAAAATTAGATTCTTTTTTCAAAATGTTTATTTCCATAGGTTTTTGGAGATCAGGTGGTATTTGGTTACATCAGTAAGTTCTTTAGTGGTGATTTGTCAGATTTTGGTGCACTCATTACCCAAGTAGTATACAGTGAACCGAATTTGTAGTATTTTATCCCTCACCCACCTCCCATTCTTTTCCCCAAGTTCCCAAAGTCCATTGTATCATTCTTATGCCTTTGCATTCTCATAGCTTAGCTCCCACTTATGAGTGACAACACACAATGTGTGGTTTTCCGTTCCTGAGTTACTTTACTTAGAATAATAGTCTCTAGTTCCATCCAGGTTTCTGCAAATGCCATTAATTCCTTCCTTTGTATGGCTAAATAGTATATATATATATATCTCACAATTTTTTATCCACTCATTGATTGATGGACATTTGGACTGGTTCCATATTTTCACAATTGCAAATTGTGCTGCTATACACATACGTGTCCAAGTATCTTTTTCGTATAATGACTTTCTTTTCCTCTGGGTAGATACCCAGTAGTGGGATCACTATATTAAATGGTACATCTATTTTTAGTTATTTAAGGAATCTCCACGCTGTTTTCCATGGTGGTTGTACGAGTTTACATTCCCACCAACAGTGTAAAGGTGTTCCCTTTCACCACATCCATGCCAACATCTATAATTCTCCCTCCCTTTTGTTTTTTTAATTATGGCCATTCTTGTAGGAGTAAGGTGTTATCACATTGTGTTTTTGATTTGCATTTCCCTGATTATTAGTGATGTGGAGCATTTTTTCATATCTTCACTGGTCATTTGTATATCTTATTTTGAGAATTGTCTATTCATGTCCTTAGCCCACATTTTGATGGGATTCTTTTTTTCTTGCTGATTTGTGTCAGTTCCTTGTAGATTCTGGATATTAATCCTTTGTCAGATGTCTATATTGTGAGGATATTTTCCCACTCTGTGGGTTGTCTGTTTATACTGCCTACAGTTCCTTTTGTTGTGCACAGGCTCTTAATGAAGTCCCACTTATTTATCTCTGGTTTCGTTGCATTTGCTTTTGGGTTCTTGCTCATGAAGTCTTTGCCTAAGCCAAAATCTAGAAGGGTTTTTCCAATGTTATCGTCTAGAATTTTTATAGTTTCACATGTTAGATTTAAGTCATTAATCCATATTGTGTTGATTTTTGTATAAGGGGAGAGAAAAAGATCCACTTTTATTCTCCTATATGTGGCTTGCTAATTATCCCAGCACTATTTGCTGAATAGAGTGTCTTTTCCCTACTTCATGTTTTTGTTTGCTCTGTTGAAAATCAGTTGGCCGTAAGTATTTGGTTTATTTCTGGATTCTCTATTCTGTTTTATTGGTCTATGTGCTTATTTTTATACCAGTACCATGCTGTTTTGGTGACTGTGGTCTTACAGTATAGTTTGAAGTTAGATAATGTGATGCATCCAGATTTGTTCTTTTTGCTTAGTCTTGCTTTGGCTATGTGGATCCTTTTTTGGTTCCATGTGAATTTTAGGATTTTTTTTTCTACTTCTGTGAAGAATGATGGTGGTATTTTGATGGGAATTGCATTGAATTTGTAGATTGCTTTTGGCAGTATGGTCATTTTCACAATATTGATTATACCCATTCATGAGCATGGGATGTGTTTCCATTTGTTTGTGTTGTCTATGATTTCTTTCACCAGTGTTTTGTAGTCTTCCTTGTAGAGATCTTTCACCTCCTTGGTTAGGTATATGCCTAAGTTGTTGTTGTTGTTGTTTTGCAGTTATTTTAAGTTCTTGATTTCATTCTCAGCTTGGTCACTTTTTGTGTATAGCAGAGCTATTAATTTGTGTACTTAATTTTGTATACTAAAACTTTGCTGAATTCATTTATCAGCTCTAGGGGCTTTTTGGAGGAGTCTGTTGGGTTTTCTATCTAAATGATTATATCGTCAGCAAACAGTGACAGGTTCACATCTTGTTTACTGATTTGGATGCTCTTTAATTCCTTCTCTTGTCTGATTTATCTGGCTAGGACTTCCAGTACTATGTTGAATAGAAGTGGTGAAAATGGGCCTCCTTGTCTTATTCCAGTACTCAGAGGGAATGCTTTCAACTTTCCTTATTCAGTATTATGTTGTTGTGGGTTTGTCATAGATAGCTTTTCTTACATTGAGGTATGTCCCTTATGTGTTGATTTTGCTGAGGGTTTTGATTGTAAAGGGATGCTAGATTTTTTTTAATGCTTTTTCTGCATCTACTGAGATGATCATGTATTTTTAATTCTGTATGTGGTGTATCACATGTATTGACTTGTATAGGTTTAACTGTCTCTGAGTCCCTGGTATGAAACCTACTTGATCATGGTGGATTTTTTTTTTTATATTCTGTTGTATTTAGTCAGCTAGTATTTTGTCAAAGACTTTTGCATCTATGTTCATCAGGGATATTTTTCTGTAGTTTTCATTTTTTGTTATGTCTTTTTCTGATTTGGGTGTTAGGGTGATACTGGCTTCGCAGAATGATTTAGGAACAATTCTCTCTTTCTTTATCTTGTGAAATAGTGTCAATAGTATTGGTACCAATTCTTTGAATGTCTGATAAAATTCTGCTGTGAATCTGTCAGGTCCTGAATTTTTTTTTGTTGGTAATTTTTAAAATAACCATCTCAATCTTGCTGCTTGTTATTGGTCCGTTCAGGGTTTCTAATTCTTCCTGCTTTAAGCTAGGAGGGTAGTGTATTTCCAGGAATTTATCCATCTTTTTAGGTTTTCTAGTTCATGTGCATACACTTATAGCACAATAGCCTTGAATGATCTTTTGTGTTGCTTTGGTGTCAGTTGTAACATCTCCCATTTTGATTCTAATTGAGCTTATTTGGATCTTCTCTCTTCTTTTCTTGGTTAATCTTGCTAACGGTATATCAATTTTGATTATTTTTCAAAGAATCACCTTTTGGTTTTATTTATCTTTTGTATTGTTTTTTTTTTGTTTTAATTTCTTTTAGCTCTGCCCTGGTCTTGGTTATTTATTTTCTTCTACTGGGTTTGGGTTTGGTTTCTTTTGTTTACTGGGACATTCCCACCAGCACAATGACACTTTACAAAGGCCGTGGCAATGTCAGGAAGTTATCCTATGTGGTCTAAAAAGGGTAGGTGTGAATAATCCACCCCTTGTTTAGCATATAATCAAGAAATAACCATAAAAATAGGCAATCAGCAGCCCTCATGTCTGCTCTGTCTATGGAGTAGCCATTTTTTTTATTTCTTTACTGTCTTAATAAACTTGCTTTCACTTTATGAACTCACCCTGAATTCTTTCTTGCACAAGACCCAAGAACCCTCTTTTGGGGTCTCGATTGAGACTGCTTTCTGTTAGCTGATGTATGATTAGCACATGTTTTCTCTCAATTTTTAGATTGACTTTCCATTTTCTTGGTAGTGTCCTTTAATCTATTTTTGAAATTTTTGTTGAGGTCTGATTTAACTACATTATTCTTTCATGAATTGTGTTTGTATTGTCATGTTTAAGAATTGTCAAATCTAACATCATAAAGATTTGCCAATATTTTTTCCTAAGATTTTTATACTTTGAGCTTTTTAGTTTAGTTCTGATACACATTTTGAGTTAATTTTTGTATATAGTATTGGGTATTGTTCAACTGCCTACTTTTGCATGTGGATATACAGCACTATTGTTGAAAGGACTATTTTTTTTCTATTGAATGATCTTGGTACCCTTGCCAAAAATTGACCATGTGTGTGTAAACTTATTTCTGGACCCTAAGTTCTATTCCATTGGTCTATACGTCTATGCTTCATTCATTCATTCATTCATTCATTTATTTAGACAAGGTCTCACTCTGTCACCCAGGCTGGAATGCAGCAACATAATCACGGCCCACTGCAGCCTCATCCTACTGGGCACAAGCAATCCTCCTGCCTTAGCCCTCAACCTCCCAAGTAGCTGGGACCATAGGCACATGCCACCATGTCCGGTATATTAGTCAGGGTTCTCTAGAGGAACAGAACTAAAAGGATAGATGTATATACGAAGGGGAGTTTATTCAGGAGTATTGACTCACACAATCACAAGATGAGTTCCCACAGTAGGCCATCTTAAAGCAGAGGAGCAAGGATGTAGGCCAGAAAACTAAACCAATCTAACCTTCACAGATTCTTCTGCCTGCTTTTATTCTGGCCACACTGGCAGCAGATTAGATTGTGCCCACCTAAATTGAGGGTGGGTGGTGGGTCTGCCTCTGCCAGTCCACTCACTCAAATGTTAATCTCCTTTGGCAACACTTTAAAAGACACACCCAGGAACAATACTTTGCATCCTTCAATCCAATCAAGCTGACATTCAATATTAACCAGCGCTCCTGGCTGATTTCTTTTTTTTTAATTTTTAGTAGATGGAGTCTCACTATGTTTCCCAGGCTGTTCTCAAACTCCAGGCCTCAAGTAATCCTCCTGCCTTGGCCTTCTAAAGTACTGAAATCAAAAGCATGAACCGCCATGCCTGCCCTATGTGTCTATCCTTATACCACTACCATATGGTAGCTTTGTAGTAAATTTTGAAATCAGGAAATGTGAGTCCTGCATTTTTTCTCTTTTTCAAGATTGTTTTGGCTATGTGATTTCACTTGCAACTCCATATGCTTGTTGTGGTTTGTTGTTGTTTGTTTGCTTATTGACTTTTCTAAACTATTTTTGAAGTTTGTATTCTTTGTCCTGTGTGCCATTGCAATCTATGTTCTGTTAGTACATTGATCAAATAGAATATTGACAAGGTTTCCTTAAATTCTTGGAGCCAGTGAAAGAGAAAATAAAATAAAGATAAAATTAAAAAAAAAAAAAACTTTCCCAGTTATTGCAGATTGCTTCTGTGCTGGAGTACTCTTTCAGTACTTAGCCAGGCCATTTACAACTATGTCTTAGTCTTCACTTTATGCTTGCCAGATCATGGAGATCAGCCTGAAGTAAAAGATTAGGGTCTTCTCAGGCCTTTTCTGTTCATGGTTGCACCCCTGGGCATCCTCTTGCTCCTCTCAATTTCATGATATATGCAGAAACGTTTAACAAGCCTACACCTCCCCCCGATGTATCTACTTTTTCAATGTCTTTCTTCTCAGGCTTTTTTTTCATTTATTGCTTGTCCTGGCTGTAATTCATTAGCCTCAAGCTGCTGTGCCCAATACTTTTGCCTTTAAGTTATTTCTCTTTATAAGTGCTTTTCTAAAATTTGATTAGATGTTTCTTGGAATGTGTTGCAGACTGAATTGTATGTCCCAAAATGATATGTTTAAATCCTAACTCTCATTACTTATAAACATAACCTTATTTGGAAATAAGACCTTTGCAGATGTAATCAAATTAAAATGTGTTAATACTGGATTAGGGTTAGCCCACTGAAGCTAACAACTTGTGTCCTTATAAAATGGCTATGTGAATAAACTGATATAGAGAGAATTTCATGTGAAGATACAGGCGGAGATTGGAGTAATGTGTCTACAAGCCAAGGAATAACACCAGAAACTGGGAGACTCATGAAACAGATACTTACCTAGCGCTTTCAGAGACAAGAGGGCTTTGCTGATGCCTTAACTTTGGACTTCCAACCTCTAGAACTGTAAAAAATAAATAAATAAATTTCTGTCAACTTTCACCACAACTTTTGTGGTATTTTGTTGCAGCAGCCCCATGGAAACTAGTACAGTGTGGTTAGTTTATGTTTACCTTTCCTGGGATGAATTGAGATTTGTGAATCTTTGGATTAATATTTTTAAATCCGTATTTTTTAAAAAAGTTTTGGGTGTTTCTTCAAATTTTTTTTACCACTTTCTGTTTCTGGGACTTTAAATGTACAAAATCTACTTAATATGTTCACACATATTAAGTATATTTGCTGAGACTTGGTATATTTGTTGAGCCTTTTTTCATTCTATGGGTCGGTTTCCACAGTGCATATCATCTTGATTTTAAGTTCAGTGTTATTTTCTTTTATCATGTCTCATTTGATGTTATTCCTGTTCAGTGAAGTTTTACTTTCAGATATAATATTTTATTTGAATTTTTAGCTTACTTAAATAAAGTAAATTAAAAATACATAACACTTGTATTTTCAGTGTTAAACTTTCTTTTGTTAATTTTACTGTTTTAATTGTGAAATAATTACAGATTTTAAGAAGATTCAAAGATATTACAGAAAACTTGTTTTTGTACATATCCCCAAGTTTCTTCCAATATTTGCATCTTATGCAAATCTGGCTCAACATAAAAGCCAGGACATTTACATTCCTACAATGTGTATGTGTAGCTCTGTGCAATTTTATAACATGTGTAGATTTGTGTAACCACTATCACCACAATCATGATACAGACTTTTCCATCAACACAAAGATTTCTCTTGTTCACCTCCTTTATATTTGTACCCACACCCCTCACTTGTCTGGAGACCTTGTCTGCATCCCTAACTCCTAGAGACCACTAATATTTTCTCCACCTCTAAAATTTTGTCATTTTGAGGATAATATGTAAATGGCTTCATACAGTGTGGGATATTTTGAAATTTATTTCTTTCAATCAGTACAATGTTCATGAGAGCATCTGCATTCTTTCATGTATCAATAGTTTGTTCCTTTTTGCTGCTAAGTAGTGTTACATATTATGGGCATTACACAGTCTTATTTAGCCATTTATCTATGAAAAGACATGTTTTGCTGTTTCCAATTTTTGTCAATTATGAATGCAGTTGCTCTGCATATTTGCTTATGTATTTTTGTGTAGACATAAGACTTCATTCCTCTTAAATAAATTCCCATGTTGGTGATTGTTGTAGAATTGTATGGCAAGTTTATATTTGGTTTTTATAAACTGCCAAATTATTGTCCAGATTAAATTTATCATTTTACATCTTCTCCAGAAACACATGAGAATGATAGTTTCTCCACATCCTTACCAGCATTTGGTATTTTTACTATATTTTATTTTATCTGTGTGCAGTGATATACCATTGTGATCTTATTTTTAATTTCTCTAATGGCTATTCATGTAGAACATATTATGTCCCTATTTGCCAGTAGAACATCCTCTTTTGTGAAATGCCTCCTGATGTCTTTTGCACATTTTCTAGTTGGATTGTCTGTTTTTCAACTGTTGAGTTTGGAATATCCTTTATATTTTTTAGATACTAGTTTTTTTGACAGATATAGCCATGCACTGCATAGTAACATTTTGTTAAATGACAGTCCACATATATGACAATGGTTCCATAATATTATAATGATATGGCTAGGCCTCAAAGAAGCATGCCTGAAAGTTTAAAAAGCCATGTATAACAAACCCACTGCTGACATCAAACTGAATGGGGAAAAGTTGAAAGCATTTCCCCTAAAAACTGGAAGAAAAATAGGATGCCCACTTTCACCATTTCCTTTCAACATAATACTGGAATTTCTAGCCAGAGCAATCCAGCAAGAGAAATAAATAAAATGTATCAAAATTGGAAAAAGGGAAGTATATATATATATATATATATATGCTTAAAATATGATCTCATACCTACAAATCCCTAAATACTTCTCCAAAGTACTCCTAGATTTGATAAATGACTTCAGTAGTTTCAGGATACCAAATCAACATACAAAAATTAGTAATGATTGCATATACCAATAATTATCAAACTGATAAATAAATCAACCTATTTACAACCCAACTCAACCCCATTTACAATAGCCAGAAAAAAATAAAATATCTAGCAATACATTTAACCAAGGATATGAAAGTACTCTACAAGGACAACTAGAAAATACTGCTGAAAGAAATCATAGATGACACAAACAAATGGAAAAATATCGGATTCTCATGGATGGAAGAATCAATGTTGTTAAAATTATTATACTACTCAAAGCAATCTACAGATGCAACACAACTTCTTTCAAATTACCAAATCATTTTTTACAGTATCAGAAAAAAAATCCTAAAATCCTAAAATTCATATGGGATGGAAAAAGAGCCTGAATAGCCAAAGCAATTCTAAGCAAAAGGAACAAACCTGGAATCATCACATTATCTGACTTAAAATTATACTATACAACTGCAGTAACAAAAACAGCATAGTACCAGTATAAAATGATACAGATCAATGAAACAGAATAGAGAACCCAAAAATAAATCCACCCCTGACCAACCTATGACAAAGTCAACAAAAATATACACTGAGGAAAGGGCACCCTGTTCAATAAATGATACTGAAAAAAATTGGATAGCCATAGGCAGAAGAATAAAACTCGACCCATATCTCTCACTATATACAAAAATTAACAAAAGATGGATTAAAACTTAAATGTAAAACCTGAAGCTATACAAAACCTAGGAGGAATTTTCAAAAACTACTCTTCTGGGCATTGGCCTAAGCAAAGAATTTATGAGTAATATCTCAAAAGCAAACAAAACAAAAACAAAAGTAGACAAATAGGACTTAACTAAAAAGCTTCTAAACAGCAAAAGAAATAATGAATAGTGAACTGAAAACCTACAGAATTGGAGAAAATATTCGCAAACTATATATCTTACAAATGGCTAATAACCAGACTCTAAAACTAACTCAGACAACTCAACAACAACCACAAAACAACCCTACTAAAAAGTGGGCATAACACACATCTTTTAAAAGAAGGCGACATACAAATGGTGAACAAACATATGAAAAAATTAGTATCATCACTAACCATCAAAAAATGCAAAATGAAACCACAATGTGATATCATCTTATACCAGTCAAAACGGTTGTTATTAAAGTCAAAAAGCATCAGATGTTGAAAAGGATGCAGAGGAAAGAGAATGCTTATACACAGTTGGTGGAAATATAAATTAGTACAACATCTATTGGAAATAGTATGGAGAATTCTAAAAAAAAAACAACTAAAAATAGAACCACTGTTCAATACAGTAGTCCCACTATTGGCTATTTACCCAAGGAAAAGAAATCATTGTGTTAAAAAAGGCAGCATCAACCTATGTATTCACCAATGGACGATTGGATTAAAAATGTGAGATACACACACACAGACACATACACAGAGGAATACTACTTAACCATAAAAAAGAATGAAATCACATCTTTTCCAGAAACAAGGAGGCAGCTGGAGGCCATTATCCTAAATGAAATAACTCAGAAACATAATGTCAAAAACCACACGTTTTCACTTATAAGTGGGAGATAAACAATGGGTACACATGGACATACAGTGTAAAATAATAGACACTAGAGATTTTAAAAGGTGGGAGGTTAGAAGGGTGTTAAGGGATGAAAATTTACTCATTGGGTACAATGTACACTGTTCAAGTTATAGGTACACTAAAAGCCCAGACTTCTCCACCATGCAATATATCCATGTAACAAAACTAAACTTGTACCCCTTAAGCCTATTTTTTAAAAGATTATAATGGAGCTGAAAAATTTATTTTACTCAGCGACAGCTTGATGATTCTGACCCTGAGTAGGCACCACCACAGGCCTACAGGAAGTACTGCCAGACTACCAACAATGTTCCCTTAAGGCCCAAGAGCTCTCAAGTCAGCTTGTAGTTAATACTGCTTAGCCTGGAACTGGACACCCTCTGGTCTAGGGAAGGTCTATAAATGCCAACCAAAAGCCAAATTCTGAAATTGGGAACTACAAGAGCCTACTTGGTGCTCCACCCTGCTGTGGCCAAGCTGATATCTAAGCCAGCAAGCCTCAGTGTCTCAGCCAAAGCTGTCAATATAGTACCTGGGTATCACTACTGGTTATTTAGGGCCCAAGGGCTCTTAAATTAGCAGGTGATGAATACTACCAGGGCTGGGTCTTTCTATTCAAGGCAGCAGTCTCTCTACCGGCCCAAGGTATGTCTCAAAATTTCTGGGAGCTAGGGCATAGAAAGGGGGTCTCATGACTCCAACCTGTGCCTTATCCTGCTGTGGCTGAACTGGTATCCAAGATTCAAGACAAAGTCACCCCTCACACCCCACTGTTCCTTCTACTCTCTTCAAGTGAAAGGAAGGTTTCTCTTTTGGAGCTACAGGTATACAGCCTTGAGTTAGGGGAGGAGTGTTGCCAGCAGTCTCTTAGCCACCTCAGGTTAGTGTCTTAGTAGATCACACCCCAACCAGTCCACTGTCTGTGGGCCCTGATCAGCACTAGAACTTTCATAGGTGTTGTAGTCCTTGTGTCTTAGACTGCCTTTCAAGTTTCTTTAGATTCCCCAAGCACTTTATATCTTGTGGTGGTTAGGCTTGCATGAACTCAAAATTTGACCACTGGAATTGGTGATTCCCCTCTGGCTAAGGCTGATTTAAAAGCTCCCTTCATGTGTAAGCATCAGTTGAGTTTGATATGGTATTTATTTCTGCTATAAAAAGACAGAACTGCATTTAACACTTCACAATTGCTGTAATCTCTCTTTCCCAGTTCACAGAAATGCTCTGAGCACCATGCTACCATTGCAGTGGAGTGGGGAAGAGGTGGTGTTAGAGAATGAAAACTTAAAAAAAAAATTCAGTGTCTCTTTCACTGATACAAAGTTGAAAACAGGTACTGCGGATGCTCAACTAATCTTTCATTCTTATGAATATGCTTTTTGTGTAGACAGTTGTTAAATTAGTGTCCTTGTGGGGGGCACTATCAGTATGTCCATCTATTTCACCATCTTGCTCTGCTTCTTCCTTTTTAATTTTTTCCATCAACTTTCCCTCTGCCTATAGCAGTCTTTCTGGTATTTTGATATGACTTAATTTAATATGTGTAACATTCTGAGAAAAAATGTTGTCTTTACCTTGTTGACTCTTTTATCATGTTGACTCTTTCAACACATGAACATGGTAGGTCTCAATTTATTTAGGTCTTCCTTCATTTGTTCTATCAATATTTTTGTAGTTTTTAGTATTCATGTCATGTAAATATTTTATTAGACGTATACCTTAGTATTTTATCTTATTTTTTAGTAATTCAAAGTAGTGTTATATTTTTTATTTTGAATTCTATGTGTTTTTTACAAACATATATAAACACAATTGATTTTTGTATGTTGTGTCTTGCATGTTGTAATCTTTCTTGACTCACATATTAGTTCTAGAAGGATTTTCATGTAGATTCCTGGGAATTTTCTAAATAAACCATTCTGTCGTAGGCAAAGAGGGACAGTTTTATTTATTCATTTTTTATCAGTATGTAATTTATTTCTTTTCTTGCCTCATTGCACTGCCTAGGACTTCTGGTACCATGTTTAATTAAAATATAAGAGTAGACACGCATCTTTTGCCATTAAGTGCAATATTCATTTCAGAATTTTTATGGATTCTCTTGATCAAGTTGAAAAAAAGTTATCTTTTTCGAGTTTTCTAAATATTTTTATCATAGATAGGTATAGAATTTTGTCAAATAATTTTCTGCATTAATTGATATTATCATGTAGCTTTTCTTCTTTACCTTCTTAATGTGTTGAAGATAAATCAATCAATCATACATTGATTCATTTTTGAATATTGAATTGGGCTTGCATCCCTGCAATAATTCCAATTGTATGGTATATAATTTCTTTTGTGACTAAATTCTATTTGCTAATATCTTATTAAAGAGTTTTTTGTGACTATATTCATGAGAAATTTTGATCTGCAAGTTTTTTGTTGGTTTTTTGTGTAACTCGGGGAGTTTGTTTTGTTTGTATTGTCTTTGTCCAGTTTTAGTATCAGGATTATACTTGCTTTTAACATTTAAATGAGAAGTTTTTCCAATTCTTCTATTTTCTGAAGACATTGTGTAGAATTGAGATAATTTTTAAAAATATTTTGTAGAATTCTCAGTAAAACCATCTGGATCTGAAAAGTTCTTTTTTGGCAAGATTTTTAAATTATAATTTCAATTTCCTTAATAAAGGGCCATTTGAATAATCTGTTTTGAGTTTTTGTAAACTGTGTTGTTCAATAAATTTGTACATTTAAGTCATCAAAGTTATTCATGTAAAGTTTGTTCATAGTGTTTTCTTATGATTCTTCTGATGTTTGCATGGTCTGCAGTGATATCCTTTGTTTAATTCCTGATATTAGTTATTTATGTCTTTTCTTTGTTTTCCTTGTCACTCTTGGTAAAGGTTTGTTAATGTTACAATGTTTTAGCATAACAAGTTTGTGTTTAATTGATTTATTTTTTTATTTTCACTTGCATGTTTTTCTTCTCTGATTATTATTGTTCCCTTCCTTCTATTTGTTTTAGGTATATCTTGCTCTTTTGTTCTGTGACATTGAGGAGGAAGCTCACATTACTGATTTGAGACTTCGATTTAGTGCTATAAATTTCTTTCACAGTGCTGATTTAGAAACATCCTACAAATTTTGACACGTTGTATTTTATTTCACTCAGTTAAATGTGTTTCTTTACTTGAGACATCCTCTTTAACCCACTTTAAACATTTAGGTTATTTACATGTGTTCTGTTTAGTTTCCAAGTGTTCAGATATCTTTTCTGGTATTTGTTGTTGTTGTTGACTTCTAGTTTGATTCCATTGTAATTAAAGAACACACTGGATCATTTCAATTATTTTATATGTGTTAAGATTCTCTCAAGGCTCAGGATATTGTGTGTCTTAGCAAATGTTCCACAAGCCTTTAAACAACATAAAAATTCTGATGTTGTTGGAGTGGTCTATTCTATACATGTCAGTTAGATGCTGTTGGTTCATGGTGTTGTTGAGTTCTTCTACATTCTTGCTGATTTTCTGTCTAATTGCTTCATCAGTTGTTGAGATTGGAATGTTGAAATCTCTAACTATAAGCATGGATGTGTCTACTTATTCTTTCTGTTCTATTAGTCTTTCCTTCACATATTTTGCACCTCTGTTTGGCTCATGCATATTTAGAATTTTTATGTGTTGCTCACTGAACTGACACTCCATCATTGTGTCATGTATCTCTCCATCACTGATAATTATATTTGCTATCAAGTCTACTTTATTTTAATATTATTATAGCCAATTCTGCTTTTTTAAATAATGATTTTATGATGCATCATTTTCCATTCTTTTAATTTTAACCTACATACAGCATTATATTGTACATGTTTTTATGTGGCATATAATTTAGTCTTTTTAAAACAAATTTGCAAATCTATTTCTTTTAATTGAGGGGTTTAATCTTCATGATTTATGTAATTATTGATATGTTGAAATTTAAATTTCCTATTACATACTTTGCTTTCTGTATTTTGTTTGTTTGTTTGTTTTTATCTGCTTTAATTTCCCTGCTTTCCTGTGGGTTACTTCAACATTTTTAGAATTTGTTAAGCTTACAATAATCCACTCTCATTCTCTCTCCAGGATCCATTTGTCTTCTGCACAGGTCAAATAGGAGAATTAAATGGAGATATGGTGGGATTAACCACTCCTGCACTTTTCAAGTTCTTGATGATGGCACTAATTCCTAAAATTTCTCCAGGGATGTGGTTTTGTTTATGATTTACTATTTTCCTAGGCAGAGGCAGCTCTATGGCTTCCATTTGGCCTTTCCCACCAAAGCAGCCCTCACTCCTCAGGTTAGAAAACAAATGTGGGAATTCTTCCATCTGCTAAGTATGTTTGTATGTTCCATTCTGGAACTAGAGAAATAACCACAGGATGTGTTTGGGGACGTACAGGATCAACTGTGAGTTAAATCTGAATTAAAACTACATTCATCATCTGACCTCCACAAGCCCCTACCCAAACTGGAGGGCCACAGTAATGTTTGAGGCCTTTTAGAATCAATGTCAGTTCAGAGCCAGTGTCAAGTAGGTTGATCATGTTCCTTTCCCCAATTCACAGTTGCCTTGGTAACAGGCCAGAGGTCCCTTTGGAAAAGTATGAGAGAAAGATTAGTAATCTAAATTTTCTGTGGTATAATGGGGTCATTCCTAGGAAGAGACACATCCACCCCTCCTTTCAAGGGATTATGGGTCTGTAAAATGGCTGAATTCTGGGGCTTGAATGAAGGGCTCGGGTTTTTCTTTTAACTTTTATTTTAGGTTCATGAGTACATTAGAAGGTTTGTTATATAGGTATAACATGAGTATATTAGAAGGTTTGTTATATAGGTATAACATGAGTATATTAGAAGGTTTGTTATATAGGTAAACTTGCATCATGGAAGGTCGGTCTGTGGATTATATCACACAAGTGTTATTATAACACACAGGTGTTAAGCCTGTTATTTTTCCTGATCCTCTCCCTCATCCCACCTTCCACCTTCAAATAGACTGAACGTCTGCTGTTTTCTTCTTGATGTTCATCAGTTCTCATTGTTTTGCTCACTCATAAGTGGGAACATGTGCTATTGGTTTTATGTTCCTGCATTATTTTGCTAAAAATAATAGCCTCTAGTTCCATCTATGTTCCTGCAAAAAACACAATCTCATTCTTTTCTATGGCTGCGTAGTATTCCGTGTGTATATGCACCACATTTTCTTTATCCAATCTGTCATTGATGGATATTTAGGTAGAGTCCATGTCTTTGCTATTGGAAATAGTGCTGCAACGCACTATTTTCATTTCCGTGCATGTGTCTTTATGGTGGAATAATTTATATTCCTTTTGGGTATATGCTTAGTAATGGGATTGCTGGATCAAATGATGTGTCTCTTTTCAGCTCTTTGAAAAATTGCCATGCTTCTCTTTACAATGGTTAAACTAATTTACATTCCCACAAAGAGTGTATCTGTTCTCTTTTCTCTGCAACCTCATCAGCAACTGTTATTTTTTGACTTTTTACTAATAGCAATTCTGACTGGCGTGAGATATTATCTCATTGTAGTTTTGATTTGCATTCCTCTAATTATTAGTGGTATTGAGCTTTTCTCATATGCTTGTTGGCTAGATATATGTCTTCTTTTGTAACGTGTCCATTTATGTACTTTGCTTACTTGTTAAGAAAGTTTTTTGCTTTTCTCTTATAAATTTGTTTAAGTTCCTTATAGATGCTGGATATTAGATCTTTGTCATATGCATAGATTGCAAAGAAAATGTCTTTCATTCTGAAGGTTTTTTGTTTACTCTGTAGATAGTTTCTTCTGCTGTTCAGAAGCTCCTAAGTTTAAATAGATCCCATTTGTCAAATTTTACTTTTGTTGCAATCGTTTTTGGTGTCTTTGTTGTGAAATCTTTGCTCATTTTTATGTCCAGCATGGTATTGTCTAGATTGTCTTCCAGGGTTTTTATACTTTTGGGTTTTATATTTAAGTCTTTAATCCATCTGGTGTTGATTTCCTTATATGGTGTAAGGAATGGGTCTGGCTTCAATTTTCTCCATATGGCTAGTCAGTTATCTCAGGATCATTTATTGCATAGGGAGTTGTTTCCCCATTGATAGCTTTTTTCAGCTTTGTCAAAGATAAGATGATTGTATGTTTGCTGCCATACATCTGGGCTTTCCATTCTGTTTCCTTGATCTATGTGCTTATTTTTGTACCAGTACCATGCTGTTTTGGTTACTGTAGCCCAGTATTATGGTTGGAAGTCAAGTAGCATGATGCCTTCAGCTTTGTTCTTTTTGCTTAGGATTGCCTTGGCTATTTGGGCTCTTTTTGGTTCTATATCAATTTTAAAATACTTTTTTCTAGATCTGTGAAGAATCACCATGGTAGATTAATAAAAATAGCATTGAGTCTACAAAATGCTTTGGGTGTTATGGCCATTTTAATGATATCGATTCTTCCTATCCATGAGCATGGAGTATTTTCCCATGAAGCTGTGATTTGGGCCCAAGCTGGGGGTTTCTTGTCGAAAGGTGGGTAGGACCCATGGAAGATGGACTGGCCTCTTCTCCTTGGGTCGGCTGCAGCTTGTTGGTGGTGTGGATAAGGCACTTAGTGTCTTTGCTCCTTCATTAGTCTGAGGGTAGCAAGAGGACTTCCACTGCACAGGCAGTGGCAGAGAGGCTTTCATTTGCCCCTGGGGTCTTTGTTCAGGGAGTTGCAGAGCTGCAACTGGCTCAATAACCCTGGCGTAGGGTGGCTAGAGGCCCAGGCTTAGAAGGCCTTCCCAGTGCAGAGAATTCGGCAATTTTTCCATAGAGCTGATGCCATATTCTAGGAGTCCTCTCCAGTCTCTCCTCACCTTGGGTTTTTCAGTACCTGGAGGTATCAACAGTGAAGCCTGTAAAACAGCAAATATGGCAGTCTGCTTCTCCCTCTGGAAGCTCTGTCCCAGGGAGGTATGCACCTGTTGCTGGCCCAAACTCATCTATAAGAGGTGGCTGGAGACCTGGGTTGGGAGTTCTCCCCTGGTGAGGGGGAATGGGATTGGTGATCTGCTTAAAAAAACAGCCTGGCCACATTTTTATAGAGCAACTTTGCTGTGGTGGGGATCCGCTGCAGCTCCTGATCATTTTGGACTCTTCAAAGCCTGAAGGGCAGAACAGCTAAATTGCCCAAATAGCAAAGATGATGGTCCACCCCTCCCTCTGGGAGCTCCATCTCAGAGAGGTTTGAAAGCTTTGTCAGCCAGAGAACACCAGTGAGAGCAGCTGGAGTCCCCAGTTGGGAGGTCCTGCAAAGGGCTCAGTTTTAATGGTTTAAGTCAGACTTTTGTTCAATTGACCTGAAAATTTTCTACTTATACAGATCAAGTAAGAATTTACTAAGATTCATATTTATTTCACTTCTAAGAATGCCATGGTTAACTAGCCATCACTGTGTATCTCCATGAGTCAAACTATTCTGATTGTTGATTTGCTTCTGTTTTCCACTACAATAACTATGCCCACCTTGCCTTCAACATATGAGTGCCACCAATTGGCCTCTGTCAACCTGGGATTCAATTATCTTTATTGCATTTATCTATTGAATGACTGTGATTTCTACTGTAAAGTCTGGGCTACAGAGAAAAGCAATCATGGAGCTCTTTAGGGATGCTGGGGATCCCCTCACAAACCTACTTCTCAAAGCATTAGTGAAAGCTATGTCCTCTGGACATTTCCATTGTGGGTATGTTTCAAGTGACAAATTTACTCTAGAATTTCAATCTACCTATGTCTTTGAATTCCTTCTACATTAGACCAAAGGAAATCAGGCACCTCTGACTTGCTCATTTTCAGCCATCTTTTAATCCATGTTTTAGCCAACCAAAAAAACAAACTGTTAGCACCTTTTCTAACTCCTTGAGCTACAAAATTAAATACAGAATATCTGCTTAATGGGTCCGTATCAACAAATTTGGTGAGATTCAACTTTATGTTCCTTTCACCATTGTATCAAACCATTAATATCCATTTTCACACATATTCTCTGGCTTTCTGCTTGTACAAATTAAAAAACTAAAGTTGTTATCTTGGAGTGTAGTACACCTCTTCATGAGTAAGACGTTGTCCCTCACCTGTAGAGGACTGCTGGGACTTAAGTCTAGTTATAGGCCTAGAAGCAAAGAGGGGTGATGAAGGTGGGTCGTGAGGAGAATCAGCTTTGTCTTAATTGGTAACTGCCTCAGGGAAAGTCATTAACATCTCTTAGGCGATGCGGAGTTAATTGCCTCAGACAGCTGTGCAAAAGCCAGTGGTCACTTTGGGTGAGGATGGCACTGCAGCTTGCGATGGGGAGAGGGAGGCCACAACTGCTGGAAAACAAGACTCATCAGAACTTAGGAGTGTCATGTCCCTAGTCTCATCAGGGTCTTTCCACATGTTCACAACCCAATTTACAGGATTTCATTATTTCCCAACCAATTTCCTCACTTTAACAGTAGACACCTTATGGGGTTAACTTTTATTCTACTTCAGCCAATAGTTTGGTAAAGGCTTATGTTTAATTTTTAGCAACTTTAATCTTGTGGCTACAGGAGAAAAGATTCTGGCTCAGAACATACTTGGAAGCTCTTAACATTATTTATGCAGAGCTGGAGCATTAAATTAGAATCTCTGAGCTCATACTTTCCATTCATCACTTTATCCAGCAACATTAGAAGCAACAAAATAATGTTATATATTCTTTGATTTTTCACAAATTCTTGAAGGTATCACACAGAGTCACCAAATTCTTTTTCTCTATATGTGATTGATTAGGAGTATCAAATGCAGATATTTTGTGAATTTCTATAACCAGTTCATACCATGCTCTATCAGTGTTCTCTGTACTATTAAAAGTACATAGTACTATTAGAAGTCCTTGGAATTTTTAGGCCTAATCAGATTAGAAAGCCAGTTGCTGAAACCCAAAAACTAAGAAAACATTCTTAATATTATGTTTTATTCAGAACCATAGATAGATAGATAGATAGATAGATAGATAGATAGATAGAAGATTTATTAAGGGAATTGAGTCATGCAATTATGGAGGCTGAGAAATTCCAGGAAGGCTATCTGTAGATTATAGACCCTGGGGTGCCAGTAACATAGCTCAGTCCAAGTTTGAAAGCCTCACAACCAGGGGAGTCAATGATGTAATTCTCAATCTGAGGCCAAAGGCCTGAGTATCCGGAGGACTTCTAGTATAGTCTTACAGCCACAAGCCAAAGAGTCTGGAGTTTTGATGTCCAAAGACAGAAGGAAGAGAGTGTCCCAGCTTCAAGAGAAGAAAGAGATCATCATTTTCCCTCCTTTATTGTTCTATTCTGTCTCCCAGTCTATTGGGTAGTGCCTGCCCACATTGAAGGCAGATTTTCCCCACATAGTCCACCAGCTTACACAACAGTTTCCTCTAAAAACACTTTCACAGACACACCCAGAAGTAATGTTTCACCAATTCTCTAGGTATTCCTTACTTCATAGTCAAGTTGACACCTAGCATTAATCACAGCTCCCTTCTCTCCAAGAAGAAAAAATAAGAAAAAGAAAAGAGAAAAGAGAAATAAAAAACATACAGAAAAATAAAGGAGAAATAATGAAAATGTAAAGCCACCATGGTTATAGCTAATGTAAGATAAATCCTAAGCAAATAGCTATTCACTGAATCACATTACTATAGATTTTGTAGTTATGTGGGGTTAAACAAAAAGTAAGCAAGCATACAATTTATTTTCCCAATATAAATATTAAACAACTCCAATAAATCAAATAGTATAAGCTCCAAAATAGCCTTTAACTGTTAATTGGCCCAAACTTATAAAACAAAATACATTAGAAATTATATTGTTTATTGTTGATTATTGGCCAAATATTCTAACGTAGTCAGTGTCAATGATATCTAACAGATCACCATTCTCATATTTTTATAGTATTTGTGATGTTAGACCTGGATGTGGTAAAACAGTGTTTGAAATAACTAGCCAATTAAAAAATTATTTGTTTTAGGTGTTTTCAAAATTTACTTCATTCTAGACATTAGAAACAACCATTAGAAGACACAGTTTTTTAACGATGTGATAGGGTTTTTTTTTCTTTCCAGTAAGATTTTTTTATTTGTTGAGATAAATGGATTCCAGGGTTTCCTAAGGGACAATTTTCCTGCCATTATTGACAGTATCAGAGGAATCATAAAGATTTATTTTATGTGGGAAATCTAGTTATCTAGAAGGTATTTGAATCTGAATATAATCAAGAAAGCATGAAGTAAGATAGACAGCATATTGCTTTGGGGGGACCGAATGTTAAAAGCATATTTTAGAGGTACAATTGAATACTTAGGCTATATTAAGTAAGTCACTATGAATTATGTTTTTATTTCGGTGTAAAGTTATAATACTCACAAAAGAAAAAATGTATAAAATAATAATGTAAAATTCTACAATTAGAATTTTAGGTGTAGAGTTTTTAAAGAGCATTAACTAAAATATTTTCAACACACAATCCAGTACGTACAAAATATTTAAATATTCATTAGAATGCAAAACAAAAAGTTTTTGAGCATATTTATTTTATTTAGCTAGTTAGCAGCTTTGAGCATGTTTATGTGACTGACAGTGCATAGAAATGCATACATACTGGAAAACAAGGATTGATAAATCACTTTCTTTTGCTAAGCTCAAATTCCAATATTTGTTGGATTTTACTCAACGGCACCTCATAACAACAAGCTGTAGGAACATACATATTTGAAAACAAGGATCATTTAAAATATGCTTTTAAAATATCCGAAATAACAATATAAGTGAAAGATATGTTAACAGATTAAATAACGCTAAAAAAGTACAGAAGAGTATGTCATATTGGAAAGATCATAAGACTAGAAATCAAGAGAAATTATTCTTGTGTAGAAATGTATTGCCCACTGGATGGCTATGGGGCTTTGGGGAAGCATCTTTATCCCTCTAAGCCTAAATTTGCTTTTCCATAAGTGAGGGAGTTGAATTAAATGAGCTCTAAATATAAGTTTTAAAGTTATGTGAGTCCATCTACATTTTTAAAATGAGAAAATAAGGGAACAAAAAGAAACTGTCAAATACTAAACAGGTCTTATTGTAAACTAAATTCATAGTATTTGATTATAAAACCCTGAAGGCTCTGAAATTGATACTGTCCTCACCTTCCTCATACTCTTTACTTTGCTAAAAGACTCGTCAATATTTATTGCCTCTTCCTTTTATACTCCATTGACTCCAGAAATCTTTGTATTCTGGCTTTTTTTCGCATTACTTTATAGATTAACCAAGCAAATAGCATCTTGTCAGTTCTTCCTGACTAATTCTTGTTGCCAAACTCTTTAACTGTTGATCTTACTAAAAGTCTTTCCTACCTTCATTTCTGAGACACTATTCTCTCCTCACACTTTTCTGGCCATTCTCCCCGTGTCTCTTCCCATGGTTAATCATTTTTAAAATGTTGGTGTTCCTCGGAGGTCTACTAGGCCATATCTTTTCTCAATCTAGTAGCCTCCCTGAATCATGTCTATTCTGAAAACTTTAACTAGTACATGTATAACAAAAATAAATAAATAACTTTATCTTCTGCAATGAAGATCTGCATATATAGTTGATTATAGGCCCTTTCTACCCAGGTGATTGGCAGGAACCTCATTTATTTACCGATTATTTATTCAGCATCTGTTATACCTTAAGGAATGTACTGGTACAAGGGATATAACAAGTAATGAAATTGACAAATTTTCTTACCTCATTGCACTTTCAGGATAGAAGTAGCTAGAAACAAGTACCCAGTCAAATTAGAGAAAAAGTAATGTCTAAGATGAGCCCAAAATAATAAGTGGAAGTTAGCTGAAGAGTCAGGGAGGAATGTTTCAGACAGAGGGCACAATATATACAAAGATCTAGTGGCTGGAGAGAGTATAGAATTTTAGAACTGCATAGTTCTATGTGGCTATAATGGAGAGTAGGCAGCGAGAAGTGATAAAATATAATTGTCAAAAGGCAGTTCCAATTATGAAAAGCCTTAATAAGCCATTGTTAGTTATTGCTTAATACTTAAGTGCTGGGGACTAACAGAAGGATTTTAAGCAAAGAAGTAACATGTTCACTATGTAAGCTGTATAAAAAACTGAATTGAGTAGGAGCAAAACTTCAAACTCAACATTGTATGAAACCAAGTTCATTATTTATTTCTGCTCAGTCAGTCTCTCACTCTATCCCCATGCTGAATCTCATATGTATTTCTTGTTTAGACATATTTTTAATAAGGGCATTATATTTTATACAGTATATCAAGCAAGAAACCTCTTAGTTAAAGTAAGGGAAGAAAAATGTCAAAGATAGTCAAGTCCTTTTAATTCTTTCTCAAAGTTCTCCTGTATCTGATTTTCCTCTTTACACTTCCCACCTGTGTCATAGTCCTGACTACCATTCTTTCTCATCTGGATTGCTTCAACTGCACCTGAGCAGATCCGATTGCCTCTAGCCTTGAATTACCCAATTAATTTTCCAGGCTGCAACTCAAATTATCTCTCTAACGTGCAAATCTGACAATGTAACTCTCTTGCTTAAAATGAGTCATTGTTTTTCCTTTGCCATTAAAACTAAGTCCAGAGCATTCCAAAAAAAAACTGTTTTACCCTTTCTTTTTACTATCAATCATTTTCTTTCATGTATTTAGCGACATTGGATTGCTTTCCATTTTTTTTAATTCAAGGTCCATTCATGTTGATTTATTCTTGATCAGATGTATACTCTTCCTGTAATACTCTTTCTATCCACTTCTTGTTTGTCTGGCAAACTATTACTCATTTGTCGAATTTCAATTCATATATCAGTTTTCTTAAATAATCTATTCTCACCAAATTCCAATGAAGTCAGATATAATTGTTTCCTTATCTGGGTTTCAATAGTATGTTGTACCTATCAAGATTACAGAATTGGTCACAATACCATAGTTATTTGTTTATCTGCCTCTCAGTAGATTTCAGCTTCTAAAAATGCAGGTACTTTGTCTGAAATGTAGTAAGCATGTGCCAAATAAATAGTTTTGTGTACTTATGAAATTGAATATGAAACATATTTTTTCTTTCTCATTTTATTATAGATTCAAGGGGCATATGTGCTCGTTTGTTAAATGGGCATAACATGCATAATATGTGGATTGGGCTAGTGTACACATCATCCAAATATTCGACATTATACCCAATAGGTAATTTGCAGCTCACACTCCTCTTCCACTCTCCCCCATTTTGGAGTTTCCAGTGTCACATTATATAAAAAGACACCTGCACTCAGATATTTATTGCAGCACTATTCACAATAGCAAAGTCATAGATCCAACCTCAATGTCATCCAACAGTTGACTGGATAAATAAAATGTGGTATACATACACCATTAAATATTATGCAGCCATAAAAAATGAAACATTTTTTGCCAGGCAAAAATATCCAGATAATATTGAGAATATTTTTAAATGGAGAAGGTGTAAAAAAATCCTCTGTTTGATTAGCAAATATCTCACCTTATGATATCATGCAACAAATGGAACCTCCATAGAGTTAGGTCAATAATGACTTCTTAAGCTTTTTAAGGTTATAAGAAGATCCCTCAGGCCTTTTTCTGCTATTTTCTACACTAATTTTCAAAGCTTGGGTGGAGAATAAGTTCTCTAGGAATCTTCCCTTAAACATGGTGAAAGTTAAAAACTTGGTTGTTAGCCCTGATTCTCATTTGATGAACTCATACATTCTTTTACGGGCTCCACTGCTCTTTCTCATACCTTTCAAACTATTTTGCTTTGTCTCCTTTACAGGTGTTTCTTAGCCTGCCTTGTCAATAAATATTGGTGTTTCCTAGGATTCTTTCCTTGTCTCATTATTCTTCTCAATCAACACAATTCCCCCAGATTATCCTATACTTTCTTATCATTTTTAATAACAGATATTGATGGATTCCAGAATCTATATGTGAGTTTCAGACCTCAATCACATACTCAACATATATGCACTTCAAACACAACTATTAAAAAGTAAATTCATCTCTTTTAAAATAAGTGTTGCATAAAAGTGAATTCATGACCTCTCTTATCCCACATTTACTCAGAAAAAAAGTATTCCTCTTTAGAGTTCTCTATATATGTTAGCAATAAATAGGATAATAGCATTCCCATTTATTGGTTTTCCCAAGCACAAAACGAAGAAAACATTTAATTCATCAGCAAAGATTTTCAACTCTGCCTCAAAAATGTATTTTGAATTTGTCTACATCTGTCCACGTTACTGTCCTAATTGTAGTCAAGGCTAACATTATGTCTGACCTGAATTACTGTAAAAGCCTCTTGTTTCTTCTGCTTCTCCATTTTAACCCTTCCTGATTCACTGTTCAGGCTGGTGCAAGAATGGTCTTTTTAAAAATAAGTTTATTTTTCCAAGATGGTGGATTAGAGGCTTTTAGGATGCCTTGGCCACTGGGAAATAACAAAATAGTGCATAAAGATGAACTCTGTTGGCTTTAATTCAAAAAGGAAAGTGGGAGTTCACTGGATGTGTAGTACACACCAGATACTGAGAAACAGAATGTAAAATAAAACAGCCCCCATGACAGTGTCTGGCTGATAATTCTGAGTGAAGCCCCAGTATGTGAGAGAAGCAGAGAGCCTCCTTCTGTGACTCTCCTTTCCACTGGTGATCTGAGCAACGTAGGAAGATGGAAAGCACTTTATTTTTTTCCTAGCCCCAGAGCTAACCTGGGGAGAGGCTTGGAGATGCTGAGAGGGAAAGACACTGGGAAATGCTAAAGGCATTTTCCCAGACCCAGGACCAAGGAGAGGATGACATTTTTAATCTAAGTGCATACAAAACCAGACATTCTTTAATGACCCAGCAGTGTGGCCATGTAAGCATTTTAGTCTTGGGCCAGAGATTAGAGTGCTTGTTCTGAAGTGGATTGGGGCCTCCACAGCCAGAATTGTGGAAAGCACCTCAGTAGTAGATGCTGAAATTGTATTCTCCCCTTTCACAGGCCTGGGGCAGGAGCAGAACTACTACAAATGCATTTTCACCTGGGTGAAAAGACTTGCAGCTAGAGCCAGGTTGGTGGACTGGAACTGGTCTGAATGTGTCATTGTTGGATGCCCATTGCTGGTTCCATGATACTGTGGTGCAGCAGGGCCCTCGTCACTCAATGTTCAGGTAGTCAGAGAATCCCCTTGCCAGGATTAACACCCTGAGATACACTATTCTTCCTGCACATAGACCATGGTACAGTAGGGCCCTCTCTACTTCATGCCCAGGCAGATCTCTAAGCATTAAGACCACCTGATTGCATGGTTCAGCAGCCTGAGACACCCCATCCTTCCTGAGCACAGATCATTGTGCAATGAGGCCCTCTCTGCTTCACACCAAGGCAGATCTTCAGGCATTTAGAACACCCACTTGCTTGGTTCAACAGGCTCTGTCACCCACCCTCCCTGTGCAGAGACCATGGTACAGTGGGGCCCTCTCTGCCCTATGCTCAGGTGGATCTCCAGGAAATCAGAGCACCCACTCATCCAGATCAGCAGCTTAAGCCATGCCACCTTTCCTGTGTATAGATTGTGGTGAAGTGGGGTCCTCTCTGGTCCATATCCAGGAAGATTCCAGGCATTGGGAGCACCCACTCTTATGGATTAGTAGCTTAAGTCACCCCATCACTCCTGTGCAGAGGTCCTCGTGCAGCTGGGCCCTCTCTGTTCCATGCCCAGGCAGATCTCCAGACATTTGTAGCACCTGACCAGGTTTAGCAGCCTGAGCTGCCCCATCCTTCCTGGGAATATATCATGGTGCAGAGTAGCCCTCTTCAATCCTTGCCCAAGTAGATGTCCAGGCACCTGGAGCACCCAATCTCCCAGATTAGGAGTATAGGCCACCCCTCTACCTATGTTGAGAATGGAAGAAAAAGGCTTCCCTGCTCGACACCTAGATACAATTCTAGGTATTTGTTTGATGCCCACTGGATTCTCTATAAGCACTGGTTTTGTGTCTGCTATGGAAGAACTGTAGGTGGACTTGCCCAGTCAAGCCCCAGCCATCTAACCCCTCCCTCTTGGGGCTGAACGAGAAGCTCACATTACTGTGCACTCCATAGATCAGCTCATTGCCTGGGGCAACAGAGAGCTTCTCCCGGTAAACAAGGATCAAGTATATACCAAGCTGGATTGGTAGCAGTTTGTGCTTATCCATAAGTGCCATCTACCGGCTTTAAGGTCAAATCATGAAGCCCAATATAAAACCTGCCAATAGAATTGCATAGGGCTTTAGAAGCAAAGACAAAAGACCCTACCTAACATTCACTATAGTAACACCCCAAAGGCAAAGGATGAAACTGAAAGAGAAAGAAAAATAAAACCATAATACTATAGGGAAAGAAAAAAAAAGGAAAAAATCCTACTCACACAAAAATAATTACAAAAATTAGAACCTTCAGTGTCTCCAGATGAGAAGAAACCAGTATAAAAATTCTGGTGCTATAAAATCTGAATGTAGTAACACCACCAAAGGCTCATTCTGGCTATCCAGCAATGGTTGATAACCAAAATGGAAATTCAGGAATGACAGATAAAGGACTCAAAGCATGGATTGCAAAGAAGCTTAATGATATACAAGACAAGGATGAAAATCAACACAAATAAACTTCTAAAGTAATCCAGGAATTGAAGGAAGAGATAAAATCTTTAAAATATCAATAAAAGATCCTGAAATTTAAAAATTTATTTAATAAATTTTAAAATAAAATTAAAAGCTTTGTTAGCAGACTAGAGACCAGGAAGAAAAAGACCAATCTTTCTAATGAACCCAGTCAGAAAAAAATAAAGAAAAAATAATTTTTAAAAATGAGCAAAGTCTTCAAAAATGGAATTATATATAGCAATCAAACCTATGAGTTGCTGGCATTACTGAGAAAGAAGTAGAAAATATAAGAAACCAGAAAACATAGTTGAGGGAATAGTTCAATAAAATTTCCCTAATCTTGCTGGAGACCTAAACATCCAGATACAAGAAATCCAGAGAACAGTTGCAAGATACTATTTAAAACAAATAACACCACGGCATATAGTCACCAGACTGTTGAAAGTCAAGGCTAGAGAAAAAAAATCATAAAGGCAGATAGAAAGAATATCAGATCACATACCAAGGAAACCCCAAAAGTCTACCAGCAGACTTCTCTGCAGAAAGATTAAGAGCCAAAAGAAATTGAAGGCCTATTATCAGCATTCTTATAGAAAATTATTGCCAACCAAGATTTTCATAGCCCAGCAAACTTAGTATCATGGGTGAAGAAAAAATAAAGTCTTTTCCAGACAAGCAAGTGCAAAAAGGAATTTGTTCCTACTAGACCACCAGCCATATAAGAGATACTTAAGGGACCTCTTAAGAGATACCAATAACCATATGCTGAAACTTGCAATGGATCTCAAAGGAAAGATGCCAAATAAGATGATTAGAAAAGGTGTATTCAAGGATCAGCATTTTGATCAAAATCTCAACTTCAGGTATATAGAAATTGATAAAGTAACAGAGAGGGAGAAAGTTACTGTTATAAGCACCATTAATCCAACTAAGGACCTGTTGGCTGACTTGATTGGGTGCCAGAGACTTCCTGAAGACCAACGTAAGAAAGTACACCAGCTAAAGGACTTGTTGGACCAGATTCTGATGTTGGATCCAGCTAAACGAATTAGCATCAACCAGGCCCTACAGCATGCCTTCATCCAGGAAAAAATTTAAACAAGATGAAGAAACTCCAAGGGCTTGAGTAAATATAAAGACTGAAGAAATTTCACAGCAGTTTATTAATGTGTGTGTGTGCGGGCCACAGCAGCATGCCATTGGTGTAGTCAGTGATGAAAGGGGTCTGTTCCTTCTTGAGCCTGCTGCAGGGATGGTCTCCTTTTAAAGCAGTTGTGTGCAGCATTCAGTACACTGAAGAGAGAAAGGAAAATGGGGCACAGGCCATTCGATGCCTTCTCCAAGGAGTCTGACTTGCTGAGACACCAGCTTCACCTTCTTAACAAGGTGCAGCTCAGTGGAAGATGATGACAACCAGAAGATGTGAGCTAAGGGTAAGGGACTGTTCTGAAGAACTTTTCCATTTAGTGATCAAGATATGGAAGCTGATTTATGAAAATACTCAGTGTATATTCTAATTATTTGTGGTACCATTTGAATTGTAACTTGCATTTTAGCAGTGCATGTTTGTAATTGACTTACTGGGAAACTGATTAAAATACACCTCTTATTAAAAAAACAAAAGAGAGGAATTTCCACACTTTCTTCGACAATGGTTGAACTAGTTAGTTTACAGTCCCACCACCAGTGTAAAAGTGTTCCTATTTCTCCACATCCTCTCCAGCACCTGTTGTTTCCTGACATTTTAATGATCACCATTATAACTGGTGTGAGATGGTATGATTTAGAACTAGAAATGACATTTGACCCAGCCATCCCATTACTGGGTATATACCCAAAGGATTATAAATCATGCTGCTATAAAGACACATGCACACGTATGTTTATTGTGGCACTATTCACAATAGCAAAGACTTGGAACTAACCCAAATGTCCATCAGCGATAGACTGGATTAAGAAAATGTGGCACATATACACCATGGAATACTATGCAGCCATAAAAAATGATGAGTGCATGTCCTTTGTAGGACATGGATGAAGCTGGAAACCATCATTCTGAGCAAACTATCACCAAGGACAGAACATCAAACACCACATGTTCTCACTCATAGGTGGGAATTGAAAAATGAGAACACTTGGACACAGGGTGGGGAACATCACACACTGGGGCCTGTCGTGGGGTTGGGGGAGGAGGGGAGGGATAGCATTAGGAGATATACCTAATGTAAATGATGAGTTAATGGGTACAGCACACCAACATGGCACATGTATACATAAGTAACAAACCTGCACGTTGTACACATGTACCCTAGAACTTAAAGTATAATAATAAAAAAAGAGAGATACTTAAGGGACCTCTAAACATAGAAAGAAAAAAATGATACCTGCCAACACAAAACACACTTAAGTATATAGCCCACAGACCATATAAAGCAGCCACACTATAGAAACTACAAAATAAACAGAAAATAACTTCACAATAGGATCTAAGCCTCACATATAAATATTAACCTTAAATGAAAATAGTCTAAACGCAACAAAAGGCAAAGAGCTGCAAGTTAGATAAAAATAAGATTCATCCATCTGCATCTTCTAGGGACTCATCTCACATGTAATGACATACATAGGCTCAAATTAAAGGGATAAAGAATAATATATCACACAAATGGAGCACAAAAAAGAGCAGGGGTCACTATTCTTATATTAGATAAAACAGACTTAAACCAACAACAGTAAAAAAGGACAAACTTGCATTATGTAATAATAAATAGTTCAGTTGAATGAGAAGACTTAAATATTGTAAATATACAAACACCCAACACTGAAGAAACCAGATTCACAAAACAAGTACTTCTAGACCTACAAAAGACTGAGATAGCCACACAATAATAGTGGGAGACTTTAATATTCCATTGACAGCATTAGACAGATCATTGAGGCAGAAAACTAACAAAGAAATTATGGAATTAAATTTGACATTTGACCAATTGGGACTAATAGATGTCTACAGAATACTCCACCCACCAACCACAGAATATGCATTCTTTTTATCTGAACATGAACACACTCTAAGGTCAACAGCATGCTTAGCCATATAGCAAGTCTCAATCAATTCAAAATAATTGAAATCATACCAACCATAATCTTGGATCACAGTGGAATGAAAATAGAAATCAACAATGAGATCTCTCAAAACAAAAAAAAATGCATGAAATTTAAATAACCTGCTCCTGAATGATTTCTGCTTAAATGAAATCTTCGAAATAAATGAAAATAGAGACAACATACCAAAATCTCTGGGATACAGCAAAAGCCATGTTAAAAGGAAAGTTTATAGCACTAAATGCTTACTTCAAATGTTGGAAAGATCTCAAAATAACAATAACATCACACCTATAGAAGCTAGAACAAGAAGAAAAAATAGCCCCAAATGTAGCAGAAGAAAAGAAATAACTAAAATCAGAGCAGAACTCAGTGAAATTGAGATCCAAATAGCCATACAAAGAATCAACAAAACCAAAAGATAGTTTTTTTTTGAAAAAATAAACAAGATGAATAGACTGCTAGCTCAATTTACAAGGAGAAAAAAAAAATCCAAATAAGTGCAATCAGAAAAGACAAAGGTGACATTACAAATGTCCTCACAGTAATGCAAACAAACCTCAGACTGTTATGTACACCTCTACAGACACAAACTAGATAATCTAGAGGAAATGGATACATTCCTAGAAACACACAATCTCTCAAGATTGAATCAGCAAAAAATTGAAGTGCTGAACAGACTAATATCAAGTTTAAACTTTGAGTCAGTATTAAAAATAAATCTTCCAACTGAAAAAAGCCCCAGACCAGATGGATTCACAGTGTAATTTTTTGTGTGCGAAGAAGAGCTGGTACCAATTCTTCTGAAATTATTCCCAAAAATTTAGGAGGAGATAATCTTTGCTACCTTATTCTACAAAGCCAGAATCACCCTGATAATACCTGGCAGAGACACAACTTCAAAAGAAAACTGCAGGGCAATATCCCTGATGAAAATGGACACGAGAATCCTCAACAAAATATTAGCAAACCAATTCTAGTAGTACATCAAAAGGTTAGTTCAACACGATCACATGAGATTCATTCCTGGAATGCAAAGTTAGTTCAACATATACAAATTAATAAATGGAATTCACCACCTAAAGACAATTAAAAACAATAACTGCATGATCATCTCAATAGATGTGGCAAAAGTTTTCAATAAAATCCAACGTTACTTAATAATAAATACCATCAACAGTCTAGGCATTGAAGAAACATATCACATAATAATAAGAGCCATCTATGATAAACCCACAGCCAATGTTACACTGAGTTGGCACAAGCTAGAAGTATTCGCCTTGAAAATTGGAGTATAATAAGAATGCCCATCCTTACCACTCCTATTCAATATAGTACTGGAAGCCTTTGCCAGAGCAATCAGGCAAGAGTAAGAAATGAAGCGCATTCAAATAAGAAGAGAAGACATCAAACTACCTTCCTCTGCTGACCATATGATTCTATACCTAGAAAACACTAAACACACCGTGAAAAGGCTCTTGGAACTGATATAAGACTTCAGTAACATTTTGGAATACAAAATCAATGTACAAAGATCAGTAGCATTTCTTTCTTTTTTTATTTTTTATTTTTTTTTCTGAGACAGAGTCTTGCTCTGCTGCCCAGGCTGGAGTGCAGTGGTGCGATCTCAGCTCACTGCAACCTCCACCTACCGGGTTCACATCATTCTTCTGCCTCAGTCTCCCGAGTAGCTGGGACTACAGGCACCCACCACCATGCCCGGCTAATTTTTTGTATTTTTAGTACAGACGGAGTTTCACCGTATTAGCCAGCATGGTCTCGAAAGATCAGTAGCATTTCTATACACCAATAACGTTCAAGTTGAGAGCCAAATTAAGAATGTCCTTTGTAGGGACATGGATGAAATTGGAAATCATCATTCTCAGTAAACTATCACAAGGACAAAAAACCAAACACCGCATGTTCTCACTCACAGACGTGAATTGAACAATGAGAACACATGGACACAGGAAGGGGAACATCACACTCTGGGGACTGTTGTGGGGTGGGGGGAGTGGGGAGGGATAGCATTAGGAGATATACCTAATGCTAAATGACGAGTTAATGGGTTCAGCACACCAGCATGGCACATGTATACATATGTAACAAACCTGCACATTGTGCACATGTACCCTAAAACTTAAAGTATAATAATAAAAAAAAAGAATGCAATCTCATTTACAATAGCCACACAAAAAGCAAAATACCTGGAAATACATCTAATCGAGGAAGTGAAAAATCTCTATACAGAGAATTACAAAACTCTGCTGAGAGAAATCACAGATGAAACAAACAAAGTTGAAACATTCCATGTTCATGCATTAGAGGAATCAATATTGCTAATATGGCCACATTTCCCAAAAGATTCTACAGATTTAATAGTATTCCTATAAAACTCCCAATGTCATTTTTCATAAAATGAGAAAAAAACTATTCTAAAATTCACGTGGAACTATAAAAGCCCCCAAATAGCCAAAGCAATCTTAAAAAAAAAGAGCTGGAGGCATCACATTGCCCAACTTAAAACTACTACAAGTCTACCTTAGCCAAAACAGCATGGTACTGTTACAAAAAACAGATACATATACCAGTAGAACTGAATAGAGAGCCAAGTAATAAAGCTTCACACTTACAACCATCTGATCTTTGACAAAGATGAAAATAACAAGCAATGGAGAAAAGATTTCCTATTTAATAAGTGGTGCTGTGATAACTGGATAGTCATCGGCAGAAGAATGAAGACCTCTACCTTTCATCATATATAAAAATTAACTCAATGTGGATTAAAGATTCCAATATAAGACTTCAAATTGTAAGATTCCTAGCAGAAATCCTACAAAACACCATTCTTGATTCCAGCCTTGGGAAGGAATTTATAAATAAATCCCTAAAAGCTATTGCAATAAAAATAAAAATTGACAAGTGGGAGCTAATTGAACTAAAGAACTTCTGCACAGCAAAAAGAAATTTTCAGCAAACAGACAAACTACAGAGTGGGACAAAATATTCATAAACTGTGAATCTGACAAAGGTCTAATATCCAGAATCTATAAGGAATTTAAACAAATCAAAAAGCAAAATACAAATAAACTCATTAAAAATTGGGCAAAGAACATGAACAGACACTTCTCAAAAGAAGACACACATGCATTCAACAAACAGAAAAAAAGCTCAACATCACTAATTATCAGACAAATGCACATCAAAACCACAACGAGATAACATCTCACACCAGTCAGAATGGCTATTATTAAAAAGTCAAAAAACAACAGATACTGGCAAGGTTGCAGAGAAAAGAGAATGCTTATGCACTGTTGGTGGGAATGTAAATTAGTTGGGTCACTGTGGAAAGCAGTTTGGGGATTTCTCAAATAACTTAAAACAGAACTACTACTCAACCTACCCTTCCCATTACTGGGAATATGTCCAAAAGAAAATAAATTGCTCTACCAAAAAGCCACGTGCACTCATATGTTCATTGTAGCACTATGCAAAATAGCAAAACATGGTCTCAACCTAGGTGCCCATCAATGGCTGATCAGATAAAGAAAATGTAATACATATCCACTAGAGAAGACTATGCAGCCACAGAAAGAATGAAATCTCATCATTTGCTGGAACATGGGTGCAGCTGTAGGCCATTATCCTAAGCGAATTAATGCAGAAACAGAAAACCAAATACCACACATTCTTACCTATAAATGGGAGCCAAATATTGGTTATATATGGAAATAAAGATGGCAACCCTAGACACTGGAGACTAGTAGATGGGGAAGGGAGTGAGGGGACAAGGATTGAAAAACTACCAAGTACTATGCTCACTATCTCAGTGATGGAATCAATTGTACCCCAAAACTCAGCATCACACATACCCATGTAACATACCTGCACATATAACCACTGAATCAAAAACAGAAGTTGAAATTATTAAAAAATAAAAATAAAAAATAAAATAAAATTCAAACTAATATCCTATGAAAGACAGAAAACATAAATGAAAATAAAAATAATAAAGAAGTTTAATTATGTCATTCTTCAGTTATCCAGTGAGTTCCTATATGTCTAAACTACAGGATATCACATATAGTTTTTAATGAGTTACCTCCAGATCACTGCTCAGTATTCATTACTTACCACGTGCTGTTTTGCACTTTATAGTCTAGCAACAATGAATTGCTTTTACTTTGTTATATAATACATTATTTGTTATTTTAGCCTTTGTCATCGTTTTTGTGAGTACATATCTTTAAGATACTCATATATAGATTTAGAAAAAAATATTCAGGCTTCATAATTGTGTTCAGATATTATCTCCTTCAAGAAACATTTTCTGATCTCTACAGGTTATGTTAAATATTCCTCCTCTGAGTTCTCATAGCTTTCTGTACATTTCTCTATTATCACATTTACTTGCCACATAGAAAGACCACTAGCCAGAATAATAAAGAAAAAAAGAGAAAAGAATCAACTAGACAAAATACAGCATGATAAAGAGGAGATCATCACTGATCCCACAGAAATACAAACCATCAGAGAATACTATAAACACTTCTACACAAATAAACTAGAAAATCTAGAAGAAATAGATAAATCTAGAAGAAATAGATAAATTCCTGGACACCTACACCCTCCCAAGACAAAACCAGGAAGAAGTTGAATCCCTGAATAGACCAATAACAAGTTCTGAAATTGAGGCAGTAATTAATAGCCTACCAACCAGAAAAAGCCCAGGAGCAGTTGGATTCTCAGCTGAATTCTACCAGAGGCACAAAGAGGAACTCCTACCATTCCTTCTGAAACTATTACAAACAATAGAAAAAGATGGGGTCTATCCCTGAACCCTTAGGGTAAAACAGTCCAGGTGAGTTGAGAGTCAGGATGTACAGGGACATGGAAAAAGGCATCCTTAAGGTCCAGGACTGTAAACCACTCTGCTTCCTCTGGTATTTGGGAAAGCAGAGTATAAGGGTTAGGTACAGCTGGGTATAGAGAGGGACAACGGCCTCATTGAGAATCCTGAGATCTTGCACTAACCTCCACTGTCCGTTGGGTTTCTGTACTCCTCCCTTACTCATTTTGCAGGCGGAACAGGACTAAGGAGATTAAAAAAAAAAAAGGCTACCACTTTAGTCACGGCCCTCAGGCAAGCGGACTTTGGACGTTCTGGAAAAGAGAAAAGCTGGGCAAATTGAATGCCTTAATAAGGCTTGCTTCCAGTGCAGTCTACAAGGACACTTTTAAAAAGATTGTCCAAATAGAAATAAGCCATCCAATTGTCCACGTCCCTTATGTTAAGGGAATCACTGGAAGGCCCACTGCCCCAGGGGACGAAGGTCCTCTGAGTCAGAAGCCACTAAACAGATGATCCAGCAGCAGGACTGAGGGTGCCTAGGGCAAGCGCCAGCCCATGCCATCGCCCTCACAGAGCCCTGGGTATGCTTGACCATTGAGGGCCAGGAGGTTAACTGTCTCCTGGACACTGGCACGGCCTTCTCAGTCTTACTCTCCTGTCCTGGACAACTATCCTCCAGATCTGTCACTATCAGAGGGGTCCTAGGACAGCCAGTCACTAAATACTTCTCCCAGCCACTAAGTTGTGACTGGGGAACTTTACTCTTTTCACATGCTTTTCTAATTATGCCTGAAAGCTCCACTCCTTTGTTAGGGAGAGACATTATAGCAAAAGCAGGAGCCATTACACACCTGAACATAGGAGAAGGAACACTCATTTGTTGTCCCCTGCTTGAGGAAGGCATTAATCCTGAAGTCTGGGTAACAGAAGGACAATATGGATGAGCAAAGAATGCCCGTCCTGTTCAAGTTAAACTAAAGGATTCCGCCTCTTTTCCCTACCAAAGGCAGTAACCCCTTAGACCCGAGGCCCAACAAGGACTCCAAAAGATTGTTAAGGACCTAAAAGCCCAAGGCCTAGTAAAACCATGCAATAGTCCCTGTAATACTCCAGTTTTAGGAGTACAGAAACCCAAAGGACAGTGGAGGTTAGTGCAAGATCTCAGGATTATCAATGAGGCCGTTTTCCCTCTATACCCAGCTGTACCTAACCCTTATACTCTGCTTTCCCAAATACCAAAGGAAGCAGAGTGGTTTACAGTCCTGGACCTTAAGGATGCCTTTTTCCATGTCCCTGTACATCCTGACTCTCAACTCACCTGGACTGTTTTACCCCAAGGGTTTAGGGATAGCCCCCATCTATTTGGCCAGGCATTGGCCCAAGACTTGAGCCAGTTCTCATACCTGGACACTCTTGTCTTTTGGTACATTGATGATTTACTTTAAGCCGCCCATTCAAGCCACCCAAGTGCTCTTAAATTTCCTTGCCACCTGATGCTACAAGGTTTCCAAACCAAAGGCTCAGCTCTGCTCACAGCAGGTTAAATACTTAGGGCTAAAATTATCCAAAGGCACCAGGGCCCTCAGTGAGGAATGTATCCAGCCTATACTGGCTTATCCTCATCCCAAAACCCTAAAGCAACAAAGGTTTCCTTGGCATAACAGGCTTCTGCTGAATATGGATTCCCAGTTATGGCAAAATAGCCAGGCCATTATGTACACTAATTAAGGAAACTCAGAAAGCCAATACCCATTGAGTAAGATGGACAGCTGAAACAGAAGTGGCTTTCCCGGCCCTAAAGAAGGCCTTAACCCAAGCCCCAGTGTTAGGCTTGCCAACGGGGCAAGACTTTTCTTTATATGTCACAGAAAAAAACAGGAATAGCTCTAGGAGTCCTTACACAGGTCCGAGGGACCAGCTTGCAACCCGTGGCATACCTGAGTAAGGAAATTAATGTAGTGGCAAAGGGCTGGCCTCATTCTTTACGGGTAGTGGCAGCAGTAGCAGTCTTAGTATCTGAAGCAGTTAAAATAATACAGGAAAGAGATCTTACTGTGTGGACCTCTCATGATGTAAACAGCATACTCACTGCTAAAGGAGACTTGTGGCTGTCAGACAACAGTTTGCTTAAATATCAGGCTCTATTACTTGAAGGGCCAGTGCTGCAACTGCACACTTGTGCAACTCTTAACCCAGCCACATTTCTTCCAGACAATGAAGAAAAGATAGAACATAACTGTCAACAGGTGATTGCTTAAACATACGCCGCTTGAGGGGACCTTCTAGAGGTTCCCTTGACTGATCCCGACCTCAACTTGTACACTGATGGAAGCTCTTTGGTTCCTTGGTAGAAAAAGGACTTCAAAAAGTGGGGTGTGCAGTGGTCAGTGATAATGGAATACTTGAAAGTAATCCCCTTACTCCAGAAACTAGCGCTCAGCTGGCAGAATTAATAGCCCTCACTCGGGCACTAAAATTAGAAGAAAAAAGGGTAAATGTATATACAGACTCTAAGTATGCTTATCTAGTCCTCCATGCCTACACAGCAATATGGAGAGAAAGGGAATTCCTAACTTCCGAGGGAACACCTATCAAACATCAGGAAGCCATTAGGAGATTATTATTGGCTGTACAGAAACCTAAAGAGGTAGCAGTCTTACACTGCCGGGGTCATCAAAAAGGAAAGGAAAGAGAAATACAAGGGAACCGCTAAGCAGATATTGAAGCCAAAAGAGCCGCAAGGTGGGACCCTCCATTACAAATGCTTATAAAAGGACCCCTGGTATGGGGTAATCCCCTCCGGGAAACCAAGCCCCGGTACTCAGCAGAATAAAATACTATGGGGAAGCTCACGAGGATGTAGTTTCCTCCCCTCAGGATGGCTAGCCACTGAAGAAGGAAAAATACTTTTGCCTGCAGCTAACCAATGGAAATTACTTAAAACCCTTCACCAGACCTTTCACTTAGGCATTGATAGCACCCATCAGATGGCCAAATCATTATTTACTGCACCAGGCCTTTTCAAAACTATCAAGCAGATAGTCAGGGCCTGTGAAGTGTGCCAAAGAAATAATCCCCAGCACTTCAGGCCTATATTTCAATCTCTGTATCTTTAACCTCCTTGTTAAGTTTGTCTCTTCCAGAATCAAAGCTGTAAAACTACAAATGGTTCTTCAAATGGAGCACCAGATGCAGTCCATGACTAAGATCTACCGCGACCCCTGGACTGGCCTGGTAGCCCATGCTCTGATGTTAATGAGATCGAAGGCACCCCTCCGGAAGAAATCTCAAATGCATGACCCCTACTATGCCCCAATTCAGCAGGAAGCAGTTAGAGCAGTCGTTGGCCAACCTCCTCAACACCACTTGGGTTTTCCTGTTGAGAGGGGGTACTGAGAGACAGGACTAGCTGGATTTCCTAGGCTGTCTGAGAATCCCTAAGCTAGCTGGGAAGGTGACCACATCCACCTTTAAACATGGGGCTTGCAACTTAGCTCACACCCAACAAATCAGGTAGTAAAGAGAGCTCACTAAAATGCTAATTAGGCAAAAACAGGAGGTTAAGAAATAGCCAATCATCTATTGCCTGAGCGCACAGAGGGAGGGACAATGATTGGGATATAAACCCAGGCATTCGAGCTGGCAATGGCTACCCCCTTTGGGTCCCCTCCCTTTGTATGGGAGCTCTGTTTTCACTCTATTAAATCTTGCAACTGCAAAAAAAAAAAAAGAAAAAGAAAAAGAAAAAGAAAAAGAGGGACTCCTCCCTTACTCATTTTATGTGGCCAGCATCATCCTGATACCAAACCCTGGCAGAGCCACAACAAAACAAGAAAATTTCAGGCCAATATCACTGATGAACATTGATGTGAAAATCTGCAATAAAATACTGGCAGCCAGGTGCAGTGGCTCATGCCTGTAATCGCAGCACTTTGGGAGGCCAAGGCAGGTGGATCGTGAGGTCTAGAGATCAAGACCATCCTGGCCAACATTGTGAAACCCCTTCTCTACTAAAAATACAAAAATTAGCTGGGTGTGGCGGTACATGCCTGTAGTCCCAACTACTTGGGAGGGTGAGGCAGGAGAATCACTTGAACCCGGGAGGCAGAGGTTGCAGTGAGCTGAGATTGCAACACTGCACTTCAGTCTGGCGACAGAGTGAGACACTGTCTAAAAATATATATATATAAATATATGTTGGCAAACCGAATCCAGCAGCATATCAAAAAGCTTATCCACTACGATCAAGTCTGCTTCATCCCAGGGATGCAAGGCTGGTTCAACATATGCAAATCAATAAATGTAATCCATCACATAAAACCAATGACAAAAACCACATGATTATCTCAATAGAATTCAACTCCTCTTCATGCTAAAAACTTTCAATGAACTAGGTATTGATAGAATGTATCTCACAATAATAAGAGCTATTTATGACAAATCCACAGCCAATATCATACTCAATGGGCAAAAGCTGGAAGCATTCCCTTTGAAAACCAGCACAAAACAAGGATATCCTCTCTTACCACTCCTATTCAACATAGTATTGGATGTTCTGGCCAGGGCAATCAGGCAAGAGAAAGAAATAAAGGGTATTCAAATAGGAAGAGAGGAAGTCAAATTGTCTCTGTTTGCAGATGATGGGATTGGATATTTAGAAAACCCCATCATCTTAGCCCCAAATCTCCTTAAGCTGGTAAGCAACTTCAGCAAGTCTCAGGATAAAAAATCAATGTGCAAAAATCACAAGCATTTCTATACACCAATAAGAGACAAAACAGAGAGCCAAATCATGAGTGAACTCCCATTCACAATTGCTACAAGAGAAAAAAATACCTAGGAATACAACTTACAAGAGATGTGAAGGACCTCTTCAAGGAGAACTACAAACCACTGCTCAAGGAAATAAGAGAGGACACAAACAAATGGAAAAACATTCCATGCACATGGATAGGAAAAATCAATATTGTAAAAATGGCCATACTGCCCAAAGTAATTTATAGATTCAATGCTATTCCCATCAAGCTACCATTGACTTTCTTCACAGAATTAGAAAAAAACTACTTTAATTTTCATATGGAACCAAAAAAGAGACCATACTGCCAAGACAATCCTAAGCCAAAAGAACAAAGCTGGAGGCATCATGCTACCTGACTTCAAACTGTACTACAAGGCTACAGTAACCAAAACAGCATGGTACTGGTACCAAAACAGATATATAGACCAATGGAACAGAACAGAGGCATCAGAAATAGCGCCACATTATATTAAAGTCTGGCTGGGTGTTTGTATCTCCCACTAGATGGTAAGGTTCTCAGGGCAAGAGACCATATGTTATTCATCTTTGTGTTCCCAGCATCTCTATAGTTTAGTGTTTAATCCACAATAGGTGCTAAAGGAACATATACTGAAAGAAAGACTGAGTGAATGGAAGTCTTTGAGATATGTTCATCTGATTATGTGTCAGCTTTAGAACTAGAAAAATCAACTCTAATCCTCATTATGCCTACAGTAACGAAAATCATTTTGCACCAAGCAAGTCAGATGTTCACTCTTTCCTGAGGAACTAACTCACTCTGATGGACACTATCTCACTTAGCAGAAATCTACCTTAACACAAGAATTGCAGCCTGGACATTGGAAATTGCTAAATAAATCCTAGACTTTCACATTCACTTTGAAAATGCTATTACAACATTTTTATTAAATTGTGATAATTATCTCATATTGTGAGAAGCATATAAATTCAGGTCTAATTGTCTTTGGCAACAAATTTATTACTAAGTCCACAAAAGCAATTGTAAGAAAAATAAAAATTGATAAGTAGGACCTAATTAAACTAAGGAGCTTCTGCCCACCAAAAGAAACTATCAACAGAGTAAACAGACAACCTACAGAATGGGAGAAAATATTCAGAAATATGCATTTGACAAAGGTCTAATATCCAGAATTTATAAGGAATTTAAACAAATTAAAAAGCAAAATACAAATAACCTCATTAAAAATTGGGCAAAGAGCATGAACAGGCACTCTCAAAAGAAGGCATACATGTGGCCAACAAACATGAAAAAATGATCATAACCACTAATCATTAGAGAAATGCAAATCGAAGGTAAAATGAGATACCATCTCACACCAGTCAGAATGGCTATTATTAAAAAGTTAAAAAACAAATAAAAAACAGATGCTGGGGAGGTTAAGGAGAAAAGGGTATGCTTATACACTGCTGATGGGAATGAAAATTAGTTGAACCACCATGGAAAGCAATGTGGAGATTTCTCAAAGAACTTAAAAACAAATTGACCAAGCAATCCCACAATTGGGTATATACCCAAAGGAAAATAAATTGTTCTACCAAAGACACATGCACTCATATGTTCATTGCAGCATGATTCACAATAGCAAAGACATGTAATAAACCAAGATGCCAACAATAGTGGACTGGATAAATAAAAGATGATAAACATACCATGGAATACTATGCAGCCATAAAAAGTATAAAATCATTTCATTTGCAGCACCATGGATGTAGCTGGATGCCATTATTCTAAGCAAACTAATCCAGAAACTGAAAACTGAATAACACATGCTGTCAGTTATATGAGAGAGCTAAACATTGAATAGACATGGACACAAGGCTCAGAACAATAGATACTGGGAACTTCTTGGGAGGGGGGAGGAGTTGGAAGGCTACCTGTGGGTATTATGCTCACTACCTGGGTGACAGGATTATTCCTCCATCAGGCCTTAGAAAAATGCAATTTACCCATGTAAGAAACCTGCACATGTACCTCTGGAATCTAAAATAAAAGTAGAACAAAAAAAAAATTCAGGTCTACAGGGTTTTATGGGGTCGAAGGGCTTGTAAACTGGAATACATTAATGTATTGTTGAGGTTTAAAGCTCCCTTCATTCTATATAGACCTGGAAATAACTGACATTGTAAGCTTATTAAAATATGAAAATATTAAGTAAAATATTAACTGCTTAAATTTGGAGTTTGAATTATTATTTGACCTCTATAGCCCCAGGCAATAGAACATGCAGAAAATAATTTGGGTTATGAAAAGACACTTTGTTAAACATTAATATAAAACAATGCCATGGCTCAGTTTTGCTGTGTTGTTTTATACTGTTTTATACTGGAAAACATTGGACATTTTAAAAAATTAAGATTTTATAATGTTTATATTCTGTAAAAGAAGCCAGAACTTGTTATATTGACAAATGGCTTGAGAAAGGGAAAGCCATTATAGGGAAATGAGGTATTGATCAGAAAGGTGGGATAAAGTTCAGGAGAAAATCTACTGACATGTGACAGACTGTGATTTTCTAAGCTATCTGCAACTATATCTCTTTGAAGGCCTTTTTTCTGTTTCAAAGGGTCGGTTTCAAAGGGTAAAAACTATCTTAAATATCTCTGAGATATTCACAAAATGTTTCACAGTTAAAACCCTTAGTTCATCTTTACCAAGTGATGTTTTCCTGATAGCATCTTGGACTTGATCTCTGAATCCTTGTGATGGTTAATTTTATGTCAATTCTTCTGGTCTAAGAAGTGTCCAGATATTTGGTAAGACACTCCTCCAGGTGCTTCTGTGAAGGTGTTTTTGGATGAGTTTAACATTCATATAGATAGACTGAGTAAAGCATATTGCTCTCATGAATGTTGGGGGGGGGGTTCATTCAATCAGGTGAAGGCCTGAATACAATAAAAGGCTGACCCTTTCCCAAACAAGAGGGAACTCCTTCAACCTGATTTCCTTAGCAGTAGAACAAAGGCCTTTTTCTGCCTTTGGACCAGAACTAAACAATCAGCTCTCCTGGGTTTCTAGCTTGCTGACTACAGATTTTTGGACCTGTCAGCTTCCATAATAATGTGAACCAATTCCTTATGGTAAACTTTCTCTCTCTCTCTCTCTCTCTCTCTCTCTCTCTCTCTCCTCTCTCTCTATCTATAAATCTATATACACATATATATGTATATACACATCTCTCTCTATATATCTATAAGGAGCTCTCCTGGGTTTCTTGCTTGCTAGCTACAGATTTTTGGACCACTCTCTCTGTCTCTCTTGACAGACAGATAGATAGATATAGATAGATATAGATATAGATATAGATATAGATAGATAGGTAGAGATAGACCTTAGACTATGATCCTTTCAAGAGTAGAAGAACCAGGATATTTTCATGCCAAGACAGCATCCCTTCCATACTCTTTTATTTTTTTTCTGCATGTCTCTGACTCTGTATGTAAAGATTGTGCAACCGAACTTAAAATACAACTCCAGTATTTTTAAAGATGTGATGTTTGCAGATGCTGCTAAAGCACCCTAGAGAGTAGAAACTAAATATGACCTTACCTTTGCCCCATTTAAGGACCAAAAGGGCACAAAGGGGTTTCATTTCACTCTGAACTTTTGGTGATCACATATGGTATAGATGTATATCTGTGTAAATTCGTAGACACAATTTTAAGAAGCAGGAGAATCATTCTTAAATTTTCTCCATATAAGCACATAATATACTTAGCTCTCGTTTCCTTGGTTTTCCTTTTCATTCATGAAGAACTTCATTATTCAAATTTAGACAGATGCATAGAGCTGAATGGCTCTTTGGAGACTTGAATGTCTACCATTTTGCTTATTCTGGGATACTCATTATAAACCAGACATAACAGCTTAAGAAAATATCATAAATGCTCTGTCTCAATGCAACAGCATCATGAATATTGATGTTCAGTTTCTGTCAATCTTATGTCTCTTTGTTCTTTAATTCAAATGACAGGCTAAGAAGATAGACCTGCTATGATATACATAGAATCATAGACTGGAAGTTTGTGAGTAATATTCTCTTATGATTTATCTTGTTCAGAATTGTAAAGATCAAGTAATAGTTTATTTTACTTATAGTAGCTATTCCCATTTTCTTGAAGAGAAAACAGTCTCAGAGAGTTTACATGGTTTACTCAAAATCTAATTTACTAGTTAGTAAGTAGCAGAATCAGTACATCAATCCACAACTTCTCTGTATAAAAATGAAGTGACTTATCCTTGTCTAATATTGTGTTAGTATTGTCTCAATAAATGGTAGATGAATAAATAAATAAAGGAATAATTGATTCCTGCATGCTAGTGGTTTAGGTCACAAACAGAAACAAATTAGAAAAGGCTTTTCCCAGAATTACAGAATTCCTGGCTGCTAAGCATCTATTTCACACAGCAGGGCAATGAACGCAGGTGTACCAGCTAGTATACACAATCAAAAGATAACAGTTCCACGAATTGAGGTCAGCAGAGTCAGAGGGACATAACCAAAGGATTGGCTGCCACTCAGCCTCAAAACAGTAAAATGAAACATATATTACACTTAAAATGATAGCTTTTATAGAGTGAAATGTAGTCAAAATGAATCCACTGTAGAAACTCATGTCTAATATAAGAGCAAATATCAAACAACATTTGTTTTACAAAAGTGTTATTTTTCTAAAGCCACTGGATTAGAAGTGTTTATGCTCAATGTTGTATGGCAACAAAAAATCCTAAATATGTGCATATTTTAGTATCAACTGATCAAATTGTACTGCTTGATTGACAAGAGGGAGTGGTTAGGACAAGCTGTCAAGGCTATATTTTCAATAACTCAATCTTCTCCTAGCCACTATAATTAGTGTATTAGAACATCCTTTTTATCTCCAAGCACAAAAACTTATTGGGGGAAATATTATTGCAGGATGATAGGTCCCTGGGTACTCTGGGCTGACCTAGCTCTCCCGCTCCTGCTTGTATTTCTCAGGATAACTGTAAAATGTGCTGATAATACAAAATCCTGAGATAAAAAGGAATGGCATAGAACAGCCCTGGCTTTGTCCCCATCACTCATAGAACTGGATATCCCACAACACTTGGACTTAGTGTGCCAACAATTTGCCTCTAGAGTATAAAACCAGAGCAGAGGGCTTTTGGGATCCCAAAGCTGTTGTGCAAACTGGGGCATGTGTAGATGCTACTCCATCCACCTTGCATAGGTTTCTTGAGCATTGGAGGGCCAGCTTGCCATAGCTCATATATTTCTGTTGATTCTTACCCCCTATCTATGAGTAATAAAGGTTCTTTATTACTTGTAGACTTGCACAAGTTTTCTGTCTCATCACACTATACCTAAGAATGCAAGTGGTGAAGATACGACTGCTACAGCAGCTGGGTCTGATTTGAGCCCCTGCTATAGTCAAGAACCCTCACAAATAATTTACCTACTCTAGAATTAGCACATATTCATCTGTGAATGTGGAATATTCTTGATTCAAGATCTATTGTTCAAGATCCAAAAAAAAAAAAACCCTACAGGAAATTGACATTCCAGATGGTTCAAGAGGCTCAGAGGTTATGTCTTCAAGATCCTTGGTGCAGAGAATGATTATACAGTTAATTGGGCATGGCCAGTATAGAAAATGAAAAGTAACCAGAGGCTATACATAATGACAACAGGTTGTCCCAAGAGAATTTAAAGGCCTAGGAGGTTGTGAAGGGACTGGAGCTCAGAATGTTAGAACTTGAGGGTTAGAATCATTACAAATTGGGATTTATTTCCAGTTCTAACCAGATAACTAATTCATCTGCAAAAAACATTTACTCATATCTGTCAAATAAGGTGAGTTGGACTAAATGCTTTCAAAGGTCTCTTCTAGCATAATATTCTGTGATTGCAGGTCTTTACACTTAAGAATTCCCTTAGAGTTTAAGTTGGGTTTGATGTCACCAAAGTGGATCAAAGATACTTTAGCTACACATTTGCCTATTTAGGTGATCTTCATTAATTCCTGAAGTTATTTCTGGGATTATTTTCCTCAATTTTAATAATCTTATTTAGTATTTCCTGAAATACAAATGTGTCATCAGTAAATTCTTTCATCTTTTGCTTGTGTGATAATGCCCTTCTTTGCCTTTATTTTTGAAGGTACACTTTTCTAGGATTGAAAATCTATGTCTGAAGTATTTCTGTATTTTTAAAGATGACGTTACATTGAGTTTTGGCTTTCATAGTTTCTATTGAAATTCTAGTTCTCCATTTTTTTTTTGTTCTTCCTTTTAAGGTAGTCTTTTTCTTTTGAATTATTTGAAGATTTTTACCTTTATGACTAGTTTTCAGCAGTTTGACCATGATAAACCTAAGTGTGGTTTTATTTGCAGCTATTTTGTTTGGAATTTGCTGTGCATTATGAATCTTTAAGATGCAATATTTCATCATATTTGGAAAATTATTTATGATTTTCTTTTCAAATACTGTTTATTTCCCATTTCCTCTCTCTCCTATATACTTAAGATGAAAATTACGTATATTTTAACAACGTGATTGTGTTCTGTCTTGTATGTTGTTTTTCTTCCCCTATTCTTTATTTCTACAATTTTATTTTCCATTATTCTTTTCCATGTTTTATATTGACTTGTCCTCACATTTGTTAATCTTGTCTTCTGTTTGTGTGGATTCTGTTGTTAAACTACAGATATTAGATTTTCAGTTCCAGAGAGTCAATTTGATTTTTAATTTTTTATTTGTAATTTTCGTGAGTACATAGTAGGTGTATATACTTATGGGGTACCTGAAATGTTTTGATACAGGCATGCAATGTGTAATAATCACATTATGAAAAATGGGGTATCCATCCCCTCAAGCATTTATCCTTTGAGCTACAAACAATCCAATTACATGTTTTAAGTTATTTTAAAATGTATAACTAAGTTATTATTGACTATAATCAACCTGTTGTGCTATCAAATAGGTCTTATTTAATCTTTCTGTTTTTGTACCCATTAACAATTCGTAATTCTCCCACAGCCACCCAATACTGTCCACTTGATTTTTTAAGGTTTCCAATTATTTGTAAGATTTTTTATTTTTATTTGTTACCTTTTTATCCACATGCATTAATGTTTTAGTCATAGTTATTTTAAGTACTTATCTACTAACACAGAATTGTAGATCATCTATAGATCTGCAATTCTGTCTTTTCTCTGTTTGCTAAAGTAATAAAACATTTATTTTTATGAATAATTTTATGTATAAAATTTTATGTATAAAATTTTTATACATAAACCAGTGGCACTGAGAAAAAAACACCTGAAAAGCAATTATATGGTGCTAAAATGTGCAGACATATCATTGATATTTGAGATTGGACTTAGTTTGCCATTTTAATTCAGAATTTGGGATTCTCCATATGCATCATATGTGTCATAGGCTTTGATGACAAACCACTTATGGGTGTGCTAGCTGGCTGCAGGTTGATGGCCTTCACCTTTTGGGATGCTATAGAATGCATGTCTGACAAAACACAATTATTTCTACTGCAGGACAAATAGCAAAGTGTCAACTGATGCTAGAGATCATTATTTTCTCTGAGACTTTAATAGGAATATCGATGTAGGTCTGAGTTTTTGAACTGCTTTTTAATTTAACTTGTTTTTTATTTTCTATTTTTAAACTTTTATTTTAATTTGGCATACATGTGAAGATTTGTTACATAGGTAAATTCCATATTGCAGGGGTTTGGTATATAGATTATTTTATCACCCAGCTAATAAACATGAAATCTGATAGGTATTGTTTTAATCCTCACCCTCTACACACCTCCACCCATAAAAAAACCCCGATGTCTATTTATATTAGTCCATTTTCACACTGCTATAAAGAAATACCTGAGACTGGGTAATCTATAAGGAAAGAGGTTTAATTGACTCAGTCCTACATGACTGGGGAGAACTCAGGAAGCTTTCAATCATGGCAGAAGGCAAGGGGAATTAAGAACCTTCTTCACATGGTGACAGGAGAGAGAATTGCAAGCAGAGGAAATGACAGATGTTTATAAAACCATAAGATCTCATGAGAACTCACTCATGAAAATAGCATGGGGGAAACTGCACCCATGATCCAACAGCTCCCTCCCTCAACATGTGGGGATTATAGGTTACTCCCTTGACACATGAGGATTACAATAAGAGATGAAGTTTTGTTACCGTGGAAGAGATCTGAGTTACCCCATGTTACCAGCAGCCTATTCTTATGGGTCCACAGCAACTTCACTCCTTGGCTCCTCAGAAGGAAGAATTCGACTGAGGGCCATAAAGCAGAAAAAGACACCAAGGCAAGTTCCAGGGCAAAAATGGAAGTTTATATAAAAAGGTCTCAGAACAGGAAAGAAAGGAAGATGCACTTGGAAAAGACTGAAGTGGGCATGTGAAGGTTAAAGACAGAAGGTCAAGTGCCCTCTTTAACTGGGATTCTAGGATTTTTATAAATTCACCTTTTTCCCATGATTCTTCTCTTAGGGTGGGTTTTCTTCATGCACAGGGCCGCCCTTACCCTTAGGAAGTGAGCATGCACAGTGTGTTTAGGGAGTTCTAAACATGTCCATCTGAGGTTTTCTTCCTTTTTCTGGTAGAGTGTACTCAGAAGACCACACTTCATCATTTTTGTATTTTAATATACATGCCCAGGAAGTTGTTTCTCCCTGGGACCTGCCTTCAATTAAGATTTTGATGTTAACAGGTATGGACCATCATGAAATTGCCTCTCTCCCTGGTGTTGCTGAATTATCATGTTTAGAGAGGCAATGTGATAATTGCTGAACTATCACCTGACATTTCTAGTGGGTGGGGGAAGAGCTCTCTCCTGCCCCACTCATGCCTAACTACCAGTGACAATTTGGGTGGGAACACAGAGCCAAACCATATTATTCCACCCCTAGCTCCTCCAAAATCTCATGTCTTTTCAGATTTCAAAACCAACCATGCCTTCCAAACAGTTCCCCAAAATCCTAACTCATTTCAGCATTAACTCAAAAGTCCACAAGCCAAAGTTTCATCTGAGACAAGGCAAGTCCCTTCTGCCTATAAGCCTGTAAAATCAAAAGCAAATTAGTTGCTTCCTAGATACAATGGAGGTACAGGCATGAAGTAAATGCTCCAATTCCAAATAAAAAAAACTTGGCCAAAAAACAGGGGCTACAGGCCCTATACAAGTCCAAAATCCAGAAGGTCAGTCATTAAATCCTAAAGCTTCAAAATGATATTTTTTGACTCCATGTCTCACATTCTGTGCATGCTGATATAAGGGGTGGGCTCCCACAGACTCGGACAGCTCCTTCATAGTCTAGCATTGAGTGTCTGCACTTTTCCAGGTGGACAGTGCAAGCTGTCAGTGAATCTACCATTCTGGGGTCAGAGGACGGTGGCCCTCTTCTCACAGCTCTACTAGGCAGTGTCCCAGTTGGCACTCTGTGTAGGGGGTCCAATCCCACTTTTCCCTTCTGCACTGCCTGAGCAGAGGTTCTCCATGAGATCCCCGCCCCTGCAGTAAACTTCATCTGGACATCCAGGCATTTCCATACATCCTCTGAAATTTAGGTGGAGGCTCCCAAACCCCAATTTTTGACTTCTGTGTACTTGCAGGCTCAACGCCACGTGGAAGCGGCCAAGGCGTGGGGCCTGCACCCTCTGAAGCAATGCCTCAAGCTGTACCTTGGCCCATTTTCACCATGGCTGGAGCTGGAGCAGCAGGGACACAGGTCACCAAGTCACCAGGCTGCACACAGCAGTGGAGCCCTGGGCCTGACCCACAATCTATTTTTTCCTCCTAGGCTTCAGGACCTATGAAGGGAGGGGCTGCCATTAAGATCTCTGACATGCCTTGGAGACATTTTCTTCATTGTCTTGGTGATTAACCTCTTTTCTTATGCAAATTTATGCAGTGGGCTTAAATTTCTCCCCAGAAATTGGTGTTTTTCTTTTTTATCGCATTGTCAGGCTGCAAATTTTCCAAACTTTTATGCTCTGCTTCCCTTTTAAACGTAAGGTTTAATTTCAGATCACCTCTCAAGTTCAAAATTCCACATATTTTTAGGGCAGGGGCAATATATTGCCAGTCTCTTTGTTAAAGCATAGCAAGAGTGGCCTTTGCTCCTGTCAGGCCTCTGAGCCCAAGCCAAGCCATCACATCCCCTGTGACCTGCATGTACACATCCAGATGGCCGGTTCCTGCCTTAACTGATGACATTCCACCACAAAAGAAGTGAAAATGCTCTGTTCCTGCCTTAACCGATGACATTATCTTGTGAAATTCCTTCTCCTGGCTCATCCTGGCTCAAAAGCTCCCCTACTGAGCACCTTGTGACCCCCCCACTCCTGCCTGCCAGAGAACAACCCCCCTTTGACTGTAATTTTCCTTTACCTACCCAAATCTCATAAAATGGCCCCACCCTTATCTCCCTTCGCTGACTCTCTTTTTGGACTCAGCCTGCCTGCACCCATGTGAAATAAACAGCCTCGTTGGTCACACAAAGCCTGTTTGGTGGTCTCTTCATACGGATGCAAGTGAAATTTTGGTGCCGTGACTCGGATTGGGGGACTTCCCTTGGGAGATCAATCCCCTGTCCTCCTGCTCTTTGTTCTGTGAGAAAGATCCACCTATGATCTCTGGTCATCAGACCAACCAGCCCAAGGAACATCTCACCAATTTTAAATCTGGTAAGTGGCCTCTTTTTACTCTCTTCTCCAACCTCTCTCACTATCCCTCAACCTCTTTCTCCTTTCAATCTTGGTGCCACACTTCAATCTCACCCTTCTCTTAATTTCAGTTCCTTTCCTTTTCTGGTAGAGATGAAGGAGACGCATTTTATCTGTGGACCTAAAACTCCGGCGCCGGTCACGGACTCAGGAAGACAGTCTTCCCTTGGTGTTTAATCGTGCGGGGATGGCTGCCTGATTATTCACCCAAGTTTCAGAGGTGTCTGACCACGCGGGGATGCCTGCCTTGGTCCTTCACCCTTAACAGCAAGTACCACTTTTCTGGGGGGCAAGAACCCCCCAACCCCTTCTCTCTGTGTCTCTACCCCTTCTCTGATTTTCTGGTGGGCAAGAAACCCCCAACCCCTTCTCTCCATGTCTCTACCCCTTCTCCACTTTTCTGGGGGGCAAGAACCCCCCAACCCCTTCTCCTTCACCCTTAGTGGCAAGTACCACTTTTCTAGGGGGCAGGAATCCCCCAACCCCTTCTCTCCATGTCTCTACCCCTTCTCTGCTTTTCTGGGGGGCAAGAACCCCCCATCTCTTCTCTCCATGTCTCTACCCCTTCTCTGCTTTTCTGGGGGGAAAGAACCCCCCATCTCTTCTCTCCATGTCTCTACCCTCTCTTTTCTCTGGACTTGCCTCCTTCACTATGGGCAAGCTTCCACCCTCCATTCCCCCTTCTTCTCCCTTAGCCTGTGTTCTTAAAAACCTAAAACCTCTTCAACTCACACCTGACCTAAAACCTAAATGCTTTATTTTCTTCTGCAATGCCGCTTGACCCCAATACAACCTCGACAGTTGTTCCAAATAGCCAGAAAATGCCACTTGCAATTTTTCCATCCTACAGGATCTAAATAATTCTTGTCGTAAAATGGGCAAATGGTCTGAAGTGCCTGACATCCAGGCATTCTTTTACACATCGGTCCCTCCCTAGTCTCTGTTCTCAATGCAACTCCTCCCAAATCTTCCTTCTTTCCCTCCCGCCTGTCCCCTCAGTCCCAACCCCAAGTGTCTCTCAGTCTTTCTAATCTTCCTTTTCTACAGACCATCTGACCTCTCCTCTCCTCCCCAGGTCGAGCTAGGTCCCAATTCTTCCTCAGCCTCCACTCCCCCACCCTATAATCCTTTTATCACCTCCCCTCCTCACACCCTGTCCAGCTTACAGTTTTGTTCCACGACTGGCCCTTCCCCACCTCCCCAGCAATTTCCTCTTAAAAAGGTGGCTGGAGCTAAAGGCATAATCAAAGTTAATGCTCCTTTTTCTTTATCCGACCTCTCCCAAAATCAGTTAGTGTTTAGGCTCTTTTTCATCAAGTATAAAAACCCAGCCCAGTTCATGGCTCGTTTGGAAGCAACCCTGAGATGCTTTACAGCCCTAGACCCTGAAAGGTCAGAAGGCCATCTTATTCTCAATATGCATTTTATTTTACTACCCAATCTGCTCCCGACATTCAATAAAGCTCCAAAAATTAAATTCCAGCCCTCAAACCCCACAACAGGACTTAATTAACCTTACCTTCAAGGGGTGCAATAATAGAGTAGAGGCAGCCAAGTAGCAATGTATTTCTGAGTTGCAATTCCTTGCCTCCACCGTGAGACAAACCTCAGTCACATCTCCAGCACACAAGAACTTCCAAACACCTAAACTGCAGCGGCCAGGCATTCCTCCAGGCCCGCCTCCAGGCCAGGAGCTTGCTACAAATGTGGGAAATCTGGCCACCAGGCCAAGGAATGCCCACAGCCCGGGATTCCTCCTAAGCTGTGTCCCATCTGTGTGGGACCCCACTGGAAATCGGACTGTCCAACTCACCTGGCAGCCACTCCCAGAGCCCCTGGAACTCTGGCCCAAGGCTCTCTGACTCCTTCCCAGATCTTCTTGGCTTAGCAGCTGAAGACTGACGCTGCCCAATCACCTTGGAAGCTTCCTGGACCATCACAGATGCTTTAGGTAACTCTCACAGTGGAAGTTAAGTCTGTCCCCTTCTTAATCAATACGAAGGCTACCCACTCCACATTACCTTCTTTTCAAGGGCCTGTTTCCTTTGCCTCCATAACTGTTGTGGGTATTGATGGCCAGGCTTAAACCTCTTAAAACTCCCCAACTCTGGTGCCAACTTAGACAATACTCTTTTAAGCACTCCTTTTAGTTATCCCCACCTGCCCAGTTCCCTTATTAGGCTGAGATATTTTAACTAAATTATCTGCTTCCCTGACTATTTCTGGGCTACAGCCATGCTTCATTGCCACCTTTTCCCCCAGTTCAAAGCCTCCTTCACATCTTCCCCTTGTATCTCCCCACCTGAGCCCACAAGTATACCATACCTCTATTCCCTCCTTGGTGACCGATCATGCACCCCTTACCATCTCATTAAAACCTAATCACCCTTACCCCACTCAATGCCAATATCCCATCCTGCAGCACAATTTAAAAGGATTAAAGCCTGTTATCACTCGCCTGATACAGTATGGCCTTTTAAAGCCTATAAACTCTCCTTACAATTCCCCCATTTTACCTGTCCTAAAACCAGACAAGCCTTACAGGTTAGTTCAGGATCTGCGCCTTATCAAGCAAATTGTTTTGCCTATCCACCCCGTGTGTGCCAAACCCGTATACTCTCCTATCCTCAATACCTCCCTCCACAACCCATTATTCTGTTCTGGATCTCAAACATGCTTTCTTTACTATTCCTTTGCACCCTTCATCCCAGCCTCTCTTTGCTTTCACTTGGACTGACCCTGACACCCATTAGGCTCAGCAAATTACCTAGGCTGTACTGCTGCAAGCCTTCACAGACAGCCCCCATTACTTCAGTCAAGCCCAAATTTCTTCCTCATCTGTTACCTATCTCAGCATAATTCTCATAAAAACACACATGCTCTCCCTGCTGATTGTGTCCGACTGATCTCTCAAACCCCAACACCTTCTACAAAACAACAACTCCTTTCCTTCCTAGGCATGGTTAGTGCAGTCAGCATTCTTACACAAGAGCTGGGACTGCACCCTGTAGCCTTTCTGTCCAAACAACTTGACCTTACTGTTTTAGCCCAGCCCTCATATCTGTGTGCGGTGGCCACCGCCACCCTAATACTTTTAGAGGCCCTTAAAATCACAAACTATGCTCAACTCTCTACAGTTCTCATAACTTCCAAAATCTATTTTCTTCCTCACACCTGACACATATACTTTCTGCTCCCCGGCTCCTTCAGCTGTACTCACTTTTTGTTGAGTCTCCCACAATTACCATTGTTCCTGGCCCAGACTCCAATCCGTCCTTCCACAGTATTCCGGATACCACACCTGACCCCTATGACTGTATCTCTCTGATCCACCTGACATTCACCCCATTTCCCCATATTTCCTTCTTTCCTGTTCCTCACCCTGAACACACTTGGTTTATTGATGGTAGTTCCACCAGGCCTAATCGCCACACACCAGCAAAGGCAGACTATGCTATAGTACAAGCCACCAGCCTGCCTCTTAGAACCTCTCATTTCCTTTCCATCATGGAAATCCATCCTCAAGGAAATAACTTCTCAGTGTTCCACCTGCTATTCTACTACTCCTCAGGGATTATTCAGGCCCCCTCCCTTTCCTACACATCAAGCTCGAGGATTTGCCCCCACCCAGGACTGGTAACTCTTAATTCCCTCTTAGAGTGGATAGATGATCTTTGCTGGCAGGGAACCCTCCAATACTTTCACCCTGATGAAGTTCTATTCTTTACTTTTATACTCACTCTTATTCTCATTCCCATTCTTATGCCACCCTCTACCTCTCCCCAGCTAACTCCACCACACTATCAACCTTACTCATTCTCTCCTAGCCGTTTCTAATCCCTCCTTAGCAAATAACCACTGGCTTTGCATTTCCCTTTCTTCCAGCACCTACACAGCTGTCCCCGCTTTACATGCAGACTAGGCAACATCTCCTGTCTCCCTGCTCCTCCGAACTTCCTTTAACAGCCCTCACCTTTACCCTCCTGAGGAACTCATTTACTTTCTAGGCAGGTCCAGCAAGACCTCCCCAGACATTTCATATCAGCAAGCTGCCGCCCTCCTCAGCACTTACTTAAAAAACCTTTCTCCTTATATCAACTCTGCTTCTCCCATATTTAGACCTCTCACAACACAAACTACTATTCCTGTGGCCGCTCCTTTATGTATCTCTTGGCAAAGACCCACTGGAATTCCCCTAGGTAACCTTTCACCTTCTCAATGTTCCTTTACTCTTCATCTCCAAAGCCCTCTTCTTGTTTACTTATACCCAGCCCCGTAAATAATAGTGAAAGGTTGCTCATAGATACTCAACGTTTTCTCATACACCATGAAAACTGAACCTCCCCCTCTACATAGTTACCTCATCAGTCCCCATTACAACCTCTGACAGCTGCCGCCCTAGCTGCATCCCTAGGAGTCTAGGTACAAGACACCCCTTTCAGCACTCCTTCTCATCTTTTTACTTTGCATCTCCAGTTTTGCCTCACACAAGGTCTCTTCTTCCTCTGTGGATCCTCTACCTACATGTGTCTACCTGCTAATTGGACAGGCATGTGCACACTAGTTTTCCTTACTCCCAAAATTCAATTTGCAAATAGGACCGAAGAGCTCCCTGTTCCCCTCATGACACCAACATGACAAAAAAGAGTTATTCCACTAATTCCCTTGCTTGTCGGTTTAGGACTTTCTGCCTCCACTATTGCTCTCTGTACTGGAATAGCAGGCATTTCAACCTCTGTCACAACCTTCCATAGCCTGTCTAATGACTTCACTGCTAGCATCACAGACATGTCACAAACTTTATCAGTCCTCCAGGCCCAAGTTGACTCTTTAGCTGCAGTTGTCCTCCAAAACCGCTGAGGCCTTGACTTACTCACTGCTGAAAAAGGAGGATTCTGTATATTCTTAAATGAAGAGCATTGTTTTTACCTAAATCAATCTGGCCTGGTATATGACAACATAAAAAACTCAAGGATAGAGCCCAAAAACTTGCCAATCAAGTAAGTAATTACGCTGAACCCCCTTGGACACTCTCTAATTAGATGTCCTAGGTCCTCCCAATTCTTAGTCCTTTAATACTTGTTTTTCTCCTTCTCTTATTCCATTTAGTTTTTCAATTCATACAAAACTGAATCCAGGCCATCACCAATAATGCTACATGACAAATGTTTCTTCTAACAACCCCACAATATCACCCCTTACCACAAAATCTTCCTTCAGCTTAATCTCTCCCACTGTAGGTTCCCATGCTGCCCCTAATCACACTGGAAGCAGCCCTGAGAAACATCACCCATTATCTCTTCATACCACCCCCAAAAATTTTTGCCATCCCAACACTTTACCACTATTTCATTTTATTTTTCTTATTAATATAAGAAGACAGGAATGTCAGGCCTCTGAGCCCAAGCTAAGCCATCATATCCCCTGTGACCTGCAGGTACACATCCAGATGGCCAGTTCCTGCCTTAACTGATGACATTCCACTACAAAAGAAGTGAAAATGGCCTGTTCCTGCCTTAACTGATGACATTATCTTGTGAAATTCCTTCTCCTGGCTCATCCTGGCTCAAAAGCTCCCCTACTGAGCACCCTGTGACACCCACTCCTGCCCATCCAGAGGACAACCCCCCTTTGACTGTAATTTTCCTTTACCTACCCAAATCTTATAAAACGGCCCTACCCCTATCTCCCTTCACTGACTCTCTTTTCGGACTCAGCCCACCTGCACCCAGGTGAAATAAACAGCCTTGTTGCTCACACAAAGCCTGTTTGGTGGTCTCTTCACACCGACACGATTGAAAGCTCCAGTTCCCAATGAGTTTCTCATCCCCATCTGAGACTACCTCAGCTGAACTTTATTGTCCATATCACTATAAGCACTTTGGTCAAAGTGATTCAACAAGTCTCTAAGAAATTCCAAACATCCCCACATCTTTGTCTTCTTCTGAGCCCTCCAAACTGTTTCAACTTCTGCTTGTTATGCAGTTCCAAAGTCACTTCCACATTTTTTGTATCTTTATAGCAGTACCCCACTACCTAAGTAACAATTTACTCTATTAGTCCCTTTTCACACTGCTATAAAGAAATACCCACGTGGTGGCTCATGCCTGTAATCCCAGCACTTTGGGAGGCCAAGGCAGGTGACTAACCTGAGGTCAGGAGTTTGAGACCAGCCTGGCCAACATGGTGAAACCCCATCTCTATGAAAAATACCAAAAATTAGGTGCGTGTGGTAGTGAGTGCCTGTAATCCCAGCTACTTGGGAAGCTGAGGCAAGAGAATCACCTCAACCTGTGAGATAGAGGTTGCAGTCAGCTGAGATTGCACCACTGCCCTCCAGCCTGGGCAACAAGAGTGAAACAAGAAAGAGAGAAAGAGAGAGAGAAGGAAGGAAGGAAGGAGGGAAGGAAGGAAGGAAGGAAGGAAGGAAGGAAGGAAGGAAGGAAGGAAGGAAGGAAGGGGAAGGAAGGCCCAAGACTGGATAATGTATAAAGGAAATAGTTTTTATTTACTCACAGTTTCACATGGCTGAGGAAGTCTCAGGAAACTTGCAATCATGGCACAAGGCAAGGGGAAGAAAGGACCTTCTTTACCTGGCAGCAGGAGAAAGAAGTGTAAACAGGAGAAATGCCAGATACTTATAAAACCATCAGATCTTATAAAAACTCACTATCATGAGAAAAGCACAGGGGATACTACCACCATGATCCAATCACCTTCTTTCCTCGACGTGTGGGGATTACAGGTCTCTCCCTCAACACATAGCAATTACAATTTGAGATGAGATTTGGTTGTGGACAGAAAGCCAAACCACATCACTATTGTTCTGTTCTTTGTATCCACGTGTACTCAATGTTTAGCTCCTACTTATAAGTAAGATTATATAGAACTTGGTTTTATGTTCCCATATTGGTTTCCTTAAATAATGGCCTCCAGCTCCATCTATGTTGCTGCAAAGGACATAATCTCAATCTTTTTTATGGCTATGTAGTATTCATGGTGTATGATATGGTTTGGCTCTGTGTTCTCCACCCCTCCCATCACAGACCTAGATGCCTAGGAGAAAAAAATGTTTTTTTGGGCCAGGCCTAGGGTCCCACTGCTTTGTGCTGCTTTGGGACATGGCATCCTGTGTCCCAGCCACTCCAGCTCCAGCCGTGGCTAAAAGAGGCCAAGGTACAGCTCAGACCATTGCTTCAGAGGGTGCAAGCTCCAATCCTTTTTGGCTTCCATGTGGTGTTGAGCTTGTAGGTGTGCAAAAGGCAAGAGCTGAGATTTGGGTGCTTCCACACAGGTTTCAGAGGCTGTATGGAATTGCCTGGATGTTCAGGCAGAAGTCTGCTTCAGGGACAGAGCCCTTATGGAGAACCTCTATTAGGGCAGTGCAGAGGGAAAATGTGGGGCTGGAGCCCCCAAACAGAGTCCCTACTGGGGCACTCAACCTTTCTCCTCAACCTTGTCAGCATCTGTTAATTTTTGACTTTTTAAATAATAGTGGTTAGAAATTTTGAGTATTTTTTCATATGCTTTTTGGCCACTTATGTGTCTTTTTTTTTTTAAATGCCTGTTCATGACCTTTGCCTAATTTGTAATAGGGTTGTTTGGTTTTGCTTGCTAATTTGCATAGTTTGTAGTTTGTCTAGTTTGTTGTACAGCTTGAAGTTTCTTATAGATCATGGTTATTAGACCTTTCTCACATGCATAGTTTGCAAGTATTTTCTTCCATTCTGTAGGTCTTCTTTTTGCAGTGTTGATAGTTTCTTTTGCAGTGCAGAATCTTTTTAGTTTAATTAAGTTCCATTTGTCAGTGTTTGCTTTTGTTGCAATTGCGATTGACATCTTCATTATTAAATCTTGGCCAGGGCCTATGTCCATCATGGTATTTCCTAGGTTTTCATTGGGGTTTTTATAGTTTTAGGTTTTACATTTAGTTCTGTAATTCATTTTGAGTTGTTATTTTTACATGGTATAAATTAGGTGTCCAGTTTCAATATTCTGCATTTGGCTATGCCAGCACAATTTGTTGAACAGGGAGTCTTTTCCCTCTTGCTTGTTTTTGTCAATCTTATCAGAGATCAGATGGTTTTAGGTGTGTGGCTTTACTTCTGGGCTCTCTTTTGTGTTTCTGTGGTCTATGTGTCTGTTTTATACCAGTACCACGCTGTTTTGGTTACTGTCATCTTTTAATATATTTTAAAGTCAAGAAGAAGTGTGAGGCCTCTGACTTTTTTTTTTCTTAGTATTGCTTTGGTTTTTCAGGCTTTTTTTGGTTTCACATAAATTTTCGAATATATATATATATTTAATTCTGTGAACAATGTCGTTGGAAATTTAATAGAAATAGCATTGAACCTGTAAATTGCTTTGTGCAGTATGGACAGTAAACGAATATTGACTCTTCTTATCCATGTAATGTTTTTCCATTTGTTTGTGACATCTTTAATTTCTTTGAGCAGAGTTTTGTAATTCCCACAGTAAAGATTTTTCAGCTACCTGGTCAGCTATATTCCTAGATTTTTTTTTAATTTTATTATTATTATACTTTAAGTTTTAGGGTACATGTGCACAATGTGCAGGTTTGTTACATATTTATACATGTGTCATGTTGGTGTGCTGCACCCATTAACTCGTCATTTAGCATTAGGTATATCTCCTAATGCTGTCCCTCCCCCCTCCCCCTACCCCACAACAGTCCCCGGAGTGTGATGTTCCCCTTCCTGTGTCCATGTGTTCTCATTGTTCAATTCCCACCTATGAGTGAGAATATGCGGTGTTTGGTTTTTTGTCCTTGCAATAGTTTGCTGAGAATGATGGTTTCCAGCTTCATCCATGTCCCTACAAAGGTCATGAACTCATCATTTTTTATGGCTGCATAGTATTCCATGGTGTATATGTGCCACATTTTCTTAATCCAGTCTATCATTGTTGGACATTTGGGTTGGTTCCAAGTCCTTGCTATTGTGAATAGTACTGCAATAAACATACATGTGCATGTGTCTTTATAGCAGCATGATTTATAGTCCTTTGGGTATATACCCAGTAATGGGATGGCTGGGTCAAATGGTATTTCTAGTTCTAGATCCCTGAGGAATTGACACACTGACTTCCACAATGGTTGAACTAGTTTACAGTCCCACCAACAGTGTAAAAGTGTTCCTATTTCTCCACATCCTCTCCAGCACCTGTTGTTTCCTGACTTTTTAATGATCGCCATTCTAACTGGTGTAAGATGGTATCTCATTGTGGTTTTGATTTGTATTTCTCTGATGGCCGTGATGATGAGCATTTTTTCATGCGTTTTTTGGCTGCATAAATGTCTTCTTTTGAGAAGTATCTGTTCATATCCTTCGCCCACTTTTTGATGGGGTTATTTGTTTTTTTCTTGTAAATTTGTTTGAGTTCATTGTAGATTCTGGATATTAGCCCTTTGTCAGGTGAGTAGGTTGCAAAAATTTTCTCCCATTTTGTAGGTTGCCTGTTCACTCTGATGGTAGTTTCTTTTGCTGTGCAGAAGCTCTTTAGTTTAATTAGATCCCATTTGTCAATTTTGGCTTTCGTTGCCATTGCTTTTGGTGTTTTAGACATGAAGTCCTTGCCCATGCCTATGTCCTGAATGGTACTGCCTAGGTTTTCTTCTAGGGTTTTTATAGTTTTAGGTCTAACATTTAAGTCTTTAATCCATCTTGAATTGATTTTTGTATAAGGTGTAAGGAAGCGATCCAGTTTCAGCTTTCTACATATGGCGAGCCAGTTTTCCCAGCATCATTTATTAAATAGGGAATCCTTTCCCCATTGCTTGTTTTTGTCAGGTTTGTCAAAGATCAGATGGTTGTAGATATGTGGCATTATTTCTGAGGGCTCTGTTCTGTTCCATTGATCTATATCTCTGTTTTGGTACCAGTACCATGCTGTTTTGGTTACTGTAGCCTTGTAGTATAGTTTGAAGTCAGGTAGCATGATGCCTCTAGCTTTGTTCTTTTGGCTTAGGATTGACTTGGTGATGTGGGCTCTTTTTTGGTTCCATATGAACTTTAAAGTAGTTTTTTCAATTCTGTGAAGAAAGTCATTGGTAGCTCGATGGGGATGGCATTGAATCTATAAATTACCTTGGGCAGTATGGCCATTTTCACGATATTGATTCTTCCTACCCATGAGCATGGAATGTTCTTCCATTTGTTTGTATCCTCTTATTCCTAGATTTTTTATGGCTATGATGAATGTAATTGCATTCTTGGTTTGGCACTTAGCTTGTATATGGTTTGTGTATAAAAATGCTGGTAAATTTTTTTGCATTCATTTTGTATTCTGAAACTTTGCTGAAGTTGTTTATAAGATCCAGAAGCTTTGGGGCAGAGACTATGATTTCTAGTTATAAAATCATATTATCTGCATTCCAAAATAGGTAGGTTTTCTCTCTTCCTATATGGATTTCTTTTATTTCTTTCTCTTGCTTGATTGTTCTGGCTATGACTTTCAGTACTGTGTTGAATAGGGGATCCTTCTTTCAGTTCTCTAAGGAAATGCTTTCAACTTTTAGACTTTTGATATGTTCACTGTGGGATTATCAGAGATGCCTCCTATTATTCAAGCTATGTTCCTTCAATGCCTAGTTTGTTGAGAGGTTTTAACATAACAGAATGTTGAATTTTAGTGAAAGCCTTTTCTGCATCTATTAAAATAATCATATGACTTATGTTTTAGTCATTTTTACACTATGGGTAACATTTATTGATTTGTGCAAATTGAACCAGCCTTGAAATCCAGGGATAATGCCTACTTGATCATTGTGGATTAGCTTTTTGATGTGCTGTAGGATTCAGGTTGCTAGTATTTTGTTGAGTATTTTTGCATCTATGTTCATGAAATATATTATTCTTATATTTTCTGTTTTGGTTGTGTCTGCTCAGTTTCTTATCAGAACTATGTTAGTCTCATATAGTGAGTTAGGCAGGAGTTTCTACTCCTCAATATTTTGGAATAGTTTCAATAAGAATAACATAATTTCTTCTTTATACATCTGGTAGAATTTGGCAGGTAATAATCTGGTCCTAAACTTTTTTTGATTGGTAGGCTTTTATTAGTGATTTAATTTTGGAACTTGTTATTGGTCTGTTCAGGGTTTCAATTTTTTTCTGATTCAAACTTGGGAGGTTGTATGTTTCCAGGAATTCATCTGTTTCATCTAGGTTTTCTAATTTGCGTGCATAGAGGTGTTCATAATAGTCTCTGAAAGTTTTTTCTATTTTTGTTGTGTCAGTAATTTCTGTGGTCATTTCTGAGTGTGTTTACTTAGTTCTTTTTTCTCTCTTTGTCTTCTGCTAGCTTTGGAGTTAGTTTGCCCTAGTTATTCTAGTTCTAAGTGTGATGTTAGGTTTTTAATTTAAGATCTTTCTAATTTTTATGTGGACATATAAAACTATACACTTTTCTTTTAACGGTGTTTTAGCTGTGTCCTAGAGATTCTGGTATGCTCTATCTTTGCTCTCATTTGATTCAATAATTTTCTTGATTTCTGTCTTAATCTCACTGTTGACGTAGAAGTCACTCAGGAGTAAGTTGTTTAATTTGCATGTAATCATGTGGTTTTGAGTAATCATCTTAGTATTGATTTCTATTTTTGTTGAACAATATTACGAGAGTGTGGGTGGTATGATTTTGGTATTATTGAATTTGCTGACAATTATTTTATGACCAATTGTGTGGTCAAATTGAGAGTATGTTCCATGTGCCAATGAAAAGAAAGTGTATTCTGCTGTTTTGTGGTGACAGTTACGTAGAGGTCTGTTGGGTCAATTTTGTCAAGTGTCAAGTTCAATTTATAAATATCTTTGTTAGTTTTCTGCCTGATAATCTGTCTAATATATCATAAGTGTGGTGTTGAAATCTCCCATTATTATTGTATGGTTATATAAGTCTCATCGTAAGCCTCTAAGAACTTGCTTTATGAATCTGGGTGCTCCCGTGTTGTTTTGTCTTTTTAAATAAGTTTTAGTTTGAAGTCTGTCTTGTCTGACGTTAGAATAGCAACCCTTGCTTTTTTGTTTTCTGTTTGCTTGGTAGACTTTATTTCATTTCCCTATTTTGACAGTATACGTATCATTGAATGTGAGATGGGCTGATTAAAGATGGCATACAGTTGGGTCTTGTTTCTTTGCCCAACTTGAGACTCTGTGCCTTTTAACTGAAGTATATAGCCAGTTTACATTCAAGGCTAAGATTGATGTGTGTGGATTTGATCCTGTCATTGTTTTGTTAGCTGGTTATTATGCAGACTTGATTGTGTCATTACTTTATAGTGGCAATGATGTATGTGCTTAAGTGTGTTTTCGTAGTTGCTGCTAACAGTCTTTTGCTTCTGGTTTAACCCTCCCTTAAGTCCTCTTGTAAGGCAAGTGTGGGTGGTAATGAATTCATTTAGTATTTGATTGATTGAAAAGGATATTCTGGATCACTCCTGCTTGTGGGGCACAACGAAGGTACCCAGACTTATGCCGGCTAGCACCCCACCACAAGGCAACACCACTTCCAGTGCAACAGTGCACACAGTCTCCAGCAGGGGCCCATGGCACCCCTCCACAAACTGCATTGCCTCCATTACTGTGATGAATGCCCTTAGGGAGGCAGGCACCCTTGCATCCACTACCACTCTGCTGAAGCTTCTGCACATTGGCCTCCTTAGTGCAGTGGACTCCAAACTTCAAAAAGTCATAGAACAAAATTGTGACTCAATACAAGTCCCCCAGAGTTAAAGCACACAGTCCAGGAGTTGGGAGCTGAGCATTGGCCCCATATATTCTCCCAAAAACAAAGCAAATTGGCTGAATCCAACTTATACCACAAGTAAACACTCAAGGTTACCAAATAGGATAAAAGAAAAACACATCCAAAGTCAGCAACCTCCAAGACTGAAAGTAGATAAGCCTACAAAGATAAGAAAAATCAACACAAGAACCTTGAAAACTCAAAAATCTAGAGCACCCTTTTTCCTCCAAACAACCACAAGACATCTCAGTAAGGGTTTTGAACCAGGCTGAGAATGATATGGCTGAAATGACAGAAATTAAATTTAGAATATGGATAAGAATGAAGTTCACTGAGCTACAGGAGTACATTGAAACCCAATGCAAAGAAGCTAACAATAATTTAAATACAATGCAGGAGCTGACAGAAAACATAGCCAGTATAAAAAGAATGTAACTGTCCTGATAGAGCTGAAAAACACACTACGAGAATTTCATAATGCAGTCACAAGTATTGATAGAAAAATAGACTGTGAGGAAATACATCTCAGAGCTTGAATACTGGCTTTCTGAAATAATACAAGCAAACAAGAATAGAACCAAATAATGAAAAGGAATAAACAAAAACTCTGAGAAATATGAGATTCTGTGAAGATACCAAATCTATGACTGATTGGTGTCCCCTAAAAGAGATAGGGAGAGTGAGTCCACTTGGAAAATATATTGTCCATGAGAACTTCCTTAACCTAGCTACAGAGGCCAACATCCAAATACAGGAAATGCAGAGAAACCCAGTAAGATATGTCACAAGAAGATTATCTCCAAGACACATAATCATCAGATTCTAGATCAAAATAAAATAACAAATGTTAAAGGCAGCTAGAGAGAAAAGGTCAGGTCACCTACCAAAAGAAGTCCATCACACTGACTCTTAAAGAAAAGAAATTCCAACACATAATTTTATATCCAACCAAACTAAGCTTCATAATCAAAGGAGAAATAAGATCCTCTTCAGAGAAACAAATGCTGAGGCAATTTGTTACCACCAGACCTGCCTTATAAGATCTCCTAAAAGAAGTACTGTATATGAAAAGGAAAAACTATTACCAGCCACTACTAAAACACACTGAAATATACAAACCAGTGACATGCACTATAAAGCAACCACATAAAGAAGTCTGCAAAATAACCAGCTAACGTCATGATGACAGGATGAAATCCACACATATAAATACTAATTGTAAATGTAAATGAGCTAAATTCTCCAATTAAAAGACACAGAGTGGCACGCAAGCTAGGCAAAGAAGCAAAACTTATTATTACTATGCTGTATTCAAGAAACCTATCTCACAAGCAATAACATAGGCTTAAAATAAAGGGATAAAAAAAATCTACCAAGTAAACAAAAAAGCAGAAAAAACTAAGAGTTGCAATCTTTATTACTGATAAAACAGACTTTAAACCAACAAAGATAGAAAAAAAAAAAAAGAAGGTCATTGCACAATGGTAAAAGTTAGAAGATTTAACTAAATCTATATGCACCCAACACAAGAGAGTCCAGCAGTGAGACTCATGAAGAAAGTTCTTAGAAACCTTCAAAGAGACTGACTTCCACGGAATAATGGTGTGAGACGTTAACACCTCATTGACAATATTAGACAGATCATCAAGACAGAAAATTAACAAAGATATTCAGGACCTGAACTCAGCACTGAATCAGAAAGACCTGGTAGATATCTACAGAACTTTGTACCGAAAAGCTACAGAATATACATTCTTCTCATCACCACATGGTGCATACTGTAAAATTGATTACATAGTCAGAAGTAAAACTCTCTTTGGCAAATGCAAAAGAACTGAAATCATTATAAACAATCTCTCAGACCACAGTGCAATTAAATTAAAATTATGACTAAGAAATTCACTAAAAAGCATATAATTACATGGAAACTGAATAATCTGCTCCTGAATTACTTTTGGGTAATTATGTGGTTTGGCTCTGTGTTCCCACCCAAATCTCATATAAAACTGTAATTCCTAATGATAGAGAAGGGGCCTGGTGAGAGGTGACTGAATCATGGGGATGAGCTTACCACCTGCTGTTCTAATAATAGAGTCTGGCAAAAATCCAGTTGTTTAAAAGTGTGTGGCACCTCCCCCTTCACTCTCTCTCTTCCTCTTGTTCCAGCCATGTAGGATGTGCCAGCTTCCCCTTTGCCTTCTGCCATGATTGTAAGTTTCTTGAGGCCTCTCCAGCCGTGCTTTCTGTATGGCCACCAGAACCATGAGGCAATTAAACCTTTTTTCTTTATAACTTACACAGTCTCAGCTAGTTCTTTATAGCAGTGTGAGAATACACTAATACAGGTAAATAATGAAATTAAGGCAGAAATCAAGAAATTCTTTGAAACTAATGAGAACAAAGATACGATATACCAGGATCTCTGGGACACAGCTAGGGCAGTGTTAAGAGGGAAATTTATAGCACAAAATGCCCACATGCAAAAGTTAGAAAGATCTCAAGTTAACAACCTAACATTACAATTAAAAGAACTGAAGAATAAAGAGCAAACAAATCCCAAAGGTAGCAAAAAACAAGAAATATCCAAAATCAGAGCTGAACTGAAGAAGATTGAGACACAAAAATTTCTTCAAAAGGTCGACGAACCTAGGAGCTGCTTTGAAAATGTTAATAAAATAGACTACTAGCTATACTAATAAATAAAAAACGAATATTCAAATAAACACAATCAGAAGTGACAATGAGGATATTACCACTAACACCACATAAATACAAACAACCATCAGAAAACATTAGGAACAGATTTATGAAGATAAACAACAAAATCCAGGAGAAATGGAGAAATTCCCAGAAACATACTCCCTCTCAAGACTAAAACAGGAAGAATTTGAATCCCTGAACAGACCAATAATGAACTCTGAAATTGAGGTAGTAATAAATAGCCTACCAACCAAGAAAACTCAGGACCAGACATATTCATTGCTGAATCCTACCACATTTACATAAAAGAGCTAGTACCATTCCTACCGAAAATATTCCTAAAATTAAAGAGGAGAGACTCCTCTTTAATTCACTTTAATTCATTCTATGAGGCCAGCATCATTCTGATAGTGAAACCTGGCAGAGACACAAAAAAATAGAAAACGTTAGGCTAATATTCTTGATAAACGTTGATGCAAAAATTCTCAACAATATGCTGCAAACTGAATCCAGCAGCACATCAAAAAGCTTATCAACCACGAACAAGTAGGCTTTATTTCTGAAATGCAAAGTTGGTTCAACATGTGCAAATCAATAAATGTGATTCATTACATAAACGCATATAAAGACAAAACCACATGTTATGTTAATAGAGGCAGAAAGGATTTTTCATAAAATTCAACATTCCTTCATGTTAAAATCTCTCAATAATCTAGACGTTGAAGGAACATACCTAAAAATGATAAGAGCTATATATGAAAAAACCACAGCCAGCATCATACTCAGTGGGCAAAGGCTGGAAGCACTGTCCTGAAAAACCATCACAAAACAAGGATACTCTCTCTCTCCACTCCTATTTGCCCGAGTATTGGAATTCCTGGCCAGGGAAATAAGGCAAGAGAAAGAAACAGAAGGCATCCAAGTAGAAAGAGAGAAAATCAAACTATCCCTATTTGCAGACAACATGATCTTATATCTAGAAAATCCAATAGTGCCAGCCCAAAAGCTTCTTAAGCTGATAAACAGCTTCGCCAAAGACTCAGGATACAAAATCAATGCCCAAACATCACTAGCATTTCTATACAGCAACAAAAGTCAAGCTGAGAGACAAATAAGGAACACACTCCCATTCATAATTGCCACAAAAAGATTAAAATACCTATGAATACAGCTAACTATGGAAGTGAAATATCTCTACAAGTAGAACTACAAAACACTGCTCAAAGAAATCAGACATGACACAAACAAATGGAAAAGGATTTCATGCTCGTGGAGAAAAAGAACCAATATCATCAAAATGGCCATACTTCCCAAAGCAAATTATAGATTCAATGTTATTCCTATTGAACTACTATTGAGATTCTTCAAAGAACTAGAAAGAAAACTATTTTAAAATTCATATGGAACAAAAAAAGTCCGAATAGCCAAGGCAATTATAAACAAATGAAACAAAGCCAAGGCAATTATAAGCAAATGAAACAAAGCTGGAGACGTGATGCTACCAGACTTCATACTACGATACAGTGCTACATTAACTAAAACAGCATAGTACTGACACAAGAAGAGACACATAGACTAATAAAACAGAATAGAGATTCCAGAAATAAGGCTGCATACTTACAACTATCTGATTTTGACAAACCTTACAGAAAATAAAAAAGCGATGGAGTAAGGATTTCCTATTCAATTTATGGTGCTGGGATCACCGGCTAGCCATAAGCAGAAGATTGAAACTGGAATCCTTCCTTATATCATATACAAAAATCAACTCAAGATGGATTAAAGACTTAAATGTCATACCAAAAACTATAGACACCCTAAGAGACAACCTAGGCAAAACCACTCAGGACATAGGCATGGGCAAATATTTAACAATGGAGATGCCAAAAGCAATTGCAAAAAAAGCAAAAAAAAAAAATTGACAAATGGGATCTAATTAGACTAGAGCTTCTGCATGGCAGAAGAAACTGTCAACAGAGTAAACAGACAACCTACAGAATGGGAGACATTTTTGCAAACTATGCATTCAACATAGGTCTAAAGTCTAGCATCTATAAAGAATTTAAACAAATTTACAAGATAAAAACAACCCCATTAAAAAGTGTGCAAAGTACAGGAACAGGAACTTTTCAAAAGAAGACATACATGGGCCAGCAATTATAATTTAAAAATGAAACATTACTGATTATTAGAAAAATACAAATAAAACCCATAGTGAGATAACACCTGTTATAGCAGAAAACAAAGCCAGAAGAAAATTAGCTAATACTCATCGATGGAGTGAACACTTATACCGGCCATAGCCAGAGAGGAATAGCCAATCCCAGCAGCCCAAACTTCGGTTCCCACAAACCTTGTCACAGTAGGCTAAAGCACTCTGGGGCCCTAAATGAAGTTGAAAGGCAATCTATGCCACAAGGACTGAAACACCTAGGTAAATCCTAGTGCTGAACTGGGCCGAGAGCTGTTAGAGTAGGAAGGCACGTGACCTACCATGATACCAGCTGAAGCAGATAAGGGAGTGCTAGCATCACCCCTCCCCTAACTCCCGGCTACACAGTTTGCAGCTCCAAAGGAGACAGATTTCCTTTGTTTTAGGAGAGGAGAGAAAAGAGTGGGAAGGACTTTCCTTGCATTTTGGATAAGAGCTGAGCCCAGCAAGATAGGGCACTGGTCAGCTTTGTGGGGCCTCTTTTCCAGGCCCTAGCTCTTGAATGACATTTCTAAACACACTCTAGGCCAGAAGGGAATGCACTGCCTTGAAGGGAAGGACCCAGTCCTGACAGCGTCCATCACCTACTAACCGTAGAGTCATTGCACCCTGAATAACCAGCAGCAATTCCCATGACATTTTGGATGAGACTCAGACTTCCTGGCTCAATTTGAGACTCAGCACCTTCCCAGCTGTGGTGCCTATTATGTGAGAGTCCTTCTGCTTGAGAAAAGCAGAGGGAAGAGTAAAGGGGACTCTGTCGTGCACCTTAGGTACCAGCTTGGCCACAGCGTGGTAAGCATCAGCAGGCACTTTTGATCCCTGATTCCAGGATGAGAATCTTGGACAGTATTTCTGGACCTGCCCTAAGCCAAAAGGGAGACCAGTGCCTTGAAGGGTGAATCCCAGACCAGGCAACATTCACCACAGCCTGACTGAAGAGCCTTGAACCTTATGGGAACATGGCCAATAGCCTGGCAATACTCCACATGGGCCTATGGGGGCGGCGGGGCAGGGGGGCTTTGGCTATGGGTAGAGGCTCTTCTGCCTTTGGACAGGGGAGGGAGGAGTGTGAAAGTCTGCATCTACTGATTTGAATGCAGGCTCAGCCACAGTACAGTATAATAAATTGTAGACTTCTAAAGTTTTTGATTCTAGACCCTGGTTCGAAGACAGCATCTCTTGAACAGCCCAGGGCCAGGGGGAGCTTGCTACCCTGAAGGGAAGGACACAGGTCTGGCTGGCTTTGCCACCTGCTAATCGTAGAGCACCAGTGCATTGAGTAAACATAGGAGGTAGTCAGGTAGTGGTTACATCAGGCCTTGTGTGAAAACCAGTGCTATGCTGGCTTTAGGTCTGACCAAGAACAGCCATAGTGGTGGCAGCCACAGGGGTACTTGTGTTACTCCACCCCCAGGTTCAGGGATCTCAGAACAGAGAGAGAGAGAGAGACTCCATTTATGTGGGCTAGTAAGGAAAATGAATATGAGTCTGTGTCTGGTTATTCAGAAAATTCCTCTGGATCTTGTCCAAGACCATAAATACAGTACCTATATCAGTCTACAAGAACCACAGTATTACTAGCCTTGGGGTGCTCCCTAAAACAGATGCAGCTAAGATTACAAAATCCAAGCCCTTTTAAATATCAGGAAAGCCATTTAGAAGGACAGGTACGAACAAGCACACACTGAGAAGACTACAATAATACGTAATTATTCAATGCCCAGAAACAGAAAAACATCTATAAGTATCAAGATAACCCAGGAAAACATGACCTCATGACTTTAATAAAAAAATGAATGTTAATAAGAGATCACCAATTACATGAAGGTACAAAATTCACTGTTAATATTAAGTACAAAGAAAAACACAGAATATTATATCATTGTTATTGTGGTGTGCAAACTACTGCTATCCTAAGTAGAAAGACTAAATAATAAACCAATCAAAAATAATACCTACAACAACTTTTGAAGACATAGAGTACAATAAGATACAAATAGAAACAACAAAAATTAAACAGTGGGGTACAAAGATACAGTGTTTAATTTTCACTATATTTTTTAGCTTGTGTGTTTGTTTATGCTAAAAGTGTTGTTATCCCCTTAAATTAATGGGTTGCAAGATAGAATTTACAAGCCTTGTGGTAACTTTAAACCAACAAAATACAACAAATATTAAAAAAATAAAAAGCAAGAAACTAAATTGTATCATCAGAGTAAATCACCTTCCCTGAAGGAAGACAGGAAGAAAACAAGAAGAAAGAGAAGACCACAAAACAACCAGAAAACAACTAACAAAATGGAAGAAGTAAGTCCTTTCACACCAATAATAATATTGAATGTAAATGGACTAAGCTCTCCAATCAAAAGACACAGAGTGGCTGAATGGATGAAAAAAAAAAAAAAAGACCATCTTGATCTGTTGCCTACAAGAAACACGTTACCTATAAACACACATATAGAATAAAAATAAAAAGATGAGAAATGTTATTCCAAGCAAACGGAAACCAAAAAGAGCAGCAGTAGCTATACTTTTCTCATACAAAATAGATTTCAAGACAAAAATTGTAAGAAGACACAAAGAAAGTCACTATATAGTGATAAAGGTGCCAATGCAGCAGAAGATATAACAATTTTAAATATACATGCACCCAATACTGGAAGATCCAGTTATATAAAGCAAACATTGTTAGAGCTAAAGAGAGAGATAGGACTCTATACACTAATAGCTAGAGACTTCAACACCCCACTTTCAGCATTAGACAGATTTTCCAGACAGAAAATCAACAAAGAAACATTGGACTTAATCTGCATTATAGAGCAAATGGATCTGATAGTTATTTGCAGAAAATTTTATCCAGGAACTACAGAATAGATATTATTTTCCTCAGCACATGAATCATTCTCAGGCATATTTATGTTAGGTCACAAACAAGTCTTAAAACATTCAAAACACTGATATAATATCAAGCATCCTCTCTGACTACAGTAAAATACAACTAGAAATTGATAACGAGGAAGTTTGAAAACTATACAAATACATGGAAATTAAGCAATATACTCTTGAATTACCAGTGGGTAAGTGAAAAATTAAGAAAGAAGTTGAAAACAATTCTTGAAACAAATGATGATAGAAACACAATATACCAAAACCTATGAGATGGAGCAAAACCAGTACTAGGAGAGAAGCTTATAGCTATAAGTATGTCCATGAGAAAAAAGGAAAAACTTCAAATAAACAATCTAACAATGCATCTTAAAGAACTAGAGAAGCAAGATCAAACGAAACTGAAAATTAATAGAAGAAAAGAAATAATGATCAGAGTAGAAGCAAATGAAATTGAAATGAAGAAAATAATACAAATGATCAATGTTACTAAAAATTATTTTCTTTTTTTGAAAAGTTAAACAAAGTAGACAAACCTTTAGCCATACTAAAAAAAGAGAGAGAAGATCCAAATGAATAAAATCAGACATCCAAAAGGAGACATTACAACTGATGCTGCAGAAATTCAAAAAATCTTTAGCAGCTACTATGAGCAACTATATGCAATAAATTGGAATTTCTATGGAAAATGGACAAACTCTTAGACACATACAACCTACCATTATGGAACAAGGGAGAAATCCAAAACCTGAAGAGACAAATAACAAGTAATGAGTTCCAAGCTAAAAAAAAAAAAAAAAAAAAAAAAAAAGCCAGTAAAGAAAAGCCTGAGACTCAATGGCTTTCCTGCTGAATTCTACAAAGTATTTAAAGAAGAACTAATGCCAATCCTACTCAAGCTATTCCAAAAAATAGAGGAGGAGAAAAATCTTCCAAATTTATTTTATGTGGCCAGTATTACCCTGATATCAAAACCAGACAAAGACAAAAAAAGAAAACCACAGTCTAATACCTCAGATAAATATTGATGCAAACATCTTAAACAAGATACTAACATATCAAATTCAACCATACATTTAAAGGAACATTCATCATGACCAAGTAGGATTTATTACTGGGATGCAAGGATGGTTCAACGTACACAAATCAATCAATGTGATAGATCAATAAAATGAAGAATAAAAGTCATACAATTATATCAATGGATGCTGAAAAGGCATTTTATAAAATTCAACATCTCTTTTTGATAAAAACTGTCAAAAATCTAGTTATAGAAGGAACATACCTCAACATAATAAAAGCCATATATGGCATAACCACAGCTAGCATCATACTGGATGGAGAAAAAGTGAAATCCTTTTTTCTAAGGTCTGGAACACAGCAAGGATGCCCATTTTCACCACTGCTATTCAACACAGTATTGGAAATCTTAGCTAGAGCAATCAAACAGGAGAAGGAAATAAATGGCATAGAAATTAGAATGGAAGAAGTAAAAGTATTCTTGTTTGCGGGTGATATAATTTTATATTTAGAAAAACCCAGAGACTACAAAAAACTATTAGAACTGATAAACAAATTCACTATGGTTGCAGGATACAAAATCAACATAAAAAATCAGTAGCATTTCAACATGCCAACAATGAACAATGTGAAAAATAAATTTTAAAGAGTAATTTCATTTTCAATAGCCACAAAATATAATTAAATACCTATGATTTAATTTAAGCAAAGTACATAAAATATCCCCATAATAAAAACTATAAAACACTCATAAAAGAAATTGAAGAGGACACCGTAAAAATGGAAATTCTTTGTTCATAGATTGGAAGAATCAATATTGTTAAAATGTCCATACCACCCAAAGCAATATACATATTCAATGTAATCCTTATCTAAATACCAATGTCATTCTTCACAGAAATGGAAAGAAAACAGTCCTGAAATTTATGTAGAACCACAAGAGATTCAGAATTGCCAAAGCTATTCTAAACAACAACAACAAAAACTAGAGGAATTGCATTACCTCACTTTAAATTATACTACAGAGCTATAGTAACCAAAACAGCATGTTACTGGCATAAAAACAGACACAGACCAATGAAACAGAACAGAGAAGCTGAAAGAAATCCACACAGCTACAGTTAACCTATTTTTGAGAAAGATGCTAAAAACATATACTGAGGAAAGGACAGTCTTTTCAATAAATGGTGCTGGGAAAACTGGATATCCATATGCAGGAGAAGAAAACTAGACCCTTATCTCTCATCAGATACAAAAATCAAGTCAAAATGGATTAAAGACTTAAATCTAAGACCTCACACTATGAAGCTACTACAAAATTTGGGGAAAGCCTCCAGGACATTGTTCTAGGCAAAAGTTTATTGAGCACAGAAAACAGAAGTAGACCTGAACAAATGGAATCACATCAAGCTAAACAGCTTGTGTAAAGCAAAGGAAACAATCAACAAAGTGAAGAGTCAACCCACAGAAAGGAAGAAAATATTTCTGAACTATCTATCTGACAAGGGATTAACAACCAAAACATATAAAGATCTCAAACAACTTTATAGGAATAAATCCAATAATACAATAAAAAAAGAGCAGAGGATTTGAATAGGCATTTCTCAGAAGAAGACATACAAATGGTAAATAGGCATATGGAAAGGAGCTCAACATCATTGATCATCAGAGAAATGTAAATCAAAACTACAATAAAATATCATCTCACCTCAGTTAAAATGGCTTATATACAAAGACAGGCAATAACAAATTCTGGCAAGAACATGGAGAAAAGGGAAACATTGTACACTGTTAGATGGAATGGAAATTAGTACAACCACTTTTGACTTTCCTCACAAAAATGAAAAGAGAGCTAGCATATACTCCAACAATCCCAGTGCTGGACATATACTCAAAAGAAGTCAGTATATAAAAGAGATGTCTGCACTCCCATGTTTGTTGCAAATAGTCAGGATTTGGAAGCGACCTAAGTGTTTTTCAACAGTTGAATTGATAAAGAAAATGTGGTACAGATACGCAATGGAGTACTATTTAGCCATAAAAAAGAATGAGATCCTGTCATTTGCAACAACATGGATGGAACTGGAGATCATTATGTTTAAGCAAAATAAGTGAGGAAGAAAAAGACAAATATTGTATGTTGTCAATTATTTGTGGGATCTAAAAGTCAAAACAATTGAATTTATAAACATAGAGTGTAGGAGGAAGGTTACCAGAGGCTGGGAATGGAAGCGAGCAAGGTGGTGGTAGAAAACTGAGGATGGTTAATAGGTACAAAAAAAAATAGAATGAATAAAAGATGTCTCATATTTAGTAGCAAAACAGAGTAAGTATCATCAATAATAATTTAATTATAATTCAAAAAAAATAAAAAATAAATAGATGACTAAAAGACTACAATTGGATTGTCAGTAATACAAAAGATAAATGCTTGGAAAGATGGATACCTCATCTTCCATGATGCAATTAGCACACCTTGCATGGCTATATCAAAACATCTCACCTATCCCATAAATATATATACCCGGCATGTACCCACAAAAATTTAAAATTAAAGAATGTTTTACAAAAAGGACAAGTCAAGAGTGTCAGCTCTCACTACTGGTTCTGAGCATTGTATGGGAAGTCCTAGATAGCACAATAAGACAAGAAAAAAATAAAGAGTATACACATTGGATAGGAAGAAATAAACTGTCTTTATTCACAGAGGACATGATCATCTATGTAAAATATCTCAAACAACTCCCAAAATAAACCCTTCTAGAACTAATAAGAAACTACAGTAGGGTTGCAGGATATAAGGTTAATATGTGAAAGTCAACTGCTTTCTATATACCAGCATTGAGCAATTGAAATTTGAAATTTAAAAAATTATATTAGGAATACATAATTATAAATTATATCATATATAAATGATTATATTAATATAAATTATATTACATTAGGAACAAAAAAAAAACAGGTGTAAATCTTAAAAAAATACCAGATATATATGTAAAGTTAATTATAAACCTTGAATGAAACAAATAAACCTAAATAGATATTTTATGTTCATAGATAGAAAGAGTCAATATTGTCAAAATGTCAGTTCTTCTCAGATTGATAGTTTCAGAGAAATCCCGACAAAAATCTCAGAACATGAATTTGTGGACATCAATAAATTGATTATTAAGTTTGTATGAGGAGGTAAAAGACATAGAATAGACAACAGTATTATTGAATGAAAATCACAATGTTGGAGGACTGACGCTACCCTTCTTCAAAACTTACTATACAGTTACAGTAATCAAGACAGTGTGATATTGGCAAGAAGAGTAGACAGATAAGTCTGGCACTGTCATGGCAGTGCATGTCTGTAGTGCCAGTTATTTCAGAAGCTCAGTGGGGAGTATTTCTTGAGCCCAGAAGTTTAAGTCCAGCCTAGGCAACATAGCAAGATCTCATCTCAATAACATGGATAGACAAATAGATAAATGAAACAGAATACAGAGACCAGAAACAGACCAAGATATATATAGTTGACTGATCTTTGACAAAGGAATAAGGTCGATAAAATGGAGCAAACATAGTCTTTCAATTAATGGTGCTGAAATAACTGGGCATCCATGTACACAAAATAAATCCACAGACAGACCTTAAAACCTTCATAAAAATGAGCTCAGAATGAATCACAGATCTAAATGTAAAACGGAAAAATATATAACTCATAGCAGATAAGAGAAAATCTGGATGACCTTGGGTTTGGTGATGACAACTTAGATGCAACACCAAAGGCACAGTCCATGAAAAAAGGGGATAAGGTGGATTTCATTCAAATTAAAATTTTCTCCTCTATGAAAGACACAGTCAGGGCAATAAAAAGATAAGCCAAAGATAGGAGAAATATTTTCAAACATTATCTGATAATGGACTGCTATCTAAAATACACTAAGAACTATTAAAACTCAATAATAAGAAAACAAAAAGCCTAATTTTTAAATGAGACAAAAACCTTAACTGACACCTCACCAAAGAAATATACAGATGGCAAAGAGGCATACAAAAATATGCCCAGAATCAGATATCACCTGAGAAATCCAAATTAAAGCAGGAATGACATATTACTATACATCTATTAGGATTGCTAAAATCCAGAGCACTGACACCAAATGTCGGCAAGAATGTAGAAGCAACAGGAACTCTCACTTAGTGCTGGTGGAAAGCAAAATGTTATAGTCACTTTGGAAGATGGTTGTTTCATACAAAACTAAATCTACCTTTACCATATAATGTCATATTCCTTGATATTTACTCAAAAGAGTTAAAAACTTATGTCCACACACAAACCTGCACATGAATGGTTATAGCAGCTTTTTTCATAATTGCCAATACTTGGAAGCAAGCAAGATGTCTTTGAGTAGGTTAATAGATAAACTCTTGTATATCCAGACACCGGAATATTTTGCAGGACTAAAAAGAAATGAGCTATGAATCCATGTAAAGTCATGGAGGACACCTACCTGCATATTACTAAGTAAAAGGAGCCATTCAGAAAATGCTATACATTGTATGATTCCAACTATATAACATTCTGGAAAAGGCAAAACTATGGATACAGTAATATGATCAGTGATTTACAGGAGTTGAGGTCAGGTAGGTATAAATAGGTGGAGTACAACAGGATTTTTAGTGAATCCACTTTGTACAATACTATAATGGTGGATACATATAAATTTGCCAAACCCATAGAATGTAAAACACTCAAGTGAATCCTAATGTATACTATGGATTCTGTGTTATAAACAGTTATTAATTTAGGTTCATCAGTTGTGACAAATTTACCATTCTGGTCATGAGATGTTGAATATCTGGGAGGCAATGCATCTGTGAGGGCTGGAGGCATATGGTAAATATCTGTACTTTCTGTTCAATTTTTTTCTGTGAGTCTGAAGCTTCTCTAAAATTGTATATTTTTAAATGATAGCAAACTGAAGGGAACAGAATATTTAAAAAATTATACACCATGACCAACTAGGATTTATTCCTGGAAAGAAAGGATAGTTCAATGTATAAAAATCAATCAGCATAATACATCACATTAACAGAATAAAAAGGAAATAAGCACATGATCATCTCAATTGATGGAGAAAAATATTTGACAAAATTCAACAGCCTTCAAGATAAAAACACTCAACAAACTAAAAATTGAAATTTCTCAATGGTAAAAGGCTGAAAGCTTTTCTTCTAAGTGATGGAACAGGGCAATGATACCCTCTTTTGCCACTTCTACTTAACCTGGTACTCAAAGTCCTAACCAGAGTGATTAAAAAATAAACAAAAGGTCTCCAAATAGAAAAGGAAGAAGTAAAATGATCTTTGTTTGCAAGTAACATAGTCTTATATTTAGTAAGCCCTAAACATTACACACAAACACACATACACACACACACATACACATCAACACACACTCACAATTAGAACTAATAAGAAGATTCAGCAAAGTTGTAGGATGTAAAATCCACACTCAAAAATCACTTGCATTTCTGTCCACTAACAATGAAATCTGAAAAGAAAATTTAGAAAACAAGTCCATTTTCAATAGTCTCAAAAAGAGTAAAACACAGAAATGAACTTAACGAAGGAGGCAAAATATTGTACACTAAAAACGACAAAATGCTGCTGAAATAATTTAAAGAAGATACAAATAAATAAAAATATATACTGTAATATTGGAGTGAAAGGCTTAATAATCTCAAAATGTCAATATTACCCAAAGGGATCTACAGAGTCAATGCAAACCCTATGGAAACATCCCAAAGACGTTTTTTGCAGAAAAATCAAAATCCATCCTAAAATGTATTTGGAAACACAAGAGAAATCAAGTTGCCAAAACTATCCTGAGAAATAAGAATAAAGTTAGAGGACTCACATTTGTTGATTTCAAAACTTACCAAACACTATGGTAGTCAAAACAATTTGCTACTAACATAAAGACACACATGAAGTAATGAAACAGAACAGAGATCACAGAAATAAACCCTTGAATACGTGGTCAATTGATTTTCATCAAGGGTGCCCAGACTATTCAATGAGGAATAATTAGTCTTTTCCATAAATGGTGCTGGGAAAACTGGATCTCCACAGGCCAAATAATAAAGTTGGACCATTTACACTATGTACAAAAATTAACTCAAAAGTGATCAAGAAACTAAACTTAAGGGGTAAGACTAAAATATTCTTAGGGGAAACATTTAAGAAAAGCTTCATGATTTTAGATTTGGCGGTGATTTCCTGGATATGACAACAAAATTACAGATGACAAAAGAAAAAGTAGGTAAAGTGGACTTCATTTAAATTATAAGCTTTTGTGCATTAAGGGACACTATTAAAAGAGTGAAAAAGCAACACACAGGAACAAAGAAAATACTTACAAGTCATATATCTAATAAGAGATTGGTATCCAGAATATATAAAGAACTTCTACAACTCAACAACAGAAAACAAACTAACAAATTAAAAACCGGGCAGAGGACTTCAGTAGAGGTTTCTTCAAAGAAGATATAAGCACATGACATGACACTGAACATCCATCACTAATCATAAATGCAAATCAAAGTCACAATGAAAGACCCTTCATAAACATTAGGATGGCTACTATACAAACAAAAGCAAGAAAATAGAAAATAACACGTGTTGAGGAGGATAAGGAGATATTCGAAACCTTGTGCACTGTTTGTGGAAATATAAAATGGTATAGCTGCTATGGAAAACACTATGAAGTTCCTGAAAAAACTAAAAATAGAATTACCGTATTATCCAGCAATTCCACTTCTGGGTATATACCCAAAGAAATTAAAAGCAGGATCTTGAAGATACATTTGTACATCCATGTTCAAAGCAGCATTATTTATAATACTAAAACATGAAAACAACACAAGAGTTTGTCAACAGAAGAATGGATGAGCCAAACATGGTATACACATGCAGTGGAATATTATTCAGCCTACCCTTCATGAAAGAAAGGAAATTGTGATGCATGCTACAATATGGATGAACTTTGAGTATATTATGCTCATTGAAATAAGCCATTCATAACAGGACAAATATTGCATAATTCAACTTGTATGAGCTATCCAATGTAGTCAAATTAATAAAGACAGAAAATAGAATGGTGGTTGCCAAGAAGTAGGGAAAGAGGAAAATGGGAAGTTAATGTTTCATAAATATAAAGTTTCAGTTGGGGAAGATGAAAAAGCTCTGGCAATGGATTATTGTGATGGTTGCACAACCATGTGAATGTACCTATTACCACAAAACTGTACACTTAAAATTGAATAAAATGTTAAATTCTATGTTATATATATATATATAAAACAATTAAAAATAAAATAAAAAAATCAATGATTAGCAACAGTACTTTAATGCGTTTAATGAGAATATTTTCCAAGATCTCTGAAGTTTTCACTTAAATACCAGTAGGATCAAAATTCACAATCCTATTGTTAGAGATAAGGTTAATGGGCTTCCCTAAATTTTATTCAATGAAACAGGAAATTTAGATGTCAGGAAGCCCACAATCACATACTAATAGAAGTGTTATTGCCCAGCCATTCAGTATTAAAATCTTTCAAGGCTCCATTCAAACTTCTCTTCGTTTGTACTCCCTACACTGACATGAAGAAATTTCTTTTATATCTAGAGTTTCAATTATCATTTACATGCAGATGACTCACAGATTTATGTCTTCACTTATCTCCATGGGAACATTTATTTCATGCCTCAAAGTCACCTCAAACTTGATGTGTCCAAGACTAAATTAATGATCAGTAACTCCACACTTGGTCATTTTCTATCCATACCATTGAGTAAGCCATAAAGCCAGGTACTTCACTCCCCTTTAGATCCCATATCCTACTATGAGCTCCCACACCACTATGTACTCCTTGCTATCATTTATCTCAGCACTTTCACATGCATTTCTGTATTTGATTAATATCTGTCTCTTACACCAGAGTGCACATTCCAGGTGGACAAAGACTTTATTTTTGCTCCTAATCAGATTCCTAAAATACAACACAGTGTCTAGTATGTAAGTGTTTAATAAATATTAACTGAATCAATAAAATGTTAAGCTTTGTACTCATAGCTAGGAAATGGTGTGATATAAAAAAATAAAAAATAGAATTCCTCCCCTTCCCATCTATATGAAGATGAGGTTTGTGTACCTAGCAGAGTTACTGCGTTGCAGTTGGACGCTCACCTTGAGATTACGGTGACTATTGTTTTTAAATTCTGGGTCTTAGGTTAGTGTCATAGTGAATTGAGGAAAGTTCCCTTGTCTGCATCACAGAGTGTGTGATGGAGGTGTGGCTGGCTTCTTCAGTGTCTCGCTGCACAAAAGCCCTAGGCGGACCAGGCAGAAGGGCAGGTTGTGGGGCTCGACTTCATGAGAGCCTCTAGGGGTTAATGTTTACAGCTCCTGAGGCTGCAGAGAGTGTGTGTTACCATATCCTCTTTTAGTTTTGGTGTCTATAGGTGGCTTGTGTTAAACAGCTCAATTAGACCTTCTGCCTTATTGCAAGGACAGAGAGTTTCCTATATCCAGAGTTCTTGACTTCAGGTACCAGAAAAATTGGATCCCACATGGGCTTGGAGAACGAGCGCAAGGTTTTATTGAGTGGAAGTAGTTTTTGGCAGATGGTGGAGCCATAAGGGAGATGAAGTGGAAAGGTGGATTTCCCCTGAAGTTGGGCCACTGAGTGGCTGGGGTCCCCTCCAATCACCCCTATGCATCTTTCCACCAGTCAATGGCCTGCCAGCTTGCCCGTGCCTATCAGTGTGCTCTCACCCCTCGACATCCTCTCAACGTCCAGCCTCTTGTGTGTTCTGCTGGTGTATTCCTCTGGACATCCAGCCACTTGTGTCTGTGCCTGCTAGGGTCTCCAGTTTTTTATAGGCACAGCTTGGGGACATGGCAGGCCAGGGTTGTCTTTGCAAATGCAACATTTGGGCAGGGAAACAGAAATGCCTGTTCTCACCTAGGTCTGTGGGCACAGGCCCAGGGTAGGGAGCCCTAGCCAGGGACCATGCCCTTCCCTTTCCAGCATTTCTCTGTCCCACTCCTGTATCTATAGCCTACATTTAACTGAATTTCTTGAACATTTCTAACTTGTCTAGTGCAAGGATTCCTGTATGTGTTACCTCCCATCAATACAAATCCAACTACACTGTTCAATTCTTTCGTTGGAGAGTATTAAATACCTGATGCTCACAAATCAGGGTGGAGGTGGAGGTCATGTGAATAAGGATGGGAATGGGGGAGTTTATCTCAGAGCTCAAACTCCATGGATTCAAGTCCTGCTTTTGCTAAATAGTTTCAAATGAGTTTAAAACCTGCATCTGTTTCCACATTTGCAAAATTAGACACAGTAGTAAAAATACCTGTGTGTGGCTCTGAAGAACCAAACACCACATGTTCTCACTTATAAGTGTGAGCTGAATGATGAGAACACATGGACACATGGCAGGGGGTAACAAAACACACCGGCCTGTGGGGGGCGGGGGTGGGATGGGTGGAAAGGGAGAGCATCAGGAAGAACAGCTTAATGGGTGCTGGGCTTAATATCTGGGTGATGGGTTGATCTGTGCAGGAAACAACCATGGCACACGTTCACCTATGTAACAATCCTGCACATCCTGCACATGTATCCCAGAACTTAAAATAAAAGTTGATTAAGAAATAAAAAATAAAATAAAAATAAATGTCATGGTATAAACATGAAATTAAAAAAAAAAAGATACCTTTAGTGCAAATTTGTTGTGAGGCTTATATGTGAAAATGTCCCCAAAATTATTTCTTAAACTGTATAATGACACAAATGTATGTAATTATTCCAATGTGACTAGGGTTGGAGTAAATTCTAAAATAGCTATGTGAGTGTGGAGTAGGTAGTTTCTGGCAAAAATAATTTGTGGGTAACTACTTTTTACAGTGCGTTTCTGTCTTGTTTTTGAAGTGAATAAAGGAGTGGCTGCAGCAAAGACATATTTTTTTTTAAGTAGGAGCAGTTTTAAAATACTCTATTTAACCAATCCATTTGGAGGCTATACTTCCACCACGTTTCAGCTTCCCAGAAATCCCTAACTTCCTCACTGTCTTTCACTCTCCTCTCTAAGGACCTGACACTAACCAGGCGGGCGGTTACTAAGTGCCGCCTGGTTTCCGGCAGGACCGGTTTTTACGTCATCTTATTGTGGCGCAGCATCTCCGCGTGCGTGCCCAACTGTGAGGGCGCGCGCTCTCAGCAGTATATAAAGCGGGACAACCCCAGAACATCCCAGTTGCACCAGGCGATGCAAGACACATGGCAGTCTGGCCTGAAGTTTCCCAAAACAGGCTGACTAGGGGCCTACTGCTTCCCAACTACCAGCTGAGGGGGTCCGTCCCGAAAAGGGAGAAGAGGCCTAAGAGGAAACATCAACATCTTTTTACTCCTAGCGAGCGGCATTCTGTGTGCCTTGATTGTCTTCTGGAAATATCGCTTTCAGGTAACGGTGAATGTAAGGGAGATTTGAATTAAATGAAGCTAGATAAGTATATGGACTGGGGAGTGTGTATGTAAGAGAGTAAAATACAGTAAAATGAGAGGTAAGGGGAGATCATCTCATTCCTCTTTCGCTCAAAGGAGCCCCAGACTTTTACCCCCTCACTCCCGCAATTCCCGTATTCTGACCAGTGATTCGACAGTTGTGGTCTCTTCTAAAAAGCCCCAAGTCCCTAAGTAATATGGTCAGCTTTTCACTCATTGGAGAGCAAAGTGCAGTTGTCAGTGCCCATTCCCCACCACCGTCTCCCCACTTTAAGATAATCTTACCTTCTCTCTTTCTTCTCTTGCTTCTCCTCCCCAACGTGTCTGTTTGCTAATGTCGCCATCTTTATTTTAAGGGTGCTTTCTGGGCATTCACAAATAATTCGAGTGTAAGTGTGGATTTTCTGGTGTTAAAGTCACTAGTGAGGTGCTTTTAGATAAGAGTCAAAGACAGGGTTCATATGTTTACCTACTGGGCTGCTCAGGAAATGTAAGGAAGGATATGAAACTTTGGCACTAACGGGTATTTTCATATATTTTTTTTCTCAGTCTGGTTTTGGAAGAATATATTTTTGAATTAATGTAGTAATTCAATACATTTTTGATCTCTACATATTAGGGGAAATCAGTTTATTTTGGTAACCAAGATTAAACAAGTTGTTTTTCGGTAGTTTGGAAATTGCTTAATTTGATAAACTACAGATGTATAATTTCCTTCCTTTACAGGGAAACAATGGCGAAATGTCATCAGTTTCAACTGCTTTTGCACTACTAAGACGCTTTTCTGGGTTAATTAGCAGCAATACAGACAACGATCTTTTATTCAACAACCTCTCTCGAGATATTTTAAATAATTTCTCACACTCGAAAAACATGCAGAAGCGACTATTGGCAAACCTGAAGAGGGTGGAATACCAAATGGCTGAACTGGAATATTTTCTAGTTAGCGAGGGTTTGAGAGGTGCGTCAGGTCTCCAGAAATTCACCTCAAAAGCGTACAGGATGTAATGCCAGTGGTGGAAATCATTAAAGACACTTTGAGTAGATTCATTTGATTGTGTGTTTATACTAAATGAATTATTTTTTAAGAGGGAGGGGATGACAAGTCAGGTAAAAAAAATCCAGATACTTATCGAGTTTCTTACTTATACTTTAGGTAATTGATTACATGTTGCTAAAATATATTTACTGGGGAAGGAATGTAACCACAATAGAAAAAAAACAGTTCAAAAGTTTATTTTTAAAAAATAAATAAGCTACATTAAACAATATAGTTGAGATATAGTGATTTTTATTTCATTCAACTGTGAAAAACAGTTTTCACTAATGGTTTATAATGCAATACCATAAATTGTCTCCATAAATTACTTTGCATTAAAGTAAGTAGGATTTGATGGAACTGTTTCCCCTTGTGTAGAATGCTGTTTCTTGCCACTGTTGAATCTGGGTAATAATAATAAAAACTATTATTGAACACCCTACAATATGCCAAGCACTATGTTAAGATTTGTGCTTTACACATTTGTGAAGATAGTGACAAAAACTTTTAACTACTCTTTGTGGTCAGCTTTTGAAAAAGATTTCTTTCCTTTCACACTTCTCCCAATTAGATATTCTTTCATTTAAAATCAGCCAGGCACAGTGGCTCATGCCTGTAATCCCAGCACTTTGGGAGGCCGATGCGGGCAGATCATGACGTCAGGAGATCGAGACCATCCTGGCTAACATGGTGAAACCCCATCTCTACTAAAAATACAAAAAATTAGCCGGGCATGGTGGCACGTGCCTGTAGTCCCAGCTCCTCAGGAGGCTGAGGCAGAAGAATCATTTGAACCTGGGAGGCGGAGGTTGCAGTGAGCCGAGATCGCGCCACCGCACTCCAGCCTGAGGGGCAGAGCGAGACTCCCTCTCAAAAATAAATACATAAATAAAATGAATTTTAAAAAATGAAATAAAATGCCCAAATCCTCCCTGAATTGCAAAAGTCACCTATAAAAAATTGGACACCTTAAATAGTACCAAAATGTAGTGGTAGAATGCATGTAATATAATGTGGATTAAAATTAAGGAAATGTATTTCTAACCTCTAGTTAGCCATCTGTTTTCAAATATTATTTTTTAGAATCTTGTATCTAAGGAATTAACAATCTGTTGAAGTTTACTAATAGCATTTGACCTGCCTTCAAGGGAAACCCTCAGAATGTCAGACACTTTCATCTTAGACGTATGCACATAACTTACTGAGGTGATTCAGTTAGAGGCCTACCTATTTACGTACTTTCATGTCCCCTCCCCCCTAAATAAATTACCAGTATAAATTAAAGAAATGCCTTAATTTCTTACTCCTTTCATCTTCAATTACAAGAAAGAGAAAACAATTTAAAATATTTAAGAAAAATTATTCCTTCTATTGTCACTCATTTGCCAAGCACAAAATGTCAGCAGTAGTGTATGTGGTTCTTAAACGTCTTTAGGTCACAGATTTCTTTGATATGCTGATGAAAACTATGGACTCTCTCCCTAGAAAAATGCATGTAGAAGTACACACAGAAAATATTCCATATAATTTCTGTTTTTTACATTCCCTGAAGCCTATTTTAAGAACCTTAAGAATTGATGAAAAGTTCTTTATATATGTAGGCAGTGTTTATCATCATAGGCTGTGATGCTTAAACCAGTTGTCAACAGTATATAATAAATATGTAAAGCTCTTAGTAATATATTTAATTATCCTTTGTGAGGAAACTAGGACATGGGACTTCTAATTTGGCTTTTCTCATTCTTGGCAAGTTTGACGAGTTTATCTTCTAATAGTATGTAAGTAAGTTATCACCTGTAAGTAATAACTTATTCATATAAGGCAAAATCACTCTATCAGCTGGGTATCACAATCATAAAATGCTAGATTTGATTAAAGCCATTTTCTCATTAATGTTTCGGTCCATATGCTATTTGAAATTAAACATGTATTTCAGAGGGTATAATGAACAACTCTTAATTTTGTGAAACACAATAGAAATTGAATGGGTCCTAGTTTTGTTCCGAATGACCCAAGGAAGGAAGATTGTATATGGGAAAGGAAGTACTCAAAATTTCATTTTCTAGATTTCTTTCTTACTGGCCATGGGATCCTTATTTTTCTCTTATGTCACTCTTTATAAAGAACATTAACTACACGTTTCACACAGAAAACATGAACTGTAACAAATGCTTGAAGTTTTTAAACATATTTGGATAAAAATATTAAACTACAGTCCTCTTATAGTATACATAGTCCATTTTTGCATATATTTATGACATTTCTAATTAAGTGAGGTCTTCAGTTTTAACGCTTTCTTTTAAATGTATTGATTTATATTCCCCACAGATTTGTGGAAAAGAAAGATTTTATATTAAGAAAATACAAGTAAATAATATTTTAAAACTTGTATAGTGGAAAATGTAAATATTTCAAAGCAATTAGCCCCAAAAAGCCTTCAATGTATTAGAAAAGCATTCTAATATTTACAAAAATATAATTATGATATACAGACAGTTATGTATGTATGTGTGTGTTTTACAGATAGATAATCTAAAAAGAAATATTATCACATGGCTGAGCATTAAGAAATTCACATTTTTATATTGCATTCCTGCTTAAATGTGAGAAAAATCACACTATCATGAAAATAGTATGTACATTTCCCTACTCAGTTAACATACAAATAAAAAAGTTTCCCCCATTCTTAAAAAAACAATAACATTATACAATCATATATTTTTTTCAGTGAGATCTCATTCTGGTTTTCTGCTGCCACTAACAGTAGGTATGTCACTGTCAGTCTCTTTTTGGGGATATATCATGCCTTTATATCTCTCCCCAGAACGTTGTTCCAGGTATGGAACCCAGTTAGAAGCTAGTCTGCAGCAACTTACAAGGCACTGAAGTGAAAAAAAAAATTACTGTCTTAGAATTTAAGTGCTATGATCTGTAAACAAGTAAATATTGAACTGTACTTTCATTTAAATTTTTTTCTTTACTAACAAAAAATAAGAATCATAGGTAAAAAGTGATCATCTAAATTCGTATTAATGCACAGTTTACCAAGATAAAAGCATAATCAAAAGTAACTAGTTGTTAATAGAACTATATTAACTACTAAACCAAAATAACTGAGTATGTAAATGAATTCAAAACAAGGTGTGTGAACCCATTAGAGTAACAGTGTGTCTACTCTGTATCTTCGCTGAATTCTCCGACATTTCCATCCTGGCCTTAGGATGAGTGTGAGGTAAGGATCTAAATCAGTGTGTACCTGGGATATGTTTCAAGAACAAAGGAAAAAAAGTTCCAGGATCAAACCATGGATTTGGATCCATTGTTATATGGACTTGCTAATTTATTTAAATCTAAGACTCCTGAGCCTACTTTGTTGTTGTCTTACTGAGATATCATAATAAACTTTATCCCCTTAGACCTCCATGGAAGAAAGACGACTCAGGGTCTAGATTGAGTTCCAGATATTTACCAGGCTTATTCCAGTATGAAAACACTATTAGGATGTATATTATAACCAGATAAGGTTTCAAAAGTAGTGACTATGGATATAAACCAAACAGGTCATTTGCTTTGTGACATCTTCAGGGACAACTCAGCACAGGTATAGATGTCATAGCTGTCATATGCTAAGCACTGTAGCAAGGCCCGTGGATACAGCAACAAGACCAGACTTCTCCCACAAGGAGCTTATAATCTACTATAGAGAAATACAGCAAATATATAAAGAATATAATACCATATTATGCAGTAGTAACAGATGGTTGTCAGATATAGAAGTAGCCAAGAAGTAGGAGTAATTAATTGCATCTTATATATTCTCATATGACATCATGTGAGTAAAGTAATCTTTAACCATAAGTAATTTGTATAAAATATAAAAAAAATTAATGCCCTCACTTGAAAGATGTTTTCTTTAGCCTGAATTATTTTTATGATAGCCATAATTGGAATCCAAATAATGTAGAAAATTATTATACACCAGCCTAGAGCAACTCCCCAGTCAGGGTATGGAATTGCACCATAATCAGGTCTATGGAATTGCATTAGTTACAGATAAATATTGCTGTGAAAGTGAAATATGCAAAGACAAAGCTAAAGATTCGACTTTATTGCACTAATGATTAGCAATTTGATTATGTTCCTTAGATGTGATTTATCAAAAATAATTAATATGAAAATATATTCAAGCAATTGAGATAATCTAGTAACAAGCCAGAAGACAACTATGAAAAGAACCTAAATAAATAACTTTCCTTTTTACATTGAATAAATTTTTCCAAAATTAATACTGTCATATATTTCTAAATCCAAATACTTGTTCAACATATATTTCAAGAAAATGCTAGATCATATATCAGATTAAAAGTAAAATAATATCTGAAATGTTCTGTTATTGAGCTTTTCTCTTTGATTTATAATAGCATGATTTTATTCTATGCCATAAGCTAACCAGCATATAGATTAATACAATAAGAATGTGAAGTACATTTTAATGGGCATGCTTTTCTCCTTGCTTAGGAACTGCTTCTATTCTTTCCCACTGCACAAAGCTCCCCTTTTAGCACATCAAAAACACACATGCATTTACACACACTATTTAGCTGTTTTTGTTTTACTAAAATCAATGAGAAAATACATTGTAAGAATCTTTATAAGTAGATCTATCAGTTTAATTTTAAAATTGTATTAATCCATTTTCATGTCTGATAAAGACATACCCGAGACTGGGAAGAAAAGAGGTTTAATTGGACTTAGAGTTGCATATGGCTGGGGCGGCCTCAGAATCATGACAGGACGTGAAAGGCACTTCTTACATGGCAGTAGCAAGAGAAAATGAGGAACATACAAAAGCGGAAACCCCTGGTAAAACCATCAGATCTCGTGAGACTTATTCACTACCACAAGAACAGTATGGGGAAACTGCATCCCTGATTCAAATGATCTCCTACTGGGTCCCTCCCACAACATGTGGGAATTATAGGAGTACAATTCAAGATGAGACTTGGGTGGGGACAAAGAGTCAAACAATATCATTCCTCCCCTGTCCCCTCCAAATCTCATGTCCTCACATTTCAGAACCAATCATTCCTCCCCAACAGTCCCCCAAAGTCTTAATTCATTTGAGCATTAACCCAAAAGACCACAGTCCAAAGTCTCATCTGAGACAAGGCAAGTCCCTTCCACCTATGAGCCTGTAAAATCAAAAGCAAGCTAGTTACTTCCTAGCTACAGTGGGGGTACAGTTATTGGGCAAATACAGCCATTCCAAATGGGAGAAATTGGCCACAACAAGGGGGTTACAGGGCCTATGCAAGTTCCAAATCCAGCAGGGCAGTCAAATTCTAAAGCTCCAAAATGATCTCCTTTGACCCCATGTCTCACATCCAGGTCATGCTGATGCAAGAGGTAGGTTCCCATAGTCTTGGGCAGCTCTGCCCCTGTGGCTTTGCAGGGTATAGCCCCCTTCCTGGCTGCTTTCACAGGCTGGTGTTGAGTGTCTGCGGTTTTTCAGGCACACGGTGCAAGCTGTTGGTGCTACCATTCTGGGATCTGGAGGACTGTGGCCCTCTTCTCACACCTCCACTAGGTAGTGCCCCAGTAGGGAATCTGTGTGGGGGTCCAACCCCACATTCCCCTACCATACTGCCCTAGCAGAGGTTCTCCATGAGGGCCCCAACCTTGCAGGAAACGCTTGGGCATGCAGGAGTTTCTGTACTTCCGAAATCTAGGTGGAGGTTCCCAAACCTCAATTCTTGACTTTTCTGTACCCACAGGCTCAACACCATATGGAAGCTGCCAAGGATTGAGGCTTGCACCCTCTGAAACCAGGGGCTGAGTTGTACCTTGGCCCATTTTAGCAATGGCTGGAGTGGCTGGGACACAGGGCACCATGTCCCAAGGCTGCACACAGCATGGGGACCATGGGCCCGGCCTATGAAACCATTTTTTTTTTCCTTAGGCTTCCAGGTCTGTGATGGGAGGGGCTGCCATGAAGACTTATGACATGCCCTGGAGACATTTTCCCCATTTTCTTGCAGGTTAACATTCAGCTCCTTGTTACTTATGCAAATTTCTGCGGCCACCTTGAAATGGGTTTTTATTTCCTACTGCATCGTCAGGTTTCAAATTTTCTGAACTTTTATGCTGTTTCTGTTTTAAAATGGAATGCTCTTAACAGTACCCAAATCACCTTTTGAATGCTTTACTGCTTAGAAGTTTCTTCAACCAGATACCCTAAATCATCTCTCTCAAGTTCAAAGTTCCACAAATCTCTAGGGCAGAGGCAAAATGCTGCCAGTCTCTTTGCTAAAATGTACCAAGAGCCACCTTTGCTCCCGTTCCCAACTAGTTCCTCATCAACATCTGAGACCACTTCTGCCTGGCCCCTATTGTTTATATTACTATCAGCATTTTTTTTTCCAAAGCCATTCAACAACTCTCTAGGAGGTTTCAAGCTTTCCCACATTTTCCTGTCTTCTTCTGAGCCCTCCAAACTGTTCCAACTTCTGCCTGATACTCAGATCTAAAGTCACTTCTACATTTTAAGGTATCATTTCAGCAACGCCCCACTCTACTGGTACCAATTTACTGTATTAGTCCATTTTCACACTGAGGATAAAGACATACATGAGACTGAGATAAAAATGAAGTTTAACTGGACTTAGAGTTCCACATGGCTGGGGAGGCCTCAGAATCATGGCGGGAGGTGAAAGGCACTTCTTACATGGCAGCGGCAGGAGGAAATGAGGAAGATACAAAAGTGGAAACCCCCGATAAAACCATCAGATCTCATGAGACTTATTCACTACCACAAGAATGGTATGTGGGAAACCTCCCCCATTATTCAAATTAATCTCCTACTGGGTCCCTCCCAGAACACATGGGGATTATGGGAGTACAATTCAAGATGAGATTTGGGTAGAGACAGAGCCAAACCATATCAAAAATTCAATGGCTTCATTTCATAAATTTAATTACAGAAATTTAAATGTATTTTATAATTATTATAAATGTACATAACTATAAGAGAATGACTGAGAGATAGTGGAGTTCAATACACATGACTTTATACAAAATAGATGGCATTGTAAATCATTTCATATGTAATACTTTTGCATTTTAAATTAAATTCAGGTGTCAAACCTATGTAATCATTGAATATTAGCTTGTTAAGAGGTCCAGCTAGACCTTCTAAGTTGACAAGGGGGCTTACTTTATTATGGAGACTTGTCAAATAAAAATATTTAGCAGCATTTCAAAGTCATTTAGCAGCATTTTTAAAGTCATTTAGCAAAAATATGGAGTGTCCAAATATTTCAATTCAGCATATCTAGTTCCAAACTGCTCACTTTTTGAAATTGATCTCATAATGTTAAAGAAATGTAATCCTCTCTGCAAACAAATATGACACTTTAGATTTGATGCAAATCATGGATAGAATTACTTTTCTAGGAAAACCTTTTCCTAGAAGGCTAATTGCCTTCCTCAATTGTTTTCTCTTCCTATCAATATTTTATTTATTCTAACCAACTTATTTATTCTAAACAGTATCTAAAATGAAGAATAAATTTAGCTTTGAACTGTGACAAGGGAAAATTATATCTTTTTCTGTGTCAGTTGTTACATTTGTCCTATTATTTTGTACTTATCTATCTAATTATCCCCAAATCTGTAAAGACTACAAAGGCATAAACTTTAGTGTTAGTGTTCACCATTGGATTCTTACACAATGTGAAAAAGCAGCTGATCAGTAACTATGTGCTAAATAAATATATGAATATAATTTTTTTTTTGTTTTTGAGACGGAGACTTGCTCTGTCGCCCAGGCTGGAGTGCGGTGGCACGATCTCAGCTCACTGCAACCTCCGCCTCCCGGGTTCAAGCGATTCTTCTGCCTCAGCCTCCATAGTAGCTGAGACTACAGGCATGCCACCATGCCTGGCTAATTTTTGTATTTTTAGTAAAGATGGGGTTTCATCATATTGGCCAGGCTGGTCTCAAACTCCTGACCTCGTGATCCACCCGCCTCAGCCTCCCAAAGTGCTGGGATTACAGGTGTGATCCACTGTGCCTGGCCCAATATATGAATATAATTTTATACAGCGTTCCTTATTTTAATTATGTTTTGTGTTCATATGCTATTGATAAAATAATTTTGTATTATTCCTAAAGGAGAAGCCTATGTCTTACATATCTCTGTATCTCTTACATGCTTTTACAGTAATTTTCACATAGTAGATTCTTAACATATTTTTCCCCAATTTTTTGTAATCAGAGACACCTGCAGAGTGAATTTAGGTAGTTGTCTTTCTAAATTAGAAAAATAATCAAATAAGAAAGCATATGCATTTGCTTACATATACCTGCCTTGTCAATTAACAACATTTCTTGTGGGGTTTAAAATAATATTTCCCAACTAATATAGTTTTAACATAACGAAATGACCAAGTTTCTAAAATTCAGTGCCTAAGGTAGTGTTGTACATTTTTTGCTACTATAGTGGAATATCATGGACTGGTTAATTTATAATAAATAGAAATGTATTTGACTTAAGAAAAAAGAATAGTCTTTTCAACAAATGGTGTCTGGACAACAGGATATCCACATACAAAAAATGAATTTGAAATCTTACTACACAATATATAAAATTTAATTCAAACAGGATCAAATATCCACATGTAAAAGTTAAACTATAAAACTCTTTAAAGGACAGGCATAATCTTCATGACCCTGGATTTGGCAATGCTTTTTAAAATATAATACCAAAAGCACAAAGAACCAGGAAAAAAATAGATAAATTGCATTTCATCAGAATTAAAATACTTTGTGTTTCAAAGGGCATTATCAAAAGTAAAAAGACAATTTACTGAATGGGGAAAGATGTTTACACATCACATACCTGATAAGAGTCTAGTATTCAGAGTATATAAAGAACTTTTAGAATTCAATAATGAAAAGACAATGGACCCAATTTGAAAATGGGCATAGAATTTAAAAAGATATTTCTTGAGTTAATTTTTGTACATGGTAAAAGAAAGGGGTCCAGTTTCTCAAGATGAATTAAAAACTTAAATGTAAAACCTAAAATTATAAAAGCCCTGGGAGACAACCTAGGCAATACCATTTAGGACATAGGCACAGGCAAAGATTTCATGACGAAGATACCAAAAGCAATTTTGAGAAATGCAAAAATGACAAATGGGATCTAATTAAACTAATGAGCTTCTTCTGCACAGCAAAAGAAACCATCAACAGGGCAAACAGACAACCTACAGCATGGGAAAACATTTTTTCAAACTATGCATCTGACAAAGGTCTAATATCCAGCATCTGTAAGAAACTTCAACAAATTTACAAGAAAAAAATACATTAAAAAGTGGGCAAAGGACATGAACAGACACTCCTCAAAAGAAGACATACATGTGGCTAAGAATCATATGAAAAAAAGCTCATCACTAATCACTTGAGAAATGCAAATCAAAACCACAATGAGATATAATTTCACATCAGTCAGAATGGCTATTAGTACAAAGTCAAAAAATAACTGACTCTGGCAAGGTTGTGGAGAAAAAGGAATGCTTATATAATGTTGGTGGGATTGTACATTCGATCAGCCATTGTGGGAGACAAGGTGGTGATTCCCCAAAGATCTAAAGAGAAAAATACCATTTGATCCAACAATCCTATTACTGGGTATATACCCAAAGAAATATAAATCATTCTTTTATAAAGACATATGGATGTGTATGTTCATTGCAGCACTATTCATGATAGCAAAGACATGGAATCAACCTAAATGCCCATCAATGATAGACTGGATAAAGAAAATGTAGTACATATACACCACGGAATACTATGCATCCATAAAAAGGAACAAGATCATGTCCTTCACAGGGACATGGATGGACCTGGAGGCCATTATCCTTAGCAAACTTACAGAGGAAGAGAAAACCAAATACTGCATGTTCTTACTTGTAAGTGGCAGCTAAATGATGAGAACACATGGACACATAGAGGGAAAAATACACATTGGGAGGGAGGAGGGAGAGAGGATCAGAAAAAATAACTAATGGGTACTAGGATTAATACCTGGGTAATGAAATAATTTGTGCTCCAATGACATAAGTTTACCTATGTAACAAACCTGCATTTGTACCCTTGAACTTAAAATAAAAGTTAAAAAAAAAAAGACATTTCTCCAAAGCAGATCCACAATGGCCAATATATACATGAAAGAATACTCATCATTAGTCATCAATGCAAATCAAACCCACGATGGGACACCACTTCACACCCACTAGGTTTGTCTGTCAAAAAAACAGACAATAACAAATGTTGGCAAGAATGTGGAGAAATTGAAACCCCATACTTTTATTTTATTTTATTATTATACTTTAAGCTATGGGAAACGTGCAGAACGTGCAGATTTGTTACATAGGTATACACGGGCCATGCTGGTTTACTGCACTCATCAACCCATCATCTACATTAGGTATTTCTCCTAATGCTATCCCTCCCCTAGCCCCCCACCCCTGAACAGGCCGCGGTGTGTGATGTTTCCCTCCCTGTGTCCATGTGTTCTCATTGTTCCCACTTATGAATGAGAACATGCGGTGTTCGGTTTTCTGTTCCTGTGTTAGTTTGCTGAGAATGATGGTTTTCAGCTTCATCCATGCCCCTGCAAATTACGTGAACTCATCCATTTTTATGGCTGCATAGTATTCCATGGTACATAAGTGCCACGTTTTCTTTATCCAGTCTATTGTTAATGGTCATTTGGGTTGGTTTCAAGTCTTTGCTACTGTGAACAGTGCTGCAGTAAACATATGTGTGCATGTGTCTTTATAGTAGAATGATTTATAATCCTTTGGGTATATACCCAATAATGGGATTGCTGGGTCAAACGGTATTTCTGGTTGTAGGTCCTTGAGGAATCGCCCCACTGTCTTCCACAATGGTTGAACTAATTTACACTGCCACCAACAGTGAAAAAGCGTTCCTGTTTCTCCACATCCTCTCCAGCATCTGTTGTTTCCTGACTTTTTAATGATGGCCATTCTAGCTGGCATGAGATGGTATCTCATTGTGGTTTTGATTTGCATTTCTCTGATGACCAGTGATGATGAGCTTCTTTTCATATGTTTGTTGGCTGCATAAACGTCTTCTTTTGAGAAATGTCTGTTCATATCCTTCGTCCACTTTTTGATAGGGTTGTTTGTTAATTTCTTGTAAATTTGTTTAAGTGCCTTGTAGATTCTGGATATTAGTCCTTTGTCAGATGGATAGATTGCAAAATTTTTCTCCCATTCTGTAGGTTGCCTGTTCACTCTGATGATAGTCTTACCATTTCAATTATCTTGGGTATATACCTAGGAGAGAAATTGCTGGTAACATGGTAACTTTGTTTAAAACTTGAGGAACTGACAGACTCTTTTTCAAAGTATCTACACCTTTTTACATTTCTTGTGTAAATGTAAATTTAAATTAATTGTAAATTTCTTGTGTAAATGTAAAAAGGTGTAGACACTCTGAAAAAGAGTCTGGCAGTTCCTCAAATTTTAAACAGAGTTACCATGTGACCCGGCGATTTCTCTCCTAGGTATATAACCAAGATAATTGAAAACATAAGTCTACACAAAAAAGTGTACACAAATATCCATAGCAGCATTATTCATAATAGCCAAGGTAGAACCAAGCCAAATGTCATCAGGTGATAAATGTGTAAGTAAAATATGATCTATCTATATGATTAAATGTTATTCAGCCATAAAAAGGAATGAAGTACTGATTTGTGCTAAAACATAGATGAACCTTTAAAATATTATGCTTTGTGAAAGAAGCCAAAGATAAAAAGCCAAATGTTGTACGATTACTTTTTTATGGCATTTCCAGAACAGGCAAATTTAACAGAGACAGAAAGTGGATTTGTGGTTACCAGGGCTGAAAAAAAGGAAGATTGGGTAGTGACTGTTACTGGGTATAGGGTTCCTTTTTGGGGTGGTAAAAATATTCTGAGATGCGAAAGTGGTCATGGTTATGAACATGCTAAAACCCACTAAATTGTACACTTTAAAATGATGAATTATATAGTATGTAAATAATATCTCAATTTATAGAAGGATTAGACAGGAGTAAATGGGGAATATGCACGTATTCAGTAAGTTTGATCATTCTGGGACTGACATAACAAAGAACTACAGCAATTCCAAGATAGGAGGTTATGTTCAGCTACAAAAATGTAAAAATAAAGGAATCAGTGGAGAAACAGAAATTGGAAAAAAAAAGTTGTATAAAATCAAAGAATTTACATCTAACTGCATACCCACTGACCAAAATAGAGAATACTAGGGTTTTGAAAATTTGGATTGGCTGAAGTTTTGTTTACTCTGAAGTTCAGAGTGATCTAGACTTTCCAAAGTTTAGAGCCAGGCCTTTTAATAAAATGTTCTTGCCCCTTCATATTGTTAGTATCTATCAATAAAGGCTCACAGGAGATTGATATATTAATAAGATACAATATTCATGAAGCTTCCCCCGGATAAATTATATTACAAAATGCAATGTATTTTCTATAACACAAGTGATTCTGTGATCAGAAAACAGCTTATGTGTTTCAGTAAAATGGTGCTCCAACGGACAAGTGGAATGGATGAGACTGCAGTAATTGTGTGGTATTTAGCATTTTGTTGTCTTCTGGCTCGGCTCATACTTGGGGCAGCACTATTTAAAGGAATCAAGTCCCCTGCCAAGGTAATTTGAAAAATACATTAGATAGTGATATGGCAGCTTTCTAATTTCATTGTAGTTCATTGTCAAGCATTATCAAAAGCATTTTTCTTTCTATAATGGAAGGATTCAAATGTATGAAAAGCTTTCTAAGTAGTCATCTTAAGCTATAAGTAAATATATAGGATCTCTGGTGTTTTTTTTTTTTAGACGGAGTTTCGCTCTTGTTGCCCAGGCTGGAGTGCAGTGGCATGATCTCGGCTCACTGCAGCATCTGCCTCTCAGGTTCAAGCAATTCTCCTGCCTCAGCCTCCCGAGTTGCTGGGATTACAGGCATGTGCCACTATGCCAGGCTAATTTTGTATTTTTAGTAGAGACAGGGTTTCTCCATGTTGGTCACGCTGATCTCAAACTCTGGACCTCAGGTGATCCGCCTGCCTTGGCCTCCCGAAGTGCTGGGATTACAGGCAGGAGCCACCGTGCCCAGCCCGGATCTCTGTCTTGCTAAATACAAAACAAACAAACAAAATAGTAACTACTACTAGAGTTGCACAATTACTCAAAAATTGGACCCTTTTAGCTGATACAGCATTCTGAGGCTTGAGAGTATATTATAAAATTTTCTATCCTACCATATAAGGAAGCATTTTGAATGGAATCGTATATTGCAATGTTTGGTTTGGAAAATCTAGATCCTTGTTCTATAGAATAATAGTATCAGGAATCCCCTAGTTGGAGAGAGAGAAAGAGAGAGAAATGTGTATATGTGTGTGTGTGTGTGTGTGTGTGTGTGTGTGTGTGTGTGTGTGTGTGTACACACACTGTATTTATTCTCTTAAATATTGCCAAAATATACACAGAACTTTTTCTCTCAGGGAAATGGCCTCTTTTGAAAAACATTCTGTTATATTTTCCTGCTTAATTTTTTACTTTTATAAACTTTCAGGGAAAATCATGATAATTTAAGAAAACAACATGAAATTTTCTCCGTGAATAGTTGCACAATACCCAGAAAAAATGTCTATGAGTTTTTAACTAGTCAATGGAAATTTCTGTAAGGTGGAGGACAGGAATAACTGGGGATCTTATCTTTGTATTCTCAGTACAATATCCAGCACATTCAGTTAATGTTAAGTTGTAATGAGACATGCTGTTACATCACAAAAATACTGTGAATATCACAAATCCAGGGAAAACTTCCTAAAATGTTTTAGTTCCACATTTTTTAAACCCTTGGTTTCCTTTTGATGTTAATATTGAAAGAGTCCATTAAAGGCCATTTACCCAGGCGATTAATTTTTATTGGTCTCTGAATGACTTGTTTAAATCATCTCCTTGGATGTATTATAAAACATAGGACATCTATGGATCAAAGAAAACATCCATATTCAGGCAAAGCTGGTCTCAAAGGCAATCTGCTCATCTGGAACCATGTGTAATCTGGTACAGAAGCAGTGCACTTGTATGTATGCTATCAAACTCTCTTAATGGTAGCTGTAAGGATAACAGTAACAAGTGTCCAGTATTCACTTCAGTATGCTTTTCTGGGATTTGGATATCTACTAGAAAATATTTTCCTTCGTCTTGAAGGCTGAATATATACTAACCACTGCAGGGTTTAAAATCATTTCCTGCCTCATCTCAATGCAGTAATTTACTGAGAGAAGAAGGATACAACCTAAACCTGGGAAATGCTGATTAATACATCAAAGTATTTTTTAAATGGATCATTTGAGAGTTGTGAGAACACAAATAAGAAATTATGCTAACTTTGCTATATCATCAGACCCTATGAAATCCCAGTATTTTATTTAAATAATCTCAACTTGCTAATAATTTTACTTGTGTACAATTATATATGATTGTAAATATATATCATGATTTAAAAAATAACATTAATTTTTGGTTATTTTTTTGTTAAGTGTTATATTTTACAGCTCTTTTCCCCTATGTGGTCCTACTCATCTTGTTAGTAAGAGGTGCAACTTGGGAGAGTGCTTCAGTAGGCATTTCATACTATATTGGAGCACACATTTTACAAAACTTAAGGAAGCTGAGGTGAGTCTTATTTTGGATTTCGAATTATCTGAGGAGGTAAATCTTAAAAGCAAATGCCAAAAATCTTTGGTTCCATATGAATATCATAATGTAGTAGCTCGCAACAAAATATACAGCTAGATTTATTAGTTTCTATCCACTAGGATATCTGATTTAGCTAATATTTAATATGCCATTAATGCTCTTTTATTGATGGTGAGATAATTTTTAGAAATAGGATTTTAAAAGTCATTTTTTATTCATTTAAACAGATTCTATTTGACCAACAAAATTTTGGGCTTATTAATCTGAAAAATAATATTGCATTCATAAATACCTGCAAGTTGATGACTAGGGCTATGTGTTTTATTGGATAAACTCATAGTAGCTTTAGAGATTACTGTTGAAAGTTTAATGGTCTAATATACATTTTAATTTTCTTCAAAATTTAATATCCCCAAAATATTGTCAAGTTTTGCCTAGTGAATTGTGAAGTCAAAACATAAATATGACATGGATTAAGCATTCCATAACCAAAATTGTTACTTATACCAAAAATCTAAACATATGCCATGAAAAAGAATTAGGTAACACTCTTTTAACTTTACCTTTAGATAATGGCTGAGTATATCACTGGTATGTAAAATCATTTACAGTTTTACTGCAGAGAGTATTAACAGTAAGTGTACTACAGATAGTATGCTTCTATCAGTATGGCCTAGAATGCTTTCACTTTTTTACTAGTCACATCACATTCTTAGCACACATTAAGTTCTGTTCAAGTAAAAACCTGTAATCTTATGTTGAAATCAAGAGACACTATGTTAATATTATCTGCCATACTAGTGGTACTATTCAAAATGGATATTAGTTTTAGTTTGCTATAGTATTCTTCATGGAACTCATGCTAATTTCCAGCCATTGCTGTTTTCTTTTCTAAATATTTACAAGAGGATATGTAATTATTTTTTGTAAGTTTTTTGGTAAGCAGTGCCAAGTGTATGAGATTTTAGTTGTGGAAATCTGTCATTTATTTACAATTACCTTTCTGAAAATTGAAATGTCAATCATTGGTCTTTGGTTACATTTTTGTGCTCAGTAATTTCTACTCAACGATTAATCACATAACCAAGTTATTTTAGATCTATGGAATTGTATTATTATAGTCTTGGAGCTTAATATACTTTGATGTGTCCACAGGCCATCTTAATTTGTTTCTTCATTTATCTTGGGCCTTACTCTTTTTATCCCTGTGGGTTAATCTCTTCCCCATTTGAAGACCATTTTGGATGGTGAATAAAAAATAAAATGAAAGTTGGGATTCATCACCTTCTCTATGTTAGGTTACTGAACAAGATAAAATATGTTAATGCACTTGGAAATAGTAAACTTTTTAATAAATATGAGGTAACACACAATTATTTCAATTATTTCTGTTACATTATACTATCTTGTTATAGTTGCAACATTTTCCCTAGGAAGTAGATTCACCATTTTCTTTAAAACTCATGACTTTGAGCATAGTTGAAAAGCACCTTTGATATTCTTTTAGTGGATTTTAAAAGCCCAAGATAACTGGATTTTGTACTTACTTGAAACCATTCTGAAAAATTTATATGATTCTTTTTTATTGGCCCGTGTTTCAGTGTCTCTAATATCTTTAAAAAAATCAGAGTGAAACCTAAAGCTCCTTGTGAAACATACAATTTAATCTTCTCACCCTCTGCTCTCCAACACAACACAACCGAACTCCTTCTTTGGGTTTGTTGGCAGTGAGAATTGTTTTTCTTTTCTTTTTTTTTTTTCCCTTTCAATTGATTTATTTCTCTTGTTTTCTAAATCTTCAGCTTGCTTTCCTTATTAACATTCTAGTGTTCCATTATACAGTAGGGTGGCTATAGTTAACAATAATACATCGCATATTTCAAAATAGTTAGAAGAGAGGATTTTGAATGTTCTTACCACAAAGAAATGACAATGTCTCAGTAATGGATATAATTACCCGAATTTGATTGTTATACATTGCATACATGTATCAAAACATCACACTGTACCCCACAAATATGTACAATTATTATGTGTCAATTAAAAAATTTAATAACTGATTAATTAAGGTTATCCTTAATTAAATAATGAACAAAGAGTTTTCCTTGTTGTCTATCAAGACTTTCTAAAACAACATGGTCTGCCAGCTGCGGTGGCTCATGCCTGTAATTCCAGCACTTTGGGAGGCTGATTGGGGTGGATCACTTGAGGCCAGGAGTTCGAGACTAGCCTGGCCAACATGGTGAAACCACATCTCTAGAAAAATACAAAAATTAGCTGGGCACAGATTGTATTCCTCACAATCTATGTTCTAAACAGAGAATTATAATCAGGTGTCCTTCCTTTTCTTTGAATATCTGAACTCCATTGAGATCTCCAGGAGAGTAGAGAACCATACAAATTTATAGATAGAGAGGTCTTCAGGAATGCAGAAATTATTTTTCTAACTACCTCATTACAGTGATGAAACTAAAACCAAGATAGATTCAAATTGTGCCAATAGTGTACAGCCAATTAATGCAATTTGAATTAGGATTTCCTAATCTCTAATGTAATAATATTGTATATGGATATGAGATTCATAGATATGGAGATTTAAACTATGTTCGGAATTTATCTTCACTTTTGTTTGCAACCTAGGTACACATCATAGTATGCAGTAGCATTCTTACACAGCACAGAACTGCCACACCCACTTCCAGCTCCCCTGTCACACAGGCACACATAATCTATCAAGTAAAAGAAGGTCAGAGACCAACCTGAGCATGCTGCTTATCTCTTAATATGGACAAAAGCCTAAGAAAAAAGAGGGAATTTTATTTCTAATATGATTTTCTTAAATATAAATAAAATAACCTTAATCTATCCCAAAACAGTTTTCTGTGGAACTTGAAAACTGATTGTAAATTTTGTTCGAAAAAGAAAAAGGTCAAAACCCCAAGGTGTATCTGATGTGAAAAGGACTTGTCCTTTATTTAAATAAAGATAGGAAACAATATTTATATACTGTACTAATTAAAATAGTGAGTTGTTAGCATAGGTATAGGTATATAGGCCAATGGAACAGGATAGTAATCTCAGAAATAGATTAAAAAACAAATGGAACTTGGCATGTGGCAGAGGTGGCAATGCAGATCAATAGGGAAAGGGATAATCATCCAATTGATAGAGTTGATATCTAATTGATTTAATTGATAATATCAATTATCCTTGAACAATTGATATCCTATTTAGGAAACACCATCAGTTGGAAATTTCACATATCATTCACATATCACATAAATTGATATGCACAATGTCAATATTAGGTGAATTGAAAATTTGACAATATAGGCAAAAACTTGAATTCTTTTAGAAGAACATATAGAATAGTACCTTTATAACCTTGGGCTAAGCAGTTTTTAAAAGTAACAGAGATCAAGGGCAATACATATAATCAAAGATGGATACCTTCATTTTCAGTAAACCCACAACAACTGTGGTTAATCAAAGGATACAATGTTAAAAGGTAAAAAAAATAAGCCACAAATTGGGAGGCAAAAAATCAACATATATAATAGACAAAGAATTAGAATCCAAAAGACATCAATAATTATTAGAAACCAAGTAACACAGGCCAAACCAAAAACTGGCAAAAGACATAAACAAGAATTTCACAGAAAAAAAATCCTATGGAAAATGAAGTGTTGGCAAGTATATGGTGGAATGGGAACCCTCAAACCCAGCTAGTGGGAGTGCAAAATGGTATAACCACTTTAAAGAACAATTTGGCAAGATTTAGTAAAAGAGGGGAATGCGTATACTTTTCAACATCACAGTTCCACACCTACATATGGGGAATATATAAGAATGTTTACAGCTCTATAAGAGCAACACAGTGAATGACCTAAATGTCCATCAACAGGAGAAAGGATAAATTGTGACATATGCATTGTGGCAATAAAGAATGATTAAAAGAACTATATATATTTAATTTAAACAAATACATTTGCTTATATTCTTTCATTTTAGAATCATAAAGTGGACACTTTATATAGTTCAATTTGCTGATGGATAAATCTCACAATACCAAATAGAAAAGTGCACATTGTATATGTTTACATGCATTAAAATAACTTTTCTATAAATTCCAAAACATTCAAACCTAGTATAAAAAAGAACAAAGAAATGATGAACACAAAAGTCAGGATAGCAATTACCACTGGAGGGTGATAGGGTGATGTAATCAAGAAGGGACAGTAATATTTTATTTCTTAAGCTGAGTAGTGGCATTTGGGTGTTCATTTCACTGTTACGTATAATATATTAATTTGCATATGTGAGATACTTATACAAATAAAAAATTGAGTATATGTTTTAAAATATTAAATTATTTTCTCTTATAGGTTTGGGTAGATGCTGACACTCAGATATTTTACCCCCTTTCAGTGGCTTGGGGTGGCTTAGTTGCTCTATTATCTTACAATAAGTTCAAAAACAACTGCTTCTCTGATGCCATTGTAGTTTTTTTGACAAACTGTCTCACTAGTGTGTTTGCTGGATTTGCTATTTTTTTCTATATTGGGCCAAATGGCTCATATATCTGGAAAGGAATTTTCTCAAGTTGGAAAATCAGGTATATAATACCATATATTATCAACTCTGATTAATTCAATGTATCTCACTTATGAAACTCTAATATAGTTTATAGAAATTTACTTAAAACAGTCATAATTTAGAGTATTGCATTTTCTTTCTCATTTTGTCTTTGTACTAGGATTCTCTAGAGGGACAGAAGTAATAGGATGTGTGTGTGTGTGTGTGTGTGTGTGTGTGTGTGTGTGTGTATTATATATTAATAAATATATATATATTTATTAAATACTACCTTACATGAGTTTATTAAATACTATCTTACATGATCACACGGTCCCACAATAAGCTGTCTGCAAGCTTGAGGAGCAAGGAGAGCCAGTCCGAGTCTCAAAACTGAAAAACTTGGAGTCCAGTGTTCGAGGGCAGAAAGCATCCAGCACGGGGGAAAGAGGTAGGCTGGGAGGCTAGGCCAGTCTCGCCTTTTCACGTTTTTCTGTCTGCTTTACATTCTCTGGCAGCTGTTTAGATTGTGCCTACCAGATTAAGGGTAGGTCTGTCTTCCCCAGCCCACTGACTCAAATGTTAATCTCCTTTGTCAACACCCTCACAGACACACCCAGGATCAATCCTTTGCATCCTTCAATCCAGTCAAGTTGACACTCAGTATCACCCATCACAGTCTTACATAATTTGGTTGCCTTAATAATATAATAATTCTTAGATTATCCATGTAAACAGGAGTATATTAGGAAAACATTGCTTAAGAAAATAGAATGTTTTCCCAGATTTTGTTTAGTCCTTAATATGAACTACTTACTGTACAACTACAAGGTTCAGGCATCATGCTAAGCACTTCCCATACATTTATGAATACATATAAAATGTATATAAACATGGACAGAATAACATATACAATCCATGGTAACAATTGCCTCTAGAGAAAAATGTGAATTGTATCAGGGAGAGAAAGACAATATACAAATTCCTTATGTAAAATTAAAGTATTGGGACTGATTATTTAAAACATATGAATATTATAAAGGTAAGAGAGTCAAGTGACTTTGAGTGTCCAGCTTTAAAGAAAACTTCGTGAACTCCCTAACTTTAACGAACAAAACAACCAAATCCAATGTTTTTAAAAAGGAAAGTGAAACAGTTGGTAAAGAATTTATGTCATAGATTGTGTTGCCAAATAAGATGAGATTTTTCTAATATCTTATTTTTTAAATGTTTAAATATTGGTAACTAATTTAAAATATCATACATTTTTGTATGTTTTGATTTGGCATTCATTGCCTATCCAGAAGCTCTAGTGCAACTACCAGGTGGTCCATTTTAGATCATATTATTTTTTTCAAGCTTTTAAATTTGGGTCTCGATTCTCAGTTTGCTTCCATTGGTAAGTAATATTTCCAGTGTTAACACAACACATTTCATTTGTGTTTCCTCTAATTGACATGCTTTTATTACCCATATTGCCCCCTAGCAGTTAATCTCAGAATGACCTTTCTGAAAGATATTTTAACTTAAATTTAAATACAGAAAAATACTTGACACTCAAAAGGAATACCCAATAATATTTTATCATACTTCTTTCAGCTATTTAAAAAAATAAAGTGTTACAGGTGAATTTGAAGTCCCCTGTCTTTCTCTCCCTGATACAATTCATATTTTTCTCTAGAGGCAACTGTTACCATGGATTGTGTATGTTATTCTGTCCATGTTTATATACATTTTATATGTATTCAAAAATAACATATACATTTTTAAATTTTCCCATAAATGTGAAGTTTCATGGCATACATATTACTCTGAAAGTTGTTTTTGCATTAATTATGAATCAAGTTGATACATAGGTATATAGATCTAATTAAATCACAATCTCTTTTTACCATAATAATGAGCATTTGAATAATTTAATTAAAAAAATTACACACACTGCTGCAATGATCATACTTGCACATAGTTCTATGCACATATAGGGATTTACCTAGATTATATGACGAGGGAAATTCTGAAAAAAAAATTTCATTCTACCACTCTCTCATATAAAACAGTTTCATAGTTTACTCTGTTTATAGGATAAAATCCAGAGTTTTCTTGTTGACTTTTAAAATCCTCGAAAATCTCAAACATCTTTTCTGATATTTTCATTCACACATCTTTCTACTCTTGGCCAGTTCCCTATTTCATGAACACATTTATTTCTAAACCTAGAATCCTTTATGTCTCCATACCACTGATTCAAATATTTACCTTATTTAAAAGTCCTATTAGAATTCTTCCTTTTAGACGAATTCAGCTCACAGAGGACTGTTACCTTACGATTGCTATCAATGAAAAATCATATAAAGCAGACTAAAAACAACAAATAGAACTGCATTCAGTTTTCATCAGAACCAAGTAATGACTGCCAAAAGAAATGACCCTATGGGTTTTTAAAAGCAAGGAGCAGGGCTCAGAGTGTCTACTCAACATATGTTTGTAAATTTGATAAACAGACATGGAATTCTGTGATTAACAGTATTGGCAAATAAGTTGATATATAACATGTCATTTTTCCCCCTCTGAAGAAGTGATCAAAACAACGATTCAAGATTTACTTCCCAAAGTGATGAAGAAAATGATGGTTTCCATAACTTTGGGCTGCTGCTTGGTTTTGTTTCTCCTTGGTCTTGTCTGTGTGACTCAGGTATACTACAGCATTTTTTTCGTACACAAATTATTAGTTGGAACATACTTTATAACCTAACGAAAGAAACGAAGGCTTAAGAGGTTGCTTAGTGACAAGTCCAGGTCTGACTTGGATCAAGGTTTTCTGGGTTTTAGCCCATTTTTCTCCATTATTACTTTCATAAGTCTATTTTGCAGATGAGGAGGCCGAATAATGGACAGTTACTTCAGTTACAATAAGATTACAGACTTTAAACACTACAGATACAGATACTACATTTCTTGGTAACCACTGCAGAACATACAGACATTGCATACCATTCTGATAATCAACTATTCTAAGTGCTTGTTTTTTTTCCAGTGACTCAATATAGATTGAAAGATTTTTGAGATATTTAAAGCCACATTTGGGTTTACACCTGAAACATTCCTTTACACATTTTAGCAGAGGTGAAACTAAGGAACATATGTCAAGATTAAGTTAATAGATTCAATTTGAATACCTCAGCAATCATAAAAATGATTAAAATATACTTAGAAGTAATCAATATTTTTTGGTAGACTGGAATTTACTGGATTCATCTGATTGACCATTTCTGTGCTGGATGGGGCATTTTAATTGCAGCTGTGCTGGAGCTAGTTGGAATCATCTGGATTTATGGTAAATAGTAACTATAAAATTATTTTCAAGTTTTATTAAAATAGTTTAGTTTGACTCATTTTCATTATGTTTACCTAATTATACTATTAATTTTTATACTATTATAATAGTAAAGTACAATATACTGGACAAAATATATTATGAAGAAAATGTAGTTACAGGTGTATGCTTCATTGTTGTGCTACAGAAAAATGTTTAGACACAGAAAGATCATTGATGCCACAATGGTTATTGGAAGAAAATACTAGCAAACATTCAATGTACTCTTTGTCTTGTTTAGGAGGGAACAGATTCATTGAGGATATAGAAATGATGATTGGAGCAAAGAGGTGGATATTCTGGCTATGGTGGAGAGCTGGCTGGTTTGTCATTACTCCTATCCTTTTGATTGTAAGTAATAATATACCATGACATTGGTATCAATAATATATACATTCTAAAACTTAGTAATTCACATTGAAGACAAAAGGCAAACTAATTTTATAAGTGAATGATTTTCAAGTTTTGCAGTATTTATAGCTGGTGCCTCCAAGTTGCTTCAATTAAAACGCCTTTGCAGTATTATTTTGAGACCATCAGTTTAAACATTTACCATTTGAGAAAATAAACAGGTTCATATACACTTAAAAGTTATCAATAATTTAAAATTTATCAGTAGAATAAAGGAAAATAAATCATGAATTTTCTTATTCCCTAAAAAATATTTTGAGCCAACAATAATGTTCCTAACCATTCTGCCAGGCACAGAAAACACAGAGATACATAAGGCCTACATCCTGCCTTCAAGGAATTCAGTTTAAATATACTGACTGCTGAGAAACACCAGTCATATTTTAATTCACATTTTATATCTTAATGAGGAAGGTATTTGGCAACTGAAAACAAAGAAACTTACCTGTGTCAATAGGGGCAATGGTTTATGTTAATAAATTCAACAATTAATACTATTTAGGAGCTGAGGTAATGCAAAAGTTGTTTTACTTGAGAGACATAACATATAGACTTAAAATCTTCAAATAATATTTTAGGACAGTAGATGGCTGAGCACCAAAATAAACACTACACTGGATGGAGAATGATTATGAGCTAGAAATAATGATGGTGGGGTGGGGCAGTGTCAAAGCTTCATAGATCTGTTTTGGTTTTCATTGTCTTCATGCTTCAAAGGTTTTCCTAGAAAAGGAAAAGTTTTGTGGGCTTTCCTGGTGGCCATTAAGGCCTCTGTCTTTTTCCTGTATTTCCTCACTCTCTTCTGGGCCTCCTTATCTCTATTATAAAACACTGAGGTGGCTACTTTCAGAAAGTTCTCTAAAATACTATCTGGTCCCAGGACCTGGTTGTAGCTTCCTCTTGATGTCAGGAGCTGCCTGGGTAATAAATTTATCCTTTAGGATTAGCTGTCCCTTGACTGAATCAGAAGATAGAGAGGTGTGCTTTACCAAGGCATCTCTTAGCGTTTCCAGAAAGGCAGTGAGATTTTTATCAAATCCTCGGTCAATCATGGACAACTTAGTATAATTGAGAGGCTTGGTCCTAGTTCGACATAAACCTTCCATTATGCACACCTAAAAGTGTCTCCTCTTCTAGTCTCCCATCTCATCACTGGAATTCCAGTTAGGGTCATTTACTGGTACTGCCTCTCTTCCAGTTGGATAATGTCTGCTCCTTTTCCTGATGCTATATATGATACAAAGCTCATCCCCAAATCCCTCTGCTGCTTTCAGAGTGGCCTGCTTCTCAGTGTCTGTCAGGATCTGATTCAAAAGTAACATAACGTCTCTCCAGGAGAGTTCAAATATTTGGGTGAAATTCTGGAAAGCCACTATATATCTATCAGGGTCATCTGAAAACTTTCCAAGATCCCCCTTAATTTACTTTAAGTCTTATAGGGAGAAGGCGACCTGGACCTTACTTGGTCCAAATTCACTGGGCATCTGTTGCAAGGGCAAGACTGAGACTGGGGCTGAATTAGGGTGAGGATTTTTTGGAGGGGGCAAGTGAGAGGCTGAAGCTGGATAGGGATGTCAGGGTGGACTCAGAGGAGCAGGGCTGGACGGAGCTGGTGCCTCTGCTGGGGGTGAATCTGAGACTCATATCTTTAATTCCCTGAGCTTGCCCTTGCAGCCTTCTCTGAGATGGCAAACAGGAGGCCTGTATCAAACCTACACTGTCAGCAAAGGTCTGGATTGCTTTGCGAGATGTAGAAAGCCTGCACATATTGAGAGAGACGGGTGGGAAGGGCTTCCTGGCAAAACTCCATCTGGGCTTTGCACTGGGAAAAGTGCACACTGGGGTGAAGCCACAGAAGTTTGCACCATTTGCAGCTGTGTGACAAGGACCACTTCTTTAGCTGATCTAAGAAATAGTCTTGCAACATTTTTGGCATGCAACATGGGGGCTCAAGAAGCAGTGAGTGAAATGGGGATTCAAAACCTCTCACTGTCATTTGTAAGCCTTTTCATCCTGGGAGTTCTGAGCATAGGGGAGACCTTGCTCCTACCCCCATTGCTCCTGGGGTTTGGGAAGGTCAGCCTCGGTCTTCATGGCATTTTCCTTTCTTTTTCTGCATGGACCAGCGAGCTGCAGCTCCTTTCTCCCCTCGCCACTCCCCACCCCTGCCGGAGCTGGGACACATGGCCCAAGGGCCCTGCACTGCCATTCCTGCCAGGCGCCTTCCCCTTCCGTAGCTAAGGGGTTTAACTCCATCAGACAGTAATTAAGCTTTTCTCCAGGTGGAGGAACCAGTTGCATAAGAGTAAGAGGTTCTTCCCCAGGCATTTTTAAACTTTTTTTTCTTCCCCTTATCTACCCCATCAGCAGTTATGTTTTAAGCCAATTTTTTTTTTTAGAAGGCATTTTGCTAGGCCAGGACCCCCAACTATCACTGTTTATATTCTCTGTAAAGTTTTGGTTGTGAAAAAGGATCTTGTGGGGACTGGGTTTTCTTCTGCCTGTCTGTGTGTGTGTTGTTTGTAATGTCTGTAAAAAGAGCTCTAATTAATTTGGCCTAAAGAAAGACAAGCACTTGGATCAAATATTCCTTTAAAGGAAGATAAAAGCTGTGGTGCCTTTCATTTCACGTAACTTTAATCCTTGAGAAATAAAAACAGCCTTGAAGATTATTGGTAAAATGCAGGTGTCATTAAAATGTAAATAGCTGAACTAAATTATGCAAGTCAGATGCAAGGTTTGCTCAGTGTTTTGAGGTTACAAACTGATTTATGGGTTTTAAGAAATATTTGACTTGCCTGCTTCAGAATTGGTAAGGCTTGAGGACATATGGAACTAACCACACCCCTAATTACGCTGGAAAGCAAACCTTGGCTGTACTTAGCACACAATTAAAGCAACTTACCAGATTTTACCTTAACGTTAAAAATTACTAGGAGTTACCATTATAACATGTAATTGAAACTACTGAACATAAATTTACATGCAAGGTGTGTAAGAATAATAAAATGTGTGTTTTAGTCAAAGGTTGTAAGAAGTCATGGATATATAAATTTTTGCCTAGGGTTAAAGGATTGTTTTGAGTTAGGAAAATCTGAAGGCTCAAACAAGTGGTGGAAGGATTGTGAAAATTAATCTCACAAAGGGGTTCTCTATGTAAACATATTGACTAAATTCAAAAGGGTATTATATGACTTTTCTGTAAATTGAGCATTGAAAGAGAACAATAACAAGGTATTCTTAAGGTACTAATATGCTCTTTGGCAAAATTTGTAAAGGGTTATAAAAGGTTTTTGCTTCTTAAAAATTCTGAGTCACAGTTTTGGAAAAATAAATAATGTATGGTAATCTGAAATTCTATTTCATAATATCAAATGCTTTAAACATATTTAATAGGCTTCCCAAAATCAAACTTCAGTTTCAAAATTGTCTTTCCTGATGCCTGGCTTTTTGGATACTTCAGAGGGCCCCTACAGTGTCCAGAAAAGCAAGATAAACAGGATTATTTGACATATTTAGGTGCATGGTGTTGCCAAAATGATGTTCAATTTTCTTTAGGTTATATTTTTGTGAGTAATGCTAACATATGTTCCAAAATTGTATGGGATTTCTCAAATTCTAGTCCAAGTATATACTATCAATCATAATTAAGGTCATTATATTAAGTCATTGTAAACCACAGAAATTACCAAACTTCTTTGTCAATTGTGTTTGTAACTATCCTGGACATTTTGCTATTCATGGACAATTGTTGTCTTGTTTTATTCTTTTCAAAAGATGGTTTATAATAAGCTATAGAACTTTAACAGGTGCTGTCAAATACAAGCTTCTGAAAACTTTTGAGATTGTGACATTGGAATAAAGGAAAGTTTACAAGACTCATGAAGAGCTGATATGTTCATGAATATCATGCAAAACAAGAGTTTTAACTAAATGGACTGAACTGAGAAAGCTGAAACAGCCTTTATGACTTTTGCTTGAAAAATTGCTGGTCCACGTTTTGTTTTTCAGAGTCAAGGAAATGTATTTTGAACGATTTATGGCCTTTAATAATTGAGTATACTCCTGTGATCAAAATTTAGAGCATGTTTGTTTCTCTCTGCCTGGTTCCTCTAGAATTTGGAAACTATCTGTAAGTATTCTTAACTTACGGCAATATAGTTGTTTGTATCTGTGCAATAAGAATCCATTTTTCTTTTGCAATAGGATGCAATTGGAAAAACTGGGTATTTTACCAAGGCTTTGACTGGAAGTGTATGCTTCTCTTTAAGGAGTAAATCTCAACATGCAGAGCCAGTAAAAGCCCCATGGGAGACTGGTCTTATACCCTCATCTACACAGTCCCTGTACAGGGTTCCTGACCTGTGGTCAGTTAAGAATGTCACTTTCTAAGAGGTCCAGGATCTCCAAGTATATCTTGGGACATTAAGAGGAGAGGATCACCTAACTCACAGGTATTTGAGGATACAAACCCATGGCTGGGCTTAGCTTTAAAGGCCTCATCGGAGGTTCCTTGTGGAACAGACTTCCATCAAAGCCAATCCAAAAGGCCTGTGTAGAAAGAGTTATTCTTGCTATACTTCATGCAAATAATTAGGCCAAGTATAAAACTAAAGTCTACTTTGCAAACCACTCAGTCCTATGATTTTTTTTTAACAAAAATGAGAACTGGAGAGAGAGAAATTATGTTTTAAAACTTATCATGCATTTGTCGTTAAATTCTAAGCTTATTAGTTGTTTTTAAGTTTTTGCCTACATTTTTAGACTAACCCTGCTTGTTCCTGTGAAACAATCAGCAATATCCAGCTACATCTCAGAAATAACAAAAGGGATGGGTGATGTAGAAACCTGGGATAATATTCTAGTTCTGAGCAATTTAATTTTGCAAGACCTGCCAGGTGATAGGATGCCATCACTCTGAGGTTTTGTTTTGGGAAAGTAAGACCAAGGGAGCTAACAAAGGCCAGGCACCATGCACCCAAATCCTAGAAAGCATAACTATAGCTACCAGTTATCTGGGTGTGTCACAAGACATCCTTTTCTCTTTCTTGCTGGAGAAGGGCTCAGTTCCAGAGCTTCACCTTAGCATTCGACTTATGATAAGAAGCCCCTGCAAACCCCGCCCCCGCCAGACACATTTTCAATTCCAAGCTTTGGATCAAAGCCCTAGGAAAGAAACTGTATCTAAGGGATCCAGAGGCAGATGACAACATAGGTTAAAAGGGCACAGTACAGGTAAGCATGGCTACCTCCTGCCGATCAAGCTAAGCTCAGGCTTCCCATGTCCATGGATAAAGGCCATGCTAGTATCCATGGCATAAATGAGTTTTAGGGAATTCAAGGCTATTGATACCAGGGGAGATAGGGCATACATGGGTAAGAGTGGATGATTCCCACTCCCTAGGCAGCCCTGATTCATGTGTGCAAGCCATTTTGGCACTCATGGCGGCACCTGCCAAGGTTGCCAGGACTCAGGGATGCAGGATGGAAGAGGGAAAGAGGATGCTCTTTCTTCTCTCCCTCACGTACCCTGTGTATCTGCTCAGAAGACGCCTGCTCCCCTCTTTCTAGAGGGGTAATCATTCATCTTCAATCTGTAGCCCCCTTTTTTTGAGATGGAGTCTTGCTCTGTCAGAGTGCAATGGTGCAGTCTTGGCTCACTGCAACCTCTACCTCCCAGGTTCAAGCGATTCTCCTGCCTCAGCCTCCTGAGTAGTTGGGATTACAGGCGTCCACCACACCCGGCTAATTTTTTTTTTGTATTTTTAGTAGAGACAGGGTTTCACCATGTTGGTCAGGCTGGTCTCGAACTCCTGACCTCATGATCCACCTGCCTCGGCCTCCCAAAGTGCTGGGATTACAGGCATGAGCCACCGCTCCCGGCCCAGTCTGTACCCCTTTTGGATGCATTCTGAACCTCTGGAACTCCTTTGAAAAAAAGCATTATTATTTTTTTTCTTCTCCTTGGTTCTATCTTTACAGATAGGTAATTGTGTCTTTTTACTATGGGACACTCATGCATCTTCCAAACTGGAAAGAGTTAATTTCCCAATCCTTAAACTGGTTGGTTTAGGATTGGCCTCAGGGGAAGGGAACACAGAAGCCCAATATGTTGGCTAAATTTTTTTTTTTTTTTTTTTTTTTTTTTTTTTACCAGTAGGGCTTTTGGCCTCCCTCTTCCTGTGCAAACTGGAAAAAGGCCTTAGGATTTCTGAGCTGTCCTTATCCCTCTCCTTGTTTCATTTTATTACATGTTTTCTAACAACCTGGTTTGTCTCTTCTTGACTTCAGGCCATCAAATTCCAAAGGGTCATATAACCAGAGCCTTGGATGATGGCCCCTTCTGCTGGGAACCCTTAGATATACCTCTGAGGGAGCTCTGACTGCTGCTTCTCCCAAAACAGTGCCACCGTCACCAGGAAGCAGTTAAGATTGGTCTTCATCCTTATCTATATTTTTTATTCTAATGTCAGTTGGATGTACTGCTTTAGAGGGGGAAATGAGACAGACAGGTGGGAAGGGCTACCTGGTGAAACTCCAGCTGGCCTGCACACTGAGAGGAGTGCATACTGGGGTGGAGCTGCAGAAGTTTGTGCAGTTTTCAGCATGGAGGAGTCTGGCCCCTCTTTCTGTGTGGAACCTGGAGTTCAAACTGTGAGGCAGGAAGTGCACCAGCAGGGACTCTGGCTTTGCCGAGGGTCCCTGTTTTCTTTTTTCCCCCCTTTTCACCCAATAAAACCCTGCCTTACCCTTCAAATTGTCTATGAGCCTAAATTTTCATGGCCCTGCGGCAAGGACCCCATCTTTAGCTGAACTAAGGAAAAGTTATGCAACAATATGGTGCCTCAGACCATCTGTCCTCACATCTACAGAAAAGTTCCAACTGACGGACAGTATTGAAGCAAATAGTTACTTCCTGAGGCAAACCTAGTCTTTCATAATTTTGCCAAACCTTTGTGCAGAGGGCTAGGAGGCATTTGTCCTCCAGATTCTGAGTGTCAAAGCAGGATACAACCCAGAGGTGTATAAGCTGGGGTGGGTGAAGAGAGCTGGTTGCTCATTCTTTTTTTTTTTTTTTTAATTTTTAAAGAGTTTATTTGAACAAACAACAGTTCATGAATCAGGCAGCTCCAAACCAGGAGTGGTTTAGGAGCTCCACTGAGGAACTGCAAAAGGGAGGCTTTTAAAAGATGGACACAGAAGTTAAGCAAGTATTTGATTGGTTACAGTTAAACTGTTGCCATATTTGTTTTATCCAGTTGGAAACTCCTTCGTTATATAATTATTAGTTTATTGGCTACTTCTAATTGGTTGAGCTTAAATTCTGTTTTTTTTCTTTTAATTTTATTATTATTATACTTTAAGTTTTAGGGTACATGTGCACAACATGCAGGTTTGTTACATATGTATACATGTGCCATTTTGGTGTGCTGCACCCATTAACTCGTCATTAAGCATTAGGTATATCTCCTAATGCTATCCCTCCCCTCTCCCCCCACCCCACAACAGTCCCCGGTGTGTGATGTTCCCCTTCCTGTGTCCATGTGTTCTCATTGTTCAGTTCCCACCTATGAGTGAGAACATGCGGTGTTTGGTTTTTTGTCCTTGTGATAGTTTGCTGAGAATGATGGTTTCCAGTTTCATCCATGTCCCTACAAAGGACATGAACTCATCATTTTTTATGGCTGCATAGTATTCCATGGTGTATATGTGCCACATTTTGCTCATTCTGAAAGACAGAAAATAGAGGTGTCTCTCATTTCCCTTGCTTCTTTTAGTGAAAACTCAGGGTGTGATGGAGAGAGAAAGTGATCGTCCCTTTCTCTTCCATCTTTGTATCCCTGAGTCCTGGCGAACTTCGCAGGTGCTGGCCATAGATATCAATGCCGTATGCACCCATGTAGCAGGGAAAACCTGGAGAATAGGAATTAACCTCTCACACCTATGCCTCTATTTTCCTTTGCTGTCAACAACTTTTGAGTTTCCTGGGCCTGTTTATGCCATGGAGCATGGCCTCCTTCCATGGGGTGGGGGTTGGGGGGTTCAGTGGGCAGGAATTGGTCCTGCCTATTTACATTGTGCCTGTTGCCTGGCTTTGGATCCCTCAGACCTTATTTTCCTTTCTAGGGCCTCAGCCAGCAACTTGGAGTCAAGTTTAGGACTTAAAAGATATTTCAGGGGCTGTTTGTCTCAAATGGGCCCTGCCGACTTTGCAGTTATCAGCCAGCCAGGATCTTTACTCCATTAACTGCCCTATCAAAAACAGAGCGCTGCGGAGGAGGAGCCCTCTCACTTAGAAAAGGCAAAAAAAAAAAAAAAAAAAAAAAAAGAAGAAGAAGAAAAGAAAAAGAATTTAAGGGGCAATATGGGCAGGTCCTGGGGAAAGAACCCCTTGCTCAGTGCTAGTGGGTCCCTTTAATCCTTGTATTCTTCCCCTGGTTCAGACCGGGTGGAATTCTGTGGCCAGGGGAAAAATGTTCCTTTGGCATGGTGCATGAGAAGCACCCACCTGTCAGCCTTGTGGGGTTCCAGCGATAGCCGTGTTTGTATTTATTTATTTATTTCCCCTCATGGCTGTTGGGCGCAGCCTTTGCATGCTGTGGATATGCCCAGGCACCCGGGCTGGAAAAGGAGAGGGTGAGGGAATGTGCCCTGAGCTTTGCGTGCCCGCGGCTGTCGAGGTGGAAGTGGAGATGGTGTGCACACATGTGCTGGCAAAGCACTGGGGTTTTCTGTGGGTCAGTTCATGTTGGCAAAGTGGTGGGCAAAGGCTGTGGGCAGGTGCATGCTGGTGGGGGCCCATCTGCAAAAACTCTCTGCTCTGTAGGCAGGGTCTGCCAGTGAAAGAGCTATGACAGTGATTGCTGGCAAGCTACCCAGTTGGGCTTCTGAGGTTTCACGGCAAGCAGGTGTGGCCAGGCAGGGACCCCAGGAGAGGCTGGCAGACAGGGAGGTACTGAGATCAGACTGGCTCCTTGTCTATCTGTCCGGGTCTGATAGTCAACAAAGGCCAAAGCCACCTAGAGGAGTGTGGCAAGCCTTGTGGGGATTGGTATTCCTAGCTGTGTTCCACTGCAGCTGTTCCTGTGTCAAACCCTGTGGGCTCGTGCAGTCTCTAGTACCATCCCTTCCAATTCTCCAGGCAGCAATCCCTGACAGCTTGAATGTTTTGTGGAGTTGTGTGGTCTCCTGCAGCTAGGACTCTCTAAGTCCATGGCGATAGTGGGACACTCCATGCCTATTTAACTCATCCCTTCCCCAGAGCCACTCAGGACCAGGAAAGAGTTCTTGTGTTCAGCAACCCCATGCTTCCCAGCTTCTTCAGCCCAGGGTCTGCATTCTCCTTCCACCCATTCTCAGTGCCTTCCAAAGATCTTCTCAGAGTTGGCTGTTCCTCTTGATGGTCTTGTCTCTTGGTGGCAGAAGTTCTTCCTGGCTGCGTGTAGTCAGCCATCTTGGCTCCCAAGAAGCATATGTATTCTTAAAGCTGTTTTCATCCTCTGATAGAACTGATTTTGCATGAGTGAAATACCCTTGAGCCTGATTTTGACTTACATAGGCTTTAATTTGCATATCAACAAAATGAAACATGGTAGTCCTGCGCCCTTTTCTTCTCTACTGACTTTCTTACCTACAGTCAAAAAGACTATTCTTTTTTCATTGAATTATTTTGGCATTCTTATCAGAAAGCAATTGATCATAAATGTGTGGGTTTATTTCTACACTTTCAATTATATTTCTTTGACATATATGGCTCTCCATATTTAAGTATCACGCAATCTTGATTACAGGAGCTTAAGTTTTGATATTAACATTGTATCCTGAAAACATGCTCAATTTGTTTATTATTTATAATAGTTTTTGTGGAATCCTCATGAGTTTCTGTGTACATAAGGTCATGTCATCTGTGAGAAGAGATGTCTTACTTCTTTATAATTTGGATGACTTGTTTTTTTTGTTACATATTCTGGCTAGAACCTTACTACAATATTGAATAGAAATGGGGAGAGCAAGTAGCTTTGTCTTGTTCCTGATCTTAGTGAGAAAGCTTTCATTTTTTTACCATTAAGTATGATATTCGTTCTAGGTTCTCATACTTTTTCTTTATTAGGTTAAAGACATTTTCTTCTATTACTAATTTGTTGATTGTTTCATGGTAAAATGATGTTGAAATTTGTCAGATACTTTTTCTGCATCTATTGCGAAGATAATGGGATTTTTGTTCTTACTGCCATTAATATGGTATATTGCATTGATTTACTTATGTATGTTGAATCACCCTTGCATGTTGGGATAGATCCCATGTGGTTGTGCTAAGTATTTCTTTTTGCCTGTTGCTGGATTTTTTTCCTAGCATTTGTTTAGAATTTTATGTCTATATTTATAAAATATATTGGTCTATAGTTGTGTGGTTTTTTTCTTGTAATGTTTGTCTGGTTTGGGTATACCCATTTTATTTTAATCTCCTGCAGTTAGATATACAAGTTCACACTTCGATTGAAACTATTCTAGCAAAGGTTAGAAAATCCAATGTTCATATCTTTATATTCTTTATCACTACCTCTGAATCATTTGTTATAATTAATTTCTGACTTTTAAAAATCCTCTATTTCATCAGCATTTATCCTTTGAAGAACTAAGTTAGGAGATACCTCCTATTTGTTTTGTGCCTTAAGAATAGAAGGGGGTAAAGTTGGTGTTTGTGATCAGAAAGGATTTTTACAGAGCAGTGACCAAATTAGATAATTGCTATCACTATTCTGATTATCATAACAACAACAACAACAATATGTGTGTTAATTACTGAATTCTGCTTCTTCCATGCTAGGCACTGCATAGACAAACAAAACAAAACTTTAAGGAGCTTTTCCTCTGCATGGTCAATGAAAACAGTGTGATTCAGATGTTAAGCCATTGGCTGCTTCTCCATTCCTGATTACCTTCCATTCTCCTTGTCCAGGCTCCAAGACTCAAGTGACTGAAAGACATAGGGTCAGTGGAGTAGGCTAGTCTTTCTTGTATCTGAGTATGGAAAGACTGGCTGCTTAAATGTGATCAAGGTAACAATTATTCACTCATTAATCAACTGGTATTTATTGAGCCTCAATTATATACCAGACATTGTTCTAGGGAAAAGGAATACAGCAACAAATAAGACAAATATAGTGTATGTTGCCATGAAACTTACCTTCTTGGAGTGGCATGGATATTACATTCTATTGTGGGGTCAACAAACTTTTGGTGTAAAGGAAAATATTTCCAGCTTTATAGACCAGATGATCTCTGCCACACATATCAAGCCCTGTGGTTGTGGTACAAAAGTACCCATAGAGAATGCATAAATTAATGAGCGTGGATATGTTCCAATGCAACTTTATTTACATAAACAGGTGGTGGGCCAGGTTTTTGCTAGGGATGTAATTTTCCAACACTGGTCTAAATGCATAATCACGAATACAGGAAATGAAATGGAAGCAAAATAGGGGATTTCTTTTTCATTATAAAGGCAGGCAAAACCAGCATGAGCCTGTGAAAGTCAGTTTCCTAAGACCTTTAAATTCTGCACAGGAATGGTGAATATAAAACTGCACTGTCTTGTAGAAAATAGGGAATTATTGTGATTAAGGTGTACAAGACTTGTCATAGAACATTCTTAAATCATTTTATGTTATTATCAAATGATTTAGTTTGAAACTTTTGATATTCTGAGTCACAATTTTGGTTGCTTTTCAAGTGTGCCTCAATGAAGCACAACCTTATAATGTCTACTCTCTACACTAAAAACTCATCTCTGACATTTTATTACTGTGTGGGCCAGAGTAGACAAAACACATGTAATATCTAGGGTTTGTTCCAAGGGTAGATGAAGTTTAAATTTGTTTTTATTTTTTAATGGATTATAAAACGCATAACTTGAGCAAAGCCAAGAACAAATCAGCTACTTGGCATTTCTGAGACATTTTTGAAATGCTGGAAGTTATTCCTTGCCCAGGACTGTCATGGGAGATATGGAACCTCTGAAAAGGGTCACTTTAAACCGAGGATGGTAATAGTAATTATAGAATAATTTCTCCTTAAAAACTTCCTTTTAGATGCAGTTATTTTGAAGCAACATGTTTTATATTCTGGCAGGTTGTTTTGGTTCACAGGTGCTATTAGCATGCAGAAGTTTTGAAGCATTTTAATTCATTCTTTGATAAAGTACAAAATTTAAGACATTTAAGACAAGATCTCTTCTGTTTATATGTTCTTCTGATTCTTGTTAAAGGTCTGGTTATGCAGCTGTATGATGAGACTTGATTCTCATTTTTCTTTTTGTTGTCATCTTTGAGATGGGCATAAATAATCTTTAATTTTCTTGATTAATATATTCTGTGAGGAAAAGTGGTTTTGCCTGGTGGTTTGACCTTTGTAGTATTGAGTATGTTGGCAACATGGACATGCCTTTCTGTGAGGGTAATGAAAAATTGGTTTATAGAAAGGATGCCACCTTCAGGTAATAGGAGGGAGCAGGAAGGAAGCCTTTATATAATAACACATTAAGGGCAATTTATTTCTGCAACAAGTTTCTGTATGAATTAAATTTTTCTTTCAAACAATTGAATTGTGACCCCAGATTCCTTCCCTCTTTTCTGAACTGTGATCAGAATGTTTTTATTATTGAGGAAAGATTTATCATTCAGTTAATAAGTATTTGTGAATGTGATCTACACTTAATGTAAATTGAGAAAAGTATAGACAGTTACACCCACTGGCACACACACATAAGTTTGAATAATTAACCATTGAATTTTTCACTCTCTCCTCATTGAGAAGAAGAATCCATAAAATGATCTCAGATACTTTCCCCCACCTCCCTTAATATCTACCCTCAAAATAATCTTATTTTTAATTTTTTATTTGAGACAAATAATCAGCAGATAGATTTCTAAGAAGGCATATAAAATTTGATTAATAAGCCAAAGGTCATATTGCATAAAAGATGTAGCAGAGAAAATATTAGGAAGTTTTTGGAAAAATATTTGTGGAGAAATACTTCTCTCTAAGTAAGCATTCCTGCAACTGGGTGATTGCTTTTTGTTTGGCACGATAGAATGGATGGACAAAGAAGGCAAGTGAATAGTGCAAAAAGGGACCAGAAATTAAAGATATAGTGTAGGCCATGGAGCCAAATGGACAGCCCTCAGAGCACGCTGAAAAAAGTTTGCGTATGTAAGAAAGAGTAGTTTCTCTTCATTTTATTTCCACTATAATTTCATTTCCACTATAGCCCTTACTGTAAACAGTTGGAACCAAAATGGAATTTCCTTTTTAACAATGTGTCCTCACTTTTTCTTTATAAATCAGAAGGATTGAACAAGTAGGAAAATAATTTTCCTTTATGTCAAAGTTGTCCAAATATGAAGAGAGCTGTTTCTAAAGGTGGTAAGTTTTCTGTTATTAGTAGGTTCAACTGTAGGTTGATTAGAAGCCGCAGGGGGTAGTAAGAGCACATGGTCCAATCAGGCTCACAACTAGACCTAGTAGCACCAAAGACAGGGGGAAAGAACAAATACTCTACAATATAAAAATAGTACTATTGAAGTATTTTCCCAGTAGACATAGGCACCAAGTAAATTTATGACTGAATTATGTTGGTCTGTCCCAAATAAATCCTCTATATTTTTTAAGATGGTGGATCACTAAAGACAAAGAAAATCATATTCTGCTACAGTATCCTCCTGGGCTAAAAATGAATTTGATTTAGGAAACCAGGCTTTTTGTTTTGTAATTTAAATTTACAACAATATTTAATGCACTTTCTAGTTCAAAATTCTAAAAATAAGGAAACAATGCTTTCTGTAGAAGTAAGATAACGTAAATAAAGAGGTCTTAACATCAACAGACTAATATAATTAGAAATGTAACATGAAAATAAGACATATTCTAATGGTTTCACATAGTATCTCTGATAAGGTTTGATCAATACACAAAGAACTGCAGAATGCAATAAAAAGAGCAAGATGTGACGCACTAAGCATTTTGTTTTTAAAATGTTTTCCAAATATCCTTTCATATCTGGCTACTGACAATAAATGCCATAAATTTTAGAAATTATAATCTATTGATTTGAATAGATATTTATTCAGAAAGATATACAAATAGCCAAGAAGCACATAAAAAGATATTCAATATTATTGGTCATCAGGTAAATACAAATCAAAACTATAATGTGATACCACTTCACACCTACCAGGATGGCTAAAATCAGAAAGAAAGAAAATAAAAAGTGTTTAAAACATGGGAAATGGTGAATAGGAGGCAGAACCAACTTGCTGCTCCACTCGGATGGACAGAGCAGCATCCAGAGACTCACATGGTAAATTTTGCTCCCAGAACTATGGCAGGAACATACCATGAAAGCAGAGGGAATCCACAGACCCTTTGAAGGAGGTGGATTGCCGCTGCAGGCTCTGTAGGACAGCCAAGGAACAGAGTTTGCTTGCTTTCTCAGCTGTGAGATTTGTAACCTGGGACAAGTTTTCAGCCCTGCTCACCAACTGCCTGGAAAAAAACTCGGTGCTGTTGGGGGGTGGGGGCACGGTAGGAGTGAGACAGGCCTTTCAGGCTACAGGCCGCGTGGGAGCTGGGTGGGACCTGTGGCTGCCGGCTTTCTCCCACTTCCATGGCTATTTGTGTGATGCAGCAGAGACAACCATAATCCCCCTGGGAACACTTTCATGGCTATTTGTGTGATGCAGCAAAGGCAGCCATAATCCCCCTGGGAACATAAAATCCACTGGCCTGGAAACCACACCCTATTCCCTACAGCCATTGCAGCAAGCCCCACCCAAGGAGTGTGTGAGCTCAGACACGCCTAATGGTGCCCCCACCTGATGGTCTTTCTCTACCTGCCCTGGTAGCCAAAGACAAAAGACATATCTTGGGAGCTCTATGGCTCTGCCCACTGCCTGACCCTAGGGCAATCTTGTATCCTTCCTATACTACTGCAGGTGATTCACTCTTGAAAGTGCACCCTCCTGGCTGCAGGCCAACAAACACAAAAGCAGAACACTCAACAAAAATACAACCAAGGTCTCTCAAAGAGCCCACTTCATTCCCTTGCTACCTCCACTGGAGTAGGTGCTATTATCCACAGTTGAGAGCATTAAGATGGATCACATCACAGGACTCTTTGCAAACACTCTCCAGTACCAGCCCAGAGCCCAGTAGTTCTGCTGGGGGGTTAGATCAACAAAAGAAATAAAAATAACTGCAATTAGGCTCTCAGAAAGCTCTATCTCTAGGGGAAGAAGGGAGCACTAAATGAAAGGAGCACCCTGTAGGACAAAAGAATCAGAACAGCAGCCCTTAAATCCCAGATCTTCCCTCTGACATAGTCTATGCAAATTAGAAGGTAATATGGTAATATGACAAAACAAGGTCCTTTAACAACCCCAAAAGATCACGCTAGCTAACCAGCAATGTGTCCAAACCAAGAAGAAATCTCTGAATTGCCAGAAAGAGAGTACAGAACATTGATTATTAAGCTAATCAAGGAGGCATGAGAGAATGGCAAAGTGCAACTTAAAGAAATAAAAAAAAAAGATACAGGATATGAATGGAAAAAATCTCCACTGAAATAACATAAACAAAAAAACAATCACAACATCTGGAAATCAAAAACACACTTAGAGAAATGCAAAATGCACTGGAAAGTCTCAGCAATAGAATGGAACAAGCAGAAGAAAGAACTTCAGAGCTCAAAGAAAAGGCTTTTGAATTAACTAAATCCAACAAAGACAAAGAAAAAAATTTCTAAAATGAACAAAGCCTCCAAGAAGTTTGGATTATGTTAAATGACCAAACCTAAGAATAATTGGTGTTCCTGAGGAAGAAGAGAAATCAAAAAGTTTGGAAAATGTAATTGAGGGAATAATCAAGGAAAACTTCTGTGGCCTTGCTGGAGATCTAGACATACGAATACAAGAAGCTCAAAGAACACCTGGGAAATTCATTGCAAAAAGATCACCTAAGCACATAGTAGTCAGGTTATCTAAGGTCAGGATGAAGCAAAGAATCTTAAGAGCTGTGAGGCAAAAACATCAGGTAACCTCTAAAGGAAAACCTATCAGATTCACAGCAGATTTCTCAGCAGAAACCCTACAAGATAGAAGGGACTGGAGTCCTATTGTTAGCCTCCTTAAACAAAACAATTAGCAGCCAAGAATTTTGTATCCCACAAAACTAAGCTTCATAAATGAAGGAAAGTTAGTCTTTTTCAGAGAAACAAATGCTGAGATAATTTGCCACTACTAACCCAGCACTACAAGAACTGAAAAAAAGACCTCTAAATCTTGAAACAAATCCTTGAAATGCACCAAAATAGAATCTCCTTAAAGCATACATTTCACAGGACCTATAAAACAATAACAATTTTTTTAAAAGGTATTCAGGCAATAAATAGCATGATGGATAGAATAGTACCTCACATCTCAATACTAGCAATGAATGTAAGTGGCCTAAATGCTCCACTTAAAAGATACAAAATGGATAAGAATTCTCTAACCAAGTATCTGCTGTCTTCAAGAGACGCATCTAACACATAAGAACTCACATAAACTTAAGGTAGAAGAGTGGAAAAGGATATTCTGTGAAAATGGACATCAAAAGCAAGCCAGAGTAGCTATGCTTTTTTTTTTTTTTTTTTTTTTTTTTTGGGTACAGAGCCTTGCTCTGTTGCCCAGGCTGGAGTGCACTGGTGCAATCTTGGCTCAGTGCAACCTCCACCTCCTGGGTTCAAGTGATTCTCCTGCCTCAGCCTTCTGAGTAGCTGGGATTGCAAGCACCCACCACCATGCCTGGCTAATTTTTGTATTTTTAGTAGAGACGGGGTTTCACCATGTTGGTCAAGCTGGTCTTGAACACCTGACCTCAGGTGGTTCACCCATCTCGGCTTCCCAAAGTGCTGGGATTACAGATGTGAGCCACTGCACCCAGCTGAGTAGCTATTCTTATATCAGACGAAACAAACTTTAAAGCAACAGCAGTTAAAAAATACAAAGAAAGACATTGTGTAATAATAAAAGGACTAGGCCAACAGGAAGGTACCACAATCCTATATATATGTGCACCTAACAATGGAGGTCCAAAATTTATAAAACAATTACTACTAAACCTAAGAAATGAGATAGATGGCAACACAATAATAATGGGGGATTTCAATACTCCACTGACAACACTAGACAGGTCATCAAGACAGAAAGTCAACAAAGAAGCAATGGACTTAAATTATACCCTAGAACAAATGAACTTAACAGATATTTACAGAACATTCTACCCAACAACTGCAGAATAGACATTCTATTCATCAGCACATGGAACATTCCTCACGATAGACCATATTATAGGCCACAAAACAAGTCTCGACAAATTTAAAACAAATGTAAATTATATCAAGTACTCTCTCAGACCACAGCTGAATAAAATTGGAAATCAACTCAAAAAGGAACACTGAAAACCATGCAAATACATAGAAAGTAAATAACCTGTTCCTGAATGATCTTTGGGTCAACAAAGAAATCAGGATGGAAATTAAAAATTTATTTGAACTGAACAATAATAGTGACACAACCTATCAAAACATCTGGGATACAGCAAAAGTGGTGCTAAGAGGAAAGTTCATAGCATTAAACGTCTACATCAAAAAGTCTGAAAGAGCACAAATAGAAAATATAAGGTCACACCTCAATGAATGAGAGAAAAAAGAGAGAAAACAAACACAAATCTGGAAGAATAAAAGAAATAACAAAGATCAGAGCAGAGCTAAAGGAAATTGAAACAAAAAAATACAAAAGATAAATGAAACAAAAAGCTGATTCTTTAATACATACATATATATAATTGATAGACCATTAGTGAGATTAACCAAGAAAAGAAGAGAGAAGATGCAAACAAGCTCAATGAGAAACAAAACAGGAGATAGTACAACCAATACCACAGAAATACAAAAGATCATTTAAGGCTACTATGAACACCTTTATGCATATAAACTAGAAAACTTAGAGGAGATGGATAAATTCCTGGAAATATACAACCCTCCTAGATTAAACCAGGAAGAAATAGAAACTTTGAACAGATGAATAACAAGCAACAAGATTGAAATAGTAATAAGAAAATTGCCAATGAAAAAAAAGTTTAGGACCAGATGGATTCACAGCTGAATTATACAGACTTTCAAAGAAGATCTAGTACCAATCTTATTGGCACTATTCAAAAAGATAGAGAGGGAATCCTTCCTAAATCATTCTATGAAGCCAGTATCACCCTAATACCAAAACCAGGAAAGGACATAACAGAAAAAGAAAATGACAGACCAACATCCCTGATGAACATAGATGCAAAAATCCTCAAAAAATTACTAATATAATCCAACAGCATATCAAAAAGATAATCCACCATGATGAAGTAGGTTTTATGCCAGGGATGTGGGAATAGTTTAACATACACAAGTCAATAAATGTGATACACCACATAAACAGAATTAAAAACAAAAATTACATGATCATCTAAATAGATGCAGAAAAAGCATTTGACAAAATTCAGCATCCCTTTATAATTAAAACCCTCAGCAAAATTGGCATAGAAGGGACATATCTTAAGGTAAAAACGGCCATCTAGGACAAACCCACAGCCAACATTATACTGAACAGGGAAAAGTTGAAAGCATTCCCCCTGAGAACTGGAACAAGACAAGGACATCCACTTTCACCACTTCTATTCAACATAGTACTGGAAGTTCTAGCCAGAGCAATTAGACAAGAGAAAGAAATAAAGGGCATCCAAATCAGTAAAGAGGAAGTCAAACTGTTGCTATTCACGGATGACATGATCGTATACCTAGAAAACCCTAAAGACTCATCCAAAATACTCCTTTAACTGGTAAATGAATTCAGCAAACTTTCACGATACAAAATTAATGTACACAAGTCAATGTCTCTGCTATACACCAACAGCGACCAAGCTGAGAATGAAATCAAGAACTCAACCCCATTTACAACAGCTGAAAAAAAAAAAAAAACTTAGAGATATACCTAACCAAGGAGGTGAAAGAGCTCTACGTGGAAAACTACAAAACACTGCTGAAAGAAATCATAGATGACACAAACAAATGGAAACACATCTCATGCTCATGAATGGGTAGAATCAATATTGTGAAAAAGACCATACTGCCATAAGAAACTTACAAATTCAATGCAATTCCCATCAAAATACCATCATTCTTCACAGAACTAGAAAACACAATCCTAAAATTCATATAGAACCAAAAAAGAGCCCACATAGCCAAAGCAAGACTAAGTAAAAGAGCAAATCTGTAGACACCATATTACCCAACTTCAAACTATACTATAAGGCCATAGTAACAAACATAGCATGGTACTGGTATAAAGATAGGCATATAGACCAATAGAACAGAATAGAGAACCCAGAAATAAAGCCAAATACTTACATCCAACTGATCTTTAACAAAGCAAATAAAAACATAAAGTGGGGTAATGACACCCTATTAAACAAATAGTCCTGGTATAATTGGCAAGCCACATGTAGAAGAATGAAACTGGATCCTAATCTCTCACCTTATACAAAAATCAACTCCAGTTGGATCAAAGACTTAAATCTAAGACCTGAAACCATAAAAATTCTAGAAGATAACATGGGAAAAACCCTGTAGACATTGGCTTAGGCAAAGACTTCATGACCAAGAAACCAAAAGCAAATGTGCCATAAACAATGATAAATAGATGGGACTTAATTAAACTAAAAAGTTTCTCCACAGCAAAAGAAATATAGCAGATTTAACAGACAACTCACAGAATGGGAGAAAGTCTTCACAATCTATAGATACAACAAAACACTAATATCTAGAATCTGCAAGGAACTCAAACAAATCAGCAAGAAAAAATCAAGCAATCCCATCAAAAAGTTGGCTAAGGACATGAATAGATCATTCTCAAAAGAAGATATACAAATATCAACAAACATGAAGAAATGCTCAACATCACTAATAATCAGGGAAATGCAAATAAAAATCACAATGCGATAACACCTTACTCCTGCAAGAATGGCCATAATTAAAATAATAATAATAGATCTTGGCATGGATTGCTGAAAAGGGAACACCTTTACACTGTTGGTGGCAATGTAAACTATTACAACCACTATGGAAAATAGTTTGGCAATTCCTTAAATAACTAAAAGTAGATCTACCATTTGATATAGCAATACCACTACTGGGTACCTACCGAGAGGCAAAGAAGTTAATATACAAAAAATAATAATAATACTTGCACACACATGTTTATATCAGCACAATTAGCAATTGTAAAAATATGAAACCAGCCCAAATGCCCATCAATCAATGAGTGGATAATGAAAATTATATTATTTTCTTTATACATGTATATATGTGTGTTTATATACACACACATATATGGTATATATATAAACATATACACATATATAAAGAAAATCATATAATTTTCATATATATATTCATGCATATATATACACACACATATATATGGTGTGTGTGTGTCTATATATATACATATATATACACATATATACCATAGAATACTACTCAGCTATAAAAAGAACAAAATAATGGCATTCGCAGCAACCTGGATGGAACCGGAGACCATTATGCTAAGTGAAATAACCCAGGAATGGAAAACCAAACATCATATGTTCTCGATCTCATGTGAGAGCTAAGCTATGAGGATGCAAATGCATGAGAATTATATAATGGACTTTGGGGACTTGGGAGAAAGGGTGGGAGGGGGGTGAGGGATAAAAGACTTCACATTGGGTATAGTGTACACTGCCCAGGTGTTGATTGCACCAACATCTCAGAAATCATCACTAAATAACTTATTCATGTACAAAAATAAATAAATGATAACTAAATAAAATAATATAAAAATATTGTATAAAATTATATTTATGCTATGTATATAAGGTATATATTAAACAAAATGAATTTCATGTTTATACTTGGGTCTTATTCCCAAGACATCTCATTATGTCTATGCAAATATTCCAAAATCTGAAAATTCTTGAAATCTTAAAACACATCTGGTCCCAAGCATTTCAGATCAGGGACACTTCACCTATAGGATTTGAGAAATTTTTAACGTTACTGTTCAAGAGCAGGAGTTCTGCAATATTGCTCAATCTCATCTGATATATTTCAAATATATTAGAAAATTACATTTTTACAATGTATGGTAGGATAGTATTTAAAGTTAACAATTACTGGTCAGGCACAGTGCCTCACGTCTGTAATCCCAGAATTTTGGGAGGCCGAATAGGGTGGATAACTTGAGGTCAGGAGTTTGAGACCAGCCTGGCCAATATGGTGAAACTCCGACTCCTCAGAAAGTACAAAAATTAACAGGGCATGATGGTGCGTGCCTGTAATCGCAGCTACTCAGGAGATTGAGGCCCCAGAATCACTTGAACCCAGGAGACAGAGGTTGCAGTGAGCCAAGATTGCACCACTGCACTCCAGTCTGGGCATCAGAGTGAGACCCTATCTCAATAAATAAATAAATAAATAGATAGATTATTAAAATAAACTTAACATTTACTGAGAAGTCAATATGCACCGGTCACTGTACCTAAGAACTGCACATCCATTGTCATGTTAAAGTCTCATAATGATGATTTCCATAATTTTCATTTCATCAGTTGCATAGTGACAGAAGCCACTGAGCTACTTGTGCTCATAACAACTATGCCATATATCTTAAAAAAAGAAAAGAAAACAAAAGATGTTGATAAGTATTTGGAGAAACTGGAAGCTTCCTACATTGCTGATGAGAATGTAAATTTGTGCAACCACTTTGAGAAAATTTAGCAGTTTCTTAAACATTTAAATAAAGAGTTACCATATGATCCAGCAATTCTATTTCAAGGTACATATCAAAGAGAAATGAAAACATATGACCAAAAAATATGAATGTTCATAGTATCATTATTCATAAGAGCCAAAAAGTGGATATGACCCAAATGTCCATCAACTTGATTAATAATTTATATCTAATGATCAATAATATAATAAAGCTTTATTTGGCAGCAAAAAGAAGTGAAGTATAGATTCATGCCATAACAGAGATGAACTTTGAAAACATTATGCTAAATGAAATAAGTCATAAAGAAAAGACCAATTGTTGTATATTTCCATTTATATGAAGTCTAAAATCAGCAAATCCATAAAGACAGAAAGTATATTAGTGGTTTCCTGGGACAAGGACCAAGGGTTGGGAGGACACGAAGTTGGGGGGTTATTTTTAATAGGTACAGAGTTTCTTTTCTGTGGTGATGAAAATTTTCTGGAATCAGATAGTTGTGATGGTTACACAACTGTGTGAATATATGTATATATATATTACATATATATACATATATAAGTAATATATAACATATACGTATATATGTAATATATATACTATATACATATTTTTATATATTTTTATTATACTTTAAGTTCTAGGGTACATGTGCACAACGTGCAGGTTTGTTACATATGTATACACGTGCCATGTTGGTATGCTGCACCCATTAACTCGTCATTTACATTCAGTATATCTCCTAATGCTATCCCTCCCCCCTCCCCCGACCCCACAACAGGCCCCGGTGTGTGATGTTCTCCTTCCTGTGTCCAAGTGTTCTCATATACACCATGGAATACTATGCAGCCATAAAAAATGACGAGTACATATATATATTGAGACAGAGTCTGGCTCTGTCGCCCAGGCTGGAGTGCAGTGGCACGATCTCGGCTCACTGAAACCTCTGCCTCCTGGGTTCAAGCGATTCTCCTGCCTCAGCCTCCCGAGTAGCTGGGACTACAGGCGCGCACCACCACACCTGGCTAATTTTTTTGTATTTTTAGTAGAGACGGGGTTTCACCGTGTTAGCCAGGATTGTCTCAATCTCCTGACCTAGTGATCTGCCTGCCTCAGAATATATTTTCAAAATTAAGTGAAGAGTTTAAATAGATGAATTGCATGACATGTGAATATAGGTATATAGGTATATATTCCACTAGAGTAGTTTTAAAAATTATACTCTATTTTCTCCAAAAAGATGTTTATTATGCATAACAATTGCACAGTAATTACATCTTCTGTAAGATTAAAAGAATGCTTTCACAATCAGGAAAAAGATCAATAATTTACAATTTTAAAATTAAAATGCTTAGCAAATTCTGATTCAGCCTCTATCTCCCACCAAGATACTTATGAGGACATTAAAAAGATAAGAGCTAAAGCAAAATCCTGGACTGGCAATCTATTACCAAAAACTTTGAATTACCAGCAACAATTAGATTAAGCATGCCAACCAGTAAAAAGATAGGAAATGCTTTATCTCTTTGTGGTTGTCTGTACCCTGAATCTGATACTCAAGTATCGGACCAATGACAGAAATGGTTAGGCTTCTCTCTGCTTCAAGGAAGCTGCTTGCTTTTGGAAATAAGGCCAATGCTGTTATATTATGTCACCTGTCTCCACTCATTCCAAATTTATATAGAGATTTCAACTCTGAGAATACAACATGTCAAGAAGCCTAAGATAGATATTATATCCTGAGAAATACAGTTCCATAATTAAAGTTTGTGGGTGGAGACAGAAAAAGAAAGGCCTTGCTATATCTGAAAAGAAGTTTGTGTCATTATTATTTTGGACAAAGAGTGGGATAAGAATAATCAATGTCTCATTTGATGGCAATCACCAAGTTTGAATAGTTCTTGCTTTGTTCAAGGATCAGTAAATATATATATCATCATATTAATACATACTTGAGATATATTAATACACTTTCATAAATATAAATATATATTTATATGTAGCAAACCTATGTACTAAATATATATTTATGTATAGACATAAATGGTATATAAATATTGTTAAATATATGTACATATTTAAATATAAATATATATAAAGTATATATATATTTAAAAATACATATGTATTTGGTATATACACTCACATTGTTAGTAAAATATGCTACATATATAAATATATGTGTGTATATATTAGTTATGTATATCTATGTATATATTTATACATATATACATATACATGCCTATATTCAACACTTTATCATAAAGGAATTTGGGCCAATTTGATACAGAAGCAATTTATCAAGGTATTTATGTTTAAATCTCTTTGATTGCTAACAATATACTAAGCAAATTTATTCAACTTTTAATAATATACAATTTATTTTTATAGGTTTACCTTTTGTATTCTTTATTTATGAATTTCCTGTTTTTGTCCTTCAAACATTTTTCTACTGGGATGTTGGCAGTTGTCTCATTTATTTGTTAGAACTCTACATAGCAAGGGTTTGAACTCTATGTTGCAAATGTTACCTAGGTTTCACTCACCTTTCAATTTTGATTGTAATTGTTCTTGAGGTTGTTTAGATACAGAAATTTAAAAATAAAATTATAGTTGATTCTTTTAGTCTTATCCTATGAAGTTTTTCAATTGTCTGTCACTATTTTCTAATTTGAAATAACACCTTTATGATTTATAAAGTTTGTCAACATATATAAAGATGTAGATTACATAAACATTTTTTGCTATTCTTGCACCAGTCCTATGTTGATTTATTTTAGCTTTATACTCCATCAATATTTTTAATCTAATAGTGCTAGTCTCTTCATTATTCTTATTTTCAAAATTATCTTGGCTGTATCACCTCATTAGCACTTAGAGATGATATTTAGATCAGTTTGTCAAATTTTCCTCCTAACAAATAATATGGCATGTCTTGTTTTTATAGAAGATTTGGTCTTTTATTTACCACAGTCAAGTTTTACGGTTTACTTGATGGAGATCCAACACATTTTCCAAAGTTATTCTAAGAGATTTTATCATTTTTGTTGCTGGCATAGAATACTTTACTTTTAAATGTAATAGCTATTTTTCTGTTGATATTTAATATTTGAACAGAATATGTATTCTCTGGTACAATACAGTATATTTTAGAACAAGATAATTAAATGAAATATTTAAATTCATAAAATTCTTATGCATTTTTGGTTACTTTGATTTGTCAAATTCTGTGACCAAAAAAATCATGCCAATGTGGGTTTGTCTGCTGTTTCTCTTTGCACGTTCATCAGTGTTTCCTTTTTTGTGATATAAAGCTTATTTTCTATCTAGAATATCTGCTTTATTAACATGAAATATTACTTTTATCCAAGCTTACAACCCCTTGACTTTTTTTCAGATATTAACATCACGATGCCCATTTTCTTTATATTAGCCCTTAATGTGTTGGCATTTTTCTCATCCCTTTCTTTTCAAACTTTTTATTTCATTACGCTTTAAGCATTGTTCTTTATGAACTAGGAGAAATAGATGTATTTGCTATGTCAGTAGAGGGAAAGATATTTATAAAAAAAATTACTCCTTTGTTTTTTTAGACTGAGTAACTAGGTGGATTATGGTACCATTTACTGAGTTAAGGGATACCTGGGGAATAATAGGTTTGGAGAGTTGGAAATAAGTCTGTTTCAGATGTATTCAGTTGGATACAAAGATAATTAGTAGACAATTAATAAACAAGTCTGGATTTCAAAGTTAGTGTTTAGGAGATTTAATTTTGGGAGTAGCCAGCTGATAGATGATATTTAAATCTATGAGACTTGATATGATCACCTTGAGTGAGGGTACAAGAGCGAAAGCAATAGATGTCTGTGGACTTCTAGGGCACTAAACTCTAGGGCACTTTAACATTTTTATTTTTACTTTTTTATTTTTATTTTTTGGTACCTAGTAGGTGTATATATTTATAAGGTACATGAGATGTTTTGGTGCAGGCATACAATGTGTAATAATCACATAATAGAAAATGGGGTATAAATTCTCTCAAGCATTTATACTTTGTGTTACAAAAACAAACATCACATGTTATCACTTATTTGTGGGATCTAAAAATCAAAACCATTGAACTCATGAAGGTAGATAGCAGAAGGATGGTTACCAGAGGGTGGGAAGGGTAGTGGAAAGCTGGTGGCAGGGAGATGGGGATGGTTAATGGGTACAAAAAATAGTTACATATGATGAATAAGATCTAGCATTTGATAGCACAACAAGGAGACTATAGTCAATAACATTTTAACATTTTTAGATGGAAGGAAGAGGATTCAGCAAAGGAGAACTAGAAGAGGCATCGGTAACGTAAGACGAAAACCAGGAGAGTTTGTTTTCATAGAAGCAGAAGGGAAACTTTCCTGAGAGAGAGGAAGTGAACACCTCTGTCAAAAGTTGCTGAACTGTCCAAATGAAGTTTATGTGGTGAAGGAAATATTTTATATCTGTGCTGTGCAACACAGTAGCCACTATCTGCAAGTGGCTACTAAGCACTTGAAGGATGGCTACTGCAACTGAGGAACTAAATTTTTTGTTTTATCTCAACCTTAATAGCCAAATGTGGCTAGTTACTGTTACACTAAACAGTGCAGCTTGAGTTTTGAAAGATGAACACAGAAAATTGTCCATTTGGTACTTCAGTTTTCTTGGAATGGAGGGGACAAAAGTTGTGTCAGAGTGGGCTGAAGCATAAGACAGAAGAAACCATTTCAGTAATATCACATTAAGGGAAAAGTCAGGTTGCAAAGTCATATGTGGGGTGAGATTCCTATATTATTATGTTATATAAAGATATAGAAAAACTGAAAAGAATATACATTAAAATAACAATGGATTATCTCTCAGTAGTGAGATAATGCTCCTTTTCACATTTTTATATTTTACAATTTTACAATAGTTACATGTTCTTTATATAATTCTAAAAATGCAATTAACATTATTTTAAATGCAAACTTCAGCCATTGAACAATAAAATACAATTATTTCATGTTTGATGAAATTGGGGTATTTAAACATGATTACCTGAGTGATGTCAACTATATTAGATCAATATATTGTACTTTTAGAAAATAGAGCTGGAAGTTGATAATTCAAGGAAATTATAAGATCTTTGGCCTGCCGTTAAGCCATTGACTTGAATATAATGTAAATCTTTCTGAAGTTAAATGGCTATAAATGGGCATTTTAGTACATTATGTCAGTATAATTAAATTGTACAATTCTTTCAACAATTGTTATTCTAGATCTAACTTTTGTTTTTAAAAATATGATGGCTGGGAACTCATTCCACATCAAATTTAAATATAATTAAACTTTGAATTCCTCAGAATTATTGAACAGACTTGTATACTAAATAAAATTAGTATTGCCATTAATTTTGCAAACTTTTTAAAAATAATGCTTCTGATTAGTAACTATTATTAGACATTAAAATATCTAAAATGTTATAACATTGGTATTCCATGCACATACATCATTGTTGATAAACTGTAATCTATTTTCTAATAGAGTTTTTTTCAGTTTGATATTTACCTCCACTTCTCTGAGCACTGTTATACTTTTGTATAAAGGGTGACATTGCTCTCTTGCCTAATTTATTAAAATAAAAAGAAAAAGCTTTGATTAAAATCTGCGGCCTTCTATCTTGTGAATCTCCACGGGTTTTCTTTGAGATTCTGAGCAAAAGGAAGCAGGTGTTTGGCTTATGAATATTCAAGATGATTTTTGTTCCAAAACCATTGATTGTATTATCTGCTTATAATGATTTTAAACAGAAATGAGAAAATGGTATCAATTGGAATCTAATGAAAGATTTTAATTTTTTCATTATGCTTTGCACAGCATCACAAACATGTTAACTTGTTTCCATTCCCCAAATTATCTCAAACTCCAGAATTCTTACTACTACTCTTGCAGAAAGCATAAACCCAAGGCCCAGGTAATTCCTAAAATGCACAGAAAAGATTATTATTGTCCATGTTTTCCCAAGATAATTCCCCTAACATAGCGTTAGGTGTAGCATAGAAGAAATAACATTAGGCCAGGAGTAAGAAAACCCAGATTACCCTCCTAGGCTTCTGTTTGCATCCAGTGTATGTGATATTGGGCATACTATTAAAACTCTTTGTGATTTGGGTTCCTTGTTAAAAAATAAAGTGGAGGTCATAATGGTTTCTACTTAATAGGGCTATCTATGGTGATTAAATTCTGAAAGAACTTTTTAATGCACCTAGCAGAGTTTCTAACCTCCAATAAATGTCAAATAAACATCTCCCTTCTTCAAGGGAGTTCATCAAATCCAAGTTCCACTTTCATTCTGCCTTTTTATTTGTGTGATTGAGGGCATACTATTTAACTTCTCTAACCTTAGCAATCTGTACAAAGAAGATAATATTATCTATCCTGTGAGATTTTCTTGAAGATTATAGCATAGTATGGGATTACATATGTGATGTTTCTCACAAGACAGTAAGTAGAAAATATTAGTGGTCCATCTAAAATTTGCTTCAAAAATGTACCAGTACTAATATATGCAGGATGCAAGCAACACAATTCTTATCATTCCTCTCTTCCTTTCTTCAGCAAACATTGTGAAGCTACTTTTGGTCTCAAATAACCCAAACCTTTATAGAAGGCACAATATATCTCTCGCAATATATCAATGTGGGCTAAACTGAAAAAATATCTTGCAAATTATTGTTGTAGTCAAAGAAATAGAAGATATGGGACAGAACCTCAACAGGATCGTGGCAGGAAAAATCAGTGTTTTTCAAAATACTTTCTGTTCTTTTTAAAGATCACTTAAACTCCAATTTTGGTCTATTATAATGTGATAAAGTTGTCAGCTGCCAGGTTCATTCATATTATATGACAAAGTGTTTCTCATGGAAGGCAGGATATCCAAATCCATATTTATGTATGCCGTCGCATATACAGCCAAGTGAAATGCTGAAACACTTACCTGGAGAATTCTTGCTCAATGCCTTCTGCCATTACAAAAAGAAAGGTATTAATTTAAAGGGCAAAATTTTCAACTTGAATATTATTAAAATTACAATTTTTAATTTGCATGTTCAGATACATCACAAGTGAAAAAAGATTAAAATAATTATACTATATGATATGGTTTGGATTTGTGTCCCCACCCAAATCTCATGTCGAATTGTAATCCCCAATGTTGAAGGAGGGACCTGGTGGGAGGTGATTGGGTCATAGAGGCAATTTTCCCCCTTGCTGTTTTCATAATAGTGAGTGAGTCCTCATGAGCTCCAGTTGTGGCTAAAAGGGTCCCAGATACATCTAAGGATGCTGCTCCATAGGGTGCAAGCCATAAGGCTTGGTGACTTTTACATGGTGTTAAGCCTGCAGGTGTACAGAGGGTAGGAGTTCAGGCTTGGGAGCTCCCACCTACATTTCAGAGGATGCATGAAAACGCCTGGATGTCCAGGCAGAAGTCTGTGGCAGAGGTGGAGCCCTCATGGAGAACCTCTTCTAGGAAAGTGCAGAGGGGAAATGCAGGGTTGGAGACCCTATGCAGAGTCCCCACTGAGGCATCGCCTAGTGGATCTGTGAGAAGTGGGCCACCATCCTCCAGACCCAGGAATGGTAGGTCCACTGACACCCTTTACCATGTGCCTGGTGAAGCTGGAGGCCCTCAATGCCAGCTCATGAAAGCAGCTGATGGGACTGTACCCTGCAGAGCCACAGGGCCAGAGATGCCCAAGGCCTTGGGAATCCACCCCTTGAATCAGTGTGGCCTGGATGTGAGACATGGACTCCAAGGAGTTTATTTTGGAGGTTTAAGATTTAATGCTTGCCCTGCTAGGCTTTAGACTTGCATGGGGTCTGTAGCCTCTTTTTTTGGCCTATTTCTCCCTTTTGAAATGGGTATATTTACCCAATGCCTGTACTCCCATTATATCTTGGAAGTACCTAACTTGTTTTTGATTTTACAAACTGATAGGCAGAAGACACTTGCTTTGTCTCAGATGAGACTTTGGACTGTGAACTTATGAGTTAATGCTGAAATAAGTTAAGACTCGTTACACTGTGGAAAAGGGATGATTGTATTTTGCAATGTGAGAAGGACATGAGATTTTTGGGGGGCCAGGGGCAAAATGATATGCTTTGGATTTTTTTCCCCACCCAAATCTTGTAATCCCCAATGTTGGAGCAGGGGTCTGATGGGATGTGATTGGATCAATGGTCAGATTTCCTTTTGCTGTTTTCATGATAGTGAGTGAGTTCTCATGAGATCTGGTTGTTTAAAAGTGCATAACACCTCCCCTTCACTATCTTCCTCCTGCTCCAGCCCTGTAAGAAGTGCCTCCATCCTCTTCACCTTCTGCCATGATTGTAAGTTTTCTGAGGCCTCATCAATCATGCTTCCTGTACATCCTGCAGAACCATGAGCCATGTAAACCTCTTTTAGAAAATAAATTACCTGGACTCAGGTAGTTCTTTACAGCAATGCAAGAATGGACTAATATACCATGTAATAATATAAATATTATTGTGGTTAGTTTGAGGGCAAAACAAATAATTAAACAATTTGAAATAATATTTATTTATTTTACATATAATACACACTCAGGGATAAAAAAGGAAATGAAAAGTGTAAATGGAAAAGATCACCTACAACTCAGAAACACCTACCATTAACATAAAATATATTTTAAAATAAAAACAGTAATTTACATTGAATGACAAGGCAACTATATAATTGTATCAACTGATGATTTTGCAGATTATTACACAAACTAACTCAGTAAGCAGTAGTTTTGCCATTACGTGGCAATAATTTTATATAACTTCACTAGAAAAAAATGCATTCTGAAGTAAAAAAAATATTGATATGCTATTACTAAGTCAATATAAATCTTGACTCCTGATGCTATTTAATAGTTTGTATGTTTTTAAAAATTAACCAACAAATGAAAGCTTATGTTCACACAGAGACTTATACACACATGTTTTTGGAAGCTTTGCTTTTAATAGTCTAAAACTAAAAAACCTCAAATTGTTGATCAACAAATGGAAGAATAAACAAATTGTGGTATATGCAATAAAAAGAATTAATTCTTGACATACATAACACATAAGAACCTCAAAATACAGACAGTCCCCAACTTGCATTGGTTCTACTTAACAATTTTTTAACTTTAGAGTACAAAAGTGATATGCACCTAGTAAAAATCATACTTTGAATTTTGAATTTTGATCTTTTCCAAGGCTACTCCTATATAGTAAGAAAGATAATCTCTTGCAATGTTGTACAGTGGCAGCCAGCCACAGCTCCCAGTCAGCCACAGCACCACGAGGGTCAAGAAATGATACTGTAACCTGCAGTGTACTGCATTTAATAAATCACATGAGGAATTTAATACTTTATTATAAAGTAGGCTTTGTGTTAGATGATTTCATCTAACTGTGGGCTACTGTAAGTGTTCTGAGCACTTTTAAGGTAAGCTAAGCTAAGCTATGATGTTCCATAGGTTAGATACATCAAATGCATTTTGACTTGCAATATATTAAACTTACAATGGGCTTGTTGGAACATAGCCCATTGCAAGTTGAGGAACATCTGTAATGGGATCAGTAAAAGAAGCACGAAAAAAGTACATTCTGTAAAAATTTATTAATACAAAGCTCTAGAAAATGAAAAGTAACCTATAGTGACAGAAAGCAGATTAGCAGCTGCTATACGCAGGGGAGGGGAGGGTAGTCACGGAGGTAGGTGGAGATATATTGCACTGTGTGGGAAGAGATGGAAAGAATAAATTATTAAGGAGCACTAGAAAATTTCTGGTGATGTTAGATTTGATACTTTCGTGATTATGGTGATGGCCTCACAGTCGTGAACATGTGTCAAAACCACCCAATTATACACTTGAAACACAAACAATGCAGTTTATTACATATCAATTATACCTCAGTAAAGCTGTTAAGAAAATAACATATCCTACATCCTATTCACCTCTGTTAAAAAGAAAATGATAGGCCATTGCTATTTATGACACTTTTTGATATTCTGTGTGTTTGTTCTATGATGCTCAACAATCAAGATCTTTGGAAACATTACAGTTTCCTCCAGAAAAGTAGAAATGAATATTTAAGCTTCTTGGACATTAGTTATTTGCAAGTCTTGCAAGTTATCTTTCTAAATTATCCTCTGACTCTTGTACCTTTAGCATAAGCTCCTTTGCCTTTGTAAGCACACACACACACACACACACACACACACACACACACACGTCCCTAAGCAGCCTCCAGAGCACTGAAAAGTCTTCATTTCTAAGATTATTATTTTGTCTTTCTCTCTTGTATTCTGCTTTCATCTCTGAAATGTCATAAAGCCAGCTGATTGATGTTGTATTGAAATTTCCATTTTGAGCTAAATGAATACCGAAATATCCAATGATTTTTGCTGCAAGTTATGTTACCAGACTCAACCACTTTAACACAGAACCTTGTAACACAAGAAGTTAAAACGTAAGCTCGGTTTTCCCACGTCTGCTCATGACAAAATATTCCAAATTTCTGCATAGACAAAGCTTCTCATTTTCATTTAAGTTTCCACAAGTGCTGAATTTGTTTTCCTTGGCAATGTGTAATGTGTTAGGAGATGTGTGCTTGTGTGCATGCGTGTGTGTGTGTATGTGTGTGTATATATATATATATATATATATATATATATTTTGTTTGGAACAAATGAGTAAAATTGGAAGCTTACAAATGGCTAGGAAGTAGAAATGTTTATGAAAAATTTGAAAAAAAATCCTGAATGCATTATATTTTCCAGCAAGTTTCTCAGAAAGCCATCATTTTTTTAATAACAGCTTTATTGAGATATAATTTACACAACATGAGATTCAAACTTTTAAAGCGTATAATTTAATGATTTTTAGTATATTCAGAGTTGTGCAAAAAATCATGATATTTATTTTCAGATATCTTAAACACCCTGAAAATAAACCTCATATGCAACAGCAGTCCCTCTGTATTCTCCCTTTCCATCCAGCTCCTGTCAAACACTAATCTGCTTCCTATTTCTATGGATTTATCTATTCTAAACATTTAATATAAGTGGAATTATATAATAAGTGGAATTACATAATAAGTGGGTATTTGTGACTGTTTTCTTTCACTTATGTTGTTGTCCATTTTTAAAATTCTATCCATGCTAGTGGGGGTGAAGGATTTCATTGTGGTTTTGATTTGTATTTACCTAATCACTAATGAGGTTTAACATTGTTCATGTGTTTGTTACCCATTTCATATCATCATTGGAGAATATTTTATTCAATTTTTTGTTCACGTTTTAATTGGATGATTTGTCCTTTAACTGTTGAATTTTAAGATTTTTTAAATATATTCTGGATGCTAGCCTCTTATCAGATATATGATTTGCAAATGTTTTCTCCTATTCTGTGCATTATATTTTCATTTTATATATAGTGTTCTTTAAAGTACAATTGTGTATGTGTGTGTGTGTGTGTGTGTGTGTGTGTGTTATGTACCTATGTATGGATTTTTTCATTTTTGTGGCTACACAGTGGGGTATATGTTTATGGGTACCTAAAATGTTTTGATACAGGCATGAATGTGTGATAATCACATCATGGAAAATGGGGCATCCATTTCCTCAAGCATTTATCACTTGTATTACAAACAATCCAATTACATTCTATTAGTTATTTTAAAATGTAGAATTAAGTTATTATTGGGTATACTCACCCTGCTGTGTTATAAAATAGCAGGTCTTACTCATTCTTCCTATTTTTTTGTATCCGTTAACTATCTCCACATTCCTTCCACACACTTCACTACCCTTTCCAGCCTCTGGTACCCATCCTTCTTCTCTTTATCTCCATGAATTCAATTGTTTTGATTTTTAGGCTCCACAAATGAGTGAGAACATGCAATGTTTTTCTTTCTTTCCCTGGCTTATTTCACATATCATAGTGACCTCCAGTTCCATCCATTTTGTTACAAATGACAGAATCTCATTCTTTTTATGGCTGAATAGTACTCCATTCTGTTTATTTACCACATTTTCTTCATATATTTATCTGTCAATGAACACTTAGCTTGCTTCCAAATCTTAGTTATTGTAAAGAGTGCTGCAACAAACATAGGAGTGTAGATCTCTTTGATAGACATACTGATTTTCTTTCTTGAGAATATATACACGAGTGGAATCACTTGATCATATGGAAGCTCTATTTTTAGTTCTTTGAGGAACCTCTGAACTGTTCTCCATAGTGCTTGTACTAATTTACATTCCCACCAATGGTGTACTAGCGTTTCATTTTTCTCCACATCTTTGCCACTATTTGTTATTGCCTATGTTTTGGATATAAGCCATTTTAACTAGGGTGAGATCACATCTCATTGTAGTTTTGATGTGCTTTTCTCTGATAATCAATGATGTTGAACACCTTTTCATATGTCTGTTTGGCATTTGTTTTACTATTAAAACAAATGGCAAATAAATAGTTGTTCACTATAGGTGTGTTTCACCATATGTGAGTTCACTCTAGGTGTGTTTGTTTGACATTTGTTGGACTAGACAAACAAAAAAATACGTCTATTCAAATATATTGCCCATTTTTAATTGCATTATTAGATTTTTTTTCCTATAGAGATGTTTGAGCCCCTTATGTATTCTGGTTATTAATCCTTTGTCAGATAGGTAGTTTGCAAATATTTTCTCCCATTTTGTAGGTTGTCTCTTCATTTTGCTGATTGTTTCTTTTGCTGTGCAAAAGTGTTTTAAGTTGATGTGAATCCATTTGTCCATTTTTGCTTTGGTTGCCTGTGCTTGTGGTATATTGCTCAAGAAATTTTTGCTCAGACCAATATCTTCAAGATTTTCCCCCAAATTTTCTTACACTAGTTCATAGTTTGAGGTATTAAATTTAAGTTTTCAATTCACTTTGTTTTGATTTTTGTATATGGTGAGAGATAGGGGTCTACCTTCACTCTTCTGCATATGGATATCCAGTTTTCCCAGCACCATTTATTGAAGAGACTATCTTTTCCCTAGTGTATGTTCTAGGCACTTTTGTAAAAAAATGAGTTTACTATAGGTATGTGGATTTGTCTGTGGGTTCTCTATTCTGTTCCATAGGTCTATGTTTCTGTTTTTATGCCAGTACCAAGTTTTTTGTTTAATATAGCTCTGTAATATAATTTGAAACCAGGTAATGTTATTCCTCCAGTTTTGTTATTTTTCCTCAGGATAGCCTTGACTATTCTAGGTCTTCTGTGGTTCCATATAAATTTTAGCATTATTTTTATTTCTGTGAAGAATATCCTTGGTATTTTGATAGGGATTGTATTGAATCTGTAGATTGCTTTAGGCAGTATGGGCATTTTAAGAATACTAATTCCTCCAATCTGTGATTAATTTGATTTGTGGATATGACAAATAAAATTACCTTTTTAATTTGTTTTTCAGATTGTTCTCCTTTGGCATCTGGAAATGCTACTGACTTCTGTATATTGATTTTGTATCCTGCAGCTTTACTGAATTTATCAGTTCCAATCATTTTTCTTTTAAATTTTATTTATGTATTTATGTATGTATTTATTTAATTTTACTTTAAGTTCCAGGATACATGTGCAGGACGTGAGCTTTTCTACATAGGTATACATTTGCCCTGGTAGTTTACTGCACCTATAAACACGCCATCTAGGTTTTAAGCCCCACATGCAGTAGGTATTTGTTCTAATGCTTTCCCTCCCCTTGCCCCCCACCCCGACAGGCCCGGGTGTGTGATGTTCCCCCTACCCCATATTCATGTGTTCTCATTCTTCAACTCCCACTTATGAGTGAAAAAATGCTGGGTTTGCTTTTCTGTTCCTGTGTGTGTTTGCTGAGAATGATGGCTTCCAGCTTCATTCATGCCCCGGCAAAGGACATAAACTCATTCTTTGTTATGGCTGCATAGTATTCCAGGGTGTACCTGTGCCACATTTATTTATCCAGTCTATCACTGATGGGCATTTGGGGTGGTTCCGTGTATTTGCTATTGTAAATAGTGCTGCAATAAACACACATGTGCATGTGTCCTTATAGTAGAATGATTTATAATCCTTTGGGTATATACCCAGTAATGGGATTGCTGGTTCAAATGGTATTTCTGGTTCTAGGTCCTTGAGGAATCACCACACTGTCTTCCACAATGGTTGAACTAATTTACACTCTCACCAACAGTGTAAAAGCATTCCTATTATTCCACAGCCTCTCCAGCATCTGTTGTTTCCTGACTTTTTAATAATCGCCATTCTGACTGGCATGAGATGGTATCTCATTTTGGTTTTGATTTGCATTTCTCTAATGACCAGAGATAATGACTTTTTTTCATATGTTTGTTGTCGGCATAAATGTCTTCTTTTGAGAAGTGTCTGTTCATATCCTTTGCCCACTTTTTGATGGGGTTGGTCTATTTTTTGTAAATTTGTTTAAGTTCCTTGCAGATTCTGGATATTAGACATTTGTCAGATGGATAGATTGCAAAATTTTTCTCTCATTCTGTAGGTTTCCTGTTCACTCTGATGATAGTTTCTTTTGCTGTGCAGAAGCTCTTTAGTTTAATTAGATCCTATTTTTCAATTTTGGCTTTTGTTGCAATTGCTATTGGTATTGTAGTCATGAACTATTTGCCCATGCCTATGTCCTGATTGATATTGCCTAGGTTTTCTTCTACGGTTTTTATGGTTTTGGGTTTTACATTTTAGTCTTCAACCCATCTTGAATTAATTTATGTACAATTTGTAAGGAAAGGGTCTAGTTTCAGTTTTCTGCATATGACTAGCCAGTTTTTCCAGCATCATTTATTAAATAGAGAATCCTTTCTCCATTGCTTGTTTTTGTCAGGTTTGTTAAAGAACAGATGGTTGTAGATGTGTGGTGGCTGTCTCTCACCACTCCTATTCAACTTAGTATTGAAAGTTCTGGCCAGGGTAATCAGGAAAGAAAATGAAACAAAAGGAATTCAGATAAGAAGAGAGGAAGTCAAATTGTCTCTGCTTGCAGATGACATAATTGCATGTTAAGAAAACCACATCATCTCAGCCCAAAAACTCCTTAAGCTGAAAAGCAACTTCAGCAAAGTCTCAAGATACAAATCAATGTGCAAAAATCACAAGCATTCCTATACACCAGCAACATACAAGCAGAGAGGCAAATCATGGGTTAACTTCCATTCATCATTGTTACAAAGAGTATAAAATACCTAGAAATACAACTTACAAGGGACGTGAAGGACTTCTTCAAGGAGAACTACAAACGAATGCTCAAGAAAATGAGAGGGGACACAAACAAATGAAAAAACATTAGTGCTCATGGATAGGAAGAATCAGTATCATGAAAATGGCCATTCTACCCAAAGTAATTTATAGATTCAATGCTATTTTCATCAAGCTACCATTGACTTTCTTCACAGAATTAGAAAAAACTACTTTAAATTTCACAAGGAACCAAAAAAGAACCCCTATAGCCAAGACAATCCTAAGCAAAAACAACAAAGCTGGAGGCATCATGCTACCTGGCTTCAGAGTATACTACAAGGCTACAGTAACCAAAACAGCATGGTATTGGTACCAAAACAGTTCTAATAGTTTTATTGTAGACTCTTTAGGTTTTTCCAAATATAAGATTATATCACCTGCAAACGGATTATTTGACTTGTTTCTTTGCAATTTGCATAACTTTTATTTCTATCTCTTGTCTTATTACTCTAGCTAGGACTTCAGTACTATGCTCAATAACAGTGGAGAAAGTGGGCATCATTGTAGTGTTCCAGATCTCTAAGGAAAGGCTTTCAGTTTTTCAAATTCAGTATGATATTTGCTGAGGGTCTATTGTATATGGCTGGGGGCCATATACAATAGTATATAACTATTGTATATAACTAGGCCATTGTATATAACAATGTATATGTCCAGAGCTGCCATCTGGGTGTCTGAGGCTAGAGTCAAAAATGTAAGAAATCTATGTAGTGTTCTATTGTACTGTGGCTAAGCTGGTACTTAAACCACAAGACACAGTCTTTCTCACTCTTTCCTCCCTTTTCCAAAGGCAGAGGAGCTTCATCTTATAGCCTTCACCCCCACAGGCCCATGGGGAATACTACCAGCCTATCACAAATGTTCCCTTAAGACCCAAGGGCTTTTACATCAGCTTGTGATGAATGCTGCATAGCCTGGGACTCACCCTTTAGGGCAATGGGCTCCCCTCTGACCCAAGGCAGGTCCAGAAAGTGACATTCAATATTCAATTCTTGAATTTGAGGTCCTCAAGAACCCACTTGGCACTTTACCCCACTGTAGCCAAGCTGATACCTAAAGTCCAAGACAAATTCCCTTTACTTTTTCTGCTTTTCTCAAGCTGAAGGGGTTTCTTTCTAAATCCACTGCAGTTGGTAATGTGCTGAGTCTCACCTAAAGCCAGAATGTATCAGAGGCTCACCCAAGGCCTTCAATGTAATACCTGGGTATTGCTGCTGGTTATTAAGGACCAAAGGCCTCTTCAATTAGGTGATGAATGCTGCCAGGACTGGGTCCTTTCCTTCAAGACAGCAGGTTTTTTTCTGGCCCAAGTTGTGTCTAAAAATATCTTCTGGGAGCTAGGGCCTTGAATGAGGGCCTCATGCATCTAACTGGTGCCCTGTTCTGCTGTGTCTGAACTGGTATCCAAGATGCAAGGCAAATTCCTTCTCACTCTTTCCTCTCTTCTCCTCAGAAGAATGAAAGGGGTCTCTTTTGTAGCCACAAGCTGTGCAGCCTGGGGTTAGGGAAGGGGTAATGCCAGCATTGCATTAGCCACCCCAGCTGGTGTCTCAGTGCGTTGCGTGACCCTCTCCCCCCAAGTCCACTGCCTCTGAGCCTGGTTCAGCACTAAACTTGTCTAAGAATTGCAGTTCTTATAGCCTAGTCTGCCTTTTGAATTTACTTAGAGGCCTCGAGCACTTTAGCCTGTGGTGGTGAGGCTTGCAGGGATTGAGTTTTGACTGCTGAGATTGGGGATTTTCCTTTGCCGAAGGCTGGTTTAAATGTTCCCTCTGTGGGTGGGCATCAGCTGAGTTTGGTCCATTTTTTATTTCTGCTTTAACAGGACAGCACTGAGTTTAATGTCCCACAATTGTTCTCTTCCTCCCCCAGACCCAGGAAAGTTATCTGCACCACACCACCACTGCAATGGGATGGAGAAGGTGTAGCACCAGTGATTTGAGACTGTTCTCTCTACCTCTTCAGTTCCTCTTTCAGTGATAGAAAGTTAAGACCAGGTAATATGAGTGCTCATCTGATTTTTTGTTATTATGAAGGGTTTCTTTTTGTTTGTTTGTAGGTAGCTGTTAAATTGGTGTCCTTGCAGGGTTGGGTGGATGATGGGTGGAGCCTTCTATTCTGCCATCTTGCTCTTCCTTCTCCTTGTGTAATTGTATAATGTATAATTGTCCCGGTGTAATATACAATTGTTTCTAATTTTTGTGAAGTTCCATTCACCTTTTCTTTGGTTGTCATTTATTTGAGTGATATACTTAAGAAACCATTGCTTAATGCACGTTCATGAAGATTTACATCCATATTTGCTTCAAACAGATTTTTTAGTTTGAGTCCTTACATTAAGGTTTTTAATCCATTTTGAGTTACTTTTCATGTCTTGAGTGGTAAAAGTCTAATTACATTTATTTTGCTTGTGGATATGCAATTATCCAGAACCATTTGTTAGAGACTGTTTTTTTCCCCTATTGAACGGTCTTGGTTCCCTTATCAAAAATTATAATAGCCAAGATATGGAATCAACGTAAGTGTCCATCAATAGATAAGTGGATAAAGAAAATACATATATTACACAATGGAATATTATTCAGCAACTATTAAATAAAATCTTTTCATCTGTGGCAATATGGAGGGAACTGGAGGAGATTATGTTAAATGAAATAAGCCAGGAACACGAAGACATATACTGCATGTTTTCACCCATATGTGAGAGCTAAAAAAATTGCTCTCAGGGATGTAGTGAATAGAATGGTGGTTACCAGAGGCTGAGAAGAGTAGTGAGTGGGTTATAAGGAGGAGTTGGTTTATGGGTACAAAAATACAGTTAGGTAGAAGGAATAAGGTCTAGTGTTCAATAGCACAATAGTGCAACTATACCTAATAATTTATTGTATATTTCAATATAGCTAGAAGAGAAGATTTGAAATGCTGTCTTTTTTTTCAAAAACCTCAATGTTTTTGAGTTAAGATACATACCAGTTATCCAGGTTTGGCCACTACACATTGTATGCTTATATCAAAATATCACATGTACCCATAAATATGTACAACTATTATGTATCCATAAAAAGTAAAAATAAATAAGAATTTTCAAATGAAAATTGTCATAAGTACATGGATTTAGTTCTGGATTTTCAACTTTGTTACACTGATGTATATATCAGTTCTTATTGCCAGTATCACACTATGATTATTAATTTAGAATAATAATAAAAATCATCAAATTTATGCTTTATTTTTAAAATTAAAAAATAATTATTTGCCAAATATTTATTTTTATATCCAGACTAAAGTTTTTAAAAGAAAATTATTGAGGGGGCGGGGCCAAGATGACTGACTAGAAGCAGTTGTGTTCCCAGGCTCTCAAGGATAAAACCATAATAAGCATGTGAATCCTTCACCAGCAACCAAGATATCCAGGTACTCTCATCAAAATTGACTAGAAGGCTGGCTAGATCCATGGAGAGAAGGAAGAGCAGTGTGGTGCCGTGGCCTACCTGAGAGCCACACAGGGAAGGGGAACTCTCTTCCCCCAGCCAAGGGAGGCGGTGAGTGAGCACACTATCCAGCCAGGGAAACTGTGTTTTTTCCATGGAACTGTGCAACCCACGAATCAGAAGTTCCCACTTATCAACCCACACCACTAAGGCCTAGTATCCCAAATCCAGAATGCACAGATTCTTACAGTCTCTCAGCAGGAATCTGCTTAAGCCTACTGAACTCCTGGGGAAAGGGGCAACCACCATCACCTGTCCCTGTCTCATTCTTTTGAGCTCCTTGAGGGAGGGGCAGCAGCCAGTACTGGGACTTGCAACTGCCTAAGCAGTTGCATCACACTAAGCTCCCTGGGCAAGGGAAGGGTGACACCCATTTCTATAGCTCCAGGCTGTGCCTTTCCCCTGCTGGAGCCAGGGAGGCTGGATAGCTTGTTCGCAAGACTTGTCCCCACAGCCTAACACACCAGCTGTGGCAGTCTGTGGCCAGAGTGCCCTTTCAGGCTTACTCCAACCAATCCTTCCTCATTGGACAGGTCTTCCCTGCAGGGTCTCCAATAACTCTGGCAAGAGGCTCAGGGACAGAAGTCAGATCTCCCTGGGCCTGAGCCCCTAAGTGGAGGGGTGGCCACAGTCTCTGCAGACCAGTAGACTTACCCTCTCCTCCTGGTAGTTCTGAGGAATCCGGGCATCCCAGATGAGTGGGTTCCCACACTAGCAAAGCACACCCTCTCCACCAAGGGACAAAGTGCTTTTTTAAAAGGGTCCTGCTCCCCAACTGCCACCCAACTGAGTGAGACCCCCCAACAGGGGTTGTCAGACACCCTATACAGGAGCAATCCTACTGGCATCAGGTTGGTGCCCCTCAAGGTTAGAGGTCCCAGAAGAAGGAGAAGGCACCCATCTTTGCTGCTCTCCAGCACCCTTGAGTAACATCTCCAGGCATGGGAAGAAATCAGATGAATAAGGTCTCAAGCAAACCCCAGCAAACTGCAGCAGCCCTCCAGAAGAGGGACCTGAGTATTGAAAGAAAAACAAACAGAAAGTTAAAGCAACAGCATTAACAGCAACAACAACAACAACAAGGCCCCCACAAAAACCCCATCCAAGGGTCTGCAGCCTCAAAGACTAAAACTAGACACACTCATGAAGATGAGAAAGAATCAATAAAAAAAAATGCTGAAAACCCAAAAAGCCAGAGTGCCTTTTCTCCTCCAAATGAGTGCAACATCTCTCCATCAAGGGCACAGAACTGGATGGAGGATGAGATGGATGAATTGGTAGAAGTAGGCTCCAGAAGATGGGTAATAAAAAACTATGATGAGCTAAATGAGCATGTTCTAACCCAATGCAAAGAAGCTAAGAACTTTGATAAAAGGTTAGAGTAATCGCTAACTAGAACAACCAGTTTAGAGAGAAACAGAAATGACCTGATGGAGCTGAAAAATATAGCATGAGAACTTCATGAAGCGTACACAAGTATCAGCAGCCAGATCGACCAAACAGAAGAAAAGATATCAGAGTTTGAAGACCACCTTACTGAAATAAGACCTACAGACAAGAATAGAAAAAAAAAAAAGAATGAAAAGGAATGAACAAAGCCTCCAATAAATATGGGACTTCATATAAAGACTGAATCTACAATTGATTGGAGTACCGGAAGGAAACAGGGAGAATGTAAACAAGCTGGAAAGCACACTTCAGGATATTATTCAGGATAATTTCCCCAACCTACCAAGACAGGCTAACATGCAATTTCAGGAAATACAGAGAACACCATTAAGATACTCCATGAGAAGATCAACCCCAGACACATAATTATCAGATTCACATACAACAATCATAAAATGATCATAAAATCATAGCATAAAATCATAAAATCATAGCATAAAAATGAATGTGATTGGAAACATACTGTTTTTCTCTCTAAACTATAGCTTAAAGACCCAGTGGTGGAAAGTTTCTTGGTTCTGTATTGTATGTACCTTTTTTATTTGCACAAAGCAGGTGCTCAAAATAAATGTGCATTTAGTACTTGAATTAATGAATGAATGAAGAATATATTTCACAACCAGTGCATAAATGTGCAGTGTGTAAAATTATGTGCAAACAGGTAGATCATCACTGCCTCAATGTGAAGCACTGGTGACCAAAGTTTGTAAATTCTCAACATAACTTGAAATAAGGGTATTGGCAATGTACATAAGTTGCCCCTGAATTGAGATAAGCAAATCAAACTATTCAGTACATTCCTATGAATACATTTGAATTCAAGCATTCATGTCTTGGAAAAGACAAACTAATCTTGGAGTTGCAGCCTTACCAACAACTGTAACAATTTGTAACAATTCACTTAATACCTGTAAATCTATGAGTCCCTATGTCTTAATCCACTTGGGCTGCTATAAAAAAATACTGTAAACTTGGTGGCTTATAAACAACAGAAATTTACTTTTTCCAATTTTGAAGACCAAAAGTGCAAGTTCAGGGTGTTAGCATGGGCAGGTTCTGCTGAGGGTCCTCTTCCAGGTTGCAGACTGCCTTCTGGTTTTGTCCTCACAAGGCAGAAGGAGTGAGAGAGCTCTCTGAGGGTCTCTTTTATATAGAATCTAATCCCATATATGAGACCTCTGCCCTACTCAGCTCACAAAGGCCTCACCACCAAATATCATCACATTGGGAGGTAGAATTTCTTCATATGAATTTTTGGGGAGACATAAACATTCAGTCCATAACAGTCTATAAAATTAGGGATTTCCACTCAATAATCCTTAAATTCCCTTCTGTTACTCTTTACAATTATATATATACATATATATATATATTTATATATCTATACACACACATACATATGTGTGTGTATGATGTATATATATCTAGCTATATATTTCTCTATATGTAATGTTATAATTCTATAATACCACTAGGTAAGTGTTGTGTTTGTTTGTGTTATCGCTGATGAATTTTGTCTTCCTGAAGAACTTTAGTGAGCCCAGCTAGCACACATTCATGACATATGGTTGCTTTGGCTGCAGGAATCTAAAACTGAATAAAGCCAGGAAGCCTGCTCTTTCTGCTTCTCTCCAAAAAAGGTCAAACTAAATCTTCCATCATATAACTCTAATGCGAGGAAGCAAGAAGCAGAACTACATCCTGCCATTTGCCCCTTGCCCCTGCCTGAGGAGGCAGACCAGAATTAAGGGAGTTTAGGGCTCTAAACTGCTACTCTAAATATATTTGGACAGGACACAAGTGAGTACTCTTCTCATAGATGAGCCCACGAGTAAATATCAAGTTTTCCTAGCAAATAAAATACAAGAGAGAGAGCACTTTTTAAAATTAGTCCATAGCAACATGCAAAATCTGATGAAAGAGGCTACAAATGATGCTGTTTCTGTAAAAGCATTTTCTTTGCTAAATTAATATGATTATAAATTGAAAAATAGTTTTATATTCCTTTTATTGAGTGTGGTCTTTCACAGCAGTACTGGGATCACAATAATAATGGTATTTTAATAAAATACTGGACATATTCCTCTGCTATAGAATGTCTTTTAAAAAATCAAGTCAAAGAATTATATTATTTATTGTGATAAAAAGTTTTAACATGAGATCTACCCTCTTAACAAATTTTTAAGTGCACAATACAATATTGTTAACTCTAGGCACAATGTTGTCCAGCAGATATCTAGAATGTATTTGTCTTATATAACCTAAATTTTATCCCTATTAAACAGCAACCTCCCATTCCATTCCCCACAACCCATGGCACCTGCCACTGTACCTCTGCTTCAATGAGTCTGCCTATTTTACATTCCTTATATAAGTGGAGTCCTAAAGTATTTGTCTTTATGCAACTGGCTTATTTAACTTAGCATAACGTTCTCAAAGTTTATTCATGTTGTTGCCAAGGGCAGGATTTCCTTCTTTTATAAGGCTGAATAATATTACATTGTATGTGTGCCATATTTTCTTTATCCATTCATACATTTATGGGCATTTGGGTTGTCTCCTTATCTTGGCCATTGTAAATAATGCTGCAATGAACATGGGAGTGCATATACCTCTTCCAGATCCAGATATCAGCAGCTTATAATTGCCATATGATCCTTAGAATATATGGCAGTTCTATTTTTAATTTGGGGGAAACCTCAGTATTCTTTTGCATAGATGCTGCACCATTTGTCATTTCCACGAATGGTGTACAAGGGTTTGCCAACACTTGTTACCTGTTATTTTTTGATAGTATCTATTTTTTGATAATATCTATCCTAACAGGTGTGAGGTGATATCTTGCTAAAGTTTTTATTTATATTTCTTTTTAAAATTTTTTTTTATTATACTTTGAGTTCTGGGATACGTGTGAAGAACATGCAGGCTTGTTACATAGGTATACACATGCCATAGTGGTTTGCTGCACCCATCAACCCATCACCTAAATTAGGTATTTCTCCTAATGCTATCCCTCCCCTAGCCCCCAACCCCCAGACAGTCCCCAGTGTGTGATGTTTCCCTCCATGTGTCCATGTGTTCTCATTGCTCAACTCTCACTTATGAGTGAGAACATGTGGTGTTTGGTTTTCTGTTCCTGAACTTATGAGCTCAAGATTGGGGCAAAGAGGTTGAAGCAAAGAGGCTGGGGCAAAGTTACAGATTAACAGCATCTCAGGGCAAAGCAATTGTTCAGGGTATAGGTCAAAATGGAATTTCTTATGTCTTCCCTTTCTACATAGACACAGTAACAGTCTTATCTCTCTTTCTTTTCCCTACATGCCTGTTTTCATGATATTGGTTCTTCCTATTTATGAGGATGGAATGTTTTTCCATGTTTTATATCCTCTTTTAATTCCTTGAGCAGCGGTTTGTAGTTCTACTTTAAGAGGTCCTTCACATCCCTTGTTAGCTGCATTCTGAGGTATTTTATTCTCTTTGTAGCGATTGTGAATGAGAGTTCATTCACTATTTGGCTCTCTGCTTGCATATTGTTGGTGTAAAGGAATGCTTGTAATTTCTGCACATTGATTTTTTATCCTGAGACTTTGCCGAAGGTTATCAGTTCAAGAAGTTTTGCAGCTGAGATAACTGGGTTTTCTAAATATAAAATCGTGTCACCTGCAAACAGAGACAACTTGAATTCCTCTCTTCCTGTTTGAATACCCTTTATTTCTTTCTCTTCACTGATTGCCCTGGCCAGAACTTCCAATATTATGTTGAATATGAGTGGTGAGAGAGAGCATCTTTGTCTTGTGCTGGTTTTCAAATGGAATGCTTCCAGCTTTTGCTCATTCAATATGATATTTTCTGTGGGTTTGTCATAAATAGCTCTTATTATTTTCAAATATCTTCCATCAATACATAGTTTATTAGGAGTTCTTAACATGAAGGTATGCTGAATTTTATCAAGGGCCTTTTCTGCGTCTATTGAGATAATCATGTGGTTTTTGTCATTGGTTCTGTTTATGTGATGGATTACATTTATTGATTTGCATATGTTGAACCAGACTTGCATCCCTGGGATAAACCTGACTTGATCATGGTGGTTAAGTTTTTTAATGTACTGCTGGTTTCAGTTTGTCAGTATTTTATTAAGGATTTTTGCATCAATGCACATCAGGAATATTGGCCTGAAGTTTTCTGGTTTTGTTGTTTCTTCTCCCAGTTTTGGTATCCTGATGATGCTGGCTTCATACAATGAGTTAGGGAGGACACCCTCCTTTTCAATTGTTTCAAGTTTCAGAAGGAATGGTTTCAGCTCCTCTTTGTATTTCTGGTAGAATTCGGCTGTGAATCTGTCTGGTCCTGGGTTTTTTTTTTTTTTTTTTTTGATTCTTAGTCTATTAATTAATGCCTCAATTTCAGAACTTGTTATTGATTTCTTCATAGATTTAATTTCTTCCTGGTTTAGTCTTGGTAGGGTGTATGCATCCAGGAATTTATCCATTTCTTCTAGATTTTCTATTTTATTTGCATAGAGGTGTTTATAGTATTCTCTGATGGTAGTTTGTATTTCTGTGGGGTTAGTGGTGATATGCTGTTTATCATTTATTATTGTGGCTATTTGATTCTTCAAAATTGGCTATTTTTTTTTCAGAAAAGCAGTTCCCAGATTCATAATTTTTTGGAGAGTTTTTCATGTCTCTATCTCCTTCAATTCTTCTCTAATTTTAGTTACTTCTTGTCTTCTGCTAGCTTTTGGATTAGTTTGCTCTTGTCTCTCTAGGTCTTTCAATTGTGATGTTAGGGTGTCGATTTGAGATCTTTCTAGCTTTCTGATGTGAGCATTTAGTGCTATAAAATTCCCTCTTAACACCGCTTTAGCTGTGTCCCAGAGATTCTGGTATGTTGTCTCTTTGTTCACATTGGTTTCAAAGAACTTGATTTCTGCCTTTGTGTGCCTTCTTCTTGTACAATGTCATTAAGATCTCTGTGCTTTATAGCTTCAAATAAGCTTATTGCAAGCAATATTTTACATTTATATTTTCTATTTTCTATTTTCTATCAAGTCACTTTCCAAACTACATACATATATCATCACTGTTGGTAACTGACTCATAGGATAGTAAATACACAGAGGTAATACTTTTGCCCAACACACAAAAAGATTAGATGGAAAACAGAATGATAGGTCACCCTGAAAACAAAACAATATGTAACAAAACAAACACTAACTCTTGTCTTCTTTTAAACAAACCACCCTAGAAGACTTTTTTACCTGCAGAGAGAATTCAAAACATTAAATCATTTAGCATGATTTTTAAATACCTCATTTAAGCAGAATTGAAAGAAAATTGAGATCCCAAAATCCATATAAAGAATCAACAAAACCAGAAATTGTTTATTTGAAAGGATAAAGAAGATTGATAGGCCACTAGTAAGACTAACAAAGAAAAAAAAAGAGAGGATCTAAATAAGTGCAATCAGAAATGACAAAGGAAACACTACAACTAATCCCACAGAAATAAGAAAGATTCTCAGAGACTATTATGAACACCTCTATGGACACAAATTAGAAAATCTAGAGAAAATGGATAAATTCCTGGAAACACACAACTTCCCAAGGTTGAATCAGAAAGAAACTGAAACCTTGAACAGACTAATATCGAGTTCTAAAATTGAATTGGCAGTAAGCCTGCCAACTAAAAAGCCTTGAATTACATAAATTCAAAGCCAAATTCTACCAGACGTACAGAGAAGAGCTGGTACCAATTCTACTGAAACTATTTAAAAAAAATAGAGGAGAAGGTTTTTCTTCCTAATTCATTCTATGAAGCCAGCATCACCCTAATACCAAAACCTGATAAAAATACAATAAAAAAGAAAATGATGGGCCAATATCTCCGATGAACACAGATGCAAAAGTACTCTACAAGATACTAGCAAACTGAATCCAGCAGCACATGAAAAAATTAATTGATTAATTGACAAGAGGGAACTAATTAAACTAAACAGCTTCTGCACAGCAAAATAAACTATTAATAGAGTAAACAGACAACCAACAGAACTGGGAGAAAATATTCACAAACTATGCATCCAGCAAAGGTCTAATATCCAGAATCTATAAGTAGGAACAATTCAACAAGCAAAAGGAAATAGCCCTATTAAAAAATGGGCAGAGGACATGAACGGACACTACTGAAAAGAAGACAAATAAGCAACTAATCTGAAAAAATTCTGAATATCGCTAATCATCATAGAAACACAAATAAAAACCACAATGAGATACCATCTCACACCAGTCACAATGGTTATTTTTAAAAAGTTAAAAAAAAGTAGATGCTGGTGAGGCTGTGGAAAAAAAGGAATGCTTGTACACTGTTGGTGGACAGGGTAAATTAGTTCAGCCACTGTGGAAAGCAGTTTGGAGATTTCTCAAAGAACTTAAAACAGAACTACCACCTTACCCAGCAATCCCACTACTGAGTATATATGCCAAGGAAATTATATCATTCTACCAAAAAGTCACATGCACGTATATGTTGATCACTGCACTATTTACAATAGCAAAGACATGGAATCAACCTAGGTGCCCATCAGTGGTGGACTTGATAAAGAAAATGTGGCACATATACACCATGGAATACTATGCAGCCATAAAAAAGAATAATATTATATTCCTTGTAGCAACATGGATGCAGCTGGAGGCCATTATCCTGGGCAAATTAATGCAGGAACAGAAAACCAAATACTGCATTTTCTTACTTATAAGTGGAAGCTAAACATTGGGTATGCATAGACATAAAAATGGGAGCAATAGATATTGGAGATTACTAGTGGGAAGAAAGGGAGGGCGGCAAGGGCTGAAAAACTTTCTATTAGGTACTATCCTTGCTGCATAGTGACAGGCTCATTTATACCTCAAACCTCAACATCACACAATATATCCATGTAAAAAACTTGCACATGTTTCCCCTTAGTCCAAAACAAAAGTTGAAATTATTTTTTAAATATCTCCTTTAAAACTTCTTTTCCTAGTAGGGTAGAAACTAGTTTCACTCTACATTTTTATGGAATTTCAGAAGTTCATTAAACTTATGCAGAGGATGTAAGAACATTGGTATCAGTGTTATTTATGATATATCTTCACAAAAAGTTATTCAGGGCTTCCAGAAACTCAAGAATGGGTATAAAAATAAGCAGGCCTAAGGCACAAACTATTTTTAATAATAGAGGGTCTATAATTAGTTGAATTCCTGTAGTGTAACAAACTTCTTGTGGCCATTTTCATATAAAGAAAATCATTGACTTAATGACGGTTTAACTGACGATAATTTGACTTCAGAATGGTGTGAAAGTGATACACATTCAATAGAAACCATACTTCAAAATTTGATTTTTGATCTTTTCTCAGGCTACCGATATGCAGTATGATTCTCTTTCACAATGATGGGTAGCAGCAGCCAGACACAGCACCCAGTCCACCATGCTTTTGTAAGAGTAAACAACTGATACTCTATAGTGTGCCATGTTGCCAGATGGTTTTGGTCAACTGTAGGCTAATGTAAGTGTTTAAGCACTTTTAAGGTAGACCAGGCTAGGTTATGATGGTCTGAAAGATTGGTGTAGTAAATGCATTTTGAACTGACAACATTTTCATATTATGAAGGGTTCATTAGGACATGACCACATCATGTGTCAAAGAACATCTCTATTATCTTCTATCTTTACAACAATAGTACCAGATTGACATGTTATTTTTATTTAATAATTGAGAAAACTGAGGCTCAGGATGTAAAGTGATATCCTCCAGGCTAGAATTACATAGCTGAGATTTGAAGCCACATTAATGTCATTCCAAAGTCTTTGCTTATTCCACTAAACAACTTTGTCCCATGTGTATACAGCTTTGATTTTTTTTTTTCATTAGCCAGAAGGAATGAGAAAACGTAGTCTCTATTTCTCAGGCTTCCAGTATCTAAACCTGTCTTTCATAGTCCATAAGCCATTCTCTCAGGCTTGGAACCAGTTTATCCGGGCCTGAAAACCTGAACTCCCTTCAAGAAGCCAGGTACTCCACATTTTCACTTACCTTGGACTTCAGTTCCTTTATTATAACATTCATTCTACTATTTCCAATTTGAATAACGTTGAATGAGGCAACTAGCACATATTATTGGGTTAAACATTTATGCTTTATTTCCAAACATGCTTTATTCCCTATCAACAATTCATTCCTTTTATCACTAGATAAAGTACTCTGAACAGTATTGCCTATTGACCTTACCGGCTGGAGCAATTGACAAACATTCAGACTCATATACTATATACTTTCTTTTAGAATGCAATAGAAATAATCTGGCCATTTCAGGAGATTTGCTTTACTTCAAAACTTGTAACACAGATAATAATATTCTTAACCATAGCATCAATTTATTGGCCACAGAGGTTCTAGTTTTTAAATCATTCTAATTTATTTCACAGAATTGTAGACATATTGACCTGTATGCAATACTTCATATATTCTTGTATTTTAAATATATTTTATGAGAAGGAAACCTTAAATTTATCCAAATCAACAAGTTCTCTCAATATCAATTAGATTACCTTTCCAGAAACATAAACAAGAAGTATATTTAACACCAGAAACATTTATTTTCTTTAGACTAAGTTCTAAAAAGTCAGAAAGTCTGGCTGTTCTAACTCTTCTCCATCTGTCATTGTACTGTCCCTTGGAGAGTAACTCCTTCCAATATATCACAATCTGGATTATTTCATTACATGAAAATATGTACTCAACTGTTATTATATTTAATTACATAAGACTTCAAAAAATGTGCTTTGGCTAAATCTTTTCCTTGAGAATGTTAATTTTCTTCCACAGTATAAATCAGTTTGAGAATCACCATGTGCTTGAATAAAGTAAATAGTATGCAAATCCAAATATCAAAGTGTGTTTTGCAGTAAATGAGCAGGAGAAATATTGTCCAGAAATAAAGAAACAGAGCCATGGTATAAGAATGTCAGACCTTGGAGATCGTGTCATCTTGTGGACAAGGAAATTAAGGACAAGAAAGATGAAATGACTCGCTAAGTAACAGGACAAGTTTATTACTGAGCCATGAAGAGAACACCTATTCTGTATAAGCTGTTTAGACCACTATATTACTTATTTTTAACACTCACTGTGCATCTGAATTGATTGGGGAGCTCTTAAAAATACAGATGTCTGGGCCTCCTCTCCAAGGATTTTGATTCAATTCATTGATAATGGGGTCAAGTCATCTGTATTTCTTAAGCCACTCCCTCTTCACCTGCTTCAGCTATCTACCAAGAATGAGAGCTACCAAACTATACTATGCTGCCTCTCTAACATTTTGGACATAAATCACTGCCTTTGAAGCTACATGAATGGAGATGTCCATTCTCCTTAATGAATCTAATAAGAGCTTCACTTGATGGAGTGTATTAAAGAATGTACTACACAAATGGCATGCTTATAAAGGAATGTTGAAGTGTTGTCCCAGACACTTAGCCTTCAGTTTAAAATTAAGAGAATTGTGGATTCATAATCTCCATATTTTTAGGGAATTATTGGTTGTTATATATAAAATGTGCTTCACGAAGCCATCACTGAACCTCCTTCTCTCCAGTCTGGCTTAGATGTCCCTCCTATGTCCTTTCATAGCACTCTGGGATTAGATCTGTAATAGCAGTTACCACATTGCATAAAATTTATTTATTTTTGCCTATTTCTCCCACTAGGCTGTGAGAAAAAACAAGGGAAGAATTCTGTTATTCATTTTTGTATTTCCAGAATTTAGCATCTTTTCTGGTACAAAGTAAATAATAAATACCAGTTAAACTAAACTAAATTTGGAGTATTAAAAGAACAATATTATAATGAGTTTATCAAATAAAAGAGAAAGAGGTTTCCAATCCAGAGTAGACAAAGATAATGGAAAAGAGTGTCTTGTGCCAGTAGGACAAAAGTATGGATGCCTCTTCTATTCTCATAAGGAAAGGGTAAGATGTGTATCAAGTTCTTGTACTAGTAGGCTTACATATGTTGTCTCATTACATGCTCACAAATATCTTCCAAAGTAGTTTTCATTACTTCTGATTATCGTATATAGAAGTTGATGCTAAGAGAAACTGGTTAATTAATTAACCTGCCCATAGTTATTCAGGTAGTATGTGATAGAGGCAAATTTCAAGCTCAGGTTTTTCTGGCTCTGTAACCTTGCTTTTATGATTATCCTTAAAACTTTACCTTTTATTAAGTTCATTTATTATTCTCTATCACAGAGTAAAATTCCAGAGAAAAGAAGTTCATTTAAAATCTCCATTACCCAGGGACTTTTTAGCCTGTTTCTTGTAATGTTGAATCCCCAGTGCTTGAACAGCCCACATACAGTAAGTGCTGAAAAAATATTGTTGAATCAGTAACAAATGAGTGACTAAGATGTTGATTTACTCTTAACCAATAGTTCCATTTACTCCTAGTAATGCTTATTCCTGTCTATCATATGTACAAATTTCTTACACATAGATTATCACTAATAATAGATATTCAAGTCCCATCCTATAAATTTTACCTTTGCTCTTCATGTCTTTTATTATTATTATTATACTTTAAGTTCTAGGGTACATGTGCACAATGTGCAGGTTAGTTACATATGTATACATGTGCCATGTTGGTGTGCTGCACCCATTAACTCGTCATTTACATTAGGTATATCTCCTAATGCTATCTCTCCCCCTCCCCCACCCCACAACAGGCCCCAGTGTGTGATGTTCCCCTTCTTGTGTCCAAGTGTTCTCATTGTTCAATTCCCACCTATGAGTGAGAACATGTGGTGTTTGGTTTTTTGTCCTTGCTATAGTTTGCTGAGAATGATGGTTTCCAGCTTCATCCGTGTCCCTACAAAGGACATGAACTCATCATTTTTTAAGGCTGCATAGTATTCCATGGTGTATATGTGCCACATTTTCTTAATCCAGTCTATCATTGTTGGACATTTGGGTTGATTCCAAGTCTTTGCTATTGTGAATAGTGCCACAATAAACATACGTGTGCATGTGTCTTTATAGCAGCATGATTTATAATCCTTTGGGTATATACCCAGTAATGGGATGGCTGGGTCAAATGGTATTTCTAGTTCTAGATCCCTGAGGAATCACCACACTGACTTCCACAATGGTTGAACTAGTTTACAGTCCCACCAACAGTGTAAGTATATAACTTGCTTATGTCAATATTAGCTCAGGAATTACGTGGGATATTCCTGCAGTTATGGTCAATTAGTAGGCAGAACTGCGGGGAGCTGGGGAAGTTAGAACAAAGAGAAAAGACAGGCACTGACTAAGCTTCTATACTCTAAAGTAAACCCAAGAAATCTCACAGGTATAAGGGTTTTTCTCTTTGTTTATTGACTCTTTGGGAAGCAAGGTCCAAGACATATTTTAATGTTCATGACAAGAGCATGGGTAAGGAAGGGCAGGATAGCACTTTGGTTTGGTATTTAAATGAAAGCTTCAGTTTATTTTTCCCAAATTAAAAAAAAATGCGTGTTGCATAGTAATTAAAACTTATGAGCTGCATAGTATTCCATGGTGTATATGTGCCACACTTTCTTTATCCAGTCTATCATTGATGGTCATTTGGGTTGGTTCCAAGTCTTTGCTATTGTGAACAGTGCTGCAATAAACATATGTGTGCATATGTCTTTATAGTAGAATGATTTATAATCCTTTGGGTATATACCCAGTAATGGGGTTGCTGGACCAAATGGTATTTCTGGCTGTAGATCCTTGAGGAATCGCCACACTGTCTTCCACAATGGTTGAACTAATTTACACTCCCACCAACAGTGTTAAAGCGTTCCTATTTCTTGGCATCCTCTCCAGCATCTGTTGTTTCCTTTTTAATGATTGCCATTCTAACTGGTGTGAGATGGTAACTCATTGTGGTTTTTATTTGCATTTCTCTAATAACCTGTGATGATGAACTCTTTTTCATATGTTTGTTGGCCATAAAAATGTCTCCTTTTGAGAAGTGTCTGTTCATATCCTTGTAGGATAGTTTGAAGTCAGGTAGCGTGATGCCTCCAGCTTTGTTCTTTTTGATTAGGAATTGTCTTGATTATACGGGCTCTTTTTTGGTTCCATATAAAATTTAATATAGTTTTTTCTAATTCTGTGAAGAAAGTCAATGGTAGCTTGATGAGGATAGCATTGAATCTATTAATTACTTCGGGCAGTATGGCCATTTTCATGACATTGATTCTTTTTATCCATGAGCATGGAATGTTTTTCCATTTGTTTGTGTCCTCTCTTATTTCCTTGAGCACTGGTTTGTAGTTCTCCTTGAAGAGGTCCTTCATATCCCACGTAAGTTGTATTCCTAGACATTTTACTCTCTTTGTAGCAATTGTGAATGGGTGTTCACTCATGATTTGGCTCTCTGTTTGTCTCTTATTGGTGTATAGGAATGCTTCTGATTTTTACACATTGATTTTGTATCCTGAGACTTTGCTGAAGTTACTTATCAGCTTAAGGAGATTTTGGGCTGAGATGATGGGGTTTTCTAAATATACAATCATGTCATCTGCAAACAGAAACAATTTGGCTTCCTCTCTTCCTATTTGAATACGCTTTATTTCTTTCTCTTGCCTGATTGCCCTGGCCAGAATTTCTAATATTATGCTGAATAGGAGTGGTGAGAGAGGGCATCCTTGTCTTGTGCTGGTTTTCAAAGGGAATGTTTCCAGCTTTTGCCCATTGAGTATGATATTGGCTGTGGGTTTCTCATAAATAACTCTTATTATTTTGAGATACATTCCATCAATACCTAGTTTATTGAGAGTTTTTAGCATGAAGTGATGTTGAATTTTACTGAAGGCCTTTTCTGCATGTATTGAGATAATCATGTGGGTTTTGTCATTGGTTCTGTTTATGTGATGGATTATGTTTATTGATTTGTGTATGTTGCACCAGCCTTGCATCCCAGGGATGAAGCTGACTTGATGGTGGTGCTGGATTCGGTTCGCCAGTATTTTATTGAGGATTTTCACATTGATGTTCATCAGGGATATTGGCCTGAAATTTTCTTGTTTTGTTGTGTCTCTGCCAGGTTTGGGTATCAGGATGATGCTGGCCTCATAAAAATGAGTTAGGGAGGATTCCCTCTTTTTCTATTGTTTGGAAGAGTTTCAGAAGGAATGCTACCAGCTCCTCTTTGGACCTCTGGTAGAATTCGGCTGTGAATTTGTCTGGTCCTGGGCTTTTTTAGGTTGGTAGTCTATTAATTATGGCCTCAATTTCAGAACTTGTTATTGGTCTATTCAGGGGTTTGACTTCTTCCTGGTTTAGTCTTGGGAGGGTGTATGTGTCCAGGAATTTACTCATTTCTTCTATATTTTCTAGTTTATTTGCATAGAGGTGTTTATAGTGTTCTCTAATGGTAGTTTGTAACTCTGTGAGATCAGCAGTGATACTCCCTTTATCATTTTGTATTGTGTCTATTTGATTCTTCTCTCTTTTCTTCTTTATTAGTCTGGCCAGCAGTCTATCTAGTTTGTTAATCTTTTCAAAACATCAGCTCCTGGATTCATTGATTTTTTTGAAAGGTTTTTCATGTCTCTCTCCTTCAGTTCTGCTCTGATCTTAGTTGTTTCTTGCCTCCTGCTAGCTTTTGAATTTGTTTGCTCTTGCGTCTCTAGTTATTTTTATTGTGATGTTAGGGTGTCGATTTTAGATCTTTCCTGCTTTCACCTGTGGGCATTTAGAGCTATATATTTCCCTCTTAACAGTGCTTTAGCGGTATCCCAGAGATTCTGGTACCATATGTATTTGTTTTCATTGGTTTCAAAGAACTTTAGTGGTGTAGAGCATATCAACATATACCTATTGCCCATTTGTTGTTTTTCTTGGAAGAAATATCTATTCAAGACCTTTGCCCACTTTCAAGTTGAGTTATGTATTGATTTATTTATTCTTGCTATTGAGTTGTAGGAGTTTCTTATATATTTTGATATTAATTTCTCATTTGGTATATGGTTTGGGATTGTTTTTCTGCAATTCTACATGTTGCCTTTACAGTCCACTGATTGTTACCTTTTCTGTGCAAAAGATTTTAGTTTTAAATAGTCCCATTTTATTTTTGTCTTTGATGCCTGTACTTTGGTGTCATATCCATGAAATCATTGCCTGGACAAACGTCAATAAACTTTTTTCCCTATGTTTTCTTCTAGGAGCATAAGAGTTTCAAGTGTTACATTTCTCTTTAATCTATTCTGAGTTTATTTTTGTGTAGAGTGTATGATAAAAGTCCAATTTAATTCATTTTTATATGTGGATATCCAGTTTTCCCAGCACCATGTGTTTAAGAGACTAAACTTTCCCCATTGTGTACTCTTCCCACCCTTATCAAAGATCAATTGACAATACATGTACAGATATATTTCTGGGCTCTCTATTCTGTTTCATTCATCTACATGCCTGTCTCTATGTCATTATCACCGGTTTTAATTACTCTAACTATGTAATATATTTTACATTCAAGAAGTGTGATTTCCCTTACTTTGTTCCTCTTTCTTAAGATCACTTTGGCAATTAAGGAGTCTTTTGTAATTTCATATGAATTTCAGAATTTTATTTTCTATTTCTGTGAACAATGTCATTGGAATTTTGATAAGGATTGAATTAAATCCGTAGATTATTTTGAGTAGTATGGACATTTTAATAATATTAATTCATCCTATACATGAACATGACATGTCTTTTCATTTGTTTGTGCATGTTAATGCTTTCAGTAATATTTTTCAGTTTTCAGTGTTCAAGTCTTTTACCTTCTTAGTTAAGTTTATCCCTAAGTATTTTATTTTTACTGGTGCTATTGTAAATGGATTTTTTCCCTGATTTATTTACAGATAGTTGATGGTTACTGTTTAGAAACACAAGTAATATTTATATGTTGATTTTGTATCCTGCAACTATATTGAATTTGTGTATTAGTTCTAATCATTTTGTTGATGGAATCTTTAGGGTTTCCTATACATAAGATTCTGTCATCTGCAAAGAGAGACTATTTAACTTCTTCCTTTCTGATTAGCATGACTTTCATTTCTTTTTCTTGACTAATTGCCCTGGCTTGTTATTCCAATACAATATTAAATGCAAGTGGTGAGAGTGGACATCATTGTCTTTTTCTGATTTCAGAGGAAAGGTTTTCAACTTTTTACCATAGAGTGTGATTTTAGCTGTGAGCTTGTCATGTATGGCCTTTATTATGTTAAGATACTTCTATATCTAGTTTGGTAGAAGCCATCAGGTCCAGGGCTTTTTGTTGATGAGATATTATTACTGATTAAATCCTTTTACTTACTATTGATCTGTTCAGCTTTTCAATTTCTTCATAATTCAGTCTTGATAGTTTTCATGCATCTAAGAATCTATTCAATGTTATTTAAGTTGTTAATGTATAATTGTTCATAGCAGTCTCTGTTCCTGAAAATGCTCATTAATAATTAATCAAAGAAGAATTTGAAAAAGAAATTTAAACATATGAAAAACACAAAGGGAAATACAATATACCAAAACTTATTAGAAGCCACAAAAGGAGTTCTAAAATAGATGTTTATTGCACTAACCACATACATCAAAAAGAATAAAGATCTCAAATAATCTAAACTTGCCCCTAAAAGAACTAGAAAAAAAATCACACGAAGCCTGAAGTTAGTAAAAAGAAAGAAAAATAATAAATATCAAAGCAGAAATAAACTAGAAACTAAATAAACAATAGAAAATATCAAAGAAACTAGGTTAGTTTTTGAAAAGATAAACAAAATTGATAAGCCCTTAGCTAGACTAAGAAAACAAAAACAAGACTCAAATAAATAAAATCAGAAATAAAACAGGTAACATTGCAACTGATACCACAGAAATACAAAATATCATAAGTGGCCACTGAAAAAAATGTATGCCAACAAACCAGATAGCTTAGAATAAATGGATTAATTTCTGGACATAAAACCTACCAAAATTGAATCATGAAGAAATACAAAATCTAAACAGACCAGTAGTGAATTAGGAAATTGATTGAGTAACAAAATGTCTCCCATCAAAGAAAAGCCCAGCAACTAATGGCTTCACTGCAGAATTCCACAAACATTTAATGAACAACTAATAGCAATTCTTCACAAATTATTTCAATGTAAAATAGATGAATACTCCTAAACTCATTTAATGAGGCCAGCATTACCCTGATACACAAGCCAGACCAGGGCAATCTAAGAAAAAAGTATTACAGGCAGATATCCCTGATAAATATAGATACAAAATTTCTTGACAAGATAGTAGCAAAGCAAATTCAACAGCACATTATAAAGATCATTCACCATGGTCAAGTGGGATTTATCACTATGATGCAAGAATGATTCAATATACACAAATAAATAAATATGATACATCACATTAACAAAATGAGGGGAAAAACATAAGATCATCTCAATAGAAGCAGAAAAGTCATTTAATAAAATTCTGCATTCTTTCATGCCATATTCTCAAGAAATCAGTTATAAAAGAAATTTACCTCAACAGTATAAAAGCCATATATGACAAACCATAGATAGCATCATATTCAATGGTGTAATGTTGTAAAGTTAACTCCAGGATCAGATACAAGGCAAAGATGCTCCCTCTTACTACTTACATTTAACATGGTACTGGAAGTCCTAGCCAGGGCAATAAAATGAGATAAAAGAATAAAAAGCATCAAAATCAGAAAGAAGAAGTAAGTTTTTCTTTGTTTACAGATGACATGATGTTATATACAGAACACTCTAAAGACTCTAACAAAAAGTATTTGAACTAATAAAAGATTCAGTAAAGTTGAAGGATACAAAATAAGTATACAAAATTTGTAGTGTTTCTATACACTAAAAATGAACTATTCAATAAAGAAGTTGGGAAAACATTCCCCTTCACAATAACTACAAATAATAAAATACTAAGAAATAAATGTAACCGAGGAAATGAAAGATCTGTACCCTGAAAACTATAAAATATTGATGAAAGAAGGTGAAGACACAAATAAACAAGAAGACAAGAAATGTCTCATGTTCATGAATTGGAATAAATAATAATGTTAAAATATCCATACAACCCAAAAAATCTACAGATTCAATACAACTGCTGTGAAAACTCCACTGGCATTTTTTTTAAAATAAAAAATTACTGAAATTTGTATGGAACCTCAAAAGCTCCCAAATAGCCAAAAAGAATCTTGAGCAAAAAGAAGAAAGCTAGAGGCATTACACTACTTGATTTCAAAGTTTACTACAATTAACACAGCATGGTACTGGCATAAAAACAGACAGATAGACCAATGGAAGAGAATGGAGAACCCAGAAACAAATTCATATGTCTACAGGGAATTCATTTTTAACAACGGTGCCAAGAACACGCATTAGGGAAAGGGCAGGCTCTTCAAAAATTGGTGCTGGGAAAACTGGATATCCATAAGCAGAATAAAATTAGGCACTTATCTCACACCATTGACAAAAATCAACAAAGAATCGATGAAAAACTAAAATGATAGACCTGAAACTATAAAACTACTAGAGGAAAACATAGGGGGGAACTCTATAACATTTATCTGGGTAAGGACATTTTGGATATTACCCCAAAAGCACAAGCAATGAAAGCAAAATTTGACAATGAAATGACATTAAACTAAAACGCTTCTTGGCCCGGCGCTGTGGCTCACACCTGTAATCCCAGCACTTTGGGAGGCCGATACAGGTGAATCACCTGAGGTCAGGAGTTCAAGACCAGCCTAGCCAACATGGTAAAACTTCGTCTCGATTAATAATACAAAAATTAGCCAGGCATGATGGTGCATGCCTGTAATCCAAGCTAATCATAAGGCTGAGGCAGGAGAATTGCTGGAACCTGGGAGGCGAAGATTGGAGTGAGTCAAGATCGCGCCACTGCACTCCAGCCTGGGCGACAGAGTGAGACTCTGTCTCAAAAGATAAAAAACAAATATAAAAATAAGCTTCTCAACAGCAAAGGAAGCAATCAACAGAGTGAAGAGACAGACTACAGAATGGAAGAATACATTTTCAAACCATTTATCTGATAAGAAGTTAATATCCAAAATATATAATATACTCAACTCAATAGCAAGAAAACAAATAACCTGATTGAAAAATGGGTAAAGAACCTGAATAGACATTTCTCAACAAAAGGCATACAAATATATGGCCAACAAATATATGAAAAAATGCTCAACATCACTGAATATTAGGGAAATGGAAATTAAAACTACAACGAGACAACTATCTCACACGTTAGAAGTCTATTATCAAAAAGATTAATGTTAACAAGTGTTATGGAGGATGTGGAAAAAAGGAATCCTTGTACATTTTGGTGAGAATGTAAATTAGTACAGCCATTATGGAAATAGTATGGAGGTTTCTAAAAATTTTAAAAATAGAAGTACCGTATGACCTAGTAATCCCACTATGGCATATGTATCTAGAGGATATAAAATCAATGCGTCAGAGAGATATTTGCACTCTCGTGTTTATTGCAGCATTATTCACACAGGCAAAGATACAGAATAAACCTAAGTCTTCATCAATAAATGAATGGATAAGAAAAAATGTGGTATATATACACAATGAATTACGACTAAGCTTTCCAAAACGAGAAAATCCTGTCATTTGTGACAATGTGAACGAACCTCAAGATATTATGTTAAGTGATATTAACCAGGTACAGAGAGAAAAATACCAAATGATCTCACTGATATGTAAAACCTAAAAAAATTAAACTCAGAAACGGAGAGCAAAATGATGGTTTCCAGCAGCTAGGGAGTTGGAAGATTGGAGAGATGTTGGTCAAAGGACACAAAATTTCAGTTAGGAAGAATAAGTTCAATAAATCTACTGTACATCATAGTTACTAATTTATTGTATAGTTGAAAATTGCTAAGAGTGTAGGTAAATTTTCTCACCAAAGAAATATAAGTATATATAACATAAGTATATGCTTATGTTAAATAGTATCACTTATTTCACTATATTAATATATTTATAAAACCTCATGCTATATGCCATAAGGATACAAAATTTTATTTGTCAGTTAAAAACATAAAGAACAAACCAAATCTTGGTTTCATTGCTTTTTACACTTGTTTTTCAAGCCTCTATTTTATTTATTTCTGCCCTGCCCTAATCTTTATTATTTTCTTCCTTCTGCTAACTTTGGAGTTGATTTGGCCTTTTTCTGGTTTATTGAGGTATAAACTTAGGTTGTTAATTTAAGATCTTTGTTCTTTTTTAATGTAGGCATTTACTATTATAAACTTCATTCTTAGCACTGCTTTTATGCATTCCATAGATTTTGGTATAATTTGTTTTCATTTTTGTTTGTCTTATTTTCTAATTTCTTTTTTGATTTGTTTGACCCATTTGTTGTTCAAGAGTGTGCTGTTTAATTTCCAGATATTTGGGAATTTTCCAGTTTTCCTTCTGTTATTTATTTCTAGTTTCATTCCATTGTGGTCAGAAAAGATACTTGGAATGATTTCAATCTTAAGTTTGTTAAGACTTGTTTGGTGACCTAACATGTGTATACCCTGGAGAATGTTCATTGTGTGCTTGAGAAGAATGTGTATTTTGCTGCTGCTGGGTAAAACGTTTCATGTATGTCTATTAGGTCCATTTGGTTTACAGTGTTATTCAAGTCTGCTGTTCTTTTATTGATTTTCTGTTTTGATATTGTATTCATTATTAAAAGTAGAGTATTGAAGTCTCCTACTATTATTGTATTGCTTTCTATTCTCCCTTCAGATCTGTCTGTTTGCTTTGCATATTTATATACTCTGATACTGTGTATGTATATATTTGTAATTGTTAGGTCTTCCTAATAAATTTACTCTTTTACTACTATACAATGACCTGCCTTCTCTCTCATGACAGTTTTTGACTTAGAGACTATTTTGTCTAATATAAGTATAGCCATGCCTGCTTTCTTTTGGTTATCATTTACATAGAATATTCTTTCCTATCCCTTCATTTTTTCCTATGTATATTCTTAAACATGGATGAGTTTTCTTGTAGGCAGCCTATAGAGCCATGGGACACATAATAATGGTACAATTAATGGTAGACCTCATATATGAGTCCTGTGAGATAATGGAGCTGAAAACTTCTTGTGACATTGTACCTGTCCTAACATCATGGCACAGCACACTACTTATGTGTTTGTGGTGATGTTGGTGTAAACAAGCGTATTACATTGGGAGGTGCCAAGATGGCTGACTGGAAGCAGCTAATGGGCACTGCTCTCATGAAGAGGAGATAGAGTGGCCAGTGAACACTAGCTCTTCAACTGGATCACCGAAGAGGATATGTTGGGATTCATCAAAGAAGCAACATGACCCAAGGAAAGCAGAAAGGAGTGAAGCAGGACAACTGCCTACCCAGTAGTAGCATGGAGCCAAGAGAGGCTCCCCACTTCAGAGAAGATGTAAGTGAGCAAGAGCCCCCAGTGACCCACAGTAATGCTATGGACCTTTACAATCCTGGGCACAGGAGATCCCCCCTAATCTCACCTCCCACAGAGCCTCCAGACAGACAGAGAAAGGTGTGTAAAGTCTAGGAAGAGCTACCACTCAGGCCCACATGGAGCCCCAAGAACCTTGGATTCCTGAGCATACTGGTGTCAGCTGCCATAACTCTGCAAACAAGGAAGGAAACATTTTCTTGTGTCCCCAATAATAGGGGCCACATCCACGATGCTGAGGAGCAAACTGTAGGCCTCACCTACACTGCACCACGCCAAGCAAAGCCCACTGGCCTGGGACCCCAGCACAGCCACTCTACTCCTACCTGAGCACTCCAGCCAGTTGCCTTTATCCATTTCTCTGGGACAGAGACCCCAGGAGTGACCAAAAGACCTGCCATGATTGCCACTACCATGGCCCCCACCCCATGGCCCTCCAGCTGGAGAAGAGGGAATGTAGAGCCCAAGAACAGCTAGAAGCCTCCAGGACACCAGAACTGCCATATGGAAAAGCAGCTGGGCTGTTTTCCACATGCCTCTTTGCCCCTACTACTCCCTACTGGATAGGGCTTCCTGACCAGGGTCCACAATACAGCCACCCTACCCCCACCCCATCACTTCAGTGGGTGGTGGCTTTGTGTTTTTCTGGGGTGGAATTTCCAGAGAACACTGACAGGCACTCTGCCATTGCTTCAGCAGTGGTACCTGCCCTTGCTGCCCCAGGCTCGGAATGAACAAAGACCTTGATTTCTTTCTTCACATCTCTAGTACACTGCAGCCCTCATATGGAGAGAAGGCTGGAATACTTTCCCTATGAGCCCTTGATTCGCTGCTCTTCACGAGGCAGGTCCCCTAGGTGGGCCTAAATGCAGCCATCCCACCCCAGGCTAAACATTCCCATTGGCAGCAACTTTATGTCTCTCTGGGGTGGAATTCTCAGAGACAACCCTCAGCCCCTCTACCACTGCCACTGCAATAGTACCTGCTCTTGCTGCCATCAGGCTAGAGAAGGAACAAAAGGCCTGAGTGTTTTACTTCCACCTCCAGCATGCTAGAACCACCCTGCAAAGGGATCAGACTGTCTTCTATGAGCCCCTCAAACCCCTGCTCTTTACTAGGCAGGGCCCCCAGCTTGGGCTCACAACAGAACTAATACACCTTTGGCTGATTATTCCAATTTTCAGTGACTCTGTGTTTCTCTGAGGTGGAACCCCCAGAGACAAGTGAAAGGCCCCCCGCCCTCTGCCACTGCCACTGCCAAGGTCCTTGCCCCTGCTGCCTCCAAGCTGGGGAAAGAACAAAAAGCCTGACCTAGCCCCAGGGCTGTGGTGCACAGCCTAACAGTGCCAAGCTGAAATCTGTGGCCAGCACTCTAGTGAGAGAGGAGCCCACACTCTCAGGACTTTAAGAAGGAACATGGTTGCAAATGCAAGGAAATACAGAGGAGTCAGCAGCTGAGTAAGAGCCAATTTACCGGCCACTACATTTAAGCGCCATCTACTGCATCATGGCCCAAACGTCATAAAATACATTTTGCTAACAGAACACCCTGTGAAACCAAAAGCAAAAATTCAGCCACAAATAAAGACCCTGAACAATTCCTCAGCCCTCTCAAAACAGGCAGAAATAAAGCCAACTGACTATACTCAAGTTACACTACAGTTAAAAAAAATCAGCCCATACAGATGAGAAAGAATGAGTGCAAGATCTCAGGCAACTCTAAAAGTCAAAGTGATTTTTTTTTTCTTTCAAATGACTACAGGAGCTCCCCAGCAATGGTTCTTAACCAGACTGAAATGGCAGAAACAGCAGATTTATAATTCAGAATCTGGATGGAAACAAAGATCATTGAGATTCAGGAGAAAGTTGAAACCCAATCCAAGGAATCTAAGAAATCCACTAAAATGAGTCAAAGGCTAAAAGATTAAATATCTATTTAAAAAAATCAAACTGATCTAACAGAGCTCAAATACTTACTACAAGAATTTCCTAATACAATCAGAAGTATTAACAGCAGAATAGACCAAGCTGAGGGCAGAATCTCAGAGTTTGAAGACTAGTTGTTTAGTTTTTTTCCTAAACAACTCAGTCAAATCAAAATTTTAAAAAAGGAATATTAAAAAATGAACAAAAGTTATGAGAACAATGGGATTATGTAAGGAGACCAAACCTATGACTGATTAGTGTCCCTGAAATAGCAGGCAACTTGGAAAATTCTCAAAATATATGAGAATATTGTCCAGGAAATGTTCTTCAACTCTACTAGACAGGTTGACATTTAAATTCAAGAAATTCAGAGAATTCCTGTGAGATACTACACAAGAAAACCATCCCCAAGACACATAGTTAGACTGTTCAAGGTCTACATGAAGAACAAATATTAAAAACAGCTAGAAAGAAGGGGCAGGTCACCTACAGAGAGCCCCATCAGGCTAACAATGGACTTTTCATCGGAAACAATAAAAGCCAGAAGACATTGGGGGCCTATATTCAGCATGTTTAAGGGAAATAAATTTCAACCAATAATTTCATATCCAGCCAAACTATACTTAAAAGCAAAAGAGAAATAAATTTTTTTAAGGCAAGCAAAGCTCAAATGATTCATTATCGCCACAGTTGTCTTATAAGAGATCCTTAAGGGAATGCTAAACATGAAAACTAAAGAATGTTACCAGCCACCACACAAACATACTTCAGTACTGTGTTGTTATTATATGTATTGTTTTTTATCCACAGTTTTTGGATTATAAATCCCACAGACCTTAGTGCAAAAGTAATTGCAGTTTGCATTGTTGAAATTTGCTGTTTGATATTAGAATATATTCTTAAATAAATGTGGTTACGTTATATATCATTTTAATGGGCATTTATCACTTTGTGTTTTTTTTTTTTGCTAATTATTTATTACTTGCTGTTTATTTTATGTTTACTTTGGACTATGGAAATGATGTTAGACAAAAAGTAAATCTGAGTGATTTTCTTATTCGAGTTAAAAATGGGTCGTGAAGCAGTGGAGACAACTCACAACATCAACAACACATTTGGCCCAGGAACTGCTAACGAACCTGCAGTGTAGTGGTGGCTCAAGAAGTTTTGCAAAGGAGAAGAAAGCCTTGAAGATGAGGAGTGTTGTGGCCGGCCGTGGGAGGTTGACAACGACCAGTTGAGAACAATTCGTCCTCTTACAACGACATGAGAAGTTGCCGAAAAACTCAACGTCTACCACTCTATGGTTATTCACCATTTGATGCAAATTGGAAAGGTGAAAGAGCTCGATAAGTGAGTGCCTCATGAGCTGACAAAAACAGAAAAGTCGTCGTTTTGAAGTGTCATCTTCTCTTATGCAACAATGAACCATTTCTTGATTAGATTGTGATGTGTGATGAAAAGTGGATTTTATATGACAACTGGTGATGATTGGCTCAGTGGTCGAACCTAGAAGAACCTCCAAAGCACTTCCCAAAGCCAAACTTGCACAAAAAAAGGTCATGGTTAATATTCTGTGGTCTGCTGCTGGTCTGATCCACTACAGCTTTCTGAATCCCAGCAAAACCATTACATCTGAGAAGTACGGCCAGCAAATTAATGAGATGCACCAAAAACTGCAATGCCTGCAGCTGGCATTGGGCAACAGAAAGGGCCCAATCCTTCTCCCCAAGAATGCCTGACTGCACGTTGCCCAACCGATGCTTCAAAAGTTGAACAAATTGGGCTACGAAGTTTTGTCTCATCCGCCATATTCACCTGACTCCTTGCCAATGAACAACCACTAATTCTTCAAGCACCTCAACAACTTTTTGCAAGGAAAATGCTTCCACAACCAGCAGGATGCAGAAAATGCTTTCCAAGAGTTCATTGAATCCCTAAGAACAGATTTTTATGCTACAGGAATAAACACACTTATTTCTTGTTAGCAAAAATGTGTTGATTGTAATGGTTCCACTTTGATTAATAAAGATGTGTTTAAGGCTAGTTATAAGAATTTAAAATTCATGGTCTGAAAGCGCAATTACTTTTGCACCAACCTAATATTCATATATGCAGACTTGATCATTTCATGATGTTGTCAGTTGATTATTATGCAGAGCTGGTCGTGTAGTTTCTTTTTAAGTGTCAGTGGTCTATGTTTTTAATGTGTGTTTTTCTAATGGCCAGTGATCATCTTTCCTTTCTATATTTAATACTCTGGTAAGGGTCTCTTGTAAGGCAAATCTGGTAGTAATTAATTCCCTTAGCATTTGCTTGTCTGAAAAAAAATCTTATTTCTCCTTCACTTGTGAAGCTTAGTTTGGCTAGATATGAAATTCTTGGTTGGAATATATTTTCTTTAAGAATTCTCAATATAGGGCTCAAATGTCTTGTAGTTTCTATGGTTTCTGCTTTAAGGTCCACTGTTAGCCCTATGGGGTTCCCTTTTTAGGTGACCTGCTTCTCTCTTCTATCTACATTTAACATTTTTTCTTTCATGTCGTCCTTATTGAATCTGATGACTATGTGTCTTGGGGATGATAATTCTGTATAGTATCTCACATGGTTTCTCTTTATTTCCTAAATTTGAATGTTGGCCTCTCTAGGGAGGTTGGAGAAATTTTCATGGATGATATCCTTAAATATATTTTCCATGTTGCTTGCTTTTTCTCCCTCTCTTTCAAGGATAACAATAAGTCACAGATTTGGTCTTTTTACATAACTCCATATTTCTTAGAGGCTTTGTTCATTCTTTTTATATTTTTCTTTGTTTTTGCTGGACTGAGTCATTTTCGAGAAATGGTCTTCAAGCTTTGAGATTCTTTCCTCAGCTTGTTCAATTCTGCTGTTCATATTTGAGATTGTATTATAAAATTTTTAAAGTGAGTTTTTCAGCTCTATCAGATCAGTTTGGTTCTGTCTTAAAATGGTTATTTTATCTTTCAGCTCATCTATATTTTTTGTATTCCTTAGATTCTCTAGAATGGATTTCAATTCTCTTCTGAATCTTGATGATCTTCATTTCTATCCCTATTCAGAATTCTATATCTGTCATTTCAGTCATTTTTAGCTTGGTTAGGAACCATTGCTGAGGATCTAGTGCAGTCATTTGAAGGTAAGAAGGCACTCTGGCTTTTTGCTTTGCCAGTTTTTTCACTGGTTCTTTCTGATCTGTGTGGGCTGATGTTCCTTTAGTCTTTGAAGCCGCCATTCTTTGGATGAGGATTTATGCTTTTATCTTCTTTGGAGCACTTGAAGGTTTAATTGTGGTATAAGTTGGGTTCAGTTGACTGGCTTCATATTTGGAAGATTTTAGGGGGCAAAGATTCAATTCACCACTTCTGGCCTGTATGCTCTAACTCTGGGGGGCTGGTATTGTGCCCCCAGCTTTGTCACCTGGCCCCTTAAGGTTAGGAATGTGCTGCACTGGAGGGGCCAATGTGTTCCCAGTCTGCTGGCCACAAGGCTCTGAACAGGGGTGCCAGCCACAGCATTTCATCAGGGCAGTGGCGGAAGGATTTGTGTTCACTCCCGTGTACCACAAGCCACAGCAGTGTGGCATAGCGTATTCATGTCAACTGGGGCAGGGCACCATGGTAAAGTAACTATTGATAGGTGAGAGGTTACAATTGTCAGTTTGTTAATTGCTTTCTGTCTATCTTTTAGGTCTTCTGTCTGCCTTTTTATCTTTTGCTGTCTTACCTTGTTATTCATTGACAAAAATCATGCAATTTTCAACATGAAAGTAGATTGAGGAAATATTTTTTATTTCACAAAGGAGAAGACTGAGGCCTGTATCATTTTTATATATAGCTGAGATCATGTGGGAAAATATTTTTTATCTATGGTAATTAGAAATTTAAAAATCATAGATGTAATAAATATAACTTTCATTCAAAGAAGCTTGTCATAATTCACCATATGTTCATAAACATTCTTAAAAGTCTGTACATTATAATTTAACATACAAATGCATTAACCATATGTATGTTCTAAAGTCTTTCATTTTTTGATGTTCTAATATATTTATTATTTACAGTTTTTCCACTGTGTGAATTGATAGTTGTTACAAAAATTCAAGCTTGCAGTTTACTTAAGTCATATTTCTCCATATGATGAGATCAATATTATGGATTATGGGGCAAGATTTTCTAATTCTTGATTCTATTTAAAATGTTTAATCAGATATATAATGGTTTGATTAGAGTGTTGACTGCTCTTAACATTTGTAAGTATACTTTCAGATATAAAATACTTTTAAAATTGACATGATTTATATGTTTACTTTTACTTGTATGTTTACCTTTTACTATCCAGCATTTTATAATTTTTTCCACATGAACAAGCCAACAATAAAAACTGATATTTTGAGGATGCATTTTTCTATCTCAGTTATATTATTTATTTTTAATTAAAGTTATGGGTACATGCATTAGTCTTACATGTTATCAATAACATGCCCATTGAGATAGTTTGTAAAGAGAGGGCTTTTCCTCTGAAATATACTTATGAAATATTCAGTCCTCTCTTATTTTTATTTTAGAATCACATCAAAAATAGTGTTTTAGGAGAAGAAAATTAGCTCAGGCACTGAGAGTGAGCACCTCATTAAAATGTTCCTGGGTAATAAGCATGCAGAAATGCCTAAGATGTTGCAGATGGGTAATTTGAATATGCATATATTCCAGTCTTTATGTCCCTTTGCCCTACTTAAACTACCATTCATTTGAGTTAATGCCATAGCATATCTATCCTTTTCTACATTGCATCCAGAGTTCAGACTAAAATTACTCCTCTGTGCTGTATTATAGAGACAAGATTTGAATAGGATTTTTTTTTCAGTGCCAGACTTAAGAATGTGAAACTGAAGCATCCATACTCACCATTACACCCAGGAAGTGTGGGTGTTCTCACTTAGATAATCTCACTCAACACTGCCCTCTTATCTCCTTTTAGCCCATAAAACATCTGGTCTGTCTGTTGATTCTCATGGTTCTAAACTCACAAAAACAACAAAAACAACAAAAAAAAAACCTGATGAATTCTCTGCATACTAGACCATGTTATACTATAGTAAATTACATTTTGGAACATGTAGTTATTTCAGGTTACCTAAAAGCAACTGAATCCCAAACAAGCTAGTGTGCAAAGGGAAATTAGCCTAACTCTTATAACATGCTGAATTCCTTAGAATAGTACAATTCTCTCTAAATCAAATAAATATAAGGTGATGACATGAGTGTGAATAATGTAAAACAATATGAATTTCAATCAATTTTCTTATTTAGCCTGTTTGACAAAATTTTACTTCTTTTTTTTAAATTAAACAATGGAAAAACATGTATTCCTATATGAGAAATAATATGGTACCTTATATTTATTTTTTGTTCTCTAATAACACAAAGAGAAAAAGAAGATTATCCTAGGTCTCTTCCTAACATTCATTCTTCTTTATATAATTATAATATACATGTATACTTAGACCTCATGTTTCAATACAAGGTTTAACAGATGTTAATTACGCTTTTGTTTTAATTCTCATGAGGAGCAGTGAAGCAGGAAGATGGGGGGAAGCTTAAAAAGAATTGAAACATGGAAAAGAAGACTCGACTGAATCAACTGCTGACAATTGCCTATTGAACTTCATGTCTACCATGGCATGTGTATACCTATGTAACGAACCTGCATGTTCTGCACATGTTTCCCAGAATCCAAAAAACATATAAGTATTGCAATTGATGCTGGAGTAGCATATCATAACATTCAAAATCCCTTCATAACAATAACCCTCAAAACATTGTGTGTTAGAAGGAACATAACATAATAAAAGCCATACACAACAGACTTTCAGCTAGTATCACACTGAATGGGGTAAAACTGAAAGTCTTTTTTTTTAAAGATTTGGAACGCAACAAGGATGCCCACTCTCACTACTGTTATTCAACATAGTACTGGAAGCCCTCACTAGAGCAAACAGACAAGAGAAGAAATAAAGCACATCTGAATTGGAATGGATGTAGTCAAATTATTTTTGTTTGTAGATGATATGATCTTATATTTGAAAAAAATCTAAAATATCCAACTGAAAAACAATTAGAACTGATACATTCTTTAAATTACAGGATAAAAAATTTAACACAAAATCAGTAGCATTCCTAGATGCCAACATCGAACAATTTGAAAAGTAAATCAAAAATCTAATCCCATTTAAAATAATCACAAATAAAATTAAATACCAAAGAATTAACAAAATAATCAAAAGGTGTCTATAATGAGAACTAAAAAACACTGAAGAAGATACTAAAAAATGGAGTGGTGGTACACTTTCTTGGATTAGAAGAATAAATATTGCTTAAATGTTGATAACACCCAAATGCAATCTCTATCAACCTACCAATGACATTATTCACAGAAACAGAAAAAAATCCTAAAATGTATATGGAAACACAAAAGATCAAGTATATCCAACGCTCTCCACAAAACATCAAGAATATTCAAACCTCTTCTAAGCAAAAAGAAAACTGGAGGAATTACATTACCTGACTTCAAATTATACTAAAGAGCTATTTTTACTAAAAAGGATGGTTCTGGCATAAAAGCAGACACATAGACTAATGGAATAAACAATCCATAAACAAATCCACACACGTGCAGCAAACTCATTTTTGAGAAAGGTGCCAAGAAAATACACTGAGACAAAGATAATTTCTTCAACAAATGGTGCTGGAAAAACTGCATATCCACATACAGAAAAATGAAATTAGACCCCCATCTTTCACCATATACAAAAATCAAATCAAAATGGATTAAATACTTAATCTATGATCTCACCCTATGAAACTACTAGCTGAGAGCATCGGGGAAAATATCTAGGACACTGGTCTGGACAAAAATTTATTGAGTAATTCCCCACAAGCACAAGCAACCAAAGCAAGAATAGACAAATGGGACACATCAAGTTAAAAAGCTTCTGCACAGCATGGAAGGAATCAACATAGTGGAGAGACAAACCACAGAATGGGAAAAATTTATTTGCACACTACCCCTCTGACAAAGGATTAATAATAACCAGAATATGTACAGAGCCCAAACAATTCTATAGGAAAAAATCTAATAATCTAATCAAACAATGGGAAAAAGATTTCAATAGAAATTTCTCAAAAGAAGACACACAAATGGCAAATAGGCATATGAAAAGGTGCTCAACATCATTAATCATCACTGAAATGCAAATCAAACCTACAGTGAGATATCATCTCACTCCAGCTAAAATGCCTTGTATCTAAAAGGCAGGCAATAACTAATACTGGTGAAGAGATGGAGAAAGGGGAACCCTTGTACACTTGGTGGGAATGTAAATTAGTACAACCACTCAGGAGAGCAGTTTGGAGGCTCCTCAAAACTAAAAACAGAACTACCATATGATCCAGCAGTCCCACTGCTTCGTATATACCCAGAATAAAAAAAATCCAAATATTAAAGAGGTATCTGTACTCCCATGTTTGTTGCAGCACTGTTCACAATAGCCAATATTTGGAAGCAATCTAAATGTCCACCACCAAATGAATGGATAAAGAAACTATTACTTTTACACAGTGGAGTACTATGTAGCCATAAAAAATAAGATCCTGTCATTTGCAACAACATGGTTGGAACTGGAGGTCATTACGTTAAGTGAAATAACCTAGGTCCTGAAAAATTAACATTGCATGTTTTCCCTTATTTGTGGAATCTAATCGAAACAATTGAACTCCTGGAGATATGCAGTACAGTGATGGCTACCAGAGCCTGGGAAGAGTAGTTTGGGGAGGTAGTGGGGAGGTGGAATATTTAGTTAGTACAAAATATATAGATAGTAAGAATGAATAATACCTAGTATTTGATAGGATGGCAGGATGACTATACCCAATAATAATTTAATTGTATATTTAAAAATAATCAAAAGAGTATAATTGGATTGTTTGTCACACAAAAGATAAATACTTGAGGGGATAGGTATTCCATTTTCCATGATGTGATTATTTCACATTGCATGCCTGTATCAAAATATCTCCTGTATCTCATAAATATATATACTTACTATGTGGCCACAGAAATTTAAAATTTAATTAAAAAATGATGATGATGGTGGCTGTGGTGATGAAATTATGTACAATAACTAGCTGTTTACTCTTTACCATCTAGTGGTCTAAGAGCTTTTATTGTATTATGTCATTTAGTTCTCACCATAAACATAAGACTGGTGTGGTTTTTGTGCTCATATTAGGACTAAAAAGTGTTCTTTAGATTTGAATCAAAGAAAAGTGTAATTTTTTCCTGGCCTGCTGAAATGGTAAGGGATGAATCCAGAATTCTGCAGGAAGATGGTAAAAAGGAATGAATTGAAAGTAGACGATGGAGAAAATTCAGTGCATATGAATTAGCTGTCTAGACAGGGGAGAACACAGTTAAGTTTGTAGCAGAGAATATTAAGTTATGAGAGCATTGCTTTTCTTTGGTTTATTTCATTTTATTTTATTTTATTTTATTTTAAGATGAAAGAGAATTTACCACGTGTAAAGCCTAGTGGAAAGATCTGATAAGAAATGAAAGCTTACATTACAGGAGAAAATACAGATTAATCTATGGATCAGAATTCTGAAAAGATGGAATAGAATGAGACCCCATGGTGAAGTAAATATCTTTACACAAGAAGAGGTATGCCTTTCCCTTTATAACAGGAGATTAGATTGGACTAGGATTCATACAAATGTATCTATGCAGAACAATAAATTGAATCTGCTTCCACTTGATGGTCTGGCTTATCTAGGTAAAGCAGGACTGAGGTTATGTGCTGCATAGGAGGGAGCATGTTGTCTAGTGGAGCCCTTGGAAAAATAGTGTTAACTAGAGATTTCAAATGACTGTTAACCCTTACCAGAAAAGACTGTATCTCACAGTCTGCAGACCACAATTACTTTCACAAAATATATTTGCCAACACGTGTTAAAATTCTCTTATTCTATTTTAAAATATAGTGAGTCTTTTAGCCCATCTAAAATAAAACTTACCCAGCTCATAGAGTTGTAATAAATAACTCTGCCAAGAGAAGGGCTATTACAATGTTAGATAATTAGTGTCCATGATATTTTCAGGTTTGCTACCATCTAAATTGACATGTGACCTTACACAAATCATTTAACCTTTCTGCTAAAGATGTCATCGGTAATTTTGGAGTAATATTACAAATGTTACAAAAATGTGATGCTTCATAAAGCACTCTGAGATATTCCACTGAAGGGACTGCATATGCATAAAATGCATTATAATTATGAGAACTAATAGTAAATTATTTCTTAGCACTCAGCACACTAATTAGAGGTACAATCTGTTCCGGAATATTATAGGAATTGAAAATAAGTTAAGGATTCTGTTTCTCACCTCATTGTGGCTTATACATAGGATATCATAATTTTTTGTCCAAATTGTGACACTATTGACAGCGAAAGAGG